>NC_000011.10:67097322-68383447 GCF_000001405.40 Homo sapiens
TTCTCTTCCCTCCCTTGTCTTACTTTCCACTCCTCTGTCAGTATTTCCTAGGACCATTTCCCAAATAAACTTCTTGCACTTGAATCCTTGCCTCAAGGTTTGCTTCTGGGTGAATTCGAAGTAAGGCACAGTGGCTCACACCTGTAATCCCAGCACTTTGGGAGGCTGAGGAGGATTGATCACCTGAGGTCATGAGTTCGAGACCAGCCTGGCCAACATGGCGAAACCTCGTGTCTACTGAAAATACAAACATTAGGCGGGCATGGTGGTGGGTGCCTGTAATCCCACCTACTTGGGAGGCTGAGACAGGGAGAATTGCTTGAACCTGGGAGTCAGAGGTTGCAGTGAGCAGAGATCACACCACTGCACTCCAGCCTGGGTGACAGAGTGAGACTGTCTCCAAAAAACAAAAACAAAACAAACAAAAAACCTACAAAAAAACAAAGACACACTCACTTGCTTACATTAAGAACAGGGTCTGGGCAGGGCGCAGGGGCTCATGCCTGTAATCCCAGCCTTTTGGAGTGTGTGTCTATGTGTTTATCTGTCAGGGTGAAGGTGGCTCTCAGAATTGATTGGGGGCAGCTGGGCGTGGTGGCTCATGCCTGTAATCTCAGCACTTTGGGAGGTCGAAGTGGGTGGATCACCTGAGATCAGGAGTTTGAGACCAGCCCGGCTGACATGGTGAAACCCTGTCTCTACTAAAAATACAAAAAATTTGCCAGGTATGGTGGCAGACGCCTGTAATCCCAGCTACTTGGGAGGCTGAGGCAGGAGAATCACTTGAACCCAGGAGGCAGAGGTTGAAGTGAGCCGAGGTCACGCCACTGCACTCCAGCCTGGGCAACAAGAGCAAAACGGGGCCGGGCACAGTGGCTCACGTCTGTAATCCCAGCACTTTGGGAGGCCAAGGCGGGTGGATCATGAGGTCAGGAAATCGAGACCATCCTGGCTAACACGGTGAAACCCCATCTCTACTAAAAATGCAAAAAATTAGCCGGGCCTGGTGGCGGGCGCCTGTAGTCCCAGCTACTTGGGAGGCTGAGGCAAGAGAATCGCTTGAACCCGGGAGTGGAGCTTGCAGTGAGCTGAGATCGCACCACTGCACTCTAGCCTGGGCAACAGAGCCAGACTCCGTCTCAAAAAAAAAAAAAAAATAGAGCAAAACGTCATCTCAATAACAAAAAAAAAAAAGGAAGAAGAAGAATTGATTGGGGGCTGGAGGACCAGGTTTGGGATGGGCAGGAAGCCAGATGGGAATGATGTCCATCTTTCTCCACTTCCTCAGGCCACCTGCTTGGGAGTCAGCAACCTAAAAAAGGAGGTCTGCTGGGTCAAACCGAATTTGACCCGGCTGCACCCGGTCAGGAGAGGGAAGATGTCTCTATTCTCCCCAGTACCACCCATGGGGCATCTCCAAGGGAGACTGGGTACCTGTAGGAACAACCTCACTGAATGGAGTTGGATAGGAACCACCAAGAAATGCAAATGTACCTCGGCCTTTATTATTCTTCTCCCAACCATAAGGCAAAGCTTAGACTACAAGTTTGCCACCACCCTCCACACCCCATGTCCTCTGCCACACTTCACACTGCTCCTTTTCTCTGACCCACTTGGATGCCTCTTCCCATTCTTCTGTCACTGTCTCACTCTAGTCGCTATCACCACTGCCCATTACCACCTCCTCCCTCTGGGTATCTGGCCTCCAGCAACTAACTGCCTGCCATGTGCCCAGTGCTGGCTGCCAAGCTGTTTCTCCCATCTTTAGTGGCTGTCAGTGATCAACCTTGTCCCATCCTGGGCTCTAAACTTGCCACCAGCTCTTTCTCCCCGGGGTATCCTCTACCTCTTCTTCCTCCAACTCCACCCCTACCAGCTGGGCCTTCCTGGCAGTGACTCAATGTCTTCCTCCTCCAATAATTTCACTCCCATTTGAGTCTTTGCTCAGATGCAAATACTTTATGTGCCTGCAATGTACTCCTCCAATAGTTACTTTTACAAATTCCACCTCTTTCCTGGCAAACCCTCTTGCCTGTCTCCCCGCCCCCAACATCGGCCACTACACCAGGGGCCCCTCTCCTGTTACCCTTCGCAAGCATTTAGTGAATGAGGAAAACTATTTTCGGGGCCTGATTCCAGACATGGTGGAGGAAACAGGCACACAGCAAGCCCATTCTGTAGGAAGCTTACTCCACTGGAGAGAGAACCAGACACACTCACAGAAGTGAGGCCAGGCGTGGTGGCTCACGCCTATAATCCCAGCACTTTGGGAGGCCAAGGTGGGCGGATCACCTGAGGTCAGGAGATTGAGACCAGCCTGACCAACATGGTGAAACCCCGTCTCTACTAAAAATACAAAATTAGCCAGGTGTGGTGGCGCAGGCCTGTAATCCCAGCTACTCAGGAGGCTGAGGCAAGAAAATTGCTTGAACCCGGGAGGTGGAGGTTGCAGTGAGCTGAGATCCTGTCATTGCACTCTAGCTTGGGCGACAGAGCGAGACTCTGTCTCAGAAAAAAATCAAACGCAAGCGAGCATGCAGTAATTGCCAAGCTGGGTGAATGGATTTTCAGGGCTGTGGGAATTCACAGAGTGCAGCAGGGAAGGCCTGTGCATGTGTTTGGAGGCAGAGGAGGCGGCAGGGAGGAGAGAGTGTATCCAATGCCTGTTTGAAGGGGAGGACAGCATAGACCTCATTTCACACAGGAGGGTGCAGGGGAATCTCCAACAGAGAAGTCACTGGCCAGGTGGTGGGGAAAGTTCAGGGCCGTAGCAGCCACAGGGACAAACCCGCAGAGAAGACATCTGAAGTTCTGAGAATAAATGAAAGCCTCAAGAGAGAGAAGAGCAGAGGGTTGAGGACTAGGCCTTGCAGGAAGCCCAAAGGCAGGGGTAGGGGAGAGGGGCAGAGGGTGAGCCTGCAGGAGGGAGAAACTCTTGTTTGTTAGCCTGGGCCACTGTGGCCTGTTTAGGACTCTACGCTCTCCTTCCTGTGTAGGGCACCTGTGCGCAGTGCCTGGACCTGCCTTGGTTCTCACTGACCCTCTGGCATAACTGGTGGTCACAGGAAGTTGGTTTCCTGTGAGCTTTCATGATGCTTCCCGAATCCACCCACTTCTCTCTCCACTTCTGTGGGGTAGAAGACTGTAGACAGAAAGTAGTAAGTTTAAAAAAGGAAAGAAAAAAAGAAAAAAAGAAGGCCAGGCATGCTGGTTCATGCCTGTAATCCCAGCACTTTGTTTTGTTTTGAGAGAGTCTCACTCTGTCACCCAGGCTGGAGTGCAGTGGCGTGATCTCAGCCCACTGCAACCTCCACCTCCCTGGTTCAACCTATTCTCCTGCCTCAGCCTCCAAAGTAGCTGGGACTACAGGCACGCACCACCACTGCTGGCTAATCTTTTGCATTTTTAGATACAGACCAGGTTTTGCCATGTTGGCCAGGCTGGTCTTGAACTCCTGACCTCAGGTGACCCACCTGCCTCAGCCTCCCAAAGTGCTGGGATTACAGGCATGAGCCACCACACCCGGTCATGCCTGTAATCCCAGCACTTTGGGAGGCTGAGGTGGGAGGATCACTTCAGCCCGGGAGTTTGAGGCTGCAGTGAGCCATGATCACGCCTCTGCATTTCAGCCTGGTCAACAGAGCGAGACCCTATCTCAAAAAAATATATATGTCATAGTAAGATCTGGCTTCTCTCAGAGAGAAAGGGGTCACCTTATCCACCCCTGCCTCAGTCCCTTTGTGCTGCTATAACAAAATAGCTGAGACTAGATTATTTATTTATTTTTTTTTTTGAGAGGGAGTCTCGCTCTGTCACCCAGGCTCGAGTGCAGTGGTGCGATCTCGGCTCACTGCAAGCTCTGTCTCCCAGGTTCATGCCATTCTCCTGCCTCAGTCTCCCGAGTAGCTGGGACTACAGGTGCCCACCACCATGCTCGGCTAATTTTTTGTATTTTTAGTACAGACGGGGTTTCACCATGTTAGCCAGGATGGTCTCGATCTCCTGACCTTGTGATCCACCCACCTCGGCCTCCCAAAGTGCTGGGATTACAGGCATGAGCCACCGTGCCCGGCAAGACTAAATAATTTATAAAGAATAGAAATTTATAGCCAGGAACAGTGGCACGTGCCTGTAGTCCCAGTACTCAGGAGGCTGAGGTGGGAAGATCCCTTGAGCCTAGGAGTTTGAGACTAGTCTGGGTAACATAGTGAACTCTCATAGTTCTGGAGGCTGAGAAGTCCAAGATCAAGGCACTGGCATCTGGTAAGGGCCTTCAGACTGCATTGTCAGATGGCAGAAGAGCAGAAGACAGTGAACCCGCTCTCTCTCTTTTTTTTTTTTAAGACGGAATTTCGCTATGTCACCCATGTTGGAATGCAATGGTGTGATCTCAGCTCACTGCAACCTCCCCCTCCCGGGTTCAAGCGATTCTCCTGCCTCAGCCTCCCAAGTAGCTGGGATTACAGGCACCCACCACCACGCCCGGCTAATTTTTGTAGTTTTTATTAGAGACGGGGTTTCTCCATGTTGGCCAGGCTGATCTTGAACTGCTGACCTCAAGTGATCCACCCACCTCAGCCTCCCAAAGTGCTAGGATTACAGGCGTGAGCCACTGGACCCAGCCCCCACTCTCTTTTATAGCAACATTAATCCACTCCTGAGGGCCCGAGCCCTCATGACTTAAACACCTCCCGTTAGGCCCCACCTCCAAAACTGTCGCACTGAGGATTGTTTCCAACACATAAACTGTGAGGAACACATTCAGACCATAGCAACTCCCAAGATTATTCCAGGGGTTTTCAAGCCTAAACTCTCTCAATCTCCTGCACCCACATCCTCAAAATGATCAACCTGCACACGGCCCTGGCAGCCTCTCCCCAGGTTCTGAGGAAGACGTGTCCTCACCCCACGGAAGTTACCTCAGGCCAGCTGGTTCTTCTGGCTGCTCCGGCACCAAGCACCTCTTGCTCTATCCCTTATCCCTTATTTGCAGTTTCTAGTCCCACCCTTGCCCGCCCCATCTCTACTGACATCTTCTTGCAGGCCACACACAAACTCTTTATGTTCCCATTACAACCCCCCCATCCTGTCTTCCGCTGCTGGAACTTCTTTCCACAGCCAGCTCTTGAAAGAGGGATGCACGGCCGGGCACAGTGGCTCACTCCTGTAATCCCAGCATTTTGGGAGGCCGAGGCAGGTGGATCACAAGGTAGGAGATCGAGACCATCCTGGCTAACATGGTGAAACCCTGTCTCTACTAAAATACAAAAAACTAGCTGGGTGTGGTGGTGTGCACCTGTAGTCCCAGCTACTCAGGAAGCTGAGGCAGGGGAATCACTTGAACCCAGGAGACGGAGGTTGCAGTGAGCCAAGATCGCGCCACCGCACTCCAGCCTGGCGACAGAGCGAGACTGTCTAAAAAAAAAAAAAAGGATGCACACTTGCCTTCTGTTCACCTCATGCCGACTCCCCCACCCCCAACTTCATGACACAGCTATCAAAGGTCCCTGGTGATGTCATAATGGCTGCATCCAGGGGTGGTCTTCCAGCTTCATCTTCCTCTCTGACTCCTCTCCTCTGCACTCTCCTCCCTGCCGCCTACACTCTGCCTCTCTCTTACCCATCTGGTCTTTCCTTCTCAGCTGCTTTCACAGGCTCTGCTTTCTCTCCTGGTTACTTTACATGCCCATTCATTTTTCAAGCAGTTACTGGGCACCTACAGTGGGGCTGGGCACAGTTCTCCCTGATGCGCAGTCCCTGTTTTTTGTTTTTTTTTTTTGAGACAGAGTCTCGCTCTGTCGCCCAGGCTGGAGTGCAGTGGTGCGATCCTGGCTCACTGCAAGCTCCGCCTCCTGGGTTCACGCCATTCTCCTGCCTCAGTCTCCAGAGTAGCTGTGATTACAGGTACCCGCCACCACGCCCGGCTAATTTTTTTTGTATTTTTAGTAGAGACGGGGTTTCACCATGTTGGCCAGGCTGGCCTCAAACTCCTGACCTTGTGATCCGCCTGCCTCGGCCTCCCAAAGTGCTGGGATTACAGACATGAACCACCGCACCCGGCCCCCTTTCTCTTTTTTTTTGAAACAGAATCGCTCTGTCGCCCAGGCTGGAGTGCAGTGGCTCAGTCTCAGCTCACTGCAACCTCCGCCTTCCGGGTTCAAGTGATTCTTCTGCCTTAGCCTCCTGAGTAGCTGGGTATACAGGAGCGCACCATGACGCCGGCTAATTTTTGTATTTTTAGTAGAGATGAGGTTTCGTCATGTTAGCCAGGGTGGTCTTGAACTCCTGACCTCAAGTGATCCGCCCGCCTCGGCCTCCCAAAGTGCTTGGATTACAGGCAGGAGCCACCATGCCCGGCCTTCCATGCCCTTTCCATGGATCACCTTATTCCTCCCACAACCTGGATCTGGCATGTGGATGCCCAGACCTCTGACTCCAGTGTGTGCTGCTCCCCTCCATCCCAGGCCTCATAAAGCTAGCAGCAGATGTCTTAGAGCCCCTCAGACTCAGCGTGTGCAAATGTGATCCTGTGTCTCTTGGCCCGACCCATTGCTTCTCCTGTATTTCCCATTTGAGGGGATGGCACGGCGGATCAGTCAATACACACACACGGCAGACATGCACGACCCCTCCTCCCGCACATCCAACGTGTGCCCACATCCTGTCGAATGCTCCTCCTCCTATACCTCTCAGCTCTACTTTCCATACCCTGTTTGCTGCCTGAGGCCATGTCCTTCTCACATGGGGAAGATAAAACACCTTAATTTTCTCAACAGCATCTGCTTTCTTATCAGAGTTCTTTCTGAAACATAAACTTGACCTCGTCATTTCCCTACTTGTATGATCACCATGGGTTGCTCCTGCCTTAAGAGTACACTCCTGCCGGGTGTGGTGGCTCACGCCTGTATTCAGGCGTGATGCAGTGGCTTATGCCTGTAATCCCAGCTCTTTGGGAGGCCAAGGCAGGTGGATCACGAGGTCAGGAGATCGAGACCATCCTGGCTAACACGGTGAAACCCCATCTTTACTAAAAAATACAAAAAATTAGCCGGGCGTGGTGGCGGGCGCCTGTAGTCCCAGCCACTCAGGAGGCTGAGACAGGAGAATGGCGTGAACCTGGGAGGCGGAGCTTGCAGTGAGCCGAGATGGCGCCACTGCACTCCAGCCCGGGCGACAGAGCGAGACTCCTTTTTAAAAAAAAAAAAAGAGTATACTCCTGACTTGCCACAAGCCTCATGTGACTTGGCCAGCCACTCTGTGACTTCATCTCGCACCATTTTCCACCTTGGCCACTTTGCCCCAGACGCTCCGGCTGCTGCTGTTTGAGTACACCAACACCCGTTCCCATGGAAGGTCTTTGCTCAAGCTGTTCCCTCTGCCTAGGAGGTTCCTTTTTGCTAAACAATCTCAACTCCTGTCTCCTGTGTCACCTGCTCAGAGAAGCTGTCCCAATTTCTTTTTTTTTTTTTTTTTGAGACGGACTCTCACTCTGTTGTCCAGGCTGGAGTGCAGTGGCACGATCTCACCTCACTACAGCCTCCGCTTCCCGGGTTCAAGCAATTCTCATGCCTCAGCCTCCTAAGTAGCTGGGACTACAGGTGCCCACCACCATGCCCAGCTAATTTTTGTATTTTTAGTAGAGTTTTGCCATGTTGGCTGGGCTGGTCTGGAACTCCTGGCCTCCAGTAATCCACCCTCCTCAGCTTCCCAAAGTGCTGGCATTACATGCATGAACCACTGCACCCAGTCTGTAACCAGTAATTTCTTTTTTCTTTTTTGTTGAGATGGAGTCTTGCTGCATTGCCCAGGCTGTAGTGCACTGGCGCAATCTCGGCTCACTGCAACCTCCACCTCCCCGGTTCCAGCAATTCTCTTGCCTCAGCCTCCCGAGTAGCTGGGACTACAGGGGTGCGCCACCATGCCCGGCTAATTTTTGTATTTTTAGTAGAGACAAGGTTTCACCATGTTGACCAGGCTGGTCTCAAACTCCTGACCTCAGGTGAGCCACCCATCTCGGCCTCCAAAAGTGCTAGGATTACAGGCATAAGCCACTGCATCCGGCCCATAACCAGTAATTACTAAGTCAGCTCAAATGCTGCTTCCTCCATGAAGCTTTCCCTGAGTTGATACTCCTCCCTACAGCAGAAGTGGCCCCTCCCACCTTTGCGCCCTCACAGATTCCTGTGGAAACTGTGCTTTTTTTTTTTTTTTTTTTTTTTTGAGACGGAGTCTTGCTCTTATAGATTGACCAGGCTGGAGTGCAATGGCATGATCTCAGCTCACTGCAACCTCCGCCTCTGGGGTTCAAGCGATTCTCCTGCCTCAGCCTCCCGAGTAGCTGGGATTACAGGCATCTGCCTCCACACCCAGCTAATTTTTTGTGTTTTTAGTAGAGATAGGGTCTCACCATGTTGGCCAGGCTGGTCTCAAACTCCTGACCTCAGGTGATCCACCCGCATTGGCCTCCCAAAGTGCTGGGATTACAGGCGTGAGCCACCACGCCCTGTCTTTAATTATTATTATTTTTATTATTTTTTTAAACAGGGTCTCGCTCTGTCACTCAGGCTGGGGTGCAGTGGCACAATCACAGTTCATTGCAGTCTTGAACTCCTGGGCTGAGGGAATCCGCCCCCCTCAGCCTCCTGAGTAGCTAATTGTTTTGGTTTTTCATTGTAAAGATGGGGGTCTCACTATGTTGCCCTGAATGGGAGACTTGTCTATATCCTGTATAGACCTGATGTCCATCATGGCACTCAGTCCTGGTTTACAACCGAGATGCACACATAGCTATTATTAGCCCCTTTCATTTTCTGAAAGTGTCTCAGTGTAGAGGCTAATTTCTTTGTTCACCTGACTTGCCCCCTGACAATGTGGCTTCATGTCACTCACATTGCAATCCCAGTGCCCCGCACAGGCAGGTGCTCTTTCTAGGGAAGGAAAGAATAAATGAACATTTGATCTGGTGGTTAGAAAATGCCATCAATTTGGGGAGTAGCAGAAAGTGCACTGGACTAGCTATCAGAAGACATGGTTTATAGTTCTAATTTCATCACGAAACTAGCTGCATGACCTTGGCCACGCTGCTTAACATCTTTGGGCCTCAGACTGCCAGTTTTTAAATGAGCAAGTAGGATTAAATGACCTCTGCCCTCGATGCTTGCTCTAAGATTCTGTGATTCAGAGTTATCCCCTTAATAGACGAGGACCTCTCAGACCCTAAATGGAAGAAGTTAGTGTGGCACTGAGTACACACACCAGGAAGTCTTGGACGATGGAGAGTGTTGGTGCTGCTCTTGAAGCTGTGCAGGAACCACCTTCATTTTTCCCTCTGCCAGTTCTGTCATGCTGCTGTCTCTTTGGTTAATATGCACGGTGCTGTTTTTTGTTTTTGTTTTTTGTTTCTCTCTCCAATTAAACTGTAAGCTTCTTGAGGATAGGCTCCAAGTCTTATGTTTTAAATCTTGAGGCCCTTTAAGTTAAATTAGAACCTGGCACGTGTTCTGTGGTTGACAATAATGGTCATATGGAGATCTAATCAAATCAAATGTTAGACAGTGGATGGCAGGTTTAATCAGAAATACACCAGAGAAGGGTAGGTATAGTGGCTTACACCTGTAATCCCAGCACTTTGGGAGTCTGAGGAGGGCAGATCACTTGAGTCAGGAGTTTGAGACTCACCTGGCCAACACAGTGAAACCGTGTCTCTACTGAAAATACGAAAATTACCCAGGTGTGGTGGTGGGCGCCTGTAATCCCAGCTACTTGGGAGGCTGAGGCAGGAGAATCACTTAAACCTGGGAGGTGGAGGTTGCAGTGAGCCGAGATCGCGCCACTGCACTCCAGCCTGGGTGACAAAACAAGACTCCATCTCAAAAACAAGAGGCCAGGCGCAGTGGCTCACGACCGTAATACCAGGACTTTGGGAGGCCTAGGTGGGCGGATCACCTAGGTCAGGAGTTCGAAACCAGCCTGGTTAACATGGTGAAACCCCATCTCTACTAAAAGTACAAAATTAGCCAGGCACAGTGGTGTGTGCCTGTAATCCCAGCTACTCGGGAGGCTGAAGCAGGAGAATCGCTTGAACCCAGGAGGCAGAGGTTGCAGTGAGCCAAGATCGCGCCACTGCACTCCACCTTGGGTAACAAGGGCGAAACTGTCACACACACACACACACACATACACACACACACACAAGAAGATAAAAGAAAAGAAATACACCAGAGAACAAAGAGAAAGCAGTGAAAATTATGGGCATTGTCCTATCAAAAGCATCACAATTATATGCCTATGCCTGTGTATTAAGGAGCAACTTAAATACACATGGAGGCCAGGCATAGTGGCTCATGCCTGTAATCCTAGCACTTTGGGAAGTTGAGGTGGGTGGATCACCTAAGGTCAAGAGTTCCAGGCCAGGCTGGCCAACAAGGTAAAACCCTATCTTTACTAAAAATATAAAAATTAGCTGGGCATGGTGGTGTGCACCTGTAATCCCAGCTACTCTGGAGGCTATGGCAGGAGACTTGCTTGAACCCAGGAGGTGGAGGTTGCAGTGAGCTGATATGATATCGCGCCACTGCACTCCAGCCTGGGCGACAGAGTGCGTAAGGCTCTGTCTCAAAGAAAAAAAAAAAAAAAAAGAAAGAAATATGGTCCCATCAAGAGGCACAATGTGGTTTCAGAAAAAGGAAGCCACTGAGGATTCCACATTATGTTATGGCAAGTCAGAATTGCGTATTCCATTTGTCCACTTTTCTGAATTCATTGACAAGAAAAATGCATAAAATACATTATAGGATATATTACATGAGTAGTAAATAGTAAAATGAAATAGAAAATACTTCCGGTGGTGGGCATGGTAGTTCATGCCTGTAATCCCAGCACTTTGGGAGTTTGAGACCAGCCTGGGCAACATAGTGACACCACATCTCTACAAAAAATACAAAATTGGCTGGGTGTGGTGGCTCACGCCTGTAATCCCAGCACTTTGGGAGGCTGAGGCGGGCGGATCACTTGAGGTCAGGAGTTCGAAATCAGCCTGGGCAACATGGTGAAACTCTGTCTCTACTAAAAATACAAAAAAAATTAGCCAGGCTTGGTGGTGCATGCCTGTAATCCCAGCTACTTGAGAGGCTGAGGCAGAACAATTGCTTGAACTCAGGAGGCGGAAGTTTCAGTGAGCAGAGATTGTGCCATTGCTGCTTTCCACCTGAGTGATAGAGCAAGACTCCATCTCAAAAAAAAAAAAAAAAAATTAGCTGGGCATGGTGGTGTGTACCTGTAGTCCCAGCTACTGGGAAGGCTGAGGTGGGAGGATGGCTTAAGACCAGGAGGCAGAGGTTTCGGTGAGCTGAGATTGTGCCACTGCACTCCAGCCTGGACAACAGAGTGACACTCTGTCTCCAAAACAAACAAAAAAAAGAAAATAAAATACTGAATACCGCTGGGCATGGTGGCTCACCCCTGTAATCTCAGCACTTTGGGAGGATGAGGTGTGGAAGTCAGGTGGCCTCACTTGAGGTCAGGGGTTTTGAGATCGGCTTGGGACAACACAGGGACTCGAGCCCAGGAGGTTGAGGCTGCAGTGAGCTATGATCGTGCCAGTGCATTCCAGCCTGCCTGGGTGACAGAAGGAAAGACCTTGTCAAAAAAAAAAAAAAAAGGAAAGAAATGTAAAATAGTAAGACATATTATAGAAACTACCAACATTTACGCAAAGCATAAACCTTCACCCATGGAAACATATAAACTAAAAATATATCGGGCCAGGCACAGTGACTCATTTCTGTAAACCCAAGCCAGCCTTTGGAAGGCTGAGGCAGGAGGATCCCATGAGGCCAGGAGTTTGAGACTAGTCTGGGCAACATAGTGGGACCCCCATCTCTACAAAAAATTTAAAAATTAGCTAGGGGGCCGGGCGCAGTGGCTCACGCCTGTAGTCCCAGCCCTTTGGGTGGCCAAGGTGGGCGGATCACTTGAGGTTAAGAGATTGAGACCATCCTGGCCAACATGGTGAAATCCTGTCTCTACTGAAAATACAAAAATTAGCCAGGTGTGGTGGCGCACGCCTATAAACCCAGCTACTCAGGAGGCCGAGGCAGGAGAACCTCGTGAACCCCCAGGAAGCCCCAGGAAGCAGAGGCTGCAGTGAGCTGAGATTGCACTTCCGCACTCCAGCCTGGGTGATAGAGTGAGACTCCATCCCAAAAAATAAGAATTATAATAATAAAAAAATAAAATTTAAAAAAATGAAATAAATAGACAGATGGGTAAATCCTGTCATCAGCTCCAGTAATAAAGGAATGAGGTATAGATGTAGGGTCTCCCACATTTCTTCCACCAATAACATTATGCAGGAATAGAAAGTTAATGATATGAAGCTCACCAATAGGAAGATTATTTGATCAACAGTAAAAGTAGATCTAGAAATTATGACCAAATCGAACATGAACTCTAAGCTGTGGCAAATCAAGTATAATTGCAAAAAAAAAAAAAACCATGAAAATCTTACCTTAAACTCAGTCAATATTTTCTTGCAGTCCCCCAGAGAGTGTGAAAATAGATTTAGCCAGAAAGAAGGTAAAGACCAAATACATTTTCAGAGTTTAAATATTTAGCAAGCATTTTTTGGGGGAAAAAACAATATTGTCATTTTAAAGTTACACTGTTTAAATATAATGTACATTATAATTAAAGAGATATAATGAAAAATAATTGATTGGAGATATTAAGCTTATAATATCACATCAAAAGCTGCACTCCTGTCTGGGCGCGGTGGCTCATGCCTGTAATCCCAGCACTTTCGGAGGCCAAGGTGGGCAGAACACTTGAGGTCAGGAGTTTGAGACCAGCCTGGCCAACATGGTAAAACCCTGTTTCTACTAAAAATACAAAAATTAGCCGGGTGCGGTGGTGTGCAACTGTAATCCCTGCTACTTGGGAGGCTGAGGCAGGAGAATCGCTTGAACCCAGGAGGCAGAGATTACAGTGAGCCGAGATTACTCCACTGTACTCCAGTCTGGGCAACAGAGCAAGACCTTGTCTCAAAAAAAAACACCAAAAACGAGCGGGAGCAGTGGCTCACTCCTGTAATCCTAGCACTTTGGGAGGCCGAGGCAGGCAGATCATCTGAGGTCAGGAGTTTGATACCAGCCTGGCCAACATGGTGAAACCCTGTCTCTACTGAAAATACAAAAATGAGCCAGGCATGGTGGTAAGTGCCTGCAGTCCCAGCTACTTGGGAGGCTGAGGCAGGAGAATCTCTTGAACCTGGGAGGCGGAGGTTGCAGTGAGCCGGGATCATGCCACTGCACTCCAGCCTGGGCAACAGAGCAAGACACCATCTCAAAAAAAAAGAAGTCCAGGTGTGGTGGCTCATGCCTGTAATCCCAGGATTTTGGCAGGCTGAGGCAGGAGGTCAGGAGTTCGAGACCAGCCTGACCAACATGGAGAAACCACGTCTCTACTAAAAATACAAAAAATTAGCTGAGCATGGTGGTGGGCGCCTGTAATCCCAGCTACTCGGGAGGCTGAGGCAGGAGAATCGCTTGAATCTGGGAAGTGGAGGCTGTGGTGAGCCGAGATCACGCTAGTGCACTGCAGTCCAAGCAATGGAGCGATACTACGTCTCAAAAAAAAAAAATCTTGTGGCCACGTGCAGTGGCTCATGCCTGTAATCCTAGCACTTTGGGAGGCAGGCCAATAGCTTGAGACCAGGATTTGGAGACCAGCCAGGGCAACAGGGCAAAAACCCATCTCTACTAAAAATCCAAATACAAAAATTAGCCAGGTGTGGTGGCATGTGCCTGTAGTCCCAGCTATTCAGGAGGCTGAGGTGGGAAGACTGATCACCTGAGCCTGGGAGGTGGAGACTGCAGTGAGCTGAGAGTGCACCACTGCACTCTAGCCTGGGTGCCAGAGCAAGACCCTGTCTAAAAACAAAACAAAATAAAAAAAGTTGCACTGTGACGTGGACTCTAAAGTCAACATCCTAAACTGGAGACAGTAGAGGTAAGTGGAGCAGAAAGACAAGATCACAAGAGGAGCTGGAATAAAAAGACAGTGAAGAACTTGGCCCAAGATTCACATACCTCCTGGCTTGGTTTGCAGTAGTACAGGATTTGGTTTCTATCACTTCTATTCCAGCTGCAATGACAGCTGCAGGAACAGTTTCTCTGCAACAATTACTATTACATCAACCTTCTCTGCTCCAGAACATATGTGCCTCTCTTGCTCTCACAAAACCAAGCTTCTCTGCAAGGATTCAATGCTCTCCAGCCTTCATATTCCTTCCCTCAAAAGCAACACTGCACTACTTTATTGGCTGATTCAATAAATATGAAGGAATGAGTGCCAACTATGCCTGGCACTGTTCTAGGCATTGGGGAATCCAGCAATGAACAAAACTTCCTGCCCCACGGGGCTTATATCCAAGTGCAATTTGAAGACCAGTTCTTATGGTCTAAATGATCTTCCAGCAATTCATTGGAATGATGATTGTTCTCTGAGTATGTCACATCTTCATGGTGTCCTTTCTTCGATATGAAGTTTTCGAAGGTAAAAGTCAAGCCTTCTAACTTTTCAAATCTCCTTTCTCTATCCAAGCACTTAATTTAGCATTGGGCACAGTGTACTCAGTAAGTACCCAAATCCTACATGTAGGAGAAAAAGAAACTGGACAATGCATTGTACACTTAAAACTTTGTTAAAATGGTAAATCTCACATCAAGTGTTCTTACCACAATAAAATAAAAATAAATTTAAAATAGGAGAACTGGCCAGGTGCAGTGGCTCATGCCTGTAATCCCAGGCACTTTGGGAGGTCAAGGCAGGAGTATCACATGAGGCCAGGAGTTCGAGACCAGCCTGGGGAACATAGTGAGACCCTGTTTCTATGAAAAAAAAAATTACCAAGTAAAAAATTTTTTAAAAATAGGAAAACCAGAAATCCTTTTTTTTTCTTTTTTTTTTTGAGATGGAGTTTCACTCTTGTTGTCCAGGCTGGAGTGCAAAAGCGCGATTTCGGGTCACTGCAACCTCTGCCTCCCGGGTTCAAGTGATTCTCCTGTCTCAGCCTCCCAAGTAGCTGTGATTACAGGCATGTGCCACCATGCCCAGCTAATTTTGTATTTTTAGTAGACATGGGGTTTCTCCATGTTGGTCAGGCTGGTCTCGAACTCCCAACCTCAGGTGATCTGCCCACCTTGGCCTCCCAAAGTGCTGGGATTACAGGCATGAGGCACTGTGCAAGACCTCAGAAATCCTTTCTAAAATAAGTTGTCTTCTAGTTTCCAAAGGGTATTCATGTCCATTAGTCCATTTCACTCCACAACAATCCTAGGAGGAAACAGGGCAGGAGTCACTACTTCTGTTTTATTTATATACATTATATATATAAAATATATATGTTTTAAATATATGTTTTATATATATTATATATATTTATATACATGTATTATGTTTTATATATATTATATATATTTATATACATATATTATATATAATATATATTTTTTTGAGACAGAGTCTTGCTCTGTTGCCCAGGCTAGAGTGCAGTGGCACGATCTCGGGCTCACTGCAACCTCCGCCTGCCTCCCAGGCTTAAGTGATTCTCCTACCTCAGCCTCCCGAGTAGCTGGGAATACAGGCATGTGCCACCGCGCCCAGCTAATTTTTGTATTTTTAGTAGAGATAGGGTTTCACAATGTTGCCCAGGCTGGTCTTGAACTCCTGACCTCAGGTGATCTGCCCGCCTTGGTCTCCCAAAGTGCTGGGATTACAGGCTTAAGCCACCGCGCCCAGCCTACTCTGTTTTATTAAAGAGAACTGAAGTTCTGACGGGTTCAGAACCTCTCACAAAGTGGCTGAAGGAACACCAGCTTTAGCAGAAACTGATGAAAGGTAGCGAATGCCCTTGAAGAAGATAAAAAAAGATCAGACTCATTGGGAGGGGCTAAACAGGTCTAAGTGCTTAAGCATTTGGCCCTTTGGGGAAGTGGCTGGAGCCCTGTATGACTGTCACCACCAACCCAAGCTGGGAATCTAGTGCAAGGTTGCAAACAGACCCTGAAACCCCAGGGTGCCAGAAACTTCCCCCAGCAAGCACAGGTGTAGCTGAGGCACAGGCTCTGCATCTTAGAGCTCCACTCTCGGGCACAGCAGGAAGTCCCACCCTTTTAGAAGTGAGAAATGAGGGTGGCCTGGCCCCAAAGCGAAGCTAAGGCTGCTAAAGAGCAGGTGGGGCCCAGACACTGCTGCAGTTGCCCCAACAGCCAAAGTACACCCCAGCGCTCAGGAGCAGTGGGTCTGCACAGCGGAAGGTGACATACCTGGAAAAGATGGCAGCAAGGAAGCATGGGGCCAGGGAGGGTGGTGGTCCCATGGTCCCAAGGAAAGCGTCAGCCACATTCCATGCAAGAACCTCATGTGACACCCATGTTTGATGATCCAAGAATCTGCAGGGCATTTCTGCTTCATTTTTTTCCCCCTGATCAATTCAGGTTCCAAACTCAAAAAAAAAAAAAAAAGAAAAGAAAAGAAAAAAGAAAGAAAACTTTCAGCTGGGCGTGGTGGCTCACGGCTGTAATCCCAGCACTTTGGGAGGCGGAGGTGGGTGGATCACCAGGTCAGGAATTCGAGACCAGCCTGGCCAACATGGTGAAACCCCGTCTCTACTAAAAATACAAAAATTAGCCAGGCACGGTGGCGGGCACCTGTAATTCCAGCTACTCAGGAGGCTGAGACAGGTGAATCGCTTGAACCCAGGAGGTGGAGTTTGCAGTGAGCTGAGATCGCGCCACTGCACTCTAGCCTGGGCAACAGAGCGAGACTCCAACTCAAAAAAAGAAAAAAAAGAAAACTTTCTATCACTTAAAGCTTATAATCACCCCCCAACACCCTTTAACCCTAGAAGAAGTTTTCTTTCTTTTTTTCTTTTTTCCCGGGGTGGGGGGTGCGGGTGGAGGGAGATGTTCAGGAAATGGTTAAGTAACAAAATCAGAGAGCACGGGATTGAGGTGATTAAGGGCAACAAATGGATGGTAAAGGAAAGTGGGAAAGCCATTCAGTCAGATGATACTGGGCCAGGAGAGTGAGATGAACATGGAGGAGGGGGTGGGCCAAATGATGGAGAGAAGGCTGGAAAGAAAGAGACTTCAGGAGGCAGGTGATGAGGAGAAAGAGGCAGCTGGAGTCAGGGAAGAGGGAAGAATAGAAAGCGGAGACACCAGGGTCGGGGGTCGGGGAGAGAAACCAGGAGTTAGGATAGGGAAGAGGGCCGGGTGTGGTGGCTCATGCCTGTTATCCCAGCACTTTGGGAGGCAGAGGGGGGCGGATCACCTGAGACAGGGAGTTTGAGACCAGCCTGGCCAACATGGTGAAACCCTGTCTCTACTAAAAACACAAAAATTAGCCAGGCATGGTGGCGGGTGCTTGTAATCCCAACTTCTCAGGAAGCTGAGGCAGGAGAATTGCTTGTACCCGGGAGGTGGAGGTTGCAGCGAGCCAAGATCATGCCATTGCACTCCAGGCTGGGTGACACGGTGAGACTGTCTCAAAAAAAAAAAAAAAAAAAAAAGGGAGGGGGAAGAGAATCGAGGAATAAGTCATCACACTTAATGTCTATGCAAACTCTTGACTCACATGAAAACTTCAAGTTTCTTAAATATTGAAGCATCTTTACTTAAAACCTTCCTTCCCTTCTTTTTTTTTTTTTTTTTTTTTTTTAGAGACATGGTTTCACTGTCACTCAGGCTGAAGTGCAGTGGCATAGTCATAGTTCATAGTCCAACTCCTGGGCTCCAGCAATCCTCCACCTCAGTCTCTTTTTTTGTTTGTTTTTTTTTGAGACGGAGTCTCCCTCTGTTGCCCAGGCTGGAGTGCAGTGGCGCGATCTCGGCTCCCTGCAACCTCCGCCTCCCTGGTTCAAACGGTTCTCCTGCCTCAGCCTCCTGAGTGGCTGGGATTACAGGCAGGGACTACAATGCTCAGCTATTTTTTGTATTTGTAGTAGAGACGGGGTTTCACTATGTTGGCCAGGCTGGTCTCAAACTCCTGACCTCATGATCCGCCTGCCTCGGCCTCCCAAAGTGCTGGGATTACAGGCGTGAGCCATGGCGCCCGGCCAAAGCTTTTTAGCCACTGATTATGCTACCTCCTGGGGAACCTTCACAACCAACTTCTCTATTTTAGTTTAGACCTACACTGTTTGGGACATCTTTACTTCCTCCTTAACATTTAAGGAGAAATTGGAAATAGTTTAGCTTAACCAGACTAAAGAGTTCTCTTTTCACACCCTAAAGTCTCCCAAAAGAAATGGGTGGGCCGGGCGTGGTGGCGGACGCCTGTAATCCCAGCTACTTGGAGGCTGAGGCGGGAGAATTGCTTGAACCCAGGAGGTGAAGGTTGCAGTGAGCCAAGATTGAGCCACTGCACTCCAGCCTGGGCAACAAGAGCAAAACTCCATCCCAAAAAAAGAAAAGAAGAGAAAATAAGAGAAAAGAAAATGGTGACTGGATTTTCACTCTCAGCATTTGTTGAGTCTTAGCTTTGCTCAAAAAGGCAGTGATTTATTAATATCTTATTAAGATGCCAATTTATTCCAGCCAGGGACCCTGTTCTCAATGCCTCTAGAATGCATTTTTATTTCCTTCTTCCCATATACCATTGTCAGGGTTGAAGCCAGAGAGTTCATAGTTGGGGAATCCCCCAAGCTCTATTCTCCCTGCAAATGGCTGTTTTAGGGCAATGCAGCCTCACAGATCTGTCCTTGCCAATCAGAGCCACTGTGATGGCGGGAGGAATCACTAGCCATCTGTCTACCTCTTATCTCACCCTATATATCTGCTCTGGATTATTAACAAAGCCTGCCTGTGGAGAAACCATTGTGTATATCTGTTTAAATGTCCCGTTCCCCCAACGCAGACTAGTTAACAAATGGTTTCCTACGGCAAAAGAGCTGGCTGCAATCTGACAAATCTTGCTCTACTGGCAGTCCCATTCAAAATAAGTACTACTATTATTGTTCTAGAGCCTTTTTTTGGGGGGGGGGCGGGGAGATGGAGTCTCACTCTGTAGCCCAAGCTGGAGTGCAATGGCGCCATCTCGGCTCACTGCAACCTCCACCTCTTGCATTCAAGTGATTCTCCTGCCTCAGCCTCCCATGTAACTGGGATTATAGGCATGCACCACCACGCCCGGCTAATTTTGTATTTTTTTTTTAGTAGAGACAGGGTTTTGCCATGTTGGCCAGGCTGGTCTTGAACGCCTGACCTCAGGTGATCCACCTGCCTTGGCCTCCCAAAGTGCTGGGATTACAGGCGTGAGCCACCGCGCCCGGCCTGTTCTAAAGCCTTTCTAGGGTTCTCCCAGCATGCCCATCTGAATTAAACTTGGAGGTATCTGATTGCCAAGGGTGTGCAACTCACCTCCTTGAGGGTTAATTACTTAAGGGGGTCTGAATGTTAAGAAAAAGGGCAAGACCAAGTTGAGCTACTCCTAGAGACTTTCTCTTTGCCGCCAAGTATTCCCTGGGTTATAAGGGTGAGTGGGAAGGAAATAAAGCTGTTTATTTTGCAAATAGCAACAAGGCCCAACACTTAATCTGACAATGGCAAAAGCTTTCTCTCCTGCTTAAAAAACAAACAAAACGAGCTGCTGACTTTTTCTATAACTACAGAGAGCCAGATGCTTATGGGGCCATATCTGGTAGCACCAGTGTGAGAGACTGCTGCTTTTAAAATATACTTTACCATAGTCGGAAAGATTTAAAGAGGCTTTAGATCTGATACAGTTTCTGTGATTATCTTCTTCGTATCAGTGCTCTGAAAATCTAAGAAGTCTGAACAAAACTGGTATCAAAATAAAGAATATTTCCCAGTGACTAGAACGCAAGAAGATGATATCTTATTAACAAACCTTTTTTGCTGTTTGTGAGATGTTTCAGTCGGCTGTTGGAGTAATTATGCAAGCTCTTTAACCTTTCTATACTTCAGTTGTCTATCTTTAAAATGAATATAGCGCTAACAGGCACTTTAGCTTGTCTCCTAAGGATGTTGTGAAACAAAGCAGAGAATGTCTGTACAAACTCCCCAAGTTGTGCATGCAGAAAAACCTTCTGTGGTAATAAATAATAATACCTTGCATTTACGTAGCGCTTTTACCTTGGAGTTCAAGCCTTGATAGAATTAGAAGGTATCATTATTTTAATTGTCTCGCTAACGTCCTCCTGAAAGAGTTGATGGCTGTTTATGCAGGTTATATGATTCACTCCATGCCCTACCTCTCTGCTCCATTCCCTGCTTCCAGGAGTCAGAGCTTAAAGAGTGGGAAACCAAGGCAGGGAGAAAAAGATTTGTGTGACACCGCTCAGCAAGGGCGTAGTGGAGCCAATAGTGCCAACCCCGATGTGTAACGCCCCAGCCACCGTCCTTTGTGGGATTTAGAATTTAAACGGGCCCCAGAGCAAGAGATTGGCTGGGGAAATGCCCGGATCGCGGCTGGGCTGCTCGCATGGCACTGCTCGGGTACCTCCGGCCGGGCTCCGTCGACGTTCGGAGCCTGCTGGCCCGTCGGGCAGCTGTCGGGCCGCGGGAGTCGGTCCGTGGGCAGGGCCGGCGCAGCTCGGGCGGCTGCTGCCCCGTCGCTGACCCCCGCGCGAAGCTGCGCGCACCAACAGGAGACATCTTCCCGGCCGGGCCTCCCGCGCCCGCCACGGCCCAGGGCGGCAGGGTCGGGCCGGGGGCCGGGGGCGGCCCGCGCACCCCTCCGTGGGGGGCGCCCCGACTCGCCGGGGGCGGGGTCACGTCCCACCCGGGCCGCCGGGGGCACCGGCGCGGCGGAAAGCTGAGCGTGGCCGAGGAGCGGGGGCTTCCTGGGCCACCTCGCCGGGCGCCTCCGGCCGGCGGTGGGCGCGCCGGCCGCCACCGCCCCCGGGCCGTCGCGGAGACCGCTTCTGCGCCTGGTACCTGTGGACGCCCTTGTTAAGCGCCTGCAGCACCCCCGGGGAGCCGAGCCCAGGACAGACATGCTACTCCTGTTTCCTGCCCCTTCGGAGCGACGAGCAGTGGGTGAGGCGGGGCCAGGCCGCTGCACCGAGGAGCCCCCGGGCCCAGGGCAGACGGGCCCCGTGGCGGCGGCGCCGGGGCCTGCCCGGGAATGGCGGGCAAGCCGGCCTCGGCCCACCGGCCGGCACGCGAAGGGAGGGCAGCCGGCGGCCATGCGCCCCTTCCCTGCGCCCTCTCGCCCTGGGCAGGCCTGAGCCGGGAGCCCAGGTCCCGCGGGCCCAGCCCGGCGGCTTGACCCCGGGAGACCCTGCTTTGAGGCGGGTATCGGTTGCCCTGGCCCAGGCCTCCCGGCCCTCAGGTTGTGTGACTGTGACGGGCAGCCTGGGGCCAAAGGCGGTTGAAGGGGAAGGGGACGCAGATCTCCCACTGCTTGGGGGGGGTGATGTGCTTTGTGGGGGGTCGGGGGTCACCACCCTCCCAGGGGGGTGGGGGAGGGCGGCCAGCACAGCTGGCCGCGAGGGGCGGGGTCGCAGAGGCGAAGTGTGTGTGAGGGTGTGTGGGGGGAGGGCGCGCGGAGGAGGATCGGTGCCCTGCGCGCAGGCGCGAGCAGCCAGCCAGGCCCGAGCCCTGGAAGAACGCCGACGGGGAGCGGGGGCGGCGGGCTGGCGGGAGGGAGGGAGGGCGGGCGGCCTGACGCGAGGGGGCGCAGGGAGCCGCGTCGGCGTCGCGGGGCGCGGGCGATTCGAGGCCGACGCATCCGCGCGTGCGCGCGCCGGCGGTGTGTCCGCGTTAGAGGGGAGTGACGCGTGCGCGTTCACGCGCGCCCGGGAGAGCGGTAAGAAGCGCAGGGAGGCCTGAAGGGGGTGGGGGGGTGGAGAGGCGAGCTGGAGGAGGGGTGGGGAGGTGGCGCCTGCGCAGTGCGCCTCGGAGGAGCTGTGTGTATGTGAGAGTCTGACGGGTTCAAAATGGCGGCGGCTGCTTCAGCGGCTCCTCCTGTGTGAGGGAAACAACACCCCTCCCCGGCAGCGGCGGCGGCGGCGGCGGCTCTCGGAGCACCTTCCCAGCGGCTGGGCCCGTGGCCGCTCTGTCTTTCCTGGGCAGGGGACGCTCCGGGAGGAGGGGCAACGCCAGGGGGCCCATCCCCCGGAATCCCTCTTCTGCGACTGGGGAGTAGCCGGGGGGCTCGTCCCGCAGCGCGGAGCCAGACCTGAGGGGGAGACGCGAGGGGAGCCAGGGCCCCCATCCCGGCGCGCCGCGCCGCTCCCGCCCTGTCCGCCCCCCGGGGCCGGGGCCCGCGTTCCGGGGGGCCGGGGCGGCGCGGGGAGCCTCGGGCCGGCCGGTCTCAGCTGATCGGCCGCTGCTCCCGCAGGCGACCAGCCCCTGCTGGCCGAGGGCACGGCGAGGAGGGCGCTCCCTGCGGCCGGGGCCGGCCCGGGGCTCGGGCCCGGGCTGCTGACCGCTGGCCTGGGGGAGGCGGGGGCGCCCCGGGCTCGGCGCCGAGGGGTCGCGCTCCTCTCTCCTGACGCCTCCGACTCCCGGTCTCCAAAGCCAGAAGAGAAGGTTTGATTCAGCAACTGTTTGCTCCCTTTTCCTGGTCGCTCTGACCCTCTCTGGATACTGGGTTGATCCACGGAAAAACCGAAGACGACGTTTGGGATTTAATTATTCCTCTCAGCTTTGGAATCTTTTACTTCTCACTTGGACAAGAACTCAAGAGCAGAATCTCCGGTGAGTTTCCCCCTCCCCCCCCTCATTTGGAAGTTTGGTTGACTGTGTTATCCAAAGACTGAATGCAAAGTTTCTATCTCTTTTTCCGATGGGTGAACCATTGAAACGCCTTTTCCTGGGGGAGCCCAGCGAGATTCGCCCTTTTTCCTCTCCGGCCCTGGCTGCTCCATGCCCAGGCGGTCGTCGCCCAGGGGGTGCAAGCACGGTTTCCCTCCCGACTTCGGGCCAGGGCTTCCTCCGGGAGGGCTCTGCCTCTAACTGCTCTGCAAACTGTGTCATCGGGTCCTCTGGTCTCGTAGCAGTTTTGAAAGGATGCTGTTAACGTGGCTGTAATGTAGTGACAAAAACGGGGGGAACCTGTGTTCTCAATGGAAGCCATTATCCACGAGAATATTTAGAAAAAAGAAAACCCTTTCTTGGTATTACGGATTGACCGTCGCGCCGGCCGGTCTTTTATTTAATTTTTGGACAAGATGTATTTTCCTTGTATCCTTAGATGCAATCGTTTATTTTATTACTTTATCCAAAAAGATCAGATGGAATTTTGGTCCTTGATTTGCACCTCTGAAATTTGTTTCAGAGTTGTGCACATCTTGTGTTGGGGTGGAGGGTAGATTTGGGAATGATAAGATCCGGGGAGTCTAGAAAGGAAGGCGACGATTGTGCACGGCCTTACAGGAGGGGTATGGGAAATTGTTTTGGGGTCATTTAAATCCTAATTTTTTGTCCTCTTTTTACATAGTCAGTTTGCCCTTCTTTCCTTTAGTTTCTGATTACCGGTGAGAGAGAACTAATTTGGTTAGGATCTGGATTAGTTCAGTGGTGCTTCACCTGGTCAGCTCTCTGGAGATAAAAGTCCTGGGCTTTTTTTTTTTCTTGCTGATGCTGCCATGAAGGAGATCCTTGCTAGTTGTAATCCTGTGGGGAGAAACTGGTGGTGTGGCCCTTCCACAAGGAACTGAAACCAACATCTCGTTTCGTCTAGGCCTCCGACAGTTGTAATGTGATTAATGTTGAACATGACATGGAACCACTTGCCCAAGAGCAGAAAGGTCCCAAACTCATGAAGAGGAACCTGATTTTTCAGAGAGCCTTTAACACTTACCTTAAATACTCCTTTCCGTGAACAGAAAGCACAAGTTTGAGAATGAGTTCTCATTTCTGCTTATATCATTATTCTTTAGTGTTGCAATCTGGTTCCTAAGGAGGAAGAGGAAGGCAGCCCTGGAGTGGTTTCTTTACAGTAATTTCAACAGAAGAGTGAGAGATGGAACCCGAAGAAGAAAGGATTCGTTACAGCCAGAGATTGGTTAGTATTTTCTCCCCCCACCACACCCTCCAGTTTTAAAGTAGGATAACTATTTTGTTTCCAGTTGTGAATATACTGTGAATCTGTGATTAAAACTTTTCGGGTGACTTTTCTGTGCACCAGAGGAGGGGGAAAGGTGTATTAATATCGAATTTGGCTTTTGGCCAAACATGTTTTATATTTTATATATTTATCTTGTTTGGAAATGGAGTTATATGTAGCCTTTAGCTTTTATAGAAACCATTGTATACCAAAGGATTTTGTGGATTACAATGTGACAAAGATTCCTGATTTTACAGTACTGACATTGTAATACATCTGATTACGTTAGATTAGAATATAAATTTTGGGGGCAAAGCTGTTTGAGGAAGGATAGTTCAATACGTTTTTTAAGATTTTGTTGTCCCAGGATTTGTGACTTTGAGCGGGGAGAACTATGGATTATTTTCTTTTATTTTATAAATTAACATTTTGGTAGCTTTGAAGGGTTGTTGGGATTGATTGAAGACAAGTAGGTAGAATACTGGATGCTGATAAAGTTCTGTGTTTTGGGAGGAATGTACGAGATAGATCTTGTTGAAAGAAATTTTAGACATGATTTGAAAGGATTGGCTTATATCTGTATATGAACACTTGGATCCTTTAAGCCATGCTTTCCTCGTAAGGTTTCCCTATTGGAGTTTTAAGAATTCAATTTTTGTTTTTCTTAGCCAAAGAGAGCTTTATTAGTAGTCTCACAGTATTAATAAAAATCTGAATTTGTGTTTGAAGAGTGGGCTATGAGGAAAGCGACAGAATTGTATGTAGTATGTGAAATTTGCTGACCTGAAAGGCCTAGAAGATTACTAAAGGAATTTATGGTGGTTTTATTTGGCTCTGCATTTTAGACTGAATTTAGGAGAAAAAGAATGGTTCTCGAATACATTTTCTAGTGATCCTTACTCTTTTTGAGAAGAGACTTCTTTATTATTTATTTATTTTTATTGAGATTGAGTCTCACTCTGTCGCCCACGCTTGGAGTGCAGTGGCGTGATCTGAGCTCACCGCAGCCTCCACCTCCTGGGTTCAAGTGATCCTCCTGCCTCAGCCTTGCAAGTAGCTGGGACTGTAGGCATGTGCCACCACGTCCAGCTAATTTTTGTATTTTTAGTAGAGAACAGGGTTTTACCATGTTGGCCAGGATGATCTCGATCTGACCTCATGATCCACCCACCTTGGCCTCCCAAAGTGCTGGGATTACAGACGTGAGCCACCGCGCCTGGCCATGGCCTATTTTTTATTTATTTTTATTTATTTATTTATTTATTTATTTATTTATTTATTTATTTATTTTTTGAGACAGAGTCTGGCTCTGTTGCCCAGGCTGGAGTGCAGTGGCGCAATCTCTGCTCACTGCACGCTCCGCCTCCTGGGTTCACACCATTCTCCTGCCTCAGCCTCCCGAGTAGCTGGGACTATCGGCGCCCACCACTACGCCCAGCTAATTTTTTGTACTTTTAGTAGAGACGGGGTTTCACTGTGTTAGCCAGGATGGTCTCGATCTCCTGACCTTGTGATCTGCCCGCCTCGGCCACCCAAAGTGCTGGGATTACAGGTGTGAGCCACTGCATCTGGCCTTTTATTTTTATTTTTATAGACAGGATCTTGCTCTGCCCAGGGTGACGTTCAGTGATGTGATCATAACTCACTGTAGCCTCAAATTCCTGGGCTCAAGCAATCTTCCATTCCAGCCTCCTGAGTAGCTGGGACTACAGGCGTGTGCCACCATGCCAGGGTAATTTTCAGACTTTTTTTTTTCTTAGTGACGGGGTCTTGCTATGTTGCCCACCCTAGTCTTGAACTCCTGGCCTCAAGCGATCCTCCCACCTTGGCATCCCAAAGTGCTGGGATTAACAAGCGTGAGCCACAGTACCTGGCTTTTTTTTTTTTTTTTTTTTTTTTTTGTGACTGCTAGAAAGGTTTGGTGTGTATTGGGAAGTATATATTCAGCATGCATATATTCCGGTGAGCCTAATTTCAGAGATTTGTCTTGTTCCCAGTTCATGTGTTGAGATTATAATTCTTTATCTCTAACTTTGTAGAAATTAAGCATATCTGTAGTAGAATATTGTATCGTTGGGATTTATTTTTATTTTTACATTTCTTGAATTTAACTTTTCTTTGGGAACAGAAAAAGAGATGATGCCATAAAACTCCTTTCCCAGGTAGTTATTGCTATATGGAATTCACTTTTATCATGTCAAGTTGTTAGTTAGGTATCTAAGGAATTTTGCAGTCCAGACTTTAAAGGAAGAGCCTTTCCAGCAAGCAAAACTTTTAACTGTTTTTTTTTTTTGAGACGGAGTTTCACTCTTGTCACCCAGGCTGGTGTCCAATGGCACTATCTCTGCTTACTGCAACCTCTTCCTCCTGGGTTCAAGTGATTCTCTTGTCTCAGCTTCCCGAGTAGCTGAGATTACAGGTGCCTACCACCACACCTGGCTGATTTTTGTATTTTTAGTAAAGACTGAGTTTCACCTTGTTGGCCAGGCTGGTCTCGAACTCCTGACCTCAGATGATCCGCCTGTCTTGGCCTCCCAAAGTGCTGAGATTACAGGCATGAGCCACTGGACCTGGACTTTTGGGTTTTGTTGTTGTTGTTTGTTTGTTGGTTTGTTTGTTTTGAGACTGAGTCTCGCTCTGTTGCCCAGGCTGGAGTGCAATGGCACTATCAGGGCTCACTGCAACCTCTGGCTCCCGGGTTCAGGTGATTCTCCTGCCTCAGCTTCCTGAGTAGCTGGGACTACAGGTGCCCACCACCACACCCAGCTAATTTTTATATTTTTAGTAAAGATGGAGTTTCACCATGTTGGCCAGGCTGGTC
This sequence comes from Homo sapiens, assembly GCF_000001405.40. Taxonomy (NCBI): domain Eukaryota; kingdom Metazoa; phylum Chordata; class Mammalia; order Primates; family Hominidae; genus Homo; species Homo sapiens. The sequence continues at coordinate 67,124,222 of NC_000011.10, forward strand.
TTGAACTCCTGACCTCAGATGATCCACCCACATCAGCCTCTCAAAGTGCTGGGATTACAGGTGTGAGCCACCGTGCCCGGCTTCACTTTATTTTTATATATATTTTTTGAAATGGAGACTCACTCTGTTACCCAGACTGGAGTGCAGTGGCACGATCTTGGCTCACTGCAACCTCTGCCTCCCAGGTTCAAATGATTCTCCTGCCTCAGCCTCCCAAGTAGCTGCGATTACAGGCGCCTGCCACCATGCCCGGCTAATTTTTTTGTATTTTTAGTTGAGACGGGGTTTCGCTATATTGGCAGGCTGGTGTCGAACTCCTGACCTCAGATGATCACCCACCTCGGCCTCCCAAAGTGCTGGGATTACAGGTGCGAGCCACTGTGCCTGGCCCACTTTTTTTTTTTTTTTTTTTTTTTAAACAAGGTAGGGAGGAATAGTGGGAAGGAGAGTCAAGTACTCTTGACTTTTGTCTTGGCAAGATTTTTTTTTTTCTTTTTTTCTTTAAGTTGTAAGGTGATTGGTACTTGTTGCATACATTAACCCTTAACTAGCATATGTTTTCTTTTGTTTAATGTGCTATCTTAGCAGTGTTTGTGTAAGAGGACACATCATCTATTTGGAGAGAACTTTCTTTTTCTTTCTTTTTTTTTTTTTGAGACAGAGTCTTGCTCTGTCGCCCAGGCTGGAGTGCAGTGGCTCGATCTTGGCTCACTGCAAGCTCTACCTCCCGGGTTCACGCCATTCTCCTGCCTCAGACTCCCGAGTAGCTAGGGCTACAGGCGCCCGCCGCCACACCCGGCTAATTTTTTTTTGTATTTTTTAGTAGAGATGGGGTTTCACCATGTTAGCCAGGATGGTCTCGATCTGCTGACCTCGTGATCCGCCTGCCTCGGCCTCCCAAAGTGCTGGGATTACAGGCTTGAGCCACCGCACCCAGCCTGGAGGGAACTTTCTTTTTTTTTTTTCTTTTTTTTTTATTTGAGATAGGGGTCTTTGTCGCCCAGTCTAGAGTGCAGTGGCATGATCATAGGTCATTGCAGCCTCGACATCCTGGTCTCGAGTGATCTTCCCACGTCAGCTTCCCAGGTAGCTAGGACTACAGCCCTGTGCCACCATGCCTGGTTAATTTTTGTATTTTTTGTAGAGGTGGGGTTTTGCCGTGTTCCCAAGGCTAGTCTTGAACTCCTGGGCTCAAACGATCTGCCCGCCTTGGCCTCCCAACAAGTCATTTTTTGGGGGGAAAAAAAAATCAGAAATAACTAGTTAAGGACTGGGTGTGGTGGCTCACACCTGAAATCCCATCACTTTGGGAGGCATAGGCAGGAGGATCACCTGAGGTCAAGAGTTTGAGACCAGCCTGGCCAACATGGTGAAATCCCATCTCTACTAAAAATACAAAAATTAGCTGGGCACTGGGGGTGGTGGTGCGTGCCTGTAATCCCAGCTACTTGGGAGGCTGAGGCAGGAGAATCGCTTGAACCTGGGAGGTGGAGGTTGCACTAAGCAGAGATTGCGCCACTGCACTCCAGCCTGGGCGACAGAGTGAGACTCCATCTCAAAAAAAAAAAAAAAATTAGCCGGGCGTGGTGTAGGGCGCCTGTAATACCAGCTACTCAGGAGGCTGAGTCAGGAGAATCACTTGAACCGGGAGGCAGAGGTTGCAGTGAGCTGAGATTGCACCATTGCACTCCAGCATGGGTGACTGAGCAAGGCTTCACCTCAAAAAAAAAAAAAAAAAAAAAGGCCAGGCACAGTGTCTCACGCCTGTAATCCCAGCACTTCGGGAGGCTGAGGCGGGTGGATCACCTGAGGTCGGGAGATCGAGACCAGCCTGACACAACATGGAGAAACCCCGTCTTTACTGAAAATACAAAATTAGCCGAACGTGGTGACGCATGCCTGTAATCCCAGCTACTCAGGAGGCTGAGGCAGGAGAATCGCTTGAACCCGCGAGACAGAGGTTGTGCTGAGCTGAGATCATGCCGTTGCACTCCAGCCTGGGGAACAAGAGCAAAACTCCGTCTCAAAAAAAAAAAAAAAATGGAATAACTAGTTTAAAAAAATTGTCTTTTGCCAGTTATGGTGACTCACACCTATATTCCCAGCACTTCGGGAGGCCAGGGAGGGAGGATCACTTGAGCCCAGGAGTTTGAGACCAGTCTGGGCAACATAGACCCCCGTTTCTCACACACAGATTGTTTTTTGGCCGGGTGCGGTTGCTTATGCCTGTGATCCCAGCACTTTGGGAGGCTGAGGCGGGTGGATCACCTGAGGTCAGCAGTTTGAGACCAGCCTGACCAACAAGGTGGAACCCTGTCTCTACTAAAAATACAAAAATTAGCCGGATGTGGTGGCAGGCGCCTGTAGTCCCAGCTACTCAGGAGGCTCAGACAGGAGAATTGCTTGAACTCGGGAGGTGGAGGTTGCAGTGAGCTGAGATCACACCACTGCACTCCAGCCTGGGCGACAGAGCGAGACTCCATTTCAAAAAAAAAAAAAAAAAAAGTATTTTTTGCCAAGCTTCATTATTTACCTATTACGTGTGGAAAAGAAATGCACCTTTGAAGATGGTGTGTATGTGTAGATTTGGAATATAAGCTACACTTTCTGGAACTTGGAACCAGAATATTCTGCAGTGTTGGAGTGGAACAGCTAGGAAATGACAAGGGTGGATAAACAATGTTTGGCTTCTCTTAAGTAAGACTTAATTTTTTTTAGGTAATGAAAATATTAGTACTTTTGTATATTGATTGCCAGAACAAAGCCAGAACTCTGATGCAAGTTTGTATACCTGAGAAGGTACTCAAGTGGGAGGGATAGAAGCTTCCTTTTGATGCTGGGGTGGGTTGTTCTGAGGTAACAATGATTTATTTCTGTATTTCTTTTTCTTTTTGGAGACAGGGTCTCACTCCGTTGCCCAGGCTAGAGTGCAGTGGTGTGATCATTCCTCTTTGTAGCCTCAACCGCCTGGCTCAAGTGGTCCTCCCATCTCAGCATGTAGCTGGGACTACAGGCATGCATGTGCCACCATGCCTGGCTAATTTTTAATTTTTTCTGTAAAGGCAGGCTATCCCTGTTCGGGCTGCTCAGGCTGGTCTGGTTTTTTTTGCTCAGTCTGGTCTTGAACTCCCAGACTCAAGCGATCCACCTTGGCTTCCCAAAGTGCTGGGAGTACAGGTGTGAGCCACTATGCCTGGTGTGCTTGTCAATCTTGATGAAATTGAGAGTTTTTAGCACTTTCACCTAGCAAAAAAAAATAAAAAATAAGAAATTGAGAGCTTTTCTAAAAGATGTTATTATCGCATGTTCAATCCTGTTAACCTGTCTTACATATAATTATGAAATAGCTAAATCATTTATCTGTTACAAGGAACTGCGGCCACTGAAACTCTGGCAATAGTCCCACCTTTCCTTGGTTTACCTTTGAAAGTGCCTCCCCAAATTCAGCAGCGATTACCAGATTATCTTTTTTAAATTAATTAATTTATTTATTTATTTATTTTGAGATGGAGTTTTGCTCTTGTTGCCGAGGCTGGAGTGCTATGACGCAATCTGGGCTCACCGCAACCTCCCTCTCCTGGGTTCAAGCGATTCTCCTGCTTCAGCCTCTGAGTAGCTGGGATTACAGGCATGCACCACCATGCCCGGCTAATTTTGTATTTTTGGTAGAGACGGGGTTTCACCATGTTAGCCAGGCTGGTTTCAAACTCCCGACCTCAGGCAGGCGATCTGCCTGCCTCGGCTTCCCAAAGTGCTGGGATTACAGTTGTGAGCCAGCACACCCGGCCTTTTTTTTTTTTTTTTTTTTTTTTAGGCGGGGTCTTGCTCTGTTGCCCAGGCCGGAGTGCAATGGCACTACCACTGCAGCATCAGCCTCCCCAAGTGATCCTCTTACCTCAGCCTCCTGAGTGGCTGGTACCACAGATACATGCCACCACACCTGGCTTATTTTTAAATTCTTTCTAGAGACAGGTTTTCACTGTGTTGTCCAGGCTGGTCTCGAACTCCTGGGCTTAAGTGATCCTCTCTCCTGCCTGGAGGCCTCTCCAGCCTCCCCAGCTCCTGGGATTATAAGTGTGAGCCACTGCGCCTGGACCCGTTCCCACTCTGAGGTCTTTCTGACTGAGAATGGACTAGATAAAATAGAATATTTATTTTAAGCCTTTTTTTTTTCTAGTATGAAAGTATAATGTTAGCTAGAAAAAATTATATGTGGTCTACATTGTTGAATTAGTTTATTTCTAATTATTTTATGAGATTTAGTCTTTAGTCTGTGTTGGTAGAGAGTGCACTGGTCTCATTGTTGCGGCCTCCCTCCTAATAATGTAGGAAAAACTTGACCATTTTTGGGTGATTCAAAAATGCAGATAATGACAACTAATTTTTTATTCTTATACATCAGTCTTCCACAGTAAGCTATATTTTGGGCCCCTAGAATGAGGATTAAATTTAAGCCCTATTATTTTCTGTTGTTTTATTTTGCTGAGCATTAATCACTACTGTACTTTGTGTATAGCTTTCCACTAGAGTATAAGCTTCTTGAGAGTTGGGGCTTTGTTTTTGTTTATGCTGTGTGCTAGATGCTTCAAATAGGGCCTAACACATAGCAAGTGCTGAATAAGTATTTGTTGATATTGTTGAAAGCCTGGATATATGCTCTTCTTTGCTACCAATTTTCTTGAATGCTAGGATTAAGCCACTAGAGTGGAGGAGGGTCTGGATGCAGTGGCTCTCACCTGTGGTCCCAGCTACCCAGGAGGTTGAGGCAGAAGTATCATTTGAGCCCAGGGGCTTAAGGCTGTGATGAGCTATGACTGTGCCAGTGCACTCCAGCTTGGGCTACAGAGCAAGACCCTGTCTCTAAAAAAATGAATAAATTAGAATGGAGGACACTTTGGCAGGTAGGGATGAGGAGGATATCTGGATATTGGGTCTTGCAGTGTAGATAAGAAACAGAGACCTAAACTATAACAAATAAAAACGTATGTGTAGCACACATGTCAGACTACCACATTGATGATGTTTGGTATTTGGACCATTTAGAACAAATAATAAAGTGTCTAGTTGATTTTAAAAGTTTAGTCTGTCTAGGTACAGTGACTTAGGCCTGTAATCCCAGCACTTTGGGAGACCAAGGCCAGTGGAATGCTTGACGTCAGGAGTTGAAGACCAGCCTGACCAACATGGTGAAACCCCGTCTCTACTAAAAATACAAAAATTAGCCGGGCATAGGCCGGGCGCGGTGGCTCACACCTGTAATCCCAGCACTTTGGAAGGCCGAGGCGGGCGGATCACAAGGTCAGGAGATCGAGACCATCCTGGCTAACACGGTGAAACCCCGTCTCTACTAAAAATACAAAAAATTAGCCGGGCGTGATGGTGGGCGCCTGTAGTCCCAGCTACTTAGGAGGCTGAGGCAGGAGAATGGTGTGAACCCGGGAGGCGGAGCTTGCAGTGAGCCCAGATCACGCCACTGCACTCCAGTCTGGGTGACAGAGCGAGACTCCATCTCAAAAAAAAAAAAAAAAAGAAAAAGAAAAATAGCCGGGCATAGTGGCACATGCCTGTAATCCCAGCTACCCAGGAGGCTGAGACAGGAGAATCGCTTCAACTCGGGAGGCAGAGGTTGCTGTACGCCGAGATCGTGCCACTGCACTCCAGCCTGGGCGACAGAGACTCTGTCTCAAAAAAAAAAATTAAAAAAATTAAAGTTTAGTCTGAATTTTAAGCTCTCCTATTCTTTTTTTTTTTTTCTTTTGTGAGACAGTTTCACTGTGGTCACTCAGGCTGGAGTGCAATGGTGCGATCTCTGCTCACTGCAACCTCCGCCTCCCGGGTTCAAGTGATTCTTCAGCCTCAGCCTCCCTAGTAGCTGGGATTACAGGCGTCCGCCACCCCACCTGGCTAATTTTTTTTTTTTTCTTGCACCAAAGCTTTCTAAAGTTAGTGATTTATTTCTGACAAGTTTGCAAAACCCAAGAGAGAGCAGTTTTCTGGGTTGAACTCATACTTCGTGTTTACTCGAGTCTGAGTCACGGCACCTGACTTCCTCACAGGTGCACCTGACTGCTCTTTACCACCTGGCTAATTTTTATATTGTTTTAGTAGAGACAGGGTTTCACCATGTTGGTCAGGCTGGTCTCAAACTCCTCACCTCCAGTGATCCGCCCACTTCGGCCTCCCAAAGTGTTGGGATTACAGGCGTGAGCCACCATGCCCGGCCTTAAGCTCTCCTGTTCTAATCCTGTCCTAAACTGTGCCTAGGTTTTGCTGACCTTTAGACAGCCTTAAAGCTGTGAAGTTGCAAGTGATGATGTTTGTGTTATTCTCGGGTCTTGGTTTTGGTTATTAAGTCAAGGAATTGATACATTATGTATATCATGTAGATAGACATACATTCTTTGTATCTTTCTATTTTGGGGGGGTAACGGACACTCTTAATTAGGTTTCATTAATTTTCTCTGTTTATCTCACTTTTGGAATAATACTTTATTTTTGCATTGCACTTTCACATCAAAAAGGGTTAAAATTCAGTAAACATTTATTATATGCCAGATAGTAGGCTAGGTTCTTTCATATATATTACCTTATTTAATTCTCAAAACAACCCTGGAAGGTAGATGGTATCGTTTTAAACCTTGATTTTTTTTTTTTTTTTAATTATGGAGAGAGAGGCCCAGGGAGGGGCCATGACTTGCCCAAGATCACAGAGTCGGTAAGAGGTGAAACCAGACCTTGAACTCAGGTACCCTGACTCCAAACTCCCAGGTTTCTTCTCTCATACCATCCAACGTCTCTTGTGTACTTTATACAGAAAACAGGCCGGGTGCAGTGGCTCACGCCTGTAATCCCAACTACTTTGCAAGGCCGAGGCGGGCAGATTGCCTGAGGTCAGGAGTTCAAGACCAGCCTGGCCAACATGACGAAACCCCATCTCTACTAAAAATACAAAATTAGCTGGGCATGGTGGTGCACGCCTGTAGTCCCAGCTACTCGGGAGGCTGAGGTGGGAGAATCGCCTGAACCTGGGAGGTGGAGGTTGCTGTGAGCTGAGATCTCACCGTCGCACTCCAGCCTGGGTGACAAGAGCGAAACTCCGTCTCAAAAAAATAATAATAATAACACTCTTACTCCACGGTGTGTAGGCTGAGTACTTTCTCTCTTTTGAGGCTACTTTAGTGTTTTCTTTTCTTTTTTTTTTTTTTTTGAGATGGAATTTCGCTCTTGTCGCCCAGGTTGGAGTGTAGTGGTGCGATATTGGCTCACTGAAACCTCTGCCTCCCAGGTTCAGGCAATTCTCCTGCCTCAGCCTCCTTAGTAGCTGGGATTACAGGCGTGTGCCACCACGCCTGGCTAATTTTTGTATTTTTAGTAGAGATGGGGTTTTACCATATTGGCCAGGCTGGTCTGGAACTCCTGACCTCGGGTGATCCACTTGCCTTGGCCTCCCAGAATGCTGAGATTACAGGCATGAGCCACGACTTTCCGCCTACTTTAACATTTTCTTGCTAACGTCTGTCTGCTTAACATCCTGAATTAGATAGCTATAAATATTTGATAGCCAGTGTTTGATTATGTTTCAAACAAAGATGGCACATTCTTTCTTTTCATGAACTTTGAACTTATTGCACTTGATCTGTTAAAACGGCAGTATTGTGCAGTTTGTGTGTATGTCAAGGCTTTTATTTATGTATGTCACTCATATCCTTGTTTTCTGTTTTAAATTTTAGGTTCTTGGGGTTTTTCTCTGTCTGTGAGTACTTGGTAAAAAGTTAAACCCTAAAGATAAAAGGCAGCAAATAGTGACCAAACGAATGTTTTTGGCAAATACATTGGTGAAGGCCTCCTTCAGGTAGGTAGAGAGGAGGAGGGAAGAGGGTGGCCTTTCAGGTGGTAAAGACAGCATAAGCTTTATACTACTACTATAAGGCCTATTCTGTGGATCTCTGATAGATGAGCAGACTGAAGTAGGTGGTGTCTTTTGAGGGGCACTGCTGATAACGTTGGGTAGAAATTTTAAACAACTTTGAAAGCCAAGTATGGACATAGCCATTAGAAGTTTTGTTTTTTTTGTTTTTTGGATATGGAGTCTCACTGCGATGTCCAGGCTAGAGTGCAATGGCACGATCTCGGCTCACTGTAACCTACGCTTCCTGGGTTCAAGCGATTCTCCTGCCTCAGCCTCCCAAGTAGCTGGGATTACAGGCACGTGCCACCACGCCCGGCTAATTTTTTGTATTTTTAGTAGAGACGGGGTCTCAACTATTATTGGCCAGGCTGGTCTGGAACTCCTGACCTCAAATGATCCGCCTGCCTCGGCCTCCCAAAGTACTGGGATTATAGGCATGAGCCGCTGCGTCCAGCCAGTTTGTTTTTAATATAACAGTGATTTGGCCAAAGTGGCATTTTGGGAGTAATGTCTCCAGTTTCAGGTCGGGGTGGTCTAGAAAGAAATTCAAATAGCTTGCCTTTTGAGGTGACAGGAACCCTGAACTCTTAAGGCAGTGGTTTTCAAAGTGTAGGTCTCTCATTAGCAGCATGAGCATTAACTGAGTGTCTGGGAACATATTAGAATGCAAATTCTTGGGCCCCACCCCAAACTTACTGAACCAGAAACTCTGGAGTTGGGGCCTAGCAATCTGTGTTTTAACAAGACAGGTGATTTTGATCCACGCAAAAGTTTGAGAACCATTGCTGTGGGTTATAGGTAGAAATGGAAAGGAAGAGATAGAAGCAAGACACATTGGCAGTGAAGGACTGACTAAACTTTGTAACTGATGGATAGCAGCATGTTATGATAGAGAAGAGTACTTAATTGGGGATGTTGAGCCTTGAGTTTTAGTATCAAGTCTCTTACCAATTGTGCTTTTATTCGTATTTATTTATTTATTTTTTGAGAGGGAGTTTCACTCTTGTTGGCCAGGCTGGAGTGTAATGGTGCTATCTTGGCTCAGTGCAATCTCCGCCTTCAGGGTTCAAGCACTTCTCCTGCCTCAGCCTCCCAGGTAGCTGGGATTACAGGCGTGCGCCACCACACTGCGCTAATTTTGTGTTTTTTTTTGTAGAGATGGTGTTTTACCATGTTGGTCAGGCTGGTCTCAAACTCCTGACCTCAAGTGATCCACCCGCCTTGGCCTCCCAAAGGGCTGGGATTATAGGTGTGAGCCACCGTGCCTGGCCTATTTTTATTTTTTGTTTTGAGACAGAATCTCACTCTGTTGCCCAGGCTGGAGTGCAGTGGCCTAATCTCTGCTCACTGTAACCTCTGCCTCCTGGGTTCAGGTGATTCTTCTGTCTCAGCCTCTCCAGTAGCTTGGATTACAGGCTCCCACCACCACGCCCGGCCAATTTTTATATTTTTAGTAGAGACGGGGTTTTGCCATGTTGGCCAGTCTGGTCTTGAACTCCTGACCTCAGGTGATCTGCCCACCTCGGCCTCCCAAAGTGCTGGGATTACAGGCGTGAGCCACCGCACCCGGCTTCCAACTGTGGTTTTTTTTTTGAGACAGAGTCTCTGGCTCCTAGGCTGACGTGCAGTGGCGCCATCTCGGCTTACTATAACTTCCGCCTCCCAGGTTCAAGCGATTCTCCTGCCTCAGCCAGCTGGGTTTACAGCCCTGCGCCACCACACCCAGGTAATTTTTGTATTTTTAGTAGAGACAGGGTTTCACCATGTTGGTCAGAGTGGTCTCAAACTCCTGACCTCGTGATCCTCCCACCTCGGCCTCCCAAAGTGCTAGGATTAGAGGCGTGAGCCACCATGCCCGGCACCAACTGTGGTTTTAAACAAGAAAACTGACCTGTCCTTGTTGAAGTTGTACAGTGTGCTTTCTGAGGATTTTGAAGGCAAAGACAAATGAAATACTAAGGTAGACTTTGGGATTTAGCTTGGATTACCAGGAAGACTGGGGGAAAGATTTTTTGAAACTTTGAGGAGAGAATATGAGTGGATGAGGCTTTAGACAGTTGGAGATACTAGAAGATTTAAAGCAGATTCTCAACTGGGGATGATTTTGCCCCCAAGGAAACATTTAGCAGTGGACATTTCTGATGGTCAGACTGGGGTAGTGCTACTGGTATTTAATGAGTAGAGGCTAGGGATGCTGCTAAAGCATTCTGCAGTGCACAGGACAGCCCTAACTACGATGAATGAACAGGTCCAGAATGTCAGTAGTACAAGGTTGACAAACCCTGATGTAAAGGGAAATACCCAGTAGATAGGTTGCATGTTTCCGTCCTGATTATCTGCTATTCATTTTATAATTTTATTTTTTAAAGTTTTATTTATTTATTTACTTTTTTTTTGAGACAGTCAATCTGTTGCCGAGGCTGGAATGTAGTGGTGCGATCTCGGCTCACTTAAACCTCTGCCTCTTGGGTTCAAGTGATTCTCCTGCCTCAGCCTCCTGAGTAGCTGGGATTACAGGTATGCGTCGCCACGCCCAGCTAATTTTTATATTTTTAGTGGAGACAGGATTTCGCCACGTTGACTAGGCTGGTCTCGAACTTCTGACCTCAGGTGATCCACCTGCTTCAGCCTCTCAAAGTGCTGGGATTACAAGTGTGAGCCACCTCACCTGGCCTTGAATTTTAGATAAATCTAACACAAAACATCTCAAAAGCAGTCTCACATTGTGTTTCCCACATCATGCTTTGCAAAAGTAAGCATGAAGCCCTTTTTCTGTTGTTGAATTTTCACAAAACTAACTTCATGGTCATGACAATCCTCAACCCAGTTGCATATTTTCTTTACTCCTTTTAACATACGCAAAGATCAACTTATTTCGGTAACATAAGCATTCACTGTCTAGACATCAGTCATTAAGCTACAGCAGATAAGATTTTCTTTTTTTTTTTTCCCCCTGAGACGGAGTTTCACTTTTGTTGCCCAGGCTGGAGTGCAATGGCGCGATCTCGTCTCACCACAACCTCCGCCTTCTGGGTTCAAGCGATTCTCCTGCCTCAGCCTCCCGAGTAGCTGGGATTACAGGTATGCACCACCCTGCCCAGCTAATTTTGTATTTTTAGTAGAGAAAAAGTTTCAGCATGTTGGTCAGGATGGTCTCGATCTCTTGACCTCGTTCCACCTGCCTCGGCCTCCAAAAGTGTTGGGATTACAAGCGTGAGCCACCGCGCCCAGCACAGATTTCCTTTTGATACTCTCTTTGAAGGATAGGGAAATGAGATAAAAGTTGTGGTGCTGTTGTGAGCAAATGTTAAAATATTTTTAATTGCCCTGTAGCTGAAGACCGCATGATCACTCTGAAAAACTGCCTCATGAGCTGGTTGTGGCCCTCAGCCTTAATTCATCTCTTTAGATCCTGGATCACAGACGTTAGCAACTTTTTTGTTTGTCAAGGCAGTAATCTGCGTAAATGACTCGTTTCTGAGAGTGACCTCAAGATAATATATATTCATAAATGTAGTGATCGTTTTATAGTAGTTTTATAGTTTGCAAAGTACTTCTTTGTCTCTTGTGTCTTTTTGTCATTTTAGTCTTTTGATCATCACCATCTTAGTCTTTTGATCATCACCATTCTTGGGGTTGCCAGAACTTGTGGACAGTGCTACATGTTGGGTAATCCCAAAAGTTGCCATTCACATATCTTAATCTATGTGAATAAAGATGCCCTTGGAATTCAATGGTGCACACCCTGTAGAACTATGAACTGATGTTTCTACCCACTACTGAAGTCTAGATTCTAGATAGCTCATCCTATCATATACTTTCATTGCATTCTGTGTTTACCTTTGTTGCCTTTGTGTAACTATAATTAACGTTACTAGTGTGTTTGTTTAATATCTGATTTTTTCACCAGGCCAGAAACCATTTTTGGGGGATAAGGTAAAGGAAAAGTCACACTGCATATTTGAAAGTAGGAGATAAAAACCCAATCTCATGGATAATAGCACACATTGATTGAATGTGTACTGTGTGCTTGGTACTGGCATTTTCGATATACTCACTAATTTAATTCTCAAGAACCCTTTGAAATGGATTCTTTGACTCCCATTTTAAAGTTTTGGAAACAGATCCAAAGTGCAGTTAAGTGTCTCAGATTATCCAGTTAAGGGACAGAGCCAGGATTCAAAGTAAACAGTCTGGTGATTCCAGAGCATACTTAAGTTATACTGCCTCTTCATCAACTTTGTTGGGACACAGTTTATAAATGTTTCACTGATGAATTGAGGGTGTTTCCCAAGTCATCTGTTCTCATTCAGGAGATTCATTCACTTAAACAAATGTTTGTTGAGTGCTTATGTTGTACTAAGCATTTTATTTGGGTCTTCTAAATGCTGTGGTTTCAGATAATGCTGAGTGCTTTGAAGAAATTACAAGGATGATGAGATACTTGTAGGATGGAGAATTCCTTGAGATTGAGTGATCAGTGAAAGGCTTCTTGAGAAGGTGGCATTTTGTACTGAGACCTGAGTGATGAACAGCCAATCTTGTGATGTTCAGGGGTTCTGGGGACCAGGTCTGGGGCCCTAGGTATAGGGAACAGGCAATGCAAAGTCCTAAGGTAGGAATGAGAAAATAATACTAAGCATTTAACCATGTTCAGATACCATGTAGGGCGCTCTGGCTTACAGTAATGGATAAAACAGGTATGGTCCCTCTGTCATGGAGCTTCTGGTCTGGTGGAAAAGTCAGACATTAAACAAATACTAGTAATGTTAATTACAGTTACACAAAGGGCTACAAAGGTAAACATAGGCTGCAGTAACAGTATATGATAGAGTGAGCTAATCTAGACTTCAGTAGTAGATAGAAACATTAGAGAACACTTTCCTGAGAGAGGCTTTGAAGTTGAGACCTAAAGGGTGACTAGGAGGTAACCAGGCAAAGATGCAGAGTGATTAGCACATGCAGAAACTCTTAAGGTTGGAAAGAATTTGACATGTTTGAGAAACCTGCCAACCAGCTAAGCCAACCAACTAAACAAAACACCAAAAAAGCCATTGTAACTGAAGAAACATAAGTGAAGGAGAGAGTTAAAATTCTTGACAAGGTAGACAGGTCAGATCAAATAGGGCATTATCCTGAAGCCATTGGGAAGGCAGAAGTTCAGCAGAGTAGTAATGCGTTTGGACCAATGTCAGTGGTTGCAATGTAGAGAAAGGGTCAGGGAGAGGGCAAGAATAGATTTAGGGAGATTAATTAGGAGGCTATTATATTGGTTCAGGTAAGACAATGATGTGGTATGGTTGAGTGCTGACAGAACTAGAGAGGAGATTGATTCTATGATTGAGATTCTATGATTGATTCTATGAGAACTATATATGAAATAGAATCATGGGACTTTTCATTGAATGTTTTGAGGGTCAGTGTAAAGGAGGTAAATATAAGTATGACTCCCAAGTTTTCCTAGTGCATGGCTTATAATACAGTTCTTTTATTGAAATAGGGTACACTGAAGGAAGAGCAGGTTTGGGGACTGAGCAAAGGAGCATAAGTTCAGTTTTGAGAAAACTTGAAAAGGTTAAATGAGAAGTGCTTGTGAAATATCACAGTAGAACTGTTGAGTAGGTAATTGGGTATGATTCTGGGTCTAAGGAAGGACTTACTGGCATATGATTGGGTCTTTTTTTGAGAAGGGGTCTCAGCTCTGTCGCCCAGGCTGGAGTGCAGTGGTGCGATCTCGGCTCACTGCAACCTCTGCCTCCCAGGTTCAAGTGATTCTTCTGCCTCAGCCTCCTGAGTAGCTGGGACTGCAGGCATGTACCACCATGCCCGGCTAATTTTTTGTATTTTAGTAGAGACGGGGTTTCACCATGTTGGCCAGGATAATCTCTATCTCCTGACCTTGTGATTCGCCTGCCTCAGCCTCCCAAAGTGCTGGGATTACAGGCGTGAACCACCGCGCCTGGCCAAACTATAGTATTATTATAGGACCACCGTCACATATACAGTTGTTGAGTGAAATGCCGTTAAGTGGCACAAGTCTGTATTTGACCGTGAGTCTCTTTTTACCTAGTAAGAGTAGACTTCTGTAAGTCAAGGAATATGCTTTATTCAGGTGCTCAAAACTTGTCTATTGAATTGAACAAAAATGTGTTATGTAGTCCTAAAAATACATAAAATGTAGAGAACACAGTAAGTGAATTTCAACAATGAAAAGAACCTTAGATTGCTAATCAGGTTGCATAGGTTAGTTATCTAGCTTTATTTTATTCACCTACAAGGTTCTTAGTTCTAATAATTTAAACCAGTTGTTTTCAAAGTGTGCTCCCCAGACCACATTACCTGGGAACTAGTTAGAAAGGGAATTCTTGGGCTGGGCACGGTGGCTCACACCTGTAATCCCAGCACTTTGGGAGGCTGAGGTGGGCAGATCAGCAGAGGTCAGGAGTTCGAGACCAGCCTGACCAACATGGCAAAATCCCATGTCTACCAAAAACACAAAAATTAACCAGGTGTGGTGGTGTGCACCTGTAATCCAACCTACTAGGGAAGCTGAGGCAGAAGAATTGCTTGAACCTGGGAGGTGGAGGTTACAGCGAGCCAAGATTGTGCCACTACATTCTTGGATCCTACCCCAAACGTACTGAATCAGAAAGTCTGGCAGTGGGGACTCAACAGCCTGTGTTTCAACTAGTTCTCCAGGTGATTCTGATAGATGGTAAAGTTTGAGAACCATTGGAATTGTTGTAGCAGTTTTTCTGTTTGTTGGAAACAAAAAATTAACTAGAGGTAGTTACCTTAATTTCACACTTCACAGCTTAAAGTTATTTTAAAATCGTTTCTTCATATTTCCTGCCAGTTGAATTTGCTGACATTTTTCTAAACCACTAATGGTATCTTAGGCACAGTATCCTTGAATCACAGGCAGTAGTATTAAGTTTCTGAAGACTGCTTCTCCCCCCACCATGCTCCTTAAGTCTTATTTAAATAACCTTCAGTGAGTACAGAAGGGGCCCATTACTACGCCCTTCCTGGTGACACCAGTTAACCAAGCCAGGGCAAGTAAGTGTACCCTGCAGCCCTGCCAGCCAAAGATTGCTACTTTTTTTTTTTTTCCTTTTTTCTTTTTTCTTTTGAGACGGAGTCTCGCTTTGTCCCCCAGGCTGGAGTGCAGTGGCATGATCTCAGCTCATTGCAACCTCCGCCTCCCAGGTTCAAATGATTCTCCTGCCTGAGCCTCCCAAGTAGCTGGGATTACAGGCACCCACCACCACGCCCAGCACATTTTTGTATTTTTGGTAGAGATGGGTTTTCTCCGTGTTGGCCAGGCTGGTCTTGAACTCCTGACCTCTGGTGATTCGCCCACCTCGGCCCCCCAAAGTGCTAGGATTACAGGCGTGAGCCACTGCACCCAGCCTCTTTTTGTTTTTTAGAGATGGATCTGTCTACGTTGGTTGCCCAGGCTGGTCTTGAACTCCTAGGCTCAAGTGATCCTTCTGCCTCAGCCTCTCAAAGTACTAGTATTACAGGCATGAGCCACCACGACTGGCCCAAAGGTTGCAAGGTTGCTGCTGCTATTTTTTTTTTTAATTTATTTTTTGAGACAGAGTCTCGCTCTGTCACTCAGTCTGGAGTGCGCTGGCACGATCTTGGCTCACTGCAACCTTTGCCTCCCGGGTTCAAGTGATTCTTCTGCCTCAGGTCCTGAGTAGCTGGGATTAGAGGCATGTGCTACCATGCCTGGCTATTTTTGTATTTTTTTAGTAGAGTCCGGGTTTCACTGTGTTGCACTGGCTGGTCTCCTGACCTCAACTGATGTGTGCATCTTGGCCTTCCACAGTGTTGGAACTATAGGCGTGAGCCACCGCACCTGGCCTACTCCTGTGTTCTTAGCTTGAGTTCCTGGTTGATGGGTGGTGCCACCAATTGAGAGAGAATACCATGGTTTGTGGATTGGGTACGGTGGCTTACACCTATAATCCCAACACTTTGGGAGGCTAAGGCAGGAGGAGTTCAAGGCTTGAGCTCAGGAGTTGGAGACTAACCTGGGCAACATGGCGAAATCCCGTCTCTCCAAAAAATACAAAAATTAGCTGGCTGTCATGGCGTGTACCTCTAGTCCCAGGTAATTGGGAGGCTGAGGTGGAAGGATCACTTGAGCCTGGAAGGTCAAGGCTGCAGTGAGCTTTGATTACGCCACTGCACTCCATCCTGGGTGACAGAGTGAGATCTTGTCTCAAAAAAAAAATATCATGGTTTTATACAAAGAATATAGGTCGGAAGACCACCCTGAGCAACATAGCAAGACTGTCTCAAGAAAACCTTAAAAGAAGTTACAAGTAGGCCTGGTGCGATGGTTCACTCCTGTAATCCCAGCACTTTGGGAGGTGGAAGCGGGTGGATCACCTGAGGTCAGGAGTTTGAGACCAGCCTGGCCAACATGGTGAAACCCTGCCTCTACTAAAAATACAAAAAATTAGCCAGGCGTTGTGGCAGGCGCCTGTAATCCCAGCTACTTGGGAGGCTGGAGCAGGAGAGTTGCTTGAACCCGTGAGGCGGAGGTTGCAGTGAGCCAAGATTGTGCCATTGCACTCCAGCCTGGCAAAAAGAGTGAAACTTTGTCTCAAAAAAAAAAAGTTACAAGTATACTTTTGATTTATTTATATTAACCTTTCTGTCTCTAGTAGCATATTTAATTCACCAGTTATTTATTGGGTCTACTTTATGAAGAACCTTACCAGAGATTCTGGGTTAACGTCATGAGGTATCACCATAGATTTGGATCACTTTTTATTAGGTAGAACTAGTTTAAAAAACGCTATATTTTAATTACTGCATGGATTACTTAATTTTTCTCCAGACCTCTTACCTCATGCTTGCTCAAGTCAAAGGTTGATAAATACTACTCATTTAGCTTTGTGGGCACTTTCTCAGTTTATCCCCCTCTCTTTGGAGTGTCACTCCACGTTGTCTCATCGATGAAAATATTAGGAACTCTCCTAAACATTGTATTTTGGGGAACACAAGCATCTGAAGATACCCATCCATTTACTTCTGTCCCTTATTATTTAACCATTTCTTCATATGCGAAACAATTTTTCCATATTGTTTTGGGGGTACATGTGATACTTTATTAGATGCATAGATTGTAATGACCAAGTCAGAGTATTTGGGGCATCTTATCACCTTGAATATTTAATAGGAACATTTCAGGTCCTCCTCTCAAGCTATTTTGAAATATACAATTCATTGTTATTGGCCGGGCGCGGTGGCTCACGCCTGTAATCCCAGCACTTTGGGAGGCCAAGGCGGGCGGATCATGAGGTCAGAAGATCGAGACCATCCTGGCTAACATGGTGAAACCCCGTCTCTACTAAAAAATACAAAAAATAAGCCAGGTGTGGTGGCAGGTACCTGTAGTCCCAGCTGCTCGGGAGGCTAAGGCAGGAGAATGGCGTGAACCCGGGAGGCAGAGCTTGCAGTGAGCTGAGATCGTGCCACTGTATTCCAGCCTGGGCGACAGAATGAGACTCGTTCCAAAAAAAAAAAAAAAAAATATATATATATATATATATATATAAAATTCATTGTTACTAATTATAGTCACCCTACTTACGATTGAGCTTCAGAACTTATTCCTTCTAACTGTATGTTCATGCCCATTAACCATCCTCTCTTTATGCACCCCTTTGCCCCTCATACACACCCTTCCCAGCCTCTGGTGTCCATCATTCTGTTCTCTGTTTATGAGATCAGCTTTTTAGTTCTTTAATATTTGAGTGAGAACACGTGATACTTCTCTTTCTGTGCCTGGTTTATTTCATGTTATTTAATATTCTCCAATTCCATCCATGTTCCGAAAATGACAGAATTTCATTCTTTTTTATGGATGAATGGTATTTCTTTCATTCATTCATTCATTCATTTTTGAGACGGAGTCTTGCTGTGTCGTCCAGGCTGGAGTGCAGTGGCACGATCTCCGCTCACTGCAACCTCCACTTCCCAGGTTCAAATGATTCTCCTGGCTCAGCCTCCTGAGTAATGGTTTACAGGTGTGCATCACCACGCCCGGCTAATTTCTGCATTTTTAGTAGAGGTGGGGTTTGACCATGTTGGTCAGGCTGGTCTCAAACTCTTGACCTCAGGTGATCCACCCGCCTTGGCCTCCCAAAGTGCTGGGATTACAGGCATGAGCCACCGCGCCCACTGTATATCTAGTTTTTTTAGGGCATTAAAAATAAGGCTGGGTGTGGTGGCTCATGCCTGTAATCCCAGCACTTTGGGAGGCCAAGGCAGGCGGATCACCTGAGGTCAGGAGTTCTAGACTAGCCTGGCCAAGATGGTGAAACCCTGCCTCTACTAAAAATACAGAAATTAGCCGGGTGTGGTGGCAGGTGCCTGTAATCCCAGCTACTGGTGAAGTTGGCCGGGGGGTTGGGGTTGGGGTTGGGGTTGGGGTTGGGGTTGGGGGGGCGTCAAGGCAAGAGAATCGCTTGAACCTGGGAAGCGGAGGTTGCAGTGAGCCGAGATTGCACCATCGCACTCCAGACTGGGGGACAAGCGTGAGACTCCATCTCAAAAAAAAAAGTTAGAAATAAAAGTACAAGGAGCTCAATTATGTATTTGTTTTTCTGTGTTTCCTATTAAATCCTTATTCCTAGAAGTACAGTAATTAAAATTAGAAACATTTAAAAAACTTACTATGGAAAGATTATATGAAGTAAATAGTGGTGTGATTAACACCCATATACCCATTGCCAAGCTTCAACAATTATCAAAACTTGGAAATCTTCTTTTATCTCTATCTTCTACTCCCTCTCAGTTGTCTTGAATTAAATCCCAGATAGTATTACTTCATCTGTAAACACTTCAGTTATATATATATATCTATTCTTTTTTTTTTTTTTTTTTGAGATGGAATCTTGCTCTTGTCGCACAGGCTGGAGTGCAATGACATGATCTCAGCTCACTGCAACCTCTGCCTCCCAGGTTCAAGTGATTCTCTTGCGTCAGCATCCCGAGTTGCTGGGATGACAGGCATACACCAGTACACTCGGCTAATTTTTGTATTTTTAGTAGAGACGGGGTTGGCTGGTCTTGAACTCGTGACCTCAGGTGATCCTCCCGCCTCCGCCTCCCAAGGTGTTGGGATTACAGCCGTGAGCCACTGCATCTGGCCTGTCTGTTCATTTCATAAACATCTGAGAGGGTCTTTGCTACAGGACTTCAGGAGCACTAGCATCGGTATGAAATAGTGTTGGTTCAGTTTCTGAAAATTTCTTGGGAAGAAGCACATGCAGAAAAGTCCGTAAAACATAAATTTATATGGTGTAGTGAATAAGCATGAAGCAAATACCTGTGTAACTACTACTCAGTCAAGATTTGAAATTGCCACCACTTCAAAAGCTTCTTTACAACCTTCCTAATCACTACTTTTTCTTACTCAGTGGAATTATATTTTAGTTTCGCTTTTGTCTGTCTGTCTTTCTCTTTTTATTTATTTATTTATTTATTTATTTTTTTGAGATAGGGTCTCACTCCATCTCCCAGGCTGGAGTGCAATGACGCGATCTTGGCTCACTGCAACCTCTGCCTCCTGGGTTCTAGAGATTCTCCTGCCTCAGCCTCCTGAGTAGCTGGGATTACAGGCGTGTGCCACCATGCCCAACTAATTTCTGTATTTTTAGTACAGACAGGGTTTTCTCATGTTGGCCAAGCTGGCTCAAACTCTTTACTTCAAGTGATCCGCCTGCGTCGGCCTCCCAAAGTGCTGGGTTTACAGGCATGAGCCACTGTGCCTGGCCTTAAAAAAAACTATTTTTTTTTTTTTGTGAGACGGAGTCTCCCTCTGTCGCCCAGACTGGCGTGCAGTGGTGCAATCTCGGCTCACTGCAACCTCCACCTCCTGGGTTCAAGCGATTCTCCTGCCTCAAACCTCCTGAGTAGCTGGGATTATAGGTGCTCTCCACCACTCCTGGCTATTTTTGTATTTTTTTTAGTAGAGTTGGGGTTTTACCATGTTGCCCAGGCTGGTCTCAAACTCCTGATGTCACGTGATCTGCCTACCTCCCAAAGTGTTGGGATTACTGGGGTGAGCCATTGTACCTGGCCCTTGGCCTTAAATTTTTTTTTTTTTTTTTTCAAGACAGAGTCTCACTCTTGTTGCCCAGGCTGGAGTGCAGTGGGGTGACCTCTGCTCACTGCACCCTCCACCTCCTGGGTTCAACTGATTCTCCTGCCTCAGCCTCTCAAGTAGCTGGGATTACAGGCATGCACCACCATGCCTGGCTAATTTTGTATTTTTAGTAGAGTTGGGGTTTCTCCATGTTGGTCAGGCTGGTCTTGAACTCCTGACCTCAGGTGATCCACCCACCTCAGCCTTCCAAAGTGCTGGGATTACAGGTGTGAGCCACCGTGCCCGGCCCCAACATTTTTTTTAATATAAATTTTTTAGAGACAAGGTCTTGCTCTGTTAGCTCATCCAGGCTGGAGTACAGTGGAACAGTAATAGCTCACTGCATCCACAGTCTCCTGGGCTCAGGTGATCTGCCTCAGCCTCCTGAGTAACTGGGAGTACCGGCACGCACCACGAAGCCCAGCTAATATTTGGTATTTTTTTTGTAGTGATGGGTTTCTCCATGTTACCCAGGTTGGTCTTGAACTCCTGGCCTCAAGTGATCCTCCTGCTTCAGCCTCCCAAAGTGCTGGGATTATAGGTGTGAGCCATCGTGCCTGGATTTTTATTTTTATTTATATTTTTGAGACAGAGTCTCGCTCTGTCATCCAGGCTGGAGTGCCAGTGGCGCAATCTCAGCTAACTGCCGACTTTGCCTCCCGGGTCATGTGATTCTCCTGCCTCAGCCTCTCAAGTTGCTGGGTGTAGAGGCCCCCACCATCATGCCCAACTACTTTTTTTGTATTTTTAGTAGAGACAGGGTTTCACCATGTTGGCCAGGCGGGTCTTGAACTCCTGACCTCAGGTGATCTGCCCAGCTTGGCCTCCCAAAGTGCTAAGATTACAGGTGTGAGCCACCGTGCCCGACCATTCACATGGTTTTTAAAATTTGATCCTTGAGGCTAATCGCTGTTGCTCATGTCTGTAATCCCAGCACTTTGGGAGGCTGAGGCGGGCAGATCACCTGAGGTCAGGAGTTCGAGACCAGTCTGGCCAACATGGTGAAACCCCGTCTACAAAAAACACACACACACAAAATTAGCCAGGTGTAGTTGCGTGTGCCTGTAATCCCAGCTACTTGGGATGCTGAGGCAGGAGAATTGCTTGAACCCGGGAGGTGTAGGTGCCAGTGAGCTGAGATTGTGCCACTTCACTCCAGCCTTCCAGAGTGAGACTTCATTTTAAGAAAAAAAGATAAAAATTGATCTTTGAGCCATCCCTTTGAGGGGGAATATGGTAGCACCCCATTTTTTTTTTCATTAGGAAATAAAGGCTCATAGAGGCAAAATTACTTACCCTAACGTTATACTACTAAGCAGTAGAACAAAGACTGGACACCTGGTATTCTTTGTTCAGGTTGAATTTCTTTCCATTATACCATATTCTCCCTTTCTCTTTTCTCATTACTTGAAAATGATACCATACTCGGCTACTTTCTCTTTTCTTAATGTTTTATGCCCTCTTATTTACTTTTGGACCTTTGCGTATGCTGTTCTTTCTGAATCATACATTTTCCTTCCTCTCTAACTCTGCCTTTCAGGTTTCAGGTTTCAGCTTAAGTGTTACATCCTTTGGGAATTTTTTTTTTTTTAATTCCTGCTTTTCATGAACTGTATCCGGGAGATTTTCAACATGTTTCTCTGTTTCTGGTATATAAAATGCCTGTTCTTCCCGTTTTTTGTTTTGTTTTTTTTTGTTTTTTTTTTTTGAGACAGAGTCTATCTCTGTTGCCAGGCTGGAGTGCAGTGGCGCGATCTCAGCTCACTGCAACCTCCACCTCCCGGGTTCAAGCGATTCTCCTGTCTCAGCCTCCTGAGTAGCTGGGATTTCAGGCGCATACCACCACACCCAGCTAATTTTTTTTCTATTTTTAGTAGAGACAGGGTTTCACCATGTTGGCCAGGATGGTCTCAATCTCCTGACCTCCTGATCTGCCTGCCTCAGCCTCCCAAAGTGCTGGGATTACAGGCATGAGCCACCGCACCTGGCCCCCATTTCTTTAACATTTGATTTTTCTGCTGTCATAAGAAATAATACACCGATTGTCTTTTTACTTACTTTTTATAGATCCTGAGGGCAAAAATCATGGCAGTCTTATTTATCAGAGCATTGACAGTGTTTGGCATATGGTAGAAGTTAAAACATTTAATGAATTCAGTTGAATATAATTTTCTATCTACTGTGACAGATTCTCTCTCTTTGTCTGTCTTCCTTTTTATTGTTTGAGACAGGGTCTCACTTTGTTATCCACGCTGGAGTGCAGTGGCATAATCTAGGTTCACTGCAACCTCCACCTCCCAGACTTAAGCAATCCTCCTGCCTCAGCCCCACAAGTACCAGGGACTACAGGTGCTTACCACTACACCTGGCTAATTTTTTGTAATTTTTGTTGAGACAGGGTTTTGATGTGTTGCCCAGATTGGTCTTGAACTTCTGACCTCAGGTGATCTGCATGCCTCAGACTCCCAAAGTGCTGGTGCATGAGCCACCGTGCCTGGAACATTCTTTAATATTGGTTATAAACTCTAATGCCATGCTTTCCTCCCTCACTTTCGTGGATTTTATCTATTTATTATTCCTTAACTGGAATACAAATAGGTTTCATAAAAGTTTATCAAAGGCACATAGTTTACTGATCTCATTTGAGATCATGTTAATGTTTGAAATTCCCTTGAACCTCACTGAAGACTAAGGTTAATTTGTAGCAATAGTTAAAATTTGCTTAGTCAGATATAAATAGCCAGAAAACCTAACAGGATGGAAGTTGAAACAGAGCTAAGATTTATGAAAGTGTCTGCCATGTAAGTCCGATGTATGTCATCAACTTAAAAATGAACACTGTTGTTGACAGTTTGGTGTAAGAGAATAGAAATACGCCTGTTTGTATTTCATCCAGGCTTGGCCAGATCTTTTGTGCCACTCTGGGAATGGTCAGGTTAAAAGATATGACTTCCACTGGGCCGGGTGCGGTGGCTCAAGCCTGTAATCCCAGCACTTTGGGAGGCCGAGGCGGGCCAGTCATGAGGTCAGGAGATTGAGACCATCCTGGCTAACACGGTGAAACCCCGTCTCTACTAAAAATAAAGAAAATTAGCCGGGTGTGGTGGCGGGTGCCTGTAGTCCCAGCTACTCAGGAGGTTAAGGCAGGAGAATGGCATGAACCTGGGAGGTGGAGCTTGCAGTGAGCCGAGATCGCGCCACTGCACTCCAGCCTGGGCGACAGAGCGAGACTCCGTCTTAAAAAAAAAAAAAAGATGCAACTTTCACTGGATTTCAAGAGCCAGTGAACCTAGTTAAACCTTATTAAAGCAGGAAGAAGTGAGAATTTCAAGGATCAAGGGCTTTCTCTGGAGACTGAGTAGTTCCCTTTCATTAGAGATTCTTTTTTTTTTTGAGATGGAGTCTTGCAGTGTCGCCTGAGCTGGAGTGCAGTGGTGCAATCTCAGCTCACTGCAACTGCCGCCTCCTGGGTTCAAGCGATTCTCCAGCCTCAACCTTCCAAGTAGCTGCGATTACAGGCGCCTGCCACCACACCCAGCTAATTTTTTGTATTTTTAGTAGAGACGAGGTTTTACCATGTTGGCCAGGCTGTTCTGGAACTCCTGACCTCGTGATTCACCTGCCTCGACTTCCCAAAGTGCGGGGATTATAGGTGTGAGCTGCCACGCCCGGCCCTCATTAGAGAGTCTTATAGCAAATGTCTCTAGCTGATCATCTAGTGGTAATGTAAATCAGCTAAGTACATACATATTGATTGATTGACTTAAAGTATTTACTAGATCGCTGATTTGTTACAAGCATTTGTTACTTTTGCATTCCTTTAAGAAAACTTTGGGGCTGGGTGCAGTGGCTCATACATGTGATCACAACACTTTGGTAGACCAAATTGGGAGGATCATTTTTGAACTCTGGGGTTTGAGACCAGCCTGGACAACATTGCAAGACCGCATCTCTATTAAAAAAAAAAATTTAGCTGGGCGTGGCGGTGGACACCTGTAGTCTTAGCTGCTTGGGAGGTCGAGGCCAAAGGGTCGCTTGACCCCCGGAGGTTGAGGCTGCAGTGAGCTGTGATTGCACCACTGCATTCCAGCCTAGACAACAGAGTGAGACCTAATTCAAAAAAGAAAGAAAATAAAATAAGGGTTTTTTCATGGGGTAAAACTCAAATAATAGGTATCAATCATATCTTTTTTCCCCCATCAGAAACAAGTAATCCGGCCGGGCGTGGTGGCTCATGCCTGTAATCCCAGCACTTTGGGAGGCCAAGGTGGGTGGATCACCTGAGGTCAGGAGTTTGAGACCAGCCTGGCTAACATGGTGAAACACAGTCTCTACTAAAAATACGAAAATGAACTGGGCGTGGTGGTGGGTGCCTGTAATCCCAGCTAATTGGGAGGCTGAGGCAGGAGAATCACTTGAACCCGGGAGGTGGAGGTTGCAGTGAGCTGAGATCATGCCATTGCACTCCTGTCTGGGCTATAAGAGCAAAATTCCGTCTCAAAAACAAAACAAGACAGACAAAAAAGAAATAATCCACACCCTAAAGTGCGATTCAGCTGAAATTGTCTATGGTATTTTGCCTAGAATTAACCAAAAGAGCTGGGGTAGGGGCTGGTGGCGCATAGCTCAGCATTACAGATCTACTTAAATCTTGTAAACTATTTATAGGTTTGGGTTGTTATAACATGTTTAGCATGGTTAATAAGCCAATCAAGAAATATCCCAAAACGTTCATTTTTGCTTCCTTTACAGATGGTGGCAGATGAAAAAGCAGATTTTTTTCCCCTGAAGCTCTTTAATAATGGCAAAAGTTAAAAAGTGTTTTCTCTGTAGTCCTGAATTTACTGAATGTATTCCCTTCCTGAATAAATTGACTGTTCCCTTAGTGTAGGGCTATAACCTGGTTTTGGTGGAGTCCCTTCCAGGTTCTAACATTTGTGTGACCTTGAACAGGGTACTTCTTAACCTTTCTGAGTCTCAGGTTTATTCATTTCTAAAGTGCAGGTGGTACTGATACCTTTTAGGGTTGGTTGAGGATTTAATGGGATAATGAATGTAGACTGCTGTGCCAACAGTGAGCTTTCAATAAAAGGTATCTGTTGTAATTCTCAAAGCTTAATACGTTATTATATATAACAAGCCAGTTTTACGCCTTTTAAATCTGATTTTTTAGTTATATAGATAACATATATCTGTATTATTGTAGAAATTAAAATTTTACAGATAAGGCTAAAGAGCCCCTTAGCCACCTTAATCCTAACCCCTTCACCAGATGTAATCATTTTATTAGTTAATATATCCTTCCATGTCTTTTTCTTTGCTTTTATGCATACATACACATGCATTTTAATTTTATAGATGAAGAATAGAAAAGATAGTAATCTAATTTTATAAATATTAAATTACTAGGTATTAGAATCTTTTTTTTTTTTTTTTTGACAGTGTTTTCTCTTTTTTGCCTAGGCTGGAGTGCGATGATACGATCTCGGCTCACTGCAACCTCGGCCTCCCAGGTTCAAGTGATTCTCCTGCCTCAGCCACCCAAGTAGCTGGGATTACAGGCATGCGCCACCAGTCCCAGCTAATTTTGTATTTTTAGTAGAAGAGCGGGGTTTCACCATGTTGGCCAGGCAGGTCTTGAACTCCCGACCTCAGGTGACCTGCCCTCCTCAGCCTCCCAAAGTGCTGGGATTACAGGCGTGAGCCACTGCGCATGGCCTAGAATCTGTATTTTAGATACTCAGTAAACAAAAGATAGCAAAATTCAACAATTCGTTGTGTAATGACAGATCTTACACGAAATTACAGAATTCTTTACAACCCTAGACAAGTTTAATTAAAGGGAAGAAACTAAAAAGTAAGAAACAGCTACAGCTGTTTAGCCCGGAAATATGCATTTGTTTTTCTAGCCGATAAATAGATCAGAACTTAAGAAATTCACTGCCTCTCAGTTTACCTCAAATTTTACAACTAAGGGCCACAGGTATTATTTGTTAGTCTGACAAGTAAAAAATGATGTTTTCTTTTCTCAAAAATGTGAAAAATTTACCACCACCTTGTTGGGCCAAAGGAGAGGTTGGGGGAAGAGAAGAGTAATTGAAACTGCTTTCTGCATATCATTGATTCTCAAGTGTATTTAAATTATTTTTGTAGTAATCTATAGTATTTTTGGTTTTTGTTTGTTTACTATTAGTACACATTGGAAAGTGGATTCCAGGCCAATTAGGGAAGGAGATTGATTTTGAAATGATGTTAGTTCTCTGGAAACCACTTGTTTAAATAAGGGAATATCAAGAGGAAAGGGCTGGCCATAGTTACTAATCCTTTGAGAGGAGGGATCTAAGAGTTGGAGGATATGTCAGACATGATCTCTCTTCTCTGGGGAATTAGAGGTGAGTTGGAGAAAACTGTGGGAGAGAGGGTCAGCAGACAAGGTGAAAGATCACTTGAGTCTAGTAGTGTGAGACCAGCCTGGGCAACAGAGCAAGACCCCATCTCTACAAAAATAAAATTAAAATGCCAAGGTAAATGGTGTTAATTCTAAACATTTTGGAGGTGGGGGTGGGGTGGAGAATGGAGCATAGCATTCACCTCTTCTTTCATCCTAGTCTTCAGTCTAAACCTAGTGTTGAAGGCCAAAGGACAATACTCCCATACACAGTGTGAGTGGGAGGGAGTATGTAGTAAACCCCCCTTGCATGCAGTAGAGATGTGATATTCTCCTTTGCTTGGAGGATATCATGGTGGATAGTAGAAGCAGGGGTTCAGTTTAGTTTGTAAGTTATACCTTGGTAACTGTATGTTTGACCAATTATGCTGAAAATACAGAACTGTTTCAGCATACGTTGCTTTAGGAGATACACATACATATATTGAATCACTCTCTTGGTGGCTGATTTTTTCAGCTTTGGTTCTGCTGCTGCTTCCAACAGCCTAGAGTTGTGTTGTACGCTATGGTAGCCACTAGCCACAGGTTGCTAGGGAGCATGTGAAATGTGGCTACTATGAATTAAGATGTTGGTGTAAACTATACACACCACATATTTTATTTATTATTTTATTTTATTTTTAAATTTAATTTTATTATTTTATTTTGAGACAGAGTTTCACTCTTGTTGCCCAGGCTGGAGTGCAATGGTGCCATCTCTGCTCGCTGCACCTTCCGCCTCCCGAATAAGTGGGGTTACAGGTGTCTGCCATAATGCCTGGCTAATTTTTTGTATTTTTAGTAGAGACCGGGGTTTCACCATGTTGGCCAGGCTGGTCTTGAACTCCTGACCTCAGGTGATCTGCCCACCTCCACCTCCCAAAGTGCTGGGATTAACAGGTATAAGCCACTGGACCCGGCCTCAAATCCTGAAGACTTGGTATGAAAAAAGGATTAAAATAGCCCCATAATTTTTTACATTGACGATATATTGGAATGGTATTATTATTATTTCTTATTTTTTTATTTTTATAGAGACAGGGTTTCACTCTTACCCAGACTGGAGTGTAGTATGGCTTTATCTAGCTTACTATAGCCTTGAACTCCTGGGCTTAAGCAATTCTCTTACCTCAACCTCCTGCGTAGCTAGGACTATAGGCATGTACCACCACACCGGGCTAATTTTTTTAATTTTTGGTAGAGGCAAGGTTTTGTTACATTGCCCTGGCCTGAAATGGCATTATTGATTACATTTGAAGTGATTTACTGGGTTAAATAAAATATATTATTAAAATTAATTTCCCGCCGGGTGCAGTGGCTCACACCTGTTACACCAGCATCTTGGGAGGCCGAGGCAGGCAGATCACTTGAGCCCAGGAGTTGAAGAACCGCCTGGTCAACATAGTGAAACCCTGTGTCTATTAAAAATACCAAAAAGCCAGGCGTGGTGGTGTGCACCTGTGCTTCCAGCTACTTGGGAGGCTGAGGTGGGAGGATCACTTGAGCCCAGGAGGCGGAGGTTGCAGTGAGCCGAGATTGCACCACTGCACTCCAGCCTGGGTGATGGAGTGAGACCCTGTCTCAACAAAAAATTAATTTCCCTGGGTTGGGTGCAGTGGCTCACACTTGTTATTCCAAGTATTTTGCGAGGCTGAGGTTGGAGGGTCGTTTGAGACCAGCCTGGACAACAGAGCAAGAGACCTCATCTCTACAAAAAATAAAATAAAAATTAGCTGGGCATGGTGGTGCACATCTGTAGTCCTTGCTACTTGGGAGGCCGAGGTGGGAGGATCGCTTGAGCCTGGGAGGTCAAGGCTGCAGTGATCTGTGATCATGCCACTGCACTCTAGCTTCAGTGACAGAGTAAGACCCTGTTACAAAAAAAAAAAATCCCTTAAAAATTGGCTACCGGAAAAATTTAAATTACATATGTAGCTTACATTTTGTTTCTTTTGAGCTCCACTGGCCTGGAACAACCCATACCAGGGATAAGTACTTCTTTTATCTTGCTGTAGAATTTCATATGGATCATTCCATAGCAGATGTTTAATGATTTCAGTTCAGTAAGAATATTTAAGTTATTTAACTTTTGTAGAATCAGATTTTTTTTTTGCTAGCAAAACAAAAGCATTTTTAATTTTATATATCAGTGAGACTATAGGATTACAGTGCCAGAGTGTGTGTGTGTGTGTGTGTGTGTGTGTGTGTGTGTGTGTGTGTGTGTTTTCAGGAATTCCTCTTATAGTGTTCATGGTATGTCTTTTTTTTTTTGGAGACTGCGTTTCACTCTTTCTGCCCAGGCTAGAGTGAAATGGCACGATCTCAGCTCACTGCAACGTCTGCCTCCTGGGTTCAAACCATTCTCCTGCCATATTCTCCCAAGTAGCTGGGATTGCAGGCATGTGCCACCACGCCCAGCTAATTTTTGTATTTTTAATAGAGGCAGGGTTTCACTATGTTGGTCAGGCTGGTCTCGAATTCCTGACATTGGGTGATCGACCCGCCTCGGCCTCCCAAGTGCTGGGATTACAGGTGTGAGCCACTGCACCCGGCTGGTGTGTCTTAATATGCATGTTTACAAGGACGTGTAATTGGAAAGGTGATGCTTTTCTGTCCAAGAAAAGGTCCTGGAACCAGGTGTATTCCTCAACCCAGTTTTTAGACACCCTGGCTCCCAAAGAATGAGGGAAATTTGGTTTAATGTGTCATCAAACTTTGTATTCAGCTATCTAGAGCCATTTTCTGGATTCATGCAATACATTTTCCCCAAACCCTTTTTATTTTGAAAAAGCTCAAACACAGAAAAGTTGAAAGAATAGCGTAAAGAACATCTGGATGTGGTGCAGGGTCTCATGTTCATAATCCCAGCACTTCGGAAGGATTATTTCAGACCAACCTGGGCAACATAGTAAGACCCAATGTCTACAAAAATGTTTACGGATAAACCAGGCGTGGTGGTGAGGTAGTCCCAGCTACTCAGGAGGCTGAGGTGGGAGGATTGCTTGAGCCCAGGAGTTCAAGGCTGTAGTGAGCAATAATCACATCACTGCATTCCAGCCTTGAGTAACAGTGAGACCCTGTCTCAAAAAAAAAAAAAAAAACACCAAAAACAACCAACTGTGTATATCTTGCACTGATAATCCCCTTTTTTTATTTTTAATTGTCACATTTAAAATTTTCTGTTGTTTTTGGCTGAGTTATTTGAAAGTAATTTGCATACATCATGACACATTATTCCTAAATGTTTTAGCTGCCTCTCCTAAGAATAAGAACATGATCTTACCACAGATTTACGGTTATACTGAAGAAAATTCAAATTCCATAATGTCTAATATTTAGAATTTTCCAATGTCCTAAATAAAATTTTATAGCTCTCACTTGACTTCAGTCCACGTTTATGCATTATATTTGACTGTTGACTCTTTAGTCACTCAGTGTATTAATAGAATAGAGGTGAACTACAACCCATGTACCAAATCTGGCTCGTCATTTGATTTTGTACAGCCCATCCAATAAGAATGGTTTTTACGTCTTTTAATATATAATTGTTTTAAATTGAGGTAAAATTTGTGTAACAGAAAATTAACCATTGATCATTTAGAAGTGCACAATTCAGTGGTATTTAGTATATTCAAAATGTTTTGCAATCATCACCTCTGGCTTTCTGTCTCTATGGATTTACCTATTCTGGGTGTTTCTTTCTTTCTTTCTTTCTTTTTTAAGACAGAGTTTCACTCTTGTTGCCTAGGCTGGAGCGCAATGGCGTGATTTCAGCTCACTGCAGCCTCTGCCTCCTGGGTTCAGGCGATTCTCCTGCCTCAGCCTCCTGAGTAGCTGGGATTATAGGCACCTGTCACACACCTGGCTAATTTTTTCTTTTTTTTTTTTAGGTAGAGATGGGGTTTTGCCATGTTGGCCAGGCTAGTCTCGAACTCTTGGCCTCAGGTGATCCACCTGCCTTGGCCTCCCAAAGTGTTGGGATTACAGGCATGAACCACCATGCCCAGCCTGGGTGTTTCATGTAAATGGAATCATACAATATACTGTATGACCTTTTGTGTCTGGCTTTCACTTAGCATATGTTCGAGGTTCATCTGTGTTTTGGCATGTATCAGCATCTTATTTCTTTTTATGGCTGAATAATATTCCGTTGTATGGATATACCACATTTTGCTTATTCATTCAGCCACTGATGGACATTTGGGTTGTTTCTACCTTTTAGCTACTGTGAATAGTGCTGCTATCAGCATTTGTGTGTAAATATTTGAATACTTGTTTTTAGTTCTTTTGTTTTTTGTTTGTTTTGAGACAGTCTCAGTCTGTCACTCAGGTTGGAGTGCAGTGGTGCCATCTTGGCTCACTGCAACCTCTGCCTCCCAGGCTCATGCAGTTCTCATGCCTCAGCCTCCTGAGTAGCTGGGGTTGCAGGTGCCTGCCACCACACCCAGCTAATTTTTTGTATGTTTTGTAGAGATGGGGTTTTGCTATGTTGGCCAGGCTGGTCTCGAACTCCTGACCTCAAGCAGTCTGCCTGCTACAGGCATAAGCCACTGCGCCCCAGCCTAGCAGTTTATACATTTATTATTGTTTTAAGAGTCAGAGTCTCACCCTGTTGCCCAGGCTGGAGTGCAAGCAGTGGACTGATCATGGTTCATTGCAGCGTCATACTCCTAGGCTCAAGCGATTATCCTGTCTCAGCCTCCTGCGTATCTGGGGCTGTAGGCAGGTACCACCTTGGCTAAGTTTTAAATTGTTTTGGAGGCAAGGTCTTGCTGTGTTGCCCAAGCTGGTTTCGAACTCTTGGCCTAAAATGACCCTCCTGCCTCAGCCTCTCAGGTTGCTGGGATTACAGGAGTGAGCCACTGCACTGGCTTGGTTTTTATTTTTATTTTTATTTATTTTTTGAAACGGAGTTTTGTTGTTGTTGCCCAGGCTGGAGTGCAATGGCTTGATCTTGGCTCACTGCAACCTCTGTCTCCCGGGTTCAAGCAATTCTCCTGCCTCAGCCTCCTAAGTAGCTGTGATTACAGGCATGTGCCACCATACCCAGCTAATTTTGTATTTTTAGTATAGACGGGGTTTCTCCATGTTGGTCAGGCTGGTTTGGAACTCCCGACCTCAGGTGATCCGCCTGCCTCGGCCTCCCAAAGTGCTGGGATTACAGGTGTGAGCCACTGCGCCTGGCCGGTTTTTATTTTTTAAACGGCTAAAAAAAAAAAAAAAAAAAATCACAGGAAGGGCGGGGCGCAGGGCTCACGCCTGTAATCCCAGCACTTTGGGAGGCTGAGGGCAGACGGATCACCTGAAGTCAGGAGTTAGAGACCAGCCTGACCAATGTGGAGAAACCCCGTCTCTACTAAAAATACAAAATAGCTGTGCGTGGTGGCACATGCCTGTAATCTCAGCTACTTGGGAGGCTGAGGCAGAAGAATCACTTGAACCCAGGAGGTGGAGGTTGTGGTGAGCTGAGATCATGCCATTGCACTCCAGCTTGGGCAACAAAAGCAAAACTCCGTCTCAAAAAAAAAAAAAAATCACAAGGAGGATAATATTTTATAACATATGAAAGTATTGGCTGGGCGCAGTGGCTCACGCCTGTAATCCCAACACTTTGGGAGGCTGAGGCAGGTGGATCATGAGGTCAGGAGATCAAGACCATCCTGGCCAACATGGTGAAACCCTGTCTCTACTAAAAATACAAAAATTAGGCCAGGCGCGGTGGCTCTCGGCTGTAATCCCAGCACTTTGGGAGGCGAGGTGGGCGGATCACGAGGTCAGGAGATCGAGACCATCCTGGCTAACACAGTGAAACCCCGTCTCTACTAGAAAAATACAGAAAATTAGCCGGGCGTGGTGGTAGGCGCCTGTAGTCCCAGCTACTCAGGAGGCTGAGGCAGGAGAATGGCGTGAACCCGGGAGGCTGAGCTTGCAGTGAGCCGAGATGGCGCCTCTGCACTCCAGCCTGGGCAACAGAGCGAGACTCCATCTCAAAAAAAAAAAAAAAAAAAAATTAGCTGGGCATGGTGGCATGTGCCTGTAATCCCAGCTACTGAGGAGGCTGAGTCAGGAGAATCGCTTGAACCTGAGAGTCGGAGGTTGCAGTGAGCCGAGATCGCGCCACTGCACTTCATCCAGCCTGCTGACAGGGTGAGACTCTCTCAAAAAGAAAATATGAAATAGGAGCTTCAGTGCCCACAAATAAACTCGTGCTCATTCATTTAACATGTTGTGGTAGAGGCTGTATGGCCCACAAAATTTAAAATATTTACCCTCTGGCCCCTTTCATTAAAAGCTGGCTAATTGGCTGGGCACGGTGGCTCACGCCTGTAATCCCAGCACTTTGGGAGGCCGAGAAGGGCCGATCACGAGGTCAGGAGATAGAGACCATCCTGGCTAACACGGTGAAACCCCGTCTCTACTAAAAATACAAAAAATTAGCCGGGTGTGGTGGTGGGTGCCTGTAGTCCCAGCTACTCAGGAGGCTGAGGCAGGAGAATGGCATGAACCCGGGAGGCGGAGCTGGCAGTGAGCCAAAATCGCGCCACTGCACTCCATCCAGCCTGGGCGACAGAGCAAGACTCCCGTCTCAAAAAAAAAAAAAACAAAAAACACCACACAGTTGGCAAATTTTGAATAGTCTTTCGTGTGTGAGTGTGTGTGATTGACTTTTTAAGTAGTAAACTTTATTTTTTAAAAGCAAAAAAATTCCTGGTTTCTCTTATTAACATCTTGTGGCCGGGTGCAGTGGCTCACGCTTGTAATCCTAGCACTTTGGGAGGCCGAGGGGGGCGGATCACCTGAGGTCAGGGGTTCAAGACCAGCCTGGCCAACATGGTGAAACCCCGTCTCTACTAAAAATACAAAAATTAGCCAGACACAGTGGCACGCGCCTGAAATCCCAGCTACTCGGGAGGCTGAGGCACAAGGATCGCTGGAACTGGGGAGGTGGGGTTTGCAGTGAGCTGAGATGGCGCCACTGCACTCCAGCCTGGGCGACAAAAGCAAGACTCCGTCTCCAAAAAAAAAAAAAAAAAACTTGCATTAGTGTTGTACATTTGTTACAACTGATGAACCAATAATGATTCATTATTATAAGCTGGGTGTGGGTACCTGTAGTCTCAGCTACTCCAGGTGGGGCTCACTTGAGCTCAGGAATTGGAGTCTAGCCTGGGCAACATAGTGAGACCCCATCGCAAAAGAAAGAGAGAGATACATTGTTATTTAACTATAACTGTAACCTCATGTTTATAGTTTAAATTAGGTTTCCCTGTTTGTGTTGTACAGTTCTGAGTTTTGACAAATTATCCACCATTACAGTATCATATAGAATAGTTTCACTGCCTTAAAAATCTACTGTGCACCACTTATTCATCCCCTTTCCTCTCCCCCATACACCAGCAACTACGGATCTTTTTGCTGTCTGTAGTTTTGCCCTTTCTAAAATGTCGTATAGTTGGAATCATACAGCTTTTTCAGACTGGTTAGCAGTATGCATTTATGGTTCCTCCATGTCTCTTTGTGGCTACATATCTCATTTCTTTGTATTGTTGAATATTGCATTGTATGGATGTTTCATAGTTCATTTATTCATTTACCTATTGAAGGACATCTTGATTGCTTCCAGGTTTTGGCAATTATGTATAAAGCCGCTCTGAATATTTATGTGTAGGTTTTTGTGTGGACATGAGTTTTCAATTCATTGAGTCAGCACATTTTATGGTAAGAGTGTTTAGTTTTGTAAGAAGCTGCCAAGCTGTTTTCCAAAGTAGCTGTACTATTTTGTATTCTGACCAGCAGTGAATGAGAGTTCTTGTTGCTTTACCTCCTTGCCAGCATTTGGTGTTGTATTTTCAATTTTGACCGTTGTGTAGTGGTATCTCATAGTTTTAACTTGCAACTCCCTAATGATGTACAATGTTCAGCATCTTTTCTTTTTTCTTTTTTTGAAATAGAGATGGTGTCTCACTATGTTACCCGGGCTGGTCTTGAACTCAAGTGATCCTTCTACCTTACATGCCCAAAGTGCTCGTATTATAGGCGTGAACCACCGCCCCCAGCCTGAGCATCTTTTCATATGCTTATTTGTCATCTGTATATCTTCTCTGTTTAGATCTTTTGCTTACTGTTTTATTGTGCTGGTTTTTTTATTGTGATGTTTTAAAAGTTGATTGTAAATTTTGAGTATTAAGTCTTTATATAAAATATGTGTTTTGCGCATTTCTCCCAGTGAGTGGCT
Organism: Homo sapiens; assembly: GCF_000001405.40. Lineage (NCBI taxonomy): Eukaryota > Metazoa > Chordata > Mammalia > Primates > Hominidae > Homo > Homo sapiens. The sequence goes on from NC_000011.10 coordinate 67,158,966, forward strand.
TGTCTTTTCATTCCTTTGACAGTGTCTTTCACAGAGCAGAAGTTTTCAGTTTCATTGAAATCCAGTTTATTAATTATTTTTTTCATGGATCATGCTTTTGGTGTTGCGTCTAAAAACCCATTACCAAAGCCAAGGCCACTTAGGCTTTCTCCTCTTATCTTTTAGAAGTTTTATAGTTGTGTGATTTTCATTTAGGCCTATGATCTTTTTTGAGTTAATTTTTCTGAAAGGCATAAAGTTAGTGTTTAGATTTATTTAGTTATTTTGCTTGTGGATGTTCAGTTGTTGCAGCACCATTTGTTGAGAAGACTACCTTTCTACATCCGAGTTACCTTTGGTCCTGTGTCAAAGATAATTATCTGTAGTTACATGAGTGATACTGTCTTTTAAAATGTCCTCCTTTCTGGGTTGTCTGTTTTCTCATTGTATAGATTAATTTGTTTTCCTAAGCTACATTATTTGTAAACTGGAAGTTGGATCTAGAAGATTAGATTCATCTTAAACATTTTGGCAAGAATGTTTCCCAGATGATTGAGCACTTCAAATTGTATCAGGTCAGGAGATACACAATGATGGATTGATTGTCCTGCTGGTAGTGATGGTAAAAATTGATTAAGGTGGTAACCTGCAGATTTTCCCATTGTAATGGTACATTTTGCCATTTGCAACTAGTAAATAATCTGTGGGGTGATTCTTTGGCCATGAACACAGAAATATTTGACTCAATATTTGTCAGGCATTTGATAGGTACTGGGAAGACAGTGGTGAAAAAGAGATTTCTACTCTCACATACCTTACCTTTTTCCCTCCAGAGTTTGAAGACAATAGTGGGAATGGATCTGTTTTTGCAGCAGGGAACATTTGCAGTTTAGGATATGTTCATATCAGAAAAATAGAATCCATGAAAAGGTATATGCCAGTGAATACAGAGTTGTAGTATGAGATGATGAAAAAATTCGGGAGATGGATAGTGGTATTGATTGCATAACAATATGAACATATTTAATGCTGCTGAACTATACACAAATTCAGCTAAAATGGTAAACTTTATGTGTATATTACCACACACATGAAAGTATATGTCACTGTGATGGCATACCACTGAATTTAGCCCTGCCTCACTGCCTCTTCCCTGATAATTTTTATCAGGCTTCCTGTTGGTCTATTAGGACTAATTGGGAGAAAAACTCTTCCTGAAATAAAATTCTATAGTTCAGTTCTGTTAGGAACAGGCAGTGATGTTGTATTTTAGCAATTGCCATCAGTAGAGTTTGTCTTTGTAGCCTCGAGGGATCATTATTGATGTCTCTGGGTATGCTGTTGCCATTTGTTGCAGTTCACCAGATGCTGGCCTGCCTTTGCCGGTTTAGGAAGAGATTATAGCTTGAACCATTGTCTGAATGCTGCTTTGACCTAGTAAATCCTGGGTTCAGGATGAGAGCAGTAACCTTAATGCCAGCAGGAAAGTGATTTTGTGACCAGTTTGTTAGGGAGGAAGCCCTTCATTTAAGAAATAGATCTTCTGGGCCGGGTGCGATGTTCACACCTGTAATCCCAGCACTTTGGGAGGCCAAGGTGGGTGGATCATCTGAGGTCAGGAGTTTGAGACCAGCCCGGCCAACATGGTGAAACTCCGTCTCTACTAAAAATACAAAATTAGCTGGGTGTAGTGGCGCATACCTATAATCTCAACTACTCAGGAGGCTGAGGCAGGAGAATCACTTGAACCTGGAAGGCAGAGGTTGCAGTGAGCCAAGATAGTGCCATTGCACGCCAGCCTGGGCAAAAAGAGTGAAACTCCATCTCAAAAAAAACAACAAAAAAAAAATGAGATAGACCTTCTCATTAATAACAAGAGCTAGCGGGGCACTGAGGCATGTGCCTGTAGACCCAGCTACTTGGGAAGCTGAGGCAGGAGAATTGCTTGAGCCCAGGAGTTCAAGTCCAATGTGAGAAACAGCCAGAGCCTGTCTCTAAAAATAAATAAATAATTAATGAACAAAAAATAGCAAATTAGATGGAAGGAAAGAACGCCTTTATTTGTGGCTGACGGAGCTTGGACTTCTCTTTCCTTTCCTTTTTGCCTGAGTTAACTGTGGACAAGGTGGACTAGTGGCCAGGCACAGTAATTCACACCTGTATTCCCCACACTTTGGGAGGCCAAGTTGGGAGGATTGCTTGAGGCTAGGAGTTTGAGACTAACTTGAGAACGCAGTGTGATCCTGTCTCTATTAAAAATTTTTTTAAATTGAAACCAAAAACAAAAGAAAAACAAGACTTTAGTGATGGCTGTGATGACAGCATGATCATGGTAAACTGTGACTTTTTCAATCTATAGAAATTGTATCCACGTGAAACCTTTGAATTGTCTTCACTTTGGAGAGTATCTAGTGTATCACAAATGTTTAGTTTTCAGTCTACAGATCATAGGTTATGTGCAAGCTTTTGCTTAGACAGTAGATTAGGAAAATTAGTATGTTGTAGTACAGTGTTTTGCACAGTTTTTAACTGACCTGTAGCAGGAAATACATTTTATATTACTACGTATTACTATTATATGCATGGATATATGTAACTAACATGTTTCAGGAAGTGGTATTTACTCATAGTGTGTTTTCTGATTTACTCAAATTTCATTTAAAAAATACACACTGTTGTGACCTAAATTGATTTTTGTGACTCATGCTTTAAGATGATCTGGAAAAGTGGTTCTCAACATGTGGTCTGGGGATATACACAAGGATTCTTTTATTAGGGGTTTGTGAAGTCAAAACTATTTTCATAACAGTACTATTATTTGTCTTTTTTGCTCTCATTCTCTAATAAGTGTAGACTTTCCAGAAGTATAGTAGAGGTTTCTAGAACTATATCATGTGTGATGATAATGCTCTCAGGACTAAGGGAATGTATATTTGTATATTCTTTATTTTCTAGAGTTTCCTAAGGTAGTAGGTTTAATATATAAATAGATGCTTTTTCAGAGATTCAACTCAGTTTTCAGTATTTATATTATGCTCTTAGTAGTTGTCTTTGGTTATATCTGCCTAATCTGTACCTCACTGTAGTACAGTGAATTGTTCTGGACTACTGTTCTGATTCTTTACTTTGCCTCTCAGGAATTTCCTTCCACTAATGAATAGGCTCCCTAAGAAATATAATGATGGATAAATTATAGTTTATTAAATCATTTTGGTTTATTTGGTAAATCTTCTGTTTCTCTTGGCTGTATGAAATTCTAGTGTAGGTGGCATATTTTTCACCAGAGTTTCTCTTCTTACATCCCAATAATACAAGAAAATCATAGCAATAAGTGCCAAATAAGGTCAGGTAAAGTTCATTTAATTCTTATTGCCTGTAAATATATAATGCTCACTTCTCCTGAAGCACCCACTGAGATTTACAGCAACACAGGAAAGTAGATATGATTTTTATTTTATTTTATTTGTATATATTTTTTGAGACAGAGTCTCGTTCTGTCACCCAGGCTGGAGTGCAGTGGCGTGACCTCAGCTCACTGCAACCTTCATCTCCTGGGTTCAAGTGATTCTTCTGCCTCAGCCTCCCAAGTAGCTGGCATTTATAGGCATGCGCCACCACACCCAGCTAACTTTTGTATTTTTAGTAGAGATGGGGTTTCACTATGTTGGCCAGACTGGTCTCGAACTCCTGACCTCAAGTGATCCGCCCGCCTCGGCCTCCCAAAGTGCTGGGATTACAGGCATGAGCCACCGCGCCCGGCCTGCGATTTTTAGTTTTATTTTTTTCCTAGACAAGGTCTTGCTCTTTTGCCCAGGCTAGAGTGCAGTGGTGTGATCATTGTTCACTGGAACCTAAAATTCCTGGGCTCAAACAGTCTTTCCACCTCAGCTTCCCAAGTAGCTGGGACTGTAGGCATGTGCCACCTTGCCCAGCTAATTTAATAAATTTTTTAGAGATGGGGTCTGGCATTGTGTCCAAGCAGGTCAAACTCCTGGCCTCAAGTGATCCTCTTGCCCCAGCCTCCCAAAGCGTTGGGATTATAGGCTTGAGCCACCAAGCGTGGCCATGATTTCTTTTTCTTAAAGTTAGGAATTGAACTGTATCCTACTTTTGTTAGTTACTTCTCTTCTCCTTTAGTTTGTTTTCAGCCTTCTGCCCTAGTCAGACTGATATCCAGAATTTTGCTCTTGCATAACTTCATTGCTACTCTGTCTTCTAGCGCTACACTTTCGTATTTATGTTTGACCTTCCTTCAAACTCTCTTGAAGGATCAGCAGCTGCATAACCAACTCTACCACTTAGGGCAGGGCCTTCTCAAATAACATCTTGCAGAGATGGCCACTTCATATTAAATCGGTGGCAGGATACAGTTGTTGAATTTCATAAAATTTCATCCCTAGGATTAGACATTTGATATGAAGAGATTTAGAGATGGAATCATAAAAGAGTTAATTCCAAAAGGTATGGACTTGGAAAATTCTATGACTTGGAATGATAAAGAAGGACATTTAATGCCATTGGAGAAGAGGCAAGTATGACTTATCTCTAGCCACTTAGGCCATTCTTTTTGGGACATACAGTTGATTTCCAGTCCAATGTAGAATCATGTTCAAAATCACAATTGCTGGGCCAGATGCCGTGGCTCACGCCTGTAATTCCAGCACTTTGGGAGGCCAAGGCAGGCAGATCATGAATGAGGTCAAGAGATCGAGATCATCCTGGCCAACATGGTGAAACCCCGTGTCTACTAAAAATACAAAAATTAGCTGGGCGTGGTGGTGCGTACCTGTAATCCCAGCTACTCGGGAGGTTGCAGCAGGAGAATCGCTTGAACCTGAGAGTCGGAGGTTGCAGTGAGCCGAGATAGCACCACTGTACTCCAGCCTGGTGACAGAGCGACACTCCATCTTAAAAAAAAAAAAAAAAATCACAGTTGCTGATATTTTTTGAGTATGTGCTAGATACTTTACATCTTTCATTTAATCCTCATACAACCCTGTGGAATGGCTTCTGTTATTACTAGTTAAGTAGGTCAGACACAGTGAGAGGCTGAACCAGGATTTGAACTCTAGAAACCTGGTCTGGACCCTGCCACTACTCTATACAGCCTCTTTTTATATATAAGGCCACATTTGCAAAGTATTTGTATATATGTTTTCATTTAAACATCACAGCCATCCTGTGCATTAGGTGACATTCTTGACATTTTCACATGAGAAAATGGAAGCTTAGGGAATTTGAAGCTCAAAGTGGCAGTGCCTAGACCCAGACCTACTTCTGACTCTAATCCATTTGTTCTTCTGATTATGTAGTTTTGCTAAACATAGTAAATATAGGTTCATACCTGAAAGTGAATTTTTGATTTCAGATATAAGAATTTTAGCTTGATTGAAGATGATTTCTTAATGTTTTAGATGGGATACTTAAATCTGGAGAAGTTTAACAGAGATGTGATTATTAACTTACATTTTTAGTTTCTCTGGTGGCTTGTGTATAACTGTTCATTAAGTGTTGATCTTGCTATTGGCCTTTTTTTGTTGTTGTTGTTTTTTTGTAGCGATGGGACATTGCTCTTTTACCCAGGCTTGGTCTTGAACTCCTAGTTTCAAGTGATCCTCTACCATGGCCTCCTAAAGCACTAGGATTACAGGCATGAGCCATCACACTTGACTGCTGTTGGACTTTTTTTTTTTGGAAACGACATCTTGCTCTGTCGCCCAGGCTGGAGTGTAGTGGCACAATCTCGGCTCACGGCAACCTCCACCTCCCAGGGTCAAGCGATTCTTCTGCCTCAGCCTCTTGAGTAGCTGGGACTGGTTATTTTTTGTATTTTTAGTGGAGGTGGGGTTTCACTATGTGGGCCAGGCTGGTCTTGAACTCCTGATCTCAAGTGATCTACCCACCTCGGCCTCCCAAAGTGCCGGGATTACATGTGTGAGCACCGCGCCTGGCCTGCTATTGTACTTTTTAATGATGTTAGTCAGTTTACCACTCTTAGAGTAACTTTCTTAGGTAATTTCAGCGATGAAGACATAGTTTTCTCTGCTTTAACTTTAGTTGGTGCAGATGGGGTGACTGAACACATAGAAGGAAAGAGGTCTTGCCAGGACTGTAATGTAATGGTGGTAGTGGGACGGGTAGGAGTATATGTGTTTGAAGGGAGTAATTTAGAATACCAACTTTTTTTTTTTTTTGAGACCGACTTTCACTCTTGTTACCCAGGCTGGAGTGCAGTGGCGCGATCTTGGCTCACCGCATCCTCCACCTTCTGGGTTCAAGCAGTTGTCCTGCCTCAGCCTTCCTGAGTAGCTGGGATTACAGGCATGCGCCGCCACACCTGGCTAATTTTGTATTTTTAGTAGAGACGAGGTTTCTCCATGCTGGTCAGGCTGGTCTTGAACTCCTGACCTCAGATGATCTGCCCACCTCAGCCTCCCAAAGTGCTGGGATTACAGGTGTGAGCCACCGCACCCAGCTTAGAATACCAACTCTTGATCTTATGCCAGTTCCTTCTAAAGCTTCTACTCCTAGATGTGAAATTTCATAAATCTTAAGTTTGACAGTTTGAAATAGAGGTCATTTGTTGATTAAGAGACTGACCTTTGTCTATGAATCAAAACATTAATCACAGCTCCAGAGAGAAGGATCATGTAGGAAAGCTTCCTGATGAGAGGAATGTAGCAAAGCTGGAAAATAGGTGCATTTATAGACTATCTTCTGGTTTCAAGTGACTGCTTGCTATCTCCCTTAATTCACTTAAAGACTTAGGAGAAACAGCATGTGTGACAAATTTCATGGTTTTTATCATTAACCAAGCAAAGATCTAGAGTTAGTGTTTTTTAAGACAAGCTGTTCTTTCAGGTTTATAGTAACCTTTCTTGACTGGCAAAAAGAAAGGTCACTCTTACTTCCCCTTTAGATTTACGGTCAACTTTTAGGGGTTTTTTCTTTTTCCATAACTTCTTATTTGTATAATACTTTCATTAATCCTTATATTCTAGGAACTAAATTGGCATGACCAGTACCATGTATTATACTGATGACTTAACAGTTGCATCAATTATAAAAGGTGGTGAAGAAACTAGGCATTATCTTTGTTTCCCTTTTCTGTGTTTGTTGATACAGAAATCAGGCAGTAAACAGAAGTATTCAGGGAGTATTTGTATTTCAGTAGGTGTTTCACTGGCTAATGAAAATCAAGTTAAAAAATTGGTTGACTTTCAGGAGAAACAATATTTCTCTTTTTTTTTTTTTTTTTTTGAGACAGTCTCACTCTATCGCCTAGGCTGGAGTGCAGTGGTGTGATCTCGGCTCACTGTAATCTCTCCCTCCTGGGTTCAAGTGATTCTCGTGCCTCAGCCTCCCAAGTAGCTGGGACTATAGGCACATGCCATCATGCCCGGCTAATTTTCACATTTTTTAGTAGAGACAGGATTTTGTCAGGTTGGCCAGGCTGGTCTCGAACTCCTGACCTCAAGTGATCCGCCCGCCTTGGCCTCCTAAAGTGTTAGGATTACAGGAGTGAGCCACGGTGCCTGGCTGAGAAACTGAATATTTCTGAGTTATATTATTGTTTCCAATAGTAGTATTTGTGTATGAGGGTGGAGTGGGGGTGCTTTAAAGATTACTTCTTGCCCGGCATGGTGGCATAAGACCTGTAGTCCCAGTAACTTGAGAGGCTGAGGCAGGAGGATCTCTTGAAGCAAGGAGTTCTGGGCTGTAATGCAGTATACAGATCAGGTATCTGTACTAAGTTTGGCATCAATATGGTGACCTCCCAGCAACTGGGGACCAAGAAGGGAGTACACTGGTTCAGGTTGGAAACTGAGCAGGTCAAAACTCCTGTGCTGGGCTGAGCGTGGTGGGTCATGTCTGTAACTCCAGCAATTTGGAAGGCCAAGGCGGGCGGATCACTTGAGGTCAGGAGTTTGAGACCAGCCTGGCCAACGTGGCGAGACCTCGTCTCTACTAAAAATACAACAAATTAGCCAGGCGTGGTGGTGCACGCCTGTAATCCCAGCTATTCAGGAGGCTGAGGCAGGAGAATCACTTGAACCTGGGAGACGGAGGTTGCAGTGAATTGAGATCATACCATTGCACTCCAGCCTAGGCGACAGAGCGAGACTCTGCCTCAAAAAAAAATTAAAAAGTTTAATATTGCGAGTTACTGCTTTTGTTAGCACCCAAGGAGACAAATATATGCATATTCTAGTAAAACCTTTGGAAAAACCAAGAATGTGCCTTAGATATAACATCTAAACTCAGATTGCTTCTCTTCAAGATGATGTTGAGATGCCTTATCCTCATCTTGAATTGATAGCCACATTTTGTTGTTGTTGTTGCAGAGTTGTGATGATATCATAGTTAAATGTGCAGCAAGCACACTGAACAGTTGATTATACCTGATGGTATGCAGGAAGGCAGGCAACAGTGATGGGAGAGATCTAGCACTTTTAACTCATTTCTTGACCAATTAGTTTTGTGGAGGGCTTGTTTGTGGTCAGGGTAAGTGTATCCCGACTCTTTTAGGATCATTCTGTATATAAGTAGCTATTTGACACTAGTTCTTGGGGGAACTTTTTAGGGAATAGTTTACTTTTGTATATTCATCTTCTCTTGAACATTCTGCCTTCACAGCTATCTTTTTTTTTTTCCTTAAAGGTCCTACTGACTAAATATTTTTTTTTAATCAAGAGACTTAGGTACGCATAAGCTTCCTGCTAAATTCTGTAGACACCTTCTATTTATGGGTTACATTATCTGGTTGTTGGAATTATTGTGATCTAACATTTTTCATGTATGGAAACTGTTCTATGTACTGTTGATCTCTGTAGAATTTGATCTTTTCCAGAATGTATTTGAAGGCTGACCTTTCAGTAAAAGAAATGCAAGCTTTTCAGCCATGTTAATTTATCACTGCATCTTCTTTGTAATATATATGGCAGTTATGTTAAAAGTAAACATGTGTTTTTCCTTATTCTCTGTGCTCAGGCCATTTATCATTTAGGGACAAAAAGTTTTATATAGATCAAAAGATAAAAACTTGGGCCTAAGGCTTAGTCATTGTAAGGCAGTGATTCCGACTCTTTTTATACTTCCTTAGGGCATTTTAATTAAAATCCATCATGAGATATGAAATTATCAAACTTTGTATAACCTTTTATTTTAGAAGAAAGTTTTATATATATCTTATTAATAAGGAGATACTGATAAATCTAGTAAGTGAAGAGAAACCCCCTAAAATTTGAAGAGATCACTGCTATAGAGGAGCAACACAGTCTGTATCTATGGTCTTTGGAACTTGGTAGATGTCCAGTGAAGTTATGCTGAATGAATCAGCATTTTTCTTATGTGGCTTCTTAGGTGGAGCTTCCCCCAAACCCTCTGTGTTAGTTGTTCTTCCTACTGGGCTTCAATAACATTTGTATCTACCTGTCTTAATACATAGCACATTAAATTGTAATTCTATAATTTATTTACATATTTGTTGCCCCCTAGTGGCCAGCAATCTTCTTGAGTGCTAGGACTACATTTTAATTTTTGTATACAGAGTGTCTGGCTATTTTTTCTATATTCAGCATGGTCTTGTATGAATTATAATACACACACACACACACACACAGTCTTGTATGAATTATACACACACACACACACACACACACACACACACACACACACACACACACACACACACACACACACACACACACACACACACACGGTCGGGGGGATAGACAGCAATGTCCGTCTATCCACATATGGCCCAGTGTGTGACCTGGCAGCAGTGCTGGGTTTTCAAAAGGTTGCAAAGAAGAAAATGAAAGCAACAGCGTTTTAAAGTTCAGTTGATTTTTTGGATATGTATGCATTCATATGTTGTGGGAGAGCAGAGTGAAAGCCTGAGGTTGCTTTTTCCTTTAAAATGTATTTATTTATTCAAGTACATATTAAGGCTATGAAGTGGGGATTTGGTATATGTTGCAAAGATTCAGATTTAATCCATGTAGTTTTTTTTTTTTTTTTTTTTTTGAGATGGAGTCTCACTCTGTCGCACAGGCTGGAGTGTAGTGGTGTGATCTCAGCTCACTGCAACCTCTGCTGCCGGGGTTCAAGCGATTCTCTTGCCTCAGCCTCCTGAGTAGCTGGGATCACAGGCGCCTGCCACCGCGCCTGGCCAATTTTTGTATTTTTAGTAGAGATGGGGTTTCAACATCTTGGCCAGGCTGGCCTTGAACTCCTGACCTCGTAATCCACCTGCCTTGGCCTCCCAAAATGCTGGGATTACAGGCGTGAGCCACTGCACCCGGCCTAATCCATGTAGCTTTATATAACTTTACAAAACAATGCCCTAAATTTTTTTTTTTTAAATCGTATCACAGTGTGAGACATGAAAATCTAATAGTGACAAGATTGGTTTCTTTCTTTCTTTCTTTTTCTTTTTTTTTTTTTTTTGAGATGAAGTTTCGCTCCTGTTGCCCAGGCTGAAATGCAGTGGCACCATCTCGGCTCACTGCAACCTCTGCCTCCCAGGTTCAAGTGATTCTCGTGCCTCAGCCTCCTGAGTAGCTGGGATTACGGGCCTGAGCCACCATACCTGGCTAATTGTTTTTTGGTAGAGAAGGGTTTTCACCATGTTGGCCAGGCTGCTCTTGAACTCCTGACCTTAGGTGATCCTCCTGCCTCAGCCTCCCAAAGTGCTGAGATTATAGGCATGAGCCACTGCGCTCAGCCCATCACTTGGTTTCTTTTTTCTTTCTTTTTTCTTTTTTCTTCTCTCTCTCTCTCTCCTTCTCTCTCTCTCTCTCTCTCTCTCTCTTTTTTTTTTTTTTTTGAGACGGAGTCTCACTCTGTCACTCAGGCTAGAGTACAGTGGCGAGATCTCGGCTCACTGCAACCTCTGCCTCCTGGATTTAAGTGAGTCTCCTGCCTCAGCCTCCTGAGTAGCTGGGATTACAGGCACGTGCCACCATGGCAGGCTAATTTTTGTATTTTTAGTAGAGATGGGGTTTCACCATGCTGGCCAGGCTGGTCTCGAACTCCTGACCTCGTGATTTGCCCACCTCGGCCTCCCAGAGCGCTGTGATTACTGGCGTGAGTCACCATGCCTGGCCCACAGTTTCATCTTTTTAGAGGTCTATAATAAATTATAACTACAAATATAGGAAGTGAGAACACATTTTCATGGCATACACACAATAAATGTACCGAGTTCAAACACCTTGTGATAGAAAATGCTGATTAGAAATAGCAGTGTTTTCATTTCAGCCAGAATAGTTGAACAACCAGTAGTTTGTCAACGAAAAGCTAGAATTAGAAACCAGGAATGGTGGAATATTAGATAAACAATAATATAGCTAGAAATGTAGTGTCCCTTAACAAATATCAGAAATCTCTTACCCCAGGGAAGATCCTTTGCTAATCCTTTATCCTACCAAGCATGGGGTTTTTTTTTTTTCTTTCTTTCTTTTTTTTTTTTTTTTTTTTTTGAGATGGAGTCTCGCTCTGTCGCCCAGGCTGGAGTGCAGTGGCGCGATCTCAGCTCACTGCAAGCTCCGCCTCCTGGGTTCGCACCATTCTCCTGCCTGAGCCTCCCGAGTAGCTGGGACTGCAGGCACCTGCTACCACACCGGGCTAATATTTTTGTATTTTTAGTAGAAACGGGGTTTCACCATGTTAGCCAGGATGGTCTCGATCTCCTCACCCAGTGATCCGCCCGCCTCAGCCTCTGAAAGTGCTGGGATTACAGGTGTGAGCCACCGCACCTGGCCCAAGCATGGTTTTCTGACTAAAAGACATTCTTTGTTGCTGACTGGTCCCACCACTACACCTTCTCTCTCTCTGCCAGACCCATTTAAGCTGTATCTGAGGTCGTCCTTGACAATTTCTTCCGGTTACCTTAAGAGACTGGTCTGGTCGAAGTCTCAAGTGGATTTTTGTAGCATAGAGTAGTGGTTAGGACTGTCAGCTCTAGAACCAAAGTACCTGGGTTCTAGATCCTAGCCACATCAATTACTAGCTTTGTAACCTGGGCAAGTTACTTCTTTCATTTTCCTTGCTTTGGTAAAGAGGGTATTAATATCTCATAGGGATGTTGGATTTAAATATATTAATACATGCATAGTGCTTGTTACAGTACCTGGCACATGGTAGGTACTTAAACATTTAGACTCCTTTGTGCCTTTTGGAATGGGAATTGCTTAAGCTGTCCTGAAAAAATAGCCTTTAACATCTGTTTGATTGAGATTTGTGATACATAGAAGTTGAGAGGAAGATGTGGAAAGCCCTAAGAGAGCTACTTGCCAACCCCACCATCAGGTCTCCCTCAGTGTTCCTAGTCAGGACAGACGAGGCCGAGTCTGAAATTAGATAGTCTTTGAATGCAACATAAACAGACCAGAGGGACTGGTATGTAGCAAATTGTCAATATATAATGTAAATAGGAATGAAATTGAAATGATGTGAGTTGGATTCAGAGTGTAGAAGACTTTATTTTAGAACATAATGGGGCCTTAAGTTGTTTACTTCCAAGGGAAAGTTGAGATCTGAGAGGTTAAATGATTTATTAAACTGCCTATAGTTGCACAGCAAAGTAATAGAAAAAGTGACACCAGATATATTTTCCCTTTAGACACATTTGCTTTTTTGTTGTTTTTCTGCTATTACCCAAAAAGGTTAGCTTGGGTCAGCTTTACCTTTCTGTTTCTTCATGTGTAAAATAAATCCATCATTCGTCTTAATTCTCACAGTGTGATTATCTTAGGCAAGAAAAACTATTTGATACAAACTAGGTCTCAAACTCCTGGCCTCAAGTGATCCTCGTGCCTTGGCCTCCCAGAGTGCTGGGATTACAGGCATGTGCCACTGCTCCTGGTCTTGGCATGCTTACTGAAAATCAATTCACTGTAAGTGTAAGAGTTTATGCCTGCATTCTCCTTTCTGTTCCATCAATCTATATGTTTCTCCTTAAACACCAGTACCACCCAGTCTTGATTACTATATGTTTATAGTAAGTTTTGAAATTACTATAGTTTTATAGTGAGTTCTTCACTCTTCTTTTTTCTTTGGAGGCAGGATCTCACTCTGTTATTCAGGCTGAGTTCAGTGGCGTGAACATGGCTTACTGCAGCCTCAACCTCCGGGACTCAAGCCATCCTTCTACCTCAGCCTCCTGTGGAGTTGGGACTACAAGCACACACCAGCACTCCTGGCTAATATATTTTTTTTTTGTAGAGGCAGTGGCTGGTCTTGAACTCCTGGATTCAAGTGATCCTCCTAGCTTTCTTTTGTTCTCTTTAAGGATTGTTTTGACTATTCTGGTTTGCTGGTATTTCCATATGAATTTTAGGATCATCTTGCTAATTTCTGCCAAAAAGAAAAAAAGCTGTGATTTTGATAAGAATTGCTTTGAATTGGAAGATAAATTTGGGAGAGTATTGCCATCTTAATAAGGCCTTTCAGTTCATGAACACAGGACATTTTTCTATTTAGCTACCATTTAATTTCCTTCAACAATGCTTTGTAGCTTTCTGGTATATAAGTCTTGTACTTATCTTGTTAAATTTATTCCTTAGTTTTTTTTATGCTATTATAAATGGATTTTTTTTCAACTTCATCTTGGGATTTTTTGTTGCTAGTATATAGAAATAGAACTGATTTTATTAGCTCTTATAGTTGTGTGTGTGTGTGTGTGTGTGTGTGTGTGTGTGGATTCCTTATAGTTTTCTGTGTACAAGATCATGTAATTTGTGAATAGATGTAGTTTTACTTGTTCCTTTCCAAACTTTTCTTTTTCTTGCCTAATTGCCATAGCTAGAAATTTCTTGCCTAACTGCCCTAGCTAGAAACTTCAATACAGTTTTGAATAGAAGTGGGGAATAAACATATCTTTGTCTTGTTCCTAATCTTAGGGGGAGAGCTTTCAGTCTTTCACCATTAAGTATGTTTTTCTCTTTTTTTTATTTTTGAGGCAGAGCAAGACCACATCTCAAAAAAGAAAAGAAAAAAATTATGGAATATTTATAGACATAATGTGATGCACTGGTTTTTATTTTTATTTTTTTTTGAGACAAGGTCTCTCACCCTGTCACCCAGGCTGGAGTGCAGTGGTGCTGTAACAGTTCACTGCAGCTTGGACCTCTCCAGGCTTAGGAGATCCTCCCACCTCAGTTTTTTGTTTGTTTGTTTGTTTGTTTTTCTTTTGAAACAGAGTTTCTTGTTGCCCAGGCTAGAGTGCAGTGGCGCGATCTCAGCACACTGCAACCTCTGCCTCGCGGGTTCAAGCAATTCTCCTGCCTCAGCCTCCCAAGTAGCTGGGATTCCAGGCATGCGCCACCATGCGTGGCTAATTTCGTATTTTTAGTAGAGACGGGGTTTCTCCGTGTTGATCAGGCTGGTCTTGAACTCCCTACCTCAGGTGATCCGCCCGCCTTGGCCTCCCAAAGTGTGGGGATTACATGCGTGAGCCACCGTTCTTGGCCTAATTTTTGTATTTTTAGTAGAGAAGGGGTTTTGCAATATTGGCCAGGCTGGTCTCCAGCTCCTGACCTCAATGATCAGCCTGTTTTGGCCTCCCATTGTGCTGGGATTACAGGTGTGAGCCACCATGCCCAGCCAGTTTTTGTATTTTTAGAAGAGACAGGTTTTGCCATGAACCAGGCTGGTCTTGAATTCCTGGGCCAAAGTCATCTGCCCGCCCTGGCCTCCCAGAGTGCTAAGATTACAGGTGTGAGCCACTGCACTTAGCCTGGTTTTTATTTTTATTATTTTTCTTTTTATTTATTTATTTTGAGGCAAGGTCTGGCTCTGCTGCCCAGACTGGAGTGCAGTAGCCCCATCATAACTCATGGCAGCCTCAAGCTCCTGAGCTCAAACAATCCTGCTGTCCCAGTCTCCTGAGTAGTACAGGCGCACATTACCATGCTCAACTAATTTAAACAATTTTTTTTTTTTATAAGATAGGGTCTTGGTATGTTGCCCAGGCTGGTCTTGAGCTCCTGGCTTCAGAAAGTGATCCTCCTACCCCAGCCTCCCTAATTGCTGGTATTACAGGCATGAGCCACCATGCCCACTTTGGGAGGCCACGGCAGGCAAATCACCTGAAGTCAGGAGTTCGAGACCAGCCTGGTCAGCATGTCGAAACCTTGTCTCTTCTAAAAATACAAAAATTAGCTGGATGTGGTGGCATGTGCCAGTAATCCCAGCTACTTGGGAGGCTGAGGCAGGAGAATTGCTTGAACCTGGGAGACAGAGGTTGCAGTAAGCTGAGATTGCGCCACTGCACTCCAGCCTGGGCGACAGAGTAAGACTCTGTCTCAAAAAAAAGAAAGAAACCGTTTCCTAAAAACAGTCTCTCTCAGCTTATTCTAGTTTTCTGGATAACTCAGACATATTGTTACTGACTCAGTGAATATTCTCTGCTCAAAAGTTCTGATTTCCCAACTCTTACCTGCTTTTTTACTTTTTAAATGTCTGACATAGACAGTTTGAGAAAATACCCTTTCCACTATTCTATTTTCTGGCAGCTTTAGAAAAGAATGTCAGAAATTTCTATAGAATGATTAATAGATGAATACCTACTTGCATCTAGTGTTGCTTCCTCATATTTCTTCTGCTCACCACCTAGGAGAGTGATACAACTAATACTCCTGCAGTTTGACTTAACTACCAGTACTTGAGTTAATCTAAGTATTCCATTTATGTGGCCATTTTAACCACTTTATATAGTTAATTACGACTAAACTGGGAATGGTGAATATTTTTTAAGACATTTAAAATTCTTCATATTATTTGGATTCTAAATAACATGATTTTGCTATATTATTTGGTCATCTAAGTAGAATAAAGTAATTTGTTGTTGGTTATTCAGGAATACAATTCCCTGTTAACCCTGGGAAATGCAAATTGCTTTTGAGAGGAAATATGGTTGAAATGATGTCATTGTTCAGTTTATACTTGTTACTTACTGTGACACTGGGCCTAGTGAGGACTGGTACCTACAGAAAGCCAGTAACTCCCTTTAGGCTGCTAAAATCACGTATATGAAAAGCATCTAGAATAAAAGCATAGCATGCTAGTAAGCCAATTTGTATTATTTGGTAATGTTGATGGGCTAGAGGAAATCAGTAGCTGATTTCCTTACTGTTAAAGTGGCCTTACCTTTTGAGTTTCACCTATAGCAGAGATTGTGTTATTGCCTACTGATATCCAGGGTTACTGTGAGGATTGAATGTTTTTAAAGCATTTATGAGATATGTTATAGAAGCTTACTTTGACTAGGGTTTACATTAAGATAGGATACAGGAAAAACAGACATCCTTGACAGTGTTAAAATTCACACAGGCCAGGTGTGGTGGCTCACACCTGTAATCCCAGCACTTTGGGAGGCCAAGGTTGGAGGATCACTTGAGCCCAGGAGGTCAAGGGTCAAGGCTACAGTGAGCTGTGATCGTGCCACTGCACCCCAGCCTAGATGACAGAGACTCTGTCTCCGAAAAAAACCAGCACACACACACGTAATTTTCACACTGTTGCCAACTTTCCAGTTGCAATAATCAAAAAGAGATCAGGAATTCAAATTCATTTTTCTGTTGTCTTTAATAAATGGGAATGGCTTGGAGACAGAAGCCTTCCTTGTATCCTTACATTCTCCCTATTGAAGGTGTAAATGGAAGAATTTAAGGAGAAGAAAAGCATGAAAAAGATCAGGGGAACTTTTTGCCTATCATATTAGAAATGTTGGGATAATCAAGATGATTACTTTCTCCTGAGTGAAGAAGAATCCGTTATGGTAGACCTAATAAAAAGGTTGAGGTTTGAAAACATGAGGGATTTTTAAAACAAGCATATTAGAACTAAAAATGCAAGTGAGTGCTTTCTAAAAGTGATTCTGGGAAACTATACTTATTCTAGTAGCATTGCTCTTGCTTTATAATGTGCTTGGAACTCATCTTTTCTAGTTCTTCAGAGACACATATACAAAATAAGGTGAGGGAGAGAACTGGATGATGTTTTTGGGGAAAACAATGTTAGGAATTGTCAGTGAACACCCTGCCCTGCACCAAAAGATACCTAAAAATACTTTGAATGATGATGGCATTATTGGTGTCAGTGAAGTCTTATCAAAATTAAACCTTCTTTTGGCTTTTGAACTGTGATTTGTGGCAGCCAAGTTACTAGGTAAGAGAGTGTTCTAAGGCTTTTTACTAAATATGGAAAAGATACTAGATTTCCCTTTTGTGTTTTTGCCTAAAACTTGTAAGTTGAATCTTGCTTTCCTCTGGTATGTAATAGTCAAGTTTATTTCTTTCATTTTTTATGACTTATTTCTGCCCTTTCACAGACTTCTACTCCCTAAGAGACCTATCTCCAGTGTCTCATTTTCTTACGTGTTTATGTAGATTCAGGTGCTATGTAATCAATTCTAGATCATCAATACTTAGTTTTAAATTCTAGATTTGATGTTCTTAGCACAGATAAAGGTAGAGTGACTTTATCCTTACCACTACCACTGGCACATCCAGTTTCCTGTTGGGTATGTATTCAATAAATTTCAGCAAATTTTAACACTGGCTAAAGTAAAATACCATCATTCATTGCTTAACAATGGGGATATGTTCTGAGAAGTGTATAGGCAATTTCATCATTGTACTAACAATCTAGAGTGTACTTACACAAACCTGGGTGGTATAGCCTACTACGCACCTAGGTTATATGGTATATCCTATAGCTTCTAGGCTACAAATCTGTACAGCATGTTACAGTACTGAATACTATAGGCAGTTATAGCATGCCAGTAAATATTTGTGTATCTAAACATAGAAAAGGTACAGTGAAAATATGGTATAAAAGGCAAAAAAAATGGTATACCTGTATAGGGCACTTCTTGTGATGGGTTTTGCAGGACTGAAAGTTGCTCTAAGTGAGTCAGTGAGTGAATAGTGAGTAAATGCGAGGGCCTAAGACACTTTTGTAGATTTTATGAACAGTGTTTTATTTTTTAATTTATAAAATTTTTTTTTTCAATAATAAACTAGGCTGGGCACGGTGGCTCACGCCTGTAATCCCAGCACTTTGGGAGGCTGAGGTGGGCGGATCACCTGAGGTCAGGGGTTCAAGACCAGCCTGGCCAACATGGCGAAACCCTGTCTCTACAAAAATACAAAAATTAGCCGGGCATATTACTCGGGAGGCTGAGGCGAGAGAATCCCAGCTACTCGGGAGGCTGAGGCGAGAGAATCACTTGAACCCGGGAGGTGGAGGTTGCAGAGAGCCGAGATCACTCCATTGCACTCCAGCCTGGGCAACAGAGCAAGACTCCGTCTCAAAAAAATATTACTACTACTAGTAATAAAACTAAGCTTAGTCTGTAACTTTTTAACTTTATATACTTTTGAACATTTTCTAATTTTCCACTTTTGTAATAATACTTAGCTTAAAACACAGATACATTATACCACGTACAAAAGCATTTTCTTTATATCCTTATTCTATAAGCTTTTGTCTACTAAAGTTTTTTTTTTAACTTTTTAAACTTTTTTGTTAAAAACCAAGACATAAACATACACATCAGCCTGCAGAGGGTCGGGGTCATCAGTATCACAGAGCGGCATCATTATCACTGTCTTCCGCCTCCACATCTTTTCCCACTGGAAGATCTTCAGGCACAGTAACACAGATGAGCTGTCATCTCCTGTGATAACAATGCCTTCTTTTGGATACCTCCTAAGAGACCTCCCTGAGGCTGTTTTACAGTTAATATTAAGAAAAAAAAAAGTAGAAGGAATGCATGCTAAAATAATGATCAAGCACAGAATAATAAATACATAAACCGGTACACAGTCATTTATTATGTACTATTCCTAACAGTATGTGCTACACTTTTACATGACTGGCAGCACAGTTAGATTTACACAAGCATTGCCACAAACGAGAGTAATGTGTTGTGCTATGATGTCCTGATGGCAACAGTGTCACTAAGAGATAAGCATTTTTTAGTTCTACTGTAATCTCATGGGAACACTGTCATATATGTGCAGTTCATATATATTGACTGAAATGTCATTATACTGTGCATGACTGTATTAAAAGGTAAACTTGCAGTATAAGCAACATTTTGAAAGTGACTGCTTATTAGATAGAATTCTCATACCATACAGTCTCCTCATTTAAAGTGTACAAGTCAGCTGGGTATAGTGACTGAAGCCTGTAATCCCAGCAGTTTGGAAGGCTGAGGCGTGCAGATCGCTTGAGCACAGGAGTTCGAGACCAGCCTGGCCAACATGGGAAACCCCTGTCTCTACTAAAAATAAAAAAATCAGCTGGGTGTGGTGGTGTGCACTGGTGGTGTCAGCTATGGGAGGCTGTAGGTGGGAGGATCACCTGAGCCTAGGAGGTTGAGGTTGCAGTGAGCCTTAGTGGAGCCACTGCATTCCAGCCTGCGCGACAGAGCACAACCCCATCTCAGAAAATAAAAAATAAAATAAAGTGTACAATCCAGTGGTTTTTAGTATATTCACAGGGTCATACAAATACCACTATCTAATTCCAGAACATTTTCATTGCTCTTGAAAAAACCCATACTATTAACAGTCACTTCTCCCATTCTTCATTTTCTCTAGCCCCTGGCAACTATGAATCTAGTTTCTGTCTCTATGGATTTGCCTATTCTAGACATTTTATTTAAATGAAGTCATACAATATGTGGTCTTTTATGACTGGCTTTTTTTTTATTTGGCATAATGTTTTCAGAGTTTATCTATGTCATGGCACATAGCGTTATTTCATTCCTTTTTGTGGTTAAATGATATCTCATTGTATAGGTATACCACATTTTGTTAATGCATTCATCAATTGATTGACATTTGGGTGGTTTCTATCTTTTGGCTGTTGTGAATAACACTAGTGTAAACATTTGTGTATAAGCTTTTGTTTTGAAAAGAAGAACGTATGTTTTCAGTTCTTTGGGTTATATACCTAGGAGCAGAATTGTTAAGTCGTACGATAACTTTGTTTAACTTTTTGAGAAACTTTCAAACTGTTTACCAGTGTCTGCACCATTTTACATTCCCACCAGCAATGTATGAGGCTTCCAGTTGGTCTGCATTCACATCAGCACTTGTTATTGTTTATCTCTTTGATGATAGCCGTTCTGGTGGGTATAAAGTGGTATTTCATTGTGGTTTTTGGTTTGCATTTTTCTAATGACTAATGAGAATTGAGCATTTTTCATGTGCTTATTGTACATTTGTATATCTTCTTTGGAAAGACATGTTATCTTTAAAACTAAATATTGATGGTGTGCTATTTGGAATGCTGGGTTTTTTTTGTTTTGTTTTGTTTTGTTTTTTTGAGACGAAGTTTTGCTCTTGTTGCCCAGGCTGGAATGCAATGGCACGATCTTGGCTCACTGCAACCTCCACCTCCCAGGTTCAAGCGATTCTCCTGCGTCAGCCTCCTGAGTAGCTGGGATTACAGGCATGTGCCACTACGCCCAGCTTATTTTGTATTTTTAGTAGAGACATGGTTTCTCCGTGTTGGTCAGGCTGGTCTCTAATCTCGAACTCCCGACCTCAGGTGATCCGCCTGCCTCTGCTTCCCAAAGTACTGGGATTACAGGCGTGAGCCACCGCACCCGGCCTGGAATGCTGTTATTTAGATTAACTTTCTTCCTTTATCTGAGACAAGGGTTTTTGATCCATTCATTCAAATGTGTTTTTGAGATTGCTTTACCAAGCTAATTTTAAATACAGCTCTCCCTGTGAAAAAATTATATTTTGTATCCTGGCTTGAAATTTCTATGAAGACAGTTTGTGCCCACTCTGATAAACAGTGATAGACAAATGAAATATTTAGTAGACCCTCTTTGGTCCTGTTTTTATTGTGAATTTATATCTCTAGGCTCAAAGAATTAGCAAGGGTAAAATTCATAGAGGACCCAGTGGCTCATTGAAACTTCATTATATTCTGTGGATTCTGAGAATATCAGCTATCTTGAGAGAAAGAAAAGATCCATAAGGCAAGGAAAATAGCAACTGAGTTTGAAAGTAGCACTTTGCACATGTAGGGAAATCTATGACCACTTGTAGGTAGGCATGAAAAAGTGCATGATTTCATCAGTATGTTCCTTTCTTTCCTAGCGTGGTACCATGCGACGACGCTATGAAGATGATGGCATTTCAGATGATGAAATTGAAGGAAAAAGAACTTTTGACTTGGAAGAGAAACTGCACACCAACAAATATAATGCCAATTTTGTTACTTTTATGGAAGGAAAAGGTCAGTATTGTTTTGGTTCCAGCTTACAGTCCTTTGATGTGGGAAGCCATAGACTCTGAGCATTGGGGGTTTAGCCTTTATCCAGCTAAAATATTGCCTGTTGATGTTATCTATCTATTTTCTCTTGTTATACAATGCCATTTGCATGCACTTATCCCCCAGTCCTCCCACCCTGTGAGTCATTCTCTCCTATATTAGAAGTAATCTTTTTATTAGGGCAGGAGTATTGTTGGATTTTTTTGCCTAACGGCCTCTTCCTCCTTCTTCTATCCCTTGGTTTAAATTTAATTAAAAATAGTACAATAGAAATCCTTTTATGTATATATCTACCCCACCAAAACTGAGGGTGGGATTCCATGCGCACCGTGCATCTTTGATCCTTGGCAAACTGACAAGGATGTCATATATGTATTGTAGTGGTCAAAATTAATGTTTTGTTTACTTTTTTTTTTGGAGACGGAGTCTTGCTGTGTCACCCAGGGTGGAGTGCAGTGGTGCGATCTCGGCTCACTGCAACCTCCGTCTCCTAGGTTGAAGCAATTCTCCTACCTCAGCCTCCTGAGTAGCTGGGATTACAGGCACGTGCCACCACACCCGGCTAATTTTTTTTTTTTTTATACTTTTAGTAGAGACGGGGTTTCGCCATGTTGGCCAGGCTGGTCTCGAACTCCTGACCTGAGGTGATCTGCCCACCTTGGCCTCCCAAAGTGCTGGGATTACAGGTATGAGCCACCACACCTGGCCCTTTTTTTTTTTTTTTTAACTCTTCAGAGACAGGGTGATGATAATTTCTGTTTAGCATTTATAAGATGACTCACTATTAGTAGTCCTATCCCCATATTATTTAAGCTCTAAATTTCCTGTGGAAATTTAGACTTGGAATATAGACTTGGAAAACCCCTCAAGCGTTGCTTCTCAATGTGCTCTCCATATTTTCTAAGAGATGCTTCTTACTAAGCATATATTTTATTGACTAACAGCATAACTATATACACAGAATAACAAACACCATTTATACTGTATTACTTAGGATCCTTTTTATGGTCCTTTTATCGTTTTTAATTATACCACTTATCTTTCTAATATTTTCCTATGGTGACAGATTTTAATGTAGAGTATATTCAGCGGGGTGGCTTGAGAGATCCTCTGATTTTCAAGAATTCTGATGGACTCGGAATAAAGTAAGTGTTTTCAGCCTGGCTGGATGTAGTTGCAAAATGGCCTCGTTACACCCAGGGCAATAAACAGTGGTGGTATTGATAACCCAAAACAATAGTAATTGAAAATAATTTCCCACTTTGTTTTAAAAGTATATGCTTTTCTTTTGATACACAAGTGTTTCATATTAGAGGTAAATGAGAAAATATAGATGAACCAAAAAAAAAAAAACAACAAATTTAAATCTCCTGAAATCTACCACCCTTAGGTAGATCATTAACATTTTATTATGTATTCTTTTTTCCTGTGCATATGTGTAAATATATAATCACCTATATTTTTAAAATAATTTCAAACCTGATTGTGAATATTACTGTGTCTGGGGAGTACTCAGTACTTTAAGAAAAAAAACTCACATTTACTAGAGCAATTGTGTTTTCCATATATACTTACTGGTGTTTGTTTCATAGAATGCCGGATCCAGACTTCACTGTGAATGATGTCAAAATGTGTGTGGGTAAGTGTCGAGCTTTTGGCCTCTGTCTTTAAGGCAAAGATTTAAGACTTAGGACTGAATTAAATCTCTGACTGAGATTTAAGGCCTAGGAACATTGAAGTATATATTTGATTAGAAACTACATTTTCATTAGGAACTGAGAATTTTATCAAAGAGAGTTACAGAAGTTGCCTTATTTAATACACATTAAACCTAGAAAGTTGGAACCTCTTTTTCCTACCTTCATACTTCCTTCTCTCCTTGAAGAGTGTGCCTTCTAGGGCAACCTTTCCAAGAAACCGAAAACTTACATCTCTTAGCCAAGAAAGAAGTTTCATTAATATCCGTGATTCCCTTCCTTCCCCTAAAAGGAGTAGAGAAATTTCCAGGAAATGCTCGCCAGTGCTGCATTTGGAAACTTGCCTAAGACTTGAAACTTTATAGGCTGAGAAGTAGATACATTAAAATTGAGTCTTTTAATTATTTTATTATATTCAAAATTTGGGAAAAAGAAAGCAAATTAATCTAATTAAAGAAGAAAATTCCTGATGTTAGTAAAGTTTCAGCCTAGTTTTCTGCAGACAGTGGTGTTCATTGTGGTCCTGAGACACCTCAGCATCCTTAGGAGTTCAGGGATGGTCAGTAAAATTGAATAAGTCTTTTTTTTTTTTTTTTTTTTGAGACGCAGTCTCCCTCTGTCGCCCAGGCTGGAGTGCAGTGGCACAATCTCGGCTCACTGCAACCTCCGCCTGCTGCATTCGAGCAGTTCTCCCACCTCAGCCTCCCGAGTAGCTGGGATTGCAGGCATGTGCCACCAGGCCCGGCTAATTTTTGTATTTTTAGTAGAGTTGTGGTTTCACCATGTTGGCTAGGCTGGTCTTGAACTCCTGACCTCAAGCAATCCGCCTGCCTTGGCCTCCCAAAGTGCTGGGATTACAGGTGTGAGCCACTGCACCCGGCTGGAATAAAGTCTTTTTGAAATGCGTCCAATAGGACTTAAAACAAAGGGACTTTTTAAATTTTCTTCCTAGCACTAGAATTTCTATTATCTTTTGTCCTCTGTACTAAAGCTCCAGTGCCATTCCTTTGCTTTGAAAATTAAGTACTGCAGTACTATCTCCTGGCCACTTGTGGGTCCTTGTTAGACTACCGACTCTTCTGTTCATCTAAAACGTGAAAGTCACAGATATCCCAGGTAGAGGAAAGTTCCCAAATCTCTGTTTTATTCATCCCCTTACTGTTTCTGTTTTAAACCCTGGCCATCTGCCTGTTGCCATGTATTCCTTAGTACCTAGCACAGTCCCTGGAATATAGTAGGTGCTCAGTAAATCCGTTGAATAATGAAAATGCTCCCCTACTCGTCACAAGACAGAACACTCAGGGGACCTCAGAAAACCTACCTGAATATGTAATAGTCTGTAATTTGACCTCTTTTATTAAAGAGCCTCCAGGACAGTAATTCCCTGTTTAAAGCTTCCCTCTTGATGAGACATTCTTACAGATTGTGGTCCACAGATGACCTGCATCAGAATTGCTTGTGATATTGTTAAAAATATAGACTCTCAGAGAGGATTGTAGGAAGATGGCAGAGTAGCAAGCACCAGGAACTTTTCTCCTTACCTAGACAATAATTGCACGGGCAGAATCTGTCTGATACAACTATTTTGGAGTTCAGGAGTCTATTGAAGGCTTGCAAATTTCAGGGACAGCTTGGACAATAAAGTACAGTTAATTTCAGTCAGTTTCAGGCCTTAGCACAGTAACAGCTGCTCCATTCTTCCCTGCCAACCAAGCCCATGACAAGCAGCTGTGCATATGTTTCCCCGAAAAACTTGCACACAGCTTATAGGAGCCAGGGTGAGCAAAGAGGAACCTTTCCTCCAAATAATGGGATCCATGCTGTGGTCACTGAGTGCTGCTTCTGATCACAGAAGTACAGACAAAGAGGCAGGTGGGGCCAGGCACAGTGGGTCATGCCTGTAATCTTAGCACTCTGGGAGGCTGAGGCAGGTGGATTGCTTGAGTCCAGGAGTTTGAGATCAGCCTGGGCAACATAGCAAGACCCTGTCTCTACAAAAAATACAAAAATTAGCTGGGTGTGGTGGCATGCACCAATAGTCCCAGCTACGTGGGGGGCAATTCCTTGAGCCCTGGAGGCTGAGACTGCAGTGATATGTGATCACACCACTGCACTCCAGCCTGGGCAACAGAGTGAGACCCTGTCTCAAAAAAAAAAAAAAAAAAGGCAGGTGGGGCAGTTGTTGTTGCATCTTCTCCTAATTGTTGCAGGCCTCTTCCCCTCAGCTGAACTGACTTCCAGGGGATTTAAAGGGCTATTGTGGCCGGGTGCAGTGGCTCATGTCTGTAATCCCAGCACTTTGGGAGGCTGAGGCAGGAGGGTCACTTGAGGTCAGGAGTTTGAGATCAGCCTGGCCAACATGGGGAAACTCCATCTCTACTAAAAATACAAAAATTAGGCCGGGTGCGGTGGTTGACGCCTGTAATCCCAGCACTTTGGGAGGCCGAGGCGGGCATATCACGAGGTCAGGAGTTCGAGACCAGCCTGACCAACATGGTGAAACCCCGTCTTTACTAAAAATACAAAAATTAGCTGGGCGTGGTGGTGGGCGCCTGTAATCCCAGCTACTCAGGAGGCTGAGGCAGGAGAATTGCTTGAACCGGGAGGCAGAGGTTGCAGTGAGCGAAGCTTGTGCCACTGCACTCCAGCCTGGGTGACAGAGCGAGACTCATCTCAAAAAAAGGTGAGTGGAGGGTGGCTATTGCCCACACCCACCCCCATTTTAGTTTTCTCTTTTCCCCTTTAAGAGCCAGACATTAAAGACTAGCACATTCAGAATAGGAAGCGACTGCATATGCACATGGACGGTCAGGCTCAGAGAAGACGTAAGAAAACTTAAGTGTATACCTCAGATTGATCCTTGACACAGAGATAGCCTATAAAAAACAAAACAAAAACAAAACACACAATAATAAAACACAAAAAACCCTGGGGAAGGGAGAGAATTGGATTTCAAGAGTTACCACATTATTAAATTCAAATGTCCAATTTTCAACAAAAAATCATAAGGCATACGAAGAAAAAGGAAAGTATGGCCCATTCAAAGGAAAAAAATCAACAGAAAATGTCTTTGAAAAAGTCCTGATTGTGGATCTAATAGACAAAGATTTTTAAATAGCTGTCTTAAAGATGCTCAGAAAACTAAGGAATATGTGGAGGAAGTCAAGGAAGTAATGTATGAACAAAATGGAAATATCAATAAAGAGACAGAAAACCTTAAAAGGAAATTCTGGAGCTGAAAAGTACAATAATTAAAATGAAAACTTAGATTCAAAGGCAGATTTGAACAAGCAAAAGAATCAGCAAAGATAGGACAATGGAGATTATTAAGTCTAAGGAACAGAATGACAAAAATTGAAGAAAAGTGAACATAGCTTGCTATAGGTTAAATGTTATCCCTGCCAGGTGTGGTGCCTCACACCTGTAATCCCAGCACTTTGGGAGGCCAAGGCGGGTGGATCACTTGAGGTCAGGAGTTTGAGACCAGCCTGCCCAACATGAAACCCTGTCTCTACTGAAAATACAAAACTTAACTGGGCATGGTGGTGGGCCCCTGTAATCCCAGCTACTTGGGAGGGCTCAGGTAGGAGAATTTATTGAACCCGGGAGGTGGAGGTTGCAGTGAGACAAGGTCACACCATTGACTCCCTTGCACTCTAGCCTTGGTGACGAGCGAAACTCTGTCGCAAAAAAAAAAAAAAAGTTATCCCTTCCAAAATTTATGTTGAAATTGAATTGCCATTGTGACAGTATTAAGCAGTGGGATCTTTAAGAGATAATTAGGCTACAGGGACTCCACTCTCATGGGTGGGATTGGTGCTGTTATAAAAGCATGAGTTCGGCCCCTTCGTGCTTTCTCTCATTCTCTTACTGTCTCGCTTTTCACCATGTGATGATGCAGCAAAAAGGCCCTCACCAGATGCTGGCGCCTTGATTTTAGACTTCCCAGCCTCCAGAACTGTGAGCGAATAAATTTCTGTTCATCATAAATTACCTACTCAGGTTTTCTGTCAACAGCAACACAAAATGGACTAAGAGCCTAAAGGAACATTTTGACACCACTAAGCAGACCAACATACACATTATAGAAGTACCAGAAGGAAAATAGAAAGGAGCAGAGAGAATATATATTTGATCAAATAATGGCTGAAAATTTCCCAAATTTGATGAAAGACAGGAGTATAAACATCCAAACAGCTCAATGAACTCCAAGTAAGATGAACTCAGAGACCCTCACCAAGACACATTATAATCAAACTTTCAAAAGCCAAAGACAAACTCTTGAAAGCATCAAGAGAGAAATGACTAAATGATTCATTACATAAAGGTATCCTCAGTAAAATTATGAACGAATTTCTCATCAGAAACTTTGGAGGCCAGGAGGCAGTGAGCCAGTGTATTCAAAGTGCTAAAAGGAAAACAAAACAAAACTGTCAACCAAGCATCCTATATCTGGCAAAACTGTCCTTCAAAAGGGGCGAGAGATTAAGACATTCTCAGAAAAACAAAAGCTAAGGAAACTTGTTACCACTGGACCTGCCTTGTAAGAAATGCTCAGGAGAGTCTGCAAGGTGAAATGAAAGGACATTAGATTGTAACTTGAAGCCATATGAAGAAATATCTCGATAAAGGTAAATACATGGGTAATTGTAAGAGCTAGTATTATCTTAACAATGGCTTTTAACTCCTTTTTGTTTTCTCCATAGTTTAAGAGACGAGCATATTTTTTAAAAGACAGTTGTTAGCCTAAAATCTAATACTGAAACTTTGAGTGTAGCCCCACATTTTATTTTGTACATAATTTGAGAGATCAATACATTTAAAATAATTAGTAGAACGGGGTATAGTGGTATATGCCTGTAATCCCAGCTACTCAGTAGGCTGAGGTGGGAGGATTGCTTGAACCCAGGAATTCAAGACCAGCCTGGGCAACATAGCAAAGACCCATTTCTTCCACCCCATGAATGAATGAATGAGTTATTAATTTAAGTTTAAGGGCAAAAGCTAATAACTAATAGGGGCACAGTATATAAGGATGTGGTTTTGTGACATCAGTAACCAAAAGGGGTAGAGACAGAGCTGTAAAGGAGCAGATTCTTTGAATAGTAGTGAAGTCAAACTGGTATTAATTAAAAATAGAATTTAACTTCAGGATATTAGATGTAATCCCTATGATAACCATAAAGACAAGATCTATAGTATATATACAGAAGGAAATGAGAAAGGAATTTACACATTTCACCAAATAAATGTATCTAAGTACAAAAGAAAACAGTAATTTAGGAAAATGAGGAACAAAGCTATAAGGATATAGAAGTCAAATACCAAAATGACAGAAGTATGTTCCTCCTTACAAGTACTTTAAATATAAGTGGATTAAATTCCCCAATCAAAAGACAAGAAATTGGCAGAATGGATAAAAATGGCATGACACAACTATATGCTGTCCACAAGAGACTCACTAAAGATCCAAAAGACAGAAATAGATTGAAAGTGAAAGGATGGAAAAAGCTATTCCATGCAAACAGTAACCAAAAGAGCAGGGGTAGCTATACTTATATCAGATAAAACAGACATTTATTAATTTATTTAATTGATTTTATTTATTTATTTATTTATTTATTTATTTATTTATTTATTTTGAGATGACGTCTTGCTCTGTTGCCAAGGCTGGTGTGCAGTGGTGCAGTCTCGACTCACTGCAACCTCTGTCTCCTGGTTCAAGCGATTCTCCTGCCTCAGCCTCCCAAGTAGCTGGATTTACAGGTGCCCGCCACCACGCCCGGCTAAATTTTGTATTTTTAGTAGAGACGGGGTTTTGCCATGTTGGCCAGGCTGGTCACAAACTCCCAGCCTCAAGCGATCTGCCCACCTGGGCCTTCCAAGGTGCTGGGGATTATAGGCGTGAGCCATGGCACCGGGCCCTAAAACAGACCTTAAATCAAAGAATGGTTCCAAGAGGGGCCTGGTATGGTGCCTCACACCTAAAATCCCAGCACTTTGGGAGGCTGAGGCAGGACTGCTTGAAGCCAGGAATTCAGAGACCAGCCTGGGCAACATACCAAGACCTCATGTCTATAAAAAAAATAATAATAGTAATTTTAAAAGTTGGCTGGGCATGGTGTTGCATGCCTGTGCTCCTAGCCACTTGGAAGGCTTGAGCCCAGGAGTTTGAGGCTGTTCTGATCACACCACTGTAGTCCAGCCTGGGTGACAGAGCCAAGACCCTGTGTCTTGAAAGAAAGAGGCTGGGCGCAGTGACTCACGCTTGTAATCCCAGCACTTGCCTTGGGAGGCCGAGGCAGGCAGATCACAAGGTCAGGAGATCGAGACCATCCTGGCTAACACGGTGAAACCCCGTCTCTACTAAAAATACAAAATATTAGCCGGGTGTGGTGGCAGGCGCCTGTAGTCCCAGCGACTCGGGAGGCTGAGGCAGGAGAATGGCGTGAACCCGGGAGGTAGAGCTTGCACTGAGCTGAGATCGCGCCACTGCACTCCAGCCTGGGCGACAGAGCAAGACTCTGTCTCAAAAAAAAAAAAAAAGAAAGAAAAAATGGTTGGGCATGGTGCCTCACACGTCTGTAATCCCAACTTTGGGAGGCCAAGGCGGGAAGATTGCTTAAGCCCAGGAGTTTGAGACTACCCTGGGTAACGTGGTGAGACCTCGTCTCTACCAAAAAAATAAAAATAATCCAAGCATGGTGGCACATGCCTGTAGTCTAAGCTACTCAGGAAGCTGAGGTGGGAGTGTCACTTGAGCCTGGCAGGTCAAAGCTGCAGTGACCTGAGATTGTGCCACTTCACTCCAGCCTGGGTGACAGAGCAAGACACTGTCTCAAAAAAAAAAAAAAAAAAAATGTTTCAAGAGGCAAAGACATATATTAATTAAAGGTTTAACTATAGCAAGAAGATATAACAATTACAAACATTTATGTACCTAACGACAGACCATCAGTATACCCAAAGGAAAACCTGACAGAACTGAAGGGAGAAGTAGACATTTCTATACAGTAATACCTGGAGACTTCAGTACCCCCTCTCAATAATGGATAGAACAACCAGACAGAAAATAAGTAAGGAAATAGTGGACTTAACACAGTAAACCAACTAGATCTCACAGACACAGACAGAATCCTACCTAACAGCAATAGCATACACATTCTTTTCAAGTGTATGTAGGACATTTTCCAGGATACACCATATGTTAGGCTACAGATTAAATATCAGTGGATTTAAAAAATAGATATCAAAGTATCTTCTCCAACCACAATGGGATGAAGTTAAAAATCAATAACAGGTAAAACTGGAAAGGTCACAAAATTGTGGAATTTAACAATCAGTGAATCAAAGAAGAAATCACATGGAAATTAGAAAATACTTATAGATGAATGAACACAACACAGCCTACCAAAACTTATAGGGATCAGTGAAAGCAACATTAAAGGAGAAATTTGTAGCTATAAATGCTTTGATTATAAAACACGGAATCACTGATTGCAGTAGCATGTGCCTATAGTTCCAGCTACTTGGGAGACTGAGGCAGGAGGATTGCTTGAGCCCAGGATTTTGAGGCCAGCTTGGGCAACATAGCAAGACCTTATCTCGGCCGGGCGAGGTGGCTCACGCCTGTAATCCTAGCACTTTGGCAGGCTGAGGCCGGTGGATCACCTGAGGTCAGGAGTTCGAGACCAGCCTGGTCAACATGGCGAAACCCCATCTCTACTAAAAATACAAACATTAGCCAGGCATGATGGTGGACACCTGTAGTCCCAGCTACTCGGGAGGCTGAGGCAGGAGAATCACTTGAACCTGGGAAGCGGAGGTTGCAGTGAGCCAAGATCGCACATTGCACTCCAGCCGGGGCAACAAAGTGAGACTCTGTGTCAAAAAACAAACAAACACCAGTCTCTTTAACAAAAGAAGAGAAACTTAAAATCAACAACCTAACCTTACAACTTAAATAACTAGAAAAAGGACAAACTAAACCTAAAGCTAAAGGAAGTAATAAAGATTAGAGATAAATGAAATAAAGAATAGAAAAACAATAGAGAAAAGTCAAAGAAACCAAAAGGTGGTTCTTCTTTGAAAAGATAAACAAAATTGACAAAGCTTTATTTAGCCAGATGGACTAAGGAAAGAAAGATCGAATTACTAAAATCAGAAGTGAAAGTGAGGGCCGAGCGCGGTGGCTGACACCTATAATCCCAGCACTTTGGGAGGCCGAGGCGGGTGGATCACCTGAGGTGAGGAGTTCGAGACTAGCCTGGCCAATGTGATGAAACCCTGTCTCTACTAAAAATACATAAATTAGCTGGATGTGGTGGTACATGCCTGTAATCCCAGCTACTCAGGAGGCTGAGGCAGGAGAATGGCTTGAACCTAGGAAGCAGAGGTTGCAGCGAGCCAAGATTGCACCACTGCACTCCAGCCTGGGTGACAAGAGCAAACCTCCGACTCAAAAAAAGAAAGTGAAAGTGAGGACATTACTTCCAATTCTGTAGAAATAAAAAGGATTGTAAGAGAATACTATGCGTGGTGGCTCATTCCAGTAATCCTAGCACTTTGGGAAGCCAAGGTGGGTGCATTGCCTGAGCTCAGGAGTTTGAGACCATCCTGGGCAACATGGTGAAACCCTGTCTCTACTGAAAATACAAAAACTGAGCTGGACATGGTTGCATGTTCCTGTAATCCCAGCTACTCAGGAGGCTGAGTCATGAGAATCGCTTGAACTGAGGAGGCGGAGGTTACAGTGAGCCCAGATTGTGCCATTGTACTCCAGCCTAGGCAACAGAGCGAGACTCTTTAAAAAAAAAAATACTACGAACAATTGTTCATCAATAAATTGGATAACCTAGATGAAGTGTACAAATTTCTAGAAACACAAAACTTGTTAAGACTAAATCACTAAGAAATAGAAAATTTGAATAGAACTATATTGTAGTTAGTGAGGAGATTGAGTCAATATTCAAAAATCTCCCAACGAAGAAAAGGCTGGGCCTGATGGCTTTGGTGGTGAATTCTACCAAACATTTAAAGAGGAACTAACACCAATTCTTCTCAAACTTTTCCAAAGAATTTAAGAGGGAACACTTCTTTTTTTTCTTTTTTTGAGATGAGTCTCGTTGCTGTCGCCAGGCTGGAATGCAGTGGCGCGATCTCGGCTCACTGCAATCTCCACCTCCTGGGTTCAAGCGATTCCCTGCCTCAGCCTCCCAAGTAGCTGGGATTATGCCCGGCTAATTTTTTGTATTTTAGTAGAGATGGGGTTTCACCATGTTGGCCAGGATGGTCTCGATCTCCTGACCTCGTGATCTGCTCGCCTCGGCCTCCCAAAGTGCTGAGATAACAGGCGTGAGCCACTGCGCCCGACCAAGGGAACACTTCTTAAGTCTTTCTGTGAGGCCAGCATTACCCTGATACCAAAGCGAGACAAAGACAGTACAAGAAAACTACAAATCAATATCCTTTTTGAACAATGATGTAAAACTCCTCAACAAAATACTTGCATACTAAATTCAGCAGCATATTAAAAGGATTATACACCATGACCAAGTGGGATTTATTCCTGGAATAGATGATTTGACATGTGAAAATCAATCAATATAAATTTCATTAACAGTGAAGGAGGAAAAAAGTTACATGATCATCTCAATTGACACAGAGAAGGTATTTGACAAAATTCAACACCTTTTCATGATAAAAACACTTAACAAACTAGAAATAAAAGGAAACTACCTTAACATAATAAAAGCTTTATATGAAAAACCCTCAGTAAATATCATACTCAGTGGTGAAACACCAAAAGCATTTAAGATCAGGAACAGCGTAAAGGCGCCTGCTTTTACTGCCTCTATTCAATGTAGCACTGGAAGTCCTAACAGAGCAATTAGGCAAAAAAAGGAAAGAAAAGGCATACAAATTGTAAAGGAAGAAGTAAAGTCACCTCTGTTGGCAGATGATATGACTTTTTTATTTGTTATTAGTATTTTTCTTTGGTTCCTTCTATCATGTGCATCTTTACACTTAGTTTTGCTGTTTGTCAAATATTTCAAATATACATAAAATTACGGAGAATATCATTAACAAAATGAACACCCATCTATAAACCCAAAATGAAGATCCACTTGTGTACAACTTAGTAAGAAATTAACCTTTTGCCATATTTACTTCATCTCTTTTTGCAGAAGTTTGTTAGCATTGACATCCACTGTGTACCATTCTTCCCATTTTCAATCCCTTTTCCTTCCTCCTCTCTCCAGAGATAGGCACTCCCTTGGTTTTTAATGCAGTCTGTAGACATGCATATTGCTTTGCATGTTTTTAAACATTAACAAATGGCATCATAGTGTACAAATCATTCTGCAACTTGCTTTTTCACTAAACATTGCATTCATTTTAACTACCATATAGAATTCCATTGTATGAATATACCATAATTTACCCATTCCCCACCAATGGACATTTACTTTGTTTCCATTTCTTTTTTTTTTTTTTTTTTTTTTTTTTTTGAGATGGAGCATCTCTCTTGGTGCCCTGACTGGAGTGCAGTGGCGTGATCTTGGCTCACTGCAACCTCCACCTCCCAGGTTCAAGCGATTCTCCTGCCTCAGCCTCCCGAGTAGCTGGGATTACAGGCATGCAACACCATGCCTGGTCAATTTTGTATTTTTTAGTACAGATGGGGTTTCACCATGTTGGGCAGGCTGGTCTCAAACTCCTGACCTCAAGTGATCCATCCGCCTTGGCCTCCCAAAGTGCTAGGATTACAGGCATGAGCCACCGTGCCTGGCCTCCATTTCTTGTCTTACAAATAATGCTACAATGAAGGTTTATAAATTTCTTCTTGGGTACACATTTGAGAGTTTAGACGGTATAAGCCTAGAAGTGGGCCAAAGAGTATACATTTTCACCTTGTCAAATTCCTCTCCAAAGTGATTGTACCAGTTTACACTTTGTTGAGTCAAGTAGGAGAGTGTCCTTTGTTCCATATTCACTCAAATACTTGATATTATGAGATATTCATTTATTTTTTATTTTTATTTTTTGGCTAGGGGGTATCAGAGTCTCACTTTGTTTCTCAGTCTGGAGTGCAGTGCCGCGATCTCGGCTTACTGCAACCTCCGCCTCCCAGGTTCAAGTGATTCTCCTGCCTCAGCCTCCTGAGTAGCTGGAATTACAGGCTCTTGCCACCACACCCGGCTCATTTTTGTATTTTTAGTATAGGCAGGGTTTTGCCATGTTGGCCAGGCTGATCTTGAACTCCTGACCTCAGGTGATCCACCCGCCTCAGCCTCCCAAAGTGCTGGGATTACAGGCGTGAGCCACCGCACCTGGCCGAGACTTAAACTTTCAACAATCTGATGGGTATGAAAGAGAAACTTGTAGTTTTTAATCTGCATGTCCTGTAAGGATAATCATGTTCTCAGAAATGTTTATTGACTATTTGGGCCATCTATTTAAATTTTTTAAACTTTCATGTTCCCTTTTATTCTGTTATCACTTTCTCATAGTGATTAATAGTAGAAACTCTAGTTTTAAAAGTTAATACACATAAAGTGCTCAGAAGAGTCACAGCCATGTTGTTGGAGACAGTATTATTTTTATCCTTTTAAATACGTATATATTGGCTGGGCATGGTGGCTCACGCCTGTAATCCCGGCACTTTGGGAGGCTGAGGCAGACAGATCACCTGAGGTCGGGAGTTCGAGACCAGCCTGACCAACATGGCAAAACGCCGTATCTACTAAAAATACAAAAATTAGCCAGGCATGGTGGCAGGCGCCTCTACTCCCAACTACTTGGGAGGCTGAGGCAGAAGAACTGCTTGAACCCAGGAGCGGGAGGTTGCGGTAAGCTGAGACCATGTCGTTGTATTCCAGCCTGGGCAACAGAGTGAGACCCCATCTCAATACATACATACATACATACGTATTTATTGAGACAGGGGTCTCGCTGTGTTGAAGAAGCTGGTCTCTAGCCCCAGGCCTCAAGCTGTCCTCCTGTCTTGGCCTCCCAAATTGCTGAGATTATAGGCGTAATCTCACTGCACCTGTCCACCATTTTAGATACTAATCTTGCCAAAGTTATTTTTAAAATTTAATCTCATTTCTTTGAGTGTTTCTACTTATATTTTCTAATCTTTTATGATAAATTATTTCAGCAATTTTAGCATTCATGACTTTAATCCTTTTGTTTCTTTTCTAGTATTAGTTTAAAATGTTCCATTTCTGTTCTCTTTGTGTATCTCAGTTCTTGCTTCAATGACAGCAAATAAAAATCCTGGTCTTGTGGAACAGCTGAGTAGTACATCCTTTCCCAAACTGGGGGAGGGTGGTTGCTTTACCCCCAGCTGTCCCAGCAGCTGCTCAGCCAGATTCCCAGATCTAGCATCTTTCAAAACATCTCAACCTTGGTAACTCAGATAAAAGTCTTTCTGAGGCGTAGGTCCTCCTGTGTCAATGGCACATCTGAATTACTAACAACGTGTTCTTTTCTTAAGTTATGTTATCTAGTCAGTTGATCAGGAGTTATATATACTGTGGACCCTGAAAACATTATCCCTGCATTATTGAGTAAATCATGTAAATACTGCGAGAAGGTAAAAAACACCACAAAAGCAATGTGGCATAACACTTTGTGCATTACATAGGCACCCAATACATATTGGTGATTGCCTAGTAAAAAATAGAGGGCTCTCAGTGCTGCTTACCTGCCTCTAATAAAAATGTAGGTGGTATTAAACCACAAGCTAGACCATCAGGAAGGAGGTACAAGGATAGATCCACAACCTGCTCTTGGCCTTTATCTCAGCAAGCTACCTGGCTTCTGTACTCCTACTTTGATTCACCTGCTGTTGCAGCAGGGTTTTAGGAGGATCCTATTTGTGTATCTAAGATTCAACATTCATGAAGGAGCAGAAATACTTGGATTTGCCTCTTAGCTCTTGGAGCTGGAGAGTGGATGACTTCCTGCAAGGCACGATTTTTGGATTGGCTTCTCAATTATTACAGGAATCCTCAACTTTTAGAATTGCCAGCCTATTCATCTGATCTTGAAAGTGTACAAACTTACCTTCAAACAGTGTAGAATATATGCAATTCTGGACCTAGACAGAGGCAATAACCTAAAGACATTTGCAGCTCATTTCTTGTCAGAACCCATTGAGAATAGTGGTATTGATGGAAGACTGTCAAGCCCATCCAGTTCTCTAGTCTAAATAGTCTCAGTTTATCCATGACTTGAGCCATCTAAAAGTTGCATAACAAATTAGCCGGGCGTGGTGGCGCATGCCTATAGTCCCAGCTACCCGAGAGGCTAAGGCAGGAGAATCACTTGAACCCAGAAGGCGAAGGCTGCAGTGAGCCGAGATCGCACCACTGCACTCCAGCCTGGGTGATCGAGTGAGACTCCGTCTCCAAAAAAAAAAAAAAAAAAAAAAAAAGTTGAATAACATTAATACAGCAATATTCTTCAAGGTGGTTGGATTGCTGGTGATTTTTATTTTCTTTTTAAACTCTT
The DNA here is from genome assembly GCF_000001405.40 of Homo sapiens. Taxonomy (NCBI): domain Eukaryota; kingdom Metazoa; phylum Chordata; class Mammalia; order Primates; family Hominidae; genus Homo; species Homo sapiens. The sequence continues at coordinate 67,195,472 of NC_000011.10, forward strand.
CTATTTTCCAAATTTTATGCCATGGGACTGTGTTCTAAACTGTCCAGTATGAAGAAAACAAAGAGCTCTGTTACTATAAAGAAAATGGTTTTCAGGTCTCTATTCAGTGGCTCTGGTGTAATAGAGCTGTATCAAGTCTTTCTTTGCAAAACTCTTTATTTCCTTTTATTTTTATTAGTTGTTCATGCTCTATGCAGTCTGTATAACCTTGGGTTTTAAATTCTTCAAGCAAATTGCAGTTTTCTGTTAGAACTTTAGTTATATTGTACTTATATTCAGTAAAGAAAATACTTAACATAAGCCAACAATTGTCAGCTTGTCCTAATTTAGTTAGAATTGTTAATATTGCCTGTGTATTTACCCAGTTCAAAGCTGGTTCCGTTGCCAGTATTTTATTTTCTATTTTATAACCAGTTCTCAATAGGCTCCAATAAGGAATAATTTTTCTACCACTTACAGCAACTTTCTTTGCCAAATCCACAATATCTTCTATCAACTCAAGATGTTGTGATTTCTTCAAACTTATCTCAGAACCACAAGAATTGCTAAATTTCTCTCACTTAGATGTAATCTTTTTATTGCGTACCCACCCCATCCCAGTTAAGCTGAGTCACACGAACATAATTGTCGGTCATAAATTGAGGAGCAACGACATAGTCACCCATATTAGGGCAATTTTCTAACAAGACATAATCCACTACAGTGAAACTTTCTTTGGCAAAATCATCCATGGTGCACGAGCAGGGGCTTGCAGCCCATGAGCCTCAGATGCAGGCTACCACTGCTGCCACCTCCAGTTCTTCATGTCAGCCAGATGGCAGGAGGGAGCAAGTGGGCCTATTACAGTTTTAAGAGATGAGGTCTCACTGTGTTGCCCAAGCTGGCCTTGAAATCCTGGACTCAAGCGATCTTCCTGCTTTAACCTCTTGCATAGCTGGGACTGCAAGCATGAGCCACAGTGCTTGGCTGAATGATAATTCATAGTAGCTAAAATGTAGCAACCTAAATGTCCATCAGCAGTGAATACTTTAGCATAATGTGCTATTTCCATTCACTGGATTATTATTTAGCCTTAAAAAGGAAGGAAATTCTGATATATACTACACATTACATGAATCCTAAGGACTTATGCTAAGTGAAATAACCCAGCCACAAAAATATAAATACTGTGTAATTCCACTGACATGAAGTATATAGAGTAACCAAAATCATGGAGACAAAATAGAATAGTGGTTACTGGGAAGAAGGGCAATGGGGACTTAAAACGGCCATAGTTTCAGTTTTATAAGATGAACAGAGTTATGGAGATGGATGGTGGTAATGGTTGCACAACATTGTGAATATATTTAATAACACTGAACTGTGCTCCTAAAAATGGTTAAGATAGAACATTTTATGTTTTTTGTATTTTACTACCATTTTTTACAAGTTGAAAAAAAAATAGACTCCTGGATATAGTATTCAAATTTCTGAGCTATGCAAATATGTAAGATCTTATTCAGTCATCAGTCTTCGGTTTTCTTCCCACTTCCTTACCACTTTTCCTTTCCTCGGTAATCTTCTTACTGCTAATAATGATCTTTGGAAGCCCTTTGTAACCTTGTATTTTCTAAATAAACCCAAGGGTGAACACAAATAACTTTGCTGTGATTTAAAATAAAATAGCAATTATATCTAACCTAACAGACCTTATCAGAAATAAACTTTTTTTTTTTTTTTTGAGACAGGGTATTGCTTTGTCACCCAGGCTGGAGTGCAGTGGGGCAATCATGCCTCCCTGCAGCCTTGACTTCCTGGGCTCAAGCGATCCTCCCACCTCAGCTTCCTGAGTAGCTGGGACCACAGGTGGGCACCACCATGCCCAGATAATTTTTGTATTTTTTTTGTAGAGATGGGATTTTGCCATGTTGCCCAGGCTGGTCTTGGAACTCCTGAGCTCAAGCAGTCAGCCCGCCTCGGCCCCACCAAAGTGTTGGGATTACAGGCGTGAGCCACTCTGCCCAGCCAGTGACTAACTTTCTATCCAGGTTTTTTAAAGTCTGGGTGTTTTTTTGTTTCTTGGATAGCTAATCATTGGCAAAATGCAGTGAAAAAGCTGATCCAGCTCTTCTTTTCAGCCTGTGGTGGAATGTTACTTCTTCAGTGTCAGTTTATGTCTCAGAAAGAAGTAAGCCATTCTGTCTTGTAAACTTTCTGTGATAGGATGTATTTGGTTGAGAATATGGACTCTGTAGCAAAACTGTCCTGAGCTACACTAATTACTAGCTGTGTAATCTTGGACAAGTTACTTAAATGTGAAGTGCTTAGAACAGTGTCTGGCATATACAGTTGACCCTTGAACAATGCAACGGCTAGAGGCACCAACCCCCAGCAAGTCAGAAATCTACATATAAATTGGAATTCCTCAGAAACTTAACTACCAATAACCTACTGTTTACTGGATGCCTTATGGATAATGTAAACAGTTGATTAACATATTTTATGTTATACATATTATATACTGTATTCTTACAATAAAGTAAGATAAAAATTCCTTAAATCATAAAAGAACATTTGTTTACTATTAAGATTGAAAATATATTTACTATCTTTTCATCTTCATGATGAGTAGGCTAAGGAGGAAGAGGTGGGATTGCTTTTGCTGTCTCAGGAGTGGCAGGGATGGAAGAAAATTCATGTATAAGTGAACCCATGTAGTTCAAACCAGTGTTGTTCAAGGATCAACTGTGCTGAGTTCTCAGTAAATGTTAGCTATTACTTTGACCATCACAATTTTATCTAAGTGCTCTGGTCCATACCCAGAGTATGAGCGCACCTCATTTTATTGCACTTTGCAGATAGTGTATTTTTTTTTTTTTTTAACAAATTGAAGGTTTCTGGCAAACCTTCATTGAGCAAGTCTGTAGCCGCCATTTTTCCAATAGCATATGCTCACTTCATGTCTGTCACATTTTAAAACCTTTTCATTATGCCGGGCGCAATGGCTCATGCCTGTAATCCCAGCACTTTGGGAGGCCGAGGCGGGCGGATCTCGAGGTCAGGAGATCGAGACCACGGTGAAATCCCATCTCTACTAAAAACACAAAAAATTAGCTGGGCGCAGTGGCGGGCGCCTGTAGTCCCAGCTATTTGGGAGGCTGAGTCAGGAGAATGGCGTGAACCCGGAAGGCGGAGGTTGCAGTGAGCTGAGATCCCGCCACTGCACTCCAGCCTGGGTGACAGAGTGAGACTCTGTCTCAAAAAAAAAAAAAAAGCTTTTCATTATTATTTGTCAGTGGTGATCAGTAGTTTGTTTTGTTTTGTTTTGTTTTGTTTTGTTTTGTTTTTGACGGAGTCTCACTCTGTTGCCCAGGCTGGAATGCAGTGGCACAATCTTGGCTTACTGCAACCTCCACCTCCTGGATTCAAGCAATTCTCATGCCTCTGCCTCCCGAGTAGCTGAGATTACTGACATGCACCACCATGCCTGGCTAATTTTTGTATTTTTAGTAGAGATGGAGTTTCACCATGTTGGCCAGGGTGATCTTAAACTCCTGACCTCAAGTGATTCACCCGCCTTGGCCTCCCCAAAGTGCTGAGATTACAGGCATGAGCCACTGCACCCAGCAGATCAGTGATCTTTGACATTACTATTATACTTGTTTTGAGGTGCCATGAACTGTATCCATATAGGAGAGCAGACTTGAAATGTTGTATATGTTCTGACTGCTTTGCCACATTGCTATTCCCTTGTTCTCTTTCTCTCCTCAGGCCTCCCTATTTCCTGAGACACAACAATATTGAAATTAGGCCAACTAATAACACATGGCCTCTTAAGTGTTCAAGTGAAAGGAAGAGTCCCACCTCTCTCACTTTAAATCAAAAGTTAGAAATGATTAAGTTTAGTGATTAAGGCATGTCAAAAGCCAAGATAGGCCTTTTACATCAAATAGTTAACCAAGATGTGAATGCAAAGGAAAGGTTCTTGAAGAAAATTAAAAGTGCTACTCCAGTGAACATGGGGATAAGAAAGAAAAACAGCCTTATCACTGATAACGGAGAAAGTCTGAGTGGTTTGGATAGAAAATCAAACCAGCTATAACATTCCCTTAACAAACCCTAAGCCACAGTAAAGCCCTGATTCTCTTTAATTCTGTAAAGGCTGAGAGAGGTGAGGGAGCTGCAGAAGAAAAGTTTAAAGCCAGGAGAGGTTGGTTTATGAAGTTTAAGAAACCATCTTTGTAACAATGAAGTGCAAGGTAAAGCAGCAGCACATGCTGATATAGAAGCTGCAGCAGGTTATCCAGGAGAACCAGCTAGGATCATTGATGAAGGAGGCTGCACTAAACAACAGATTTTCCATGTAAATGAAACAGCCTTCTATTGGAAGAAGATAGCATCTAGGATTTTCATAGCTAGATAAAAGGCAGTTGCTTCAAGGGACAAGTTGACTCTCTTGTTAGGGGCTAATGCAGCTGGTGATTTTAATTGGAAACCAAATTTAACATTCCAAAAAAAGCTTATTTACCATTCCAAAATCCTAGGGCCCTTAAGAATTATGCTAAATCTACTCTATTAATGGAACAACAAAGCCTAGATGATATCACATCTGTTTTACAGCATGGTTTACTGAATTTATTAAGCCCACTGTGGAGATCTGCTCAGGAAAAAAGGTTCCTTTCAAAATGTTACTGCTCACTGGCAGTGTACCTCTTCACCCAAGACCTCTGATGGGAATGTACAAAGAGATTAATATTGTTTGTGTGGTTTTTTTTTTTCTTTTTAGACGGAGTCTCTCTCTGTTGCCCAGGCTGGAGTGCAGTGGCACGATCTCAGCTCACTGCAAGCTCCACCTCCTGGGTTCACGCCATTCTCCTGTCTCAGCCTCCCGAGTAGCTGGGACTACAGGCGTCCGCCACCACGTCCGGCTAATTTTTTTCGTATTTTTAGTAGAGATGGGGTTTCACCATGTTAGCCAGGATGATCGCGATCTCCTCACCTCATGATCCGCCCGCCTCAGCCTCCCAAAGTGCTGGGATTATAGGCGTGAGCGACCGTGCCCAGCCTGTTTGGTTTTTTAAGACAAGGTCTCATTCTGTTGCCCAAGTTGGAGTGCAATGGTACAATCATGGCTCACTGCAGGCTCAGTGTCCCTGGGCTCAGGTGATCCTTCCACCTCAGCCTTTAGCTGGGACTACAAGCACATGCCAACACACCCAGTTAATTTTTGTGTTTTGGTAGAGACACAGTTTGACCCTGTTACCCAGGCTGGTTTAGAACTCCTGGGCTCAAGGGATTTGCCTGCCTCAGCTTCCCAAAGTGCTGGGATTACAGGCATGAGCTACCATGCCTTGCCTGAGATTAATACCGTTTTCATGCCAGATAGCAGTATTCATTCTGTGGCCCATGGATCAAGGAGTAATCTCAACTTTAGTCTTATTATTTAAGAAATATATTTCATGGCCTGGCACAGTGGCTCACACCTGTAATCCCAGCACTTTGGGAGGTCGAGGCGGGTGGATCACGAGGTCAGGAGATTGAGACCATCTGGCTAACACGGTGAAACCCAGTCTCTACTGAAAATAGAAAAAAAATTAGCCGGGCGTGGTGGCGGGCGCTTGTAGTCCCAGCTACTGGGGAGGCTGAGGCAGGAGAATGGCGTGAACCCGGGAGGCGGAGCTTGCAGTGAGCCGAGATTGCACCACTGCACTACAGCCTGGGCGACTGAGCAAGACTCTGTCTCAAAAAAAAAAATATATATATATATATGTGTGTGTGTGTGTGTATATATATATATTTCATAAGGCTATAGCTGACATAGTGATTCTGCTGGTAAATCTGGACCAAATAAATTGAAAAACATCTGGAAAGGATTCACCACTGTAGATGCCATTAAGAACATATTTATGGCCAGGCATAGTGGCTCATGTCTGTAATCCCAATGTTTTGATAGGCCCAGGTGGTGGATCCCTTGAGGCCAGGAGTTTGAGACCAGCCTGGGAAACATAGTGAGACCATCTCTACAAAAAATTAGCCATGGCCCGGTGCGGTGGCTCACGCCTGTAATCCTAGCAGTTTGGGAGGCCAAGGTGGGCAGATCACAAGTCAGGGGTACAAGACCAGCCTGACCAGTATGGTGAAACCTGGTCTCTACTAAACATACAAAAATTAGCCGAGTGTGGTGGCATGGGCCTGTAGTCCCAGCTACTTGGGAGGCTGAAGCAGGAGAATCACTTGAACCTGGGAGACGGAGGTTGCAGTGAGCCAAGATCACACCACCCCACCACACTCCAGCCTAGGCAACAGAGCTAGACTCCATCTCAAAAAAAAAAAAAAAAAAAAAAAAAAAAAAAAATTAGCCATGCTTGGTGGTGTACACCTGTAGTCCCAACTATTTGGGTGGCTGAGGTGGGAGGATCACTTGAGCCCAGGAATTCGAGGTTGCAATGAGCTCTGATCTTGCCACTCTATTCCAGCCTGGGCATGAGAGTGAGACCCTGTCTCTAAAAAAAATAATTAAAATGAAAAAGAGCATTTGTGGTACATGGGAGGAGGTCAAAATATCAACATTAACAGGAGTTTGGAAAAAGTTGGTTCCCACCCTTATTGATGACTTTGAGGGGTTCAAGACTTCAGTGGAGGAAGTAACTGCAAATGTGGTGAAAATAGTGAGAGAGCTAGAATTAGAAATGGAGTCGAAGATGCGACTGAATTGCTGCAATCTATAATGAAACTTGAGCAGATGGAAGAGTTGCTTCTTATGGATGAGCAAATAAAGAAGTTTGTTTTTTTAAGATGGAATCTACTCCTGGTGGAGATGCTGTAAACATTGTTAAAATAACAAGGTATTTAGGATATTACATAAAGTGAGTTTATAAAGCAGCAGTAGGGTTTGAGAGGATTGACTCCAATTTTGAAAGACGTTCTACCATGGGTAAAATGATATCAAACAGCATTGCATGCTACAGAGAAGTCTCTTTGTGAAAGGAAGTATCAATCCATGTTGCAAACTTTATTGTTGTCTTATTTTAAGAAATGTCAGCTGGGCATGGTGGCTCACGTCTGTAATCCTAGCACTTTGGGAGGCTGAGGCGGGTGGATCACAAGGTCAGGAGATTGAGACCATCCTGGCTAACATGGTGAAACCCCGTCTCTACTAAAAATACAAAAAAAAAACTAGCCAGGCATGGTGGCAGGCACCTGTAGTCCCAGCTACTCAGGAGGCTGAGGCAGGAGAATGGCGTGAACCCAGGAGGCGGAGCTTGCAGTGAGCCGAGATCGCGCCACTACGCTCCAGCCTGGGCGACAGAGCGAGACTTCGTCTCAAAAAAAAAAAAGAAAAGAAATTGTCGACCCGAGAAACAGCGAGATCTTGTATCGGCAAAAATTAAAGGATTAGCCAGCCATTGTGGCACGTGCCTGTAGTCCCAGCTACTCCGGAGGCTAAGGTGGAAGGATTACCAGAGTCCAGGAGTTTGTGGCTGTGGTGAGCTGTGATTGCACCAGTGCACTCCAGCCTGGGCAACAGAGCAAGACCCTGTCCGTCCGCCGCCAAAAAAAAAAAAAAAGAAAAACGGTTTACACTTCAGCGAAAGAAAAAGAAGTTGCTATATCCACCCCAACCTTCAGCAACCACCACCACTCTGATCAGTCAGCAGCCCTCAACAATGAGGCAAGTTCCTCCACAGGCCAAGATTATGACTCACTGAAGGCTCAGATGATTGTTAGCATTTTTAGCAATAAAGTATTTTTAAATAAAAGTATGTACCTTGTTTTTTAGATACAGTGCTGTTGTACACTTAATAGCCTACAGTATAATGTAAATATATGCACTGTGAAACCAAAAAGTTTTGTATGACTTGCTTACTGGAATAGTTGCTTTATTGCAATGATCTGGAACTGAACCCACAATATCTCCAAGATATGGTTATACTAAGTAGTCTGAAAATACAAAATAGTCTAGTAATAAATAGTCTATAATAAATAATATATTAATATAATTATATTTATTAATTATTAATAATTATTAATATATATTAATATATTTTTATATAATATATAATATAAAATATATAATAAATAAGTAGTCTAGTAATAAAAGAATACCAGCCTGGGCAACATAGTGAAACCTTGTCTTTACCAAAAATACAAAAAATTAACTGGGTATGGTGGCATGCACTGTAGTCCCAGCTACTCAGGAGGCTGAGGTGGGAGGATCACTTGAGCCTGGGAGGCAGAGGTTGCATTGAGTCTAGATTGTGCCACTGCACTCCAGCCTGGGTGACAGAGTGAGGCCCCATCTCAAAAGGAAAAAAGAATAAAATGCTTTCCTCTACATTCTTTTTTTTTTTTTTCTTTTTTCTTTTTAAGACAGAGTCTTGCTGTGTCGCCCAGGTCCGGAGTGCAGTGGTGCGATCTTGGCTCACTGCAACCTCTGCCTCTTGAATTCAAGCAAATCTCTTGCCTCAGCCTCCTAAGTAGCTGGGACTATGGCCGCGTACCACCACGCCCAGCTAATTTTTGTATTTTTAGTAGAGATGGGGTTTCACCATGTTGGCCAGGCTGGTCTCAAACTCCTGACCTCAAGTGATCTGCCCGCCTCGGCCTCCCAAAGTGCTGAGATTACAGGCGTGAGTCACCACACCTGGCCTCCCCTACATTCTTGAAGGAAAGCATTTACTTGTTATTTCTTAAATTATGGTTAAATACAGGTAATATAAAGTTTACCATCATAACCATTACGTTTTTTTCTTTTTGCATAGAACATTTCATTGTCATGTACCCATTTTAAAGCATACCAGTGTCATCAAGTTTTTTCACAGTGTGCAACCATCACCACTATCTAGTTCTAGAATTTCATCACCCCAAACAAACTCCATACCTTTGAGCAGTCATTCTCCGTTTTCTCCTCCACTTAACTCCTGGCAACAACAAATCTATTCTGTCTTGGTGAATTTGTCTAATCTGTATATTTCATATAAATGGAACTATATAATATGTAGCCTTTTGTGTAGGCTTCTTTGATACAGTGTGTTTTCTTTTTTCTTTTTTTTTTTTTTGAGACAGAGTCTCACTGTGTTGCCCAGGCTGGAGTGCAGTGGTGTGATCTCTGCTTACTGCAAGCTCCGCCTCCTGGGTTCATGCCATTCTCCTGCCTCAGTCTCCCGAGTACCTGGGACTACAGGTGCCTGCCACCACACCTGGCTAATTTTTTGTATTTTTAGTAGAGATGGGGTTTCACCGTGATAGCCAGGATGGTCTTGATCTCCTGACCTCGTGATCCACCCACCTCGACCTCCCAAAGTGCTGGGATTACAGGCGTGAGCCACCAAACCCAGCTGATACAGTGTGTTTTCTTGGTATATCCATGTTGTAGCATGTATTAGTACTTCATTCCTTTTTATGGTCGACTATTTCCTTGTATGGATCAACCACATTTTGTTTATTCATATCATGGTAAACATTTGTGTTATTTCCATCTTTTAGCTGTTTTAAATAGTGCTGCAGTGAATATTTATGTACAAGCTTTTGTTTGAACACCTTGTTCAATTCTTTTAGATATATGCCTAGAAGTGGAATTGCTGAGTCACATGGTCATTCTGTGTTTAGTTTATTGAGGAACTGCAAATCCAATTTCCATAGCGGCTGCACCATCTTATATTCCCACCAGTAGATGTATGAGGGTTCCAATTTCTCTGCATTTTTGCTAGCACTCATTATTTTCCATTTTTTAAATTATAGCGATCCTAGTGGGTGTGAAGTGGTATTTCTTGGCAGTTTTGATTTGACATTCACTTTTTCTTTTAAAATATGAAGTGTAGGTTCTGTCCATTGCCTTACATTATTAGTTATGTTTTACTAGTAATATATATATTCTGCCTTGTCTATTTCACAGTGGCCATATTCTTCTCTTGGGTATTATCTCCTATCTTTAACTAAGCTATAAATTCCTTAGAGACAGGGTATCAGGTTCTAATGCTACCTGATACATCCAGCCAGGGCAGGTGTTTGTTCGTCTTACAAGGAAGACAATAGATATAAATTTTTTTTTTCTACAGCCTCGACCTCCTGGGCTCAGGTGATTCTCACACCTCACCCTCCCGAGTAGCCGGGATTACGGGCACGCACCACCATGCCCAGCTAATTTTTTGTATTTGTATTTGTATTTTTTTGTTTTGTGTGTGTGTATGTTTAATTTTTTTTGTATTTTTAGTAGAGACGGTGTTTTGCTATGTTACCCAGGCTGGTCTCAAACTCCTGGACAGAAGCTGTCTGCCCGTCTTGACCTCCCAGAGTGATGGGATTATAGATGTGCACCACCGTGCCCGGCCAGACATACAATATTGTCAGCTTTTTATTTTCTCTCCCTTCCTTGACCACCATTTTCTGAATCTTTTAGCTTATATTTTACCTCTGCATGGAATTGTCCCTGTTGAATCATCTCTTGTTAGAATTCTACTTATTCTTCTCCCTCTTTTCCTAAAGCCTTTTCTGATCAGTCTAATAAAAATATGATACTTCCCTTTTGTTTTTACTGCCGCTTGAGCACCTACTTTGTATTAAACATTTTACTTTATCGACTTTAAATCTTCACAGTGGCCCACAAGGTGATACTCATTCTCCACAAGATATTAATGTTCAGAGAAATTATATAACTTGTCTAAGTAGTATAGGAGCTGAGATTTAAACTTAGGTCTCAGGCAGGTGCAGTGGCTCACATGTGTAATCCCAGCATTTTGGAAGGCCAAGGCGGGCAGATCAGCTGAGGTCAGGAGTTTGAGACCAGCCTGGCCAACATGGCAAAACGCTGACTTTACCAAAAATACAAAAATTAGGCAGGCGTGGTGGCACACGGCCATATTCCCAGCTACTTGGGAGGCTGAGGCACAAGAATCTCTTGAACCTGGGAGGTGGAGGTTGCAGTGAGCCAAGATTTCGCACCACTGCACTCCAGCCTGGGTGACACAGCGAGACTGTCTCAAAATAAAATTAAAGAAATAAATAGGCTGGGCATGGTGGCTCACGCCTGTAATCCTAGCACTTTAGGAGGCCAAGACAGGCGGATTGCCTGAGCTCAGGAGTTGGAGGCCATCCTGGGCAACATGGTGAAACCCCGTCTCTACTAAAATACAAAAAATTAGGTGGGGTAGTGGCGTGTGCCTGTAGTCCCAGCTACTGTGGAGGTTGAGGCAGGAGAACTGCTTGAACCCAGGAGGTGGGAGGTTGCAGTGAGCCGAGAGCGTGCCACTGCACTCCAGCCTGAGCGACAGAGCGAGACTCCGTCTCTAAAAAATAAATAAACAAACTTAGGTCTCTTTGACTCCAAAGCTATTGTTTTCTCTCCACTACTATTTTATGCTGACTCTTGTGGCCTTATGCGTTTTGTTGTAGTTGTTATAGTTAACAAGAATCTGATATAGATTTTCGTGTCCATCCTGGTGTCTTTATCATTCTATAAATATTTGTGGAATAAATGAAAAGGGGACTTTGTTCTTCATGAACTAGGATAATTATCTTCATGGGCTAGGATATTAGCAACAGGTTTGCGAAATAGCCCTGTTTAACAAAAGAATATAAATTCAAAATCAGTCTGTTACCCACTAAATTATGGATACTTCATTCAAATTATGAGATAGATTAGGTCAACCTGCATCAAATCAGTATAGATCAGTAAGTAAGAGCTTGACTCTAGAGTGAGCCTGCCCCGGTTCTTTTCCTGCTTTGTTCTGTAAGTTACCTAACATCTGCTTTCTCATGTATGAAGTGGAGATTAGTATTTAGCATTTAGAATTGTTAGGATTAAATGAGACATTAGATAAAAGAGTCAACAACTGACTGTATAGTAAACATGCCTTAGGGAATAATTATTATTAACATTATCCATTGTCTTTCCCATTCTTTGTGATTTGATTATGATTGTTGAGTGAGAACTTTTTCCTTGTGTATTATTGAAAATAAGAAAGGACAGTATTTTTTCTTCTACTTTTTAAAAAATATTCTTACTATATTTAAGGATATTAGTGGCTCGATAGAGATGATCGATGCATCTTTTATGGCAGGGAGTCGTCGCATGGTGGATGTCATGGACGTGAACACACAGAAAGGCATTGAAATGACCATGGCTCAGTGGACACGCTACTATGAGACCCCAGAGGAGGAGCGAGAGAAACTCTATAATGTCATCAGCCTCGAGTTTAGCCACACCAGGCTGGAGAATATGGTGCAGAGGCCCTCCACGGTTAGTGTAATCATTTTCTTCATATTGTCATTGTCACCAAAAGGGTTGTTTTCGGCTGGACGTTGGTAACTGATGCTTGTTATCCCAGCACTTTGGGAGGCCAAGGGAGGCAGATCGCTTGAGCTGAGGAGTTTGAGAGCAGCCGGGGCAACATGGTGAAACCACATCTCTACAAAAAGTACAAAAAAAAAAATTAGCTGGGTGTGATGGCACATGTCTGTAGTTCCAGCTACTCAAGAGGCTGAGGTGGGAGGATCACCTGAGCCCAGGAGGTTGAGGCTGCAGTGACCGGTGATTGCACCACTGCATTCCAGCCTGGGTGACAGAACAAGACCCTGTCTCAAAAATTTAAAATAAAATGCGTTGTTTTTATACTGGGAAATTTTATAACTTTTTGCACATATCAAGATTAAGCTGAAGGTAAACAAGACTATTTGACAAGAATAATTTGTATTTTTATAAAGATATATTGATATTGTATTTTGATAAGAATAACTGCATTTTCCGAAATCATAATAAATTTTAAAATTTTAAAATTTATTATTATTAAAAAAATTTTTTTTTTTTAAAGACAGGGTCTCACAATTTTGTCCAGGCTGACCTTGAACTGCTGGGCTCAAGCAGTTCTCCCACCTTGGCCTCCCAAAGTGCTGGGATTACAGGCGTGAGCCACCGTGCCTGGGCGTGAAATCACTTAATTTTATATAGGGCAGGATTATTCTGATTTGTATCACAGTAACTTAATGTAGGAACATTGACCTTTGGATGTAACGGAGAGGAATATTAAAATTCAACCTTGGGGCCAGGCGCAGTGGCTCATGCTTGGAATCCCAGCACTTTGGGATCCGAGGTAGGCGGATCACCTGAGGTCAGGAGTTTGAGACCAGCTTGGCCAACATGGCAAAACTCCCATCTCTACTAAAAATACAAAAATTAGCCAAGCATGGTTGCATGCGCCTGTAATTCCAGCTACTCGGGAGGCTGAGGCATGAGAATCGCTTGAACCTGGGAGGCAGAGGTTGCAGTGAGCTGAGATCATGCCACTGCACTCCAGCCTGTGTGACAGTGAGACCCTGTCTCAAAAAAAAAAAAAAAAAAATTCACTCTTGACCAGGCATGGTGGCTCACATTTGTAATCCCAACACTTTGAGAGGCTAAGACAGGAGAATTGCTTGAGGCCAGTAGTTCAAGATCAGCCTGGGGAATGTCACGAGACCCCCAAAAATAAAAATAAACATTTTTATTATTTATTATTTTTTTTTTGAGGCCGAGTCTCACATTGTTGCCCGGGATATAGAGTGCGGTGGCACGATCTCGGTTCACTGCAACCTCTGCCTCCCCGGTTCAAGCAATTCTCCTGCCTCAGCCTCCTGAGTAGCTGAGACTACAGGCCACCATGCACTGCTAATTTTTGTATTTTTTTTGTTAGAGACGGGGTTTCATCATGTTGGCCAGGCTGGTCTTGAACTCCTGACCTCAAGTGATCGACCTGCCTCGGTCTCCCAAAGTGCTGGGATTACAGGCATGAGCCACCACACCGGGCCGAAAGGAACTATTTTTGTATTAGTAATCATGTTTATTTGATCATATGGAAGTATAGGAAGACAGGTGGTTAGAATTTAGCCTTCTTATTAGCCTAATGTGATTTGCTAAATAGGAATTTAGTGAGAGGGATGGGATGTAAGAATTCCAGTAACATTATTTATTTATAATTTTATTTTCTTAATATTTCTAGAATTTTATTTTATTATTATTATTATTATTATTATTTTTGAGACAGGTTCTCGCTCTGTTGCCCAGGCTTTAGTGCAGTGGCACGATCTTGGCTCACTGCAGCCTCCGCCTCCCAGGTTCAAGCAATTCTCCCACCTCAGCCTCTCAAATAGCTGGGATTACAGGGACACACCACCACACCCGGCTAATTTTTGTATTTTTAGTAGAGATGGGGTTTCACCATGTTGGCCAGGCTTGTCTCGAACCCCTGACCTCAGGTGATCCACCTGTCTCAGCCTCCCAAAGTGCTGGAATTACAGGTGTGAGCCACTGTACCCGGCCAATTTCCAGAATTTTAATTTAAAAATAACAGGATTGGCCACACACGTTGGCTCATGCCTGTAATTCCAGCACTTTGGGAGGCTGAGGTGGGAGTATCCCTTGAGCCTAGGAGTTCAAGACCAGCCTGGTTAACATAGCAAGACCTCATCTCTACAAAATTTGGAAACTTAGCCAGGCATGGTGGCATGCACCTGTAGTCCTGGTTACTCAAGAGACCGAGGTGGGAGGATTGCTTGAGCCTGGGAGGTTGAGGCTGCAGTGAGCTGTGATCACTGTAGCCTAGCCAACATTGCAAGAATCTGTCTCAAAAAAATAATAAAATGATAAAAAATGTAAATAGAAGCCGAGCATGGTGGCTCATGCCTGTAATCCTAGCACTTGGGGAGGCCGAAGGCAGACAGATTGCTTGAGCTCAGGAGTTTGATACCAGCCTGGGCAACATGGTGAAACCCTGTCTCTATAGAAAAATTAGCCAGGCATGATGGCGTCCCCCATGTAGTCCCAGCTACTCAGGGGGTTGAGGCAGGAGGATTGCTTGAGCCTAGTAATTTGAGACCAGTCTGGGCAACATAATAAGACCTTGTTTCTACTTTTGAAAAAAAAAACAAAAAACAAAAACTAAGCAGCAACAAGAAAAATAACATGATTGTAGCTATAAATGTAAAACTTGACCTGGTCAATACTTTACCATTATTAAGGTTGTGAAATGTCTCACTATTCCACATGAAGCCTTTTTTGTGGCATCCTGAATTTATTCACTCTGTCCCTAGTTTTAATGATAAAAATGTGACATCATTTTATAAAAATTAGAAAAATATATTAACATTAAAGGGCGGAGAAGAACCTATGAGAGGGCTCAGAAATAGAAAATTATTAAGAGAGCAGAGGCCACAATACTAATATCTTACGGGGACCTAAAACATGAAAGATTGAATGAGCTATTACCAAGCTCACATTCTAAAAGCAGGTAAGGTTTTTGTGACCTTGCTATGTAAGTAATAACGTTTATTTTGTTGATAGAATAAGATAGAAGACTTCATGTGGAATAGTCACACATTTCAAAATCTTAATAATGGAAAAGTATCGACCAGGTCAAGTTTTACATTTATAGCTAGAGGCCTGGCACAGTTGCTCACACCTCTAATCCCAGCACTTCAGGAGGCCAAGGTGGGCGTATCACTTGAGCCCAAGAGTTCGAGACCACTCGGGAGGCTGAGGTACAAGAATCACTTGAACCCGGGAGGCAGAAGTTGCAGTGAGCTGAGATGGTGCCACTACACTCCAGCCTGGGTGACAGAATGAGACCCTATTTCAAAACAAACAAACAAACAAAAACATAGCTACAATCATGTTATTTTTGTTGTTGCTGTTTCTATTGGTAGAATTCTTATTCCCCCCATAGTATATCCCTTCATTTATCTAGGTTTTTTCCAGTATATTTCACTAGTGCTTTTTTTAAAAACCAACTTTATTGAGGTAAAATTGATGTTCAGTAAAGTGGACCCCCATTTTAAGTGTGCATTTCAGTGAGTTTTGACAAACATATTTATTCATGTAAGTAACCACCATAGTCAAAATATAGAAAATAAGCCAGGTGCGGTAGCTCACGCCTACAATCCCAGCACTCTGGGAGGCCAAGGCAGGCAGATCACTTGAGGTCAGGAGTTCAAAACCAGCCTGGCCAACATGGTGAAACCCCGCCTCTACTAAAAATACAAAAATTAGCTGGGTGTGGTGGTGCACACCCGTGATCCCAGCTACCTGGGAAGTTGAGGTGGGAGAATCGCTTGAAACCAGGAGGCAGAGGTTGCAGTGAGCCATGATCACACCACTGCACTCCAGCCTGGGTGACACAGTGAGACCCTGTCTCAAAAAAAAAAAAAAAAAAAAAAAAAAAGAATATATATATAATAGCCTATTAGTAGTTCTTTTTTAATTTTTTAATATTCAAAAACTTAATCTTCATTTCTAAAAACTTAATCTTCATGTCTAAAAACTTTGATCTGTCACTTCTCACTTTATATCCTCAAGTTCTAACCTATTTGCATTTCTTAATCCTAGAGTTACATAATCTGTTTGTTCCCTGTGATCTTCACAACCTTCAGGGTTTGCCTATTCATTTATCAGATGCCTACCACATGCTAAGCACTGTCTAGGTACTAGAGATACAGTGGAAAATGATATCATTCTTGTTAGAGACTCAAAGAAAGACAAGAAAATATGCATTTATATAAACTATAGTATGAGCAGTGCTTCAAAAGTGAATAAACAGCCAGGCAAAGTAGCACATGCCTTTAGTCCCAGCTACCTGGGAGGCTGTGGTGGGAGAATTGCTTGAGCCCAGGAGTTTGAGGCAGCCTAGGCAATGTGGCAAGACCCAGTCTTTTAAAATTAAAAAAATTGAATAAAGCAGGATATTGTGGAAGCATTTTGGAAGGATGACCTAATTTAGAAACTATAGGAGAATTAGGGGAAGCTCTTTGGAGGAAGTGGTGCCTAATGTTGACATAAAAGAAATAATGAAGCAAGGAGAGGGAGACCAGAATTACGGGCAGAAGGAATAGCATTTGTAAAAGTAGGTTCCGGGAGGTAAGAAGGGCAACTTTTACATGCCTGTTATAGGAGCTAGCATAAAGTAGAGTTCTATGGTGAGAAGAGATTATTTAGTGCTGCCATTCCAGCAATAACTGAGAGGTAGATTTTAAAATGGCACAAATAATACACATTTGTTTGGTGATGGGGAAATAAGTTCATGGAAGGCTATGAGTTGTTTATGAATAGACTAGGTTCATGATATTGGACTTCTTACCAGTTTGGCCCTAGTTTTGTTGCAGAACAGATTATAACTGGGATCAGAGTATTTAGCAAAGGATCTATCCCAAGGCTAAAGATTAACCTAAGAAGAAAAGCACGAACATGTTACCACAAATTCTCTCTGTAGTCTGAAGATACCTAATAATACCAAAGAAAGGCAGGCAAAAATGACTGACTTTCTTGCTGCAATTAAGAAATTCTGCTTTCTGTGAATGAATGCGTGGTAAAAAAAAAAAAAATACTCATATGTTCTGAACCGTTCCTCTCCCTATTCAGACATGGGAGCTTACAGCGTATTAAGCAAGTACTTTATTCATTATTCTGTTAAAGGCATTCCCATGGACAACACACGGGGATGGGAGATGGTGGCTACTACATTAAGAAACAGTAAATTTTATTTGAAGGAAAGAAAGGCATCCAGGGCTTATTCAATGTTCTGGGACCGGCGGATGCTTGGTTAAAATTGTTGGCTCCCTGAGCAGAAATTCTTTGAAATGGAACAGCAGGTTAACCTTAACCGTTGCTCCTCATCTTGTTTGTTTCTTCCATGTCAGTGGTGATGCTTTCTAAACACTCTCCCACAGTTAACATCTGGGTATCCTCTAGACAACTGCTTCATATCATGCACAACTTTATGCATTTGTCTCCATTCACATTATAAGGGAAGTAAGTGATCAAATACGTAGATGTTGTTACAAAGCTTACCAGATACATGTTTTTTATAACCATAAGTTAGATATTTACCACATCAGCACTGTGCTGAATTCATGGTGGTTTGGCTCTCGAGTTTTACCTACCTGGAGTTCATTGGTTGAGTGTAGACACTTGAAGGCACAGGAAATGTTATAATTTAGTGTAAAATGTTGCGTATTGCTTTCACTTCTCTTTTTTTTCAGCCAGTATTATTTAAAAGATTCCTGGCCGGGCATGGTAGCTCATGCTGTAATCCCAGCACTTTGTGGGGCTGAGGCTGGTGGATTGCCTGAGATCAGAAGTTCGAGACCAGCCTGGCCAAGATGGTGAAACCCTGTCTCTACTAAAAAATACAAAAATTAGTTAGGTGCGGTGGCGGGTGCCTGTAATCCCAGCTACTCAAGAGGCTGAGGCAGGAGAATTGCTTGAACCTGGGAGGCGGAGGTTGCAGTGAGCTGAGATCGCACCACAACATTATAGCCTGGGTGACAGAGCAGACCGTCTCAAAAAAAAAAAAAAAAAAGATTTCTGTATTCTCACATTATTTCAGATTTTAAAAGTGTTTACATTTAATCCTTACAACGTATCTTTGAAGTAGTTATCTTAGTTTTTTTGTGTTTTTGGGTTTTTTATTGAGACAGTCTTGCCCTGTTGCCCAAGCTGGAGTGCAGTGGTGATCGTAGCTTACTGCAGCCTCAACCTCCTGGGTTTAAGCAAACCTCCCATCTTAGCCTCACAAGTAGCTAGGACTATAGGCACATGCCACAACGCCTGGCTGTTTTTTTTATTTTATTTTATTTATTTTTTGAGACGGCGTTTCGCTCTTGTTTCCCAGGCTGGAGTGCAGTGGCACCATCTCGGCTCACCAGAACCTCCACCTCCTGGGTTCAAGCGATTCTCCTGCCTCAGCCTCCCAAGTAGCTGGGATTACAGGCATGCGCCACCATGCGCAGCTAATTTTTTTTTTTTTTTGAGACGGAGTCTTGCTCTGTTACCCAGGCTGGAGTGCAGTGGCGCAATCTCGGCTCACTGCAAGCTCCGCCTCCCGGGTTCATGCCATTCTCCTGCCTCAGCCTCCCGAGTAGCTGGGACTACGGGCGCCCGCCACCACGCCTGGCTAATTTTTTGTATTTTTAGTAGAGATGGGGTTTCACCATGTTAGCCAAGATGGTCTCGATCTCCTGACCTCGTGATCCACCTGCCTCGGCCTCCCAAAGTGCTGGGATTACAGGCGTGAGCCACTGCACTGGGCCTAATTTTGTATTTTTAGTAGAGACGGGATTTCTCCATGTTGGTCAGGCTGGTCTTGAACTTCCGACCTCAGGTGATCCGCCTGCCTTGGCCTCCCAAAGTGTTGGGGATTACAGGTGTGAGCCACTGATCCCAACTATTTTTTTATTTTGAAGAGATGGGTTCTCACTGTGTTGCCCAGGCTGGTCTTAAACTCCTGGGTTCAAGTGATCTTCCCACCTTGGCCTTCCAAAGCTCTGGGATTGCAGGTGTGAGCCACTGTGCCTGGTCTATCTTAGTTTTATAGATGAGTTTGAGGGCCTTATATAGTCTTGAAAAGACATGATAGACCTGGAGCTTCTTATTCCTAAGCTGGTAGTTTCTATAGCACATTGTCAATGCAAGGCTATAAATCTATACTGGATTTTTTTCTTTTTTTTGGCCTAACTTTTGGCATCTTAACTGTTCTAACAATGGTATATATTTTGCTGAGTTTATAGATACCTTCCAGACAACACCTTTTATTGGATTAAAAAATAAAACAAATTATATAAGTATTGACATAGAAGAGAGTTCATAGTTATACACTATTGCATAATTAATGATTCCATTTTGACTAGTGCTGTCTTTACTATTATCATTTGATGGAATGATTAATCTTTATTCTCATATAACAATTATTTCTAGGATGGTTGCCTAGTAATCCTAAGATTCGCCAACAGATTTTTTTAATTTGCTTATAATTAAATTATAGTTTTTTGTTATGTATTTTAAGAAATTCTGCTTTTCTTGACTTTAAAATTATCTTTGACCCCAACCTTTCCCTTGGAGCCCAAGTGTTTCCTCCTTCTATTTAAAGGTGGATTTCATTGACTGGGTAGACAACATGTGGCCAAGGCACTTGAAGGAAAGCCAGACTGAATCAACAAATGCCATCTTGGAGATGCAGTACCCTAAAGTGCAGAAGTAAGTGATGCGCCCTGCATCTTCCTCCGTGTGCTGTGGGAGACCAAAGCAATAGCAAGGATTGGCTTCTCCCTTACGAGCTTTGCTCTGTGTCTTGAATGATTAAAAAGATGAATTATTTAAAGATGAGACTTTACAGTTCCACAAGGAAGAGTGTATGTGAGCATACCATAGCACACAACCACACAGTTAAAGGAAAAAAAACTTACATTTTAGTCAATACGGTAGAAAAAAAAAAAACCTTTTTCTGATAATGTGATGACTTGAAAATGCATTGCTTTTTCTCCTTCTGGAACTTAAGATTAAGTGGAAGATAAAGGGAGTATATAAGAGGAGAGTATGGCATTTTGGTGGGGCAGATGTACTTTTTTCCATCAGTACACTAATGCTGCTGCTTTTTTTGGGTCAGGTACTGTCTAATGAGTGTTCGAGGCTGCTATACTGACTTCCATGTGGACTTTGGTGGTACCTCTGTTTGGTATCACATCCATCAAGGGGGAAAGGTATGGTCATAGTTGTGATAGGGGTTGGAATCTGAAGTTGGTTGTATGACTTTGCTTCAGTTCATGTATACTTAATATACCCTGGAAATGAATCTGTTAGGGAATTGTCCCCATTCGTATCTGGAAAGAATTATAGATTAAGTTCACCTTCTTGGCTAGTGTTCAGTAGAAATTAGTATTCATCTAGTTCACTGTCATTACACCATTGGCACAGCACTTAGTAAATCTCAATAGTCCTGTTTCTAGATTCCTGAATCAGAGTTCTCCAAATGAAGCCAAAGAAGTGATTTTAGAAGGACAAGATAATTTCTGTACTTGGAAGTATAATAAATAGTGGAAGGGAACACGAATTTTGGATAGATTCACTGTGAAATCAGCAAATTAAGATCTAAACCAACTTTCCCTCTATGTAGCCATTGGTCTGAAATATGGCCAAAGGAAGCCTTTAAGTCCTTTTTGAGGATGTAAACAGGTTTTGAAGGATTATCTTTATTCATTCAGTTATATTCCAGCTTGTGAAAATGCTTCTGAATGCTATATGAGAATGGAAATCTAGAATTAATACCCGAGGTTTATAGTATTATACTCTTGTTACTCTTTTTTCTCTAACTTGCAGTGAATGCATTTGTAAGAGAAAAGTAGGAACTAGAATGAGAATAGATAATGCCTTGTTTAAAACATGAGGTCTTGGCCAGGCATGGTGGCTCACGCCTGTAATCCCAGCACTTTGGGAGGCCAAGGCGGGCGGATCAGCTGAGGTCAGGAGTTCAAGACCAGCCTGACCAACATGGAGAAAGTGCATCTCTACTAAAAATACAAAATTAGCTGGGTGTGGTGGTACATGCCTATAATCCCAGCTACTCGGGAGGCTGAGGCAGGAGAATCGCTTGAACCCACAAGGTGGAGGTTGCGGTGAGCTGAGATCGCGCCATTGCACTCTAGCCTGGGCAACAAGAGCAAAACTCTGTCTCAAAAAAGAAACAAACAACAACAACAAAAAAACATGAGGTCTTGTCCGGGCACAGTGGCTCACGCCTGTAATCCAACACTTTGGGAGGCCAAGGTGGGTGGATCATAAGGTCAGGAGATCGAGAACATCTTGGCCAACATGGTGAAACCCCGTCTCTACTAAAAATACAAAAATTAGCTGGGTGTGGTGGCGCACGCCTGTAGTCCCAGCAACTCTGGAGGCTGAGGCAGGAGAATCGCTTGAACCCAGGAGGTGGAGGTTACGGTGAGCCAAGATTGTGCCACTGCACTCCAGCCTGGACTACAAGAGTGAAACTCTGTCAAAAAAAAAAAAAAAAAAAAAAAGTCTTAATCAGAACAACTATGTCTCCAAATCCAAAAGTCATTTTGTTTGCTTCAGATCCCTTTAAGCCCTGTTGATCTTAGTTACTACCTTGGACAAAACAACCTGAGCCAGTCTCTTGAAGATACTGTGCCTAATTAACTGTACTACTTAGGACTCTGGAAGCCAGACAGAGTGTTTAAGGGACTGCCTAGGTAATGAGCTGAATGGTCCCTCTTCTCTCCGAGTCCTGGATGGTGTATAGTCAAACCCAAGGGAAGCCTTAATGCTGTTGGATCAAGTGAAGGATAAGAAAGATCTACTGCCTTGGACCTTCTAGGGTTTACCACATAGTCAAGTTCTATAGGCTGGGAAAATTGCTTGCCTTTCTTCTACCTGGTGGTCTTAATTTTGTACCTGTTTATCAGTTGAGGGAGACGACTGGGTCATGTCAATGGCTGTTAACAGACTAAAGTTTTTTAACTCACAGGTCTTCTGGCTCATCCCCCCTACAGCCCACAACCTGGAGCTGTACGAGAATTGGCTGCTGTCAGGGAAACAGGGAGACATCTTTCTGGGTGACCGGGTATCAGATTGTCAGCGCATTGAGCTCAAGCAGGGCTATACCTTCGTCATTCCCTCAGGTAAGCAAAATGGGAAGAGTGGGTTATTTAGCCATTTTTTTCCTTAATGAAAAAGAAATTGATGGATTACCACCAAGAATAGTTATGATGCTGGGCGTCTGCAGAAAACAACAGTGTTTCTTCCTGTCATTATGGAATAGATGCTGAGGTTTTGTTTGTTTTGTTTTCAGTTTGAAAAGGCAGTGGTTTTCCAATAAAGTATATGAGAATTGCCAGCAGAGGCTTTTCAGGTATACACGTTTGGGCTCTGCATTAGCCCTAGTAATTTAGAATCTCTATAGATAGGACCTGTTCTGCAGGTGATACACAATCTATGTTGAAGAACTGCCTACTATTCTAGGGAATGGCTGTGAAGGCTGGAGTGCTCAGTCAGGGATGTTTTTGATCAAGTCATTAAATCAAAGTAAGTGCTTATAAAGATCACAGATTTTGGAGTCACAGACCTCTATTAGGATTCTGACTATGCATTTACCTGCTAGATACTACGCTTAGAGCAAATATTTAAATCTGTGTCTCATTTTGTTATAAGGAATATAAATGAGAACACATGTAAACCAAGCTTATCCAACCTGCAGGCCACAGGCCTCATGCAGCCCAGGATGGCTTTGAATGTGGCCTAACACAAATTCATAAGCCTTCTTAAAACATTATGAGATTTTTTTTTTTGCAATTATTTAAGCTTGTCAGCTGTCATTAGTATTAGTATATTTTATTTTATTTATTTATTTATTTATTTTGAGATGGAGTCTTGCTCTGTAGCCTCAGGCTGGAGTGCAGTAGCGTGATCTTGGCTCACTGCAACCTCCACCTCCCAGGTCCCAGTTCAAGCAATTCTCCTGTCTCAGCCTCCCGAGTAGCTGGGATTACAGGTGTGCACCACCATGCCCAGCTAATTTTTGTATTTTTACTAGAGACGGGGTTTCACCATGTTGGCCAGGCTGGTCTTGAACTCCTGACCTCGTGATCCACCCGCCTCAGCCTCCCAGAGTGCTGGGATTATAGGCGTGAGCCCCCGCGCCAGGTCATGTTAGCGTATTTTATGTGTTGCCCAAGCAATTCTTCTTCCAGTGTGGCCCAGGGAAGCCAAAAGATTGGACACCCCTGAATTGTAAACTATCTTGTACAGAGCCTGGTTTATAGTTGGTGCTCCAGTAAACGTTTATTATGTGCTAAGCATTTGATGTGCATTTTCTCATTTAATGCTCATGAGCAACCATAAGAGGTATTATTTATCCTGGTTTTATAGAGGAAATTGAGGCTTTGAGAGATTAAGTAACTTGACAAACCACTAAGAAGCAGAATCAGAGTGAAGAGTGTGATCTAGGGGTCTTGTACTAGTTCTCTGAGAGAGACTTACTGTAATGTGTGTTTTCAGCCACTGCCCTCTGTTCCCCTTCTCCTAGGCTGGATTCATGCTGTGTATACTCCTACAGACACATTAGTGTTTGGGGGCAATTTTTTGCATAGCTTCAACATCCCTATGCAGTTAAAAATATACAACATTGAAGATCGGACACGGGTAAGTAATCTTATGTAACAGTTGCATGTGAAGAGGTTTACTCCAGTTATGATAGATGTTACAAGAGATTCACTGATGGTTTATCAAAACTTCCATTTTTCTTTCAGTTAAAATGCAGTGTTGACATTTTGGGAACACACAAAATTTTAAATTTAATTTTTTTTTTTTTAAGGCAGAATCTTGTTCTGTTTTCCAGGCTAGAGTGCAGTGGCGTGATCATGGATGATTGCAGCCTCAACCTCCCAGGCTCAAGCATCTTCCTGCCTCAGCCTCCCAAGTAGCTGGGACCGTGGGTGCACACCACATCTGACTAATTTTTAATTTTTTTCGTAGAGACTTGGTCTCACTGCGTTGCCCAGGCTGGTCTAGAACTCCTGGTTCAAGCAGTCCTCCCACCTCAGCCTCCCAAAGTGCTGGGATTACAGGTGTGAGCCACTGCGACTGGCCAAATAAAAATTTTAACACGATTTACATACTCCGTTTTAGGGACTCCAATTCTGTGAGGTTTTTGGTATCTTGGATTTCTTTTTCTTTCCTTTTTTTAAAATTTTATTTTATTTTATTTTATTTTTTAGCCAACACCATAGTGAATGGGAAAAAGTAACATTTTTTTCTTTTAATATTTGGGACAGAGTCTCACTCTGTTGCCCAGGCTGGTGTGCAGTGTCACAGTCATGGCTCACTGCAGCCTCAACCTCCCTGGGCTCAGTTGATCCTCCCACCTCAGCCTCCCAGGTAGCTGGGACTACAGGCACACGCCACCACATGCAGCTAATTTTTTTGTATTTTTTGGAGATGGGTTTTTGCTGTGTTGCCCAGGCTTGTCTTGAACTCCTGGGCTCAAGTGATCTGCCCGCTTTGGCCTCCTAAAGTGCTGGGATTACAAGTGTGAGCTACTGCATCCCACAGTATCTTGGATTTTTATAAGGCCAGACATTTACCTCTGGTAATCTCTTGAGCCATGTGTTTCATTTTTATGCTCACAGAATAATTTGGTGTAATGGGGCTTATCAACCCAAATTTCAGAACTTTAAATTCATGTATCTTTTTCTACACTGATGACTATACTCAAAGCATCTTACTTTAATTATATAAATGTATATACTGTCTTTCTCAACTGGGGTTTCAAGAGAGAATTAAGCCCAAAATAAAATAATTTGTGTATCTTATTTTCTCATTTTTCTCTAGGATGATACACAGCTAATACCCTTCTAGATGCATAGAAAAAAGTTAATTTATTATATACAATGGATACCTTAAGGCAAGAGTTGACAAACTTTTCCTGCAAAGGACCAGATAGTAAATATTTTAGGCTTCGTGGGTCATAAAGTGTCTATTGTAACTGTTTAACCCTACCTTGTAGCATGAAATACTTAAACAAATGAGTGTGGCTCAAATAATATAAAATTTTATTCATAGACACTGAAAGTTGAATTTCAGATAACTTTAACATGTCACAGAATACTCTTAAATTTTTTTCAACCATTAAAAAATGTAAAAAACGATCCTTTTATATAGTTCATGATCATGATTAGGTGTTCATGCACGTATGTGAAAGATGCCACCCTTGAACCTTGTTACTATTAATACGTCAGCACATTACCTGTCTGACCCGAAAAAAAAAAAAAAAGGTAAAAAACACTCCTAGTTCACAGGAATCATAAAAAGAGGCAGCAGGCCAAATCCACTAAGTGTTGTTTGCTGGCTAGCCTCCACCTTAGAGAATGAGAGCTTATTTTTTAGCAGAATTCTAATTGGTAAGGGCTGAATCATATATGAAAGTATAGATGATACTGGGATTAAACAGCAATTAGAATATTTGGGGGTTGTGATGTTTGTAAGTTACTCTCAAGTAGCTTAGCAGAATACTAAGCTAGTATGGAGATGAGCAGATGTGGAGAAATGTTAACAGTTGGAGAATTGCAGAGAAGAGTGTAGAACTATTAATGCTACTGCTCTTGAAACTTTTTGGTAGAATTAAAAGTATTAAAAATTTTAAAATAACAATTAATGAAGAATTCACAACTTTTATATGAATGGTCTTTTATATATTATAGGAATGGTCACTGACCTATGTACTGCAATAATAGTCAACCATTATGGTGCCTATTTTGCAACATTTATTTTGGTGTAGGAGTTACGTATCACTATACACATCATTGATATTATTGTTGGAGTTACAGGAATTGCCCTACTAGTAGAATTAAGAGAGGAAGCCAGTGCTTCTTCAACACATTTTATAAAAGTACATTTCTTTTTATTTGTTAAGAGTAACAAAAGTACAGTTCAGGCACAGGGGCTCATACCTGTAATTCCAACCCTTTGAGAGCCCAAAGTGGGAGGATTATGTGAAGCAAGGAGTTTGAGACTCTCCTGGGCAACAAAGCCGGGTGTGGTGGTGCATGCCTGTAATCCTAGCTACTGGGGAGGCTGAGGTGAGAGGATTGCTTGAACCTAGGAGTTCCAGGTTGCAGTGAGCTATGTTGGTGCCACTGTACTCCAGCCTGGGTGGAAGAGTGAGACACAGTCTGTTAATTTAAAAAAAAAAAAGATGTCTATTCTAAAATAGGTAAATATTCTAAAATAGGGAAAATGTTTCAAAAGAAAAAAAATGTATAATTCCATAGTAAAATACTCCTGTTTAACTCTGTCATTCTTTTTTTTTTTTTTTTTTTTAATTTATTTTTTTATTGATAATTCTTGGGTGTTTCTCACAGAGGGGGATTTGGCAGGGTCATGGGACAATAGTGGAGGGAAGGTCAGCAGATAAACAAGTGAACAAAGGTCTCTGGTTTTCCTAGGCAGAGGACCCTGCGGCCTTCCGCAGTGTTTGTGTCCCTGATTACTTGAGATTAGGGATTGGTGATGACTCTTAACGAGCATGCTGCCTTCAAGCATCTGTTTAACAAAGCACATCTTGCACCGCCCTTAATCCATTTAACCCTGAGTGGACACAGCACATGTTTCAGAGAGCACAGGGTTGGGGGTAAGGTCACAGATCAACAGGATCCCAAGGCAGAGGAATTTTTCTTAGTGCAGAACAAAATGAAAAGTCTCCCATGTCTACTTCTTTCTACACAGACACGGCAACCATCCGATTTCTCAATCTTTTCCCCACCTTTCCTGCCTTTCTATTCCACAAAGCCGCCATTGTCATCCTGGCCCGTTCTCAATGAGCTGTTGGGCACACCTCCCAGACGGGGTGGTGGCCGGGCAGAGGGGCTCCTCACTTCCCAGTAGGGGCGGCCGGGCAGAGGCGCCCCTCAAAACTCTGTCATTCTTAGAGGTAATTATGTACCCATTCTAAGATTCAGTCTGAAAATTGGTTTTTAGAATGTGTTCCCTTTTTATGGTTAAAGATGACTCTTACACCTGGGTCTTATACACTGGTTCAGTTTCAGGGAAGAAAAGGAAAATACATATTCAGTAACATAAAGTGAGTACCTTATCCCCTGCATGAAGAGTTTTCTACGTAAAGAGAAGAAAAATAAGGGGGAAAAAAAAAAAAGGCCAGGCACAGTGGCTCACACCTGTAATCCCAACACTTTGGGAGGCTAGGCAGGCAGATTACCTGAGGTCAGGAAGTTGAGACCAGCGTGAGCAACATGAAGAAACCCTGTCTCTACTAAAAATACAAAATTAGCCAGGCGTGGTGGCACATGCCTGTAATCCCAGCTACTCAGGAGGCTGAGGCAGGAAAATCGCTTGAACCTGGGAGGCGGAGGTTGCAGTGAGCCAAGATCGTGCCATTGCACTCCAGCCTGGGCGACAAGAATGAAACTCCATCTCAAAAAAAAAAAAAAAAAATTATTTCCAAAAAATGCTAACCCAGTCTTAGAAATTGATATGCGGCATAAGTAAAAAGCAATGGGGTCAGGTTGGGTATGTGGTATCTCTTGGCTATAATTAATACAGTCTTATAAGTTACGAGTAAAAACTCAAAATTTTAATGCCTGTATTTCATATTTTCTTCCTTTTTTCTTTCTTATTTATTTATTTATTTATTTATTTATTTTTGACACAGGGTCTCACTCTGTCACCCAGGCTGGAGTGCAGTAGCATGATCTCAGCTCATTGCAGCCTCAACCTCGTAGGCTCAAGTGATCCTTCTGCCTCAGCCTCCTGAGTAGCTGGGACCACAGACGCACACCACCACACCTGGCTAGTTTTTTTATTTTTATTTTTTTGTAGAAACGAGGTTTTACTATGCTGCCCAGGCTCGTCTCAAACTCCTGGGCTCAAGCAGTCCTCCAGCCTCAGGCCCCCAAAGCCTTGGGACCACGGGCATGAGCCACTATGCCCAGACTCTTCTTTTTTTTAAACTGTCATTATTACTCAGCTTTCAACTGATTTCCAGAGGGCTTTAGAATTTGGAGTTGTCCTGAACTCCTAATAAAAACCCTTCCAGAAAGTGTTGCTATACTTAAAAGGCTAATGGAGAGGCGTAGTGTATTATATTTAATTTTGAGGGACCAAATACCTATTGGTTGTTGTCTCTCTCCTCTGTCTCCCTTAGTCAGAAATAAATTAATTTTACTTCCGTGTAAGAGAGTCATTCTTTTAGTTGTTAAAAGTTTTAGCCACATAAGAAACCAGAATCAGGGTCTGGCTACTATGCATTAGAAAACTGATTGGGGCTAACTATGAAAAGTACATCTCCTCTCCTGCCTTGCCATGGGGAGAGTGATCTCCTTATTCCCCAGTGATGCCCTGTGGCCTGGTGAAGGTTTTTGAAAAGGGACTCCTATCCAGTTCTCCGTGATTCAGGAACACTACCCGATATAGAGTTTGTAAACGGGTAGGTGAAGTCATCCCTACAATATGGGAGGAGATGGGAACATTCTCAGGAGCTGCATATTCAAAACAGTATCATTTGGCTTATCCTTTTGAAATATGGCCTCTCTAAAAGAAAGCTGTATGGCCAGATATGGTGGTTCATGCCTATAATCCCAAGTACTTTTTGGGAGTTTGAAGCGAAGGATCACTTAATCCCAGGAGTTTAAGACCAGCCTGGACAACATAGTGAGACCCTGTCCGTACCAAAAATTAACCCCTTTCTTTTTTTTTTTTTTTTTTTTTTGAGACAGAGTCTCGCTCTGTCCCCCAGGCTGGAGTGCAGTGGTGCGATCTCAGCTCACTCTGCAAGCTCCGCCTCCTGGGTTCACACCATTCTCCTGCCTCAGCCTCCCGAGTAGCTGGGGCTACAGGCACCCGCCACCAAGCCCGGCCAATTTTTATATTTTTAGTAGAGATGGGGTTTCACTGTGTTAGCCAGGATGGCCTTGATCTCCTGACCTCATGATCCACCCACCTCAGCCTCCCAAAGTGCTGGGATTGCAGGCTTGAGCTATCTTGTCCGGCCAAAATTAATCCCTTTCTCATTTTCCCCAATGATACTCACCAGGGGCACTTGGCAGCTGCAGCATTTTTTTTTTTTTTTTTTTTTTTTTTTTTGGAGACAGAGTTTCGCTGCTGTTGTCCAAGCTGGAGTGCAGTGGTGTGATCTCAGCTCACTGCAACCTCCACCTCCCAGGTTCAAACAATTCTCCTGCCCAGGCATCCCGAGTAGCTGGGATTACAGGTATGCACCACCACGCTAATTTTTGTATTTCTAGTAGAGACGGGGTTTCAGCAGGCTGGTCTCGAACTCTTGACCTCAGGTGATCCACTTGCCTTGGCCTCCCAAAGCGCTGGGATTACAGGTGTGAGCCATCACGCCCGGCGGCTGCAGCATTTACCCCAAGATAACTTTGCCACGAACTATCTCGCTTTTATTATTTTCACATCACTCTAGTATACTGACTTTGAAAACAAAAGATATCATTCTATTTATAGCATTCTGTTTTTAGTAGTGGTATTTCTACTTACAAAATATAGTTATTCTTGATTGCTGAAAATGTCAAATCCTAGAAAACATAGCATTCCTATGCGTGATGTTAACATCATTCTTGGGCAGGCGTGGTGGCTTATGCCTGTAATGCCAGCACTTTGGGAGGCTGAGGCGGGCGAATCACTGGAGTTCAGGAGTTCGAGACCAACCTGGCCAACATGGTGAAACCCCGTCTCTACTAAAAATACAACAATTGGCCAGTCACGCTGGCTCACGCCTGTAATCCCAGCACTTTGGGAGGCCGAGGTGGGTGGATCACCTGACGTTGGGAGTTCGAAACCAGTCTGACCAACATGGAGAAGGCGTGTTTCTACTAAAAATACAAAATTAGCCAGGTGTGGTGGCGCATGCCTGTAATCCCAGCTACTCGGGAGGCTGAGGCAGGAAAATCGCTTGAACTCAGAGGCACAGGTTGCGGTGAGCCGAGATCACACCACTGGACTCTAGCCTGGGCAATAAGCACAAAACTCTGTCTCTAAATAAATAAATAGCTGGGCACGGTGGCTCATGCCTGTAATCCCAGCACTTTGGGAGGCTGAGGCAGGTGGATCACCTGAGGTCAGGAGTTCGAGACCAGCCTGGCCAAGATGGTGAAACCCCGTCTCTACTAAAAACATAAAAATTAGCTGGTCATGGTGGTGCACACCTGTAATCCCAGCTACTTGGGAGGCTGAGGCAGGAGAATCGCTTGAACCCAGGAGGTGGAGGTTGCAGTGAGCCAAGATTGCACCATTGCAGTCCAGCCTGGGCAACAAGAACAAAACTGTGTCAAAAAAGAGTAAAAATAAATAAATAAATAAATTTAAAATAACAATTAGCCAGGTGTAGGGGCACACACCTATAATCCCAGCTGCTCAGGAGGCTGAGGCAGGAGAATTGCTTGAACCCAGGAGGTGGAGGTTGCAGTGAGCCGAGATCCCACCACTGCACACTAGCCTTGGTGACAGAGCGAGATTCCATCTCAAAAAAAAAATAATAATATATCATTCATGAACAGTTGTTGGCCAGAGATTCATTTGATGGATCTGATTTTTCTGAAATAGACAATCCTGATGATTCAGACCATCCTGCTGTTAGTTTTGTTTAGAAATAACTCCAAAGACAGTTTTTATATTTTATGTTCACCTTGAAAATCAATCAGATTTCCAGCCAGGCGCAGTGGCTCACGCCTGTAATCCCAGAACTTTGGGAGGCCAAGGCGGGCAGATCACGAGGTCAGGAGATCGAGACCATCCTGGCTAACATGGTGAAACCCCGTCTCTACTAAAAATACAAAAAATTAGCCGGGCGTGGTGGCGGGCGCTTGTAGTACCAGCTACTCAGGAGGCTGAGGCAGGAGAATGGTGTGAACCCGGGAGGTGGAGCTTGCAGTGAGCCGAGATCGCGCCACTGCACTCCAGCCTGGGCAACAGAGCAAGACTCCGTCTCAAAAAACAAACGAAAATCAATCAGATTTCCTTCAGCATCAAAGAGCATGTTTATGTAAAATTAAATGAGCACTGGCCGCGAGCTGCTCTTTTATTTTCTAAAAGGGAAATGGGTTAATAAATTAGCCAGGTGTGGTGGCATACACTTGTAATCTCGGCTACTGGGGAGGCTTTGGTGGGAGGATGATAGCCTGGGTGAAAGAGCAAGACCCTGTCTCTAAAAGTTAAAAAAAAATGGTTTCAAAAAAAGGCAACAAAATATATTTAGGATAGTCCCCATCATTGGTCTTCCTCACTGATTAATCTGTGCTGATTTGTCCTTTCCTGGACTGTGATATATCTAAAGAGTACCTTTTAAAATTAGTATCCAGCTGAAATAATAATGAAAATGCTCTTTTGGGAAGAATGGAAAGAAAATAAAGACAGTGATTGATTAAGTCGTATGGAACATTAATCTGGTTTGTGGACATACCATTTTGGCAGACTACAAAGTATGAGGCAGGCAAGCTGAGCATCGATAGTGGAGAAAATACCCAACCTGGTGCCCCTAGACTAGACACGGTCTGAGAGTGAGTCTCTAGTCAAACTTTAGTATTTGTAATAGCCTAATATGAACATGTCACTTCATCTCATGTCCTGTTTTTCCATGAGATTCTTTGTTCCATGGCCTTCTGATTCAGGGGCAAATATAGTAAAGCAAGAGTACTTTGCATGCCTTTTTTTCAAGTATTTTGTGTCTTACTCTTACATTTTACTCTGTCCCAGAACCGAAACTTTCATTGTTTTGATGCTTTCCCACTCAACCAAGACAGCTTCTTGGTGGTTCTAAATGGTCTTCCTCAAGTACCTTTTTTTGTTGTTGTTGTTCAGACGGAGTCTCACTCTGTAGCCCAGACTGGAGTGCAGAGGCGTGATCTCAGTTCACTGCAACCTCCGCCTCCCAGGATCAAGTGATTCTCATTCCTCAGCCTCCCGAGTAGCTGGGATTACAAGGTGTGCACCACCACACCTGGCTAATTTTTGTATTTTTAGTAGAGGTAGGGTTTCACCATGTTGGTCAGGCTGGTCGCGAACTCCTGACCTCAAGTGATCCACCCGTCTGGGCCTCCCAAGTACCCTTTATCTTCAGTGATTGTTTCTCAAGACCAACGTTTTCTAAGTTGATGGTTCTGCTTAAGTTTTTGCTTCAGATGCCAAGCTGGGTTTGCAGGTTGACTGGTGAGAGTATTTCCTGGGTTAATGATTACAGTAATTCCATTTGTTGTACTCTCTTTCCTTGAAAATCGTCATCTTTTCTCTATTTTATTCCTCTGTAGGTTCCAAATAAGTTTCGCTATCCATTCTACTATGAGATGTGTTGGTATGTGTTGGAGCGCTATGTGTACTGCATAACCAACCGTTCCCACCTAACTAAGGAATTTCAGAAAGAGTCCCTCAGCATGGGTAAGTATTCTGCCTATAGGAGCTTTGAAGACACCGCTTAGGTCTGAGGGTGAGGCCCGAAATACTCAGTAGGCTGTCACTCAATATGTTCTTGGTTTTTTAATTCATCTACTTGGAAGTACCAAATTCATCACTGGAATTGAATACCAGTTACCTACCCAGATGTGAGTTAATGGCCAAATGAAATACTCTGGATCTGATCTTTGTCTGAGTTGCTATTACTTAGCTCCTCAAGAAGGATGATCAAGCCGGACACGCTGGTTCACGCCTGTAATCCTAGCACTTTGGGAGGCCAAGGTGGGCGAATGGCTTGAGCCCAGGAGTTAAGACCAGCCTGGGAAACATGGCAAAACCCCATCTCTACAGAAACTACAGAAAATTGGGTAGGCATGGTGGCTCGAGTCCCAGCTGCTCAGGAGGCTGAGGTGGGAGGATCACTGGAACCCAGGAGGTTGAGGCTGCAGTGAGCCGAAGATCATGCCACTGCACTCTAGCCTGGGCGACAGAGTGAAACCCTGTTGCGAAAAAAAAAAAAAAAAAGAAAGAAAGAACGATGATCAGTTGTCTAATATGCTTTTTGTTTTTGTTTTAGAGACAGGGCCTTGCCCTGTCGTCCAAGTTGAATTGCAGTGGCGTGATCATAGCTCACTGTAACCTCAAACTCCTGGGCTCAAGCAATCCCCCTCCTGAGTAACTAGGATTACAAGCACACACCACTATGCCCAGCTAATTCTTACTTTCTGTAGAGATGAAGTCTTGCTCTGTTGCCCAGGCCGGTCTTAAACTCCTGGCTTCAAGCTGTCCTCCTGCCTCCACCTCCCAAATTGGAATTACAGGTGTGAGCCACCACTCCTGGCCCGGTTGTCTAATGCGTTTTATTGTATAAAGAATGGTCTTTGGCACAATAAAAACTAGGAATACATCATCAGAATAACCTGTTGTATTCTAGGCACTATACTAAGCAATTTACATTTATGAAATTCTTATTATTACCTGAGAGATAGGTATTATTATCCTCATTTTACAAATGGGAACATTAAGGTTCAAGGATATTTAAAAACTTGTCCATGATCTTAAAGTTAATAAGTGACAAAGCTACAGCTTTTAGAGTCTGACCAGCTTGGTTCAGCTTCACAGCTTAAACCAGGTTGGTCAGACTCTGCAGTTTATGCTCTTTATCTCTGTGCTTTCAAGTTTCCCCAACATCTATCAGAGAAATATTTTAATTAGATGACAGTGTAGTTTCAGTATACATTTTTAGACTCTTATATGTCTGAAACTGGTGAGGACTCAACACCATAATATCCTGGGATCACATGTTCTTATGGAATCTTTAATCCAAGCAAGATATTTTTTGCTTTAGCATTTTACTTTTACTGCATAATTTTACTCATAGTTTATATTCTCAGTTGAAAATAAAAAATGGGCCTGGCACGGTGGCTCACACCTGTAATCCCAGCACTTTGGGAGGCTGAGGCGGGCGGATCATGAGGTCAGGAGTTCGAGACCAGCCAGGCCAATATGGTGAAACCCTGTCTCTACTAAAAAATACAGAAATTAGCCAGGCGTGGTGTTGCGCACCTGTAGTACCAGGTACTCGGGAGGCTGTGGCAGGAGAATCACTTGAACCCGGGAGGTGGAGGTTGCAGTGAGCCGAGATCACGCCACTGCACTCCAGCTTGGGCGACAGAGTGAGACTCCGTCTCAAAAAGAAAAAAAAAAATACATCTAGGCCGGGTGTGGTGGCTCACACCTGTAATCCCAGCACTTTGGGAGGCCGAGGAGGGCCAATCACGAGGTCAGGAGATCGAGACCATCCTGGCTAACATGGTGAAACCCCGTCTCTACTAAAAATACAAAAAATTAGCTAGACGTGGTGGCAGGCACCTGTAGTCCCAGCTATTTGGGAGGCTGAGGCAGAAGAATGGCGTGAACCCAGAAGGTGGAGCTTGCAGTGAGCTGAGATGGCACCACTGCACTCCAGCCTGGGTGACAGAGCGAGACTCCGTCTCAAAAAAAAAAAAAAATACATCTAATAGAGCTAGGCACTGTGATGAGCACCTGTAGTCCCAGCTAGTTGGGAGGCTAAGGCAGGAGGATCACTTGAGTCCAAGAGTTCAAGACCAGCTTAGGCAACATAGTGACACCCCCATCTCAAAAAGTAACCAACAAAACACATATAGACCAGGCATGGTGGCTCATGCCTGTGATCTCAGTACTTTAGGAAACCAAGGTGGAAGGCACACCTAAGTCCAAGAGGTTGAGACCAGCCTGGGCAACATGACCAGACCCTGTCTACAAAAATTTTTTAAATTAGCTGAGTGTTGGGGCACATGCCTCTGGTCCCAGCTGTTTGGGAGGCTATTGTGGGAGGATTGCTTGAGCCCAGGAGGTTGAGGCTGCAGTGAGCCATGATTGCATCACTGCACTCCAGCCTGGGCAAAAGAGTGAGAACCTGTCTCAAAACAAACAAACCACAACATAAAAAAAAAAAACCCACATAATAATCATACACATCTGTTAAAGCATGGAAAGAAAGTATATTGTACTGTTCAGTTGTTATCGTAGGATGGAGGGATAAGGGATGACTTATTTACCGCTTTGCGCCTTCTTGCATTTTCTAAATTATAAAAGAAAAGACTGGTGAACATTTATCACTGTGTTTTGACTATCAAAATCTTCCTTTTCAAAAATAGTCACTTTGTTTTGTTACTTATGTTGTTAGAATTTCAACTCCAAAGCTTGATTTTAAGACCAAAACTTCAGACAAAAAAAAAAAGTTTTTTGGTTTTTTTTTGTTTGTTTTTTTTTGAGACAGGGTCTCACTCTCTTGCCCAGGCTGGAGTGCAGTAATATGATCGCAGCTCACTGCAGCCTCAACCTCCCAGGCTCAAGCAGTCTTCCCACCTCACCCTCCCTAGTATCTGGGACCACAGTCATGCATCACTATACCCAGCTAATTTTTTTAATGTAGAGATGGGGTCTCACTATGTTGCCCAGGCTAAAACTATTTTTTAAACATACATGCTTCTTAGTGTCTTCTCTTTTAAAAGGTAATGAAATAATAATCCCAGATTCAAGCTTTAACTTGAAACTGACTTTACAACCACTTTGATAAGTAACTGATTTCTAGTACACAGTTCAAAGACTAGGTCCTACCCAAACTTTAAAAAATCCAATTGACTATTACCTAGGTGTCCTCCTAGGTCAGGATCCTGTTTCTACCTGTTAACTGTGATTTTGAACAGTGGACAAATGGGTTGGAATAAAGATAGACCATTTTTTTAAATGTGGTAATTTTGTCATTTATAGCCTCAAGGCCCCTATCATGCCACCTATTTCTCTTGCTGATCACATGGCAGAGTGAAATGTTCTTACTGCATTTTTTCTTCATATTGGTAGATTTGGAGTTAAATGGGTTGGAGTCTGGGAATGGGGATGAGGAAGCAGTGGATCGAGAACCCCGACGCTTGAGCAGCAGGCGTTCTGTCCTCACTAGCCCTGTAGCGAATGGAGTCAACCTGGATTATGATGGACTGGGCAAAACCTGCCGAAGTCTTCCAAGTCTGAAGAAAACTTTGGCTGGGGACTCATCTTCTGACTGTAGCCGGGGCTCCCACAATGGACAAGTGTGGGATCCCCAGTGTGCTCCCCGAAAGGACAGGCAAGTGCATCTGACCCATTTTGAGCTTGAAGGCCTTCGCTGCCTTGTAGATAAGTTGGAGTCTCTGCCACTGCACAAGAAATGTGTCCCCACAGGGATAGAAGATGAAGATGCTCTCATTGCTGATGTAAAGGTAAGGGTTTGATGTGTTACATGACAGCTACTGATCCAGCTATGGCAGTCAGCTTCCAGATTCAGAGGGAGAAAATATAGGAATTTTGGGTGATCTCTGGTTCAGTCAGAGAGAAGTTAATATGCATGTGTGTTTGTTATTGCTGCTCAGTGTTTTCATTACTAGAATGAGGTTATGTCCCTGTTTTGAAAATACTAACATTTATGTGTTCATTGAAGACTTATAAATTTAGTCTTAAACATAGGTTTCAGGCTGACCCCAAAAATAAAGTGACCCAAAGAAAATATTTATATAAGAAATGTTACATTAAACTTAAGTTACCTTGAGATAAAACTCAGGACAAAAGTGACTGATAGGAGTCTCATCCTAAGCAGATTGAGAGAAATGAAATTGTTCTATGCTGGGTTAACGTTGAGTAGCTTTAGCCTCTTTAGATTCAAATTTATCTAGCATCAAGACTTAAATACATTGGGAAAAGCATCATTTTAAAATAATTCATCCCATTGCTTTATCAAGTTTTATGTTTATTTATTTTTTAATTATACTTTAAGTTCTAGGGTACATGTGCACAACGTGCAGGTTTATTACATAGACATACATGTGCCATGTCAGTTTGCTGCACCCATTGACTCGTCATTTATGTTAGGTATTTCTCCTAATGCTATCCCTCCTCCAGCTCCCCTTCATATTGTATATTTTTCTTAAGGAATCCAGACTTGAGCTTTTTTTTTTTTTTTTAATTTTAATTAATTAATTAATTTATTTGAGACGGAGTCTCACTCTGTCGCTCAGGTTGGAGTGCAATGGCAAGATCTCGGCTCACTGCAACCTCCACCTCCCGGGTTCAAGCAGTTCTCGTGCCTCAGCCTCCTGAGTAGCTGAGATTACAGACACGTGCCACCATGCCTGGCTAATTTTTTTATATTTTTGATAGAGATGGGGTTTCACCATGTTGGCCAGGCTGGTCTCGAACTCTTGACCTCAGGTGATCTGCCTGCCTCAGCCTCCCAAAGTGCTGGGATTACGGGCATGAGCCTCCACACCCAACCTTGAGCTATCTAAACTGGAGGAAATTATTTTAAGTCTTTCCTCCTAAGTAACAATTAATGTGAAGACCAAGAATTGTAAAGCTGGAAATAGCAATTTTATTTTTAAATCAGTGTTTGGAACAATGGGTATGTATATTAGAAAGCTAATCTACAAGTTGTAATGTTATTTTGAAAACCTCACATAGATTATTTTAAGCTACTTTTAAGCCATTTTATAAATTTAGGGGGGCCAGGCACAGTGGCTCACACCTGTAATCCTAGCACTTTGAGAGGCCAAGGTGGGAGGATCACCTGAGGTCAGGAGTTCGAGACCAGCCTGGCCAACATGGTGAAACCCCATCTCTACTAAAAATACAAAAAAAGGCTCAGTGCGATGTCTCATGCCTGTAATCCCAGCACTTTGGGAGGCCGAGGCAGGTAGATCACGAGGTCAGGAGTTCAAGATCAGCCTGGCCAAGATGGTAAAACCCCGTCTCTACTAAAAATACAAAAATTAGCTGGGTGTGGTGGCAGACACCTGTAATCCCAGCTACTCAGGAGGCTGAGGCAGGAGAATCCCTTGAACCTGGGAGGCAAAGGTTGCAGTGAGCCGAGATTGCGCCATTGCACTCCAGCCTGGGTGATGGAAGTGAAACCCTGTCTCAACAACAACAACAACAAATCCATTGGAGTAGTTTAACTAAAGTAGCTAAATAAGGAGATTTGAGGTGAAAGGGTGGTACAATGGTATACCAAAGGAAAAAGTAGAAAGATTTGGGTTAAATATTAAGCAGAGTCAGCAAGAAGAGAGGGGAGTTAAGAAGAGACATCTAAAGAGGAGGCTTAGCATTATGAAAAGTGTCCGGAGATAGCTTGCTTGTGTTTATCAGGGACCACTGAAAAACGTGACTGCCATCACTGGCTAAGATATAGTGGCAGAGGCCAGAGCATGAGGAACAAGTAGCCAGTGAGATGACTACACAGGCCGACAGTGTTTGAATTCTCCCTCCAGAGACTTGTCCACAGCTTCTCGTTTACCCAAAACCACAGTCAAAATGTAGCTGACGTCAGAAGACAACAGATTTAGATTCCAGCTCTGCAGGTGTAGTTTCACTTAAGATCAAATAGATTAATTATTCCTATATTTGATCAGTTATGCTAAATCTCAGAAAAGATATAGCAAGCTTAGAGCTTGAATACCTTGAGAATCTAAGCATCACTCAAAAGAAAAAAGCATTAGATTGGGTAGCTGCTGAATCACTGCACAGCTGGGGACTTTCAAGTGCTAGAAAACTTGGTGCTTATAGCACTGATGGCTATACTTCAGTGGGGGACAAAGCTAGTACAGTTTACCCTTCCTGCAGAGAAAGGAATTGTTTGCTGTTGTAACCTATCTGGCTTTCAGGAATAATTAGTAGAAGAGATGAGGGGAAAAGTGGTAGATGAGATATTCATAATATTCCAAGGAAAAATAGTGCATTTCAGTGCTGTGATAAAAGGGCTTTTTTTAGGTTCTAAGGCGTTGAAGAACAAGTCATAGAATATAGAGTTGGAAGAGGATTAAGTGAAAAAATAGGACATTAAAAAGTACTGACTTGGGCTGAGCCCAGTGGCTCACACCTCTTGTCCTAGTGCTTTAGGCGGCAGACGCAGGCAGATCTCTTGAGACCAGCCTGGGCAACGTGGCGAAACCTCACCTCCACAAAAATACAAAATTATCCAGGTGTGGTGGTGTGTGTTTGTGATCCCAGCTACGTGGAAGGCTGAAGTGGGAGGATCACTTGAGCTGGGCAAGTTGAGGCTTCACTGAGCTGTGATCTCACCACTGCACTCCAGTCTGGGCAAAAGAGTGAGACCTTGTCTCAAAAAGAAAGTAGGCCGGGCATGGTGGCTCATGCCTGTAGTCCCAGCACTTTGGGAAGCTGAGGCGGGCGGATCATGAGGTCAGGAGATCAAGACCATCCTTGCTAACATGGTGAAACCCCGTCTCTAGAAAAAATACAAAAATTAGCCAGGTGTCTTGGCGGGCGCCTGTATTCCCAGCTACTTGGGAGGCTGAGGCAGGAGAATGGCGTGAACCCGGGAGGCGGAGCTTGCAGTGAGCCCAGATGGCACCACTGCACTCCAGCCTGGGTGACAGAGCAAGACTCCATCTCAAAAAAAAAAAAAAAAGAAAAAAGAAAGGAAGTATTGCCTTACCGGTAAACTGGTAAAGCTATCAGCGTGTGTATGAGGTTCTGTTTGGGAGGGGTTGTGGGTAATGTTGACTCTTGAAAGTGTACATAGGTAGAATAGGGTTTTCCTACTATGAGAATTTTTTTTTTTTTTTTTTTGAGACTGAGTTTCACTGTTTTTGCCCAGGCTGGAGTGCAATGGCGCAGTCTTGGCTCACCACAACCTCCACCTCCCAGGTTCAAGCAATTCTCCTGCCTCAGCCTCCCGAGTAGCTGGGATTACAGGCATGCACCACCACCCTGGCTAATTTTGTATTTTTAGTAGAGACTGGGCTTCTTCATGTTGTTCAGGCTGGTCTTGAACTCCTGACCTCAGATGATCCACCCGCCTCTGCCTCCCAAAGTGCTGGAATTACAGGCGTGACACCGCGCCCGGCTGCTTTTTTGTTTTGTTTTGTTTTGTTTTGTTTTGTTTTTGAGACAGAGTCTTGCTCTGTCACCTAGGCTGGGGTGCAGTGGCGCCATCTCGGCTCACTGCAGCCTCCACCTCCTGGGTTCAAGTGATTCTCCTGTCTCAGCCTCTGAGTAACTGGGTCTACAGGCACGCACCACCACTCCAGCTAATTTTTGTATTTTTAGTAGAGACGGGGTTTCACCATGTTGGCCAGGCTGGTCTTGAACTCCTGACCTTGCGATCCACCTGCCTTGGCCTCCCAAAGTGCTGGGATTACAGGCGTGAGCCACTGCGCCCGGCCAAGATATCCTTAACATTTCTAAAATTGGAAAGTTGTATTCTTGATATATGTTGAATAAAAAGGTAGGACATGTAACAGTATGTATAGTACCATCCCATTAATGTAAGAAAAAGTGTATGCGTATTTGTGCATTGCAGAGGAATCTAAAAGGGTACATCCCAGCCTGCTAATAGCAGGGCACAATAGGATAGTAGTAGTCAACTGGAAGAATTTGTGGTTTTTTTGTTTTTTGAGATGAAGTCTTGCTCTGTCACCCAGGCCGAAGTGCAGTGGCGTGATCTAGGCTCACTGCAGCCTCCGCCTGTCGGGTTCAAGTGATTCTCCTGCCTCAGCCTCCTGAGTAGCTGGGATTATAGGTGTGTGCCACCACGCCTGGCTAATTTTTGTATTTTCAGTAGAGATGGAGTTTTACCATGTTGGCCAGGCTGGTCTTGACTCCTGACCTCAAGTGATCTGCCTGTCTAGGCCTCCCAGAGTGCTAGGATTATAGGCATGAGCCACCACGCCCAGCCACAATTTGAGTTTTTAATCAGATTGTTGTTTTTGTTGGTATTTATTTTGGTGATAAAGTAGTTCTTAATATATATGCATATATAAAAGAAGCTTTTTATATAACAATATATCTGGCGGCCCAGCTCACTTAATAAAGCAAATTCAATATTGTTGAATACTTTTCGACTTTCCTGTTTTCTCTAAACATTTTGATAAGCCTGCCAATCATACTTTGTGACTTTTGGGTAAGTTACTAAATTTATGGAAACCTATTTTCTCCTCTATAAAATATCTGTGAGATTGTTGTTAAAATTAACAAGATTAGTAAAATACTTAATAAGCAGTGCATTATTACAGCCAGAAAAAAGTTAGATGTTACAAATCTATGAAATTCACTTATTCCACCGCTCTGAATAATGCCTGCCTGCTCTGTGTCAGGAATCAGATTGAATGTTAAGGAAACTATGCAGACATGCCGTGGTCCTAGCCCTCAAGAGCCTTAGAGTTCAGTGGCAAAGCAGATATAAAAGTGGGCTAAGAAATAGGAAATAAGTGCAGTCCAGGTTTGTAGGTGCCTGGCATGACACAGGGCACAGAGAAAATGAGTGAGAGTGGCAGAGTCTATCCTGAGGGAAAGAGATGTTCCAGTCTTAATTCACCAGCTAATAAACTTTCCTGTTATAGGATATAAATTTATTACTACAACATTATATAAATGGTAAAAACTCTGAATTTATAAATTGGAAAATTGTTATTTGTGATGTAATAGGCTACTGATACTCTTATCTAAGAATCTTAACATTTTATTTTGGAACTATGATCTAAAAATTTATGTTAGGCCCCATCCCAGGAGTATGATGAGATTGAAGCAGAAAGGGTTATTGTTGCAAATAACTCCAGAAATACTAATTAGGAATTCTCTTCAGTTGATAATTTGGGGGTTATTCTGACACTAATAGAACTAGAAGAAGACCCAGTATAGTTAGCTCTTATTCCATTAAGCCAGATTTTTAAATGTTTTTAAATTTTTCTTTATTATTATTATTATCATTATTATTATTATTAGCAACGAGGTCTTGCTGTGTTGACCAGGCTGGTCTTGAATCTTGAACTCCTTGCCTTGAGCAATCCTCCTGCCTCGACCTCCCAAGTGCTAGGATTACAGGCATGAGCCACCTTACCCAACCAACTCAGCTTTTTGTTTGTTTGTTTGTCCTGGGTCCAGGCTTACAGATTTTTTTTTGTAAAGCAACCTAGGCCAGATGTGTTAGCTCATGCCTATAATTCCAGCACTTTGGGAGGCTGAAGCAGGAGGATCACTTAAGGCCAGGAGTTCAAGACCAGCCTGGGCAACATAGTGAGACTCCATCTTCAAAAAAATTAAGAAATTAGCTGAGCATGGTATTGTGCACCTGTAGTCCCAGCTACTCAGGAGGCTGAGGTCTAGGCTGTAGTAAGCTGTCATCTACCACTGCACTTTAGCCTGGGCAACAAAGCGAGACCCTGTCTGAAAAAAAAAAAAATTTATATCCTGTTATAGGATATATTTATTTATACAAATAAAACTTTATTTGCAATATTTACTAACAAGATATTTGTAATAATTCATACATTCTTACTGAATAGAAAGTTTTAAGTAATGTAACTCAGTTATGAGGCATATATGCTTAAAGTTACATATAATTATTTTAAATATTTTCCTTATATTCTTGTATTATGTAATGTCATGGTCTTAGTAATTCTTATCTTTTTTGCCTATCTTTTATTCTCAATTAGCAGGAGGGGGTAAAGTTAGGCCTTGTTTAATTTGTGATTTGGAAACTTACTGGGAGTGAGTTTCCTAGTGCCCGATGTGATTTTTTTCCTTTCCTGGTGGCCTCTAGAATTTGCACTTGCTGCAACTTGAACTTACGTTTGTTTTAAAGTAATATGTTTTCTCTTAAGTATTCATACTTTACTATCTCTATAATATAGATAGCACTGAAGATCAAAATAAGCATTTTCCAAGAAGACCTCTCAATAGCTAGATCACTGTTAAGGAAAGCCTTTCAAACAAAATAAGCCGATTGCAGTGGGTCTTGAGTCTTAAGATACAGTGTCCGGGAGAAGTTTAGGGTTAGGATGACCATATAAGCATTTCCAGGAGAAGCTCAGCCGAGAGCACAAAAGTCTGTCCTTCCCCTGGTAAACTACTATAAAAATAACATATGTAGCCCCTGGCAGCAAAGCTCCAGACTTTAGAAAGCCTAGTTAGCCACTAAATCTGTACCAGAAACTCACTCAAACAACTGTCCTGGAAATAAATAAGAATGCTTAAGAGCTAGATGCTTAAATCAGAGCATCTGCAAAAAAGGCAAGTTATACATTTGTAAGGGTCTAAAAGTCACATAAAAATCACATTGGCTCTAAAAAAGACCCAAACTGTTTCTGCTAAGTATTTGATTCCTACTCAGGTTCTCCCATGCTGATGTTTGGTACACTGTGGATCACTAGAAACTCAACCAGAGTGTGCACCCTCCTTTCCTCCTGTAGACTGAAAGGAGTGTGTGTTCAGTCTGAGCTTCATCCCAGCTGGGGATCCGGGGATCAGGGTTTGTTGTGCAGAGGTGTGAGCAATACTTGTCAGTCCGAGTGGCTGTGAGAAGGCAGTGAGGTGTCTTGACAGGATGCAGGACTGGCTGCTTCATCTGGGGAATATCAAGAATGAGACAGGCAAACAGACTTGAATAGAAATGGAAATCCAAGAGTACAATACTGGTATTCTGAGGGTAGGATAATCTTACAGGCAGAGGAGACTGCTGGAATTGGGAGAATGTGTGTTCCCTGGCTTCCTGCACCTTGTTTAGAGGCAGGAGGGCAAAGTGTGTTGTGCCTCAGTTGTTTGACTTGGTCACGGTGGAACTGCTGCAGGATTGCTGCGCAGACATTTCTAGTACTGTACTGTGGGGGTGGAGTCCTTGTCAGAATCAGAAGCAGGCATCTGTTTTAGATGTAGTTGATGTTAGCCGTATTTTATTGAATATCTCAATATTGGCTGACATGGGCCATTTCTGAAGGTTTTTTGGAACACATAGGCAGATTCTGGATTGTGGGCTGGGAGCAAGTCAGCGAGGGCAGGTGAAGCAGGCAGTGTGCCGGAGAGAGAAGATAACTCAAGAGGAACTCAGCTCCTGTGCCTAGTTCATCCAGAGAGGCGGAACTTTGGGCGACCCCCTCTACTTGCTGAGAGGGGAGAGAGAAGTGTGTGTGCAGTCAGCCAGAGAGCTCTGGCAGTAACAGTGGTAACAGTGAGAGGTGACCCTGAGGGGAAGGGTGTGGACTGAAACAAGGACAAATGTGGGCCAAGGTGCCTAGTGTAGCCCGCAGAATGAGTTAAAGCCTTCCCTTTGGCTGGCGCCTTCAGAAGTCTGCCACCGGGAGCCCTCAGGGGGCTGGCCCTAGGTTCTCCTATTGCAGTGGTGGTGGGAGGGAGACAGGGCGGGGGCTGTGGCTGAGCTCTCCTCCCTGGCAGGGCCTCTTCCAATCGCGAGGAAGAAAGCAGTTGCTGAACACACCCCCTCCCGGCTCTGCAGCAGAACGGCTGGGCCCTCTGCCTGGCTCGCTCACTCTCGCTCGGCTCCCCCTCCTGCCA
This sequence comes from Homo sapiens, assembly GCF_000001405.40. Lineage (NCBI taxonomy): Eukaryota > Metazoa > Chordata > Mammalia > Primates > Hominidae > Homo > Homo sapiens. The sequence goes on from NC_000011.10 coordinate 67,240,041, forward strand.
TCTTCCGTTGCAAAGCATTTCTGGGAGCTGCATGTGGGTGACGCAGCAGCATTGTTCGCAGGCACAGGAAGCCGCGGCTGAGCTGAAGGGCTCGAGAAGGAGCCCAGAGCGCTGCACGCTGCTCCCTCTGGGTAGTCTGAAGGGTCAGAGCTGGACTGCCCTGCCCTATGTGCTCTGGGAGATTCCAGAATATTCAAGTAAATCCGGATTTTCCCAGAGGCAGAATATCTAACTCCTTCAGGAGAACTTCCAGTACAGAAAACAAAACAAAGACGCTGGGGAAACTTCACCAAGAGCCTCGGCAGCTCCAGAGCGACGGGAAACGAAAGGTCAGGGGGTCGATCGGCAAACCCTTTCTGGTTTGGGGTGCGTGTAACTATAGGGACTTTTGTCTCAGTGAAGAGGCAGGAGAAACTGCCTGCCGGGCGAGTCCAGGACAATGCTATGTTACTTCGTGTTGCTTGAGCCGTCATTGCACTTGTTCCCTCACCTGGTGGGATGTGCTTTTGAATTGGGTTGGTTGGCTTTTGAGAATCCTTTCCCTCTCTGCCCAGGCACCTTCTGTTCTCTTTCCCTTCCTGTGATCTGTAGGGTGTGGGCTTGTGTTTAAATGTTCTCCCGAATGCCTGGAGCCGAGATAGGCGTCAGCCTTTCCCGCACTCCACCCCCGCTCTCCTATCCCAAACCCCCTCTAGTGAAGGGTGGTGGCTTCTTTATATGGTTTCTTGTAGGGCCTCAGCTGGAGTCTGCCTTTTTTGATGAAAGCAGGGCGTGCTTGGTTGAATGGCCCCAGCAAAATAAGGCTTGGAAGGAAATCTGCATTTCCCTCCACACCCACACATACCCCAGTAACTGAGTCTTGTATGTGTGAACAGCTGCCACCCCCCACACACACACCGACACAGTTTTCCGCCTACCCTTCCCTATTCCCCACAAAAATCTTGCAGGTAGAATTAGACTGCTTTTGGTGAACAGTTAAGTTCCTTTTCTACTCTTGAACAATCGCAGATCTTACTGTGCAGTCTGTTTTGCTGAAAGTGGAAAGTCCCCGTTTGTGGACAGCTCAGTTCACTTCAGCAGAGGAAATGGGCAGAGTCCTACTCTTCGTCAGTGCGAAGTGGGGGAGGGGAGCCATGCACTCCCTAGCACACATTTTGAATGGACCTGAATTTTTCACCCTAGGGAGATTAGGAGCCCATACCAGAGCCTTGTCCCACGTGGCACCACACCCCGCCTCTTCACCCCCACGCTGTATGGTACTAACAGAAAAGGATGCCATAGCAACTTGAAGTAAATAAAACATCCGCAGATGAAATGAGTTTGGGGGAAGGTGAGAGGCATCTGGAGACTTGGCAAAAGGGGATCTTAGTAGAGGAGCTTCTTGGCTATGAGTGAAAGGGTCTTTCTGAGACCCAACTTTGGGATTTGGAGCAGGATCCTTAGGTTAAGAATGAAAATACATAAAAGTCCTGGTCTCCGGGACAGAGCACACAGGATTATGAGAAAAATTATTAGCAATGGCCCAGACTTGCTAACCTGTCCAGGATCAGAGTTTAGTGTTTGCCGAAACAGTTACCATCCTGTACATACATACCTAGGGTAGCCAGAAAAGGAATCATGTAACTTGTCTCCCAGATTTATTTTGCTGTTGGTGTTGCTTTAGGGCTCATAAGGTCAGAAGAAGAAGGATTCCATTATACTAGAAGATTTGGGTTTCAGGAGTTTCTGTCTAAAACGAAAAGATTTGGCCAGGTGCAGTGGCTCATGCCTGTAATCCCAGCACTTTGGGAGGCCGAGGCAAGCGGATCACCTGAGGTCAGGAGTTCGAGACCAGCCTGGCCAACATGGTGAAACTCCGTCTCTACTAAAAATACAAAAATTAGCTGGGTATGGTGGCAGGTGCCTGTAATCCCAGCTACTCAGGAGGCTGAGGCAGGAGAATAGCTTGAACACGGGAGGCGAGGCGGAGGTTGCAGTGAGCCGAGATAGCGCCACTGCACTCCAGCCTGAGCAACAGAGTGAGACTCCATCTAAAAAATAAAAATTAAAAAAAATATATTTGTTTCAAAATAACAGTCAACCAGTGTGATTCACTTAAGTGGCATTTTCTCACTGTAGCATTGTTCGTAAGTCATTTAAATTTTATTGGTAATGCCATGAGAACTTTTGCCCCTAAGATTGTTCCTTTCCCCCATTTAGAGGAATAAAGGCAAATAGCAGACTCTGTGGGTGTGTGTATGTGTGTGTGTGTGTGTGTGTGTGTGAGAGAGAGAGAGAAAGAAAGAGATTTGAGATTGAGATTTCTGTAATCAGCCTTAGAAGAAAAGAGCCCTGGGTTGAATCTGCACATTAGGCTGTACCATTCATCTCATTAATTCTGTATTAGCAAATCATTTTTATGCCACTTGGTTCACATCTGAGAAATGAAGGCAATTACCTGATAATATTCACTAACTGGTGTAGAAAAGTGAAGAAGCAATAATAAAGTTTTACTGTCATATGTAGAACTGTATGAGAAGTAACACTTGTCACCACAGTAAGTTAGTTGTTTCAGTGTGTTAGTATAATTAGTACACAAGTAAGGGATTGGGAACAAAGGTGAGTTTGAAGTCCTTTCTGCTCCCCCACCACCACCATCCGCCCCCAGTAGAGATGGGTCTTGCTGTGTTTCCCAGGCTGGTCTCAAACTCCTGGCTCAAGTGATCCTCCCACCTCTCACAGGCATGAGCCACTGTGCCCAGCCTCAAAGTTTTGATAATATTGCAGCAGCCTAAGTTTGAGTTTTCTCCTTCACCTTTGATTTATTTGTTTTCCAGTGAGTCTCTATATGAAGGGCAAATACAGACAGTTGCCACCCTGCCTCCCTTGCTACTCAAGGGTACTGAGGCAGAGTCTGGATGCTGTTCAGGGTGGTTGGCTCTTTGTTCACCCTGCCCTGATTTTTCCTTCTTTTCCCTCCTACCCTTAGATTTTGCTGGAGGAGCTTGCCAACAGCGATCCCAAGTTAGCCCTCACTGGAGTTCCTATAGTACAGTGGCCAAAAAGGGATAAGGTAAGAAACTATTTTCCTTGATCTTTAGGCTGCTTAAGCCTTTTGTTAGTTGATCATTACCATTCTGGGGAAAACAAGAACAACTAGAGGCAGATGGCTTTTGGTGCATTAATACAAACTGACAGAAAATCATTATTCAGTTCTGTTTTGACTCGTAGGTCAGGGTAATTGGCTATCTTTGGAGGTGACCTCTCTTAACAGAACTATCAAACTGGGAGGCCTCCCTCCAGATTCAGATGCCAAATTGTGCATTTGTGCATCCGCTTCTATCCTTGTGACCAGTTACTCAGCTATCTTCACAGATATGATTGAAAGCCAGTTAAAATAATTACATAGATATCTAAAAGGAGCAGAGTTTTTCTTTGACGTAGTGAGATCATTCTCTCAAAAATCCCCTTACCTTGGACTTTGCAGTGTGGAATGGAAAAGAGAAGAAAGGGGCCGGGCATGGTGGCTCACACCTGTAATCCCAGCACTTTGGGAGGCCCAGGCAGGTGGATCACCTGAGGTCAGGAGTTCAAGACCAGCCTGGCCAACATGGTGAAACACCGTCTGTACCAAAAATACAAAAATTAAGCCAGGCGTGGTGGCATGCGCCTATAATCCCAGCTACTTGCAAGGCTGGGGCAGGAGAATCACTTGAACCCAGGAGGCAGAGGTTGCAGTGAGCCGAGATCGCACCATTGCACTTCAGCCTGGGGGACAAGAGCGAAACTGTCTCAAAGAAAAAAAAAGAAGAAGAAGAAAGGAATTACTGTCAGCTAATAAATTGTCAATTATGAATTTTCATGCCTCTTCAGTTTAGATCCTGTATAATTTTTTTCCCCATACTGTCCTCTATCAAGGTTATGTATTAAATAAATGATAGCATTCTGATCCTGGCTGTGAATTTGGCAAATAAATGAGGCTTCTGTTTGTTGTTCCCTAGCTGAAACTTGCAAAGCCATCACATTCCAGGGGTGTTTAGGCAGAATATAAAGGTATGGAGTTGAACAGTATATTTAGAGAATCACCTCCTCGTCCCTAGTGGGAGGAGTCCTGCTTGGCCTCTGCTTGGCCACAGGTGACTGCCTTAAAACAATTCAGTCATTTCTGGTTGTTGAGTATTTTGTGTCAGAAAAGTGTTTAAGATATGGTAAGAAATTAAAGTAGTAGAAAACATGGTCCTTGTCCTTGAAAAGGTCACCAGCAGGGTAAATGCAAATGCTAAGAAATGTGTTCCACACTTAAATATTATTGAAGTGTCTGCTATCTACCAGTTCGTATGCTTGAATTTGGAGTACTAAAGAAATGAACAAGACTAGTTTCACCTTAAGGGAGTTTACTGTCTTCTTTAGGAGTATAATCTGAGAAGTCAGGATGAGGAAATATTGGAGGGCTCCTGGAGTGACTTCGGTACATGGCACTTGATACAGAAAGCTCAGGGAGGGGTGAATCTTAACAGCTCTGCAAAAAGAAAGGGAAGCAGCTGAATTAGTAGGCCAAAGGGCTAGGACAAGGGCTGGTAAATTTTTCTGTAAAGGTCAAGATAGTAAATACTTTAGGTTTTGTACACCACACAGTCAACAATTTCTCAGTTCTACCATGGTAGCATGAAAGCAGCCATTGATTGGCCGGGTGTGGTGGCTCACACCTGTAATCCCAGCACTATGGGATGCCAAGGCGGGCAGATCACGAGGTCAGGAGATTGAGACCATCCTGGCTAACATGGTGAAACCCCGTCTCTACAAAAAATACAAAAAAATTAGCTGGGCATGGTGGTGGGCACCTGTAGTCCCAGCTACTTGGGAGGCTGAGGCAGGAGAATGGCGGGAACCCGGGAGGCGGAGCTTGCAGTGAGCCGAGATCATGCCACTGTATTCCAGCCTGGGTGACAAAGCGAGACTCTGTCTCAAAAAAAAAAAAAAAAAGCAGCCATTGATAATACATACACAAGATGAGTTGTGTGTCAATAAAATTTATTCTAGAAACAAGCAGTGGGCAGATCTGGCCATAGTGGGCCAAGCCCCAGGCTAGGTATGCTACCATGTAATCTTCTACCCTATCCAGTCTTAAAGCAACCTGATATATTTGACCTCACTGCTTTCTCTTTCCAGCTTAAATTCCCCACTCGGCCAAAGGTGCGGGTTCCTACCATCCCCATTACGAAGCCTCACACTATGAAACCAGCTCCACGGTTAACACCTGTGAGGCCAGCTGCTGCCTCCCCGATTGTGTCAGGAGCCAGACGGAGACGAGTGCGATGTCGAAAATGCAAAGCCTGTGTGCAAGGAGAGTGTGGTGTTTGCCACTACTGCAGAGACATGAAGAAGTTTGGGGGGCCTGGACGCATGAAGCAGTCCTGTGTCCTCCGACAGTGCTTGGCAGTGAGTGATCTGCTGGGTAAAGAATTTTGGGGAGGGGTGGCAGTGCCAAAGGAACTGAAATACATATAGTGTAGAGTTAAAGAGACTTCAGAGTTGGAAAGAAAAGGTTTATACTCTCTTTTTGGCTTTATTTTGTACCTTTTTTCCCCAGGTTTAGATAGAAGGTATCTAGTACTAAAAATCCGATTTAATCTTTAGGCTTTACCTAATTTTCAAACAAGAGATTAGCATTTGAAGGGCAAATCATTGCTTTCTTTCCCCTCTTCAGGTAGATTAGAAAGGACCGGGGAGGCCAAGTATAGGCCAACTGAAAATAAACTAGTCTCTGGTGCCCAGGTGGTTGAGTCCTCCTCTTCCCCAGTCATTTTTCCTACCCAAAACCTCCGTTCTCTCCACCCTGCCTCCATGCTTCCAGGTGTTTAGTAGAGAATTATAGGACCCAAATCTCCCATCTTCAGTTTAAGGGAAACTGAAATGATAAAGATCTGAGTCAGTTCTCTTGGATTCTATCTTTGTCCTCTTGTAGCCCAGACTGCCTCACTCAGTCACATGTTCCCTCTGTGGAGAGGTGGATCAGAATGAAGAGACACAAGACTTTGAGAAGAAACTCATGGAATGCTGTATCTGCAATGAGATTGTTCATCCTGGCTGCCTCCAGGTGAGGAGAGCTATGAGGGGTTCCTGAAGTCTCAGCTAATGGAGTGAGTGACACAACAGAATGGGACACTTGTGATGGGAGTGCCAGCATCCCTACTGTAGGCCATCAGCTCTGTGGTCACATAATGCAGTGGTCTAACATCAGCCCTTGATTCATATATGTACAATGTGTCAGGCACTGCGTTAGACCCTGAGGATAGAACAGTACACAAAATAGACCCAGTTCCTGTCCTCATGGAGCTTAGAATCTGGACTCTGGATTGGGTATGTAGAGTTCCCAGGCCATAATGGAACTGCATGGTGTGTTTTGGGATGCCTCAAGCCTTTAGGCATCTCTGATACATACTTCAGTGTACCTCTGGATATTAGTTCCTAAGGGAGAGTGAGGATAATAATATCAGATAACATTTAATGAGTGCTGAGTCTGTATCAGACTCAGTGCAGAGCTAAATAGCTTTAAAAAAAAAAAGTAATAAAAAGTAATAAATTCAGATCTCAGCCTCAGAGATTGAGTCCAGCATGGGCCTTGTGTTCCAAAAGCTCCCCTACTGATCCGAATTGTGCAGCCTTTGTGGAGAACCACTGTTTCCTTGGCCTTCTTAGAAAGTATCAGCTAAAATCATGACTGTCGCCTGACAGTGATAATAAGACACTGTCATTCATGAGAAGCAGCCCAATTTCAGAAAGGTTAAAATGTGAAAAGTATACCTTTTATAGATTTTTGGTTTTTTTGAATACTATATAGTAGCAAATCTATAACAGAAACAATAGTAGGTCAGTATTTGGAGGCATTAAGCATATGTTGAATGAAGAACCGGGTTTTTGTTTTGTTTTGTTTTTGAGACATAGCCTTGTGTTGTTGCCCAGGCTAGAGTGCAGTGGCACGATTATACATTTATTCATTTAATGTTATAAATTATTTTATATATATATATATATATATATATATATATATATTTTTTTTTTTTTTTTTTTTTTTTTTTTTTTTTTGGAGACAGAGTCTTGCTCCTTTTGCCTAGGCTAGAGTGCAGTGGCGTGACCTCGTCTCACTGCAACCTTTGTCTCTGGTGTTCAAGTGATTCTCCTGCCTCAGCTTCCCTAGTAGTTGGGATTACAAGCACGTGCCACTGCGCCCAGCTAATTTTTGTGTTTTTAGTAGAGATGGGGTGTCACCGTGTTGGCCAGGCCGGTCTCGAACTCCTAACCTCAAGTGATTCACCCGCCTTGGCCTCCAAAAGTGCTGGGATTATAGGTGTGAGCTACCGCACCCAGCCTGATTCTTAGGATATTTTAACAGCATTACAATCTTTTTTTTTTTTTTTTTTTTTTTAAGACATGGTCTCCCTCTGTTGCCCAGGCTGGAGTATAGTGGTGAGATTTTGGCTCACTGCAGCCTCCATCTTCTGGGTTCAAGCAATTCTTCTGCCTCAGCCTCCTGAGTAGCTGGGATTACAGGCATGCACCACCATGCCCAGCTAGTTTTGTGTTAAGTAGAGTTGGGGTTTCACCATGTTGGCCAGGTTGGTCTTGAACTCCTGGCATCAAGTGATTTCCCCACCTTGGCCTCCCAAAGTGCTGGGATTACAGGCGTGAGCCACCATGCCCGGCCAACTTTACAATCTTAAAAGTTTGTTTGATTAATTATAACTTGGTGAAGATGTAAATGGTGCATATTACATCTATTAACATATCTCAAACCCAAAGAATTGGTGAAATAGGGTATTAATTCCATGATGATGATAATGGCTAATACAAAGGGTTTTCTGTATGCCATACCTTTGTTAAATTCTTTACACAATGAATAATCTTCACCACAACCCTATAAGGTGGGTTTTGTTGTATCTCTGGCAATTATATTGTTGTATCTCTGTGTATTAGTTCCTGAGGGAAAGTGAAGGTAATAATATCAGCCAACATTTTACAGTGGAGAACACTGAGTCACAGAGACTAGAGCATTAGTCCCTAAACCCAAGCTATCAGAACCTGTGCCGCACTGTCAAGATCAGGTTCAGCACCATTGGCTATTTGGGGCTGGATTGCTCACAGTTTTTCTCCCTTTATGGACCAATGTTGTTGAGAAATGAGTAACTCTTCCCAACTGTGTTATTGTTGGATAAAGGAAGCTTGAGAGACAGGCTTTTAAAAACATCTCTGTCTTCCTATAGATGGACGGAGAGGGGTTGCTTAACGAAGAATTGCCAAATTGCTGGGAATGTCCAAAGTGCTACCAGGAGGACAGCTCGGAGAAAGCCCAGGTAAAGGAACCTTATCAGATTTGCACTGTGACAGAAAGGAGGCATCAAATGTGGGGGATTGCTACACGTTTGCCTTTGCATTAGTGTTCACACAGTTTCTCTGACCTAGGAGATTATTTTTGTTTGGTTTGGTATGTTTTTCCTTTGGTTAATTTTTAGTATTTTCTTTGTTAGAGTTTGTAGCATTGTGTTTTGTATTACTAAATGTTGTTCCACTTGGGATCTGCAAATTCCTAAGGTCCTTTTATACTCTGGGGCCCTACAAAGAGAGGAACCACGGCTGGGCTATTTGAGGAGAGAAATTAGGTGAGTATGATCCCTCCTGAGGAATGTTAACTAGAGGAGAGGCAGTGGCCTGAGGCAGCCAGTGAGTGCAGCAGTGTACTTGAGCTTCCAGTTAAGCAGGTTCACATTTTTGTCATCTTCACTTTTGTGGCCTGGCAGAAAGCCCTGCCCTGCCCATCCCACATGCCCAAATGTGTCATGTGGAGGCAGCCCCTCCCCCAGAGAGGACCAGTGCTATGACCTTGGCCCAGAGGAGCTGAGGTTGCTGACCAGTGGTTGCCAATAATGTCAAAGGGCCAAAAGGACTGTACTTACTCAGGCTGACAAGGCAAGACCAGCTGTGGACACCTACAGGAGGAGATGGCTTTCCAAGTGCCAGTCTTTCAAGGACCCTTGCACGGGAGCAGGGAAGGGGGCAGAAAGGAATTTTCTTACTTTTTATTTCTTCCCACTTGGATACTAAGATAGTTGAATTTTTCAATCTATTTGTCTTTGAGGGCAAGGATTTTTGAAGTTGACTAGGGCCAAAGTTCTCCTTAGTTCTTGCACTAGTGACCTTTACATGTGTCTTCATTAGTGATGTTGAGTGTTTGCATCTCTGCTGTAGCAGATGTGTTGTTGGCAGATGGCTGTGTTTTAGTATTACCTTCTAATACATTGGAAAAGGTAGCACCCAAAAGGTGGTCATTTTCTTCCAACCATAATGATAAAAAAATGTAAGGAGGAAAAGGAGCAGAGAACAGGGTTGTTGCTTAGAGACATAAAATGTCTCCTTGCAAAAAACCTGAACTACTGATACGGTTCCTAGTGGAACATGTTTACTGGGCTTTGTCATAGCATAGTCATAGTGGGCTCCAGGAAAAGACAAGTATCTAGAGAGCACAAATGCCACAGATAAAGTTGGGGGCTCTTGTGGGATTCCTCACCATAATCCTGAGTGAATCTCTCTGTAGCAACCCAGTTTCTCAGAGAGGTTCTTGTTATCTGCTTTATTATTCACGTGGGGGTTGGAGTGGAAGACGCAGCCTGGTGGAGTCAAACTTAGACTGTGGTAGAGCTAGAAGCCAATGGTGTTTACCATTGTCAGACTCAGGATCTTAGTTCAAATGGTATATGTGGGCTTTTTCCACCATGAAACAGAAATACGTCTCTTGGGTGAAAGAGGTAAGTCAGAGACGCAATTAAAAATGGTCAGGCCAGGTGCAGTGGCTCACACCTATAATTCCAGCACTTTGGGAGGCCAAGGCAGGTGGATCACTTGAGCCCAGGAGTTGGAGACCAGCCTGGGCCGACTCTGAGGGAATGACCCCCTCTCCAACGTGACCTTTCTTCTCTCTGGTCCCCTGAGAGCAAGGGAGGTCCACCCTGTCGGTTCAGAGGGTTTGGAAGAAAGGAAGCACTGATGTTGCTTTTCTGGGCCTGTTTTGCAGAAGCGGAAAATGGAAGAGAGTGACGAAGAAGCTGTGCAAGCCAAAGTCCTGCGGCCCCTGCGGAGCTGCGATGAGCCTCTCACGCCCCCGCCTCATTCACCCACTTCCATGCTGCAGCTCATCCATGACCCGGTTTCCCCCCGGGGTATGGTGACTCGGTCATCCCCTGGGGCTGGCCCCAGCGACCACCACAGTGCCAGCCGCGATGAGCGCTTCAAACGGCGGCAGTTGCTGCGGCTGCAGGCCACAGAGCGCACCATGGTACGGGAAAAGGAGAACAATCCCAGCGGCAAAAAGGAGCTGTCTGAAGTTGAGAAAGCCAAGATCCGGGGATCGTACCTCACTGTCACGCTACAGAGGCCCACCAAAGAGCTCCACGGGACATCCATTGTGCCCAAGCTGCAGGCCATCACGGCCTCCTCTGCCAACCTTCGCCATTCCCCCCGTGTGCTAGTGCAGCACTGCCCAGCCCGAACCCCCCAGCGTGGGGATGAGGAGGGGCTGGGGGGAGAGGAGGAGGAAGAGGAGGAGGAGGAGGAGGAAGATGACAGTGCAGAGGAGGGGGGTGCAGCCAGGCTGAATGGCCGGGGCAGTTGGGCTCAGGATGGAGACGAAAGCTGGATGCAGCGGGAGGTCTGGATGTCTGTCTTCCGCTACCTCAGCCGCAGAGAACTTTGTGAATGTATGCGAGTGTGCAAGACGTGGTATAAATGGTGAGCAGGGATTCAGGGGGTCAGGAATTAGGGGTATGGGAGTAGGTGGCAGGTTTTCCATATGAGAACAGCATGCACCTTGGCATCTGAAAGCCTGTGGGGTCTTATGAGGAGTGAATTGACCCTTTTTCCCAAACTTTGGGTCCTGTTTAAAGATGTAGCCTGTTGTACCCGCAGATGTCATTAGGGAACTGGCCATTTGCCTCCTGGCCCTGCTCTATACTTTCCCATGTCTCATTGTTATGGGGAGGGAGACTGATTTGCGGGATAGATTTGTAGTCTGTGATAAAACTTGAGAGTCTTGCGGGCTGAAAATTTCCTCCTCAAGTCAGCTGAACTCATCACATGTTGGTTGAGAGCCTATGATGTTCTAGTCACTCTTCTGGTGCTGATAACACAGATAACCTCACTTAAGCCCCTGACTCAATTACCTCTCCATTCAGTGAGAGAAGTGGGCATGCTTTTCAAGATGAATTTGAAGGTGCTTAACATTTTTCTTCAGTTTTAATGCTCATCCCCCCAAACCTGGATCAGAATTCCCTCTTCCAGCAAGCAGAGTCCAGTTTTGAAGCTTCCTTAATGAGAGCTACCATTTCTTCTTAAGTTGGACAGACACTTGGGGGAAAAAATTGCTAGTGATGATGAACAAGGAGCTTCCCATTGGGCATTGTTGGTTTTTCCTTAAACTCTGGTATATATTTACTCTAGGATATATCCTTTTTATCTGGGTCACACACATCCTATTACAGTAGTGTGGTGTCCTGACCAATGGCATTCACTCAGGAACTTTTTAGAAATGTCAACTGTCAGGACCCTCATAGGCCTCTTAAATCAGAACCTCTTGGGTGGGCCCAGCAGTCTGCTTTAACAAGCGCTCCTCCAGGGGACTCTGATGCATGCTCGAGTTTAGAGCAGCAAAATCTGCTGTATTGTCAGCAGCTTGCTTCTGCCATAGAAGCTTCATGTGCCACTGGTAAAATTGTTTCAGTCTCTAAATAGACCCTATTCTTTGCAAACATGAGTTTATTTCCCAAATCTGAATTAATGTATAGTGTATCTAAATTCTCCTTAATATTTCTCTGTCTAGGGCTAATAGGACTGCTTGGCTCTACCTCTTGGTTTTCAGGGCAAGGCACATCAGATTCCCGTTATGTGCTGTCTCTCTTCCCCTGCCAACCAGGCTGGGGGGCAGGGGCTATAAAATATTAAATTGAAGCCAGCATGTTGTGGTTTGTGGCCTGTAGATTTGTAGACTGCAGTGGAAAGCCAGGCCTATCCCTTTCAGTTCTGGTCTGGCCTGGCTAGAAAATGTCAGGATAGCACTGAGGCAGAACTTGAGGGTGAGAGAGGACTCTGTAAGCCTGATAAAGAGCCTCTTTTGACCTGATACAGTAATGGGCTGAAGGCAGGGTGAATTGTGGATGTGCTGAGTAGCACCCTGCATTTCAGGCAGCTGCGAGTGATTGACAAGGGAGGGAACGGAGCAGGCCTTCTTAGCTTTAGACAGTAAGAAGTCTAGAAACTTCAAGAGGCTCCCTTATATACACTTCAGCAGGAACCATGCCATTTTAATACAGATGAAGGGGCTATAGACTGTTGCTTGCTATGGGTCCCTAACAACTGTTGTGTTCTCAAACACTCCAGAATAAATCAGGGTAAAGTGGTCAAGTTATATACTATCAACATGTAGGTTTGCAAAGCGTCTAGTTGTTGTAGAGTTCAAGGCAATTTTTTGCCTATTCTGTGAGGCAAAAAATGATAAGGTGTGATCCCTGTACACTTGTAGAAGAACGAGCCTCCAGGTACTCTGCTTTTCCCAGAAGCCATAAGCAGCCTGTGATGGGAGCTCCACTGATCAAGTTAATGAAGGCGAGTTCTCTTCCCTTCTATCACAGGTGCTGCGACAAGAGACTTTGGACAAAAATTGACTTGAGTAGGTGTAAGGCCATTGTGCCCCAGGCCCTCAGTGGCATCATCAAGAGGCAGCCAGTCAGCCTTGACCTCAGTTGGACCAACATCTCTAAAAAGCAACTGACATGGCTCGTCAATAGGCTGCCAGGTAAGTGAGCAGCCCTGCCGCTGTCTTTCCAGGGGCCCAGAAGAAGCGGGCAAGAAAAGTTGCATTATTGGCAGTGCTTCTTAGCATCACTGGAGGGCAGTGTAGGGCAGCAGTCCCATGCCATTGTTGCTTAGCAAGAGGTTTACCCAGGGCCATCTTAAGTGTCAGTCTCCCAGGCAGCACTCTGGACTGGCAGGCCAATCACTGCAATGGACAGCAAAGAGAACGGAATCAGTGTTGCTGCCAGCCCTGCAGTTCTCCTCAGCATAACCACTAAAGAGGAAATTTGAGTCAGATGTTACTTTGGTCAGCTCCTTATAAGCCCTTGTTCTCTTCAGCATTTTGAGCTCTTAGAAAGACAGGAAGTCACTCCTTCTTGTATTGCTCTGGTGGGAACTAAGCAATCAATTTACCACTAAAGCTAGAAGATGTAGTATAGGATACCATGGAAATCTTTGAGCTGGATGACTAAAAGATTAGGCATAGTCCTTCTCTCCTATTAGACTGGAAGTTTGTTCACTTTGCTCAGATCGTTACGGCTCTGAGTATGCTGGGAAACAGTGTATTATTACATGTCTCATTCCATCCATTGCAGGACTGAAAGACCTCCTCCTAGCAGGCTGCTCCTGGTCTGCAGTCTCTGCCCTCAGCACCTCCAGCTGCCCCCTTCTCAGGACCCTTGATCTTCGGTGGGCAGTAGGAATCAAGGACCCTCAAATTCGGGACTTGCTTACTCCACCGGCTGATAAACCAGGTATGCTCTGGACCTGACTTCTCTGTGCTTGTCTTGGGGTAGCTTTGTCTTCCAAACAGACCTCGTCTTCAGAAGCTAAGGTAGTCTCAGATATGACGCTGTGGAAGAATAGAAGAGCACAAAATGAAAACAGAATGATGGACTGTGTACAAGAATAGGGTAACTATAAGCAGATAACTACCTACAAACAATGGAGTAAGTCCATTTTGTGAGTTGGTGGAGTTTGGGGCCCAGAGAGTGTAAGCCTGAAAAAGTCTGAGAAGGCTTTATGGTGGAGGTGGAGTCAAAAGCTATTTGCATGATGGTCTAGAAAAGTGTGGTGGTATTGGAAGGGGAGGAGCATTCTGCACATAGCCTTTTGCTGTGTGCATGAGGCATAATCTAGCAGCTTGAGAAGAAAGAAAACTTGTCTGGTTTCCTAGAAACTGCCTACACCCAGTGCTCACACCCTGAAGGCATGGCTGGGTGTGGGCAGTTCTACTTAACCCCTTCAAGGGGGCCTGGCCAGCAAGTAGCTGTTGCTGCCTGGAGCCTTGAAGCTGGATTAGAGAATTGAGAGTTTTGATCTAGGCTCTTCTCTTGCCTGTACAGGTCAGGACAATCGCAGCAAGCTCCGGAACATGACCGACTTCCGGCTGGCAGGCCTTGACATCACAGATGCCACGCTTCGCCTCATAATTCGCCACATGCCCCTCCTGTCTCGACTCGACCTCAGTCACTGCAGCCACCTTACAGATCAGTCCTCCAATCTACTCACTGCTGTCGGGTCTTCCACTCGCTACTCTCTCACAGAGCTCAATATGGCAGGTATGCCGCTACAGTTGTTCATAATCAGCGGTGCCCCCTGCCTCCAGCCCTCCCTGGAACTTGATCAGTAAACCAGAATGACCTTGGGTCTGTTGATTGACCCACATCAGCTCATTTCTTCACATCTGGACAAGGACATGGATTTCTATCCCTTTTTTAACTGATGGGGGACTGAGGCCTTGAGTAGTTAAGTCGGTTGCCTGTCTGCGCAGCCAACATCCAGCTGGAGTTTGGTCAGCCTTGCAGCCCTTGTGCTTGTTGTCATATGGTGATGGGAGTGAGGCAGCAGGGTCCCTTTGGAGGTGCTGATGGCACTTCTGGTCTCTGAGCCAGGTAGTTGTGGGACAAAGAGGGCTTTTGTTTAGCATTTTGAAGGAAAGACGGCTACAGGAATTGAATGGCAGAGGAAAGCTGTGTGTATGTGAGCACTGTCATTATGTCCACTTTCCCGACAGGTTGCAATAAATTGACAGACCAGACCCTGATCTACCTACGGCGCATTGCCAACGTCACCTTGATCGACCTTCGAGGATGCAAGCAGATCACTCGAAAAGCCTGCGAGCACTTCATCTCAGACTTGTCCATCAACAGCCTCTACTGCCTGTCTGACGAGAAGCTGATACAGAAGATCAGCTAAGACACACCCAGCCCAGATTCAACAGGAAACCGATCTTCCCCTGACTCCCCACCGAGGAGAGCCTCTCCTCGACCCTGCACGGGCTCTGAGGCCAGCGTCACACTCCCTCTCTGCTCTCCTGTCCCTTGAGCCCTTCCTCTACAGGTGGGGCAGAGAGGGTGGTGGACACCAGGCTTATCTGCCTGCTCCTCTCCCTCCTAAGGAAAAGGGAGTAGCAGATTGATCTGAGGGGAAAGCACAGGCTGTGCTGTCGAGGCGCCTGCTCGCTTACTCGCCTGCCAGGAGGCCGGGCTCTCAGTTTGGGGTGTTTGTGCAACCTTCATCTGCACTGGGCCCTGTGCCCCTCCTCCCCATCCATGGTCCCCAGCAGTGCCTGGTTCTGAGCAAACTCCCAGGGAAGAAAACGGCCCTGTCTCCATGGCCAGGTTCTTGTGGTGTCCAGTGCGCGTCTCTCCTCCATCACACTCTCCCGGCTTGCGCAGGAGGGGCCAGCAGCCCCAGGAGTCCCAGACCCGTGCCGATCACACTGGTGCTGTTGAGATCTCCCAAACCTCACGTCCTTAACTGTGCTCTCCCTCCTTTCCTCTCCCTTGAGCTTGGTTCTGCCCAGCACTCGTGCTTGTTCACATAATTAGGTTTCCCACCCCAGCCTACCCGACTTACTTGCTAGTCTCTATGAGGTCCTTATTGCACTTATTGGGGTTGAAGCTCTTCAGAGGAGCTGGAACTGTCTACCCCAGGGACACACCCATTTCGTTGCTACCCAAGTGGATTCTGAGACAGGCACCATCTCCTTGTTCCCCCTCTCTCTTTTGCCTCCCACTGACTGCCCTTTTCCATGTGTCTTCATTCTGCCTGAAGAAGGCTTTCCCAGGATGCACGTCCTCAGAGGGAGCAGCCTATCTCCCCCAAGCTGGAGGCGGCAGAGGACTGGGCCAAGCCCCAACCTGCCTCCCAGCCAGGCTCCTCCAGGCCTCTGGTTTAGCGGAGCCCCCTGAGCCCAGGCCTGTGTCTAGCCCCAGTGGCTCACTGAACTTTCAGGGCAGTCAGGGGGTCCTGCTTAGAAGCCAGTCACCAGCCCTCTGCCTGCAGCCATGGAAGGGGGTGTGCACGTGCCTCTGTGTGTGTGGCTGAGTGTATTCTGCGCGTGTGTGTGGAGGGAGGGAGGGAGGGGAGCATGGTGTCTCCCGCTCCACCGCCCTTTGTTGAGCCCCATCAGCTGCCCCCTTTTACTTTGCATTGAACGGCCTGTCCAAAGATCCTCTCTCTAGGGCAGCAGAGAGCTTTTTGCACTTTAAAAAAAAAAAGAAAGAAAGAAAGGTCGGAATTTCTTTTGGGTCAATATTTTTAAGTGTGTGAGGAGATGCTCAGTAGCAGCAGCCTATGGCAAGAGCTTATAAATGATTGATGCAAATTTGCACTCTGCTCCCCCTCTGTAAGGATACTGATAGCACAACCTCTTCCCCCCACCCCGCCCCGCCTTTTGGTCGTCCATCCCTGTCCCTTTCTGGCCCTCTTCCTGTAGCCCAGTCTCAGGCTTTCCTCTTCCTGAAGCCCTACAGAGTTAGGGAATGGAGCCCAGGCACCAGGGGTCTAAAGTGTGAGCCACTGAGAAGAGAGACGCCAACTGCACCCTTGCCACTTCCAAAGCAATAGAGGCAGAGTGGTCCCCTCTTTGCCACCTAGGCCAGTTTTGACCCTGGCATTAACTGGCCTTAGAAGAAACTGGATCCTGGTAGGGGGTGGCATTTTGTTTGTTTCTTCCAATCTGCTGAATCTTTTGACTGCACCTTACAAACAGCAGTCTGCTCCCATGACCCTCTGCCCACTTCCATTGGTCTCCAGGCCCCAATAATCTGGGGTTGAAACTTTGAGGAAATGCCAGTGACTTATTCCAGAGTGCCTCAGTTAGGGGAACTTCTCTGTAAAGAACCCTGGGTATTGAGCAAAAACCTTATTATCGTTAATGACCTATAATTGGAAGCTTCCTGCCTTTTTCTTTGGTTGCTCCTGTGGAAAATACTGAAAAGATTACTTTGTTTTATTTTGTTGTCTTTTTATAAAAGGGGAGGTGGAGAGACCCCTTCAGAGCAGGGATTGTGCCGGGAGAGTGCCTCTGACTTTGGGACATTTCATCCACAGAAATTTCCAAGCCAATGGTTTCTTTTGGGTTTTGGTTTTTATGTTTGTTTTTTGGGGTTTGGAAAAACATGCATTTTTACCGTGCACGTAAATTGGTCAGCAGAAAAGGGAGCCCAGAAAAGGCAGCAGATGGACCATGCCCTTGCTGGGTTTTCCTTTTCTTTGGGACTGTGAGGGGAAATGGTTTTTAGAGGTGAGGGTTGGTCCATGTGGAGGAAAGAAGTGTCTCTGTTGGGGGACAGAGGAACCTGGGGAGTCCATCGCATGTCCTACAATCTGCTCTTAGACACGGCCTTGCCAGGAGAGCCTGCCCTCAGACTGCAGGACCAGAACCCCTGCCTCCATCTTTCCAAGCACCGGGGCGAAAAACCACAAAGGAAAGGAAGAAAATTTATATATATATAATATAAAATCACTTGGTGATTAAAAAAATAACTGCTCCATAAATAAAACTCCTAAAGTCACTTATGTTTAAAGGGTTTGGTTGTGTTTTTTGTTTTTCGGAGAAATATTGTAAATATATATTTTTTTGTTGCTGATTTAGAGTCAATCTCCAATGTTGTGCTAAAAAGTTTAAATTAAATGTAAGCATTAAGGGGATAAGTCTTATGCTATCTCAGTTGACACATTGAGGTTATTTTGGGCCAGAGAAGGAGGAAGCTAGTTGGACTTTGTTTTGTTTTCCAAAAGTTCTCCACTATTGGTTTTAGAGAGAGCAAGGACATCTTTCCTCTGACACGTGGGAATGGGTGATATTTGTGTAATAAAATTTTTAAAAGACAAAAAAAGAAATAGCCTCCAATGGGAAATATTTTAATTTAGGTTTTGTTTTTGTTTGGGGGTTTTTGTTTTTTTAAAAAAATAAAAAGGCTTTAAAAACAAAAACTAAACCTTTTCTGCTTCGGTGTGTGCGTGTGAGCAAGTCAGAAGGCTAAGGCCACGGAGCCCTTGCTTCACCTCTCAGCAGCAGCAGCAGAACTAGGGGGCATGTTTACTGCTTGGTTTTCCTTAGCTTATTTTTTAAACACCAAAAAAGCAGCACTTGCTTCTAGAAATACAACGTTTACTTCATCAAGGTGAACTTTTTTTTTATTTTTATTTTTTGAGATGGAGTCTCGCTCTGTCGCCCAGGCTGGAGTGCAAGGGCACAATCTCAGCTCACTGCAGCCTCCGCTTCCTGGGTTCAAGCGATTCTTCTGCCTCAGCCTCCGGAGTAGCTAGGATTACAGGCACTTACCATCATGTCCAGCTAATTTGTGTGTGTGTGTGTGTGTGTGTATTTTTGTAGAGACGGGGTTTCACCATGTTGGCCAGGCTGGTCTTGAACTCCTGACCTCAGGTAATCTGCCCGCCTCCACCTCCCAGAGTGCTGGGATTATAAGCATGAGCCACCGCGCGCAGCCCCAAGGTGAACTTTGTAATGGATGTGAACATTTTAAGTGTGAGATTACCTGACATTCTCTCACCCAAAAAGAGCAGCCCTGCAGAGGCACCCAGTGGTACACTCCTTAGAATGGGCTGGGGCATCTCTAATCTTTCATCCCCACAACTGCCAAGCCATCAGCCAGTGCCAATTCCATCTGCTAAAGCTGCAGAAAGTAGCTGAGCAGGGTCTGGCCCAGGCAGGCTGTGACCAGCGTGTCTCCCACCTCATCCTACTGCTGCTCATCGCCCAGCATGTTGAGTCCAAGTTTCCAGTCTTTAAATATGTGCGCCAGATGCTGCCAGAGAACTGCCTCCTTACCTGACTGCTGAGTCTCAGGAGGGCTGCAGTCCCATCTGGGAGAGCCTGAGCAGGCTTCCATCACTACCTCCAAAGGAATCTGGGGATCTCCGCCCATCCTATTCCCCAAACTGATAGTAAAGGACCATCTCCGATTCTGGAGCACAGTCTAGAAGTGGACAAGGGCGTTGCACAATGGGCTGATTTAATGTTGGTTCCCCCAAGGACGGATATGGATGTGGCCATGTTTGGATGTTTCCAGGGAAGGAAAAGTGTCAGTTTTGCCCCTAAATATCTCAGAAACCCATCTGCCCTTACTAATCTCATCTCTGCCACCCTAGTGGAAGCCACCACTGTCTAGAACCTCAACCACAGGAAAAGCCCCAAGGGTCCCGGTCCAACCCCCTGTCCTCCATGTTGGTAGCCAGACATTTATCTGAAAAGATTGATTTGGCTGGGTACAGTGGCTCACGCCTGTAATCCCAGCACTTTGGGAGGCCAAGGCAGGCAGATCACCAGAGGTCAGGAGTTCAAGACCAGCCTGGCCAACATGGTGAAACCCTGTCTCTACTAAAAATACAAAAATTAGCCGGGTGTGGTGGCGCATGCCTGTAATCCCAGCTACTTGGGAAGCTGAGGCAGGAAAATCGCTTGAACCCGGGAGGTGGAGGTTGCAGTGAGCTGAGATCGCACCATTGCACTCCAGCCTGGGTGACAAGAGCGAGACCCCATCTCAAAAAAAAAAGACTGATTTGACTACTTCCCTCCCCTGCTTAAAACCCTTCATTGTGTTCATCTCAGGATAAAGTCTGAATGTGGCATGTAATGTGGCCCATGAGGCTGCCAGGCCCTCCGGCTTCATTGCCCACCATTTGTCCCTCCTCTTCCTCTCCACTCACAGCCAACTTTTCAATTAACACCATCTCTGGGTCTTTGTATGTCCTGTTCACTCCACCTGGTACACCTAACTCGGTTTATCTATTACTTTCTCTGGGAAACCATCTCCTCCTTTACTCCAGACTGGATCAGGCCAGGCACAGTGACTGACGCCCATAATCCTAGCACTTTGGGAGGCCAAGGTGGGAGGGGCACTTGAAGCCAGGAGTTCAAGACCAGCCTGGTCAACATGTCAAAACCCGGTCTCTACAAAAACACACAGCCAGGCACGGTGGCTCACACCTGTAATCCCAGCACTTTGGGAGGCCAAGGCAGGTGGATCGTCTGAGGTCAGGAGCTCCAGACCAGCCTGACCAACATGGTGAAAGCCCATCTCTGCTAATAATACAAAAATAAGCCGGGCGTGGTGGCGTGCACCTGTAATCCCAGCTACTCGGGAGGCTGAGGCAGGAGAATTGCTTCAATCCGGGAGGCAGAGGTTGCAGTGAGCCAAGATCGCACCACTGCACTCCAGCCTGGGTGACAGAGCGACACTCTGTCTCAAAAAAAAAAAAAAAAAAATTAGCCAGACAAGGTGGCATGTGCCTGTAATCCCACCTACTCAGGAGGTTGAGGCAGGAGACTCACCTCAGCCTGTAGTGAGCCATGATCGTGCCACTGCACTCCAGCCTGGGCGACACAGTTGAGACTCTGTCTCAAAAAAAGACCAGTCTGTTCACCATCTTTCCAGGCCACAATTCTCAGAGCCCAGGTCCAGAAGGAAATCTCAGCGTTGACACCCATGTAGGTGCAGGAAACTGACGGCAGGCCCCAGAGGTCAGGGACACCTGACTTTCCCCCGTCAATGCTGTCATCCAGCCTCTGCCTCCCACTCCACATCCACCCCAATCCAATGGGCAGGGAGTTCTACCTCCCCAGAGCGTGCCATAGGATAGCAGGCAGAGGGACAGGGAGAGAAACATACCTTGAAAGACCCAGAAGAGGAAAGGCAAAGAGGTAGAAAGGGATGGATAGAAAAGAGACCATGGAGGAAGACGGGGGGGAGACATAAATGAGGCCCAGGATACTCTAGTGTGACAGTGGCCACTCGGCGGGTCGTCTCCCCAGCCCAACGCTTCACACACCTTTTTTTTTTTTTGAGATGGTGTCTCACTCTGTCGCCCAGGCTGGGGTACAGTGGCGCGATCTCGGCTCACTGCAACCTCCGCCTCCCGGGTTCAAGTAATTCTCCTGCCTCAGCCTCCCGAGTAACTGGGACTACGCGACCACCACCACGCCAGGCTAATTTTTGTATTTTTAGGAGAGACGGGGTTTCGCCATGTTGGCCAGGCTAGTCTTGAACTCTTGACCTCAGGTGATCCGCCCGCCTCGGCCTCCCAAAGTGCTGGAATTACAGGCTTGAGCCACCGCGACCGGCCCGCTTCACACATCTTATCTGAGTTAATCCTCAAAACAATCCAGTGAGGCCACGCGTGGGACGCCCTTTGTACAGATGAAAAAGGCTCTGCCCTAAGAAGTTAAGTAACTTGCCTAGGGCACCCAGCCGGGTTCCTAGAAGGTGGCACTGGCATCCTACCCCAAGTCTTTCCTACCCCACCCCTCGACACATGGCAAGTACCAGCGGTCACAATGTGGGCCCAGTGGGAGCGACGAGACCGTGAGTCGGACACTCACAAGCCGGTTAGGAGCGTCAAGGGGCAAAGCGGCTCTGGGAACAAGCTGCTCGGCGGCGCCGAGGCGCATGCGCGCTGGGCAGGGCTCCTGGCGGGCCGGGCGGGGCTCCGGGATGAGGATGAGGATGAGGGCGAGGGCGGGGGCGGGGGTTCGGGGACGGGGCCGGGCCTGGCAGCTCGCTGGGGCCCCGTCTCGGCAAAAACTCTGAGGTGGAAGAGGACCTTGGATCCGGGGACAGTGCGGGGACTGTGTGAACTTTCCAGAGAGTTCCAGGAGGAGGCGATGCTCCTGGGAGGCGGGTCGAGAGAAGCTAGGGGTCTCGAAACCCCTGCCATGGTTGGTGGGCTGGCGCCTGCGGGCTAACAATCCCCACCCAAGGTCCCTGCCCTCTGCAGAAAGGAGCGAAGGGCCCGGGCGTCCTGGTGATGTTGGAGCCTCCCGGATAACCAGGGCCCTTTTTCCCTCAGGGCCTTTGCATCTACTGTTCCGCATACCTGAAAAGCTCTTTTCTCTGCCCCTAAAACAACTGCTTCCCTCCCATCCTCTGGCTCTGACAAAAACGCCCTGAGTTTTCCCTGACTTCACCTGAAGAGGCTCCTGATTCTTAGAACTTGTCACGTGCCTCACAGGGATGTTCCCGCTTTCAATGAGATCAGCTGGGCTCTGCAGTGCCCTGCACATAAGGAGAACCCAACACTTGTCAGCGGCTGTTATCACGTATGGTTTGCCTCTAAGCTCCCCTCCTGTGTCTTCCCGTGTTGGATCCGCAACGCCAAGTACAGGTGCCTGGCATGTAGTAGGAGCTCAACAAATACTGTCAAATAATCGGGTGAATGAATCAACTCCCAGCATCCCGGCCAGAGCCTGACACTGTCTGGGGACCTGACATCAGAGGAATGGCTGTCCATGTTGGGGAGGAGTGTCCCCAGGTCAATCTGGCACACACCTGCTGAGGTCAAGGAAGCCCCGAGCTCACCCTCCTGCTCTGCAAAGCCCAGGCTGGAGGCGGAGAAGAGAGGTCTCAGCAGGACAAAATTCGCACTCCCGGGCCTTGGCACGTGCCACTTCCAACCTCTCTCATGCTCATGCACACAATGTCATGTTCAAGACTTTACCCAACCCTCCCCGACCCCTCCCCTGACCTTCTCCCGAGTGCCCTCACTTCCTTAAACTATAGCTCTTGCCAGGTTAATTGGAGATATGTGTTTAGGGGTTTTCTTCCCCACCAGACTGGGCTAACACTGAGTCTTGATTCTTTATGCAGCCCTTACCCTTACTTTGTGCTGGGGATGAGGGGTGCAGCAGTGACCAGGACAGAAATGCCAAGGGAGAGACCGCTGAGCAGGATATCTTCCGCCCACAAGGTGGCAGCACGAGGAGGAGCCTGCCACTCCGGAAGTGGGGAAGGGCAGTCCAGGCAAGGGAACTGTAAAGTTAAAGCCCCAGAGGTGGAAATGGACTTGGCTTGTTCTAGTGACAGAAGGAAGACCAGAGAGGCTGGAGACTAAGAGGAAGGGGAAGAATGGAAATTGCTGAGTTAGAGAGATAGGCAGGCACCAGTCTGTGCGGGTCTCATGGGCCACAGGAAGTGGGGTGGATTTTATCCTAAGTGCAGGGGCAGTCGTTGGGGGTGGGCTTTGATGGAGATCTATAGAAGCTCAACCCACAGGAACGGCAGGGCGCGCGGAGAGGAGGCTGGTGCAGGCATGCAGGCGAGAGGTGATTGAGACTCGGGCCAGGGTTTAGCAGGGCACAGTGGACGGATCAAGGATGTACTTCAGAGACAGATACGCCAGAGATGCTGTATGACAGCAGGGGTATACATCGGGGTGGGGGCCAGGTGAGGAAAGAGAGGAATCGAGGACAGCTCCTACATTTTGGGAAAATGGAGGATCCACGCCTGAGATGGGGAGGCGGGAGAGGAGCAGGTTGGACAGGGGCTGGGTAGTGGGAGCAAGAGCTCAGTGTGGGCCGCGCTAAGTTTGCAACATCTATTAGTCATCCAGTGGCGATGCCAAGTAATGATGTGTCTGTGGGGCTGCCAGCTGAGCAGAGATGGGGCTCTACTCCACTTTGCACTCCTAGCATCCTGGTCAGGGCCTGGAGCAGTCTAGGCACAGAACAAAGGTTTGTTGAGAGAAGGAAGGCCTGCCTGTGAAGGCAAGTTTGCAATCGACCTTCCTAGGACCAACAGAGGCAACACCGTCCCCAAAACCAGTCTTCCCCAGGCCTAGGGCTCACACCAACCTCTTCTGAACCTGGAGCTTCCTGAAGTCACTTTTCCTGGGCCCAGGAATCAATGAAGGGAGACCAGCCCCCCTCAAAAGACCCCAGCTTCAGGCCTGGCAGGGGGTGTGGATTGGGCTGTGGGTGGGAGGGACTGAGTTTTTAGGTGGGGATGGGAAGGTAAGGCCACCTCTTGGAACAGGATGGCTGGCATTTCAGAACTCACACACAGACTCTGGTCCAACAAGTTCATCAGGTAGAATTTTTAAAATAGAGGCTATTCCCGAAAACCCTGGCTGACATGTGGCTGTGCTCGCAGTCCAGAGGAGTCAGGACAGGGCTGTGGGGAGAGGAGGTTAGAGGCTTCATGTTGTGGCATCTGGCCTTGTTCCACCCCAAAACCCATGTGTTCCAAGAGCTCATTCACTCATTCATTCACTCATCAAACACTGATGCCTTTGAGTCGGGTCCTGTGGTGGGCACTGGGAGCAAAGGATGAACTAGGGGCACCAGTGACAGTGGGGGACAGTATGTCCTCTTTAAATATATATATCAGCATTTCCAACATCAGGATGCATTTTCCAATTGATGCTGACATGTAACGAGGCTTCACTCCCCACTGTCGAAACTTGCAACAATGCATCTTGCAACTGAAAATGGAAAACAGGGCCTAGAAGGTGGTAAGTGTAGAATTGGAGATGTACATAGTTGGGGTCAGGGAGTCAGGGAAGACTACCTGGAGGAGGTGAGTCTTAGCGGATGAGTAGGAGTTGTCCACGGAGGAAGGTACACAGAAGGGCTTCCAGGCCCAGGAAACAGCAGAGGCACAGAAGTGAGAATGGGTGGGTGAGTTGGTGGGGAAACTCCAGGTGCAGAGGATGGTAGCGAAACAAACTGGAGCATTCAAGGTCCAAGTCCTCCAAGATCTTGACTTGCAGATTAAGGAGTTTGTTCACCTAATCTGCTTTGGGCAGAGTGTGGTGAGTCCTAGAGACCCCTCTAGGTCTCTCACTCTCAGTAGCCCCAGAAGGCCTGGAGAGCTGCTTCTGGGTGCCAAGCAGGCAGTGACTCCATCAGATCTAGATTTGGGAAAAGCATCCCTGGTCAGGGCCTGCATCAGGGCAGTGGCTGGCCATGAGGACCCTGAGAAGTAGACAGATTCACGGAGATTCTCAGGAGGCCAGACAGGAGACTATGGTGACAAATTAGATTAGAGAAGGGGAGAGAATGAAGGAGCAGTTGGGGAAAAGAAAACTGAGGCTCTGACATGGGTATATGGGTGGCGAGTGACTCACCACCCACTGAGAGGAGAACCTCACAAGCTCTGACATGCTCTGGTTCCAGGTTCTGTTGGGGCTGATCCAAGATGGTAGCCTAGAGGTGCACAGAGATGGGGGCCTTGCTTTGCAAAAGGATGCTGGCTGCTGGCCCACAGCATGGTAATGAGATTTGAGCTTTATGTGCCCAGGGCTGGGAGGAGGGTCCTGTCACTTTGAAAGCAAAGAGAGGCTCTAGAGAGGGGCATGTTGAGATAGGAATGCTGCCTTGAGACACCTGGCTTTCCCCACTCTGGGTGGGCTCTCAGCAGGGTGGGTTTCCCCTGCCAGGCAGCACTGAAACCTCTGTGCGCTTCCGGGCTGGGAGAGTTTTTACCGTAACTACATGTGGAACCATCCTGAAGGAACATCTGGATGGGATGGGGTACAGGGAAGGGAGCTGCCAAGAGTGCTGGCCAGGGACCTGGGTCTATGAGCTGGTTGGGGGGTGGGGTTGGGTGCAGGGTACTTGATCCTGAGTGGGCCTTCTGCGGCCAGGATTGGTTCTAGAGTAGGAGGGGTGGGATCAGGGATGGGGGAAGCCTGTAACTGCGCTGCAGTTGTCAGGTCCCAGGTTCTGGGTGACCTACTAAGGATTCTGGGTCCAGTGTGGGTCCCAGGTTAGACGTCCTAGTCCTGAGTCCGTGTCCACAGTTCTGGGTGTTGAGTCTAGGACAGTGATCTGGAGTTGACAGTCCAATCTAGGTCTGAGTCCTGACCCCAAGTCTAGAGTTCAGGGTCATGGTAGTAGCCTAGGGTCAGAATCAAGGTTGGGGTCAGTAACCAGGATGGGATCGAGGTCATGGTCCAAAATCTGGATCTGGGGACCTGTTGGGGGTCTGAGGTGAGTGTCGCAGTCTGGGTATGGCGTTGGAGACCCAGGGCTGTGATCTGAGGTCATGGTTAGAGTCTGAGGTGGTGGGCCAAGGTTTGAGTCTGGGGTCCTGTTTGGAGTCTGGTGTCAGGTCGTGGACTGCGTCCAAGGTCAGGGAGTCCGGGGTTATAGCCAGGGTCTGAGATGAAAGTCCCAGGATGGTGTTCAGAGGTCTGAATCTGTGTCTTGGTGAGCGTCCAGGTTCCCTGTGATCACGTTTGGTGTCAGGGCTGCGGCCCGACTGGGGAGCCTGGGATCCAGAGATGTGACCCGAGGTTGTGGTCAGAGAATGGGTCTCGGGTCGTCTTCCGTGCCGGGTCCCTGTCGTGTTCCAGGCCCGGGTCTCCGTCCAGCATCGAGGGCCGAGGTCACGGCCAGGGTCTGAGCCCGCGGTCGCAGGTCTGGTTCGGGGTCAGATTCCGCGCGGCCTCCAGGGGGCGCCGTCGCCCGCCCGGCTCGGCCCCTCGCGGGCTCGCTGGCGTTGTGCGCGGCAGGCGGGGCCGGAGGCGGCGGCGGCTCCGGGGCGCGGGCGCGCGGGCGGCGGCGGCGGCGGCGCCCCGACTGCAGTCCCGGCGGGAGCGGAGCGCGAGCCGGGGCCGGGCCCGAGCCGGCGCCATGGGGCGGCGCCGCCTGTGAGCGGCGGCGAGCGGAGCCGCGGGCGCCGAGCAGGGCCAGGCGGGAGGCGTCGGCGCCCGAGGCCGAGCGAGCCGCGGCCGGGCCGGGCCGAGCGCCGAGCGAGCAGGAGCGGCGGCGGCGGCGGCGGCGGCGGGAGGAGGCAGCGCCGCCGCCAAGATGGCGGACCTGGAGGCGGTGCTGGCCGACGTGAGCTACCTGATGGCCATGGAGAAGAGCAAGGCCACGCCGGCCGCGCGCGCCAGCAAGAAGATCCTGCTGCCCGAGCCCAGGTGAGGAGAAGCTGCCCGCGGCCCCGGCCCGACCCCGCGGGCGCCCCGGCCGCGGCCCCGAGACCCTGGCCCCATGCTCGACCCCGCGACCTGGACCCCCGGGGCCGGCTCTCGCAACCCCCTGTCGGCCCCCCAGCCCGGAGCAGCCCGGCCTTGGCGCCTGCGGGTCCAGACCCTAAGCCCCAGACCCTGGGCGCCTGAGCCCGGAGCGCCCCAACTCCGGAGCTCCTCTGCCCCATCGGTCCCCGGACCCAGTCGGGTCCCCCTGGCCGCCCTGCTGCTTCCTTATCGTGCTCCACCGGCCCCCCGAAGTCGCTGTCAGCCCCTGGCTCCCGCCTTCTCCCACGGGGGCCCGGCGCGCCCCTTCATCCTTCTCGGAGCAGCCCTTGGTCCCTGTGGGGTCCCCTCCCCTCCGCTGGCCACCATTTACCTCGCCTGACGATGTCACCCACCCTTTTGCTGTCCCTGCTCACGGCACTCGCTTTAGGGTTTCCACTACCCCCACCCGTCTCTCCTCCAGTCTACACTTGTGTGAGGTGTTGGGGGACAGCCAGTCTTCCGGACTCTTCTCCCACCCTCTGGTGGGGTCGCTGTCCTGGAGTTGGGCTCGAGAGTGCTTTCAGGGCGGCGTGGTGAGCAGGACCTAGGGTGCTGCGGGCACCCTCCCCCTCGGACCGCGCTCAGGTCGGGGAAACATCCCCTGTGCCCTCTCCCCTACATTTCTCCTCTGGCAGGCCCTGCATATGGTGCCCCGTGGGTGCTGTTGACCAGGGGCCCTCCCAGCACACCTGCAATGGCTGGACCTTAGCTGCCGCCTCTGTAAGACAACTGACATCACACCTGGTATCAAAGTTTAGACTGTTCAGGATGTAGGTGCAAAAGTACACAGGATGTGGACGATTGCTGCGGTTTGTCCAGCATTTTATGGCTGATAGAGTATCTCTCCACTGTGTGAGCCTCTCAGCAGCGCATGGGGTGGCGAGGACAGGTGTGGTTTTGTCCCTGTGGAACAGATGGGGAAACTGAAGCTCCAGAGGTGAGTGGCCTGCCCCGAGTCACACAGGTAGTCCCAGGTGGCACCTGGCCAACAGATCAGGGCTTCAGACTTCTGGTTCTACATTTCATCAGCTACCCTGGCCTGTGCCAGGGAGCAGACGTGCCCGCCACGATTCTTTGTGTCGTGTGGCAACTCCTTGTGCATGCCTGAGAGTTGGCCTCCTCCTGGTGCCCCAGCGGGCTGGGGATGGGGCCTGTCCACACTGCCGTGGTCTTATCTTGTGACTCTGGGTAAGTCTCTTCCCTCACTGGGCCTCGGTCTTCTCATCTGTGAAATGTGGATGGCGTGAAATAAGAGCTGTGACTCTGCGGTGTCCCTCAGCCTTTGAAGCAGCCGTCTAAGCTCTGGCTGACGCTGCAGGGGTGCCCCATGCCCATGGCCCTCACCGCCCCCCTGTGCCATGCCCTGCTCACTGGGTGTTTGGATTGACTGAACGTCAGGCCTGGGAGAGGAAAATTGGTCTGCATTTTGAAAAGGCCGTTAGGGCCTTTTTTTTTCTAAGACATTTGCAATCAGATTTCTCAAAACAGGAACCAGACTGACTGTCAGCTGGGGGCTGTCCAGGGAGCAGTGACGGTTAGTACAGAAATGAGTTCAGAAATGACAAACCCACGAGGGAGGAAACGGGGGAGTCAGCCTCTAGGGCTCAAAACGGCTCTCCTTGGTGGCTGCAGCCTCGAGACCCTCCTGCAGGATGGAGTTCTGCAACTGTGAGGCGGGGCCTTTTCTGGAACTGTCTGCGTTCGGGTAATCTCCCCCCAGAATGCATTGCTTCTGATGGGGCGCCGCCTTGGCTCTGCAGGTGTCAGAACCCTGAGAAACGAGATGGTCTTCTTTTCCTGTCCCCTTTCCCATCCATGGTAGTGATGGCGGTGATAGCAATAATGATAGGAATTATTACTGACTTACCTATTTTGATATCTGTCATCTCAGTTCTTCCAGCAACCAACCTGTGAAGCTGGCAAGGCCATGCCTTGCATGTAGTAGTTGCTCAAGAAATACCAGGACTGTGTGGCACCCCCATGCAGTCCTGAGCAGAAACAAGGTTGGATAGGATTCTAGGAGGACAGCAGGAGGCCGAGCCAGGCAGCCCAGGTTTTCACATTGGGTCACCATCAGCAGCATGGCCTTCCGCAAATCGCCCACATCTGTGAAACGGACTGGAGGTGCGAGCGCCGAATGTCAGTGCGCTAAGGCCTGGGAAGGGCTACTGGCCACCCCTACATGGGGGTCCAGGCCTGGGGCATTAGGGAGCAGGCCACCCTTTGCATAACGCCTTGCCTTGCACACCCAGTGGGGCAGAGCACGCCGCCCCCCGCCCCCCGCCGCCCCAGTGGTGATCCTGACCATGTTTCATGTTTGCCTGACACTTTTCCACTTGCAGAGTGCTTTTTACTCTGTTTTGTCCTTTTGACAACTGTGAGAGGCAGGCCCAGCAGTTAGGATTCTCCCCTTTAGCAGTTGAAGTTATTGAGGCTCAGGGAGGGGAGGAGTCGTGTCCTCGTCACAGAAGAAAGCTGGAATGGGGCCTCGGGTTTCTGGACCACACAGGCCAGTGCTGTTTCTTTGCTGTGCTTTATCCCCTCCACCCACCCCTGCACACCACTGTTCTCGCCTCTGTCCACATTTTGCGGTGTGGGCTGACTGGCACCCCTTGTCTGGGGCCATCGGCTGTCACAGTTCACAAGGCTCAGCCCTCTTCCCGTTGGCTGGGATGGAGAACTGAGCTGCCGTGGCAAAGCTACTGCACCGAGGGGCAGCCCCACTCCAGGGTCCCGTCAGATGCAGGAGCCTGTCTTCCCCATACCCACAAGGTCAAGGTCAGAGTCAGGGAGAGGGGCTGTGGCTTGTCCCAGTGACAGGTTGCCACTGGGAATTGTTCATACCTTGAGGTGGCCCACCTTGGCAGCCCCTCCATGGCTGGTGCCTGGGGATGTGTCTTGGCCAAGAACTGGGGCTGGCATCACAGCTCTGAGTTCCAAAGGCTAGGGAATGGGAGTGGTTAGGCACAGTGCCACACTGAGTTGGCACAGGGGCCTCCCCTTCTGTCACCCTATAGAATCCAAGGAAACAGTCCCTTTCCCCGACCTTCTTGTAGAAGGAGGTAGCGTAAGGCAGCATTGTGTATCTGGAAGATGGGAGGTCTGGCTTCTCCCTCTACCACCAGCTCACATGGGACCCAGGCGAGTCCCTTAGCCCGACTGGACCTGCCTCAGTTTCCACCTCTGTAAAACGAGGCGGCTGCCCCTTCACTCTCAGGGTCTGTGGTCTGGGCCTTGCCCTGAAGGAACTGCTGTCTCCCTTTCCCAGCAGCCAGCAGTCTTGTAATTATCATCATTTGCTTAATATGACCACTGAGGCCTCGTGTAATTAATCTCTGGGCTCCTAGCTGAGGAGCCCTGCCTGGGCGCTCCCAGGAGGTTCCTCTGCCCTCCCCGGTGACAGTGGCAGCCCCAGCAGCAGATTGTCGGAGCTGGGTGCCTCTTGCAGCCTCCCGATTTCTTGGCTGTTTCCTGGTCCCTCCCCCACCGAGAGTTTCCTCCTTCCTGCCCCTTTCTGGCTTCCCTGTCTCCCCAGACCCTGCCCCTGTTCCTCCGCTGCCTCGTTCCTGTTAACTCTTCGCAGCCAGAACTTCCTGCCCTCGATTTGTGGGGGAAGGGGTGCAGCGGGAAGCTCTCTCCCTCCCTCCTTCCTTCACTCCTGCAGCACCAGCTGAAACCCTGCTGCTTCCAGCCTTTGTCCCTTACCCAGAACTTTCCACTTCAGTGGCAGCGTTCTCCCAACTCCTTTCCCTGCAAACAAGATGATCTTTCCTGCAGTCACTCCCTCTGGGCCTTTGAAGCACCGCCGTTCCCCAGGAATGGGTCTCTGGGATGTCTTTCCCGTCTGTTTTCCTTTCCAGAGCATGCGTTTCACTTATTTGCCATTAAGTCGCCCGCCTGCCGTTACCTGGGTAAATGGATTTGAAGGGAGTGTGAGCAATGCAGGTTGGAATCTGTGCAGGGGAACCTGGGCTGTTAACCCAGAATGAGGTGTCCTATTAATGCACAATCAATTCCTAGTAGTAAGTTCCCGGTGACGTCAGGTACAGGAGCGCTCCGCAGCCAGTGTTTCCTCCCCGTGCCTAGGTTGCACCCAGGTGGGCTTGGCAGAGGGACTGAGTGCTCAGGCTGGTGGGTTTGGGCTCCACGCGCTTGGCTGTTGCTTTCAGGGTATGCTCTTGCCTCGGAACACACAGTGGGAACCAAAAGCACAGTGTAGCCCTTGAGGATGCACAGCCTCCCTCACACCTGCCCCTTCTTCCTGGGCCCCTTCCCTACTCCCCGCCGGCTCCCCATGGGTCAGTTTCCACTGCTGGATGGAGCTATATTCACGTTATTTCTACTCTGCTGCAACTGAGATACTAAAAATGAGGTGTTTGACTGCAGCTTTTTTCTAAAACAGTAATATCCCTTCTCTGCTTTGCTGTTTACTGCAAAAGGACGCGTCTATGCTGGCAGAAGTGGGTTTTCTGGTATTAACATGTTGGCAGCTCTGTTCCCAGGTGGGGGCAATTTTCTGACTCTAGAGCCATTTCGTGTTTGGGATGGGGGATAACCCCCTCCTGGAAACCACAGGGCATGGAATTCTGGAAGTTTGTTCTTGGTGCATTCTAGCGTAATGCAGATTACGGTCTCCATGTCAGCAGTAAATTGCAGGGTGTGGGTGCTCATGTCATATTTGTGAAGAAGCCGTGACATTTGACAAGGCCGCCAGAGTGCCTCTTCCTGAGCATCCCCGCAAGGGAGCTGCTTTGTGGCCGACACGACGTTCCGGAGCCCAGGCTGCTGCAGACCCTGGCTGTGTGTGCGGGGCCAGCTGGCTTTTTCTCTCCCCTGCTCAGGGCTTACCTTGGACCTGCCGGTTTGGGCTGGCCTTTCCTATTTGATCTGTGGCCCCGTCCTTGTTCGCCCCAGGGAGAGTCATTGAGAAACATTAAGAAGCCCCAGGGGACTTCCTTCTGCTGCTGGCACCTTGGTGTCTGGTTTCCTGGAAATGCCACAGGGAGCACCTCGGCCACAGCCACAGGCCCTGCTGCACTGGTTGGTGAATGCTCGCTCATCTCCCAGGGGACGGTTCCCAGAGTGGCCGCACCAGACCTGCCAGGCCTGTAGCCTTCATGCCAGCTTGCACCGTCCTGGCGTGGCAAAGCTTTAGCATCACTGTCACATGAGGGGCACAGGAAGCATGGCCCCTGGCTGCCAGCTGCCAGCCAAGGCTGCCTCCCATCCTGGGTTCCAGGGAAGGGGGCTGCTCGTCTCCTACAGCTCCTGGTCAGGGACGGGAGGGCAGCCAGGCCAGAGGCTGGGCACAAGTCAGGGTCCTCTGAGCCCTGCACCCAGCTCTTCCACAGAGGTCAAGGGGGGGATGGAGGGTGCTCTAGTGGAGGCCGTTTCTCAGGGAGCCTTTGGACATTTTCTTTGCCACGAACTCATTGTGGGCCTCGGAGCACGTGGCCCAGCCAGCTTCCTTGCCATCAGCAAGAGTGTGTTTGTCTCTGACTTGTCACCCCCTCCTGTCCACACAGCTACAGCCTCTGACCCCGAGCAGGAGACACCTAAGAGAGCCCAGGCCACAGAGGATGGCCTGGACTTTGCATTTCTTCTGAACCATGAGGTGCCAGAAGGGACCGGAAGTGCTCCCTCAGCACCCACTCCTTCCCTGTCACCCAGTGCTCAGTGCTGCAGCTGCTCACTGTCTTGGGCTGAGCCTGCTCCGGGAGCAGTAGGAGCTGGTGCAGGCCGCTGTAACTGCAGGGGTGCCAAGGTGGGACTGACTGCTCCTTCCCAAAGCTGGGTGGGCACCAAGTACCTCTGTGCCAAGGAGCCCTTGATACTTTGGCAGGGCAAGCCACGGGCTCTACCCACTGGGCCCGCAGTAGAGCAATGCAGTGCCTGAAGCTGGTCTGTGAGCAGAGGAGTCCCACCCTGCTCGGCTCAGCCCTGGCCACAGGCCCCATCCTCCAAGGCCCCATCCTCTCCGAGGACACGGCAAATGTGGAGCAGAGGCTTGAGCAAGACCAGTTACTGTGTGATTCTAGCATGGACTGTCGGTGAGCCGTGGGGCACTGAGAAATGGGGCTCTGGCGGCTCTCTCCCATGGCCCAGCAGGCGGGGCACGGCGGGCAGCATGGCCAGCCTGGCATATTAGAAGCCCTCCTTCTGCCGTGTCCACCCAGGCTTTGTAAATGGCCAGTGTGACGGTGGCGATTCAGCATCTCATTGACATCCTCATTTTACAGCTGGGGAAACTGGACATTTCAAGTTTGTGACCAGGTGGTGAGGGCCACTTGGAACCCAGGCACCCGTCCAACGGCCAGAGCAAAGGCAACTCTGAGGCCCTTGCCCAAAGGTGTTGGGAACCTTAGCGTCCTTCCATCTGGGACTGTTGAGGCCGCTTGGTTCTCCTGATGCTCCAGAGTAGATCTTGGGAGCCACGTTCCCCCGGATCTCAGGGTTGCTGACCTGGGTGGGGGACAGGGACACGCTCTGGGCTCACTGCCACTCCAGACTCTGCCAGTATCAGGGAGCAGTGTTGGAGACAAGGTGACCCAGTCCAGGAGGCTGTCCCACCCCTGTGCTCGCCCGTGCTTGCCACCCTGGCAGGAGCTGCCCCCAGTGGCAAGTTCTTCCAACCTGCCAGTTCCCTTGGCGGCCAGACCCATGGGAATAGACAGGAAACCCTAAAATTGCCACTTTGGGGGCCTTCCATTCAAGGACTCTGCTCAGGCCTGACCTCGTGTTTGGTTTCTTGCTTGGGGGGAGGGGGGTTGTTTATTTTATTTAAAAAACATTTTTTTCTTTTTAAGGAAGAAAGTGGAGTGCTGTGGGCTGGGAAGAATGTGGTGGCCATGCCCAGGCGTGGCTGCTGAGGGGAGAGATGGCCTCAGAGCCCCGGGTCCTGCTTCCTGCTGTTCCCAGGCCGGGGCTGACAGCAGAGCCCCTGGGAAGGAGAAAGGGCCTGCCCGGCAGGTTCCCCTGGCTGTCGCAGGCAGGGAACCAAGCATGCTTCCCCCTTGGAGACTTTGTGTGTCCAGTTGAAAAGTGGCAGTGGCTACTCCCTGGCTCCTAGGTGGCCATTCCCTCTGCCAAACTGGCACCTTTTTTTTTTTTTTTTTTTTTGAGACAGAGTCTCACTCTGTCACCCAGGCTGGAGTGCAGTGGCACGATTTTGGCTCACTGCAACCTCTGTCTCCAGGGTTCAAGCGATTCTTCTGCCTCAGTCTCCTGAGTAGCTGGGACTACAGGCGCACGCCACCATGCTGGGCTAATTTTTGTATTTTCAGTAGAGACGGGGTTTCACCATGTTGGTCAGGCTGGTCTTAAACTCCTGACCTCATGATTCGCCCGCCTCGGCCTCCCAAAGTGCTGGGATTACAGGCGTGAGCCACCGCGTCCCGCCAAGCTGGCACCATTTTTGCAGGCTCCTAAGAAGCAAGTCTGGGGCTCAGTGGGGCTTACTGCTGAAGCCCGGTGGCCCCCATTCCTGGGACAATGCCCGGCTCCTGGTGGGTGACCCCTACAGGCTGGGATTGCTTTGCCTGTCATCTGCATCTGCCTGTCGCTACCTTCCGCTTGACCAGCACCTTTTTTTTTTTTTTTTTTTTTTTTTTTGCTTTTTTTCATCCCCTTCTGTGGACCAAAATGTCCTGGCCCACCTCCCAGGTGAGATGCAGGCCCCTGACCTTGGGGTTTTCTCCACGTTCCAGTCTCCCAGTGCACAGCCTGTGCCCTGAGGGTCGCCCAGGGCCCAGGCCTCCTGTCTGCAGGTGCCAAGGGCAGGGACCGTGTCTTTCTCAATTCAAGAGATTTTTATGAAGCCCTTGCTGTGTGTGAAACACCACAATCTCCGTCCACCGTTTCCTGTGTCCCTGGGAGTCCCACATGCCGGGAAACATGTCCTTGACGGTGGCTGGTGGACATGAGCTGGCGTGTGGCCCGAAGGGGCGGGTGTGCTGGTGTGGACGCGGGGCCCATCCTCGGAGCTCCTGTCAGTTCTCAGAGGGCATCCTCACTCCCCGGTGGGGGGCATGGGCCCCCCTCTTCCCATCCAGGCAGGGTCTGTTCCAAAGCAGTCATAGGATGCGAACTCAGGGTCACCTAGGCCCATCCTTGTCTTCAGTGCCCTGCTTCCTGCTGGAGACAACTTTGGAAGAGGCCGCGGCCCCTCCCAGCCTCTGAGGGTGGGGAGCAGGCCAGGGGGTCGCGGCCTTGGAACCGTGCTCATGGCAGCCCTGCTGTGCTCGTGCTATCTCGCTCGGCCTTTCCTGAGGAAGGCTGGAACCAAGTGAGATCAGGGGCCGAGGCCCGGGAGTCCACTGCAGCCCTTCCTGGAAGGACAGTGCCCAGTGGAAGCGGATAAGAGCCCCCTCTCGAGGCCGAGGTCAGAGGCCAGGCAGGGTCCACAGGCCAGGTCCGCACTGTCTGGAGCTGCTCTCCGCAGACGGCTCTTCTGGCTGAAGCTGCCATTCTTCCAGACCCTCGGGCCCAAAGCCTGGAAGCCCTCACGGGGCTGGCCTCATAACCCTTCTCCCGGTCCCCGACAGCCTGAGCCTTCTCCCACCCACCCCCTTCCCCTTCTTCCTGCCCAAGTGTTGCCTCTGCCTGGGCTTCCTCCGCGTGGCGCCTCCAGTGGAGTCGGGCCACCCACCGCCCTGGACCAAGCCTCCTGAGTCCTGCTCTCCTGCCCACTCCTTGGCTGTGAAGCCCCCTGGTTTGCAAGGCCCTGCCCTCCGCCTCACCATGGCCTTTGTGTGCCCTCTCTCCTGCCCCATTGGCCCCTTGCTCATCCCTGGACATACTGTCCCCTGCCTGTTCCCACGTCTACCGACCCCCCTGGCTTCGCCAGCTGCCGAGATCCCACTTGCACTCCAGGAACCCAGTGGAGTTCCACCTTCTCCACACAGGCTTTCCAGACCCAGAGGCCTCCTCTCCTTCCCAAGGCTTCTGCACACGCTGTCTGGTATCACAGGCTCAGAACCATGCCCTGGGCAGGGCTGTTTGGAGCAGGGGGTGGCTTTGGCATGAGGTACACAGTGCCTCAGGGGTAGATGTGCAGCGGGTCCTCGTGACCACAGCCTGGGTGGCCAGTCCGACCAGCCCTGGGCTGGGCTCCTAGGGGCAGGCAGGGCCGGGGTGCAGAAAGGCAGGGGCCATGGCAAGCACAGAGAACCTGGACTTGCGGATCCAAATCTCCACCAGCTGCAGTCATTTCACGGGAGGCCTGCTGGTGGCCCCATAGACCTGCAGGGCCATGTGAGCGTGACATGGGCTCAGGTGTGTTGTCCCTTCAGGCCCCCAGCCTTGCAATGCCCTCAGCATGGCAGCTACACGTTACCCCAGGAGCCCAGACTAGTGAGGACCAGATGCAGGCCTCAGCTGGCTGTTGGGACAGACCGGCAGGGCTGGGCTTGAGGTGGGCCAGGAGAGGGCAGGAGGGGACAGTAAGGTGGTATTTGAGGCCGGGAGTGTAGCCTGGTGTGGCGCTCCCAGACAGCACTCAGTGTGGGGTGAGATAAACAGGGTGGGGGATGTCGGGTTGGGTTTTGAGGGTCACAATGGCCAGGCCCTCCCCTATGGCCATACCAAGCAACCCAGGGCAGGGGTCACATTTTATATCCAAGTACTAGGGACACACGAACCAAGGCATGGCCTTTTCTTACAATTTAAAAAATTGAGATGCAATTCATATAAAATTCATCATTTTATTATACAATGTAGTGTTTTTTAGTACATTGACCGTGTTGTGCAACCCTTACCCCAAAAAGAAACCCCGTCCCCACCGCAGTCACTCCTCTCCCTCTCTCCAGCCCCCGGCAGCCACGGATCTGCGTTCTGTGTCCGTGGATCTGTTCATATGAGTGGAATCTCACAATATGTGGCAACCCTTTGTGACTGGCTTCGTTCAGCCTCATGTTTTCAAGGCTCATCCACGTTGTGGCCCCTGTTGGTGCCTTGTTCCTTTTTACAGCCGAGCCATGTGCTGCTGCGTGGAGATGCCACATGTGTGTCTTTTCATCCGCTCACAAACCAGGCTTGGCTTTTGTGACTTGGCCAAGTTCCCAAAGCCAGCCGGTGGCATCACTGGGACGAGACCCCACAGGCGGTGGGCCTCTGAGCAGGGGGCCACCTGCCGGCCACCCTGGCCTTTGAGGACACAGCCTGGCGGGGGCGGTGCAGGCAAAGGCTTCCTTGAAGCCTTCTGGTCTGACCTGTGGCTGGGATAAGTGAGTAGGCCTGACGGGCTGGCCTCCTTCCTGGAGGGAGTGGCGACACCACCACAGTGCCCTCAGCTCGCGTTTCTGGGCCTGCAGCCCCCACGGGCTCTGGGGGCTTCTGCTTACTGCGCCCCCCTGACCCACAGCATCCGCAGTGTCATGCAGAAGTACCTGGAGGACCGGGGCGAGGTGACCTTTGAGAAGATCTTTTCCCAGAAGCTGGGTGAGTATGGCAGTGGCTCTGCCAGCCACCGGACTTAACTTCTTGCCCCTACCCCAGCCAGCCCAGCTGTGCTCCCCACTCTCCAGAGATTTGGCCTCCCATCCACTCAGGGTGGAGCAGCCAGCGAGACCCCAGGGCTTGCTCCAAGTCGCTGCGACCCTGCGTGCCTCCTTGCCCCTGGCTGTCGGCCCAGGGAGCCCCGTGGTGGGGGTGGGGGCCCAGAGTCTTCCAGGGCCGCCAGGGAAGTTCCTCCTTTGGGGTTTTTGTTTTTGAGAGTTGCAGCTTCCCCTTGGCGCGGCCGCAGCTGCTCTGGGCCGTTGGTAGAACTGACAGGAAGAGGCGGGGCCCTTCCTGTGGCGCCTGCCGAGCTGTGGTTGGCCCCGCCCCACCCCATGGGCCCTCTTTGTAAGCAACCTGCCTGGTGTTGGCCCTCCATTCCTCCTCCAGCTGGTGTCTGATGCCTGCTGTCAGAAGTTTCATGTGACCCACCCTGCGGACCTGGCCCGGAGGGCAGGCTTGGGGCAGGTCTCGGGAAGCAGGCTCCAGCCCCACATGGCTCTGATTTGGCCTTCCCGAGAACAGGAGCTCAGCTCTGGACAGGGGGTATCCTGGCCTGATGGGATCAGGCATTGGGGGTCAGCCTGGGGGAGTCGGTGTGTCAAGAAGCACAAAGTTTGGGTCCCAGGCCTGTGCCTTTTGTCCTTGGGCAAGTTGCTTCACCTCTCTGAGCCTGATGGTGTCCTCATCTGGGAGATGGGACTCATGAGTCCGACTGTGCAGGCCTGTCAGAGTCAGATGGGAGCACTGTGCCCACTGTGAAGCCTGGCCCCCATTCCTCAAAGGCCCTGCACTAAAGGCCAGGCAGTGAGGACTGAAATGATGGCCGCAGCTCTGACCCAGGTGCCCAGGCAGTGCCCCCGAAGGCATGAGAGGCCACCCAGCTCGAGCCTGGTTACCCGTGTCAGACTGGAGGCCTGAGGAGGGCCTCTGTCCCCTGGTAGTGCTCGGGGGCCGGGGTCCAGGGTCCAGGCCCCTTACTCAGGCATGAGGACACCCTATCTGGGGTCCCCTGAGAGCCCCTCCCACAGCCCACCTTGCCTCTCCAGTTCCCTGTGGCTTACACCCGTTCCATGCCCCCTGCCCTGAGGCCCCAGCCCCAACCTCTTTCCCAGGGACCTGCCATTTGGTGGAGTAGCCCTGAGTTCCACTTGAGCCTCTGCCACAGACAGTGTGTCTGACCAGCTCCCTGAGCCCTAGTTTCCCCAACTGGACCCACCCTCCCTGCCTGTTTCTCAGGCTGCTGTGCAAATCAGCCAGACACTGGAGTGGGGCAGGGTCCAGAGGAGTGGTGTGGCCTCAGAGCCCCCTGCTAACCTTTTCCCCATGCTGCAGCCTGACCTGGCCCCGGTGGCCACAGCATCCCAGGGCCCCCAGACTGAATCGTGTTGCACCTGCACAGCCCGCCCCGGTGGGGGGTATCGGCCTCACAGAGCAGGCGCAGGGCCCTGGGCTGCAGTGAGTGGGGGCCCAGGTGCTAAGCCAGGGCTCCCTGATGCCAGAGCCAACCCCGCTCCTCTGCCTCACCCTGGTGCCCATCGCCGTCCAGCTACCACCTGGGGAAACAGATTTCAGGAAGAGGGTAGAAACACAGGGGCCCCAACCCAGAATCCAGGAATCTTCACGTTGGCAGCAGCCTTAGCAGCTGCCTGGCCCACCCCTTGCCTGGGGCCGAGACCACCTTTGCCACCTCCATAGCCAGTTCTGCCCAGGGAGCCCAACCCACACCATCCACAATGATGGGAAGGCCTCTGAGAGAGGCGTGGCTCTGTGACCTTACACTGTTGCCTTCAGGGTACCTGCTCTTCCGAGACTTCTGCCTGAACCACCTGGAGGAGGCCAGGCCCTTGGTGGAATTCTATGAGGAGGTGAGACCCAGAGGCCCAAGCCCTGCTCTGCCTGGAGAAAGGGGAGGAGGTTGGGGCGGCTTTGTGGAACCCACAAGCTGCCTGGTGTGGGCATCCCCATTCCCTGCTGGGCTCTAGATGACCTGCAGGAATCCTGTCCTCCAGATCAAGAAGTACGAGAAGCTGGAGACGGAGGAGGAGCGTGTGGCCCGCAGCCGGGAGATCTTCGACTCATACATCATGAAGGAGCTGCTGGCCTGCTCGCATGTGAGTGTCCTCAGCTGGCCCTGTGTGCTGGCCCAGAGTCACCTGCAGATTGGGAGGGGAAGAGAGGACCCTGCTGAGAATTCATGGCCACCTCTGTCTTCCCCAGCCCTTCTCGAAGAGTGCCACTGAGCATGTCCAAGGCCACCTGGGGAAGAAGCAGGTGCCTCCGGATCTCTTCCAGGTGTGTGCCTCCCGGTCCCTCCCCAGGCAAGGTCACCTTGGACAGCCCCTGGTCAACAAGCCTGGTCAGCCAGGGGTGGGGCCTGGGCAACCACGGTCTCTCGGGGCTCAGTCACCAACTTCCAGCTTCCTCCCTTAGCCATACATCGAAGAGATTTGTCAAAACCTCCGAGGGGACGTGTTCCAGAAATTCATTGAGAGGTGAGAGCAGGGAAGTGTGGGAGAGGAAGGGGGAGGGAGGGGCCGCTCTCAGAAGGGGTATGGCTGGCGTGGAGGGCAGAAGCCAGCCTTCATTAGGCCCTGAGCAGGCAGGTGGCTGGCCCGTCAGCGGCCCCCTTGCAAGGACTCCTGAGAAGTCAGACAGGCTGCAGGTCATCTCCCACCCTGCCCTCCTCAGCACCAGGCAGCTCAAAGCCCATCCCAGGCAGTCTCCTAGCTCCAGGGAGCTAGGAGAGCTGTGCCACCTGTGCCTCTTTCTCTCCCGTGGGCTGTATAGCACCTTGCTGGCCCACCTGGACTGAGAAGCATCAGAGTCCTGGTAGGGGTAGGCCCAGTAGAGCGCATGGCCCCCGTGACCCTCACAGCCAGAGTTGGCGCGGTGGGTGGGAATTGTAGGTAGATTTCAGCCAGCTTTAGGGAGCAGCTGTTTTAGGGTCACTGCTGCCCAGCCATGGAGTGAGCTCTGTGTCACTGGGGGTATGCAAGCAGGGACAGGAGACGTACTTGTCAAGGATATGGTAGCAGGAAGTCTGGGTTAGACTGGAAGACCTCCTTTCTGTGCGGATCTGATTCCAGCAGGAAGCCACGGCCAGGTGGCCGAGGGCCATGCTGGGCACCCAAGCAGCCCTGACTGGTGCTGTGGGCGGGCAGGCCCTCAACATATCCTTCCTGGAAGAGGACATTAACGCTCGTGATGTTTCCACACCTACCCTCACGGGACCCCAGGGAGTGGCGGCTGGGTGGGGAGGCTCACGACAGCATCATCCTTCCCACAT
Organism: Homo sapiens; assembly: GCF_000001405.40. NCBI lineage: Eukaryota > Metazoa > Chordata > Mammalia > Primates > Hominidae > Homo > Homo sapiens. The sequence continues at coordinate 67,280,695 of NC_000011.10, forward strand.
TCTGAGTGGCCCCTGAGCCCTGATTCTTCTTTTCCAGCGATAAGTTCACACGGTTTTGCCAGTGGAAGAATGTGGAGCTCAACATCCACGTGAGTGGGCTTGGGTGGGGCATGGAAAGCCACGCACCCTGCTGCTCCTCTCCCGGGAGCTGGGCCTGTGGCTTGGCTGGGAGGGGGAGGTCAGGGGATGTCTGTCCTTTAGCCCCCAGGGCCGTGGCTATGGGGGTCAGGGCCGGGATCCCAGCATGGGGAGGCCGGAGCAGGTAAATATGTGGCAAGGATGGCCAGGACATGGGTATGGGGACCCTGGCATGGGGCCAGCCCCTGCTGCCCAGGTGCCTCTGCCCCAGGGCTGGGCAGAGGCAGCCTGTGGTGACCGCAGCTGTCGCTGCCCCTCAGCTGACCATGAATGACTTCAGCGTGCATCGCATCATTGGGCGCGGGGGCTTTGGCGAGGTCTATGGGTGCCGGAAGGCTGACACAGGCAAGATGTGAGCACCCTGCTCGGCGCGGTGGGATACCTCGGGGAGCCGGGCTCCTGGGGGACCCTGACAGGCCGGGTTCCACACAGGGCCACCTGCTGCTCCATGCACTCCTGTCTTGCCGTGCTGTTACCCCCGCAGGCTCCTCTGGCCCCAGCCCTCCCTGTCTCTGATTTGTGTCACACGCTGGTCCTGGGTCTAGTCTTTCCCTCAAGCGCCCCCTGAGGCAGCCCTGGGCCCCTGCTCTGAGGGTGGGTGTTGACTGCCGACCTCTGCCCCGTAGGTACGCCATGAAGTGCCTGGACAAAAAGCGCATCAAGATGAAGCAGGGGGAGACCCTGGCCCTGAACGAGCGCATCATGCTCTCGCTCGTCAGCACTGGGGTGAGCTGGGTGGGCCGGGCTGCCGCTGAGGCTCTGGAACCCCGGGCGCCCCTGCTAACTGCCCGCCCCCTCCCCTCCTCTCCCCTCCTAGGACTGCCCATTCATTGTCTGCATGTCATACGCGTTCCACACGCCAGACAAGCTCAGCTTCATCCTGGACCTCATGAACGGTGAGTGCTGGCCGGGCCCTAGGGTGGGCCGGGCCCAGGCACGGGAGGCTGGGGCAAGACACTGAGTGCTGCCTGTGGGACTGCCTCCCTCAGGTGGGGACCTGCACTACCACCTCTCCCAGCACGGGGTCTTCTCAGAGGCTGACATGCGCTTCTATGCGGCCGAGATCATCCTGGGCCTGGAGCACATGCACAACCGCTTCGTGGTCTACCGGGACCTGAAGGTGAGCGCCCCTGCTGTCCCCAGGCTGGACCTCCGTGGCTGTCCTCTCCTTCCTCTCGACATCCCGGCCACCAGGCCCAGAGGAGTGGGGCTCCTGGGACATGGCCGCCCCGTATCTTCCCATCTCCGCCCCTGCCCTTCCCACCGAGCCACTCTCTGGGTCCAGGTTGTAGCTGGGGACAGGAGAGAGGACCCCCACCTTTGCCCTTTCTTTGGGTACCCATCGTCCTCTCCAGTGAAGCAGTGACCCAGCTGGCATCTTGCCTGGCTGGGCCCCATCCTGAGCTGCCCCAGGCAGCTCACTGGGCTTCCTTCACAGCCAGCCAACATCCTTCTGGACGAGCATGGCCACGTGCGGATCTCGGACCTGGGCCTGGCCTGTGACTTCTCCAAGAAGAAGCCCCATGCCAGCGTGTGAGTGCCCCCCACCCTCTCCCTCCCCACCCCTTGCCACTCCCGCTTATGGCCCCCTTGCTCCCACAGGGGCACCCACGGGTACATGGCTCCGGAGGTCCTGCAGAAGGGCGTGGCCTACGACAGCAGTGCCGACTGGTTCTCTCTGGGGTGCATGCTCTTCAAGTTGCTGCGGGGGTGAGTGGCCCATCCCAGGTGGGCAGGTGGGTTGGGGCTAAGAGAAGTTCCTCCCCAATCCAGGTGGGATGCCAAAGGAGGGGAGCCCATAGCTGCCTTGGTGGTAGGGTTGGCACCGTCCCTGACTTTGGCCACAGCTCATCCATGCTGCCTGCCTCCCTTTCCCCATTCCTGTCCTTTGACATTGGTTTTTGGCCTTTCTTGCCCAGGCACAGCCCCTTCCGGCAGCACAAGACCAAAGACAAGCATGAGATCGACCGCATGACGCTGACGATGGTGGGTGCAGGTCTCAGTGCAGGGCCGCAGGGGGCTGGGGGGAGCTCCTGTGGGTGCCAGGCCATGACTCTTGCTTCCCACCAGCCAGCAGAGATCTGGGCCACTGACCCCTACTCTGGCCTCTGAGACAGACCTCCTGCCCCATAGGCTCTCGCCCTCCCCGTGCTGTTGGAGCATGACTGCTGGGCGAGCTAGGATGCTGTGCCCCATCTGTCCCTCTGCGGGGGCCTGGACCCCTCTCTCCCCTGAGCTGGGATGGGGTCAAGGGCTCTTCCTAAGCCCCTGCTAATGTCCCACTCCTCTCTAAAGGCCGTGGAGCTGCCCGACTCCTTCTCCCCTGAACTACGCTCCCTGCTGGAGGGGTTGCTGCAGAGGGATGTCAACCGGAGATTGGGCTGCCTGGGCCGAGGGTGAGTACCCTGGCGCCTTGGGCATGCTGCTGGCTGTGCCCCCATGAGGACAAGGGCTGTGTCCCGTCACCTGGAACCCCCTCCAAGGTCCCAGCCTCCTTGGAGGAGCTCATAAGTTGGGGCATGGCCAGCCCTGTCCAATGTTCTCAGAGTGGAGGGGCTGCCCTGGGAGTTGGAGCTGCTGGAACCAGCTAGTAACTGGCTTCCAGAGGGGCCCTTGTCACAGATGATGATGATAGCAGCTTTTTATGTTTATCAAACATTTATTAAGCACTGGGCATAGGGTTGCAAAATTTACCAGTGTTAAAACCCACAACCCTACGATGTAGGAACTTCTGTTCTCCCATTTGAGAGATGAGGAAACAGCTCAGGCTTAAGGAACTTGCCCAAGTTCACAGAGCCAGAAAGTGGCTCAATCAGGAGTTAAGCCCGGGACTCAGGGTGGGGCTGAGCCCAGATGACTGGCCTCTCCCCACAGGGCTCAGGAGGTGAAAGAGAGCCCCTTTTTCCGCTCCCTGGACTGGCAGATGGTCTTCTTGCAGAAGGTAACAGTCTGCGGCAGGGACTGGGGGTGCTCTGCAGCCCCACCCCCGAGCTAATGCCCATGACCCCTGTTCTGCTGCAGTACCCTCCCCCGCTGATCCCCCCACGAGGGGAGGTGAACGCGGCCGACGCCTTCGACATTGGCTCCTTCGATGAGGAGGACACAAAAGGAATCAAGGTACTGGGCCTTGCCTGGCCTCTTGTACCTAGGCTGTGATCCTGGCCTGGGGAAGGATCCCTCTCCCTTCTTATCACCTGTGAGACCCTGTGCCAGCCCTGCCAGCTTGTAGGCCTCAGTTCCTCCTTGGCCAACTTCCCTGGGGGGTGGCAGTTGCACTGACCATCCCTACCCAGGGCCCTGGGTCTGGGCAGCCTGTGGCTGATGGTATTCCGGCATCTCTGTCCACCCATGTGCCCCTGCCCCATCCACCTGGTAAAGTTACTGGACAGTGATCAGGAGCTCTACCGCAACTTCCCCCTCACCATCTCGGAGCGGTGGCAGCAGGAGGTGGCAGAGACTGTCTTCGACACCATCAACGCTGAGACAGACCGGCTGGAGGCTCGCAAGAAAGCCAAGAACAAGCAGCTGGGCCATGAGGAAGGTGAGGGTCGCCGGCTGCTGCGGCACCAGGCCCCTGCCTGCTTAGAAGTGAGCAGCTGGCTCGGGTTTAAGGAACTCACCCTGGATCACAGCCAGAAAGTGGCGGCTCTGGGATTCAAACTCAGGCTGGGGCCGGGCATGGTGGCTCACGCCTGTAATCCCAGCACTTTGGGAGGCCAAGGAGCGCAGATCACTTGAGGTCAGGAGTTTGAGACCAGCCTGGCCAACATGGTGAAACCCTGTCTCTACCAAAAAATACCAAAAAAATTAGCCGGGCATGGTGGCACGCGCCTGTACTCCCAGCTACCCGGGAGGCTGAGGCGGGAGGATCGTTTGAACCTGGGAGGTGGAGGTTGCAGTGAGCCAAGATTGTGCCACAGCCCTCCAGCCTGGGCAACAGAGTGGAGACCCTGTCTCAAAACAAAAAAGAAACCCAGGTGGGGCCGGCTGAGTCTCCTCTGTCTCTCGCCTCAGACTACGCCCTGGGCAAGGACTGCATCATGCATGGCTACATGTCCAAGATGGGCAACCCCTTCCTGACCCAGTGGCAGCGGCGGTACTTCTACCTGTTCCCCAACCGCCTCGAGTGGCGGGGCGAGGGCGAGGCCCCGGTAAGGAGCCCGTGCGGGGGTCCGGGAGCCGGGCTTCCGGGTGGCTGGCCGGCCCGGCTCTTACCTGCACCACCCATCCCTGGCCCTGCAGCAGAGCCTGCTGACCATGGAGGAGATCCAGTCGGTGGAGGAGACGCAGATCAAGGAGCGCAAGTGCCTGCTCCTCAAGATCCGCGGTGGGAAACAGTTCATTTTGCAGTGCGATGTGAGTGGGGGCTGAGCCAGGGATGGGAGGGCCGAGGGGCCAGGCCAGGCAGGCTGGGGAGAGCCCCAGCTGACAGAGCTGGGCTTGGCATGTGCAGAGCGACCCTGAGCTGGTGCAGTGGAAGAAGGAGCTGCGCGACGCCTACCGCGAGGCCCAGCAGCTGGTGCAGCGGGTGCCCAAGATGAAGAACAAGCCGCGCTCGCCCGTGGTGGAGCTGAGCAAGGTGCCGCTGGTCCAGCGCGGCAGTGCCAACGGCCTCTGACCCGCCCACCCGCCTTTTATAAACCTCTAATTTATTTTGTCGAATTTTTATTATTTGTTTTCCCGCCAAGCGGAAAAGGTTTTATTTTGTAATTATTGTGATTTCCCGTGGCCCCAGCCTGGCCCAGCTCCCCCGGGAGGGGCCCGCTTGCCTCGGCTCCTGCTGCACCAACCCAGCCGCTGCCCGGCGCCCTCTGTCCTGACTTCAGGGGCTGCCCGCTCCCAGTGTCTTCCTGTGGGGGAAGAGCACAGCCCTCCCGCCCCTTCCCCGAGGGATGATGCCACACCAAGCTGTGCCACCCTGGGCTCTGTGGGCTGCACTCTGTGCCCATGGGCACTGCTGGGTGGCCCATCCCCCCTCACCAGGGGCAGGCACAGCACAGGGATCCGACTTGAATTTTCCCACTGCACCCCCTCCTGCTGCAGAGGGGCAGGCCCTGCACTGTCCTGCTCCACAGTGTTGGCGAGAGGAGGGGCCCGTTGTCTCCCTGGCCCTCAAGGCCTCCCACAGTGACTCGGGCTCCTGTGCCCTTATTCAGGAAAAGCCTCTGTGTCACTGGCTGCCTCCACTCCCACTTCCCTGACACTGCGGGGCTTGGCTGAGAGAGTGGCATTGGCAGCAGGTGCTGCTACCCTCCCTGCTGTCCCCTCTTGCCCCAACCCCCAGCACCCGGGCTCAGGGACCACAGCAAGGCACCTGCAGGTTGGGCCATACTGGCCTCGCCTGGCCTGAGGTCTCGCTGATGCTGGGCTGGGTGCGACCCCATCTGCCCAGGACGGGGCCGGCCAGGTGGGCGGGCAGCACAGCAAGGAGGCTGGCTGGGGCCTATCAGTGTGCCCCCCATCCTGGCCCATCAGTGTACCCCCGCCCAGGCTGGCCAGCCCCACAGCCCACGTCCTGTCAGTGCCGCCGCCTCGCCCACCGCATGCCCCCTCGTGCCAGTCGCGCTGCCTGTGTGGTGTCGCGCCTTCTCCCCCCCGGGGCTGGGTTGGCGCACCCTCCCCTCCCGTCTACTCATTCCCCGGGGCGTTTCTTTGCCGATTTTTGAATGTGATTTTAAAGAGTGAAAAATGAGACTATGCGTTTTTATAAAAAATGGTGCCTGATTCGGCTGTCTCAGACTCTTTTTGTACCTGGTGACCCCTTTTCAGCTTCTGCTGGGCTGGGGCCTGATGGGGAGGGTCTCGGTGGTACCAGGTCTCCTCCACCGCCATGGCTTCCAAGGTGGTCTGCTCGGGCCCAGGCCATCTTCCAGGTGGGGTGAGGCAGTGGGTCCCACTTCCCCTCCTACCCCTCCCAGCTGACAGTCCTCTCCACCTAGTGGCTGTCCAGTGCCCATTCCTCACCTTTTCCCGGGGAGGAGAGAGCAGCTTCTGCCACTTCCCAGGTAAGCAGGAGGAGGTGCCAACAGTGTTAGGCCTGGCACAGTGTCTGGGCTGACTGGGACCGTCTCAGGCCCACAGAACACCCCTGCACAGCAGGCACCAAGCTGAGGCCCCTCCCCAGAAACAGTCACAAGGCACCTCTTCCCTCTAGGTCACACCGCAGCCTCTGGGCCCTTGGCCATCTCTGGCTTCAGCCTCCTCTCTGGCCTCACTGCACAGCCCTAGTAGGGGTCCCTGAGGCCTGAGGGGAACCCCAGCACTAGGCCTCTCCTCTACCCAGAGGCTTCTGGTCAACTTCCCTTTCCCCAGGTCCCTGCCCTAGCCCCGCGGGTGACTAAACAGATACATGTTGCTGCCCACTCCACACAGGGCTTTGCTGGGCATGGCTGGGGCCCATGGCCAAAGCACAGCATGCCAGGCAGAGAAGGGAGGCAGGCAGCTGGGCAGGGTACTCAGGGCTGAATACAAGAGTCAGGGGCAATGGCCTTTGAGCCAGGCCTCCAGCATTGGTGTGGGAAGGAGGGAGGACATTTCTGAGGCAGGGAAGAGCCAGGGACTCATGAGTGGCCCAGGCTGGCCGGAGGACTATAGGAAGGAGCCATGCCTGGAGGCACTGAATGCCAGGCTTAACCTATCCCGGAGCCAGGTGTGTGCTCAGGGCCTGCAGAATGAAGATACAAACGACATGGAGTCCAGACCTGCCATGCTCAGGGAGCCCTTGAAGGTGCGGAACAGGGCTGAGAGTGGTGAGAGCTGGCTCTAAAGTGATTGCCTGGTTACTGAGTACAGGATGTGGGGAGGGAGGTGAAGGACAGGAGGCAGGGAGACAAACCTCCGCAGTGGGAGAGGAAGAGATGAAAAGAGGCCAGACGGGAAGAACGTGGTCCAGCAGAAACAGGCTGGACTTGGGGCTGAGTGAGGCGGGAGTCTGGGGAAGAGGGTAGGTGTGGTTGGGTTGGCTTCGGACATACTGATGGGATAGCATGGGATCCCTGGGCACAGAGATGTCCTGGAGTAAGCTGAAATGTGGACCTGGGGGTGGCATCAGGGTGACAATGGGAACGGACAGTCTCTCTCCCAGGGATGTGGGGGTCAGGGAGAGAGAGGAGGCCGTGGAAGAGGGTTGAGAAGGCACTGTCATGGAATTAAGTGCCAGTGGGGAGCTGTGTTCAAGATGGCAGAAATCAGGAGAGGCTGGAACCAAGAAAGTCCTGTCGGGGTTGAGTTTGGAGAGGGCTCAGGGAAGGGACCGCCTCTGAGAAAAGGGGTGGCCAGGGAGGGCTGCAGTAGTGGTGAGCAGGTGAGCTCTGGGCATTCAGAAGCCTTCGGGCTGCTACCAACCCCAGGACCTCACAGATTGACACCATAGCGTGGGGTGGCAAAGTGACCCCAGATGGCACAGGCGCCATGTGACTACAGGGAGAAGGCAGGGTAAAAATGGCAATCAGGCCTTCCAGCCCAGAGTCTCAGAACTGAGGACGCCCTACAGCAGGAAGTGATGCTCAAGCTAGCTGGCCCTCCTCAATCATGTTCCACGTAGGGAAAGGGAGAATAGAGGGTCAGCCTTGGCCACCTAGCAAAACCAGGGCCCCAGACCCCAGGCTGGGCCTCCAGTAATCAAGGGCCGGAACTGAGCTGACGGAGGCCTGCACCCTAGTTCCGGTGTGGGTGGAGGGGCCGGCCCTGATTTCGAAACTCGCCTTCCTCTCCTGACGCTGGCAGCCAACCGCAGCCTCTGCAAAAGGGACTCGTGCGGCGGGCGAAGGCAGCCGTTCGCCGCGGGCGGTCCTCCGCCGGGACGGCTCTGCCGCTGCCTGGGCCTGCGCCCCTCTCTCCCCGAACTCCTATCCCTGACTTCAGGGCCCCGGGGGCCGCCTCCCCGCATCGCTGGGCCTGCAGACACCGGCCAGGTCCCAGGGGAAGGTGCTTCCCGCTCAGCCGGCAAGCACTTAGTGGCGTCTGCTCGTTGCTCGTCTCCAGGCCGGGTGAGGGGAGCCGGGGCGCCCCACTTCACCCGCACACCCCAGCAGAGTCGGTGACCGCGGGACCTGGGGTAGGAAGACCGGGGCGAGCAAGGGGATCCGCGGGGGAAACGCAGGCATCACGGCTGCAGCAGGACCGCGGCCCGCCGCGCACGCGCGTGCACTACCGAGGGGCCCAGTGCCCGCCCCCTCCGGCCCCGCCTTCCTCTTCCGGACCCGGCTCCGGGGGTCTGCGCAGGGCTCGGGGCGCCTCCTGCGGGCCGCGGGCGGAGCTGTAACCGGGCACCGCCCTCCAGGCCGCCCCAGCGGACCCGGGCCCGACCGAGGTCGGGGCGCAGACCCAAGGCCGGGCATCTCCTCGGGCGCTCGCGGTTGCTCTGCCGCGCGCTGGCCTGGCCGCGGTTGCCATGGTTGCGGGGGGACGGGGGCGCGCGCGAAGCCCCGCCCCGGCCCGGCGCAGCCCCGCCCGCTCCGCCGCCCGCCCCGCCCTCCCTGCCGCCCGCGCTGCCGCCGCCGCCGCCGCCGCCGCTACTGCTGCGGGGGCCGCGGGGGGCGCAGCTGGGGCGCGGCTCGGAGGGGAGGCTAGGGGGCCGTGCCAGGCCCGAAGCCGAGGCGGGGCCGGGATGCGGCGCTGAGGCCCAGCATGGCCGGCCCGGGCCCCACCTTCCCGCTGCACCGGCTCGTCTGGGCGAACCGGCATCGCGAACTGGAGGCCGCACTGCACAGCCACCAGGTGAGGCCCCGCTGGGGCACCCGGCCCTTCCCCCGGGTCCCCCACCCAAGGCTGTGGCCTCCGTCCTGGAGCCCCCCCCCCCCCCCCGCCCGCTCAGCTCCGCAGCCACATCCTGGGCCTTCCTCCCCTGCACGATCCCAAGCCCAGGTCACCGGCCCCTCGCGCCTGAGCCTCTGGCCTCCTCTCCCCTGCGCTGGGCCTTGCCCTGCTCGCCCGAACTCGCTTCCGCATCCTTGCTGACCCAAGCTGAGAACAAGAACTCTGGTCCTGGTCCCCAGGTTCCGCCAAACTCCTGACAACCTGCAGCTCTGCCTGACCAGGCCCCGCCGCCAGACCCCGGCTCTGCCCCTGCCTTCCCTCCTGCCCCCTCCTCTCCCCTGCCAGGACACGCAGGCCACCCTCTGCCATCTCCCTGGTCAGTCCGCCGTCCTTATTTCCCACAGCGATTCCCAACCCTGCTCGCCCTGGCAGCCTCCCTGCCTTGCCCTCTTCTCTCCTGCCCTTTGTGAGTGTCCCGTCTCCCCCAGCACGACATTGAACAGGAGGACCCCCGCGGGCGGACCCCACTGGAGCTGGCCGTGTCTCTGGGAAACCTGGAGTCTGTGAGAGTGCTCCTTCGACACAATGCCAACGTGGGCAAAGAGAACCGCCAGGGCTGGGCAGGTACTGCAGAGGACAAGGGGCTCCCCCTGAGGCTGGCAGGCGGGGGGCAGTGAGCAGCCAGGCCTGGGGTCATCTGGAGGGCTCCCCTCAGCAGCCTGGTGCCCGCAGTCCTGCAGGAGGCAGTCAGCACTGGAGACCCCGAGATGGTGCAGCTGGTGCTCCAGTATCGGGACTACCAGAGGGCCACGCAGAGGCTGGCGGGCATTCCGGAACTGCTCAACAAACTTCGCCAGGTACAGCAGGGCACAGTTATGGAGGTGGGGTACCATGGCAGGGCACCACCCTGGTTACTGTGCCAGGCCTGGCCTTGGAAAGGCACCCAGTTTGTGCAGTGTGCCTCCTGCCACCAGCAAGGAGGTCTGTCTATCTTGACCCCAGCCCAGGGTCACGTAGGAAAGAGAGACGGCCAGGCTCACGTGGGAGAGACTGGACCCTTTGGAAGAGAAGCCTTGCCAGCTTTGGGCCTCCTGAAGAATGCAGATTACCTGGAGCAGGGACTTCAGGTTGACTCGGTGGATTATGGCCTGAAACCCTGGAATACTTGCTACTACGCACCCTTCTGGAAGCACACGGAGGGGCCTGGCTGGCAGAGCATACTATCTCATACCCCCTACCCCAGGAGCAGGCTCGGAGGGAGCCACTGTGCCCCCTTTACAGAGTAGGACTCTGAGACCCAGTGGAAACAAAGGCTCCCCCAGGGCTCTGCACAGGCTCATGGCCAGGTTGAGGCTGGCCCTCCACCTCCAGGTGCTTACAGCCTCATTGTCTGAAGACCACTGTAGTGCCCCACTTGGCCCACCCTCTCCAGGGCAGAGTGGTTGGGCGTAGCTGAGCCATAGCAGTGCGTCAAGACTTGATGAAGGGCCAGGCGTTGTGGCTTACTCCTGTAATCCCAGCGCTTTCTGAGGCCAAAGTGGGCGGATCACTTGAGCCCAGGAGGTGGAGACCAGCCTGGGCAACATGGTGAAAGCCGTCTCTACAAAAAGTACAAAAATTAGCTGGGAGTGGTGGCACACACCTGTGGTCCCAGCTACTCGGGAGGCTGAGGTGGAAGAATCACCTGAGCCCAGGGAGGCAGAGGTTGCAGTGAGCCGAGATTGCACCACTACACTCCAGCCTGGGTGACAGAGCAAGTCTCAAAAAAAAAAAAAAAAAAAAAAAAGACCTGATGAAGGGCTGGGCTGGCTGTGGACAAGGGGCTCCCAGGCCTGCTGGAGCCAGCAGCAGGCAGGGCGCTGACAAGCAGCTCTGGTTTCTCTTAGGCCCCCGATTTCTACGTTGAGATGAAGTGGGAGTTCACCAGCTGGGGTGAGTGGGGACCTCTGGGCTCCCAGGGATTTGGGGTGGGGCCTTTGGAAAGACCCCCAGTGACCCCTGTGCACCCTGCAGTGCCCCTTGTGTCTAAGATGTGCCCAAGCGATGTGTACCGCGTGTGGAAGCGGGGTGAGAGCCTGCGAGTAGACACCAGTCTCCTGGGCTTCGAGCACATGACCTGGCAGCGGGGCCGGAGGAGCTTCATCTTCAAGGGCCAGGGTGAGCTCTGGACAAACTCATTGCAGCTCCTCGGCCCTTGGGTTTCCTGCGGCTTGGGAGGACGGTGCTGCCTTTTCTCTCCACTTTCCAGATGTGGAAGCTGAGGTTGGGGATGGAGGGGCATCCAGGGGCCAAGACTGACCCACTTGGCAGCAGGTGGCTGAGGGTACATGATCGCCCTCTCTGCACTGCTGGCGCCCAGCACTGATTTGCGCCCCCTCTGTCCACCCCTACCGGCCGGCAGAGGCAGGAGCCCTGGTGATGGAAGTGGACCATGACCGGCAGGTGGTGCATGTGGAGACACTGGGGCTCACTCTGCAGGAGCCCGAAACACTGCTGGCCGCCATGCGGCCCAGCGAGGAGCATGTGGCCAGTCGCCTCACCTCTCCTATCGTCTCCACCCACCTGGACACTCGTAATGTGGCCTTTGAGAGGTCGGTCGGGTCCTGGCACACCGTGGGTGGGATGGGGACGGATAGCAAGAGCCACCATTAATGAGGGCAGGGCGATCCTTGAAGATCCTGGTTCAGGCCTCTGGGCTCACTCACAAGGGGCTGCTCAGGGGCAGGTGGGTTGCTGCAGCCCGTGTCTCACTCAGACTGCCGGGGTGGTTGGGCTCCTGTGGCCACCTTTGTGGGGAGGGGTCAGGTCAAGATGTCCCCAGTTTCTTGACTTCTGACCTCATATGTTTTCCCATTAAGACAAAGATTTAGGCTGTGGTTCACGGCAGCTCTTTGCACCAATGTTGGCTTGTCATTGGTGCGGCTGTGTTGGGGGCAGAATCCTTTGTGGGTAGCCTAGGAACCTGACCCTTCCAGCAAGAGTTTCTCTGACAACACATGCCCCCTCTTGCCTTAACAGTCAGTGGAAACACTTAAAAAAAAAAACAAAAAACCTTTATTGAGATATAATCTCATATACCATATAAGATCACCCATTTAAAGCATACAGTTCAATGACTTTTAGTATATTTATTCAGAGATTTGTACATCACCACAGTCAATTTTAGAACATTTTTATCACCTCAGGAAGAAACCCCCCACCCTTTAGCTAACTCTTCGCCAAACTTCTTATCCCCTCTCCCAGTCCTAAGCAACCACTAATCTACTTTCTGTGTCTGTAGAATTCCCTGCTCTGAGTTCTCATATGAATGGAATTTTATAATATGTTGCCTTTTGTGTCTGGCTTCTTTCACTTAGTATAATATATTCAAGGTTCATCCAAGTTGTAGCACGTAACTATTTCTTTCCTTTTTGTGGCCATTGTATGAATATACCATATCTTGTTTATTCATTAACCCATCGATAGACATTTGGGTTATTTGCATTATTTGGCTTATGAATAATGCCACTCTAAGTATTCATGTGCAAGTTTTTGTGTAGACGTATGTTTTAATTTCTCTTTCATATGTTTTCATTTCTCTTGGGTATATACCTAAGAGTGGAATTGCTAGGTTACTGATAACTCATTGTTTAATTGACTGTTTACCAAACGAGCTGTACTGGTTTACATTCCCACCAGCAGCATGTGAGGGTTCCAGTTTCTCCACATCCTCATCAACACGTCATTATTCACTCATTTGTTTTTGGAATCTAGCCAGCCTAGTGGGTGAGAAGTGATAGCTCACTGTGATTTTGATTTGCCTTTCTTTGATGACTAATGATGTTGAGCATCTTTTCATGTGCTTATTGGTCAATTGTATATCTTCTTTGCAGAAATGTCTATTCAGATCCTTTACTCATTTTTTATTTAACTTAATTAACTTATTTATTTTGAGATGGGGTCTGGCCTTTCACCCAGGATGGAGTGCAGTGACATGATCATGGCTCATTGCACCCTCCACCTCCCAGGCTCAAGTGATCTAAGTAGCTGGGACTACAGGTGCATGCTGCCATGCCCAGCTAATTTTTAAATTATTTGTAATTATTTTATTATATCATTTAATTGTTTTGTTTAGTTATTTGTAGAGATAGAGTCTACAGACTGGTCTTAAACTCTTAGGCTGAAGCGACCTGCCTACCTGGGCCTCCCACAGTGCTGGGATTACAGGCATGAGCCACCACACCTATCCCTTCACCCATTTAAAAAATTGGGTCATCTTTTGATTATTGAGTCATAGGAGTTTTATAATTTTAGCTGTTACACTTAGGTCTTTGAGCCATTTTAAGTTAATTTTTGTGTATAGTGGAAGGTTCTTTTGCATGTGACTATCCAGTTGTCCTAGCCCCCTTTGTTGAAAAGACTATGTTTTTCCCACTGAATGGTCTTGTCACCCTTGTCGAAAATCAGTTGACCATAGATAAATTGGTTACTTTCTGACTCCCACATTAGTTCCATTGGTCTACATGTCTGTCTTTATGCCAATATTATACTGTCTTAATCACTGTTGCTTTGCAATAAGTTTTGAAATTGGAAAGTGTGAGTCTTCCTACTTTGTTTTTCTTTTTCAGGGTTATTTCAGTATTTTGGGACCCTCGCATTTTATATGAATTCTATTTTCTTTTTTCTCACAACCCAGTGTAGGCAGAATATATGAATTCTAGATTCAGCTTGTCAATTTCTACAGTCAGGTGGGATTCTGATAGGAATTGCACTGAATCTATAAAGCAGTTTGGGGAATAGTACCATGTTAACAATGTTAAGTCTTCTAATCCGTGAACATGGGATGTTTTTCCATTTATTTGGATCTTCTTTAATTTATTTCAACATTATTTTATAGTTTTCAGAGTGTAAGCTTTGCACTTTTGTTACATTTATTCCTAAGTGTTTTATTCTGTTTTTTGTTTTGTTTTGTTTTTTTGTTTTTTTTTTTGAGATGGAGTCTCACTCTATTGCCCAGGCTGGAGTGCAGTGGCACAATCTAGGCTCACTGCAACCTCCACCTCCTGGGTTCAAGCAGTTCTCCTGCCTCAGCCTCCCAAGTAGCTGGGATTACAGGTGCCCACCACCACTCCTTGCTAATTTTTGCATTTTTAGAGAGACAGGATTTCACCATGTCGGACCAGGCTGGTCTCCAACTCCTGACCTTGCTGGGATTACAGGTGTGAGCCACCGTGCCTGGCCACTAAGGGTTTTATTCTTTTTGATACAATTATGAATCAAATGTTTTTCTTAATTTTATTTTTTGATTGTGTATTGCAAATGTATAAAATTACAATTGATTTCTGTATGTTGACCATGTATCCTGCAACATTGCTAAACTCATTCATTCAAGTAGATTTTTAGTGGATTCCTTTCCTCAGTATTTTTTTTAACATATAAGATTATGTTATCTGTAAATAGATTTAGTTGTATTTCTTCCTTTCCAATTTAGGTGCCTTTTGTTTCTTTTTCTTGCTTAATTGCTCTGACTAGAACTTCCAGTAGAATATTGATTAAAGGTTGTTAGAGGCTGGATGCGGTGGCTCACGCCTGTAATCCCAGCACTTTGGGAGGCCGAGGTGGGTGGATCACGAGGTCAGGAGATCGAGACCATCCTGGCTAACATGGTGAAACCCCATCTGTACTAAAAATACAAACAATTAGCCAGGCTTGGTGGCGGGCGCCTGTAATCCCAGCTACTCAGGAGGCTGAGGCAGGAGAATGGTGTGAACCCGGGAGGCAGAGCTTGCAGTGAGCCAAAATCACGCCACTTCACTCCAGCCTGGGCGACAGACCAAGACTCCATCTCAAAAAAAAAGGGGGGTGGTTAGAGCAGGCTGGGCATAGTGGTTCACGCCTGTAATCCCAGAACTTTGGGAGGCTGAGGCAGCCAGATCACTTGAGGTCAGGAGTTTGAGACTAAGCTGGCCAACATGGTGAAACATCATCTCTACTAAAAATACAAAAACAAAAAAAAAATTAGCCAGGCATGGTGGTGGGCACCTGTAGTCCCAGCTGCTTGGGAGACTGAGGCACAAGAATTGCTTGAACACAGGAGGCAGAGGTTGCAGTGAGTCCAGATTGTGCCACTGCACTCCAGCCTGGGTGACAGAGCAAGACTCCATCTAAAACAGTAAATAAATAAATAAAAAAGAAAAGAAAAGTGGTTAGAGCAGACATCCTTGTATTCTTGTCTTGTTCTTCATCTTAGGGGAAAAACATTCAGTCTTACCATTAAGTATGATATTAGTTGTGAGTTTTTGGTAGATACCCTTCATCAGGTTAAGGTAATTCCTTTCCATTCCTCATTGTTAGAGTGTTTTTATCATGAAAGGATGTTGGATTTTGTGAAATGCTTTTTCTGTGTTTATTGATATGATCATGTGATTTTTTAAAAAATTCTATTGATACATCAATTGACCTATGGATATTGAACCAACCTTGCATTCCTGTGATAAGTTCCACTTGGTTGTGGTGTATAATTCTTTTCATATGTTGCTAGATTTGGTTGGTTCGTATTTTGTTGAGGATTTTGTGTCCATATTCATAAGTGATATTGGTCTGTAGTTTTCTTGTGATATATGTCTGGTTTTGGTATCTGGGTGATGCCTCATAACTGAAGTGGAAAATGTCACCTCTTTGTCTATTTTTTTTAATAGTTTGCAAATAATTGGTATTAATTTGTCTTCAAAAGATTGGTAGGATTCAGTGGTGAAGCCATTTGGGCCTGAGTGTGTGTGTGTGTGTGTGTGTGTGTGTATGTGTGTATAGTTTTTTGTTGTTATATTTACCAATCAGTCTCTTGACTTGTTATCCATCTATTCAGATTATCTATTTATTCTCAAATTAGTTTTGGTAGTTTGTGTCTCACTAGGAATTTGTCCATTTCATCTAAATTATAAAATTTGTTGGTGTACAGCTATCATTGTATCCTTTTATAATGCTTTTTATTTCTGTTGCTCCCCTCTTTCATTTCTGATTCTGGTGAGTAATTTGAAGTTTTTGTTTTGTTTTGTTTTGTTTTGTTTTGTTTTGTTTTTGAGACAGAGTCTTACTCTGTCACCCAGGCTGAAGTGCAGTGGCATGATAAGAGCTCACTGCAGCCTTGAACTCCTGGGCTTAGGTGATTCTTCAACCTCCCAAGTAGCTGGGACTGCAGGCATGCACCACCAAGCCCAGCTAATTTTCTTTTTTTGTAGAGATGTGGTCTCACTATGTCATCCAGGCTGCTTTTGAACTCCTGGCCTCAAACAATCCTCCTGCCTTGGCCTCCCAAAGCACTGACATTACAGGTGTGAACCACCGCCCCCAGCCAAGTCTTCTCTCTCTTTTTTTGCCCACCGTGGTCAACCTAGCTAAAGGTTTGTCAATTTTGTTGATGTTTTCGAAGAGCCAGTTTTTGGTTTCATTAATTTTCTCTATTATTTTTCTATTCTCTATTTCATTAACCTTTACTGTAATATTTATTATTTCTTTCTGTTCTTTCTGGTTTAGTTTGCTCTTTTTCCATTGTCTTAACATGGAAGGTTAGGTTAAGGTTATTGATTTGAGATCTTCTTTCTTAATATAGGCATTCACACATATTACATTTATACTTCTAGGCATGTCTTTTCTTTTTTTGACATGGGGTCTCACTCCATCGCCCAGGCTGGAGTGCAGTGGTGTGATAGCTCACTGCAACCTCCGCCTCCCAGGCTCAAGTGATCCTCCCACCTCAGCCTCCTGAGTAGCTGGGAACACAGGCGCCAGCTAATTTTTTCTGTTTTTAGTAGAGATGGGGTTTCACCATGTTGCACAGGCTGGTCTCGAACTCCTGTGCTCAAGCAATCTGCCTGTCTCAGCCTCCCAAAGTGCTGGGATTACAGGCGTGAGCCACCGGGCCTGGCCTGGCCTTTACCTGTGTCTCATAAGTTTTTTGGTTTTTTTTTTTTTTTCTGAGAGGGAGTCTTGCTCTGTCGCCCAGGCTGGAGTGCAGTGGCACGATCTCGGCTTACTGCAAGCTCCGCCTCCCGGGTTCACGCCATTCTCCTGGCTCAGCCTCCCGAGTAGCTGGGACTATAGGCGCCTGCCACCACGCCCGGCTAATTTTTTGTATTTTTAGTGGAGATGGGGTTTCACTGTGTTAGCCAGGATGGTCTCCATCTCCTGACCTTGTGATCTGCCTGCCTCGGCCTCCCAAAGTGCTGGGATTACAGGCGTGAGCCACCGTGCCCGGCCATAAGTTTTGATATGTTGTGTCTTTATTCCTGTTTATCTCAGAGTATTTTCTGATTTCTCTTTTGATTTATTATTTGAGACGTTGGCTATTTAGGAGTGTGTTGTTTACTTTCTACATATTTGTGAATTTCCAAAGTTTTTTTTTTCTGCTATTGACTTCTAATTTCATTCCATTGTGGTTGGAAAACATACATTGTATGACTTCTATCCTTTCAATTTTATTGAGGTTTTCTTTTTTTTTTTTTTTTTTTTTTTTTGAGACGGAGTCTCGCTCTGTCGCCCAGGCTGGAGTGCAGTGGTACTGTCTGCTCACTGCGAGCTCTGCCTCCGATGTTCACGCCATTCTCCTGCCTCAGCCTCCCAAGTAGGTGGGACTACAGGCGTCCACCACCGTGCCCGGCTAATTTTTTGTATTTTTTAGTAGAGACGGGGTTTCATCATGTTTGCCAGGATGGTCTCGATCTCCTGACCTCATGATCCACCCCCCTTGGCTTCCCAAACTGCTGGGATTACAGGCATGAGCCACCGCGCCCGGACTTATTGAGGTTTTCTTAATGGCCTAGTGTATGGCCTTGAAGAGTGTTCCGTGTGCGCGTGAGAAGCGTGTGTGTGGTTGTTATTGGGTAGAGTGTTCTAGCCTGCTTATGAAGTCCAGCTGTAGTGTTGTTCTTATCTTCTGGTTCTTTGTTGATCTTCTAGTTGTTCTATCCCTTATTGAAAGTGGGGTACTGGAGTCTCCAACTGACATACTTTTCTTTTAGCTTTTTATTTTGGAAAATTTCAAACATATATGAAAGAAGAGATAATGTACTTACTCATCACCCAGCTTCAACATTTATCAACATCTTGCCAATCTTACTGAATCTATCCTTCCTTACCTTTTTTAAAAATGTTTCCTAGAGTGTGTCAAAGCTCATCCCAGATGTCCTAATGTTTCTAGTAAATGCTTCTGCACAATTCTAAAAGACAAGGATGTTTTTAAACCCAGCCCCGACACTATCATACCTCACAAGATTCATGCTAATTCCTCAGTGTCTTCTAGTCCCAAGTCCATGCTCAAGTGTCCCCCCCTGTCCAGGCACCCTCTTCAGGGGTCCTCCATGTTTCATAGCGAGAAGGGGCCCTGAGAGTTGGGCACCCCGGGCAGGCTGGCTGGAGGGGGCTTTGGAAAGGAAGGCTTTGGCCAGCGTGTGAGGGTGCAGGTCTCACCAGCTCCTGTTTGGTCTGTTTCAGGAACAAATGTGGTATCTGGGGCTGGCGGTCTGAGAAGATGGAAACTGTTAGCGGCTACGAGGCCAAGGCAGGAGAGGCTAGGGGTGGGGGGCTGGGGGTAGGAGATGAGGTCCAGGAACTCAGCTCCTCTCCACATCCATCCCAGAGTAGCCCCTGGGCTCTGGAAACCCTGAGCATTTGTGGGAACTCAGCGGGCCTGAGTGCCCAGCCCCTGCGGAGTACACAGGGCTCACCCACATCATGGGCCCCTACCCAGGGTACCGAGATCAAAAGAGGAGTGTGTTCCTCTTGACCCTGGGGCTGCATCTCCTCGTTGGTGACTTCCTGGGGTTCAGACCCTGCCACCTCCTCCATTTTGGGGAGCAAGATCTCATCTGTCTCTGGGACAGGAGGACCTGGGTTCTGCACTGGTGAGGCTGAGTGTGGGGAGCAGGCTCTGAGCCCCCAGCTCCCCGTGTCCCCTGCTCCCCAGGTGTACAGTGCCACCAACGTGGAGCTGGTGACACGCACACGCACGGAGCACCTCTCTGATCAGGACAAGTCGAGGAGCAAAGGTAAACCCAGGTGCGCCTGCCTGCTGCCCGGTCACACCGTGTGGTGGGGTCACCCTGGCCTGGGATTAGGGGCCAGAGTTTCCCAGGATGAGCTGGGAGGCCTCCCCATTCCCGTCTGACCCCTCTTCCCCCAGACAGTAGGCTCCAGGGGTGGAGGTGGGCAGGGGCGATGCGAGCATTGTGACCCCTTACCAGCTCCCACCCCTTCTCCGTAGCGGGGAAGACTCCATTCCAGTCCTTCCTGGGGATGGCGCAGCAGCATTCCTCCCACACCGGGGTGAGCCGGGGCTGGGCCGAGACAGGGCTGGCGGGGGGCCGAGCCTGGGCGGGAGGGCACCCTCTGTCACCTTGATGGCTGAGTCCGCCCTGGGACCCACGCAGGCCCCCGTGCAGCAGGCAGCCAGCCCCACCAACCCCACAGCCATCTCCCCTGAGGAGTACTTCGACCCCAACTTCAGCCTGGAGTCACGGAACATTGGCCGCCCCATCGAGATGTCCAGCAAAGTACAGAGGTGAGGTCTGAGAGCTGGCTGGGGACTTGCCTCGGGACAAGGGCTCTTGCAGACCCCTCTCTGGGCCTGTCATAGTTAGGGACCCACTCCCTCGGCTGGCTTCTCTCTGGACTCCACTCCTGGAGGGCAGGAGTCATGTCTGCCTTATCCATGGTCCTCAGCCCTTAGCAAGGGGCTTGGCACAGAAAACCGGTAGTTTGTCTTTGATGAATGGATGGTGCCACCCATGTATGGTTTTCTATTGAATTTCATGAGTACCTGCTGGGGCCAGCGTGGCACAGTGGGAAGGGCCCCCAGCGACGTGGCCTGGGAGTGGAGCGTCTGCCTTGGTGGAACAGAACAGTTACGCTCTTGCCTCGTGAGGAGCCTTGAGCAGGTATAGGCGGTAACAGCAGGCACAGTGCCTGCACAAGCCTAGCGCTCTCCCCACCATCTCAGGAGGATTCTCTTAGCCACCCAACAGTCGCTGGGATTCGAACCCTGGCAGTCTTGCCCTGGGGTGTGCTGGACATAAAAGTTTGGCAACACGTGAGCTGGTGACCAGCTCTGGGCTGAGGAGGAAAACGGGGCTGTGGGCCAGGCCCAGAGAGAAGCCCACAGCCTGGCACCTGGCCTCCTTGTCCAGACCAGATGAGCTGGTACGAAATCCTCAGGAGCCCCAGCCTGGGCCCAGGGAGGAGGGCAGCTTGGGCCACGTGGCCAGGACACCAGCTCCCGGGGGAGGCGGGCAGCGGCATCTGAGCAGAGCAGGGCACTCCAGGCCAGGCAGAAGGTGGGTAAAGGCAGCTGCCCACGAACCAGAGGGCAGTCCTCAATGGAAGGGCCACCAGCCGTGCCTCACCCATGTCCTGTGGTCGGCTGGGCAGGTTCAAGGCAACACTGTGGCTGAGTGAAGAGCACCCGCTCTCCCTGGGTGACCAGGTGACCCCCATCATCGACCTAATGGCCATCAGCAACGCTCACTTTGCCAAGCTGCGCGACTTCATCACTCTGCGCCTTCCACCTGGCTTCCCCGTCAAAATTGGTGAGAGGCTGGGCACAGGCAGCGGGAGGACCTCAGGCATGGCACCCTCCCTCAGCGCAGTCCCTGGAGAGCTGCAGGGGCCGGAGGCACAGGTGGCTCTCCGCCAGGGCTCAGGCGTGGCTGTCTTCTCACAGAGATTCCCCTTTTCCACGTGCTCAATGCCCGCATCACCTTCAGCAACCTGTGTGGCTGTGATGAGCCCCTGAGCTCCGTGTGGGTGCCGGCCCCCAGCTCTGCTGTTGCCGCATCAGGTACCCCAACGGGAGGAAGAGGGAGCCTGCACAGCTTTCTGGTCACCAAGCCCCGCGGGTTGAGCGTGGCCCCTCTGCCACCTGCCTAGGGAACCCTTTCCCGTGCGAGGTGGACCCCACCGTGTTTGAAGTGCCCAACGGGTACAGCGTGCTGGGCATGGAGCGCAACGAGCCCCTCCGGGACGAGGACGATGACCTCCTGCAGTTCGCCATCCAGCAGAGCCTGCTTGAAGCGGGCACTGAGGCGGAGCAGGTGGGACTTGCCCAGGGGGTGGGCTCTGGCCTCTGCAGCCACACGGCAGAAGTGACAGCTGTGGGCTCTGGTGGCTGCAGGTGACCGTCTGGGAAGCCCTGACCAACACCCGGCCCGGTGCCCGCCCTCCTCCCCAGGCCACGGTTTATGAGGAACAGCTTCAGCTGGAGCGGTGAGCCCCTCATGGGGCTGGCTGGGTCCCTGTCCCCCCAGCCCTGGCTTGGCGGGGAGGGGGATAGCAGGAAGGTGCTAGGACCCCAGGCCCTCTGCAAGGCCACCCTCTGTCAGCAGCGCTATCTGCCACCAAAGGTGGTGTGAGGGGTGGGGAAGCAGGGCCCTGCCTTGTCTCCTCTGCTTGCCACCCTGTCTTTGCCTTTGTCCTCCAAAGCCGGTCCCCAGCCCCTCGGCTTCTGCCCCAGCCTTGGCGCTCACTGGCCTGTTCTTCCCTCCCCTGCCCTGCCTGGAAGGGCCCTCCAGGAAAGCCTGCAGCTGTCCACAGAGCCCAGGGGCCCAGGATCCCCTCCCAGGACACCCCCAGCCCCCGGTCCACCCAGCTTTGAAGAGCAGCTGCGCCTGGCCCTGGAGTTGTCTTCACGGGAGCAGGAGGAGCGGGAGCGGCGCGGGCAGCAGGAGGAGGAGGACTTACAGCGGATCCTGCAGCTGTCACTCACTGAGCACTGAGCCATAGCCCCGGGAGGGCTGGCCAGGCCACTCCCTGCCCGCTTTTGTAATTTATTTATTTATAAACTCTCTGCTGCTGAGCTTGGGGCCTGGAGCCCCAGGAATGAGCAGGCAGGGGAGACTGAGATGGAAATAAAGAGACTGTCGCAGCAGGGCTGCTCTGCTCACTGGGCTGGAGCGGTGGGGACCCTGAAGGTGGGGCGCTGTGGAGAGGCACTGTGGATGGCGGCCTCAGACCTGGGCTTGAATCCTGGTCATGGTCCCCTTAGCCTATCTGAGCCTCAGTTTCTTCAGTTGTAAAATGAGGAGACCACCCCCCACCCTCCGCCCCTCAGGGCTGAAAGGAGCTGGCGAGAGTCACGTGTCCTTACCAAGCAGGCGTCCTGTGAAAGTCAGATCCCCTGTGCCCTGTCCCACCTGCTGGGGACCCGGTTCGTCCTGCCACCCAGCCTAGTCTTCTGGAAACCGGCCCACGTGCCTGCTGGGGAGGAAAAGCCTGGGTCCCCAGGCACCATTCACCTCCAGCTGGGAAGAGCCCCGACGCCGACCCCTGCAGCCAAGCCCAGGCCCTGGCCCTGACTGCGGCTTGTTCTCTGCGGGTGGGTTTGCGCAAGTCACTTCCGCCTGCGTAGCTGGAAGCCCTGCCCTGCTCGCCTCCGAGGTGGACCTGAGAGCCCCTCATGGGCTTCCTGGGTTATTTGTAAACCCCAGGCCGTTTTCCCCGGAAGCCTGTCTTCCAGTGGTTCCTGCGGAGTGGGAACGAGAAGGCCGACCAGCAGGGAGAAATGTTTGGGGTGGGGGCCCTTGGCCGAGGGCGCGCCGTGCCTGATCCTCTCTAGACCTGTCCCCCACCTCCCCACCTCAGCTCTGCCTCCCTAGGACCCGCCTCTGCAGGGCACAGGACGCTGGAGGCCCAGAACAGCTCAGGTGCTCCCGCTGGGCCGGCCCGGGCCGGGCGCTTCCTGGGAGGGGGACCAAACTCCCGGCCTTCAGCTCTTGCCCTCCGGGTCTCCGGGCTCCGCACCTGCGCCCGCCCCCGGCCTCGCCCCTGACCTGTGCCCAGGGGCTGGGCGGGCCGAACAGCGGAGACCGGAGGGGCGGGGCCCGGCCGCCCTGAGAAGCTCCGCGGGCCCGGCTGGGCGAGTGTCTGGCCCTTTAAGGGCCGCCCCCGAGGAGGTGCCAGGCCCGGGTGGCGCCGTCCGTCCTTCCTGGTCCTGCGGGTCCAGGACTGTCCGCGGGGTTGAGGGAAGGGGCCGTGCCCGGTGCCAGCCCAGGTGCTCGCGGCCTGGCTCCATGGCCCTGGTCACAGTGAGCCGTTCGCCCCCGGGCAGCGGCGCCTCCACGCCCGTGGGGCCCTGGGTGAGTGTGGTCCGGCCGTGGTGCCGCCCACGCAGTTGCTGCCCCGGCTTGGGAGCGCGTCCTGCCCGCCAGCGGGCTCCTCTCGAACGGGGACATGAGGAGGGGGCCCCGGGGCTCGGGCTGGAGGGCGCTGGGGGCCTCGAGGGTCTCTGGTACTGGCGCCGGGGCACAATCCAGAGCCCTGCGCGCCGCCCGGGCTGCGGAGGCCCCGATCTGAGCGCGCCCCCCGCCACACTCGGCGCCCACCCAGCCGACCTGGCCTTGGGCCGGGGCTCCACGGGGCCTCCCGGTGGGGCGTGGACTGGGGTGGGAAGACGATTGGCATCTGGCGCCTTTTCTGGCCTCCCCCAACTCTAGAATTCCTGAGAGAGGGGAGGGGACAGCCCTCCCCGCCCTCACCCTGCCCTGGGGCTGCTCTCTCCGCAGGACCAGGCGGTCCAGCGAAGGAGTCGACTCCAGCGAAGGTGAGCGCCACCTCCCCCACGCAGACACTTCCGTCTGCCCCGGGCCTGGCCACGGCCGTCCTGGGCTCCAGCTGCAGGGACAGAAAGCTCCCCGGAGGACGCGCAGCGAAGCCCACTGCCAAATTTGTGGGGCAGCGTTCCCGGTGGGGCCGGCTGGTGGGCTCGCGGTAGGGCGGCCTTTGCCTTCACCCTCCCCCTGGTCAGCTGGGGCTTCCTCATCCACTGCCCTGGGCTTTGGCTCAGGTGGTGGCCACGGGCCGAACGGCAGGAGGGCATGATGGGCCTGAGGACTCCTGGGTCCCCGACCATGTTCCCAGCAGCACTTGAGTTAAACAGGTGGGAGGGGAAAAGGAGCAGCCCCCTCTCCCCACAGATGAGCTAGAGTAGAGGGGCTGAGAGCTTGGAAGCCCCCAAGACTGGTTCTCAGCAATATTGCCAAGGGGCCGAGGGGTTAGAAATGCAGATGCTCAGGCCTCCACTCTAGACCTATCGACCGCGTGGGGGCCCATGAATCCGTGTAGACAAGGGCTGCAGGTGAATGTGATGCATGCTAGACTTTGAGAGCCCCTACCCTAAGGGGAATGAGGAGCCATGACAGTTGCCCACTGCCCTGCCAGGCAGAGCTTTGCGGTGCTCCGTGGGGCTGTCCTGGGACTGCAGGATGGAGGGGACAATGATGATGCAGCAGAGGCCAGTTCTGAGCCAACAGAGAAGGCCCCGAGTGAGGAGGAGCTCCACGGGGACCAGACAGACTTCGGGCAAGGATCCCAGAGTCCCCAGAAGCAGGAGGAGCAGAGGCAGCACCTGCACCTCATGGTACAGCTGCTGAGGCCGCAGGATGACATCCGCCTGGTGAGGGCCCATGTGGAGCTCCGGGGGGTGGGGGGAAGAGACACGCCTGAGGGCAGAATGGAGCCCTGTGTATGTGTCTGCTTGGGGAGCAATGGTGTGAGGGCAGGGGGCAGCCTGGGGAGTGTTGGGGTTACCCATATCCCAGTGACCCTGCTGTTTCAGGCAGAGATGTTTTGTTTTTTGTTTGTTTTTTTTTTGAGATGGAGTCTCGCTCTGTTGCCCAGGCTGGAGTGCAGTGGCGTGATCTCGGCTCACTGCAAGTTCCACCTCCCGGGTTCACACCATTCTCCTGCCTCAGCCTCCCGAGGAGCTGGGACTACAGGCACCCGCCACTATGCCTGGCTAATTTTTTTTGTATTTTTAGTAGAGATGCGGTTTCACCGTGTTAGCCAGGGTGGTCTCAATCTCCTGACCTCGTGATCCGCCTGCCTCGGCCTCCCTAAGTGCTGGGATTACAGGCGTGAGCCACCGCGCCCGGCCTGGGCAGAGATATTTTGACAGGGCGAGGTCATGGCTGCAGGTCTCTGGAAGGGAAAGAACAGGGGAGGTTTGTCCTGTGTGAGCCAATAGGGCCAAATTAGGTCCAAGGGGTGGGAATTCCAGAGGCATGTTTCTCCTCAACCAGTAGAAGACTTTCCTGATGATGTGAGCTGTCCCTAAATGGACCAGTGCACAAGGCAGGCTTGCTGGACACACACTGGGGGAGGGTGTGCTAGAGGGACCCAGGCAGAGGGGAGGAGGA
Source organism: Homo sapiens (assembly GCF_000001405.40). NCBI lineage: Eukaryota > Metazoa > Chordata > Mammalia > Primates > Hominidae > Homo > Homo sapiens. The sequence continues at coordinate 67,305,750 of NC_000011.10, forward strand.
CTCCAGCCCCACGGAGGAAGGGAGTCCAGGTGGAGCTGGAGCGCTCATGCTCAAATACTTGTGGAGACAGCTCGCCGTCCTCAGCAAGACGTGGCAAACAAGATGCAGTGAATCTTTGGTAAAACTGAATTTACAACAGAAGTATCATCCCCTATCGTGAGATTTTGTCCTTAATATTTCTTTGGTGATAAACATTTCTCAAATGAAATGATAGCATTTGCAAGTGACAGGGTAAAAAAAAAACAACAAAAAAAAACTGGCCGGGCGCGGTGGCTCATGCCTGTAATCCCAGCACTTTGGGAGGCCGAGGCGGGCAGATCACGAGGTCAGGAGATCGAGACCATCCTGGCTAACACGGTGAAACCCCGTGTCTACTAAAAACACAAAAAATTAGCCAGGCGTGGTGGCGGGTGCCTGTAGTCCCAGCTACTCGGGAGGCTGAGGCAGGAGAATGGCGTGAACCCGGGAGATGGAGTTTGTAGTGAGCTGAGATTGCGCCACTGCACTCCAGCCTGGGTGACAGAGCAAGACTCCATTGCAAAAAAAAAAAAAGAAAAAACCTCCTTCTTGCTGGGCACAGTGGCTCACGCCTGTAATCCCAGCACTTTGGGAGGCTGAGAAGGGAGGATTGCCTGAGTCCAGGAGTTCAAGACCAGCCCAAGAAACATAGGGAAGATCTCATCTCAACAAAAAACTTAAAAATTATCTGGGCATGGTGGCATGGGCCTGATGTCCCAGCAACTTGGGAGGCTAAGGTGGGAGGATCATGTGAGCCTCGGAGTTCGGGGCTACAGTGAGCTGTGATGGTGCCACTGTACTCCAGCCTGGGCGACAGAGTGAGACCCTATCTCAAAACAAAAACAAAAACAACCTCCTTCCTCAGCAGAAACAAAAAATGTGCAACCTATGTCAGTCCCATTCCCCGCTTTTTTCCACACAGTCCCTCTTTACCCACTGATTTTACATCTGGGAAGAGGGGGGATGGGAGAGGAAGGAGCAGGGTCAGCACTGTTCTGGGCCTGGGGTGTCTAGGTGGGGAGCAGGGTCCTTGGGGCCACTGTGACCCTGGGTTCCTCATCTCCCCCCAGGCAGCCCAGCTGGAGGCACCCCGGCCTCCCCGGCTCCGCTACCTGCTGGTAGTTTCTACACGAGAAGGAGAAGGTCTGAGCCAGGATGAGACGGTCCTCCTGGGCGTGGATTTCCCTGACAGCAGGTTCGAGCAGGGAGAGGAAAGGAGGGGCAAAGAGGTGAGGGACAGGGGGGACAATGGCTTTCCCTCTGTCCCCTGCCAGCTCCCCCAGCTGCACCCTGGGCCTGGTCTTGCCCCTCTGGAGTGACACCCAGGTGTACTTAGATGGAGACGGGTAAGCAATGGCAACTGGAGGTGGGGGCTGGAGGGTGGAATAACTGAGTGTGACGGATGTGACGGGGCCTGGGCACCAGGGTACAGTAGAACTTTAGGCTGGGACTCTGGGGCCTGCTCCCAGCTCCACGTCAGATTCACCGTGATCCTGAGCAAGGCACCTGACTCCTGGGTCTCGGCTTCCCGTATCCAGCAAAAGGATGGGTTCTCTGTCGCAGAGCCTGGAGTCTGGCCTCACCTGTGCCTGGTCTCCTGCAGGGGCTTCAGCGTGACGTCTGGTGGGCAAAGCCGGATCTTCAAGCCCATCTCCATCCAGACCATGTGGTAAGGACAGAGACTGCCTGGACTCAGGCCAGCCTCTCCTTCGAAGGAGGCTGCAGGGCCTGGGGAAGGGCAGCAAGGGAACAGTGTGACCCAGCCTCTCCTCCTGTCTCAGGGCCACACTCCAGGTATTGCACCAAGCATGTGAGGCAGCTCTAGGCAGCGGCCTTGTACCGGGTGGCAGTGCCCTCACCTGGGCCAGCCACTACCAGGAGAGACTGAACTCCGAACAGAGCTGCCTCAATGAGTGGACGGCTATGGCCGACCTGGAGTCTCTGCGGCCTCCCAGCGCCGAGCCTGGCGGGTCAGTGTGTGGAGGGGAGGGACTGGGTGGAGGGGAAGGCAGGATAATGCAGTGGGGGGCATGGTGGAGAGGGGAAAGGGCCCCTTGACTGAGGGGCTCTGCTCCCAGGTCCTCAGAACAGGAGCAGATGGAGCAGGCGATCCGTGCTGAGCTGTGGAAAGTGTTGGATGTCAGTGACCTGGAGAGTGTCACTTCCAAAGAGGTGGGCAGGGGGCCCGGGGACTGAGTCCCCTCTAGCAGGGGCTGCAAGCTTGCCTTTCCTGGGAGCCCTCCCCACCTTGCCTGTCTCCAGTCCTGAGCCATTCCTGGATGCCTTGGCCTTGGCCCTAATCCATCTAGATGGGATAGGGTGCTGTCCTCAGAGGTCCCAGAGGGAAGGTGGCAGGTTGGGCACTAGGAGAGCCCCAGCCTCTCTTGCCCTGGGCTCTGCCTGCAGATCCGCCAGGCTCTGGAGCTGCGCCTGGGGCTCCCCCTCCAGCAGTACCGTGACTTCATCGACAACCAGATGCTGCTGCTGGTGGCACAGCGGGACCGAGCCTCCCGCATCTTCCCCCACCTCTACCTGGTGAGCTTCAGCCAGGCCTGGGCCATGGGGACCGCTGGCAGCTGTGAGGGCGGCAGGCCAGGAGCAGAGGCTGGAGGAGAGGAGAAATGTGCTGTTCCCTCTCTCCCAGGGCTCAGAGTGGAACGCAGCAAACCTGGAGGAGCTGCAGAGGAACAGGTAGGGCTATGAGCCCCTCGGGCCACCCACCCCATCTTCCCTTCTCCTGGCCTCCCCGCATTGGGTGGTAGCCAGCTTCAAAAACCCCTGGACCACCCTCAGCAGCTGCTAGCTCTGCTTCTAACTCTGTCCTGGGGCTGTTGCCCTGGTGTGGGCTCCCAGGTGGGGACAGGAGACCTGCTGGCCAGCCCCCGCCCACTCTCCTCCCCCATCCACACTGTGAAACAAGGACAGAAACAAAGGGCCTCAGCCACGCCAAGACGAGAAGCAGCAGCGCATACTGCTGTAACTGCCTTGGACAAGCAGAAAAAGGCTCCTCTTGAATGCGCCTGTGGGCCCAGCTACTTGGGAGGCTGAGGCAGGAGGATCGCTTGAGCCCTGGAGATTGAGGCCGCAGTGAGCCGTGATCACGCCACTGCACTCCAGCCTGGGCAACAGAGAGAGACCCTGTCTCTAAAAAATAAGAAAAAAGAAAGAGAGAAAAAGCCTTTTCTCCACCTTGCCCTGTCTCAGGGAAGAAGGAACTGCCCTTCTCCCCGTGGGGACCTGGCTGCCTGCTCTGACAGGTACCTGTCATCTGCCCACCATGGGCTTCTGGGACCTGCTGTAGCCCCTGCCACCCACTGCTGCAGACCCACCCACTCTCAGCTTAGCTCAAAAGCTGTTCTCTAACTCATTTCTGAGAATAACTGAAGGGCTGGAGTTGCAGTTGGCCCAGCTGTCTGGACCAGATGGGGAAACAAGCCCAGCAGGGCAAGATGATTGGTCTAAGGTCGCAGCCAGGTGACAGCTGGGTCACTTCTCCTCCCACTGTCACTGCTGCCTCCATCTGACTTGAAACTCAGAGCTAAAGCGAGGCCCAGGGGCTGCCAGGTCCGATTGCCAGTGGGCCTGGTACCTCTGCCCACATCAGCCTGGCCTTGGGCCCTCTGGGACAGGGTCACCCACATCTTGAACATGGCCCGGGAGATTGACAACTTCTACCCTGAGCGCTTCACCTACCACAATGTGCGCCTCTGGGATGAGGAGTCGGCCCAGCTGCTGCCGCACTGGAAGGAGACGCACCGCTTCATTGAGGCTGCAAGGTCGGTCTCCTGGCTTTGCTGCCTGCCCCACTGTGGCTTCAAGCGGCCTCCGGTGCCCTCCTCCTGCCCACTCTGCCATCAGCTGTGCCATTCCTTCCAGCCCTCAGTGTCCTTCCCTCCTTCTCTACTCTCAGTTGGTTGTGAGCCCTTCACCTGCCCTCCCCTGCAGGAGGCGGGATCCTTCATGGTGAGGGGAGGGTGCTGAACCTGGCCTGCTTCCACAGAGCACAGGGCACCCACGTGCTGGTCCACTGCAAGATGGGCGTCAGCCGCTCAGCGGCCACAGTGCTGGCCTATGCCATGAAGCAGTACGAATGCAGCCTGGAGCAGGCCCTGCGCCACGTGCAGGAGCTCCGGCCCATCGCCCGCCCCAACCCTGGCTTCCTGCGCCAGCTGCAGATCTACCAGGGCATCCTGACGGCCAGGTATGGGATGGGAGCGAGTGGCAGGGGGTGAGTAGGTGGGTTTGCTGGGGGTGGCTGCTGGGTCACTCAGAGCTGACTCAGGGCCACCTCCTCACAGCCGCCAGAGCCATGTCTGGGAGCAGAAAGTGGGTGGGGTCTCCCCAGAGGAGCACCCAGCCCCTGAAGTCTCTACACCATTCCCACCTCTTCCGCCAGAACCTGAGGGTGGTGGGGAGGAGAAGGTTGTAGGCATGGAAGAGAGCCAGGCAGCCCCGAAAGAAGAGCCTGGGCCACGGCCACGTATAAACCTCCGAGGGGTCATGAGGTCCATCAGTCTTCTGGAGCCCTCCTTGGAGCTGGAGAGCACCTCAGAGACCAGTGACATGCCAGAGGTGAGGCTGGGGCTGGGGGAGCTCAGCTTGCAGGGGTGGGGGCCATAAGGAGGGAGATGGGGAAAGACCAGGATGGGCGTTTGACTGTAGACCTGAGCAGGGCGTACCCGGGCTAAGTCTGGCCCGCCCATGCAGGGTGTCCTGGGAGGACCCAGGGGGCCTGGTCCCAGCCTCCTTCACAGTCAGCCCAGTATCTCTTAGCACCCGGCGTCTCCAGCCTGTCCCATGAATACCCCTGAAGATGGGGACCAGCCACGTCCTGGGCCCCTGAGAGCAGCTGAGATCCAGTGAGGGCAGGCGGAGGCACTGTAGGCACAGGCTGGAGAGGGGTCACGGGGGCAGGGCAGGAAGCAGTGCCTGTTTCCAAGGCTCCTGGGTGAGCCAGCCCCAGCCTCGATCGCGGGCAGGTTCCAGCCTGACCACAGGACTAGCTGTCTCAGGGGCAGGGCTGCCTCCCCAGGCCATGAGCTCCACAGGCCCCTGCAGGCCCTGGGGGCGATCTCTAACCCCATGGTGGGGAGGCTAAATTAATCTCTGAAGCCCCTCCCTGGTCTGAGGAGCAGCACCTCAAAGGATGGGGTGGGGAGGAGTCTGCGCACTCACGCCGCCCAAGTCCTGCCTAAGTCAGCACCCTTGATGCTCAGTGCTGCGGGCACAAGCCTAAGCCTGGGAGCCAGGCCCTGTCTGGGACTCAAGGCCAAATGGCTGACTTGGAGGAAGGAGCATCCACTGAGGGCAGGAACATTTGGGAGAGGCTTCCTGGAGGAGGTGTGGGTGGGGAAGGATAGGGAGGCGTGGTGGGTTGATGGGCGGGTGTGGGCGTTGCTAAAGGCAAGAGGTCCTCACCCAGCACCGGACGCACGCATCCACCCAGCCCAGCTCAGGGGCTGGTGCCGGCACGGGTTTCACCTGCCGGCTGCCTACGCAAAGGCAGAGAAAGCATAGGAGGGGAGGAGGGCAGGGAGGCCTGGGTCTCCAGGGAGCTGAGGAGGGCTTCTGGGGGCCAGAAGGAAGCTACAAGCAGGTAGGGTTCAAGGAGCGGGGCAGCAGGGCTGGGGTGTTGTCCTCCCTCCCGAGGAAGCGTGGCTGTGGACAGCTTGGCTTTTGGCGTGCGTGCCACAAACATTCCGGCCCTCGCCTCCTCCTGGCTCTGTGCTTGGCACCCCTGCCCCAGATCTTCCCGGCTCTGTGCTTGGGCACCCCTGCCCCAGAAAGGCCTCCCATGGCTTCCGTATCCTCACACCTGTCCAGGTCTTCTCTTCCCACGAGTCTTCACATGAAGAGCCTCTGCAGCCCTTCCCACAGCTTGCAAGGACCAAGGGAGGCCAGCAGGTGGACAGGGGGCCTCAGCCTGCCCTGAAGTCCCGCCAGTCAGTGGTTACCCTCCAGGGCAGTGCCGTGGTGGCCAACCGGACCCAGGCCTTCCAGGAGCAGGAGCAGGGGCAGGGGCAGGGGCAGGGAGAGCCCTGCATTTCCTCTACGCCCAGGTTCCGGAAGGTGGTGAGACAGGCCAGCGTGCATGACAGTGGAGAGGAGGGCGAGGCCTGAGCCCTCACACATGCCCACGCTCCCCTGACACTGAAGAGGATCCACAACTCCTTGGAGAAACACCCTCACGTCTGTTGCCGCACACATTCCTCTCAGCTCCGCCCCATACCCGTCACTACAGCCTCACCTCCCACCCCTGTCACTACGGCCTCACCTCCCACCCCTGTCACTACAGCCTCACCTCCTACAGCCTTAAGTCCCAGGCCCATGTCTGCCTGTCCAAGGGCTCAAGACTTTCTAACTGGGATGTGGTAGAGGGACTGAAGGTACCTTTGGGGGCAACAGCACCCTAGTTTCATTCTCAACTCTAGCCCTGCACACTCACCTGTGGCACGGAATGAAAACAGAGCTTCCCGTGCAAAAAGGGTCACGCCTCCCACCCCCGCCCCCTCCCTGCACCTCCTGTCCTCTCCCAGTTCATTCCTGGAACCAGCCAGGCCAGGCAACCAGTGGCCCCCAAAGGCAGGCAGGATCCTCAGGCCCCAGCCGCGGGAGGCTGGAAGGGCTGGCAGATCGCTTCCCTCATCCACCTCCACCGGTCCAGGTCTTTGCTGCTGTCCCCAGACCTCCTGTGACACCACGCCAGATCACAGGGCACCAGGCCAGAGATAGTCTTCTTTTTGTCCTTTCTGGCCTCTGGCTAGTCAGTTTTTCATAGCCTTACAGTATCTGGCTTTGTACTGAGAAATAAAACACATTTTCATATTTGGTTATTTTCAATGTGACGATGAAGCCATCTGTGTTGCAGTCAGACCCTTCTCTGCTGGCTGGGGAAGGTGGCCGCCCCTTCCTCCCAGCAGTCTCCTCACAATTCCAAGGTGGCTCGTGACAGACCTATTTGGGGGAGTGCCGTGTTTGGGCGTGGCGTGGGAGGAAGATTGGGTAAGAGAAGAGAGGAAGTCAGTGCTATCTCCCCATCTCCTGGGGCAGGGCCTGGTAAATATGACCTGCTCACACCCACCCGCTCAGACAGGTCGGGCAAGGGAAGAAGTCGTCAGCGGGCAGCAGGCATGTGGCTCCACTGTGAGAGCTGGAAGGGGTTACTCATGAGGAAGTGCCTACCTGGACAGGACCAAGCCTGTTCCAAAAGCGAAGCCTCCTTGGGACACTCGGCGCCAGGTTCTCTGGCATGTTTTGGGTCCCAAGAATCACCTTCCTCCTGCTACAAAGCAAAGGGCCTGACTTTCCAAGCCAGGCTATTGCGGCCTGGGAAGAAGGACCCTTGGTGACACTTCCCCTCCTGCCCAGGGGTTCCTTCTGCTCAACTTTAGTGTCCAAGAAGAGTTAGTCATTCCATCTTTTTTTTTCTTTTTTTGAGACAGAGTCTGGTTCTGTTGCCCAGGCTGGAGTGCAGCGGCACGATCATGCCTCAGTGCAGCCTTGAATTCCCAGGCTGAAGAGACCCTCTCACTTCAGCCTCCTGAGTAGCTGGGACCACAGGCACACCTAGCTAAGTGGTTGTATCTTTGTCACTTCCTTTTTTTTTTTGAGACAGGGTCTTGCTCTGTCACCCAGAATAGAGTGCAGTGATATGATCTTGGCTTTCTACAGCCTCAACCTCCCGGGCTCAAGGGATCCTCCTGCCTCAGCCCCTGAGTAGTTGGGACTACCTACATGTGCCATCATGCCTAGCTAATTTTTATCTTTTATTTTTTGTGGAGACGGGGTTTTACCATGTTGCCCAGGCTGGTCTCGAACTCCTGGGCTCAAGCGATCTGCATATCTCGACCTCTCAAAGTGTTGGGATTACAGGCGTGAGCCACTGCGCCTGGCCCATCTTTGTCACTTCTATCCCTCTTCCCAAGATTATGTATGCTCTCTGCTCTATGATACATTACCCTGGTTTGGGGAAGGGGCCGGATTCAACTCCTTCCCTCAAAGCAGTCCTTAGAGATGGGAGCTGGCACCAAGCATTCTCAGTGACTGAGACTTCACGCCCAGTTTTAAGAATGAATCTCTCACCCAGGCCCTGGTGGGACTCCTAGCACTGCTCTAACCCTGAAGTGCGCAGTGGCAGGAGACTTGGATTTAGCCCCAGCTTCACCACTTATGAATTACTTTGCTTTGAGTCTCTGTTTCTTTCTGTAAAATAAAGGGATTAGACCTGGAAATCCCCAAGTACCCCTCTTCACTTTGATGCATTTTATATTATTTATTATTTATTTATTATTGAGTACAGTGGGGTGATCTCAGCTCACTGCAACCTCTGCCTCCCAGGCTCAAGACATCCTGCCTCAGCCTCCTGAGTAGCTGGGACTACAGGGCCACCACGCCTGGCTACACTTTGATACATTTTAACAATACATGCTATCTAGACATTGCTAGATTAGCCTCTACCTCCCTTCCAGAAGAGGAATCCTTGGCACCTATCTGGGTGGTATGCCTAAGGGTCACAAGATGTGGGGTACATGCAAGCTAGTTCTGATTCTTGATCCATCCTGCTGAGCAAACACTGGGGGCTACCCCCCACTCTGTGGCCAACTAGGAGTCCTACCCAGGCTGCCCTTTCAGTATTCCTGGCCTAGGGCTGCAGATGGGTGGGGTGGTGGTGAGAGTGTCGGGGTAAGCCAAGGCCAGGCCCTGCCCCTCCTGCAGCCTGTGCATCTCAGAAGGCAGGTCCAATCAGGAACTCAGAGCTGTGGGGCTCACTAGAATCCACTAGAATCCAGGAGGATTCTAAGAAGTAAGAAGTCAGCAAACAGGGAAATGAAGACTGGAGGGGAAACCGCATCAAAAATACAGACAAGAGGGTGCCGGGTGTGGTGGCTCATGCCTGTAATCCCAGCACTTTGGGAGGCTGAGGCAGGCGGATTGCTTGAGCCCAGGAGTTCGAGACCAGCCTGAGCAACATGGTGAAACCCCATCTCTACAAAACAAAACAAAACTACAAACAATTAGGAACCCTATTGGCTGGGTGCAGTGGCTCACGCCTGTAGTTCCAATACTTTGGGAGGCTAAGGTGGTTGGATCACCTGAGGTCAGGAGTTCGAGACCAGCCTGGCCAATGTGGCAAAACACTGTCTCTACTAAAAATACAAAAATTAGCTGGGTGTGGTGGCGTGCACTTGTAATCCCAGCTATTTGGGAGCCTGAGGCAGGAGAATTGCTCGAACCTGGGAGGCTGAGGTCGCAATGAGCCAAGATTGCGCCATTGCACTCCAGCTTGGGTGACAGAGTGAGACTCCGTCTCCAAAAAAAAATAAAAATAAAAAAAACCCTATGTATACACAAAGCTCACCCAAATTGCTAAAGGGGCAAAAAATAATAAGAAGGATATAAAATGAAAAGTAAATCTCACTCCTACTCTGTCCTCTAGTCCTTCACATCTACTCAGGCAATGACTTGTTACCAGCTGCCTTTGATGCCCTCCAGGTACCCCATGCTTATGTAATCAAATATATTGGTATGTGTATTTTTTAAAAATACAGACAATAGCATGTTAACATACTATTCTACACTTTGAAAATTGGTTCATATCAGAGTTCCACATCGGTACCGTGGTGTTATATATACATTGGTTTTCATCCAGGCTCCTGGCTCATAACCCTCATAGCCCTTGTTCAGTCTTTTGTTCTAATGTTGAGTGTGTCAGGCCTCAGGAGCAGGCCGCAGGAAACAACCTCTTGACATTCTGCCCTCCTCTCCCTTGCCCCAAGGCAGGGCTCTACTGTTCACCCTCACTTTCAGATTGTGGGTTATAAGACCCTCCCCAGAGAGACCCTCCTCCTCACTCTATACCCTGGTGTAAGGAATGCTGATGTCATGAAGCTTCCATTAAAAACCCAAGAGGACTGGCTTCTTGGAGCTCTGGGTAGCTGACCATGTGCAGGTTCCTCCCCGGTGGTGCACCTAGGGAGGGTGTGCACACTCCGCACCCTCCCCCGTGCACATCTTTTCACCTTTATCCTTTGTAGTATCCTTTATAATAAGCCACTAAACGTAAGTGTTTCTTTGAGTTCTGTGAGCTGCTCCAGCAAATTAATCAAACCGAAAGAGGGGATCGTGGGAACCCCAACTTGAAGCTGGTCAGGCAGAAGTTCTGGAGGCCTGGACTTTTGACTGGGATCTGAGGGGAGGGAGATGCAGTCTTGGGGGCTGAGCCTCAACCTGTGCGATCCGACACTATCTCCCGGTAGACAGAGTTGGAATTGAATTGGAGGCCACCCAGCTGGTCTGTTGCTTGGTGTGTGGGGAGAAAAACCCCACACCTTTTTTTTTTTTTTTTGAGATGGATTCTCACTCTTGTCCACCCAGGCTAGAGTGCAATGGCGCAATCTTGGCTCACTGCAACCACCACCTTCCAGGTTGAAGCGATTCTCCTGCCGCAGCCTCCCGAGTAGCTAGGATTACAGGTGCCCACCACCATGCCTGGCTAATTTTTTTTGGTATTTTTAGTAGAGATGGGGGTTTCACCATGCTGGCGAGGCTGGTCTCGAACTCCTGACCTCAGGTGATCCACCCGTTTCGGCCTCCCAAAACGCTAGGATTACAGGCGTGAGCCATTGCGCCTGGCCAACCCAATATCTTTGGTCACCAAAGTCTTACGTGTTGATAATTGTGATGGTGTGAGAGCAGAGGAAAAACGCCATTTGAGTTTTCCCCCCAAATAGTACATAAAAGATTTGCCTCATTTAAAAAATAACCACACATGTTCTATTTTATGGAATCCATCAGTTAAGTGGTCATTTATTGATGAACATTTAGGTTGTCTGAGGGCTCCCCCCCGCCCCCATTCCAGGTAATGCTTTATAAAGCACTTTTGTGGCCGGGCGGGGTGGCTCACGCCTGTAATCCCAGCACTTCGGGAGGCCAAGGCGGGTGGATAACGAGGTCAGGAGATCGAGACCATCCTGGCTAACACGGTGAAACCCCGTTTCTACTAAAAATACAAAAAAATTAGCCGGGCATGGTGGCGGGCGCCTGTAGTCCCAGCTACTCGGGAGAATGGCGTGAACCCGGGAGGCGGAGCTTGCAGTGAGCCGAGATAGTGCCACTGCACTCCAGCCTGGGCGACAGAGAGAGACTCCATCTCCAAAAAAAAAAATCTTTTCTTTTTTTTTTTTTGTGCCACGACGCTGGCTAATTTTCATATTTTTAGTAGAAGAGGGGGTCTCGCCATGTTGCCCAGGCTGGTCTCTAACTCCTGACCTCAGGTGATCCACCCCCTCCGTCTCCCAAAGTCCTGGGATTACAGACGTGAGCCACCGCGCCTGCCCCAATACCATCGTTTTCTAGAAATGAGGAAACTGAGGCTCAGAGAAGTAACTACTAATCTCTAACAGAGCCGGAATCAGATCCTAGGTTTCTAGATTCTCATTCCAAGAGACTAACGCGGGAGCGGGGAAGGTGGCTCCTGGGCAGTCAACTGACTGCACATTTCCGCCCAAGGCGGGACCTGGATCCAGAAGTGCTTGGAGCTCGCGGGTGGGAGGATCAGGATGACTGCTGCTCCCGGAGCCCGACTTCAACTCCCACCGGGCATAGGAGCCTCTCAGCAGCGCGAGGGGTCGCCCAGCCTGGACCTGGAACGCTTGCAGCACGACCGTCGCGCGCTTCCCTCCGGAACCAGCTCCCACCGTCACAGCCCCCTCCCTCGGCCGCTCCCGGCTCAGCCCAGGCTGGGGCGGGGCCTCGGAAGCAACTGCCCTCGCCCTAGCCAGGGCTGCCGCTTGTTAGGCCAAGTTTTCAAACGGCAAAATCAACCGCGCTGAAGAGACTGTGCCTCCTTCTCTTCACTCCGCATCCCAGACGCCTCAGAGAAACTACCTTTCAGACCTTCGCGGCCTCTCCTGCGCCCGCAGCGCCCGGCAGCTGGGGACCCGGGCTTAGCCACATCGACCGCAACGTTCGCGCGCCACCTTGTGTCCATTCCCTTAGCCTCCAGGGACAACCCGGAAACCACATTTCCCAGCGTGCCGAGCGCCTCTGCGCAGGCGCAAAGAGTTTCCCTCGTTGCCATGGGAACCTCGCCCCTTCTAGAGTCCTGGCCGCTTGACTCAGCTAAGCGCGAAGGTGTTGTTTCTTCCTGAGGTGCGCTGGGGCTGGGACCCGGTCTGCAGAAGGTCCAGGGGATGGCGTCGGGGGATTGAGGAGAGGAGACCAAGCCGGCCTTGCCTCCGGGACCAGCGCTTCCAAATTCTCTGGGGCGTCCCGGCGCGCACACGCTCCTGAGGCCTCGGCGTTCTGAGGAAAGGGGCTGGCGTGGCGACCCGGGTCCTCGAGGCCGAGATCTGGCTGTGGCCCGCGAAGCCCCGCTTGCCCGCGCCAGCGTCTTGTCACCCCGAGCCGAGGGCCTGCGCGCGGCCGACAGGTACTCCCGGGCGCTGGCAGCCCACGGGGAGGGTTCGCGGCGCAGGTGAACGCGGAGGTAGAATCAGACAGGGCAGTGAGTGCGCCCGGGGCTGGATCTGGCTCAGCCGCTGGTGGATTCGGAACCCGGGAGGCCCCCAGGCCCGGTGGGCTTCAGTTCCCACGCTCTGTAAAATGGGGCTTGGACTGGAATTCTAGTGTCCATTGAGATTCTGTTGCAGAGCAGCCCCCTGGCTCTGTGTGACCTACGAGTTCCTTCCTCTGTAAAATACGGAGGCTGAGACCGATGATCCTAACGTCTCTTCCTACGGTGCAGTATGTTACACACTGCTGGCCCCATTGCCCCTTATTGCACCCCAAGTGCAAGAAGAAAGAAGGGGACCTGGGATGATCTGAGCAAGACTCTCAGCTTGGGATCTAGAGTCAGAGAAACTTGGGTTTGTGACTTTGGGCAAAGTTAGGACATCTCTTGAGACTCAGCTTCTTCATTTGCAAGATTGGGGATAATGTTAATACTACCTCAGGTTTTTGAGGATTAAATGAGATGACGCATGTAAGTTTTTAGCCCAGGGACTGCATAGAGGAACTGCTATCCCAGGTCCCAACTATCGTTTCTGATAATTTCTACAATAGTCCCTAGCCACCATAAGACCTTTTCTTAATTTTTGAATTCACTTTATTTCTGGGCAAGTTCATTCTCCTAAGCAGGGCGGTTTTTTGCTTTTTGTTCGTTTGTTTATTTTGAGACAGGGTCTCACTGTCACCCAGGCTGGGGTGCGGTGGCGTGATCTCTGCTTACTGCAACCTCCTCCTCCTGGGTTCAAGCGATTATCGTGCCTCAGCCTCCTGAGTAGCTGGGACTACAGGCGTGTGCCATCGCTCCCGGCTAATTTTTGTATTTTTTGTTAGAGATGGGGTTTCACCATGTTGGCCAGGCTGGTCTCAAACTCCTGGCCTCAAGAGATCTGCCCGCCTCGGCCTCCCAAATTGTTGGGATTACAGGCGTGAGCCACCACACCTGGCTAGGCAGGATGGTTTTATAGGCTGATTTTGATGGGGAAACTTGAGTCTTTTCACCCAAGGTTGGATGCTCAAGGCCAGTGTATTGCCTCCCTTCAGCTGTAGGCTGAATTATAGCGTTACCACACAGCATTTAGGGAGGATGCAGGCTTAATGCCACATAGTAGGGTGGATACTTAAGATTCATAGAGGATGTGAGTACTTATGATGCAAAAACAGCTGAATATAGAATTATGTATTTACATAAGACTGGTTACTTTCATGGTTATAAAGAATGCGTAAGAATTCTATGCTGCTTGCATTGAGTTCAAGCTTTGTGTTAATTGAGAAAATTGTAACAAGGAGTTTTAAATTAATGAAAAAAGTATTTTAAAAATCTGGGAACATCCAATAATTTCACGAACAAGCCTTCATTCGTCCAACAAACATCTTTATATGGAAGCTATATTCCGTGAAATTTTTTTTTTTTTTTTGAGACGGAGTCTTGTCTCACTTTGTCTTTCAGGCTGGAGGGCAGTGGTGTGATCTCGGCTCACTGCACCCTCTGCCTCCTGGGTTCAAGCGATTCTCCTGCCTCAGCCTCTCAAGTAGCTGAGATTACAGGCACACGCCACCATGCCTGGCTAATTTTTGTATTTTTAGTAGAGATGAGGTTTCACCATGTTGGCCAGGCTGGTCTTGAACTCCTGACCTCAGGTGATCTGCCCACCTCAGCCTCCCAAAATGGTGGGATTACAGGTGTGAGCCACCACGCTTGGCTTTCCATGAATATTTTTTGAGCACCTACTGTGTACATGGAACTGTGCAGGGTGCTGTGAGGGATATGAAGATGTATAAGACACTCTCTGCCCTCAGGAAATACAGTCTAGTAGAGGAGATCAATTATGCATTTAAAACATATAAAATTCAAGTAGAAAGTGATGTGTCATAGAGAGGTCCAGGTTACTGCTCTGAAGATTCAGAGGCAGGAGAGATCGCTGTCGAGTCACACTGTGTAATGAGAGAATCAAGAAGACAGCTTCTGAACCTCCTAAAGCATGTAAACAATGTGGATATGCCAAGAAGTAGGGAAAAGATATTCTGGGCACCCATTCCATAGCTTTGAGATACATGAAGAAGAGCTATCTGCAGCCCTGATTAAATGGTGAGCTTCTGGGAGGCAGGGACTAGATTTTGGTCAGCGTTTTCCTCCCCTGATTGGCACATGGTTGCCATGGTAAATATTAGTGAATGAATAGGGGCTATGAGTTTCCTGTAGAGAGGAATGGAGCTGTGGTCTCTATATTACCCTGAAGCTCTTTTATTAGACTCACCTGCTGTCTCAGAGCCATTCTTCTAGGGGAAGGAAGCGAATGGGCAGATGATTATGGGGCAAGGGCCATATTGTTGGCATCTTTGGCACAGTACCAGCTGAGAGCCCAGGGAACAAGGTCTCATCAATGGATAGGGGGTTTGTGAGCCTCTTTCCCTGGAACTAAGGTGAAGAACCATGAGGGAAGGAAACGGAAGCATAGGACCATGCAGCAGTCCTCAGGCCAGTGATGGACACTCCCTTGACTCTTGTGTCCATTCTTGGCTTTTCTTTTTCTATGGCTCCTTCCTAGGGAGATTTCTCTCCCATCTGTGACCCAGTTGGGAGTGGGAAACTGTGTCCACCATGCCAGCAGATTGCCAAGGCCTGCCGCTGCTGCACAGGAAGGAAGCTGACTTCAGCCAGGGCCCTGCCATTCTCCAGTTCTGTCCAGGGCTGAACCTGCCCTAGGAGCTAGCCTTGAAGGAGACCCCTTAGAGACAGGTGTCTAATGGCCTGTGGAGGGGAGAATGACCTCAGGAGCTGGGATAGCAAAAGTAGAAAAGGTTGAAAGGAGAATGGCTTGAGGACAGGGCAAATCCTCCCAAGTCCTGTTTAATTCATCCAAGGTCTAGATTCCCCGTGGAATGTTTTGTTGCTCAGAAGGTGGAGTCATCCTTAGAACAAGGAAGCTGGGGAGAGATTAAGCAGGTGCAACCAGACAGGGGATAGAGCACAACTGGCTGTCCTTTTTGTCCCTAGATATGGGATGCTGGAGGACATCTGGGGGCCACAAATGCTCCTTCTCCTGGAGACGCAACTCAAGGTGAGCCTTTACACCATCCTTCTGGCAGCCCGTGCTCCCTCTCCAGAGAATGGTTCTTCCTTTTCATCCTCCTTTCCCACTTCACTCCCGCTCCACAGGCTGCAGGTAAGGGCCTGCAGTGTGTATCAGGATTTCCTTATAGCTAAGTGCATGTGAAGCCTGAGTAGCTCCAGGCCTGGTACTTGATAAGAGGTTATGACAGCCCAGTGCCTGCCATGGAGGCCTCTGTCCACCTACTTCAAGGGCGTTATGGTCCTATACAGTTTACTAAGCACTGGCACTTACATGTGATCTCATTTGACCTCAACAGCTGTAAGGTCTTGTATTGTGACTTTCACTTTTCCACGTGAGGGATCTGATTTCTTAGGTTGTAGGTCAAAGAACTAAATGATGCCACTGAGAGCAGTGATCTTTCCACCACCTCCATAATCACTGACAGGGTGCCATCTGCCTGCTAGTGAGAGCACGGTCCTAGGTTAACCTGAAACTAGACCAAGACTCTCCTTTGTTCCCATTTCAGCTAGAATTTACTGCCCATTTTCCTCAGCGTCTTATCTCAGCACAGCTTCTGCCTGTCATTGGACAAGTTTGATCTGAGTTTCTCTCTCACTCTCATGCTCTCAGTACATGCTGACTTGTTCTCAGGGCACTGAGAACTTGTGCTCTTCCCCTTGACTCTGCCAGGTGCACCCTCTCCCAGATAGGCACCCTGGGTAGCTGTGAGACTTCAGGGGATTCTGTATCTGGGTTAGAGAACCAGGAATAGGAAAACTGTTCTCCCACTGGGTGGGGAAGGAAGTTAGCAAAAGTTTGCCTGATGGGATTGGCCTGGATAGTAATGCTACACCCTATGCGACCCCATCTCATTGGCAGCCCTGGCAGAGCAGCTCAGTGAGCCACAGAGGTAAAGGTGGAAGGTGAGTGCGGCAGGGAATGTAAAGGCTCAGGCTAAAGGCTAAAGCAGGGTCCCACCTGCTGGCATAACTCAAGCCAGAGCCATGGAGGCGGAGGTGGGAGACAGGTTTGGGTAAAGGAGGATGCCCCTGGGGAGAGGGAGCTGGTTATATGCATCCTACCTAATTTATCTTCATATGGCCTGAGAAGGCTTGGAGCTGGCCTGCTTTGCCCAGAACAGCAGCAGCCTGTCTCCCCAGGCAGCACACACTGCTGTGCAGCTCCTCTCTTGGTTTGGCAGACCGACTCCCATCCTCTGATGGCCCTCGAGAGACCTTTTTCACACCCTCCACCCTGCCTGGTGGCTCAGCTAGATGCCTCCCGCAGCTCTGTCCACCGTCTGAGATCTGATCATCCCAAATGTTCCTATGCCAGGCTGAACTCTGCCTTCTCAGAATGTCCTCACTCCTGCCAACCCAAAGCTCTTATTTTCAACACAGAAATGGGAAATTGGGAGGGAGGCTGAGTGCCATGGGGCCTAGAGCATGTGGTTTGGAGGCAACCAATGGAATCATTTTGGGGTCAATGGGATGCCTGAGCTGATAAGCAGAGATCCCCCGTCCCTACTCCCGAATATCCCTGTGGTGGGTGGGGCTGTGTATAGCAAGGCCTATATGCAGCAAGATCCACAGGTGGTCCTCACTTGCCTACCCCACCATCCTGCTCCAGCTTCACCCTCACCCTCCACCTCAGCCCTGTTCATTCCTCTCTTCCCTCTTTCCCTCCTCTCCTCCCTCTAGGTAGTGCAAGCAGCAGCTGTTGACCCTAGGGGCACATATGCTTGCCTGGCCTATCTGCACTTGAGCTTCCTACGGGTGCCCATCTTGGCCTGCATGCTGCAGGACTTGCGCTTCTGGGCAGATAGCTCTGATTCTTCTCCTCTTCAAAAGGAAAAAGGACTCAGATAAGAGAAGACGTTAGGGAAAGAAGACTTGGAAGTACATGGAGGCTAGATAGGAAGGAACTAGGTGGAAGGGATGCTGTCGGAGAATAACTGAAGGCACCAGGGGCCCAGGGTAGCTGTAAGGGCCTAATGGTCCCTGGGACTGGGTTGTGGGGCCAGGTGAGGCTGGTCTGATGGAGGAGCTGTTCTTGGAAGGAGAATTCTGTTTCTGGCTAGACCCTTGTTTGAGTACAAGGAACTGTGAAGGATCCATTTGACAGGAAGCCTAGGATAAAACTAAACTCATTCTTTTTTCTTACAGCTCACCTCTGAGTCTTGAGCTCCAAACCAGCCCCTCCTGCTGACTTTTCCATTATCAATAGTCTCCTATACCCAGTTGTAAATCTCAGGGTAACGCTGACTTTCCACATTTAATCAATTATCAGATTCTGATAGTCCTTCACAAAACAGTTGCCTTTTGTCCCCACTTCCTTTACCCAGCCGAAGTCCCTGTTCCTACGCCTCAGCTACTGTGATAACTTTACAGCTGGTGATGCCCTTTAGTCTGTCCAGAGCACCTTAACTACACAGACGTATTCATCCCTTCGCATGTGTTACTCCTGTGTTAAATGCCTTTGGTGTGCTCTCTATGGCCTGCCAAGTGCAGTACAGACTCTATTCTGCACTGGAGTGCAGTGGCGTGATCTCAGCTCACTGCAACCTCCATCTCCCGGGTTCAAGCAATTCTCCTGTCTCAGCCTCCCAAGTAGCTGGAATTACAGGCGCGTGCCACTGTGCCTGGCTAATTTTTGTACTTTTAGTAGAAATAGGGTTTCACCATGTTGGCCAGGCTGGTCTCAAACTCCTGACCTTGTGATCTGCCCGCCTTGGCTTCCCAAAGTGCTGGGATTACAGGCATGAACCACTGCGCCCAGCCCAGACTCTCTATTCTTTTTTTTTTTTTTTTTTTTTTTTGAGACGGAGTCTGGCTGTCGCCCAGGCTGGAGTGCAGTGGCGCGATCTCGGCTTACTGCAGGCTCTGCCCCCCGGGGTTCACGCCATTCTCAGACTCTCTATTCTTTTGCTGAAGGCCTTTTATGAATCTGATGCCAGCCTACCTTTCTGGCTTTATCTCCCAGAACATCCTACGATGTACCTTTCACTCTCATCAAACTAGACTACCGACTGTTTCTCGAAAAACTTTTTCCACCTCTTCACCTTTGCTTATGCTTATCTTTCTGTCTGGGAAGGTTCCTTCCACCATTCATCTCTCCATTTAAAAATATTTTTTGAGCACTTTTTATTTTGAAAAATTTCAGTGCAGAGAAGTTGAAAGAGTAGTACAGTGAACAGTTATGTAACCTACACCTAGATTTGCCAGTTATTATTTACATGTTTCTTTCTTTTCTCTCTTTTTTTCCTGGACCAACTGAAAATAAGTTGCAGGCATTATGACACTTTACCCCTAAATATTTTGGTCTGTATCTCCTCATAATAAGGACATCATTCTACATAACCACAATCCTTTCTTTTCCTTTTTTTTTGAGACTGAGTCTCACTCTGTCACCAGGCTGGAGTGTAGTGGTGCGATCTTGGCCCACTGCAACCTCCGCCTGCCAGGTTCAAGCGATTCTCCTGCCTCAGCCTCCCAAGTAGCTGGGACTACAGGCGTGCACCACCACGCCCAGCTAATTATTTATTTATTTATTTATTTATTTTCGCCCAGCTAATTTTTGTACTTTTAGTAGAGATGGGGTTTCACCATGTTGGCCAGGATGGTCTCGATCTCTTGACCTCGTGATTTGCCTGCCCTGGCCTCCCAAAGTGCTGGAATTAAAGGCGTGAGCCACTGCGCCTGGCCAGTCTTTTCTTAAAAAAAAAAAAAAAAAGTCTGGGATTGAGTGTGGTGGCTCATGCCTGTAATCCCAGCACTTTGGGAGGCCAAGGTGGGAGGATCGCTTAAGGCCAGGATTCAAGACTAGCCTGGACAACATAGTGAGATTCCCATCTCTACAAAAATATTTAAAAATTAGCCTCGGTGACAAAGTGAGACCCTGTCTCAAAAAAAAAAGAAAAAAATGAAGAAGAAGGAAAAAAAAAAAGATAATGTGATTATTAGGCCAGGTGTGGTAGCTCATGCCTATAATCCCAGCACTTTGGGAGGCCAAGGCAGGAAGAGCACTTGAGCCCAGGAGGTTGAGGCTACAGTGAGCAATGTTCTTGCCACTGCACTCCAGCCTCAGCGACAGAGTGAGACCCTATTTGTAAAAAAAAAAAAAAAAAAAAAAAAAAGTTAAAAATTAACTGGGCACGCCAGGCGCGGTGGCTCACACTTGTAATCCCAGTACTTTGGGAGGCTGAGGTAAGTGGATCACGAGGTCAGGAGTTCGAGACCAGCCTGGCCAACATGGTGAAACCCCATCTTTACTGAAAATACAAAAATTAGCCTGGCGTGGTGGCGAGCACTTGTAATCCCAGCCGCTTGGGAGGCTGAGGCAGGAGAATCGCTTGAACCTGGGAGGCGGAGGTTGCAGTGAGCCGAGATCACCCCACTGCCTTCCAGCCTGGGCAACAGAGCGAGATTCCATCTCAAAAAAAAATTTTTTTTTTAACTGGGCATACTGGTGCTTGCCTATAGTCCCAACTACTCAGGGGGCTGAGACAATAGGATGGCTTGAGCCCAGGAGTTTGAGAGGCTGCAGTGAGCCATGATTGCACCGCTGCACTCCAGCCTGGATGACAGAGTGAGACACCGTCTCTAAAAAACAACAAAAAATAAAAATGTGGTAAAATATACATAAAATTTACTATTTTGCAGTTTTAAAGTATATAGTTGTGGCATTACGTACATTCACAATGTTGTGTAACTGTGACCACCATCCATTTCCAGAACTTTTTCATCATCACAAACAGAAACTGTGTACCCATTGAATGATAGCTCCCCATTCCCCCCGGTAACCTCAATTCTACTTTCTGTCTGTGAATTTGCCTCTTCTAATTACCTCATATAAGTTGAGACACACATTATTTGTCCTTTGATGTGTGGCTTATTTCACTTAGCATGTTTTTAAGGTTCACCCATGTTGTAGCACATGTTCAGAATTTCAATTTTTTTTTAAGGCTGAATAATATTCTCTTATATGGATAGACCACATTTTGTTTACCCATTCATCTGCTGATAGACGTTTGGAATGTTTTAGCCTTTGGCTGTTGTGAATATGCCGCCATAAACATTGGTTTACTAGTATCGGAGTCACTGCTTTCACTTCTTTAGGGTACATACTAAGAGTGGAATTGCTGGATAATATGGCAATTCTGTTAACTTTGTGAGAAACTGCCACACTGTTTTACAAAGTGACCAAGAAATAAAAATGCAGTATTATTATCTAGACTACAGATCATAATTACATTTCTCTAAATATCCCTATGTTTTCCATTACAGCTTTAAAAAATATCTGATTCAGGATTGAATGAGGGATCACTGATTGTATTTGGTCGTCATGTCTCTTGATTCTTCCTTAATTTAGAATAGTCTTCTTGTCTTTTTGTTTTTCATGACATTGACATTTTTGAAGAATCCAAGCTAGTTGGATATCCTTCAATTTGGGTCTCTTTGAATATTTCCTTATAATTAGATTCAGGGTAAGCCTTTTTGCAAGAATACTACATAATACTACAAGAATACTAAGGATATTGTATAACATATTCTTCCTATTTGTTGCATTACTTTAGTCATGTAATGTTGCTTTATCCCATTATTGATAATACTGTGTTTATTTTATTTTTTATTTTTATTTTTCTTTTGAGGCGGAGTTTCACTCTGTCGCCCAGGCTGGAGTGCAGTGGCACGGTTTCGGCTCAGTGCAACCTCTGCCTCCTGGGTTCAAGCGATTCTCCTGCTTCAGCCTCCCTAGTAGCTGGGATTACAGGCATGCGCCACCATGTCCAGCTAATTTTTGTATTTTTAGTAGAGACACGGTTTCGCCATGTTGGCTAGGCTGGTCTTGAACCCCTAACCTCAGGTGATCTGCCCGCCTTGGCCTCCCAAAGTGCTAGGATTACAGGCATGAGCCACTGCACCCAGCCGATACTGAGTTTATTTACTTGGTTAAGATGGTATCTGCTAGATCTCTCTATTGACAAGGAACTCTTTTCCACGTGTAAAAATAAATAACTTGGATGGTAAGTTGAGACCATGCGAATATGCTTTTCCCCAGCAATCTATCAGCCATTGGCCTTAGCATTAATAATCCTTGCCTAATTTATTTATTTCATTGTGTTTGTAATTTTTATTTATTTATTTATTTAATTTTAGAGACAGGGTCTTGCTGTGTTGCCCAGGCTGGAGTGCAGTGGCTATTCATAGGCGCAGCCATAGCATAATACTGCCTCAAACTCATGGGCTCAAGTAATCCTCCTAATAATACGTAATATTTACAGATGGAATTTTTTTTTTTCCGAGACGGATTCTCACTCTGTCGCATAGGCTTGAGTGCAGTGGCGTGATCTCAGCTCACTGCAAGCTCCACCTCCCGGGTTCATGCCATTCTCCTGCCTCAGCCTCCCGAGTAGCTGGGATTACAGGCGCCCGCCACCACGCCCGGCTAATTTTTTTGTTTTTTTAGTAGAGACGGGGTTTCACGGTGTTAGCCAGGATGGTCTCGATCTCCTGACCTCGTGATCCGCCCGCCTCGGCCTCCCAAAGTACTGGGATTAGAGGCGTGACCTACCACGCCCGGCCAGAATATTTTTTTTTTTTGAGATGGAGTCTCACTCTGTCACCCAGGCTGGAGTGTAATGGTTTGGTCTCGGCTCATTGCAACCTCCGCTTCCCGGGTTCAAGCTATTCTCCTGCCTCAGCCTCCTGAGTAGCTGGGGCTGCAGGCACGGGCCACTACACCTGGCTAATTTTTGTATTTTTAGTAGAGACGGGGTTTCACTGCGTTGGCCAGGCTGGTCTCGAACTCCTGACCTCATGATCCGCCGCCCCCGTCAGCCTCCCAAAGTGCTGGGATTACAGGCATGAGCCACCCGGCCTATAGACAGAATCTTTACAGAGGTGTTTTTTTTTTTTTTTTTTTGGATGCAGTCCTGCTCTAACACCCAGGCTGGAGTGCAATGGCGCAATCTCGGCTTGCTGCACCCTCCGGCTCCCAGGTTCAAGCGATTCTCCTGCCTCAGCCTCCCAAGTAGCTGGGACTACAGGCACACACCACCACACCTGGAGATATTTTGTATTTTTAGTAGAGACGGAGTTTTGCTGTGTTGGCCAGGCTGGTCTCGAACTCCTGACTTCAGATAATCCACCTGCCTCGGCCTCCCAAAGTACTGGGATTACAGGCATGAGCCACTGCACCTGGCCTACAGAGGTTTTAAGTTAAAATGAGGTCTTAGGGTGGATGCTAATCCTCTATGACTGGTGTCCTCATAAGAGAAAATTCAGATATAGACACATACAGAGGAAAGATGATGTGGAGACAGCCATCTATAGGCCAAGGGGAGAGAACAGAACCTAGAACAGATCCTTTTCTCATGGCTCCCAAAAGGAATCAGCCCTCTCAACACCTTGATCTCAGACTTCTAGCCCCCAGAACTGTGAGAAAATAAATTTCTGTTGTTTCAGCTACCCAATCTGTGGTTCTTTGTTATGGCAACCTGTCTTAGTCTGTTGTGTGATGCTGTAACAGAACATCTGAGACTGGATAATGTATAAAGAACGGAAATTTATTCTCTCATAGTTCCAAAAGTGTTCAAGTCTTCTGATTGCGTCCTCACATGGCAGAAGGTAGAAGAACAAGAGAGAATGAACTCTGTGTCTTCACATGGCAGAAAAGCAGAAGGGCAAGAGAGAGTGAACCCACTCCCACAAGCCCTCTTCATAGTGATATTAATCCATTCATGAGGGCGGAGTCTTCATGATCTAAAAAATCTTAGAAGACCCCACCTTCTAGGCTGGGTGCGGTGGCTCACACCTGTAATCCTAACGCTTTGGGAGGCTGAGGCGGGCGGATTACCTGAGGTCAGGAGTTCAAGACCAGCCTGGTCAACTTAGTGAAACCCTGTCTCTACTAAAAATACAAAAATTAGCCAAGCTTGGTGGCACATACCTGTAATCCCAGCTACTCAGGAGGCTGAGGCAGGAGAATCGCTTGAACCTGGGAGATGGAGGTTGTAAGGAGCTGAGATTGTGCCACTGCATTCCAGCCTGGGCAGCAGAGCAAGACTCCATCTCAAAAAAAAAAAAAAAAAAAAAGACCCCACCTTCTAACACTATTGCGTTGGGGACTGCGCTTTCAACACATCAATTTTGGAGGACACCTTCAGACCATAGCACAACTCCAGCAAACTAATGTAGACCTATGCCCAACCATATTAATAACTACTTTCAATATAAACACTCCAATTTAATACTCCAACTAAAAGACAGCAGCCTGGGTGACAGAGTGAGACTCTGTCTAAAAAAAAAAATCAAGATCCAACTATATAATACCTAAAAGAAATATACAGTTGACCCTTGAACAGCATGGGTTTGAACTGCCTGGATCCACACAAGTTCCTTCCCTCCCCTCCCCTCCCCTTCCCTTCTTTTCTTTTTCCTTCTTTCTTTTCTTTTTTTTTTTTTTGACGGAGTCTTGCTCTGTTGCCCAGTCTAGAGTGCAGTGGTATGACCTTGGCTCACTGCAACCTCTGCCTCCCGGGTTTAAGCAGTTCTCTGCCCCAGCCTCCCCAGTAGCTGGGATTACAGGCACCTGCCACCACACCTGGCTAATTTTTTTTGTATTTTTAGTAAAGATGGGGTTTCACCATCTTGGCCAGGCTGGTCTTGAACTCCTGACCTCGTGATCCACCCGCCTTGGCCTCCCAAAGTGCTGGGATTACAGGCGTGAGCCACCATACCCAGCCAGGTTTTTTTCAATAAATATATTGGAATTTTTTTTTAGAGATTTGCAACAATTTGAAAAATGTACAAACAAACCACATAGCCTAGAAATATTGAAAAATTAAGAGAAAGTTCGGTATGTCATGAATGCACCAAGTATAGCTACTGGTCTATTTTATCACTTACTACAATGAAATATAGATAAATCTATTATAAGAAGTTAAAATTGGCTGGATGAGGTGGCCAAGACCTGTAATCAGAGCACTTTGGGAGGCCAAGCTGGGAGGATCACTTGAGGCACGTGCGTATAGTCCTAGCTACTCAGGAAGGTGAGGCAGGAGGATCACTTGAGCCCAGGAGTTTGAGGTCACAGTGAGCTGTGATCATGCCACTGCACTCCAGCCTGGGCAACATAGCCAGACCCTGTCTCTACAAAAAAATTGTTTAAAAAATTAGCTGGCCATGGTGGTACACACCTGTAGTCCCTGTTACTTGGGAGATTGAGGTGAGAGAATCGCTTGAGCCCAGGTTAAGGTTGCAGTGACCCATGATCATGCCACTGCACTCCAGCCTGAGTGACAGAGGGAGACCCTGTCTCAAAAAAAAAGAAAAATTTTGATGCCGTATTAAATCATAACTGCATAAAATTAGTACATACTGTACTACTGTAATAATTTCATAACCACCTCCTGTTGCTGTTGCATTGAGTTCAGTTGTTTCGAGTATCCACTTAAAATGCTGTGACACTAATCATCTCTGCATGAGCAGTTTGTCTATCTAGTAACTTGCCTATTGCAGTAAAAAGGTGATCTCTTGCAGTTCTCATGGAGTTTTCATTGTCTCGTGCAATGCCATCGACCTTGAATTTCAGCATAGGACCCATATGAAGTGCCACTGTTAATGCTGGGAGCACTCCAGGAAGCAGAGAAAAGTTATGACATTTCAAGAAAAATCTGAATTGCTTGATATGTTCCACAGATTGAGGTCTGTACCTATGGTTGCCCACTATTTCAATAGTCAGTGTAAGGACTATTGTAAAAAAAAAAAAAAAAAAAAATAAAGGAAATTGGTGAAGCTATACCAGGAGGTGTGAAAATCTTGCACTTTTTGCAAAATAACTTTTTATCTCATATTGAAAATTCACCTTTTATGTGCAGGGTTGCTATAAGAAAGGAGTACATGTAGACTCTAATATGATGTGAGAAAAAGTGAAGTCATTATATGACAACTTAAAGCAAAAGGAAGGTGAGGATCTAACGCTAGAGAGCTTAATGCCATCAAAAGATGGTTTGGTAGTTTTAGAAAGAGGTTTGGCTTTAAAAATGTCAAGAGAGGCTGGGTGCGGTGACTCATGCATATAATCCTAGCACTTTGGGAGGCCAAGATGGGAGGACTGCTTGAGCCCAGAAGTTTGAGACTAGTCTGGGAAACATGGCAAAACCCTATTTCTACTAAAAATCCTAAAAATTAGCCAGGCATGGTGGCATGCACCTATTGTTCCAGCTACTTGGGAGGCTGAGGTAGGAGAATCACCTGAGTCCGAGAGGTCGAGGCTGCAGTGAGCTGTGTTAGTGCCACCGCACTCCAGCCTGAGTGATGGGAGTGAGATTCTGCCTCAAAAGAAAAAAAAAAAAGGTCAAGATAACAGGAAAAGCACCTTTTACCTTCCAAGAGACAAAAGATGAGTTCTGAGATGCCAATAAGAAAATAACTGAGGCCCAGCGCGGTGGCCTACACCTATAATCCCAGCACTTTGGGAGGCCGAGGTGGGTGGATTGCTTGAGTTCAGGAGTTTAAGACCAGCCTGAGTAACATGGTGAAACTCTATCTCTACTAAAAAAAAAAAAAAAAAAAATACAAAAAATTCACCAGCTGTGTTGGCAAATGCCTGTAGTCCCAGCAACTCAGGAGGCTGAGGTGGGAGGATCACCTGAGTCCAGGAGGTTGAGGCTATAGTGAGCTGTGATTGTGCCACTGTACTCCAGCCTGGGCAATGGGAGTGAGAACTTGTCTCAAAAAAAAAAAAAAAAAAAAAAAAGAGGAGGAGAAAAGGTACCTGCCTGAACAGGTTTTTAATGCAGAAGAAAAGAGAAAACCACAAAAGACCTTTCTTAGTAAGGAAGAGAAGTGAGCAGTAGGATTTAGGAAAGAAAAGAGACTAACTCTATTGTTTTGTGCAAATGCAGTCAGGTTTATGATGAAGGCTGCCCTTATCTATAAATCTGCTAACCCCCAAGCCGAAGGGAAAAGAAAAACACCAGCTGCCAATTTTTTGGTTGTACAACAGGAAAGCCTGGACAACGAAAACCCTTTTTCTGAATTGATTTCATTGATACTTTGTCCCTGAAGTCAGGATGTACCTTGTCAGTAAGGGGATTGCCTTTTTTTGTTGTTTTTTGAGATGGAGTCCTGCTCTGTCATCCAGGCTGGAATGCAGTAGCATGATCTCAGCTCACTGCAGCCTCCACCTCCTGGGTTAAAGCAATTCTCCTGCCTTGGCCTTCTAAGTAAGTGGGATTACAGGCACGCACCACTATGCCCAGAGAATTTTTGTATTTTTAGTAGAGACAGGGTTTCACCATGTTGGCCAGGCTGGTCTCAGACCCCTGACCTCAAGTGATCCGCCCGCCTCGGCCTCCCAAAGTGCTGGGATTACAGGCGAGAGCTACCACACCTGGCCTGGGATTGCCTTTTAAAATTCTCTTGTTATTGGACAATGCCCTTGGCATTGAACCCCATCAGTTCAATACCGAAGGTGTCAAAGTGGTCTGCTTGTCTCCAAACACATCGTCTCTAATTCAGTCTCTAGATCAAGGGGTTCGTAAGGACCTTAAAGGCTCATTACACATATACATGGTACTCTATGGAAAGGACTGTCAACTCTATGGAAGCGAACCCTGATAGAACATCGTGAAAGTCTGGAAGGATTATACCACTGAAGATGCCATCATTGTTATGGAAAAAGCCATGAAAACCATCAAGCCTGAAACAATAAATTCCTCCTGGAGAATACTGTGTCCAGATGTTATGCATGATTTCACAGGATTGATGATAAAGCCAAGCAAGGAAATCATGAAAAAGATTGTGGATATGGCAAAAAAGATGGGGTGAAGGGTTTGATATGGATCTCAGAAAAATTGAAGAGCTTAATAGACACCACCCAAGACGAATTAACAGAAGATGACTCGATAGAGATGAGTGCTTCTGAACCTGTGCCAGATGAAGAAGAAGATGTAGAAGCAGCAGTGGCAGAAAATAATTAACATTAGTCTAGAAGAAGGGTTCTGATTATTCAGGACCACTTTTGACATTTTTTATGACATGGACCCTTCTGTGATGCAGGCACTGAAACTCAATCAAACAGTGGAAGAAGGATTAATACCATATAGCAGGGGTCCCCAACCCCCAGGCCACCGGAACCAGGCCATATAGCAGGAGGTGAGCAACGGGTGAGCAAGCGAACACAAGCTTCATCTGCATCTACATCTGCTCCCCATCACTTGCATTCCCACATAAGCACCACCTCTTGTCAGATCACAGGAGAGCGAACCCCATTGTGAACTGTGCGTGTGAGGGATCTAGGTTGCCAGCTCCTTATGAGAATCTAATGCCTGGTGATCTGTCACTGTCTTCTGTCACCCCAGAAAGGACCATCTAGTTGCAAGAAAACAAGCTCAGGGCTCCTACTGATTCCACATTATGGTGAGCTGTCTAATTATTTCATTATATATTACAATGTAATAATAATAGAAATAAAGCACACAATAAATACAAAGTGCTTGAATCATCCCGAAACTACCCCCTTAACCCCATCTATGGGAAAAAAGTCTTCCATAAAACTAGTCCCTGGTGCCAAAAAGGTTGGGACTGCTGCTATATAGAAACATTTTTAGAGAAATGAAAAAGCAAAAATGTCAGACAGAAGTTACAATGTATTTCCATAAAGTTACACCAGAATGTGCCTGCCTCTCCTGCCTCCCCTTCCACCACTTTTGCCTCTGCTGCCCCTGAGACAGCAAGACCAACCATTCCTCTTCCTCAGCCTACTCAACGTGAAAGCGACGAGGATGAAGACCTTTATCACGATCCACTTCCACTTAATAGTAAATATACTTTTATGATTCCCCTGCCCTCCCCTCCCCTCCCCTTCTCTTTTTTTGAGACAAGGTTTCATTCTCACCCAGGCCAGAGTGTAGTGGTGTGATCTCAGCTCACTGCACTTCAGCCTCCTGGGCTCCCAGGCTCAAAGGATCTTCCCTCAAAACTCCATCTCCAGCTGAGCATGGTGGCTTGTGCCTGTAATCCCAGCACTTTGGGAGGCGAGGTGGGCAGATCACCT
This sequence comes from Homo sapiens, assembly GCF_000001405.40. Classification (NCBI taxonomy): domain Eukaryota; kingdom Metazoa; phylum Chordata; class Mammalia; order Primates; family Hominidae; genus Homo; species Homo sapiens. The sequence continues at coordinate 67,334,390 of NC_000011.10, forward strand.
GAGGTCAGGAGTTTGAGACCAGTCTGGCCAACATGGTGAAACCCTGTCTCTACTAAAAATACAAAAATTAGCCAGGCATGGTGGTGCACACCTGTAATTCCAGCTACTTGGGAGGCTGAGGCAAGAGAATCGCTTGAATCCGGAAGGCAGAGGTTGCAGTGACCCAAGATCGTGCCACTGCACTCCAGCCTGGGCCACAGAGCAAGATTCTGTTTCAAAAAATTAATTAATTAATTAATTTTTAAAAACCCCATCTCTACAAAAAAATATGAAAAATCAGCTGGGCACAGTGGCTGTAATCCCAGCGATTTGGGAGGTTGAGGCGAGTGGATCACTTGAGGCCAGGAGTTCGAGACCACCCTTGCCAACATGGTGAAACCCTGTGTCTAGTAAAAGTACAAAAAAAGGCCAGGTGCGGTGGCTCACGCCTGTAATCTCAGCACTTTGGGAGGCCGAGGCGGGCAGCTTACTCGAGGTCAGGAGTTCAAAACCAGCCTGGCCAACATGGTGAAACCCCATCTCTACTAAATATACAAAGAAATTAGCCAGGCGTGGTGGTGGGCACCTGTAATCCCAGCGACTCGGGAGGCTGAGGCAGGAGAATTGCTTGAACCTGGGAGGTGGAGGTTGCAGTGAGCCAAGATCGCATCATTGCACTTCCGCCTGGGCAATACAGCGAGACTTCATCTCAAAAAAAAAAATTAGCTGAGCGTGGTGGCGGGCGCCTGTAGTCCTAGCTATTCGGGAGGCTGAGGGATCGCTTGAGCCTGGGAGGTGGAGGTTGCAATAAGGCAGGATCTCACCACTGCACTCCAGCCTGGGCAATAGAGCCAGACCTTGTCTCAATAAATAAATAAATAGGCCAGGTGTTGTGGCTCACACCTGTAATCCCAGCACTTTGGGAGGCTGAGGCGGGCGGATCACAAGGTCAGGAGTTTGAGACCAGCCTGAACAACATGGTGAAACCCCATCTGTACTAAAAATGCAAAAATTAGCCAGGCCTGGTGGCGCAGGCCTGTAATCCCAGCTACTTGGGAGGCTGAGGCAGGAGAATCGCTTGAACCTGGGAGGTGGAGGTTGCAGTGAGCCAAGATTGTGCCACTGCACTCCAGCCTGGGCGACAGAGTGAGACTCCATCTCTAAATAAATAAATAAATAAGTAACCAACAAATGCACAATTGTCAGAGATTTGAAAACCTTTTGGGCTGGGCGCGGTGGCTCATGCCTGTAATCCCAGCACTTTGGGAGGCCAGAGCAGGTGGATCACCTGAGGTCAGGAGTTCTAGACTAGCCTGGCCAACATGGTGAAACCCCATGTCTACGAAAAATAGAAAAATTAGCCAGGCGTGGTGGCAGGCGACTGTAATCCCAGCTACTCGGGGGGGCCGAGGCAGGAGAATCACTTGAACCCCAGAGGCAGAGGTTGCAGTGAGCCAAGATCATGCCATCGTACTCCAGCCTAGGGGACAAAAGTGAAACTCCATCTCAAAAAAAAGAAAACCTTCTTTTGGCAATTAATAGAACAACTAGACAAAAAAGCAGCTGCATATAGAAAACCTGAAAAATACCATCAACCAATTTGATATAGTTGACATTCAAGAAACTCCACCAAATAACTGCAGGTGATCCGCCCACTTCACCATCCCAAGTGCTGGGATTACATTTTTTTTCAAGCACACATAGAACATTAGCCAAGCTAGATTATATCTGGGCCATAAGATAAGTCTCAATATATTTCTAAAGATTAAAATCATTGCTTAAGGCCAGAAATTCAAGACCAACCTGGGCAACATATTAAATAGATAGACCCCATCTCCATAAAAAGTAAAAAACTTAGCTGAGCATGGTAGCACGTGCCTATAGTCCCAGCTACTTGGGAGACTGAAGTGGGAAGATTGAGCCTAAGGAGTTGGACGCTGCAGTGAGTATGATTGTGCCACTGCACTCCAGCCTGGTTAAAGAGTGAGACCCTGTCTCTATTTAAAAAAAAAAAAAAAAGGGAAAAAACCCCAGACAACCTTACAGAATACTCTCTGATCATCTGATCACAATGAAGTTAAATTAGAGACAAATAATATTAATAGTAACATATCTAGAAAGTCCCCAAATGTTTAGAAATTAAAGAATATATTTCCAAAGAATATATTTTTAGGCCAGGTATGGTGGCTCACACCTGTAATCCCAGCACTTTGGGAGGCCGAGGAGGGAGGATTGCTTGAGGCCAGGAGTTTGAGACCAGCCTGGGCAATATAGCGAGATCCTGTCGCTACAAAAAATAAAATTAGCCAGGCATGTTGACACATACCTGTAGTCCCAGCTACTCAAGAGGGTGAGGCAGGAGAATCACTTGAACCCAAGAGGCAGAGGTTGCAGTGAGCTGAGAACATGCCATTGCACTCCAGCCTGGGTGACAAGAGTGAAACTCTGTCTCAAAAAAAAAAAAAAAGTATTTCTGTATAACTAATGAATCAAAGAAGAAAACACAAATGAGAAAATATTTCAAACTGTAGCATATGAAGGCACAGAATATCAAAATATGTGTGGTGCAGCTAAAGAAGTACTTAAAGGAAAGTGGATAACTTAAAGTACCTACATGAGAAAAGAGAAAGGTTTAAATTTGGGGGGGCAGTGGTCAGAGGGACAGAGTGGGACACTGGAGTGCAGTGGTGGGATCTCGGTTCACTGCAACCTCTGCCTCCCAGGTTCAAGCGATTCTCATGCCCCAAACTCCTGGCTTCAAGTGATCCACCCACCTTGGCTTCCCAAAGTGCTGGGATTACAGGCATGAGCCACCGTGCCCAGTGGAAAGGTTTAAATTAATAATTCTATGTTTCTACCTTAAGAAGCTATAAGAAGTTTGGCAGTTTCTCCAAAAGTTAAATAGAATTACCATATGACCCAGCAGTTCTACTCCCTGGTATATACGCAGGAGAATCAAAAACATGTTCATAGAAAAATGTGTACACAAATGTTCATAACAGTGTTAGCCAAAATGTGGAAGCAATCCAACTGTCCATTCACGAATGAATAAACAAAATGTGGTATATCCCTATAATGGAATATTATTCAGCCATGAAAAGGAATGAAGTGGTTATATGCTACAAGATGGATAAACCTTGAAAACCTTATGCTAAGTGAAGAAAAGCAGACACAAAATGATTCCATTTATATGAAATTTTCAGGGCTGGGTATGGTAGCTCATGCCTGTAATCCCAGCACTTTGGGAGATTGAAGTGGGAGGATTGCTTGAGCCCAGGAGATCAGCGTGGGCAACATAATGAGATCCTCTCTACAAAAAATAAAAAATTAGCCAGGCGTGGTGACATACACCTGTAATCTTGAGGCATGAGAACCCTTGAGCCAGGAGGCCAAGACTGCAGTAAGCACTACTACACTCCAGCTTGGGCAACAAAGTGAGACCCTGCCTCAAAAAAAATTGTAAAAAATTAATTATAAAAATGAAAATTTTAGAATAGACAGATCCATATAGACAGAAAGCAGATTAGTGGTTGCCAGGGAGGAATTGGAACTGACTGCCATTAAGCACAGGTTTCTTTCTGGGTTGATGAAGATGTTACAGAATTAGATATGGTAATGGTTGCACAACATAGTGAATATACTAAAAATCACTGAATTTTACACTTTAAAATTGTGAATTTTAGAGGCTGGGCATGTTGGCTCATGCCTATAGTCCCAGCGTTTTGGGAAGCCGAGGCGGGTAGATGGCTTGAGTTCAGGAGTTCGAGACCAGCTTAGGCAACATAGCAAAATCCCATCTCCACAAAAAATACAAAAATTAGCCTGGCGTGGTGGTGCGTGCCTGTAGTCCCAGCTGCTTGGGAGGCTGAGGCTGGAGAATTGCTTGAGCCTGGGAGGTCAAGGCTGCAGTGAGCCGCAATCCTGCCACTGCTCTCCAGCTCAGGAGACAGAGCAAGACCCTGTCTCAAAAAATAAATTAATTTTAAAAATGGTGAATTTTATATTATGTGGATTATAGTGCAAAAAAAAAAAAAAGAAGAAGAAAAGAAAAGAAACAGCACAGTGCTGTGCACCTGTAGTCCCAGCTACTCATGGGGCTGAGGTGGAAAGATTGAGCATAGGAGTTCGAGACCAGCCTTGGTGACATAGACCCTGTCAAAAAAAGAAGAAAATATTTTATTTTATTTTATTTTTTGAGACGGAGTTTCACTCTTGTTGCCCAGGCTGGTGTGCGATGGTACGATCTTGGCTCACCGCAAACTCTGCCTCCCGGGTTCAAGTGATTCTCCTGCCTCAGCCTCCCAAATAGCTGGGATTACAGGCATGTGCCACCACACCCAGCTAATTTTGTATTTTTAGTAGAGACGGGGTTTCTCCATGTTGGTCAGGCTGGTCTCGAACTCCTGACCTCAAGTGATCCGCCCGCCTCGGCCTCTCAAAGTGCTGGGATTACAGGGTAAGCCATGGCATCCGGCCTAAGAAGAAGAAAATAAAATAAGCTAGAAAAAGAACAAGTTAAGTCCAAAGGAAGGAAATAATGATGAGCAGAAGTTAATGAAATAGAAAACACACAGAGGTTGGGAGCAGTGGCTTATGCCTGTAATTCCAGCACTCTGGGAGGCTAAGGCAAGAGGATCGCCTGAGCCCAGGAGTTCAAGACTAGCCTGGCATAGTGAGACCCCATCTCTACAAAAAGTAAATTTAAAAAATTAGCTCAGTGTGGTGGGGCATGCCTGTAGTCACAGCTACTTGGGAGGCTGAGGTGGGAGGAACCCTTGAGCCTGGGAGATAGAGGCTGCAGTGAGCCATGATTGCACCACTGCAGTCCAGCTTGGATGACAGAATAACACCCTGTCAAAAAAAAAAAAAAGAAAATACATAAATACACACACACACACACACACACACACACACACACACACACACACCAGAGAAAAATAGCAAAGCGAAAAGTTGATTCTTTGAAAAAATAATAAAATTGATAAAACCGTATCAAGACTGATTAAAAAAAAATACAGGCTGAGCATGGTGGCTCACACCTGTATTCCCAACACTTTGGGAGGCCAAGGCCGGTGGATTACTTGAGGCCAGGAATTCAAGACTAGCCTGACCAACATGGTGAAACCCCTTCTCTACTAAAAGTACAAAAAATTAGCCAGGCGTGGTGGTGCACACCTGTAATCCCAGCTACTTGGGAGGCTGAGGCATGAGAATCACTTGAACCTGGGAGGTGGAGCCTGCAGTGAGCCGAGATCATGCCACTGTACTCCAGGGCAACAGAGCAAGATCTTGTCTCAAAAAAAAAAAATTACCAATTATTAGTAATGAAAGAGTAGATATCAGTTTAGATTGTTATGTATTAAGATGATAAAAAGGAGTATTTATTGTGAACAACTTTATGGAAATAAATTTGACAACTTGAATGAAATAACCCCTTTTAAAAATGTTTTATTTATTATTTATTTTTGAGACAGGGTCTTACTCTCTTGCCCAAACTGGAGTGCAGTGGCAATCATGGCTCACTCCACCTCTGGGGCTCAGGTGATTCTCCCACTCCAGCCTCAGAAGTAGCTGGGACTACAGGTGGGTGCCACCATGCCTGGCTAATTTTTCGTACTTCTTTGTAAAGATGGGGTTTCGCCATGTTTCTTAGGTTGGCCTCGAACTCCTGAGCTCAAGCAATTCACTTGCCTTGGCCTCCCAAACTGCTGGGAGTACAGGCGTGAACCACTGTGCCTGGCCAGAATCTTTTAAAAACCACTAGAATGAAGTGGATTTACCAAGGTAACAGGATACAAAGTGAATATACAAAAACCATTTCTATTTCTATGTTCTAGCAACAAACAATGGGAAAATGAAAATTTTTTTAAAATCCACTTTTAATAGAATAAAAACCTTGTTAGGAATAAATTTAGCCAAAGATAAGCAAGACCTCTACACTTAAAACTAGGCTGGGTACCATGGCATATGACTATAGTCCCAGCACTTTGGGAGGCTGAGGCAGGAGGATCGCTTGAATCCAGGAGTTCCAGACCACAGACCAGCCTGGGTGACATAGTGAGACCCTGTCTCTGCAAACAAAAGGAAACAAAAAAACACCAGTTTTTAAAAACTAACTAACTCTATATGATTTCAAGCTTTATTGTGAAGCTACACAAATCAAGACAGTGTGATGTTGAGATAAACACATCAATGCGAAAGAGAGTTTAGCAGTAGTCCCACACTTACATGGCCAAATTATTATCATTATTTTTTTTTTATTGAGACGGAGTCTTGCTCTGTCGCCCAGGCTGGAGTGCAGTGGCACAATCTCGGCTCACTGCAAGCTCCGCCTCCTGGGTTCACGCCATTCTCCTGCCTCAGCCTCCCAAGCAGCTGGGACTACAGGCATCCGCCACCACGTCCGGCTAATTTTTTTTGTATTTTTAGTACAGACAGGGTTTCACGGTGTTAGCCAGGATGGTCTCAATCTCCTGACCTCGTGATCCACCCTCCTCAGCCTCCCAAAGTGCTGGGATTACAGGCATGAGCCACTGCACCTGGCCATGGCCAAATTATTTTTGATGACAGTGCCAACGTAATTAAGTGGGTAAAAGGTCTTTGAGCAAATGGGGCTGGAACTGTATATCCACCAAAAGTTAGTTTCTTGAAATAAGTTAATAAAATTGAGGCTGGGCGCAGTGGCTCACACTTGTAATCCCAGCACTTTGGGAGGCCGAGGATGGTGGATCACAAGGTCAGGATTTCAAGACCAGCCTGGCCAACATGGTGAAACCCTGTCTCTACTAAAAATACAAAAATTAGCTGGGCATGGTGGCGGGCACCTGTAATCCTGGCTACTCAGAAGGATGAGGCAGAGAATTGCTTGAACCCAGGAGGCAGAGGTTGCAGTGAGCCACGATTGCGCTACTGCACTCCAGCCTGGGCAACAGAGCAAGACTCTGTCTCCAAAAATAAAATAAAATAAAATAAAATAAAATAAAATAAAATGAAATTGTTAAGTCCCTAGTAAGACTAAGAAAATAGAGAAAATATAAATCCCCAATTATCAGGAATGAAACAGTGAAATTAAAAATAGATCCTAAACCTAAATGTAAAAGCTAAAACAATGAAATATCTAGAAAAAAATAGAAAATATTTGTTACTTTGGGGTAGGTAAACATTTCTTAGGACATAAAAAGCAGTAACAAAAAAAATGATAAATTGGATTTCATCAAAATTTAAAACTTTGGGCCGGGTGTGGTGACTGATGCCTGTAATCCTAGCACTTTGGGAGGCCGACACAGGTGGATTATGCGAGGTCAGGAGTTTGAGACCAGCCTGGCCAACATGGTGAAATCCTGTCTCTACTAAAAATACAAAAATTAGCTGGGCATGGTGGCACATGCCTGTAATCCCAGCTACGTGGGAGGCTGAGGTAGGAGAATCGCCTAAACCCAGGAGGCGGAGGTTCCAGGTGAGCCAAGATCACGCCATTGCACTCCAGCCTAGGCAACAAGAGCAAAACTCCATCACACACACAGACACACACGCACACACACACACATTTTAAAACTTTCGTTCTTCTAAAGATACTATTATGAAAAAAATTCTGGCCGGGTGCAGTGGCTCACGCCTATGATCCCAGCACGTTGGGAGGCCGAGGAAGGCAGGTGGATTGCTTGAGGTCAAGAATTTTGAGACCAGCCTGGCCAACGTGGTGAAACCCCATCTCTACTAAAAATACAAAAATTAGCCAGGTGTGGTGGCACGCGCCTGAAATCCCAGCTACTCGGGAGGCTGAGGCAGGAGAATCCCTTGAACCTGGGAGGCAGAGGTTGCAGTGATCCAAGATCGCCCCACTGCACTCCAGCTAGGGTGACAAAGCGAGACTCTGTCTCAAAAAAAAAAAAAATTCCAAAAATTTTATCTGGAACCACTAAAGACCCCAAATAGCCAAAGCAATCCTAAGCAAAAATAACAAAGCTGGAGGCATCATACTACCTGAGTTCAAAATATACTACAAAGCTATAGTAACCAAAACAGCATGGTACAGTCATAAAAACATACACATAGACCAGTGGAACAGTATAGATAACCCAGAAATAAATTCACACAACTGATTTTCAGTAAAGGTGCCAAGAATATACATTGGGGAAAAGATGGTCTCTTCAATAAGTGGTGCTGGGAAAACTGGATATCCACATTCAGAAGAATGACAAAAATTAACTCAAAATGGATTAAAGACTTAAATATAAGACCTCAAACTATAAAACTACTAGAAGAAAACACAGGAGAAATGCTTCCTGACATTGACCTAGGCAAGGATTTTTGAGATAGGACCTCAAAAGCACAGGCAACCAAAGCAAAAGTAGACCAATGGGATTACATCAAACAAAAAGCTTCTGCACAGCAAAGAAAACAATAGAGCATGGCCAGACACAGCAGCTCACACCTCCAGTACCAGCTACTCTGGAGGCTGAGGTGGGAGGATTGCTTAAGCCCAAAAGTTTGAGGCTGCAGTAAACTTTGATTGTGCCATTGCACTCCAGCCTGGGTGACAGAGCAATACTCCATCTCAAAAAAATAAAATGGTAGAACCACTTCGGAAAACAGACTGGCAGTTTACTCTAAAGTCAAATATATATATATGATATATAATGTAGCAATATGATTCTTTGGCATATAGCCAAGAAAAAATGAAAACCTGCCCACACAAAGACTTGTACATGAATGTTTATAACAGCTCCATCCATCAGAGTCTAAAACTGGAAACAACCCAAATGTTCATCAGCTGATAAATGGGATAAATACATTTTAGTATATTCACACAATGGATTTTTTTTTTTTTTTTTTTTTTTGAGACGGAGTCTTGCTCTGTCATCCAGGCTAGAGTGTGGTGGCACGATCTCGGCTCACTGCAACCTCTGCCTCAAAGGTTCAAGCAATTTTCCTGCCTCAGCCTCCTGAGTAGCTGGAATTACAAGCGCGCGTCACCACACCTGGTTAATTTTTTTTGTATTTTTAGTAGAGACGGGGTTTCCCCATGGTGGTCAGGCTGGTCTTGAACTCCTGACCTCATGATCTGCCCGCCTTGGCTTCCCAAAGTGCTGGGATTACAGGTGTGAGCCACTGTGCCCGGCCAATACACAATGGAATATTATTCAGCAACAAAAGTGAATGAACTTGGCCAGGCATGGTGGCTCATGCCAGTAATCCCAGCACTTTGGGAGGCTGAGGCAGGAAGATTGCTTGAGTCCAGGAGTTCAAGACCATCCTGGGCAACATAACGAGAATTAATTAATTTTTTTTTTTTCCACATAGAGATGGTGTTTCACTCTGTTGCCCCAGACTGGTCTCAAATTCTCTTGAGCTTAAGCAATCCTCCTGCCTTGGCCTCCCAACATGCTGGGATTATAGGCATGAGCCACTGCACTTGGCCCTTATTTTTTTTTGGAGACAGAGTCTTGCTCTGTCACCTAGGCTGGAGTACAGTGGTACAGTCACACCTCATTACAGCCTCAACCTACCAGGCTCAAGGGGTCCTCCCCAACGTCAGCCTCCCGAGTAGCTGGAACCACAGGTGCAAGCCGCCACAGTGGGCTAATTTTTAACAGTTTTTGTAGAGACAAGATTTTGCTATGTTACCTGGGCTGGACTTGAACCCTTGGCCTCAAGCAACCTCCCACCTTGGCCCCCCAAATATTTGGGATTACAGGTGTGAACCACCGCACCTGGCCCAGTCTCTTATGGATGACAGACTTTTAGGCTATTTATGTTCTTTGCTATTACAAAGAGTTTTATAATAAATAACCTTACATATGTTATTTTACATATACCAACGTATCTGTAGGATAAATTTCTAGATATAGACTGAAAAGGATAGGTGCATTTATAATTTTGATATATAATGCCAAATTAGTGTCCTTGGAGTTGTACAAGTGTATACTCCAGCATTGCAGAACTAGAATAGTCAGATCCTGGCCAGCCATTCTCCCGAGAGCATGTGGAGAGGTGGGCTGGATGGCTCACTGCAATGATGACTGTCTCTACTCTGCACCTCAGAGGACCTCAGCTAAGCACTCCATGGCCAGCCCACTGGAGGCACAGGCTTCAAAACAGGAAACGAAAAGGGCCTGCTTCTGCAGTTGACAGCTTTGATGCCTTCCTCACTGAGAAGGCCTTAGGAGAAGATGGCTCCTGCCATCAAGGCCACACAACTCCTATGGAGAAGTGACTTAGAGCCCAAAGAGTTGCATTTACAACTCTCACACAAATGATTCTCACGGGCTAGACAGGATCAAAAAGTACGTGTGAGTAGGCTGGGCACAGTGGCTCACACCTGTAATCCCAGCACTTTGGGAGGCCGACGTGGGCAGATCACCTGAGGTCAGGAGTTCGAGCCCAGTCTGGTCAACATGGTGATACCCCGTCTCTACTAAAAATATAAAATTAGCTGGGCATGGTGGTGCCTGCCTGTAATCCCAGCTACTCGGGAGGCTGAGGCAAGAGAATCCCTTGAACCTGGGAGGCAGAGGTTGCTGTGAGCCAAGATTATGCCACTGCACTCCAGCCTGGGGGATAGAGCAAGAGTTTGTTTCAAAAAAAAAAGTAGATGTGAGTGAAGTGGGACGATTTGGTCAGCTTTTTTTTTTTTTTTTTTTTTTTTTTTACACAGGGTCTTGCTGTGTTGCTCAGGCTGGAGTGCTGTAGTGGGAATATGGCTCACTGCATTTCAACTTCATGGGCTCAAGTGATCCTCCTGCCTCAGCCCCACTATCTGGGGCCACAGGCGTGTGCCACACCGAGCTAATTTTTAGTTTTTTTTTGTTTTTTGTAGAGACAGGATACCCCTTTGTTGCCCAGGCTGGTCTCAAACTCCTGGGCTCAAGTGATCCTCTTTCCTCAGCCTCCCAAAGTGCTAGGATTACAGGGGTAAGCCACTATGACCAACCTCAGCCAGCTTTGAGCGCTTACTATGTAGCCAACCTTGTGTTAGGTATACACCAGCAGAGATAAAATATTCTCTAGCACTGAAAACAATGAAGCGTATTGTTGTGGCAATGTGACATGCTGTAATAAAACAGAAACAGGTTACCGTGGGAAGCAGAGGGGAAATCCTTAACTCTCTTCAGGGAAGGCTGCACAGAGTGAAAAACATCCTGCAGTCAAGGGCAGGGCCTGCAGGCATAGGAACCATTGGCGCCTCTAGGTGAGGTGAAGGGGCATCCACGAGGTCAGGATGGAGGCTCACATCCCAGAGGGAGCTCCTAGGAGATGCCTTTTCCTTCAAGAGACAAAGGACCAAAGTTGGGCTTAAGAAGGACTCAGATCTCAGATGCCAACACATGGTCTACCATCACTTGTTCACCTGGAGGGCACCCCTACTCGTCCTTACATACTCAGCTGAAGGTTGTCATAGGCCAGGCCCATGCCTGTCTTGCAGCATTGTTTGAAGTATACTTGCGCGTCTGTTTTCTGTCTCCCTACTACAGTGAGCTCTTGGGGCTTAGGGCCTGGGGTTCTAATCATTTGCATCTGCCATGACTAGCACAAAGTTATGGTTTTCTAGCTTAGGACTCAGGTGGATAGACTCAGGTGGATAAACTGCGTGGAAAACCAGGAATCATTTTGAGAATCTCTTGAGTCCCAGAGGTGGCAGTAACCCAAATTGGCCTCAAGCTGGCACTGTTGTAGTTTTCTTCTGTTTCTAGACCAGTTCAGAAACTTGCTTCTTTCCTGTGTTGACTTTAGTTTCTTGGTAAATTAGCTCCTTAAACCTTCAAGCTACTAGTGAGTTTGTCTGAGGGTGGATAAATGTTGCCACACCTGAGTCAATAAAGAATGAATCAGTGTGGCCTTCATAGAGGGGTGTGGTACTGGTAGTTACCATGACAGCCAAAGACACTCGAGAGAACTACAAAACGAGGATAGCGGGAAGTGGGAAATGGAGGAATGGAATTGAGGGCAAGTCCCCTCCATGCTTCCTGACAGTGTCTTCCTTGATGTCTCTGCAGCATCACACCGGTGACCTCTGGGACACTGCTCTGCCTTGGTTCTCCTGCCACTCTGAGCACTCTTCCCCTCTGGTTTGCTGGATCTTCTTCCACCATTTTCTAGAGAGAATTTTCCCAGGTGCCATGCTTGGTCTTCTCTTTGACTGTCTCTCTTGAATCTTTCATCTGTGCGCATAGGTCAGTTCTATGCAGGTGATTTCCTTGTCCCCTGGATACTGCCCCTCCCCTGACCTCTCTGCTGGACTTGAGCTCTGTTTCCATTTCCTACCAGATGTTTCCATTTGGTGTCCTGTCGTCATCTCAAACCAAGCATGTATAAAATTGAGCCTGTCTTCCCCCTCCCAGTTTCCATTTTTCTTCCCATGGCATCAGCATTCTCTCACCCACCCAAGCTCAAAACCTGAGTCATATTTGACACCTCCTCCCCATTCTTCCCTTACCAAATGCAAGTTTTGCCAACTTCTTTTGCAACATCTCTTATAGTTCTTTGTCCCTTTATTTTATTTATTTTTATTTTTTTTGAGATGGAGCTTCGCTCTTGTTACCCAGGCTGGAGTGCAGTGGCGCGATCTTGGTTACTGCATCACTGCAACCTCCGCCTCCCCGGTTCAAGTGATTCTCCTGCCTCAGCCTCCTGAGTAGCTGGAATTACAGGCATGCACCACCACGCCCAGCTAATTTTGTATTTTTAGTAGAGACAGGGTTTCTCCACGTTTGTCAGGCTGGTCTCGAACTCCCAACCTCAGGTGATCCACCCGCCTCGGCCTCCCAAAGTGCTGGGATTACAGGCATGAGCCACCGCTCCCAGCCAAATGCTAGTTTTTTATGATTTTATGTGGAAACCTCTGTGGTATATACTTCACAGCTCTGTGCACCTAGCCTGTGGCACACACATAATTCCCTCCTGCTTGCCTTTGTTCAGCTCATTCCCTTAGTCTAGAACACTATTCTCTGGCTGGGTGTGGCAGTTCACTCCTGTAATCCCAATACTTTAGGAGGCCAAGGCAGGAGGATTATTTGGCCTCAGGTGTTTGAGACCAGCCTGGGCAACATAGCAGGACTATCTCTCTAAAAAAAAAAAAAAATTTTTTTTTAATTAGCTGTGTATGACACGTGCCTATAGTCCCAGTTACTTGGGAGACCAAGGCAGGAAGATGGCTTGAACCTGGGAGTTTGAGGCTGCAGTGAGCCATGATTGCACCACTGTGCTCCAGCTTGGGCAACAGAGCAAGACCCTTTCTCAAAAAAAAAAAAAAAAAAAAAAAAAAAATATATATATATATATATATATATATATATATATATATATATATATGCTTTTTAGTATTTCTGAAGTGCTGTTCAAACTGAGTGAGGTGGTATAGTAGATGTATCAGGGGTACCTGAAAGCAGCCATAAGCCACATGTGGCACATCTTCCTGGAGACTTCATTTTATTTAATTATAAATAATTTCACCTACTTTTATGTTAATACAGCTACTCCAGGCCGGGCACAGTGTCTCATGCCTGTAATCCCAGCATTTTGGGAGTCTGAGGCGAGTGAATCACTTAAGGTCAGGAGTTCAAGAGCAGCCTGGCCAACATGGTAAAACCCCGTCTCTACCAAAAATACAAAAATTAGCCGGGAATGGTGGTGGGTACCTCTAATCCCAGCTACTTGGGAGACTGAGGCACGAGAATTGCTTGAACCCTGGAGGCAGAGGTTGCAGTGAGCCAAGATCATCCCACTGCATTTCAGCCTGAGTGACAGAGTGAGACTCTGTGTCAAAAAAGAAGTACAACTACTCCAGACATATGGAGTAGAATGCAAAATTGATGAAGGAAATGACTAAGAACATTCCGCATGGTGCTGTCCCCTACAGTGGGGAGTCTGCATTCGCCCTGCGGTGGAAGGTGGGAAGGTGAGAAACAGGGACCCCTGATTAGAAGGGGCTAGGTGCAGATGAGGTGCAGCAGGGGGAATACAATGCAGCGGGAGGAAGGTTGCAGTCCCTGTGCTCGAGGCCCCTGCAGCGGGTCCCTGTCACCCATGGTGCTCTTTCCTTTCTGAGAACTCAGACAATTCAGTGTCTGTGCCACTCCTAGGTTGCCTCGGGAAAGCACTCATATTACATGGTTTTCTAACTTGCCACATATGTAGTCCTTATCTCCTCGACAACATTCTTATCCTCCAACATCTGGAGTGCAGGTGCGGGGTGAATTCAGGCCCTGGTGTTTACTGATTGAGCAAGGCACTTTTCCTCTCAGCCTTGGTTTCCTTATCTGTAAAACATGGATAGTACTTCCCTAATGAGATTGTTCTCAGGATTCAACTAGATAACATGTGTGCAGCATTTCACATAGCAGATGGCATGGATAGGCACTTAGTAAACATCAGAGCCCTCCCAGCAGTGTCAGGCTCTTAGTAAATATCTGATTCTTGAATATTCCCATCCCCAAATATATCCCCCTACCTGAGGCTCCTCTCATATTCTCTGCCTCCCTTCCTGTCACAGTGCATGTGTCTACTGAAGGCCACCCTCTTCCTGTATCCTGGTTCCTGGCCCTCCTCACCCTCACAAAGATCTCACTCACACAACTGCCTCCTCATCTCCGGTAACCTCAGGTTCCCTCGCTACTGGATCTCTCAGATCACTTCTCTCTCTACACTCACTCTGGGGATCTCATCCACTGTTGGAGCTTTCAAGGCCATCTAAAAGATTCCCAAGTTTATATTTTAAACCTAGAATGCCTCAGAATCCGAGACTTACATATCCACTGCCTATACCCCATGTCCCTTTGGAAGTGGCACAGATACTTCAGCATGTCTAAGATGGAGCTCCAGATTCCTGCCCCACCCTTCCCACAAGTCTTCCCATCTTAGTAATGAGAACTCTGTCCTTCCAGTCGCCCAAACCAAAACCTTTGGAGTTATCCTTGGCTCCTCCCTCTTAAATCCCACAGTCGACCAATAGGCAAGTCCTGCCAGTCAGCTCTTCCTTAAAAATACAGAGCGTACCTGGCCACTTCTGAGCAGTCCACCTCCCCACGCTGGTCCAGATCACCCTCAGCTCTCATGAGGCCAACTTCAGTAGCCTCCTGAGTGGTTTTGCTACCTCTGTTTTCCCCAGCTCCACAATCTTGTTTTCCACCAACAGAGTAATGTTTTCGAAACATAAGCTTGACTCTGTCATTTATTGGCTTCAAGCCCTCCAGTATCCTCCCCTCTCACTCAGAATCAAATCCAGTTTCTTATCATGGCCCTAGGGACCAGCCCGCTGCCTGTCTGCCCTCAATTCCCACTACCCTTCCTCACTCCCTGGCCCCCAGCCTCACTGGCCTCCTCAGTGCCTTTCCTGGAGCAGGCTGGAAACACTCCTTCCTCAGGAAGCTTCTCCTTGTTGCTCCTTCTGCCTGGAACCCTCAGATGCAGACCTTGCTCCCTTCCTTCCTTCAAGTCTCTGCTCAAATGCCACCTTAGCAGAGGGCCTTCCCTGACCAGTCTCTCTAACATAGCGCCCCTGGCATCCTTGGACCCTTTCTGATCCCAACTCTGATTTTGCTTACTACTGACTGCTACCTGTCATAATTAACTTACGTGTTTGTTTTTGCCCATCTCCTGACCATTAGTAATACCCCAAGGGGACCTTTGGTGCCTGGCACATAGTGAGTGCTTAGCAGCTGGGCAGGAGGTATGGCATAGTCTGGAAGAGGTTAATGCAAGTGGCCCCTGGTCACTGCACTGCCTCTTGCCTGCTGTGTGCTTTTGGGCAACTTTACTTAACCTTTCTTAGTTTCAGTTCCCCCTCAGTAAAACCTACCTGGAAGGTTTTTTAGGAGGATTCGAGGTAATACATTTAAAGTACCTGAGACATGATCAGTGCTCAGACGGGGGCTACACAGGCCACTTAGCTGCCCTCTAGGCCTGTTTCCAAGAACTTACTAGTGCTGCCTCCATCTACCCCCAGGATAGAGGGCTGCCACAGTAGATGAAGGTAACACTATAGAAGCGGTTACTGACTCTATTCTCCATGTCATACCCTGACCCTGGGTCCCCTGGGCATTGTTTCTGGCTCCAGCCAGTTCTCCTCCATCCCCCAGCACCATCAGTTTCTTTTTTCTTTCTTTTTTTTTTTTTTTTTTTTGAGATGGAGTCTTGCTCAGTCGCCCAGGCTGGAGTGCAGTGGCGCGATCTCGGCTCACTGCAAGCTCCGCCTCCCGGGTTCACGCCATTCTCCTGCCTCAGCCTCCCAAGTAGCTGGGACTACAGGTGCCCGCCACCAGGCCTGGCTAAGTTTTTTTGTATTTTTAGTAGAGACGGGGTTTCACTATGTTAGCCAGGATGGTCTCGATCTCCTGACCTCCTGATCCACCTCCCTCGGCCTCCCAAAGTGCTGGGATTACGGGCGTGAGCCACTGCGCCCAGCCTTTATTTTGTATTTTTTTATTTTTTGAGACGGGGTCTCTCTCTGTCACCCAGGCTGGAGTGCAGTGATGCGGTCTCAGCTCACTGCCAGCTCTGCCTCCCGGGTTCACGCCATTCTCCTGCCTCAGCCTCCTGAGTAGCTGGGACTACACCTGGCTAATTTTTTGTATTTTTAGTAGAGATGGGGTTTCACCATGTTAGCCAGGATGGTCTCGATCTCTTGACCTCGTGATCCGCCCTCCTTGGCCTCCCAAAGTGCTGGGATTACAGGTGTGAGCCACCGCGCCCAGCCATCAGTTTCTTACCAAAGCCCCTCAGATGATGGTCATGTCTGAGCAGGTCCTGCAAGTTGAGACCCTCGCCAGCCCTGCTTTGGATCAAGGTGGCCCCCGATGTGGGAAGCCAGAGGTGCTTGCTGGGAATGTATAGATATGTTTGGACTTCATGAGCTATGGACCCCAGGGGTCCTTCTCTGGCAAAGCACCCATGTTTGTGAGGTGGGCACCGCTTAGCAAGGCAGGTGGCTGGCTAGTCAGGTAGGTTTTCCCTGGCTGCTCCAGAAGGTGAGTCATGAGTAGTTTCCCTGTGGGCCACCAGGGGGCACCAGAGGTCGCTCAGCTCTTCCGAGGACTTGATCCGTCTCAAGATGACTGTCTCCTCCCTCTTCGGCCTAGGACTTTCTTGAAGGAAAAGAGCTGTAGTGGTGCCTCTCTCATCTCCTAACTTGCTAGGGACTGCCAGTCAAAGCAGGGCCACAGTAAAGGACTGAAGGTCAGGATTCCAGGCTCAATATTCTTTATTGATAAGCATTAGTGAACCCCTTGCCCTGGGAGCTCAGCCAGTCCTGCTCTCAGATTCCTGGCCTTAGGTGGGAGAGCATCTTTTCCTCATGGATCAACTGTCCATGTCTGACTGTGCCTAACTTGCCAGATCATGGGTCAGGGAGACAGGCAGCAGGTATTGGAAGGTGATGGCCAGGTCCTTTTCCCCAGTGACCACTCTCCATCTAGAAGCACTCTGCTTCAGCTGCGCAGGCTCTTCCGGGGACTCTGGGAGCCTGCTGGTTAGATGGAGGAGTTGAGCCTCTGACACCTCCAGGTTCTGCCTGCCAAGGGTTCCTCCGCAGCCGGGCTGAGCTGAGCAGGAGCAATGGGCTCTCGCTTCTGTCCTGAGGTTCTTGGGTGGTGAGCAAGAGAGCTAAGGGCAGGAGGTCTTACGTGGTGCCTCATAGGGGATAGAGATGCCAGAGACTGTGGAAGATGGGGTGGGAGGGAGGGATACCCCAGAGAGAGAGAGAGAGAAACAGAGAATCAGTTGTTGAGTCCCTGGATCTGATTTCACCAGCTTATTCTTGGCCATGCCCATAGTCCTTGGGAAACCCCTCAGTTCTAAATAGATAGTTCCTTGGGTCCTGGGTGTACCTTTGCCCCCCACTAGCTTGTAGAGGTAAGAATTATTGGCCGGGTGTGGTGGCTCACGCCTGTAATCCCAGCACTTTGGGAGGCTGAGGTGGGTGGGATCACGAGGTCAGGAGATCAAGACCATCCTGGCTAACACGGTGAAACCCTGTCTCTACTAAAAATAGAAAAAATTAGCCGGGCGTGTTGGCGGGCGCCTGTAGTCCCAGCTACTTGGGAGGCTGAGACAGGAGAATGGCGTGAACCCGAGAGGCGGAGTTTGCAGTGAGCCGAGATCGCGCCACTGCACTCCAGCCTGGGCAACAGAGCAAGACTCTGTCTCAAAAAAAAAGAATTATTATAGTGGCGTGTCCTCCTGAGCCAGGCACCTCATAGAATCTTCTTGCCTGTTCAGCAAGGCCTTCCAACCCTCCATCCATTTCTCCCTCAGGTCAGGACAGCAGGGTGACAGTGCCTGGAGAAGGCCCTGGCTCCCCTGAAAGCCCTCCCGGCCTGTCTCTGACCTGCACTGGAAGCGGGGGTCTCCGGGGTGGGTCTTCAGCACCTGCCACACCTCTGGGGGAGGCTCCAAGCCCATCTGCTTGGCCCGACACCAGCGCTGCAGCCGTGTGATCCCTGCCAGGGTGGGAAGAAGACTCTGGAGACTTGTGGGGGGTGGGGTAGAGTCTGAGCTGGAGAATGTGTGTGTTGGGGGGAGACAGTTCCTGAGGGTCAGAGTCACGCAAGCGCTTGGGTGACTTCAGAGACGTGTGGGTGACTGGCTGGGAGAGGCGCCTCCGTGGGGCTGGGTGGGTTCTCACCGGTGCAGGGCCCGTACTGCCAGGCCAGGTCAAACTGCCTCAGCAGCTCCAGCTCCGCTTCCTCCTCGTCGCGGGGCTGGGGCTCCTCCCCTGCAATGACAGCTGCTCTTCAGTACGAGGTTGGCTTCAGTCTCCTGCCCCTCACCTCCCAGCCTTCCTCACCACCGCTTTGCCTCTGCCACCCCGCAGCTAGACCTGGTGTCGGGAGGGGAGGACAGGCCACCTTTCCCTTTCCATCGGCCCCTCCGCCCCTCTAGGGGCCTCCTCTAGGCCCCTCCGTGTCCACTCCTCCTGCCTCCCTCACACCTCAGAGACCTAGCTCGGGTGCCAGCTCCCCCTTGCTGTGCCCAGCGGGCCCCTCCCTCCTCTTCACAACCGGGTAGGAATCAGTGATGAGCCGCTTCCGGCCCATGGCGGCCACCCAGGCAGGCAGAGAAGGAGGCAACTGCGGGGAAGAGGAGAGACCGGCCAGTGGGCGCGAGAAAGACAGCTGCTGAGAGAGACAGACGGGGCCAGGCCAGCGGCGGGCAGACAAGATGACCCAGACAAACCGAGAGAGGAAGTCGCCGGGGTCCAGGGAGGGACGCCTCCCCCACCCCCAAAAGCACGCAAACAGGAAAGACTTCAGCCAATGGCAGGCCGCCTATGCGGGGCGGGGCCCTGGCGCTAGCCAATGGTAGGCAGTGTAGGGTGAGGGGCGGGGCGGTGCCTCAGCTGTGGGCCGCGGGAGGAGGGGCAGGCTGGGGCGGGGGACCTGTCGGGATGCCCCGACTTCACCACCTTCCCCGGCCCCCATTGGTCTGCTGTGGGTCCCGAGAGACTTCAGGAGAGTTATCTTCAGCCTCTCACTTCCCGTTTTCCCTTCCTAGGCAAATGTTCTTTTCAGCTTCGCTAATCCCCGTGGCCAGTTTGTAACTCCCTAGAGTCCAGCTGGAGCCTTCACTCGGTCCTTTGGCCCGCCCCGCCTTGTGGGGGCAGGTCTGGAGGTCTGAAGAGAGTTTGGGCTAATCCAGGCCCCTTCCCGGCTCCCACCCAACCCCCACTGGCCCCAGGAGACCTGGCTGGAGAAGCCCATGGGTTCTGAAACCTCCTTTCTCACAGTCTGTGCCCAAAGATGCTGCCCACTCTTAGTCCGAGTAAGTGTTTGCCGTTTTGACTCTCCTGGGGTCCCAAGTCGTGTCCGGCCCGCCCCACCAGTCAGGAAGATTCCATACTGAGTAGGAAGGCAGAGCAAGGGTCTGGTCCCCCCACCACAATGTGTTTGGATCCCTAGTTCTTCACTGGCAAAATCTGCCCTGTCTCTCACAATAATGTGAGTCTGAGCAGAAAATATTAATAATAAACCTAACACTCATTGCACGTACCATGTGCCAAGTACTGTTCTAAGCACTTTCCCACATGTTAATTAAAATAGATGTCAAAAAGTTTTTGAAAGTAGGAAGTATAGCTAAATGATTATCACTGCTGATAGTCACAGGCATTGTAGGGCCCCAATCAAACCACAGTCTCTCTTGCACCCCAGGAGCTCACTGTCACAAGGCAGACAGATGCACAGTTGTCAGTGAGAGGCTATAATTCCTACCAGAAGAGGGAAAGGGTGGGTCAGAGATTGGTTAGGACCACAGGGATGATTAGCATTGGAAGGCCTCCTGGAGGAGGTGGACTGCTGTAAACAATGTCTCTCAATTCTCCACCCATGACCTTTGTCCCTTGGGCTCCTGTCATCACTGACTCACCCATACTGCTGCCTCCCCCTCACCAACTTCCTGGCAGGAGGCAAAAGTACTGGCCAGTGGGAGTCTGGGAACCAGCACAGGGACCAGCCCAGCTCTAATCACCCTCCAGAGATCCCATCCGGTTCTTCCTTCCAGGGATACTGGGAGGGTGGGGCACAGACTCCTGGGCTGCTGCCTGCTCAGAGGCCTCTGCCTCCTCCTTTCCCTGCTCTGGGGTCTGGGTGTTCTGCACTGGAAGAGGGCTAAGCCACTGGTACACGTGGGCACAAGGGAGGAAGCTGCTCTGGAAAGGAGACCACCAGAGGGGAGGCAGAGGAGCAGGCCATGTCTTCAGGGTCCACGTCCTGCCTGGCTCTCCCCATCGGCGTCCTAGAGGAGGGAGCTTGTGGGGGCACTGCATGGAGCTGGAGGGCCCTTTCTGCTGTATTGTTTGGGCTGGGCCTAGTCTAATCCCCCCATCTGCCTTGCGGACTAAGTGGGGCCCACATTCAGGGAGACAGTGTCCCTGCGGAGTTAGTGATGGAAGCAGGGAGGCCCTGTCTACCAGGGCTGGGAAGGGCCTAGGTGCTGAGTCCAGTCAGGTGCTGAGCATGCTAGGTAGGGATGGCGTCTAGGCTCTGGGGGATTGACTACCCCTCCCCAGAGGGTCTTGGCAAGGGTTCCTGGGCTGTTTCCAGAGGTGTGTGGCACCCACCTCCTGAGTCCACCAAGCCCTGAGGGAGTAGGGAGCCATGGGTGGGGCAGACCCCTCCTCATTCCCAGTCCCTCCCACCCCTGAAAGCTGATAGCCGTGGGGCCCTGCCACCGCCCAGGGAGCGTGAAATGGGGTGTGCCGCTGGGCAGCCACAGTAGCTCCTACCACCGCCTGGGCCTATTGCCTTTTCTCCTTGGGCAGCCTCTGGCATCCTGAGCTGCTCTGTAGATGTTGGCTGGGCTGTCCCTGCCAGCTTCCCCAGCTTTGCCTGGCACAGGCCCCAACCCAGGCTGGAAGATGTCTCCCTCAGGCTTCAGCTACCCCCACACCCAAGAAAAAGATTCAGAGTGGTCAGCTCAAGTGCAGGCACCCTAGGCCTGGCTTTCTGCCTTGGAGTTGAGGGAACTCTCTGCAGGCAGCATTGCTGCTCTCTCTTAGATGGCAGTAGGGTGGAGCCCCTAGGAAAGAGTTGGCACCCAGGGATTTTGGAACCATCCCTGTCCAACTGGCATGCCCTGACTCAGCACCTGAATCCCTAAGGTGCGCTGAGGACTAGGCTGGACCTTGACCTTCCTGTCCTCAGGTCTTTTCCTTCTTTGCTGTCCAACCCCATCCACCTTCTGTACCTTCTTGCCTAGAACCCCTTCACCTACTCAGGCAGCATCCTGGCCTCATTCCCTAAACTGCTGTCTTGGAGCCTGTTCAGGCTTCAGACTGGATGGCCAGGCCAGAGTTCTGGGTTGGGTGCTGAGTTCTCTCTCCCTGGGGGAATGTCCTGAGACCCTTGTGTCAGCCCCGACACCCAGAGGCTGGTGATGAGACTAGTAGGAGTGACCTTTGCACCTCAGCCTGGTAACAATACCCAAGACCCTTGCTTCAGGGCCAAGCCCAGAGTCCTGGGGGTCCAGGAGAGAAAAGAACTGAAACAGGAACCCGGCACCTTCCCAGGGGCTGAGGCCCACCGCTGACTGCACTCAAGGGAAGGATTAGGTCTGGCTTAGCTCAGACAATGTGGTAGAATGGGGGCCTCAGCACTGCACCTGCATTCCCTTCCCCCACCTCACCATGAGGTTTGTGGGGAGAGCCAGGTAGAGCTGGGAAGCTGGAGGCAGGTGGAGAGAGGGGAGCAGCTGCCTGGGACCCAGTGGGCTGTGGGGTGGATCCAGCTCTTCTTCCCTCTCGCCAGTACCCCCCTTCCTCAGGCCCTTGGGCCCTGCCACCCACCCTGAGCTGAAAGTCAGTCCCACTCAGGAGATTCTGGGCAGCCAGAATACCCCTGGCCCCGGCCCCCAACATACTCACACACCGTGGGCCCCATTCCTCACCCTGTGGGCCAGAATTCTTTCAGGCAGTCCTTCCTAGTCCCTCACTGCCTTCCCAGACACTCCCTCTTCCCCTGGTCCAGGTTCTCTGGCCTAATGTGCTTCCATCGCAGCAGCTTGAGTGGAAAGGATGGGGTCTCTGGGTTTTTCTACCACTGCATCTTCTGTCCTGCTCCTACCACCCTCCACACCTTCTTCTCTAGTCACCTCCTCTTTCACCTTGGCCATCCAGGCTCTGGAGCAGTTCCGGGAAGACTTGAAAAGGGGCCTTCTGGCCATTACTCACCTTGGCCACCAGGTGTCAGACTTTGCCCAGCTGGGTGGGAGGAAGGTTCTAGTTAACCATTTCCACCCCATCAGTCTGGCCTCAGAGAGAGATCTGGGCAAGTTGGGGAGGAGCCTAGAGGTGACCACTGAACTGGCAAGGCTGAGGGACCCTGAAGGTTGAGACTGGGAAAAGGACTGGAACTCTGACTCTACAGCTTTCCCCCAGATCCCCCTCACTGCCACTGCCCCCACACCACCCCACTGACAAGGGCTTTGTCCCCTGCTGGGAAGTTCAGGAACGAGGCTGAGTCAGGGAGCTTGAGAATTGAAGGAACAAAGGCAGGGACAGTTGTAGCTCCACAGCAGAAGGGGAAGCTGAGAGGGAGCTGCCCATCGGAGTGCCCAGCCAGGACTGAGTCACTAGCCCTTGCCCTCTAGGTTAAGGGGAACAGAGGGCCTCCCTTTGCCCTTCCCCATTTAGGGTGGCTGTGGCAAGTGAGAGTGTGTGTGTGCATGTGTGTGTAAACTCAGTGCTTGAATGAGCCTCTCATATCATGAGGCGGCCTGTAAGTCTTGGACGGTAGGTCAGTCTTTGCAAAAGTGGAAAACTGGCAAGATCTGAGTATTGTGCCATCTCCCATCAGAGCCTCCTCTAGCCCCACTTCCCCCAGAGGTTGCCCCTGCCTCAAGTGATAGTTCTCCATTTTATGCTCATTCTTTCAAACATAGGTGTGTTTCTAAGCACTCAAGATGATGACAAGATTTCTAATCCTTACATTCTATCTGGAGATGATGGAGAGGAGGGTCTTCTCTTGCCCACTCTCCCGATCCTTGTGGGGACATGAGGAATACTAGAGATAACACACCCTCCACCCTTTGACATTGCAATGCCTTAGAGTCTCATGTTAGCCTCTGGGCCTCTGACTCTGAAGCCATTCTTAGGAGGTAGAACCTCGATAACCAACAAAACTCATTGGATCTCCTGAAGCAGCTCTGGATGGAAAACCAATGACTCACTCACAGAAAACGCCAGTGCCCTGTGATCTACCAGGTGCTCCCTGTGCTGTGGTGCTGGCATTTTCACAAGATGCCTGTGGGACACAGTGCCAAAACACAAACGAGCAGCTCACATCCCCTGTCACCATCATTAGGGGCTATTTGAGAGAGTTCAAGAACTCACACTCTGAAGTGCCCTCTCTGATGGTGCTCTCATCCCCCTCTCCCTCCACCACGCCACCGCCACTGTGGGAGCGTTCTGCGTCCTCAGCATGCAGGAACCCCAGCGCTCCCCATTCAGGATTCTTCTCCCAGCCTATTCCCCTCCTCTGTTTCCCTCCACTGACCACTCTTCCCTTACTGCCTGGCTCTGGCTCCCAGCCAATTTCCAGTAGTTTCCAGCAGCCTAGAATCCCCCTTGATTCTCTGCCATTCTTGCCTTGCCAATCCTCAGCCTTGGAAAATGCCCTCTTCTCCAGTCTGTCCCTCCCTCTGAAATGCTAAGGAATGTCACTGCCCATGGTGACAGGTCCACGGCAAAGGTGCCTGCTGATATCACCGGGTTCTATTTGGCTGCCCAGACACCCTTTGGCTCTCCTGTGGTTGTCTCCTTATTCCATTCTCTAAACCTCCCCATTTTTCTCCACCCGCCCCCTACTCACTCAGCAATAACATGTTTAGATCACTTCTATTTAACAACAACAACAACAAAACAAACAAAAGCCTTCTGTGATCTTGCTAACCTTTCTAGATGGTGTTTTTTTGTTTGTGTGTTTTTTGAGACAGTCTCGCTCTTGTCGCCCAGGCTGGAGTGCAGTGGTGGGATCTTGGCTCACTGCAGCCTCCACCTCCCAGGTTCAAGCGATTCTCCTGCCTTAGCCTCCTGAGTAGCTGGGATTATAGGCATGCACCACCAGGCCTGGCTAATTTTTATAGTTTTAGTAGAGATGGCCATGTTGGCCAGGCTGGTCTCAAACTCCTGACCTTAAGTGATCCGCCCTCCTTGGCCTCCCAAAGTGCTGGGATTACAGGTGCAAGCTGCTGCGCCTGGTCTCTTAACCAGCAAACTCTGAGGGACTTGATTTACCCCTTCTACTTCTGCCCACCATGGCCTTCATTAATCTCACAACTCGGTGGCTGCCTCTCACCTGCTGTTTCACAAAGGTTGCCTGAGACTTCCTGATTGCCAAAGCCACTGGATTTTGCTCAGCATTCTTCTTGAGCTCCTCTGGGGCATCTGAGACTGTTGATCAGCTCCTTCCTTCACCTAGGCTGGAGTGCAGTGGTGTGATCACAGTTTACTGCAGCCTCGACCTCCCAGGCTCAAGCGATCCTCCTGCCTCAGCCTTCCTTGTAGCTGGGACCACAGGTGCGCCACCACACCTGGCTAATTTTGTTTTGTTTTGTTTTTTGTTTGTTTGGGTTTTTTTGAGATGGAGTCTCGCTCTGTCACCAGGCTGGAGTGCAGTGGTGCCATCTCGGCTCACTGCAATCTCCGCCTCCTGGGTTCAAGCGATTCTCTTGCCTCACCTCCAGAGTAGCTGGGACTACAGGCGTGCGCCACCACATACAACTGATTTTTGTAGTTTTAGTAGAGACAGGGTTTCACCATGTTGGTCAGGATGGTCTCTATCTCCTGACCTCATGATCCGCCCGCCTCAGCCTCCCAAAGTGCTGGGATTACAGGCGTGAGCCACCGCGCCTGGCCAATTTTTGTGTTTTTTGTAGATACAGGGTTTTGCCATTTTGACCAGGCTGGTCTTGAACTCCTGGGCTCAAGTGAGCCTCCTGCCTCAGCTTCCCAAAGTGCTGGGATTATAGGTGTGCGCCACTGTACCTGGCCTTTTCTGTCAATTTCCAAAACACTATCGTCTTGACACACACTTTTTAAATTTTTCTCTAATATAGCAACCCTATTAACTGATGTCTTGACACTCTTTAAATCAGTTTAAGTCAAATTGTCAAGGTTTGGCTGGGTACAGTGTCTCACGCCTATAATCCCAGCACTTTGGGAGGCCGAGGCAGGGGGATCACTTGAGATCAGGAGTTCAAGACCAGCCTGGACAACATGGTGAAACCCCATCTCTACTAAAAAAATACAAAAAAAAAAAAAATAGTCGATGTGGTGGCGTACGCCTGTAATTCCAGCTACACCGGAGGCTGAGGTGGGAGAATTGCTGGAACTGGGAGGTGGAGGTTGTAGTGAGCCAAGATCGTGCCATTGCACTCCAGCCTGGGGACAGACCAGGACTCTGGCTCAAAAAAAAGAAAAAAAAATTATCAAAGTTTTACTGTGCCAGGCATTACACTAAAATGCTGTAGGGCTGGGCACAGTGGTTCATGCCTGTAATCCAAGCACTTTGGGAGCCCACGGTGGGCAGATCACTTGAGGTCAGGAGTTTAAGACCAGCATGGCCAATGTGGTGAAACCCTGTCTCTACTAAAAATACAAAAATTAGCCAGGCATGGTGGTGGACGCCTGTAATCCCAGCTACTTGGTTGGCTGAGCTAGAAGAGTTTCTTGAACTTGGGAGGCGGAGGTTGCAGTAAGCTGAGATTGTGCCACTGCACTCCAGCCTGGGTGACAGAACGAGACTCCATCTCAAAAGAAAAAAACAACAAAACACTAAAATGCTGTAGGGATGCAAAGATGAATAAATCGTGGGCCTTGCCCTCAAGATGTTATTTGCTTGAAAAAGACAAATACGCCGGGTGCGGTGGCTCACGCCTGTAATCCCAGCACTTTGGGAGGCCGAGGCGGGTGGATCAAGAGGTCAGGAGATCGAGACCATCCTGGCTAACACGATGAAACCCCGTCTCTTCTAAAAATATAAAAAATTAGCTGGGTGCAGTGGTGGGCACCTGTAGTCCTGGCTACTCGGGAGGCTGAGGCAGGAGAATGGCGTGAACCCGGGAGGCGGAGCTTGCAGTGAGCCGAGATCACGCCACTGCACTCCAGCCTGGGTGACAGAGCAAGACTCCATCTCAAAAAAAAAAATAAATAAATAAAAAGAAAAAGAGAAAGACAAATACACTTAACTCCTTTTTTTTGAGTTGGAGTTTCACTCTGTCGCCCAGGCTGGAGTGCAATGGCATGATCTCGGCTCACCGCAACCTCCGCCTCCCAGGTTCAAGCGATTCTCCTGTCTCAGCCTCCCTAGTAGCTGGGATTATAAGCATGTGCCACCACGCCCGGCTAATTTTGTATTTTTAGTAGAGACGAGTTTCTCCATGTTGATCAGGCTGGTCTCGAACTCCCGACCTCAGGTGATCTGCCCACCTCAGCCTCCCAAAGTGCTGGGATTACAGGCGTGAGCCACCGCGCCCGGCCACACTTAACTAACTCTTATTCTGCCCCATCTCCATCTGTCTGAATTCTGCCCATCCTCCAAGAATGGTGTCAAATCCCACCGCATGCATTTATGGAAAAGGTAACTATTGAGCACTTGCTGTGTGCTCTGCACTGGAAATACAGCTATGGAAGTCAGCAATAACTTCAGATGCTGTTTTCTCCCCTAATAGGGCTCACAGCCTAGAGGGCCTTCACCTAACTAGATGCAGTCTCTCTTTCCTAGTCTTCTGTAGTATTTTGCCTGGATCTTTCTGCATTTAATCGAGTTCTGCCTTGTATTCTACCATTCAGGGAAGGGTTTCTATTCCCTTTTCTAGATTGTTTTGTCCAACACACTCATTGAGCACCTTCTTTTGGATGGAGTCTAAGCTGGGTGCTGGTATAGTGAGTAGAAGAAGACTCAAAAGCTGTCCCCAAGAAACTCAACAGGATAGTACTGTGTAAGCTCTCTGATGATAAGACCTCCTCCTTTACCTCTGTATTCCTTATAGCCCCTACTTAATGCTTTGCATATCACAGGCCACAGCTTATTTTGACTATGTGTGGAGACAGCCCTGATACCCTCTCCTTTCTATCTTGTTATGCAGGGGGCAGGGTCTGCAGGTGCCCTTGGCCATGCCTAGGCCATGCCTAGGCAGATGAGGAGCCCGGACCCCTCAGGGTGGGGCATGTGCCCTCTAACTTGGGCCAGATGACTCAGGGCCATTCAGCAGAGCTGGCTTGCCTCACCCACAAGCAAGTTAGTAGCTCCTGCACCTACACTCTGACCTCTCCCTTTTCTAGTGATTCTTGCACTTGCTGGCAGTTCTGTGTCTGCATCGCACAGATATGCCTGTGGCCCTTATTATTTCAGGTACATTGATCTTTTCTTCCCAAGTAGATTAGAAGCTCCATAAGGGCAGGAGCCAAATTAGGTTTTAGGCTTCTTTTGGCTTTTCTACACCACAGGCAGGTAATTAGATCTTGAAAATATTTGTCAACTGATTGACATTGCCATCATTTCTTACTTTCTTCACTTAAGGCATTATCTCCAGGAGGCCCTTATAAAATATCCATGTAGGATGTGAGGATGATCTGGCTGTGACATCTGTCACCCCATTGATCACCAGGGTTGATTCGGCTGATCTGGCTGTCTAGGCGGGTGTCCCTGTCCTCCCTC
The DNA here is from genome assembly GCF_000001405.40 of Homo sapiens. Taxonomy (NCBI): domain Eukaryota; kingdom Metazoa; phylum Chordata; class Mammalia; order Primates; family Hominidae; genus Homo; species Homo sapiens. Next base: position 67,362,514 of record NC_000011.10, read on the forward strand.
ACAGCTCCTCGTGCATCCCTCCCGAAGCTGTGTGCTCTGTTGAGGACGACCATCCCTGATAGAGGAGGATCAGTCTTCCGTCAAGGGTATATGAGTAGCCTCGCTCCCATGCTAGAACTTCCAAACAAGCTCTCAAGATCCATAAAATATCCATGTATTACCTGGGAGCTATTCATTCATTGACTTACCCAGTGGTTCCTAACTAAAGTGTCATGACATGCTGCTAGAGCCTAAGTAATCTGTAATGACTACAGCTGCTGCTGCTACAGCCAAGCATCTGCCCTTTGTTGTTCCTGTTATCCTTTCCAGCAGTCTTAGATGGGTATTTAATTATCCCCACTTTACTGATGGGGAAACTGGTCACTCAAAATTTGTGAGTCTGAGATTTGAGCTTAGGGCATCCCTTGAATAGCATCTATCCCATTCTCTCACAATTTGAATTTTTCTCTTTTCCTGAATATGCTATCTTACATTGGAGAGAGAGGAGTAGCATTTACAGCTGAGGATTGTGACTTGTTCACAGTCTGTTTCCCTCCTGAAGAGAGGAAGGGTGTTGAAGTGAGGGTCACTGCTCCTGAAGCCCCAGTGGACAGAGACAGGCAGGAGTCCTGGGGAAGCTGGGGAGTGAAGCCCAGGGGCTGACTGCTCAGGGTAGAGCACCAGAAGCACAGATGAATAGCTTTGCTCATCATAAGGAGGCTGGGCCAGAGGGCAGAAATAGAAATTCAAGGTGGGAAGACAGACCTGTGAGACCATTAATGCAATCCAGGAAGGTGAGGCTGGCCAGGCGAGGTGGCTCACGCCTGTAATCCCAGCACTTTGGGAGGCTGAGGTAGGTGGATCACCTGAGGTCAGGGGTTTGAGACCAGCCTGGCCAACATGGTGAAACCCCGTCTCTACTAAAAATACAAAAAAAGCCAGGCATGGTGGTGCACCCCTGTAATCCCAGCTACTCGAGAGGCTGAAGCATGAGAATCATTTGAACCCAGGAAGCAGAGATTGCAGTGAGCCAAGATCACGCCACTGCACTCCAGCCTGGATAACAGAGTAAGACTCTCTCAAAGAAAAACCAAGGCCGGGCACAGTGGCTCACACCTATAATCCCAGCACTTTGGGAGGCCGAGGCGGGCGGACCATGAGGTCAGGAGATCGAGACCATCCTGGCTAACACGGTGAAACCCTGTCTCTACTAAAAATACAAAAAATTAGCTGGGCGTGGTGGCAGACGCCTGTAGTCCCAGCTACTCAGGAGGCTGAGGCAGGAGAATGGCGTGAACCCTGGAGGCGGGGCTTGCAGTGAGCCGAGATCGCGTCACTGCACTCCAGCCTGGGCGACAGGGCGAGACTCTGTCTCAAAAAAAAAAAAAAAGAAAGAAAACCGAATCCCAGAAAGGTGAGGAAGACTTAGCAAAGGTGGGGTGAGGGAAACCTGGGGTGGACAGAAGCTGTGTGGGAGGACTGAGGGATCAAGGGGTTGGTGGTGGCAGCAGCAGTGGGTAAGTCTGAGGTGCGCCCATCGCCCCAGTGCGGGGAGGAAGAGGGCCTCTTCCCAGAGCTCTGTGCAGCTCCACCAGAGGCAAGCAGGGAGTGGGAGCCAGGGGTGGCAAGAGTCTGATGAGCACCAGGAGGGGTGAGGCTGGGCAAAGAGACTAAGTTCTGGGGCAAGCATTTTATTTGTTAATACAAGAATAGAAATTCTGCAATAAATATCATCTAATAAATAACATCTCCAAATAAATAAATATTAATACAACACACTTAGAGTCATGAGTGGGTGGGGCTGGGGGGCAGGGCCTTGGGGAGCTGCCACCCTACACCCCAAAATGCTACTGCATTGTAAACTTTCAGGAAATCCTGTGGTGTGGCTATGGTTGCCCTCCCCAGCCTGGCAACCCACAGATACCCTGGGAAAGGGGGCAGAGAAGAGGCACCGTAATACTGGAAGACAATTCGAGGCAAGGTCCTGATGCTCAGCTCGGGTTTTGTTTGCCACTCTGTGCTTTGGAGACTCCTGGGTCTGGTCTGGTCTGTCCCTGCCCCTGTGCTTTCAGTATTTTCTCTTCTGGTTTATAGGGCACCTCCAATGCAGACCCCAACCCTGCACTGTTAATCTCATCTCTTTTTGTGTAGAATTGCCACCATGTTTGTTTCCTGAATTGGATGTATAGAGTGATTTGGGGATAAGGGAGCAACACCCATCCAAGGAGAGTGGGGCAGCCAAAGGGCTTCACCCCAGAAAGGCATGTGTGGTGGTGGCCCCTCAACCCCTGCCCTCCAGATGTGCCACCTGAGGGGCTGGGTGGGCACTGGCCAAGTGGTAGGCAAGAAGCAGGAGGCCATGAGCGCCTCTGCACCAACCTGAACCACTTCACACTCCCTCGAGCATGACTTCCTGTAGAAACAGGACAGGACAGGGCCTACTGTACCTCCTCCCCAGCTCGGTAGACCTTTGGGAGGTGGGGAGGAGACAGGGCTGATCGCATCACACGCCCAGCCGGTCCAGGAAAGGGCCAGAGGCTCACAGCTTCTGTCTCCTGGCTCAACAGGTGTTGGCATACAGGGCTGGCTCTCACAAAGTGGGAGCAGGGTTTGAAGGGGGAGCGAAGAGGAGAAGGTCAGAAGTCAGAAGCCATGAGCCCCCAGGTGCAGGGTGACTGCAGCTGCTGGAGGCTGCATCTTCTTCTTGAGCCGGTTGAAGTCCTTGGCCGAGCGCCACAGCCAGGTCTGCAGCTCCTTCAGCAGCCAGAAGTCGTCCATCTTCTGGAGGAAGTCACTGTGGGCAGGGCCAGGAGTCCAAGTGGGTTCAGTCCCAGGCAGCGGCTGGGGCAGTGGGTAGCCCAGAGCTGCCATGACGCCCGCAATGCTGCCCAGCAGGCCCTGGAGGCTGGTGCAGAAGTGGGCCAGGCTGCGGCGCAGCTCAGCAGTGGCAGCCTGACGGTTGAGGCCACGCAAGTAACACAGAAGGTGGCTGTAGGCCTCGTAGTTCTGGGTCAGCCGCAGTTTGTCATTGAGGCTTCGCCACACCTCCAAGTCAACAGTGGCCCTGGGCAGAGTCTCTGCCCCCAGGCGGGGAGGGTTGAAGTCTGGCTCGTTGAAAGGGGGGCCCAGGTAGTTCAGCTGTGAAAAGGAGAGGGTGATGGGGAAGGAGGAGGGCAGAGCCGCTGGCTCACCACCAAGGAGATACCTGCTCCCAAAGTTTCTATTTTTTGTGTCCCCTGACACTGGCCCTGTCTCCATGCTAGGCTTCTTTGTTCATGGCCTCCCTGAGTTTTTCCAATAAGGATATCATTTGTATGCAGGTGACAGTTGAAGCAGTGGCGGTGGTGAGCTCTCCAATGGAGAGGCGTAGAAAAAGGAGGAGGAGGAGACGCACAAGACGCTCAGGAAGGACGTGCTGATTGGCTGGGTGGGCAAACCTTGGGAGAGTGCCCGCTGTGGGGGCAGGACAGAGAGGAAGAGGAGCCTGGAGGAGCTGGAGAGGTAGAAGGTGGCCCAGGAGAGTGCAGAGACCAAGGAAGAGGAGTTCGAGAAGGCAGCAGCGCTCAGCAGTGTGGCTGCAAAACAGACAGCAAGGAGAATGAGCCTTCAAAACACTGTCGGGCTTGGCAAGGAGGTGCCTGACGACCTTGGAGAGAACCATTGCTGGGGCCTGGAAGCCAGATTGCAGGGGGTTAAGAAGTGAGTGGGTGGAGAGGAAGTGGAGGCAGAGGGTGTAGACCACTCCTTGGAGAAATTTGGCAGGGAAAGCCAGGAGAGAAAAAGGGTCGGGAACTAGAGAGGGCAGTGGAGTGAAGCAAAGGTTTTCTGCACAAGGAACAAGAGAGAGATGAGAGTGGCCCATTGGAACCAGAGCCCCATTTGCCGCTGACACACCCAGGCCCACCAGCTGAGGGGCTGGGGAGAGACGGGTACTCACTAACACTCCGAAAGAAGGGTTCAGCTGATAGGAGCAGGGTTGCAGAAGGAAGAAATGGAGGCAGTCTCATGAGTAGGACAGGAGGAAGGCTATGGAAGACAGCATGGTATAGGGAAGAGGGCAGAGCCCTTTCCAACCCTCGGGGGAGCGGCTGGGGCCCAGGGAAAGGGATGAGGGAGATGTATAACTGGGAAAGAAGGGAGAAGCAAGGGGAGAGGCCTGGGATAGGCAAGGGCCCAGGGGGAGGTTCACACGCTGACAAGCACAGAGACAAACTAATTTCCTCGGTGTATCCTGGGGCTGGAGCCAGCTCCCCCGCCACCCTCCTCCCTTTTCTTTCCCTGGCTCCAGAGTAGGGTCTGGGATGTGGAAGAGGAACACGGGAAGAGGGGGCCGGTTCCCCATGGTCCTCGGCTCCTCCAACCCTCCTTCCTTCTCTCCTGGGCTCTCTGAACACCTCTGGACCACCCCCAAATCCTTACAGCATAACCTCCATCCACACCCTAAACCCCCTGCCACTACTGCCTGGGTTCCCTACAGTCCCCTTCCCCCATGACCCCCCTAGGAGGCCCAGCTAGGATGGGAGAGGCAGACGGAAGGGAGGCCCCTGGGTCCAGAGCAGCAGGGCCCCAGGTCTGGGGGCAGAGGCGAGCTGGAACGCAGGCATGGGAGGTGGGGCCCCTCTGTCCCCACCCAACCCCGCCCGCGCAAGAGACACCACAACACGGTGTAAACAGAGGAGACTTCCCCGGCCCCCAGGGGGAGGCGGGCGGCTGGGCTGGCAGCCAGTGGGGCAATGGGCCAAGGCGGGTGCGAGGCCTGCCCACATGCCTAGTCCTGGGGCCAGGGATGGGGAAGTGGGGGGGCCACCTAAGAGGGAAGGGCAGGAGATAGACCAGACAGGGGGACTGGTGGGAGCCAAAGAGCCCCTCCTCACCCCATCATTTACCAGAACCCTCCACGGTTAGGACTGTCTTTCCCCAACTCCTCACTCCTCCCCAACTCCCAGATTCCTACGCTGGATACTCACATAGGTCCCAGCCAAGCTGCGGAGTTGGTGCTCCAGGTAGCGGGTGAGGTCATAGGTTTTCTGGATGGAGGGGCCAGGCCCTGGGTCCCCTGTGCGATTGAGAGCTGGCACTGCAGGGAGGTGCCAGAGCACCGTGCACAGGCACGCTAACATCCCCCACGAGTCCCCTGTGGGCAGGATGGACGAGAAGCATGAGCGCGGCCCGGGCCCACACGGGGAAGCAGCTGGCAGCCCCTCAGGTGTCTGTCCCCACCTTGGGCTGGGTGGGGGGTGAGGGTGGGACACCAGATGGGAGGCAGAGGGGATGGAGGAGGGGAAACACTCCTGGCAAGACGGGAGAGAAAGAGAGGCATGTGTATGTTTGAGGATGAGGACTTGGCACGCATGAGTGTCTATCAGTAGATACTTGAGAATGGATCTGTGTGTCAGCTGAGAGAGTCTTTGGCATGTGTGCCACTGTGTGTGTGCCAACATGTATATGTGTGTACATGGAGGGACGGGGCCAGGCCTAGGGACTGCAGGTCGACCTGCCTGTGTTCCAGTTGTACCCTAGCTTCCTGCCAGTCTTCAGTCCCACTGCAGCTTGAGGGGAGTCAGAGGGTGGGAGACAGCACATGTCAGAGCTGGCAGGCTGAGCACAGTCAGCCCTAAGGGAGGAAGCAGGAGAGAGGCGGCCGCCAAGAACAGACTCACCCATAGGAAGCAAGGTATAGGGTTAGACCACTAGGGTCGGGCTGCCTTATGGGGCTTAGTTTTGGGTATATTCTAGGATGTGATTCCTGAGTGTGGGAAGTGTAGGGTGGGGTTAGATTGAAGGAGATTTAGTGCTCACTCTCAGGGAACGGTGGCAGTGTGGAGGTTCACCCCGTTCTTGGTGTTAGGTGGGGAAAAGTTGGACTTCAATGAGGCCTTTCCATCAGCCTGCAAGGGTGGGGACAGGAAGGGAGAGAGGTGCATTTGACGAGTCGGGCTTGTTGGCTGATGGCACTGCAGAGTTTGGACATCCCAGGATACCAGGAGTCCAGAGGCCAGGGTTGGGTGCTGTAAGGAGGGATGTGGGCAGTGGGGAAATATGCTTTTCTGGGATTTTAAGTGAGGACCAAGGTGAGGATTCAGTGGACACTTTGGACTGGCAAAGGCAGTTAGGGTTTGGCTAGGGTAGATATAATTGGCATTGGGCTAGGTTAGGTTTAAGGACTGGGTTACTTTAAAAGTTTCAGATTAGTTTAGACTTGGGATTTGGTTGATTTAGTGCGGTTGAGGTTTGAGTCCAGCAAGGATGTGGTGAGGTCTGGGCAGGCAGAGGGTGAGTTGGAGGGCTGTGACTTGGTCGGTTTAGGTATCAGATGGGGCGCTGCTTGTCATGTTATGAAGAGCAGGGCTAGTTTGGGTTTTCAGCTTGAATAGGTGTGAGGTCATGAGTGGTTTCTTTCCTATAGTTCTTTTTTTTTCCTTTTTTTTTTTTTTTTTTGCTGCCACCTTCTCTTTCCACCACCCCTATAGTTCATATTTTATACTCTCAGATTTTTCTATAATGACATAGGTTGCTTTGATAGGCAGAAATAACTTAGATAGGTATAACGCTTTGCCCATGGTTAGGATGGGATTTGGATTCAAGAAAGAATGAAGACTAGGTTAGGTCTAATCACAGTGCTGGGGCAGTTTTGGAGAGGGCTAATAACTAGGAAGGATGCAAGACTCCATTTGTATAAAACATCTCTTATGGAGGACAGGGGTCAGTGAGGACTTCGGCAGTGGCCCACCTGGTCAGTCTGGACTCTTTCAGATGTGTGACTGGCCGGCTTTACTAAGGGAGCGTGGCGGTGGGGTACCACAAGTCACAGGGTCTTGGTTTGAGGCAAGTGTGAGTGTGTGTACACGCGTGTGTTTTAGGACAGAGAGTAGGGTCAGGCACTCAACTGCTCCCTGGGGAGACCAGCTCACCCTTTCCTGTCCCCTCTGAGCTTGTGGCTTCCTCCTGGACGCTGCTTTCCTCACTCTTCCTTTCTATCCCCAGCTCTTGCCTGACTCAGTTCCTTTCTCCTCCCTGCTCCTCACATCTCAACACAACTCCAAGCCTAGGGATCTGGCAGTCACCTCTAGGATCCTATGGGTACAGAGTAGCATTAGTTTTGGAGATTGGAGACCTGCTGAATTGGGCAGCGGCCCTCCCAGCCTTGAGGTCGCTTTCAGCATCGAGTCTGGCTTCACTCAAAGTTAGTGGCGAGACCAAGGGTCCCAACTGAAGCCGGAGCTGGGAGCTAGGCTTCCTTCTTTACCCACATGCTGGCCGGAGTTCTAGGCTCTGCCTTTGTCATGGCCAAGAGGTACAGTCAGGAACCCAGCTCAGAACTTACCCTCTCCCATTCTGAGCCCTGTGGGACATCCCTAGGGGAGATCAGCTCCCTACACAGGGACAGCAGGGGGAGAAGCCTTTGGATAGACAAGAACTAAGTCATCTGGGCAGAAAAAAACGGCTCATGAAATTAACCAGACGAGGCCGGTGTTTCCAGGAATATTTCAGTTCTGAGGTAACTGTGTCGTTGCAGGCTGCGGGTGGGGGGCAGGGGAGAACAGAAGGATCCGACGGCCCACAGAACCAGAAAGAGGGAAGGGTTCTCAGGAATCCAGAGGGAGAAGAGGTTAGGAGAAAAGAAAGGGGGGGTAGAAGGACAGGGCTCTGCCCCTGCTATGACAGCTTCCACTCTGGGCAAAGCCATGCCCGTGTCTCAGGCAGCAGGAGGGAAAGCAGCGTGGGGTGAACACCTGCGGTTTAGTCGTGAGCTTGGGAACCCAACACAGCTCGCCTGCCTCCTGAGGAGAGTGCGTGGTGGGCTTCCTGGAGCCCTCATCCATCCTCCCTCAGGCTCATGTTGTGCAGGTGGACCCCGGCCACTGGGGCTGTGTCCTAGGTCCCCCTCTCCCCCTCCCCACCAGTCCTGGCCCCCAGCCCGGCCCCCGCCCCAGCTCTGCCTCTGGCTGCTGCCCACTGATTGTTTACATCCCGTCTTCTCTGTGTGTTTATAAATCCGGCTGAGCACGTGAGGAGCTAACGAGTACAGCTCACGTTTCCTGCAACAGCCCCCCACCCCCGGCCAGCCCCTAATTCCATCCAGATCCCTGGGCCCTAGGAACCAAGGCTCTCCTCATGAACACACACACACACACACACTCTCTCTCTCTTAGCCCAAGGAAGTGACTGGCCACCCAGACAGCTGCACAGGCAGGCGCACCCGTGAGCACATGTCTTTAGCCACTTTAGCCAGCTGCCCCTCAGTCCCTGGCCTGGACACCCCCAGGCTGACCTTTCCCAGTGAGGGTGAGAGTTCAGCCATGCAGATGTGCCAGGGTGCTTAGGGTGGTAGGACAAGTCAATGGGAGTCTCTGCACCTGGGACTATAAGAGCTACGCTAAGAACTGTAAGCCCTAAATGTTGCAGCCAGGGAGGCACTGCAGAGCTCCAGAGGTGGGGCATGGTGGCCTCAGGCTGGGCTGAATATGGGAGCCAGGAGGAAAGGCCAGACCAGGACCAGCGCTGGCTGCGGTTGGAGGGGTCTGTTGAGGGGAATTGAGGGATGGAGTGGGTTAGGCGGGCAGAGTGGGTGAGGAGTGGGCTAGGGATGGAGTGGGTGAGGTCCAGGCATTGTGACGGTAGGAAACTGCCCCAGGGGCGTGTCCTGACCTACCTTCCCAGGCAAAGGCCCACAGAAACCCATCTTCCTTCCACCCTCTGGGCTGCTGCTTTCCCCTCTCTTACTTATCTCCCTTCTGCCTTTTCCTTGGTTCCTTTTACCCCAGGCCACTGAGAAGTAGCTTGGTGAGTGGGGACACATGGGCCTGGGAATTGGGAGACCTAGCTTTGCCACCAATTCGTCTGGTGACTGTGGGCTTGCACAAGGAGGTCACATTATGCAAGCTCAATTCCTCCTAGAGGAAACACACGGGGCTTCATCTCTCCTCTCCTCTCCAGCATCCCCCTTTGTGCCCTTCTCCTCCAGCCTAAATGACAGAGGTCACTGAGGCCCAGGGGAAGAAGCTGAGGGTGGGCCAGCCCCACTGCCTTATGAAGTCAGTAACCAAGCAAGCGAGACAGGAGTTGGGCTTTGGCTGGAGTGAGAGGGTTCCTGATTGTGCCACAAGAGGGCCATGGGTGTGCTCAGGGAGGCCAGCGGGGAGCCAGGGGGGAGCCCAGCAGCCCACTGAGAGCCAGAGGCAGGAGGAGCAGTGAAGGAGGAGTCCAGGGCAGTGGTGGGTGAATTGGAAAGGGTGTTGTTATCAAGAGGGGCGTGGGGGGGGAGGAGAGTGCAGGAGCCAGGTGTGCACAAGAGGTGGGACGTGGGGAGGAATGTGAAGTGTCAGTGAGCCAGTGGCTGGTGTGCAGGGGTGGCGTGCAGGGGTGGTGTGCAGAAGTGTGACGGACAAGAGTGTGGGTCTGTGAATGAAGGGGACAGGGAGCCATTGCACCCATCAGCAGTGTCACTTCTGGGGCTGCCGGGTGACAATTGCCATCTCTGCTTCCTCCCCGGTGGAGCGTGTGGCTCCAGGGCAGCGAGGGTGTCTGAGCTGGCCAGGAGCGCGTCTGGTCTGTTAGGGGAATATGTACTCGCATCCTGTCCGGTGTGAGGGGCAACGTGTGCTCCCGAGCTGTGGCGGAGGTCAGTCGGGGTCAGTGAAAGCACAGAGGTGTCCCTGGGTTAGGGTCAGAGAAGGAGGACCCAGTAGAGCAGCGTGCCCAGTGCCCCCCACCCCTAGCCTCTCTCCAAGGCTTAGCCTCCACCCGCCCGTCTCCCCTCCTCTCCTGGTAGCCCCTCACACCCCGGGGGGAGGGCCAGGCTGGGAGCTGGGGGAACAGGGGTCCTCTGGGATTGGGAGGGTCTGTGGGGAGGGCTCCAGAAGCCCAGCACGGAGTTGTGGAAAGGAAGGCGGGTGGGGAGAGCAAGCATGAGGGGACCTCTGGCGAGCCCCGGGGACTCTTTCGAAGGTTTCCTTCGAGGGGCTCGGCCGGGAAGCTGCACGGCGGCGGTTGCCAGCTGGCCCTCCCTGCTGGCGGTGACCTCTCGCTCTGGGACCCCTCCCGGCGCTGCGCCTTCCCCCTGTGTGGCCTCGGCGCCCCCGGCCCCGCCCCCTCCCGCTCCCGCCCGGTCGCTCCTTCCCCGCGGCGGGGGCGGGGGCGGGGGCGGGGGCGGGGTCCGGGGCACCGGGCTCCGGGCTCTGCCCGGCGCTGCCCTTTCCCGCGCGTCAACTCCCCTCCTGCCCGGGCTGAGCGGCTGCTCCCGCCGCTCCCTGGCCAGTGACAGACTTTTTCCTGCCGGGTCCGGCCCGGCTGCGCCAGCCCCCCGCCAAACAATAATCACTCCCAGGCCACGGTGGCCCGGGGGACTCGCGGCCGCCGCCCGCCGCCCCTACCTGCCGCCGGCTCCCCGGCCGTGGGCACCATGGAGGGTTCCGGCCGCGCGGCGCGTAGCTAGGAAGCCGCGAGTCCCGCGGCGCGGCTCGGCCCGTCCGGCCCGGCCCAGCCAGGCTCGGCGCTGCCCTCCGCCCTCCTCTCCGCCGCCCGCCCTTCCTCCCGCCCGCCCTCCTACCCCTCCCGGCGGGCCGGGGAGGGAGAGCGGCGCGGCCCGAGGTGTCGGCCTCCCCTCGCCTCCCGCCGCCCGGCCTCGGGCTCCCCCGGCCTCCCTCCCTCTTCCTCTCCCAGCCCCTCCTCCCACCCGCAGCCTCGCTCCCCGCCTCGGACTCTCTGGCCCCGACTGGTGCGCGGGGCTCTGGGGCTGCGGCTCCTACGGCCCGCCTCGCTGGGGCTCCAGGTTGCCGCCTCCCCAGGTCTGCGATCGTCCGGGCTCCCCGCCGCTCCCGGCCACCTCCTGGCCCCGCCGTGCGGACTCCAGGAATGCCGCGTCCCCGCCCGGCCCCTCTCGAGGGCGCCCAGCCGTGCCTCCCCCGGCCCGAGCCCAGCTCCCTGGCCCGGCCCCGGCGCGGGGCTCCCGGGGGTCAGGGCAGGACGGGAACCGGATCTCGTGGCTGCTTGGCGGGGCGGGGGTCGGGGCCTCGGCCGCCTGGCTCCTACCTGCTCGGAGGTCCATGGGGCTGGGGCCGGGCCGGCCGGGTGCGGCTCCTCTCCCGGAGGCTGGCGGAGTGGGAGGGCGAGCCGCGGCTCCGGCGAAGCTTTAATAATCCCATCCGCCAGGCCCACTCGCAGGTTTTTTTCGCTCGGTTTCGGATTTTTTTTTTTTTTCGGTGTGGGACATTCTGCAAACTTTTTTTTTTTTTTTCTGACGTGTAAAGCTGTAACCACAAATTGTAGCGGCCCTCCCCGGGGTGGGGGTAGGAGGGGGGAGGAGGGAAGGGAGGGCTTCTGGGGCTCCCTCTCCCTCCCACAGCACCGAGGGGGGGTGAGGTGAGGCGAGGCTGTGGCGGTACCACCCTGGGCCTCCTGGGGGAGGGGGCGGGGAGGCCATCAGTCCGTCTGAGGACTCCCAGGAGCCGGGGGACAGCGCCGGCTTCGGGTGGGCTTCTCCCCAGGCGTTGGCCTGGGACACCGCCCCCTGCCCCCTGTCCCCTGCCGATGCGGGGTCCCTGATCCAACCTACCTCTGCCTGTGCGAGGTCCCTGCTCCCACCCTACCTCTGCCTCCTCATCTCTAACCTTCCCTCCTCCTCCCCCTTGAGTAAATGCAATGACACATTCTCCCAAATGCCAGCGAGCTGGCCTGGGAGCAAGTGATGGTGTTTTTCCTGCTGCCCTTTGTCTGGGCTGACCGCCCCCCCTGCCTATTGTCCCGCCGCTTGTCCCATTTCCAAAAGCTAGAGCTAAGCGAGGCGCTGGGGCTGGGGCAGGTGACTAACCAGCTCACAATGCCCCCTGCGGGGGAGGAAGAGGGCACTGCAGGCCCACTGCCCGGCCCAGAGGCGAGAAGAGGCCACTTGGCGGGACTTTTTCCCTCAAGTTCACAAGGTTCTTCATTCTTCCTCCAGTGACCAGGGAGAATGTACATGGGTGGGGGATTTGTAATTCATTAATCAGCACGAGGCAACGGACCAGTTTCAACACCACAGGCTTCTTGGGTGACTCAGCGGGAATGCTCCGATTCAAGGCGATGGACCGCCCGAGCGTCCCCATTTGTGAAATGTTTCCCCATGAAGACCCTGGCATTCTCCTTCCTTTGGGGTTTCGGGTTGTTGGTTTTTCCGGTGGTGAGGTGGGGGTGGCTTAGCGGTGAGGGCTCCCCCTCCTTCCCGCAGGCCTGGGTTGGGATTTGCTGGGCAGGATACCTGGGGGTATGCCTGGACCCTCCCAGAGGGGGTCCCCTCCTCCCTCTCCAAGGGCTGCCGGGGAGAACACGCTCAGAGGAGGCAGCTCTAACCCAGGGCTGGGGACTGCCCTGCTTCATGATTTTCCTGGGGGAGAGTCATGTGGTCCCCAAGGCTTGGGTGCCCTATAGCCACACCACCAATTAAATCACTGGGTAATAAGTTGCTTTTGTTGTTGTTTATTTATTGTTTCAAAGTGGGAGAGGCCAGTGGTGGGCCAGACCTGGAAGGTGATGCCTCTCCCTGGAGTGGCATCAGAGATTTGTCTCCCACTCCTTCCTGGTGCCCCTGGAATGGGAGGGCACTCTGCCAGTCCAGCCCCAGCGCCTCCAACCTGTGGCCTGGGCAGGCATCCTGATCATGGCCAGTGCTGGGTCCCAGGGCAGCTCTTCCCTTCTCTGTACCGCGAGCACTGAGGTGGGGGGGTGGGGGGGGTGGGGAAGAAGTTTGTTTTCAATTACCTCACTGGAGTGGGACAGACTTTGTTGTTGGGTTGGTTTTTTTTTTTCTCTCTCTCTCTGTCCTTTCTTCCTTTTTTTTTTCCTAAACAAGGAGAAAAAGGGCTGGGAAAGGAGAGCTGGCTTGGGGTGGGGGGCAGGGGACTTTGAGGGACCTCAGTAGCAGCTCTGATGAAAACTGCCTGGAGGGACCCTTGTGAAAAGTGCTCAGGGCCTACCTCTGCCCCCCCCACCGCCCCCGCACCTCCTCCCTGCCCCCACCAGCCAGGACTCTGGAGTTTCAGTGACATTCCTGATGGATGAACCCAGTGATTTCTTGATGCCCATGCCAAGGTCAAGAAGGCAGATGCCCATGGGTGCATGGCACGGAGGCCAGCCAGGAGGTCCCCCTAGCTGCTACCCTTTCAGAGGGAGGGGGCCAAGAAGGAGGGGAGAGGGAGAAGGGGAGCCGCTTCAGCCTCTCCCTCCGCCTCGAAGCCGCTCCTTGTGGAGTCTGCACAATGTGGTTTGGATTTGGCTGAGCCCCTCAGCACCTTATAAAGCACCTTGCTGAGTCAGGGAGAAAGCAGCCCCAGTGTCGGGGGAGCGGAGGGGAGGGGGCGCTGAAGAAAGGGGCGGGGGCGAGAGAAGAGGGGTGAGACCAGAGAAGGGGCAAGACTGGGAAGGAAAGAGGAGACACAAAGAGGCAAATGGGTGGGAGTGAGAAAGAGGGGAGGAGGGAGCTGGGAGGAAGAGGGGGAAGCAGCGGATGCGGGGAGAGGAAGACACTGAAGCAGAAGGTGGGAGTGGACAACGCCATCCCCAGCACACATCCACCTGGGGCAGCCAGAAAGCACTGGTTTGCAGGAACTGAGGGCTGCAGCTCTGAAACAGGGACCCAGGCCAGGTGGGTACAGGGACAATTGGCTTTACACACAGCCCCCCAGTCCCCAGTTTGTCTTTGAATCTTAATGTAGTGACCCCGAAAGCTGGGAAAGTTGTGTTCTCCCTCTGCCTCTTGGACTTGCCTCCCTGCCCTCTCCCCTCACCTAGTGGGGGCCAAGCCTCTCCCCTCCCCTCCCCCACCTTCCACACTGCCAAAGGGAAAAGCAGCTCCATCTCCAAGCTGCCAGTGCCCCTCTGCCATGCCTGGGCAAAGGCAGCAGGCTGGGAGTTGCCAGTTGGGTTGGGTCGGGGGCTGGAATAAAGACTGTGCCTTTATCCTGCCAAGTCCCTAAATGGGGGTAGCTGCTGGGGTTTGGGGAAGAAGGAAGAGAGGAAAGACGGAGCAGGAGTAGCCCCTCCAAGATTTCCGTGGGATGGGGCAGGACAGGTGGCTGCCCTCTGATTTCCAGCTGGAAATCAGGACCTTGGGAAAGTTCCTGCTCCCCTGTGGCTCTCAAAAAGAATCTTGTTAGGGGCCCTTCCAGTGCTAACAATCTGGGGTTGCTGGTGGGAGGGCACAGCTTAGAGGAGACGCCAGTCCCCCCAGCTCCAGACAAGCATGGGAAAGAGAAGCGCTCCGTCTGCTCCAGGGGTACATTGTGCAGGCACTTTCTCAGTCTCTGCCAGGTCCTGTTAAGGACAGAGAGAAGGCAAGGAAAACCCATCCCTGCTTTTAGGAATGTCACAGTTGGGGCTTACATCTGTAATCCCAGCGCTTTGGGAAGCCCAGGCAGGAAGATTCCTTGAGGAATTTGAGACCAACCTGGGCAACATAGAGACCCCATCTCTACCAAAAATTTAAAAATTAGCCCAGCATGGTGGCGCATGCCTATAGTCCCAGCTAATCAGGTGGCTGAGGCTGAAGGATTGCTTGAGCCCAGGAGTTTGAGGCCGCAGTGAGCTATGACCACTACACATGGTCTTTGTTTCCTGGGGCAACAGAGCAAGACCCTCTCTCAAAAGAAAAGAATTCCACAGTCTAGGGACACTCATTAAACTGTCTGACATCAGCCATAGGTGGCAGTGGGTACATTTAGGGCCAAGGAGGATGGTGGGAGGAGAACTTCCTGGAGGAGGTAGAGCTTTGGGGTAGAAATGTGGATGGATTGAGCTAGAAGAGCAGTGGCAACCACAGGCAAAGTGCCAAGGTAGCACCAGGTACAGCTCAGTGTTCCCTGCAGCAGGCACAGAGCTACTCTGGGAGTCAGAAAACCTCCATTCCAGTTGGCCAGTGTGACCTTGGGACAAGCCTGTCCCCTCTCTGTATGATGGGGTCTGACCACCTCTGCCCTCCTCTCCATGGGATGGTGGGAGTAGTCCGTGAGCTGACGAGGGGCCACTGGCTTGCTGCCTTCTCTGGCCTTTTAGACTCCAGGCTTCACCATCCACAGGGGGGTGGCAGGTCAGGTCCTCAAGAAGTGTGGCTGGCTGGGGGCCAGAGCTGGCACCAGGTGATGACTGAGCTGCCCTCCAAGGGGGGAGGGTGAGTCAGTGTTGGCTCAGGGACCGGCTAGTGTCCCACCCTTCCTCCCCACATGGTGACATCCCCAAGGAAGGCTCTCCAGGCACCCAAAACACCATGTCGCACACAGCTGCACAATTAGCACTGATGGGACCCTGGCCCAGGGAGTGTCTGGGTTCCTGAACTAGGGGAGCCTCTAGCTGGCCCCCTCCTGACAGGTGTGTTGGAGAAACCCACAGAGGTGAGTAGGGACACTCACTCATTCATTCATTTGTTCACCAAACATTCCCTAAGTTTTGGTGCTGGGGACACAGAGAGGAGCCCTAGGGGGTGGGGTGGAGGGGCGGAGGCTGACCTGCGTGTTGGGAGAAGAGGCAGATGCCTGCTACAGTGACTCCTCCAGCCTGCTGTGATGCTGGTATTTCTCACTGACATTTATTTTGCTGAAATACTAACAATAGTTTACGCGCACGCAGCTGTTCCCCACATCAGGCACAGTGCTAAGGCTTTCGCGGGCTATTTTATTTCATGTTTGTTTTTTTTTTTTTTTTTTGAGACGGAGTCTCGCTCTGTCGCCCAGGCTGGAGTGCAGTGGCACCATCTCAGCTCACTGCAAGCTCCGCCTCCCGGGTTCATGCCATTCTCCTGCCTCAGCCTCCCGAGTAGCTGGAACTACAGGCGCCCGCCACCATGCCCGGGTAATTTTTTTTTTTTTGTATTTTTATTAGAGACGGGGTTTCACTGTGTTGGCCAGGATGGTCTCGATCTCCTGACCTCATGATCTGCCCGCCTCGGCCTCCCAAAGTGCTGGGATTACAGGCGTGAGCCACCACACCCGGCCTAGTTTATTTCATCTTTACAGTAACTCCGAGACAGGAGCTATCATTTCCCTACTTATACATGAGGAACCTGAGGCTTCATAAGACAGAGTCACTTGTCTGAGGTCACACAAGCCTGGCAGTGGTAGAACCAGGACTGGAACCCAGTGCTATCCAACTTCAGCAACATGCTCTTTTAACTCCACCATGCAGGTGCCAGCCTGGGGAAGAGGGCCAGAGGCACATCTTGAAAAGAGGAGTCCGGGTGCTGGGAACAGACTTCAGCAACAGCAGGACTTGGTTGAGTGCCCCTGGCTATGAGGCATCTAGCCTGGCACAGCTGGTCTCTTCAGGTCACTCAGATGTTGCTTGGGGCATAAAGAGAGTCCTCCAGTGCCTGGAGAGTCCTGGCCTGGAGCACAGGGAGACCTGGGTTTCCTGCCCACCACCGACCCCTTACGTGAACTGGCAATGTGCAGATGGGCCAGGTGCCTCACATCGTCTTCCCACACTGGAGGGCTCAGCTAGAGCTCTGGATTCCATTAGCAGGGAGTTGGGAATCCTGGAATGAGCATTAAACTGGGAGTCAGATGACCACCACCCCCGCCAGCAGAACAAGAGCAAGGGCTTCCCTTTGCTTCCTGAGGGCAAAGTGAGCCCTAGGTAGGTTCAGAGGTCCCACCCAGGACATTCCCTGGGATTCGGCATCCCCAGGAGGAGGCCCTCCTTTCCACTGCCTCGTGTGCACACCCTCCAGTGTGCGTGTGCAGGCACCACTGGGGCCCCCGAGGGCAGGAGAGGGAAGGAAAGGCAGGGTGTGTGTGTGTGTGTGTGTGTGTGTGTCTATGTGTGTATGCACACACTTTCCCTTGCCCTCCAGTAGACAGGAGTCTAGAGGGCCCTGCCTCACCCTAAGCTGGCTGTGATGTCAGCGGAAACCCAGAGGCAGAGGGCCTCTTCTGACCTCAGCAATGGCCCTACCCTGCCCTGGGTCCCCACCCACACCTGACCCAGCTCAGGCTTCCCAAAGGACTCCCCCCAACACCCCCTGCTTCCCGGGGAAGCCAGAGAGAAGCTGAGAGGAACGGGGCCTTCTGCCTGTCCCTCTCCTGCCCTAGCTGGGCGCGGCCTCCTCATCTGCCAGGGTGTCTGAGTGACGGGTGTGTGGAGGGCAGGGCAGAAGGGATGCCCCCAGGTGCCCCACTCCTCCCTCGCCCACCAGGAGCTTTCCCCGCCGTTCTCCCAGGATGTTCCATTGCCCTGGCCAGCCCATGCCGCGGGCTCTGTGACTCCGTCTCCCCTGGCAGAGAAGTGGGGTTGCCTCTCCCTGGGCTGGAAGATCTTTATCCTGCCCTGCTGAGTCATGCCGGCTCCTCCCGAGCTCTCCTCCCCTCCTACCCCGCTGTCCTCCCCTCTGTCAGGCTTCTCCCAGCTTTCTCCAGACTGTCTGGGCTCCCGCTCTAGGGGCCCCTGGGGTCAAAGGATGGACACCGCCTTCCCTGGGGCCATCCCAGTGATGGGATGTCCCATCTCACGGGCCTGCCATTCCAGCACCACTGGGAGAGTGCCTGCTCCGCCTCCACCAGCTGTGTGACCCCCACCAAGTCTCTAACCCTCCACACCTCTGTTTTCTCCATGTAAAACTGAATGAGGGACAACTGAGTGAGTATAGGTCAAATTGCTGGCACTTAGAAGCAATCAATGATGTTTTATTTATTTATTTATTTATTTTTGAGACAGAGTCCAGGCTGGAGTGCAGTGGCATAATCATGGCTCACTGCAGCCTCGACTTCCCAGGCTCAAGAGATCCTCCCACCTCAGCCTCCTGAGTAGCTACAGATGGATATCACCATGCCTGTCTAATTTTTTGTATTTCTTTTTTCTTTTTTTTTTTTTTGAGACAGAGTCTTGCTCTGTTGCCCAGGCTGGAGTGCAATGGTGCGATCTCGGCTCACTGCAACCTCCAACTCCCAGGTTCAAGCGATTCTCCTGCCTCACCTTCCTGAATAGCTGGGATTACAGGCGCCTGCTAATTTTTGTATTTTTAATAGAGACAGGGTTTCATCATGCTGGCCAGGCTGGTCTCGAACTTCTGACCTCAGGTGATCTGCCCGCCTTGGCCTCCCAAAGTGCTGCGATTACAGGCATGAGCCACCACTCCCGGCCAATTTTTTTGTATTTCTTTGTAGAAACAGGGTTTTGCCATGTAGCTCAAGCTGGTCTCAAACTCCTGATATCAAACAATCTGCCTGCTTCAGCCTCCCAAAGTGCTGGGATTACAGGCGTGAGCCACCTCGCCCAGCCAATAATGTTAAAGAATCTTGTTACCTACCCCTCATACCGTATCCCTCTGTCTTTGCTAATGGTGTCCTCTCTACCCACAATGCAGCTGCCCCTCGTGAGCTCCCCATGGCTACTCATCTAGACCCTTTGTTCTTCTGCCTTCTTCCTGAAGCCTGTCACTGTCATCCCAGCTCTGCTCCCCACCACAGACTTCACTCTCCAGGGCCCTTGCTGCTCTCCACTTTGTGTTATAAGTGCTCTCTAAGGACCCGTCTCATCTCTCTCCTCTTTTGTCCCCAAGAGATTCTTGTAGGACTTCAGTGGGTTGAAGAGGGCTGGAGGTGGGAAGGGTGGAGTCTCATGGCACAGTCAGCTCTGAAGGCATGAGAGAAACCAACCAGTCTTGACCCAGCCCCGTCCTAGGCTTTCAGGTTGTCTAGAAGACATGGGTGGTTTAGGTCTATGAAGAGCTCAACCACTTTCTTTTTTTTTTTTATTTGAGACAGAGTCTCTCTCTGTCACCCAGGCTGGAGTCCAGTGGCGTGATCTCGGCTCAATGCAACCTCCCCCTCCCGGGTTCAAGCTATTCTCCCGCCTCAGTCTCCCGAGTAGCTGGGAGGCAGGCACCCACCATCATGCCCAGCTAATTTGAGGCTCACCCGCTTTCTAGCACCCACAGCCATCTTTCTGAGGCCCACCTTGTGGTCCTTAACAGAGCACTCTGTACATATTTCCGTTTTAGCCTTTGACTGTTGCAAGATTTCAAAATGAAACAGGAACTTAAGGAGATATACAAAGGGCTATGATGCAGAGAAAGGAGAGGTCAGAAGAGGGAGACGTCGGGAGATTTTGGAGATACGGCAGGGAGAATTTGAGTGGCAAAAAGTGGGGGGCCACACCTGACCTGGAACCAGGACAGGAGCTGGGGAGGAGCTGGCATTCAGACCCATGGAATCCCGTCACCTCCCAAAAGCTTTTGGAAGCCCCTGCTATATATGCCTTGCTGAACAGTGTGGACCTACAGAGAAACACAGCCTGCCTGCCAGGGACTCGGGAGCTGGTGGGACAGTGGGCAAGATAACTTCAATACCAACTAGAGATATGGGCGGCCTGCCAGGAGGCTCAGTGCAGACAAGGGCACCTGGAGCAGGCCTCCTCCAGCCTCCAGCTCAGCAGGGAACTTGAGAAAGATCCCTGGATTCTTTAGCATCAGAAAGCCCAGATCTACCACTTATAAGTGACCTGCCTGGGCAACATAGCAAGATCCCCCCCTACTTCCCCAAAAAATTAGCCAGGCATGGTGGCACACACCTGTAGTCCTACCTACTTGGGAGGCTGAGGTGACAGGATTGCTTGAGCCCAGGAGTTCAAGGCTGTAGTGAGCTATTGAGCCACTGCACTCCAGCCTGGGTGACAGAGTGAGACCCCATCTCCAAAAAAAAAAAAAAAAAAAAAAAAAGTGAGCCTCTTAGCCTCACCAAACCTCCAGGGTTCGGTGAGGCCCAGATGAGATAATAAAGTAAAAGGGCTTTGCAAGCTCCGGAGCTCTAAGGAGACGGGAGAGTCCTCTGATCTCCCCACGGTGTAGGCTATCGCTCCCATTTACTGAGCTCTTCCCAATTCTCTGGCACTGCAGTGAAGCATTTGAATACAGCACGCAATCTCACATAGCCCTCCTGAGGCCGGTGCTGTTGTAGTTGCCATTTTACCATGGGTAAACTGAGGCACAGAGTTATATAACTTTTCCAAGTTACACAGGCAGGCAGCCTGGCTCTGGAGCCACCCGGCTCTTAATTAGTAGCCTCCTCCTCACCCTGCCCCTAGTTCCTAAAAATCTCCTCCCTGCCCCCATCTCCCCAGTAATAAGCCTGTCTCAGCCTGGGAGGATGCCCTCTCTGTCCCCTTCTGTCCCACCCCGCACAACATGAGCACAAAACTGCCCCCACAGAGGCCTGCCCAAGGCGGATCAGCAAGGTCTCTGTTCCCGAAGCTGGGACTGGACACGGTGTCTGTCTCCCTCTGCTGGTCTCTTAGGGGACAGCCCAGCCGGGATGCTTTCCCTGAAGCTGGTGGCACCTTATCTCTCCCCAACAGTGGATGCTGAGTATTGGGGAGGTTGAGGAAAAGGCCAGGGACACAGGTCAGGCTCTAACTTACGGGACTCCACGTTGCCTCTTGGGGTCCATGTTGCCAGAAGCCTGCCTCTAACAGGAGTGCAAAGGGGGGTCTTAGGGAGACCGGGCCACCTCCCTGATGCCTGCCCTGGGGGACGGGCCTCAAACAGCCTCCTTCCCCTTCTAACCCATGAATGGAGCCATCATCCATGGATGTATCTAAATCTTTTGTGAAGCTGTTTCTATTTCCAGCTGAGACGACATCTTGGGATAATGAGTTCCATCAGCGTCCTCCCCTGCTGGGTGAAGCACACTGCCTTTTATTTGTCCTAAACTTACCTCACTTGCGCTCCAAGGGGGCCTGTAATTCCAGTGTGCCAGGTTTTGGTGAACAAGCCTGAACTTCTCCCTTCCCATCCTCACTGTGGGTTTAAAAAAATTCATCCTGGCCGGGCGCGGTGGCTCACGCCTGTAATCCCAGCACTTTGGGAGGCCGAGGTGGGCGGATCACGAGGTCAGGAGATCGAGACCATCCTGGCTAACACGATGAAACCCCCGTCTCTACTAAAAATACAAAAAATTAGCCGGGCATGGTGGCGGGCGCCTGTAGTCCCAGCTACTCGGGAGGCTCAGGCAGGAGAATGGCATGAACCTGGGAGGCGGAGCTGACAGTGAGCCGAGATCGCGCCACTGCACTCCAGCCTGGGCGACAGAGCGAGACTCTGTCTGAAAAAAAAAAATTTCATCCCATCTCCCCTCCACCTCCAGCCCTGCAGACTCAAAAGACCTGGTCCCTCATCTGCGCACAGTGCCTGGCAGTGTGGGCACATCCATTATCTCATGCCAGGCTCCAGCAGCTTGGGAGGAAGGCAAGGGCTCACATTCTCCTCTCAAGGCAGAGGACACAGAGGGCCCAGAATCATGGGGCCAGCACGTGGTGCCGCTGGAGGCAGCAGTAGCAGCAGCCTCTCTCCAGAGCCTCTTCCCCATGGGCTGACTCTTCTGACCTTAACCAAGAGTCTTCTTTTTTTTTTTGAGATGGAATCTTGTCCTGTTGCCCAGGCTGGAGTGCAGTGGAGGGATCTCTGCTCACGGCAGCCTCCATCTTCCAGGTTAAAGTGATTCTCCTGGCTGGGCGCAGTGGCTCACGCCTGTAATCCCAGCACCTTGGGAGGCTGAGGCGGGTGGATCATGAGGTCAGGAGATCGAGACCATCCTGGCTAACACAGTGAAACCCCATCTCTACTAAAAATACAAAAAGTTTGCCGGGCGTGGTGGTGGGCGCCTGTAGTCACAGCTACTTGGGAGGCTGAGGCAGGAGAATGGCGTGAACCCGGGAGGTGGAGCTGACAGTGAGCCGAGATCGCGCCACTGCCCTCCAGCCTGGGTGACAGAGCGAGACTCTGTCTCAAAAAAAAAAAAAAAAGTGATTCTCCTGCCTCAGCCTCCTGAGTAGCTGGAATTACAGGTGTGTGCCACCACGCCCGGCTAATTTTTGTATTTTTTTTTAGTAGAGAAGGGGTTTCACCATGTTGGCCAGGCTGGTCTTCAACTCCTGACCTCAAGCAATCTGCCTACCTTGGCCTCTCAAAGTGTTGGGATTACAGGTGTGAGCCACCGTGCCTGGCCAAGAGTCTTCTGAATATTTGCCAGTTTCTGGACAGCAGGCCTTTTCTCTGTAATGTTTCCTTGCGAGACTTTCCTCCTGGGATCCTTGTGTAGATTCACCCTAGCTTTGTCCAAGCTGATGGTTTGTTTTGTCTCCAGTCCCGGCCCAAGGATACTGTAAGGATGACTCGAGCTGGAGGGGCAGGACGCAGCAATCATAGTCGCAGCAGTGCTAACAGCAGATTCTAAGAGCTGCGTAAATATTAAGTTACTCCTCACAACAGCCCTTTGAGGTGGAAACAGGCTTGGAGAACATAAGCAACTTGTCCATTTTTGCACAACTTGTTAAGTGATGGAGACTGCGGCTAGGCTGGATTCAGACCTACACGGGCTGGCATCCACAACTGCATTCTCAACCTCAACAGACAATCGTGGGTTCAAGTCCCGAAACCTCTCTGAATTCCGTACTCTTCAGTCATTCAGCACAGACTTATTACACCACTGCTGTGTGCCAAACATCATTCTGATTTCTGGGAGAAATGCCAGGGAACAAGAAAGGCAGGGGCAGAGCTTGGCTGGGGGGCTGGCAGCACTTGGAATGCCACAAACTCATTACAAGCAGGGCAGGTACCCTGCCAGCTCAGAGCTGCCTTGCCTGCCTGGTTACCCCACAGTAACCATACAAATGCCAGTCCCTGTGTGTGCATGATGAGAAGAAAACAAGCCAGAGTAAACTCCTGAACCCTAAACTCCTCTACTCCTCTGCCCCTTCTGACTTTTAGTTACCCTGATCTGGAAAAATGCCAGCCATGAGTAATACTGTCTGTGCTCCTTTGTCTGTAAGGAGGGCTGCATGGGGAATCCCATGGTGGGACAGAGCAGTGCCTGGCAAATGAGCCCCACCAATGGCTTCTCAGCAACTGTGCTTTCCTGGCCAGCCCGTGCTCTAACCTCACCCCTCTCAGACTGTTTCATCCTCCAGGAAGCTCTCCCTCATGCTCCTGACCAGGTCTTCCCCAGGACATATTCGCAGAGCCCACGTCATCATCATTCCTGATCCTTCTCAAAGGTGTAATTTCATATTTACCTTGATGATTCTTTGGCTAATCTCAGTCTTCCCCCACTAGACCCCCGCCCTCCCCAGCTCAGGAGACCGGACTCTGCAGAAGGTACCAACCACCCACACTTCTGCTCAGAGACTTGGCACTGGCCATTCCCTCTACCACAGCACTCCTTCCCGGACATCTGCGCTGTCCACTCCCTTGCCTCCTGCAAGTCTTTGCTCAAATGGCGACTTCTCAGTGAGGCCAACCTGGCTGTGCTAGTTAGAATCGAAGCCCTTCTCCCCTGACACTCCTCTCTCCCTCTCTGGGTTTTCTTTTTTTTCATAACACCCACCATGTTCTTGCATACTATAGGGTTTCACTCTGTCGCCCAGGCTGGAGTGCAGTGGTACGATCGCAGCTCACTGCAGCCTCTGCCTCCCAGGTTCAAGGGATCCTCTCATCTCAGCCTCCTGAATAGCTGGGACTACAGGCATGTGCCACCATGCCTAGCTAATTTTTGTATTTTTGGTAGAAACCATGTTGCCTAGGCTGGTCTTGAACTCCTGGACTCAAGCAATCTGCCCACACTGGCCTCCCAAAAGTGCTGGGATTACAGGTGTGAGCCACCGCATCCGGCCAGGATTTTTGTCCTGTGCTGTCTTTCCCATAGTTAAAAAAGTGCATCCAGGATATGTTGAATGAATATATGTTGAATGAATGAGTGAGCATTAGGGTCTCAAGCTTCCATTCCATATCTGCCCCCCAACACATTCACACATACTTACATGCCCACCTGCTTATACGAGGCCACTGCTAATGGGGGTATGCCAAAGACCAAAAATTTGGTGTTTTAAAATTGTTTTTTATTTTCTTCATTATAGAGACAGGGTCTCACTATGTTGCCCAGGCTCATCTCTAACTCCTGGGTTCAAGCAATCCTCCCTCCTCAGCCTCCCAAAATGCTGAGATTACAGGTATGAGCCATCATGCCCAGCTAAAAATTTGGTGTTTGAAAGAATCCTGGCTAAAAAATTAGCTGGGCGTGGTGGCATGCACCTGTAGTCCCAGCTACTCGGGAAGCTGAGGTAGGAGGATCATTGAGCCCAGGAGGCTGAGGCTGCAGTGAGCCAGGATCATGCCACTGCACTCCAGCCCAGGTGACAGAATAAGGCCCTGTCTCCAAAAAAAAAAAAAAAAAAAAAAAAGCTCCTGAAAGAGCATCTCATTGAATCTGAAAGAGCATCTCATTGAATGGCCCTCATTTTATTCAGGAAAAAACTGAGGCTCAGACAAGGGCCTGATGCCATCTGAGTAGGGCTGAAGCTGCATCCAGGTCCTTGACTTTCAGCACAGACCCCAGGTCCTCTTGGGGTTCCCGTACCTATCTCTCACCCACACACAGGGTTCCTGGTAGCTCCCAGCTCCTGGTATCCCCCTGTGTGCCCCCCTTTCTGCACCTGAAGTGGGTTACTGGATATGCCAAATGCAGGCCTGGAAGGGATCCTTGGCTCAGATTGGAAAGCTACCTTCCAGCCCCACAGCCCAGGGGCCAGAGGGTCGGGGGAGGCAGGACAGCTTCTCCCCCAAGCTGGGGTGGATGAGGGGCATAGGGGAGCCTCGGGGCCCCTTCAGGATCACAGCATGTCAAGGTTGGAAGGGACCTCAGTGAGTACCTCCTACTCTCCCCAGCCCCCACCATCACATCATACAGATGAGGAAGCAGCCGAGACAGGGAGGGATTTGCACAAATCACACGGGGGCAGGGACGTATCCTACCACAGCTCCCGACTTCCCGCTCTAGGCTTCTTGCTGTTCTAAGCCCTTCAGAAAGTTCCAACGAGTTCTGACTTTTGGCAAGGGGGTGGGAGGGTGACTGAAAACTACTCAATACGAGTCGAAAGAGTGTATGTCAGCTGGGGGCAGTGGCTCACACCTGCCCCTGGCTGATATAAAAGGCAGACATGGTTCCTGGCCTTGTGAGGTAGACACACTAGTGGAGAAGACAGATATGAAACATATGAAAAAAAGCTTATGTGTCCCTTCTCTTCTGCCTAGGGTCCTCAAGGTCATAGAACCCCATAACCCCATTAGGTGTCAGGGGCAGAAACAGGACTGTGTGAAGATTCACAGCCTCCACCTCCCTTGCCTTCACGGAGCTTCGGCATCTACCCTTATTCCAGGCGGCTGCTCAGGTAATGAGTATGAGGCAGAGGTGGGAAGGCTGTCCTGGTTTACACGTGGTGGGGGAGGGGTCCAGAGCGCAGGATGAGGCTGAGAGCATGGGGACAACTGTCAAGCAGGGACAGATGGGACTGTGGGTGGAGGGCTGGAAGTTGGATGTTTCTCTCAGCACTGTGCTAAGAGTGACTTAGAGACATCTCAGCTGCATTTGGCTCACGCTGATTTATTTATTTGTTTGTTTGCTTATTTTTCCATGCCCTTTGTCAACAGGAATGGTTTACAGATATTTATTCATTCATTCATTTTTTGAGACAGAATCTCACTCTGTTGCCCAGGCTGGAGTGCAGTGGCGCGATCTTGGCTCACTGCAACCTCCACCTCCCAGGTTCTAGCGATTCTCCTGCCTCAGCCTCCTGAGTAGCTGGGATTACAGGCACGTGCCACCATGCCTGGCTAATTTTTGTATTATTAGTAGAGATGGGGTTTCACCATGTCGGCCAGGCTGGTCTTAAACTCCTGGCCTCAGGTGATCCACTTGCCCCGGCCTCCCAAAGTGCTGGGATTACAGGCGTGAGCCATAGCGCTCGGCCTACTTTTTTTTTTTTTTTTTTTTTTTGAGAAAGGGTCTGGCTCTCTTACCCAGGCTGCAGTGCAGTGGCGCTATCTCAGCTCACTGCAATCTCCACCTCCTGGGCTCAAGTGATCCACCAGCCTTGGTCTCCCACAGTGCTGGGATTAAGCATGAGCCGCCGCGCCCGGCTGGTTTACACATTTTTAAATGTAACACCTATTTATTCATTATTTACTGAGTGCCAGACCCTGTGTGAGGTACATACAGCAACAAACAAAACAGACATGGATGCTGGGTGTGGTGGCTCACGCCTGTAATCCTAGCACTTTGGGAGGCTAAGGCAGGAGGATCGCCTGAGCCCAGGAGTTCAACTCCAGCCTGGGCAACAGAAGGAGACCTTGTCTCTAACAAACATTTAAAAAATTAGCTGGCTGTAGTGGCATGCGCCAGTAGCCCTAGTTACTCGGGAGGTTGAGGTGGAAGGATCGCTTGAGCCTGGGAAGTTGAGGCTGCAGTGATCTATGATCGTGCCACTACACTCCAGCCTGGGTGACAAAGCAAGAACCCATCTTAACAAACAAAACAAAACAGAACAAACAAAACAAAGCCAAGGCCGGGTGCAGTGGCTCACGCCTGTAATCCCAGCACTTTGGAAGGCTGAGACGGGCAGATCAGTTGAGGTCAGGAGTTTGAGACCAGCCTGGCCAACATGGCAAAACCCCATCTCTAATAAAAATACAA
The DNA here is from genome assembly GCF_000001405.40 of Homo sapiens. Lineage (NCBI taxonomy): Eukaryota > Metazoa > Chordata > Mammalia > Primates > Hominidae > Homo > Homo sapiens. The sequence continues at coordinate 67,388,973 of NC_000011.10, forward strand.
GAATTAGCCGGGCGTGGTGGCACACACCTGTATTCCCAGGTACTTGGGAGGCTGAGGCACAAGAATTGCTTGAACCCCAGAGGCGGAGGTTACAGTGAGCCGAGATCGCGCCACTGCCCTCCAGCCTGGGCGACAGAGCAAGACTCTGTCTTCAGAAAAAACAAAAAACCAAAAACCAGACATGGTTCCTGCCCTTGTGAGGCAGACACACTAGTGAGGAAGACAGATGTTAAACAGGCAAACACACGCATGAAATAACGTGATAAGTGCTGTGGCTAAAACAGGGTCTAGCTAGAGTGTAATGGGATGCTGGTGGGGGCAGAAAAGACGGCACTGAGCCTGGAGGAAGAGAAGCACCGCCACGTTAGAAGGGGTAAGACGATGCCAAGTGGTGGGGACAGCTAAGGATGTGCTAAAATCCCCAGGTGGAAAAGGAAGTGGAGGGTTCAGGGAGCCCACAGGGTTGGCATGGCTGTGCAGGTGATCAAGGGGAGGCCACAGGTGGAGAAATGGGTGGCGGCGGCTCCTGCAGGTTCAGGGCAGAGTTTGGATTTTATGGCAACCACTGGAGTGTGCAAACACGGGAGAGGCATGACACAATGGACATTTTAGGAGGGTCACTTTGCTGCTGTATGGAGAGTGGCCTGGAGGGGGCAGGGTGGAGGCAGGAGACCACTGAGAGCTGTTACAGTCATCCAGGTGAGAGGATGGTGGCCTAGGCCTTGGAGATGGAAGAGGAGGGCAAAGTTGCCACCTGTTAAGTTGCCACCTGTTTGGGAAGCAGAGTGGTCAGGACTTAACTGAAAGACTGTGTAGGGGTGAGGGCGAGCATGAGGTCAAGGATGACTCCAGCATACTGAGCCGGATGCCCAGGGACAGGGGCACTATTTCCATGGATCCCCCGGGAAGGGGAAGGGAAGAGTAACCTCCTCCCCCAAGGCTCCACGGAAGGGGCAAGGGCTGGTGACGAGGGGAGCAGAAGGGAAGGAGAGGGAGAAACAAAGTGTATGCATGTATCCAAATGTGTACAATTATTATGTATCAATTCAACTCATTTGAAAGTGGGTCTGGAGAGCAAGGGTGGCAGAGATAAATATATCTTCTGCACTACCACAGGACCTGAGGGGCAAGGCACGGGCAGGCCCTGCAGGAATACAGGGATGCCCTGGGCCCTTCCAAGAACTACCAGAGCCTTGGTACTGTGGGGAGAGTAGGGGTCAGTGAGTTTCTCCAGGACTCCCTTACATTTTACACACGTGGACCCGGAAGCCCAGGGGAAGGGGAATACCTTCCAGCTGATGCATCCCCACCTGGCACACAGTCTGGTTTTTTTTTTTGAGATGGAGTCTCACTCTGTTGCCAGGCTAGAGTGCAGTGGCGCGATCTCGGCTCACTGCAACCTCCGCCTCCGGGTTCAAGCAATTCTCCTGCCTCAGCCTCCAGAGTAGCTGGGACTACAGGCGCGTGACAACATGCCCGGCTACTTTTTGTACTTTTAGTAGAGACGGGGTTTCACCATGTTGGCCAGAATGGTCTGGATCTCTTGACCTCGTGATCCGCCCGCCTCGGCCTCCCAAAGTGGTAGGATTACAGGCGTAAGCCACCGTACCCGGCCAGTCTGGGGTCTTTTAAAAATACAGACCCGGGGCTGGGCGCGGTGGCCCATGCCTGTAATCCCAGCACTTTGGGAGACCGAGGCGGGCGGATCACTTGAGGTCAGGAGTTCGAGACCAGCCTGGCCAACATGGTGAAACCCGTCTCTACTAAAAGTACAAAAATTAGCCAGGCGTTGTGGCAGGCGCCTGTAATCCCAGCTACTTGGGAGGCTGAAGCAGGAGAATCGCTTGAACCTGGGAGGCGTGATCGTGCCACTGTACTCCAGCCTGGGCGACAGAGCGAGGCTCTATCTCAAAACAAACAAACAAAAAAACCCCACACACACACACAAAAAACAAAAAACAGGCCGGTGCAGTAGCTCACTCCACTTTGAGAGGCCAAGGCGGAAAGACAGCTTGAACCCCACAGTTGAGACCGGCCTGGGCAACATGGCAAGACTCCGTCTCTACCCAAAAAAAAAAAAAAAAAAAAAGGGCCGGGCGTGGTGGGTGTGCCTGTGGTCCCAGATACTCAGGAGACTGAGATGGGAGGATCCCTTGAGCCCAGGAGTTCCAGGCGGCAGTGAGCCGTGTTCGCGCCACTGCACTCCAGCCTGGGTGACAGAGCAAGAATATGTCTCAAAAAACAAACAAACAAAAAAAGGCACATAACCACGATCTACCCTCGTAAAACGTTTCCAGAGCGTCCCAGCGGTGCCCCTCATCATCTGGCGGCCCCTACGCCTCTCTGAGACTCACAGACCTACTCCCCTCTCCAGGGGGCGGAGCCCACACCGCTGAGCATTTACTCTTGTTCTTCCCTCTGCCAGGGGCACCGTTCTACCCCTTTCTGCCTGGAGAAACTGCCGTTTTTCCTTAAAGGATCCTCGAAGCCGGAAGGAGCAGCCACCTCCCACTCCCGGCTGCTGCAAGCAAGCTGCTTTGACTTCTTTCTAGAGTTGGGGATTGCTGCTGGAGTCCGAGTCTCAGGCCCAGAGTGGGTGCGATGGTCTTGCTTGCACCCTGTATCCCCCGGCAGACGCCCGGGAACTCTACTAAGTGGGTGACCCCAGAGAGCTCGCCCCCACACTCCGACTCCGAGTCCAGCACTCGGTCCACTGCACAGGGACCTCGCGCCCCACAGCTGCGTCCTCTCTGACCTTCGCAATCCGGTGCGCGGCCCGCGGAACGCCCCGATCTCCAGGGGCACGGAAGGCCGAGGCGTGCCGGGGGAGCCAGGAGCAGCTGGCTGGCGGGCGCCGCGGGCCTCCCCGGTCACGTGACACCCCGGACAACGTGCGCCGTCACGTGACGGCAGAGCCTGTGAGCGTTTTTCTCACGTGACGGAGGCGCCTGCACGTGGACCAATGGGGAGGCGGGGGCGGGGCCGGCAGGGGCGGTGCGCGGGAAGGGACCCCGGACCCGGAGGTCGCGGAGAGCTGGGCAGTGTTGGCCGCTGGCGGAGCGCTGGGGCAGCATGAAGTGCCTGGTCACGGGCGGCAACGTGAAGGGTGAGTGCAGGTCGGCCTGGCAGCGGCGGTGCAGCAGCCGCGGAGCCGCCAGCCTAACCCCCTTCCGCTCTTCTCCCCGCAGTGCTCGGCAAGGCCGTCCACTCCCTGTCCCGCATCGGGGACGAGCTCTACCTGGAACCCTTGGAGGACGGGGTGAGGGGCTAGGGTGTGGGGGGCGGGTGGGACTCCAGCCGGGAGCGGGTAACCCGGACTAGAGTCTCGCCCCCACTAGGCGGGATGACCGCTGGCAGATTTGTCGGCAAAGTTTCAGTTTCTTAGTCTGGCGGCTGTCATCTTCCCAGGCCGGTGTGTGAATTGAGGAAAGCTGTCCTGCGAGCTCCCAGGGGGTGACGTGCACTTAGAGAAACTCGGGGAAGGCCTGGGTGTGCGACCCCTCCTCTGCGGCAGCAGCGCCGGGGCCGACTCTGAAGGCTTCCATGGGGAAAGGAGGGTTTTTCAGCAGGTGGTGGCGGAGCGGGAGGACGATAGGGCAAGTGTGTGAGCAGAAGCAGCCAGAGGGCTGGGTCTGTGGCTGCCCCCTGACCACGTCCCTCTCCCTGCTCTTCGTGGCCCAGCTCTCCCTCCGGACGGTGAACTCCTCCCGCTCTGCCTATGCCTGCTTTCTCTTTGCCCCGCTCTTCTTCCAGCAATACCAGGCAGCCACCCCTGGTCAGGACCTGCTGCGCTGTAAGATCCTGATGAAGGTGAGGCCCTTCCCTCAGCAGTGGCACTACTCCACCCCAGGAATCTCCACCAGCTGTGCCTCTGCCCTGGGGTACTCAGTAGATGCTAAGTGGGGAGAGAGACACGTGCAAGCCCAATCCATGCAAAACACAGGGAGGGCCATGGTAAAAGCATCACAGCGGGGACCTGAGAGGGTGGTGACGCTCAAGTTCGTCAAGAAAGGTAAGCACGTCTTTTGGCCGGGCGCGGTGGCTCACGCCTGTAATCCCAGCACTTTGGGAGGCCGAGGCAGGCGGATCACGAGGTCAGGAGTTCGAGACCAGCCTGGCCAACATGGCGAAACCCCGTCTCTACTAAAAATACAAAAATTAGCTGGGCGTGGTGGCACGCGCCTGTAATCCCAGCTACTCGGGAGGCTGAGGCAGGAGAATTGCTTGAATCCGGGAGGTGGAGGTTGCAGTGAGCTGAGATCGCACCACTGCACTCCAGCCTGGGTGACAGAGCGAGACTCCATCTCAAAAAAAAAAAAAAAAAAGGTAAGCAGGTCTTTCAAGGCATTCCAAGCATAAGGAAGAGCATGAATGAGGCCTAGAAGGATGCCAGTGCCCGAGGTGACGTGGGAGCCCTTTTCCCAGAGTTACATGCTGGGCCCATGATGGGTGTGGGCCTGCATGGGACAGGAGAGCTTGTTGCAGAGATGTGATGCTAGGCTGAGGTGTCTTATCCCATGCAGTCTTTCCTGTCTGTCTTCCGCTCACTGGCGATGCTGGAGAAGACGGTGGAAAAATGCTGCATCTCCCTGAATGGCCGGAGCAGCCGCCTGGTGGTCCAGCTGCATTGCAAGTTCGGTGAGTGGGCAGCCGGCCAGCCAAGGGGTGCCTCAGCAGGGAGGTCGGCGAGGCCCACTGAGACCCTATCGCCCATCCAGGGGTGCGGAAGACTCACAACCTGTCCTTCCAGGACTGTGAGTCCCTGCAGGCCGTCTTCGACCCAGCCTCGTGCCCCCACATGCTCCGCGCCCCAGCACGGTGAGCACACCCCTGCCCTCAGCTCAGCCCCGGGTCTCTCTCTTCCTTCTTTGGGGCCCCAAGGGGTTGATTTTAGAAGGTACCTCTTTCATTTTCCCTACAGAGTTTCTGTGAACCTCAAAGACATCCCATGGCCCGCTATGTGCTCAGGTCCTTACCTGGCTCTTTAAAGGCAGACGGTGGCATGGAGGAGGGGCAGGCGCCTCCTTGCTCCATTCTCCTTACTGTTAGGAGCCTGCATTCTCCATCCCAAAGGTCTGACTTGACTTTCTGGCTGCTCAAACCCATTCCAACTCCTCCTCTAGGGAGCACATTTCTGGCCTGCCACCAAATCTCTTGTCTGGCTTGAGTAACCTTGAAGGTCTGCCCATAACCTGTGGCTCAGAGGCTCAGACCCCTTCTCCGGCCTGGGCATCCTTCCAGAGGTGTTCCCCATTCAACGGCAGCCTCTTTTCCTGACTGCCCAGGATCGAGGAGTCCCCAAGGCCAGGGCAGGAGGCTGGAGGGAGGCTGAATAATCAGCTATGGGGTGGAGCTGTTCTGGGCAGTCCGAGCACTGGGGGCTGTCTGGGGCCAGGGAAATGGGGACTCCAGTTGAAGCAAACGTCCCTGGCGAGGACCAGCTCAGAGAGGAGTGGGCTCTCCCCCTGCTCCATGCTGGTCACTGCTTGCATTCAAGTGGCCCAAGGTCCTGCTCATTTCTCAGGGTGACTGAAGATCCCTTTGGGTCCTGACATCTGTTTCCCCAGGTTCTTTTGAGCCAGCACTGCTCAGAGCTCTTTTGGGTAGTGAGAGACGGGGGCCAATTCCTTGGTCTGCATTTAGGGTGGTGTCTTTTTTTTTTTTTTTTGAGACAGAGTTTCGCTCTTGTTGCCCAGGCAATGGCACGATCTCGGCTCACCACAACCTCCGCCTCCCGATAAAAGTGATTCTCCTGCCTCAGCCTCCCGAGTAGCTGGGATTACAGGCATGCGCCACCATGCCCGGCTAATTTTTTGTATTTTTAGTAGAGACAGGGTTTCTCCATGTTGGTCAGGCTGGTCTTGAACTCCCGACCTCAGGTGATCTGCCCGTCTCAGCCTCCCAAAGTACTGGGATTACAGGCGTCAGCCACCACACTCAGTCTCTTTTTTTAAAAATGAGCAATTGTTTCTCTCGTTTTGTTTTGAGATAGAGTCTCGCTCTGTCACCCAGGCTGGAGTGCAGTGGTGCAATCTTGGCTCACTGCAATCTCTGCCTCCCGGGTTCAAGCGATTCTCCTGCCTCAGCCTCCCGAGTAGCTGGGATTACAGGCATGCACCACCACGCCCGGCTAATTTATATATGTTTAGTAGAGACGAGGTTTCACCATGTTGGCCAAGCTGGTCTCGAACTCCTGAACTCAAGTGATCCACTGCTTCGGCCTCCCAAAGTGCTGGGATTACAGGCATGAGCCACTGTTTTTTTTTAAATCCTTGCGCAGGGGCCTTGCTCATCTTTTGCATGCTTCAGTTTTAGTGTATGTGCTGCCGAAGCAAGCACTCTGTCTCATGAATAATTTCAAATATATGTAAAAGCAGACGCAGCTCCCGTCCCCACTTGACTTGAAACAATTTCCAGATGTGATTTCATCTGTATGTCAATGGGTATCCTTAGAGGATAAGGATTTCAGGGCTCTTTCTGAAGGCCGGGTTTGTAGGGTGGCCTGAGTGCCACGTCCTGCCTCTGGGCCCTCTCCCTGGTCTGCATGGTCAGGTGCCGCCTGCCAGGTTTGAGCAACCACTGCAACCAGTCCCCTCCCTGCCACCTTCTCTGGGCCTCATCCACGGTGCGCTAGGCCTGCGCACATCCGTGCGTGTGCATGTGTCACCCCCACCTCAGGTCCTCCGAGAGCAAAGCCCTGGGCAGGGCCAGGCATTTCGGGTAATGCTCCACCCTGTTCACAGGGTTCTGGGGGAGGCTGTTCTGCCCTTCTCTCCTGCACTGGCTGAAGTGACGCTGGGCATTGGCCGTGGCCGCAGGGTCATCCTGCGCAGCTACCACGAGGAGGAGGCAGGTGAGGGGGCTGGACGTGGCCTGGGACAGCAGAGTGGCAGGTGGGAGAGGGGCGGGGCCCAGGTTACTCCTGTTCTTCCCCAACAGACAGCACTGCCAAAGCCATGGTGACTGAGATGTGCCTTGGAGAGGAGGATTTCCAGCAGCTGCAGGCCCAGGAAGGGGTGGCCATCACTTTCTGCCTCAAGGAATTCCGGGTGAGGTTCCTCCCAGGCGCTCGCCGTCCTGTCCTCCCTGCCCAGCTCAGCCCAGCCCGGGGCCTCACCTGCTACCTCTTTCCTCCCAGGGGCTCCTGAGCTTTGCAGAGTCAGCAAACTTGAATCTTAGCATTCATTTTGATGCTCCAGGCAGGTAGTTCCCAGCCTTGGGACAGGGAAGGGCTCTGGGATGGCAGGAGCTGAATGGGATGACCTAGCTTGGGCCCCCTCCCCTGCCCAGGCCCGCCATCTTCACCATCAAGGACTCTTTGCTGGACGGCCACTTTGTCTTGGCCACACTCTCAGACACCGACTCGCACTCCCAGGACCTGGGCTCCCCAGAGCGTCACCAGCCAGTGCCTCAGCTCCAGGCTCACAGGTGAGGGCACCTCCCCCCAACTCCTCCTCTCTCCATGTCTGTGCACTCCAGCCTGAGACTGCAACTCCTAGCTTCTGCACCTCCCCGCAATGTGTTCTCTCCCGCCCCTTCTCTTTCTATCAGGCCCCAGCCCCTAACCCTATAGTGCTCACAGCTGCCAGCCCTGCAGACTCAGCCTTCTCGGTTAGCTGTACTCAGAGACCCCTCCCACCCAGGGAAGCATCCCCAAGGCCCTGCCAGCTTCCTTCTCTGGCTGAGGCCGCCCCTCTGAGCCTCCTCCCAGGCCAAGGAGGGAAAGGGCTGCTGGGAGGCAGGAGCTGCCTGGGCTGGGGGAAGCAGGTGGCTGGAAGGGCAGGTGGGCTGGGGAGGATGGCCCAGTGCACTTTCAGCACAGGAAGTTGGGGCTGGCCCCCAGCCCAGCCTGTCCCTGGGCTCCTGTGCTTTCCAGCTCCTGTCCCCTGGGAAGGTGGGGGCTTGGGCTCCATGTGGCCCAGTTCATAAGACTTGCTGCTCCTCCCTCCTAGCTGAGCTAAGGTAGCCCCCGGGATGCCTCCCTCAGGCCCCTACCTGAATTCTGATCAAAGAGATTCCTGGCCCACCCCCTCCAGGAAGTCACCACTTAACCCCTGCATCCTCTCCTCTCCAGCCAAATCAGGAAGTCATAAAACCAAGAGATCTCCAGTGGTCGGGGGCCCCAGAGCTCCCTTCGAGCCCTCCAAGGTGGGGCCCTGCCTCTGCTCCCCCAGTCCCCTCCCTGATACTCCGATTCTGCCTACAGCACACCCCACCCGGACGACTTTGCCAATGACGACATTGACTCTTACATGATCGCCATGGAAACCACTATAGGCAATGAGGGCTCGCGGGTGCTGCCCTCCATTTCCCTTTCACCTGGCCCCCAGCCCCCCAAGAGCCCCGGTCCCCACTCCGAGGAGGAAGATGAGGCTGAGCCCAGTACAGTGCCTGGGACTCCCCCACCCAAGAAGGTAGGGACTGGAGGTGGAGGCAGGGGTGGGAGGTAGGGAAGGGAGCAGCCTCCAGAACTCACTTGTTCTCTTTCCAGTTCCGCTCACTGTTCTTCGGCTCCATCCTGGCCCCTGTACGCTCCCCCCAGGGCCCCAGCCCTGTGCTGGCGGAAGACAGTGAGGGTGAAGGCTGAACCAAGAACCTGAAGCCTGTACCCAGAGGCCTTGGACTAGACGAAGCCCCAGCCAGTGGCAGAACTGGGTCTCTCAGCCCTGGGGATCAGAAAGGTGGGCTTGCTGGAGCTGAGCTGTTTCACTGCCTCTCGCAGGCCCCAGCTGGCTGTCACTGTAAAGCTGTCCCACAGCGGTCGGGCCTGGGCCGTTATCTCCCCACAACCCCCAGCCAATCAGGACTTTCCAGACTTGGCCCTGAACTACTGACGTTCCTACCTCTTATTTCTCATTGAGCCTCAGGCTATACTCCAGCTGGCCAAGGCTGGAAACCTGTCTCCCTCAGGCTCACCTTCCTAAGGAAAATGTCATAGTAGGTGCTGCTGGCCCCTGGTGATCCAGCTTCTCTGCCAATCATGACCTGTTCCTTCCTGAAGTCCTGGGCATGCATCTGGGACCCCCGTGGAGCTGACAAGTTTTCCTTGCTTTCCTGATACTCTTTGGCGCTGACTTGGAATTCTAAGAGCCTTGGACCCGAGTGTGTGGCTAGGGTTGCCCTGGCTGGGGCCCGGTGCCGAGACTCCCAAGCGGCTCTGTGCAGAAGAGCTGCCAGGCAGTGTCTTAGATGTGAGACGGAGGCCATGGCGAGAATCCAGCTTTGACCTTTATTCAAGAGACCAGATGGGTTGCCCCAGGATCCGGCTGCCAGCCCTGAGGCCAAGCACGGCTGGAGACCCACGACCTGGCCTGCCGTTGCCCTGAGCTGCAGCCTCGGCCCCAGGATCCTGCTCACAGTCACCGCAGGTGCAGGCAGGAAGCAGCCCTGGGGGACTGGACGCTGCTATTGATTCATTAAAAAAAGAAAAGAAAAATACACCAAGGCTCCATGTTCCCCGTGACAGGTGGGCCTGAGGGGTCGGGGTGACCCCCCCCCAGCATGGCAGCATGATTTCTGTACAATCAATCCATCATCTGGGGCACAGGGTGGTGTGCGGGGGCTATTTCTTGGCTTTGGCGGAATTGCGGGGTGGGGTGATGGGTCGGCCTCCAGGGTTCAGGCCACTGAACTGCCCGTACTTCCCCTTGTTCTTGTCGGCGGGCTTGAGGATCTAAAAGAGACAGTGTTGGTCAGGCTCATGGGGCTGAGCCACAGGGCCTAGCGGCTCCTTTCTTCCCCACACTCACCTGGAAAGAGCACATGAGGGTCTCGTCCACACTCATCATGGCGCCAGCATTGTCAAACTCGCCACAGTAGTTGGGAGCTGAGAAAAGTGTCACCAGCTGCCGCTTGGCAAAGAACTCGTAGCCGTCTTCTACCACCTGGGCGAGGATGGGAGCAGTCAGTCCCGAGCGCAGGCACGGCCCTCCCCTTCCCCTGCCGCAGGCCGGAGCCACCAGCCCACCTGGTGTGCTCGGCAGATGAGGTCCAAGTCGTGCTTGTGGAGGAACTTGGCCACCACCTCGGCTCCAAAGGTAAAAGAGACGCCACGGTCGTTCTCGCCCCAGCCCTGCACGTCCTTGTCAGGGTCAGACCACAGCAGGTCACACAGCAGGCCCTGGTCAGGCACATCTGTGGGCCGCATGATCCGCCGAATCTGCTCCATAGACTGCAGGTCCGGGGACAGGCCTGGGGGGCCGGGGGAAGGTCACTTCCTCAAACAAGGACATCCTCCCTCCAGGAAGCCTTGGCCAATGAACCCCACCTTTCCCACCACCCTCCTGGTCCCGCCACTGGTCTCCTGGGCGCCTAGACAGGCAGAAGTCATCCCCTTCCCCTCAGCTTTTTCAAGTTCCCAAACAGGCACAAAGGCATCCCTGCCCTCAGGAGCACAGAGCTCCCGGGAGAAAGGAGACAAGCCCACTCCATGTAGGACACACATCAAGGAAGTGAGTGCAGCCCAGCACAGTGGGGTATGGGGGACACTTCCTGGAAGGAGTGACTTCCCAGATGAGACCTAAGGAGAGCTGCCGGGTGCTGAGGGATGCGGCCAGTGCTCCTCCTCCCCAGCCATCCCCTCCCTCACCTCCGTGGCAGCAGAAGATCTTTTCGTCCACTATGGCCGCGATGGGCAGGCAGTTGAAGCAGTCAGTGAAGGTTTTCCACAGTTTGATGTTGTAGCGTCTCTTGCCTGCCCAGGGGGAGGTGGCTGTGAGGTGCCTGCCTACCCCACCCTCAGCCAGGGTCCCTGGGCTATTCAGCCGTGGCTGGGAGGAGAGAGTCAGGCACCGATGCAAACCACCCCCCACCCCTGCCACCTGTCAGCCTTCCAGGAGCAATTCTAGTTACTTTTTATTTTAATTAAAGAAGACAGGATCTGGCCAGGCGCAGTGGCTAAGACCTGTAATCCCAGCACTTTGGGAGGCCGAGGCGGGCGGATCACCTGAGGTCAGAAGTTCGAGACCAGCCTGACCAACATGGAGAAACCTCGTCTCTACTAAAATACAAAAAAATCAGCCAGGCGTGGTGGCGCATGCCTGTAATCCCAGCTACTTGGGAGGCTGAGGCAGGAGAATCGCTTGAACCCAGGAGACGGAGGTTGTGGTGAGCCGAGATCACACCATTGCACTCTAGCCTGGGCAACAAGAGTGAAACTCCGTCTCAAAAAAGTAAAGAAACAGGGTCTTGCTCTGTCACCCAGGCTGGAGTGCAGTGGCAAGATCATAGCTCACTGTAACTTGGAGCTTCTGGGTCCAAGGGATCTTCCCGCCTCGGCCTCCTGCCAGAAGTAATTCTAAAGCACCCGAGTCCACTGGAAACTAAGTTCCAATCTGGACCAGCCTCAGGGTTGGCACTCCTCGCATGCCCCCACCCATGAGCCGGGCCAAGTCCAGGTCTGGTTTATCTCAGCTTCTGGACAGCAGAGCCCATCTGCAAACATCCTAAGTGCTTAGTAGCAAATGTAGGGGGAGTGTCACCAGGCAGGGCCCTGGGGGAAAGCACTAGAATCCGGGCAGCCCTTCAGTCAGCAACCATTCCCCAGACCCCATGCCAGGAGGGGCAGGGCAGGCACGAGAACGGACCTGGGCCCCGCCTTCGTGGAGCGCACAGTCTATCAAGTGTCTGTCAGATATCAGGCCAATGTGAAGGTCCCACTGAATGGCAAAGAGTGCGGTTCAGGACCCGGGCAGCCCCAGACGCTCAGACCACTCACACTCATCGTAGAAACCATAGATGCGGTTGATGCTGGCACACTCGTGGTTCCCACGGAGCAGGAAGAAGTTCTCGGGGTACTTGATCTTATAGGCCAGCAGCAGGCAGATGGTCTCCAAGGACTGCTTGCCCCTGTCCACATAGTCCCCCAGAAAGAGGTAGTTGCTCTCGGGAGGGAAACCGCCATACTCAAATAGTCGCAGAAGGTCGTAGTACTGGCCGTGTATGTCACCTGTGACCCAGGGAACCGGGTAAGCTAGATGCAAGGTCTAGACCTGAACCCAGGGCCAGGACTGCGCTCAAGGGAGGAGGGCTCCAGGAACTCTGTGGGGTCCAGTGCCACTTTTAGGAAGGCAAGGGGACCTGGGCCGGGGGCTCACCGCAGATCTTGAGGGGTGCCTCCAGCTCCAGAAGAATGGGCTGGCTCAGAAAAATCTCCCGGGATTTCAGGCACAGACCGCGGATCTCGTTCTCTGTCAGCTGTACATTCTTGCCAGGCCGCGAGCCCTGCACTGGGGCGCAATGGGGTGTCAGGACCCTGGACCCTGACAGGAGGAGGGTGGGCGACACGGGTGGCCCCATGGATACCTCCGGGGGCGCCTAGGCCTCCTCGGCCCCTCCTTGCCCACAGGCAGCTGTTGCTGCTGAGCCTCCCGGGACCGCGGCCTCAAGCCTCCCAGGGGAAGCCCCCAGCTACCCTCAGCGCCTCGGGAGGCGACTGTCGTGCGCAGGGGGCTGCCACCAAAAACCTCACAGCGCAGGACCCCTTCCTGGACCGGGCTTCCCGGGTTTCTCCCTCGCCCCAAGAGCCCAGGCAACCCGTGCGCCCCCAGCCCGGGAGAGGGGGGGAGCTGCTCCGCGCGTCGGAGCTGGCCCCGGACCTCTCAGGCGCGTCCGCGGGGGGGCAGCTGCGGCCACGGAACCTCGCTGCCCGTCCCCGCCCAGTCTAAGCTGGCCCCGGGGGCCCGCCCGCGCGCCACTTCCGGGCCGGGCAGGGGGCCAGGGCGCGGCGGACGCGGGCCTCCCCCGCCCCGACCAACCTTCCAGCAGGCGCCCGATGATCGAGTCCAGGTTGAGCTTCTCGCTGTCGGACATGGCGGCGCCGCCGCTCCAGCCCAGCAGCTCCTGGCCCGCTCCTGCCTCCCGCCCTCCGGCAGCCTCCTTCCGGCCTGGCTCTCCTTCCGCCCGCCCCAGTCCGCCCCCGGCCCGCGGCCCCGCCTCCAGGCCTCCCGGGCCCGCCCCGCCCAGTCCCCCGCCCTCTAGCGCCCCCGCTGGACGTGAGGCGCGGCGGCCCGGGGGGCGGGGCCTCGGCGGCGGGCTGGGGGCGGGGTCTGTCGGGGGCGTGACCAAGCTGGTTACGCCCCAGAGGAGGCGCCCAGCCCTGTTCAGAGGATGTGGGGCCGGAAGGACTGTGGAAGTTGTTTTTCTCTTTCAAAAGCCCAACAGACTTTCCCACCCCTTCCCTGGGTGGAAGGTGTTGTGAACATGTTAATAACCGGCTGCTAGGCACTGAGGGTTAACTGCTCCAAGTGCAGGAAAGGAAACTGAGGCTCAAGAGATAAAAACAGCCTGGACCTCGCATTCACGGAGGACCCCCCACTTCTTCGTGGGTCTCTGTGGCGCCCAGGCGGCTGACCACACTCAAAGACAGCTACGGCTGAATTCCCAGCGCACTTTGGTCCTTGGGGCATGCTAAATTAATATTTTCTTATAAGTCCCATAATTCGCTTTTTTTTTTTGAGACAGAGTTTTGCTCTGTCCCCCAGGCTGGAGTGCAGTGGCGCGACTTTGGCTCACTGCAACATTCACTTCCCGGGTTCAAGCGATTCTCCTGCCTCAGCCTCTGGAGTAGCTGGGATTACAGGCGTGCGCCACTGTGCCCAGCTAATTTTTGTATTTTTAGCAGAGGTGGGGTTTCGCCATGTTGGCCAGGTGGCCTTGAACTCCTAACCTCAAGTGATCCACCCCCCTTGACCTCCCAAAGTGCTAGGATTACAGGCGTGAGCCAACAAGCCTGGCCCCATAATTAGCTTTTGAGTAGCACAGTAATATTGCAGGGTGTGCACATAAAAATAATTACTTTATGAGCAGACGTGGCTGGGCACAGTGGCTCACGCCTGTAATCCCAGGACTTTGGGAGGCCTAGGCGGGCGGATCATTTGAGGTCAGGAGTTCGAGACCAGCCTGGCCAACATGGTGAAACCCCATCTCTCTAAAAATACAAAAAGTTAGCTGGGCATGATGGGAGCCTCCTGTAATCCCAGCTACTTGGGAGGCTGAGGCAGGAGAATCGCTTGAACCTGGGAAGTGGAGCCCAGGCGACAGTGCGAGACTGTCTCAAAAAAAAAAAAAAAAAAAAGAAGAGCAGACGATAAATGAACCTTAATTCTTGTTGGAACCCTGAGTTGGTGCTTTACATGCCAGTAACCTCAGAACTGGAAGTGGGCCTGCCGTGGTGGCTCAGGCCTGTAATTCCAGCACTTTGGGAGGCTAAGGCGGGATGGTCTCTTGCGTCCAGCCTGGGCAACACAGCGAAACCCTGTCTCAACAAAAAATACAAAAATTAGCTGGGCATGGTGGTGCGCGCCTGCAGTCCCAGCTACTGTGGAGGCTGACGCAGGAGGATCTCTTGAGACCAGGAGGTGGAGGTTGCAGTGAGCCCAGATCGTGCCATTACACTCCAGCCTGGGTGACAGAGCAAGACCCTGTCTCAAGAAACAAACATGAAGTCCAGGCGCAGTGGCTCATGCCTGCAATCCCAGCACTTTGGGAGGCTGAGGTGGATGGATCACCTGAGGTCAAGAGTTTGACCAATGTGGCAAAAACCCTGTCTCTACTAAAAATACAAAAATTAGCCGGGCATGGTGGTGCTTGTCTGTAGTCCCTGCTACTTGGGGGGCTGAGGCAGGAGAATCACTTGAATCCGGGAGGTGGAGGTTGCAGTGAGCTGAGACCGCGCCACTGCACTCCAGCCTGGGCAACAGAGCGAGACTCTGTCTCAAAAGAAACAAACAAAAGAACTGGAGGTGGCCCGGCCCCTGCGTCTAACAGTCCTGGGCCCTCCACACCAGCACAGGAACTCAAGCCTGCAGTCACTGGGGCCATGGGGAAGGTGGGAGGAGCCCACAGCTCAGGGGCACTGGGGCAGGCAGGAAGAGCCTCAGAGAGGAAGGGGTGACACCCCCCACCCTTGGGAGGGGCCCCCAGCGGTTGCCAAAGCTGTGTGAGGAGGAGGAGGAAGTGAGAGGAGGAGGTGAGGTGCTGCGGGAGGTGAGCTGGGCTGGTGGGGACAGGGGCAGGGCTTGGGGCTGGGTCTCCGGACAGAGGCCTGGCTTTTCTGTCAGGGCAGGGCCTAGCCCCTGCCCCCATAAAAGAGGAGACATAGGGGGCTTGGTGAGATACCCTGAAACCTCCCCCCTCTGACCCCGCAGCCAGGCCCCAGGCTGGCCGGGAGTGGCCCCTCACACTGGTTCTCCCCACTTTCTCTGCCTGTGGCATCGAAGGCCCCGGGCACCATGGCCCAGGCCCTGGGGGAGGACCTGGTGCAGCCTCCCGAGCTGCAGGATGACTCCAGCTCCTTGGGGTCCGACTCAGAGCTCAGCGGGCCTGGCCCATATCGCCAGGCCGACCGCTATGGATTCATTGGGGGCAGCTCAGCAGAGCCAGGGTAAGGGGGCAGGGTGAGGGCTGGCGGAATGCTGGGACAGAGGACAGGGGGCTGAGGGCTGAATTCTGGAGGGAGGCCGGGAGGGTCTGGTGGTAGGGATTGGGAGGGGGACTCAGCCAGTAGCACCCCTCTGCAGGTGCCAGGTGGAACCCTAAGGTGGGAAGGGTCCGGGGAGGCCTCTGTACGTCTCTTACCCCCAGCCTCCGAGGGTTTGCACCCACTACTGGGGCAGAACATCCTTCCCCTTTGAACCTCTGGCTCAGGAATCCCAGATCCAAATCACAGAACCCATACCTCCTCCTTCCCCCTTTCCCCAAGCTACAGACAGAAACACAAGTCCAGATATAGACAGAAACTTGCCCCAGGTCACACAGATCAGACACAGACCCAGACTCAAACTCAGGACTCTGGGCTTCCAGTCCAGGGCTCTCTCCAGCCAGCTTCCCCTATGAATTGTCTGTGTCCCTGTCCTGGGTGACAGCCAACCAGTCCCTCCCCCAATACACACCCACTCACCCCTTCAGTCTCCTGCTTCTGCCCACGTCGGAGCCACATCCTTTCCTGTCCCCGTGACAAGCATTGGCAGCTCCTGGGTCACAGGTCACCCCACAGGGCTCCCAGAGATCCCTAGGGCCAGGAGCTGGGTTCACCTGGGTAGCCTGGAGGGTGGCAGTGTGGGCCTTGGGTAACAGCTGCCCAGCGTCTGGATACCTGTGCCATGCACCCCCAGGCCGGGCCACCCACCTGCAGACCTCATCCGCCAACGGGAGATGAAGTGGGTGGAGATGACCTCGCACTGGGAGAAAACCATGTCCCGGCGGTACAAGAAGGTGAGGGGGGCAGGGGCCCCACTTGGCTTCCATGGCTCATTCCTCTCTGCCTCAGCCCACATCTTGGCAAAATGTA
The DNA here is from genome assembly GCF_000001405.40 of Homo sapiens. Taxonomy (NCBI): domain Eukaryota; kingdom Metazoa; phylum Chordata; class Mammalia; order Primates; family Hominidae; genus Homo; species Homo sapiens. Next base: position 67,405,261 of record NC_000011.10, read on the forward strand.
CCCACCCTGTGTCCCAGCACCTCCGGCCTTTGCTCCCTGCCACCCAAAGTGGGCCCCTGCCTGCTGATGAGCTGTGCCTGGGGCCTGCCAGCAGGAGCTATGGAGGCTGCCTAGTGGAGCCCTTGGCCTCACCCACAGGTAAAGATGCAGTGCCGGAAAGGCATCCCGTCTGCCCTGCGCGCCCGATGCTGGCCCCTGTTGTGTGGGGCCCATGTGTGCCAGAAGAACAGCCCTGGCACCTATCAGGTGAGGGAGTGGGCAGGGGCCCCAATTCCCCTACCCAGAGCCCCTCACCACACTGAACCCTCACACCCACCTTCCTGGCTACCCACAGGAGCTGGCAGAGGCCCCTGGAGACCCACAGTGGATGGAGACCATTGGCAGGGACCTGCACCGTCAATTCCCTCTGCACGAGATGTTTGTGTCGCCTCAGGGCCACGGGTACGAGGCCGGTGATGCCCAGGGACCCCCAGCCCCACAAGCCCCAGGTGCTCCAGCCCACTTTCCCTAGCCCAGCTCTACAGTCTTGCATCTCAGGGGACCCAGGAAGGCCCAGGGAGGCTGAGGCCTGGGCAGAGGCCCCCAGAGGGTGGAGAAGGGGGTGCCTGCAGGACTGGCCCCTTATGGGGTCTTCCGGCACAGGCAGCAGGGGCTCCTGCAGGTGCTCAAGGCCTACACCCTGTATCGACCGGAGCAGGGCTACTGCCAGGCCCAGGGGCCCGTGGCTGCTGTGCTGCTCATGCACCTGCCCCCAGAGGTGAGTGACCTTGACCCTGCTCTGGGAACCCTAGTGACCTAGGCCCAGGGAACCCCATCCCCAGGAACTGTGGCCTCAGAAACCTGCAATCCTTGATTCCTGGACCCTGTCCTAGTGACCCAGGTCCTCATGACTGCCAGCCTCAGTGACCTTCAAGCCTAATGACCTTGACTCCAGGAACCTGGGACCCTTGACCCCAGCCTTGACCCCAGTCATCTAGGAATCTGGATGTTATCACCTTGACCCCACGACTCCTGATTCTGAACTTGGGGACTGCGACCCCAACCCCAAAGACCCAGAAACCCAGGACTTGAACTTTGGGACACTCCCAACCCTTGGCCAGTGAACCCCAACCCTGTGACCTTCAAATCTAACACCATGAGCCCTGTGATTTCCAACACCCTAAACCCCTCAGCAGACCCTGTCTTGGGCAGAGGAGGGGGCTTTTGGGAAGGGCTTCCAGGAACTGCGCAGGTTAGGAGTGGCCCTGAGTGCAGGCCCCTGTGGTGCCCAGGCCCTCCCCTTCACTCCTTTCCCCTGTCCTGCCTTCTCCTCCACGGTCCCTTCCTTGGTGAGCACTTACAGGCCTGTGCCCTGCCCCTTCCCCAGGAGGCCTTCTGGTGCCTGGTGCAGATCTGTGAGGTCTACCTCCCTGGGTACTACGGGCCCCACATGGTGAGAGGCTGACATGGGGGCTGGAGGAAGGAGGGGCAGGGGCCCGGTGAGTGGGTGGGGGTCTGGGGACTGAGGGAGGTTGAGCCTGGGCTCTGGGGGTGGCGGTGCTGGCCTGCTGATGGACGTGGCCACAGGAGGCTGTGCGGCTGGACGCCGAGGTGTTCATGGCCCTGCTGCGGCGGCTGCTTCCGCACGTGCACAAGCACCTGCAGCAGGTGGGCGTCGGACCCCTGCTGTACCTGCCCGAGTGGTTCCTGTGCCTCTTCGCCCGCTCCCTGCCCTTCCCCACAGTGCTGCGTGTCTGGGATGCCTTCCTCAGTGAGGGTGAGTGGGGCAGCCAGTGGCTGGGGCAGGAGCCTTGGGGTGTGGGTGGGGAGGTAGCTCACCAGCTCCAGGGTTCCCTTTTTGAGCCTCAAATCACAGGACTGGGTGTGCCGAAGGTGATGGCCTGGTGCCTGGCGCTACATCACCCATCACCCATCACCCAGGCACCGCCTGGTGCAGAGCTGGGCCAGGGAGGCTTCCAGAGGAGGCAGATGGGGCAGGAGCAGGGTGATCACAGCACATGGAGGCCTGAGCTTCTCAGGGACAGTAGGAGGCGTTCCTCCCCAGAGCCCGCAGGCACCTGCTGGGTGCTCACTGGCTCCAGACGTGGATCTGCAGCTGGGAATCAAGTGATCGAGACCTTCAATTCTGGCGGGGGTGGGGATGGGTGGCGACAGTAACCAAATTCACAAGATATTTATAGATTGTCAGAAGTGTCATGAAGAAAATAAAACAAGGGATGTGACAGGGAGTGTCAGGGGAGTGCAGGGGCGATGGCTGCATTTAAGCTCCTTCTGGCTGCTCTGTGCAGGAGGAGGACTCACAGGGGTGGCTGTGGAGGCCTGGGGCCAGAGAGGCCACTGTCCCCAGGGGCCAGGCTACAGTCTACGAAGCAGGGAGGGCTTGGAGCCATGAAGCCAGAGAGGTGGAGGCTGGGGGCCAGGCCAAGAACAGGAGGGGAGTCGGAGCAGAGCCAAGCTGGACTCCCTGTGTCTTTGGGACTCTGCCTTGATACTGCCATCGGTAACCCACCTGCATTCTGTTCTATATGTGAGGTCTGGAGGTTGCACCTTAAAACGTGGTAGAAATCAGTCAGCATATGCATACTGTGCATACTGAATGCCTGTCGTGTGCTCAGCCGGCTTCCTGCCCTCCGCACAGCGGAGGACCACTGGCTGACTTAGAGTTCTGGCCACAGGTGTCCAAGTCGCTATCCATGCGGTCACCTTCCAACCAGCCTTAGACCTCGAGAGCAGGGCTGGGCAGAGCTGGGCAGGGCCTGACCTGCCCACCTGGGGGCAAACACTACACAGGCTCCCTTTATCAGAAGGACGATAGTATGAATAGTGATTGTTCCTACCATCATCACTCAACCTCGCTGGTCCCCTGGTGGCTCTTCTCAGATCAGAGGCTGCCAGGAAGGAATTTTGAGGCTCCAGGACTAGCCCAAACTCACACTGTGGGGAGTGTGCACTGAGTGCTATGCTCCTGGCTTAGGGAAGAGCAGTTCTGCCTAGGATCTTTCTAGAATCAGAGGGTCACAGATCCAAGTTGGAAAGGCCCTTAAAGGGCTCCACCTGACCTTTCATCATGGAGATGAGCAAGCTGAGGCCCAGGGAGGGCTTGGTGTGAAGGCATCAGTAGCCCTGGGCTCCTGGCAGGAAGCTGGTGGCTTGGAGGGGACTGGAGCCTTGGGGTGTGGACAGGGAGCTAGCTCACCAGCTCCAGGGTTCCCTTTTGGAGCCTCGAGTCATGGGACCAGGTGTGCTGAAGGTGATGGCCCTGTGCCTGGTGGCACATCACCTGTCACCCGGATGCTGCCTGGGGTAGGAGCTGGGTGATCATAGCACATGGAGGCCTGACTGGCTCAGGGAGGGTAGGAGGTGCTCCTCCCCGGAGCCCACAGGCACCTGCTGGGTGCTTGCTGGCTCCAGATATGGATGGCATCTGAGCATCAAGTGATCAAGACCTTCATTTTGGCGGGGGTGGGGATGGGAGGCGACAGTAACCAAATTCACAAGATAGTAACTCTTCCCCAAAGCATCTGTGGCTCTTGAGGCTAACTTGGCCAGTACAGCGGCCTGTGTTACCCGAAATGCAACTCCACCCTCTGTCATTGTTCCTGAACCGGGGAGGGCAGAGCTGCAGGAGAGTGGGAGGCATATGGCTGAGGGCAGGTTTGGGTGCAGAACTGTGGAGGGGCAGGGCCGGCCTCCCAGTGAATAAGCCCCCGGCCTGCAGGTGCCAGAGTACTGTTCCGTGTGGGGCTGACACTGGTGCGCCTGGCGCTGGGCACTGCAGAGCAGCGAGGGGCCTGCCCTGGCCTCCTGGAGACACTGGGAGCCCTTCGAGCCATCCCCCCCGCGCAGCTGCAGGAGGAGGCCTTCATGTCACAGGTGGGTACCCCCACCTCTCCTTGGACTTGCCCAGCCCCTGCTGCACGGGGGAAACTGAGTCCCAGAGCAGGAAGCCAAAGCGAGAATGGGGACTTAGTTCCTGTCCCCTGAGCTTCAGAGAACACAAAAACCTGAGGCCTCCAGTGGCTTTCTGTGGCTCCCCAGTGAGGCTGTCAGCCCCTCAGTCCTCAGCCACTTCCTGGGCTGGGGACCTCACAGTTTCCTGTTCCTGCCTTGAGGCCGGGCAAACGCAGCACCAACTGCTCCCCACAGGTGCACAGCGTGGTGCTGTCAGAGCGGGACCTGCAGCGGGAGATCAAGGCCCAGCTGGCCCAGCTGCCCGATTCCGCGCCGGGACCCCCGCCCCGGCCACAGGTCCGCCTCGCCGGGGCCCAAGCCATCTTTGAGGCCCAGCAGCTGGCAGGAGTGCGACGAGGCGCCAAGCCTGAGGTGCCTCGGATTGTGGTGCAGCCCCCGGAGGAGCCCAGACCACCGCGGCGGAAACCCCAGACCCGCGGCAAGACTTTCCATGGGCTCCTGACTCGGGCCCGGGGCCCCCCCATCGAGGGGCCCCCCAGGCCCCAACGAGGCTCCACCTCCTTCCTGGACACCCGCTTCTGAGAGGACCATGGACTTAGTGTCCCCCAGTCTCAATTGCCTGATGGCTGATGCCGGCCCGGCAAATAGGCACCGCACTTTACTCTTGGGACTCGGGGACTTGGCTTCCTTCCTGGCAAGGACCAGGCAGTGGGGAAGGAGGAGGTCCTCCGTGGTACATACTGGGTCAGGCACTAGCATGGAGGAGGGTCACAGAGTGGGGCACGTGAGGACCCATGGAACCGTCCTGGTGCCCAGGCCCTCACAAGTACCAAAGCCAGCACCAAAGGAGTCAGGGAAGGGGTTGGCTGAGTCAAGGGACCCCAGAGGGCACCAGGAATAAAATCTTCTTGAACAGATGCCTTGGATGGCGCTGGATCAAATGCCCTCCTCCCAACCCCAGACAGGCAGCCCCTTCCCCTCCTCCCTCATCTGCCCTTCCCAGCCCCGCCCTCTCCTGGTCCTGCCCTGGGGACACACCGAGGCTGCCCACTGGCCGCTGGGGAAGGTGTTTACAGTAATAAGAGCCAATTGAAAGTTGCCCTGCCCAGCCTCTGGGGACAGGAGTGGCTTTTGCACCTGCAGGAGGAGGGCGCCCCAGTGGATGGCGAGTCCAGGGGCTCTACCCCCTCTTCTGCCCTCCTTCCCCTCCCTCCAGGGTGGTTCAGTACTCGCTGGGATGGGGGACTCTAACCCAAGTCCTCCCCGCACCCATGGTTCTAGTCACATCTGTCAAAGGGATCCAGGCAAGAACAAAGGCCTAGTGTGCCTCGGACAAAGGAGAAAGGTCCCGCCAGCCCTCACCCCTCCCTGGGCCCTGCGTCTGCCCCCTCGGGACCGCCACCATGGAAACCCCCTCCCACACTCACTAATAGCCCCCGTGGGTGCCCAGGACCTGAGCCATCGCCAGGGCAACAGGGCTGGTTCCGACACAGGCGTGTGTCCCGCAGTGTCCATTCCCAAGTGCCCTCCCTTCGATGGGGAACACGGCAGGACTCCATATGGATGGGAGGCATCTGCAGGCCCAGGCTCCAGGGGTGGCCATTGGGTGGGGTGTCAGTGGAGTCACCTGTCAGACTCTGGGTTTGGAATGTTCTTGCGACAGGGCCACAGGCTGCGTCTATGTGGCAAGTGCCAGGTCCTGGGTCCTGGGCAGACTTGTCCTACTCCCAAGGAGCCTAACCCCTGGAAGAGGGAATCATGGCGGCCCAGACCCTTCCTTATCTGTCGTTTCTCCGGGGGAAACTGAGGCTCAGGAGGAGCAGGAACTTGCAGAAAGCCTTACTATCTATCCATAGCAGACCCAAGGTTTAGCCCTGCCCCAACCACTGGCAGCTCCCCCCTGGGCAGCCCCCTGGGAGTGCTTTCTCCTGCTCCTTCCCCGCTCTACCCCCAATCCTGCACCAGCCCCTCAGTGTGTGAATGAGGCAATAGCCAGACTCCCGTGATTTAGAGCGCGCTCCAGAGCCTCCTCTGCCCACTCCTCCTTACCCCGCTGGGGTGCCTGCAACTTAATAATAGCCTCCTTACCTGTAGTTTACAAAACCCTTTCCCAGACCCCCCGCCCCTAGGCCCTCTCTCTGCAGGTGGCCCCTGATATCCCTGTTAGAGACACAGGCTTAGTGAGGACAAGGACCTCACCCAGGCCCACAGTGAAAGGCAGAGCCGGCTGGAATGCAGAGGCAAGGCTCTGTGCTGTGTAGACTATGCCTTATCCTTAGACGAGGAGTGTCTTGGTGGAATCTCAGGCACTGTAGCGGGCAGGGTGGCCGGGGTCAGGGGGCACTTGTCCCTGAAATCCACTTGGGAGCTCCCCGCCCTCCACAGTTCAGCTCTTTGCCTGGGAGAATAGAGGAGCAAGGTGCAGCAGCCTCAGCCCTGGGCCGAGGGTCTGTCATGAGCCTGCGGGGGCGCGGTGGCAGTGGCTCACCCTGGACACAGACCCTAGGAGCCGGTGGTCTCCAGCAGCGTCCCTCCAGCTGGGGCTCAGTCATTGCCTTTCCTACTCAGGAGACTGTTTTCTGGGCAGCTCTTCTGTAGGTTTCCTTATCAGTCACCTGCATGGGAGCCCTAACTCACAGGCTGGACAGAAGAGGCCCAGTGCCCTCCGGGTGTGAACCCTCGCACACATGCGTTCTCACAGGCTCTCCTCCGCAGGGCTGCACCGGCCCCCACAGCACCTTTTTGCCAGCTAGGGAAAGACGTCTCTCCTCCAGGCAACATGCAGCCTCACCAGAGTGCACGGTGTAGCAGAGTGGGGTGTGATCTCTCTCCCAGGTGCCTTTGTGCAGTGAGCAACCTACACAAACATGCTCAGTGAACCTAGAAAGTCCCTACAGATCTGCCTGGAAGGGGGCTCAGAGAAGGGAAGTGATGCATCTGAGAGGACTCAGTGTGTGGGGACTGAAGCTGGGAGGGCCCCTGGGATGTCTGTCAGCCTGCCTCAGAGTGGACACGAGTGGGGGCATGCAAAGGAGTGGAGCAGGACAAATGGGTGCCTGCCATGGATCGGCGGGGAGGACCCACGGTCTCCATCTTGCCCTGCCACCCACTTGAGGTTCCCTGAATTCCCACACTGTTCCAGGCTCCCAGAGGGGTCAGACTTGGACTCACCTGCATGGGAAAGGCCCTTTCTTCTCCTCTGAGCCTCAGTATTCTCCTGCGGATAATGGGATTATAATAGCCCCCACCCCAGCCTCAAGAGGGCTCTACCAGCTCATGATGATGATGATGATGACTGTTCAGTCCAGCGGGACAGCAGCCAAAGCACTGCCTCTCCTCACCCCACCCCTACCTAGCCTCAGGTGATGTCCAGGCTTTCCTGGCAGGGGCAGAGCAGAACCACCCGCCCACCTGCCTGCCCCAAGTCCCAGGATCCTGAGCTTGGGCTGCAGCTGCCCAACTCTGATTTTCCTCCCTGTATCCACAAGGCAAAAGCCAGAGCAGCCAGGGACCAGACAGGGTGGCCTAGGAGAGGGCACAGCCGCAGCACTCTGTGCATGCATGCACGCATTCTGGCAGAAGATCCCGGCTCTGCCTCTCACCAGCTGTGTGACCTTGGGCAAGTCACACGACCTCTCTCAGTCTCATAATTGCTCCCTTGCATGTGAAGTGTTAAGCCTGGGCTGAGTGTGCACTGTATCCCCATTTGAAGATGAGAAAACTGAGTCCCCAGGGCTGCAGAGCTTGTTAAATGTTAAATGTCAAAGCTCATGCTCTTTGGATCACGCCCAGGCCCCACAGTGGGACCCCATGGGCGCTCAGGCCACCCAGGTGGCAAGCGATTGGGTCTCCTGGGGTGGTTGTGGGACCTGGGCCCCTCCCCTTAGTGATCTGAAGCTCACTCTCCCCAGCCTAGAATGGGGCTGGTTCCTCATTCCTGGAGCCTGGACCAGCTGTAGGGAGGGCTGCACGTGGGCCTGGAAGTTGTGTGGGGAATGTGGGCTGGACTGGGCATCCTGGAGAAGCCATTTCCCCTCTCTGCCGACCCTCTCCAGTGGTAGACAGGGATGGGTCTGCACAGACTGCCCTGTATATAGTTGCAGAAAGGGTCCAACAGCTGTCATCTCTGTCCCTGACATGTGTGGGCCCCTCAGTATTCTCCCCCAGGCCAGGAGGCTCTCAAGGACAGCCAGGGCTCAATATGTGTCCAGTTGCGAGACAGGCAGGGAGAAGGGCTGACTGGGGACTGTGAGAGGGAGGAGTTAGAGCCATAGGCTGCCCTGCCTAGGAGAGGGAAACCAGCCCCATTCTAGGCTGGGGAGAGTGAGCTTCAGATCACAAAGGGGAGGGGCCCAGGTCCCACAGCCAGAGCTAGGATTGAAACCCACTGGTGGGACACACTCCAGGAGAGGGGGTGAATCTCTGGTTGTGCTTCTGTGGGTGAATTGTGGCTGAGACCCAGGTCTCCTGGGGTATGCTTCTGTGGTTGGGTGGGTACACTTGGGTGTGAGTATGTATGTCTTGGGGAGATTATAGCTTCAACTCCGGGTGTGAAGTTGACCTGGGTGGGTGTTGATAAGCAGAGCAGATTTCTTTTCCTTTCTTTTCTCTTCTTTTTTCTTTCTTTTTTTTTTTTTTTAAAGAGATAGGGGGGCCAGGTGCAGTGGCTCACACCTGTAATCCTAGCACTTTGGGAGGCCAAGGTGACCAGATCATGAGGTCAGGAGATTGCGACCATCCTGGCCAACATCATGAAACCCCGTCTCCACTAAAAATACAAAAATTAGCTGGGTGGGCTGGGCGCGGTAGCTCATGCCTGTAATCCTAATACTTTGGGAGGCTGAGGCGGGCAGATCACCTGAGGTCGGGAGTTCGAGACTAGCCTGACCAACATGGAGAAACCCTGTCTCTACTAAAAATACAAAATTAGCTGTCATGGTGGCGCATGCCTATAATCCCAGCTACTCCAGCCTGGGCAACAAGAGCGAAACTCCATCTCAAAAACAAAACAAAACAAAACAAAACAAAAGTAGCTGGGCATGGTGGCTCGCACCTGTAGTCCCAGCTACTTGGGAGGCTGAGGCAGGAGAATCACTGGACCCGGGGAGGCGGAGGTTGCAGTGAGCCAAGATTGTGCCACTGCACTCCAGCCTGGTGACAGAGTAAGACTCTGTCTTAAAAAAAAAAAAAAAAAAAAAAGGGATAGGGTCAAAAAAAAAAAAAAAAAAAAGAGAGAGAGATAGGGTCTCGGCTGGGTACAGTGGCTTACACCTGTATTCTCAGGACATTGGGAGGCCGAAGCAGGAGGAGCACCTGAGGTCAGGAGTTCAAGACAAGCCTGGCCAACACGGCGAAACCCTGTCTCTACTAAACACACAAAAATTAGCCAGGCGTGGTGGCGTGTGCCTGTAATCCCAGCCACTCAGGAGGCTGAGGCAGGAGAATCACTTGAACCTGGGAGGTAGAGGTTGCAGTGAGCTGAGATCACACCACTGCACTCCAGCCTGGGCCGACACACTGAAACTCTGTCTCAAAAAAAAAAAAAAAAAAAAAAAAAGCGGAGCGAGCGAGAGAGATAGGCTCTCACTGTATTGCCCAGGCTGGAGTGCAGTGGCACAACCAGGACTCACTGCAGTCTCGACCCCCGGGGCTCATGTGATCTTCCCACCTCAGCCTCCCAAGTAGCTGGGATTACAGGCCCACACCACCTCAACCAGCTAGTTTAAATTTTTTTTTTTTATAGAGACAGGGTCTTGCTATGTTGCCCAGGCTGGTCACAAACTCCTGGGTTCAAGCAATTCTCCTGCCTCAGGCTCCCAAAGTGCTGGGATTATAGGCAGCCACCGCACCAGGAGAGGCTGGATCTTATAGACATCCTGGCCCCTGTGTGCAAGTCCACTGGGTCCAGAAGTGAGGAGGGGGCTGCACAGATGTGTGGAGACCCTGGCCCAGGAGGGCCTCTCTGGGAGAACGTGCAATAGGGCAAAGCGCTGGCAGCTGGGACAGAAAGCTGCAGGGCTGGGACCTCCGGCCTCCATCCAAAGGTAGGGCTCAGGGCTGTGTGCTCCAGGCTGCTCTCCCGGGCACCCCACCCCTAAGGGCGGGCCCTAGTACCAGTCTCTGCCTGCTCCGGCTCTCCCCGCCCCTCCTTTCCATCTCTTCTCCATGGTGGGCCTCCCTCTTTCTTCATGGCAGCCCTACGTCTGTGACCCTCGACGACAGTCCCTGTCCATCTGTACCTGGCCCTCTGTCGGGACTTCCTCTGTGTCTCTGAAGACCCCCGTCTCTCCCTGCCTGCTCCGTGCCCTCCTCCTGCTGGGTCCGTGTCCCGCCACACGCCCCCAGGTCTGGGACGTTTTCGTGGCTGACGGGCGGGGGGGGGGGGGGGCGCGTCCCCGGCGGGTCCCTATCGGTCCCTGTCGGTCCGTCCGCCCCGCGCCGCCCCCGCTGGGCACTGGGCATGCCCCAGGCGTTTCTATATAAAGCGGCGCCGCTTGGGCCGGGCGCTGTGCCACTGCCACCGCCGCCGCCGCTGCATCCCGCCCGGTCCGAGTCCGCCCGCCACGCCCGCCGAGCCGCTGCCGCCGCCAGGTACCCCAGCTCCGGCCCCGCCCCGGGGAGAGCCAGGGAGGGGGGCGGCCGGGGCAGGAGTCGCGGGGACGAGGACCCCGGGCGCCCGCTCCCCGCGGCGGGACCCTCGACGCTACGCCCCCCACCCCCGGGACCCGGTGCCCCCAACTCCCCCCCGCGCTGGAGGGGCAGAGCCAAGCCCGGACCCCAGGGCAGGAAGGACCTGTGAGCCGCACTGGGGCAGGAGCCACTCGGTCTGGGCAGCAGAAATCCCTCCCTACCTTCGGGGTGGGGGTGGGGCTGCCTTGGCCTCTCTCTGCAGGGACAGGTGTCGGCCACCTCTCCACTCCCAAAGTCTAGGGGCTGGAAGGCCAGGCAGGGACTTGGCTGCCCTGACTCCTTCGTCTCTCTGTCCCTCTGTCTCTGCCATCAGTCTCTCAGCCACTCCACCCACGAGATGGTGAGTCTTCTGTGGTCCCTCCCCCACAAGGCCCAAGTCCCTGGGCAGAGAGTGGGCCCAGAGGACAGCAGGCAGCACCTAGGACCTAAGCCTGGGAGTTGCCCCCTGCAGACAGCTTAGACCCACGACCAGCTCCCCCACCCCCACCCTGCGGCTGCATCCTGGGAGGTGGGCACTCTTAGTGCCCTGTGACATTCATTCATTCCATGGCCCCTCAGGGAGCTCACCTTCTAGGAGACGGCACAGAGGCTCTGGCCCTGGCAAACTGGGATTCGAGCCCAGGCATGAGGCCCAGTCCTCTGCCGTCTGGGCCACAGCACACCATCTCCCAACAACCAAGAGATTCTCTTCGTCCCAGCCTCATCAGCCCCCAGGGGATGGGAGAGGGCAGGCACCAGGCAACAAGGTCCAAAGAGACCTCACGACTTGCTCAAGGTGGCCGAGCCTGTCCCCTGGAGGACAGACTCAGCTGCCAGGCCTGTCCAGGCCTGGGGACTGCAAAGAACAAGAATTCCATTCACACGAAGCCTCCCAGCAGCCCCATATTGGGGGGGCGCCAGCCTCAGAGAGGGGAGGGACGTTAGGTTTCATCCAAAGAAAGCATTTCCGTGACTCAAAATATCTGCAGGGGGGATACTGTCTAGCCTCCTAATGTTTAGCCCAGGGCTGGGCACACAGTAGGGCTTCAAGACCTACGTGGGGATGACAGTGGAATCACATTTAGGTGTCAGCACACTCCATGCCGGGTCATGAGACAGAAATAAGCCACCTCAGAGTGATGGCTGGGTTCGTTCATTCATCTACTCTTCAGTCAACAAACACTTACTGAGAAGTGGCTGTGTGCCAGGCACGCTTTAGGTGCTGGGGTTGCCTCCATGAACAAAACAAGCAGAAAACTCTGCTGCTGTGAAGCAAGCTAAGGCGGAGCCCAGCATGGCAGGGGCGGGAGGGGCTGGCTGGCAAGACATTGCTTCCTGCCCTCCCCCCAGGGGCACCACACAGAACAGTTTACAAAGCACTCCCACGGTTGCGTTCCCATTAACAAGCCTTCGCCCCCAACACAAGCCTTTCCTCTCCTAGTCCCCGGGACGGTGTCAGCCCTGAACATAGCCCAGGCTGGGAGAGTGGGGGGCTTACACCCTTGGGTGACTTAATGTGCCCACTGGCCCACCCTGCCCAAGACCTACCACTTCTGCCCTCTCAGCTCTCCCTGGATCCATCGGGTCCCGAGTGGGATTGCCCACTGGGCTCCAAGGACCTGGAGGAAGAGGGCCCCTGGGGAGGGGGCTCTGGCCTGCCGCCCACAGGCTGCTTCCCTGGCTCCTGGCGCCAGGACGTGGGCCTGGACTGCAAGGGATCCCCCGAGGGGGCCGAGGCCCGGGCTTGGACTGTCTACTACTACAGCCTCCTGCAGAGCTGTCTGCAGCAAGCTGGCCTTCCGGAGACTCAGGACCGCGGCCAGGTGCCCCGCACAGGTGCCCAAGGGCTCCCTGGAGGGAGGCACCTCTGGGGGCAGGGAGGGGCCCTCAGCCCAGTCTGCTTGCTCATCCCTGTCAAGGTCGGCCCCTTCCCCTAGGCTCTGGTTCCATCTGAAGGCAGGGAAGGCACAGCCAGTTGGCCTAGGGTAGGCGGACATTGTTTGCAAGGGCATCTGGCACCAGTGAGGTCAAGGATTGGGCTCCCTGCCCTCACCCCCTCCCCAAAAAGACCCAGCCCTGGGATTGGGAAACCACGTTGTGTGGCACCGAAGCTTCTAGAGAAAGGTCTTGGGAGCTGTGGTGGAGGCAGCTCAGCAGCTGAGACCCCCCAGACTCCTCCCCTTCTGCCCCTCCACGCCTGTTACATATATCAGACTTTGTGTGGACAGAGGGTTCACAGGCAGAATACCTGAGAATCACAGACTTGGTCCCATTGTACAAACTTGGAAACTGAGGCTTGGAGGAACACTGACTCCTCCAAGGTTACACAGAAAGTCAGAGCTCGGGCTAGAACTCAGGTCTCCAGTCACCTAGCCCACAGCACCTCTGGAACAGCTGCAGAAAGGGGAAACCAGCTTCACGGGGCAGGACTGGCGGGCACCTCCATTCCCTGCCTGTCCCCTGTCTCATCCGATTCCTGGGAAAACTCTGGGGGCTCAGGGTGGGGCCGTGGGTGTGGAGGTGGTGGAAGGTGGGCAGAGAGACAGCAAGGGCGCCCCTGGTGAGCTGGGCCATGTTCTCTTTCCCGAGGCTGTCCTGGGGCGGAGGTGACCTTGTGCGTTCTGGGCTCCCCCAGCACCTTTCTGCCTGTGCTGCTGGAGGGTGGGGTCCAGAGCCCGGGTGAGTGTATGCTCAAGTTTCCCCATCCCCTTCTACAGAAAGGGCAGCCCTGCCCTGGCCCAGCCACATCCCAAAATACCCGCCAACCCTGGCAACTGCCTGCATTCCACCGGAGCAGCTGCCATGCTGAATGGGGATGGGTTCTGGGATCAGCTGCTTCCACTCCGCTACCCGGGGGCCCGGGCATAGGGCATCAAGCCTTCCCTGGCCAGCCACTTGCCTTCTCTGCCCACAGGAAACATGCTCCTTTGCCTGTCCCCTGCTTGGCTGATGAAGGTGCCAGCACCCGGGCAGCCGGGTGAGGCAGCCCTGCTAGTCTCCAAGGCTGTGAGCTTCCACCCTGGGGGCCTGACATTCCTGGATGACTTTGTCCCCCCGCGCCGTGCCACCTACTTTTTGGCAGGCCTGGGCCTGGGGCCTGGCCGGGGCCGAGAGGCAGCAGAACTCGCCCGTGACCTGACCTGCCCCACAGGAGCTTCGGCTGAGCTGGCCCGGCTGCTGGAGGACCGGCTGCTGACAAGGCAGTTGCTGGCCCAGCAGGGTGGTGTGGCTGTGCCAGCAACCCTGGCTTTCACCTACAAGCCGCCGGGGCTGCTGCGGGGAGGGGATGCCAGCCTAGGGCTACGGCTGGTGGAGCTGAGTGGCAAAGAGGGCCAGGAGACGCTGGTGAAAGAGGAAGTGGAGGCTTTTCTGCGCTCCGAGGCCCTGGGTGATATCCTGCAGGTAACAGACTCTCGCCCACCCTGAGGTCTGTACAGATGCCAGCAGGATGGGACCCAGGCACGGTTACCAAGTCTGGCTGGAAAGGTGTCCCTACCTCTTAGCCCTGCCGCTGCCCTGCCCCATCTCTGGGGCAATCCCCTGCCCTTTTGCCTCAGTTTACTCACCGGCTCCTGTGGCGGAAGTGCCCCACCCTGCAGTACCTGGGGTGGTGTCCAGGAGGCCCCTTTCCCCTCCTTGCTGCAGGTAGCTGTGAAGCTCAGTGGCTGGCGCTGGCGGGGGCGGCAGGCATGGCGTCTGCACCCGCGGGCAGAGCTGGGTGCAGTGGTGGACACAGTGCTGGCGCTGCTGGAGAAGCTGGAGGAGGAGGAGAGTGTCCTGGTGGAGGCTGTGTACCCACCTGCCCAGCTGCCCTGCTCAGGTGAGAGCCACCTGGGCTGACCAGGGATGGGAGTTTGGTGTGGCCTTCTGGCCACTCTGTGCTGGCCTTAGACCTCCCCGTCTTCCCCCAGATGGTCCTTCACCCGGCCCCGGCCTGGCCGTGCGAATCTGTGCTGTGGTGTGTCGGACACAGGGTGATAGGCCACTGCTGAGCAAGGTGAGCGTGGCCCAGGCCCAGGCTGTGACCCTGCCTGCCACACGCCAGCCCAGTCCCAGTAGTGGTTTGCCAAGGGCCCCTGAGCCGTCTCTGGGCAGAGAGGACAAAATCCTTAGGGGGGTCGTAGTTGCCTCTGGGGAAACTACTGGGTCTGACCGTCTTCCCTCTCCTGCAACCCTTCCAGAATCCCTCCCACACCAAGAGCCCCTGCCCCTGTGCTCAGCCCCACGCTGGGTAGTACCAGGGCCCAGGGGGCTGAATTGTCTTCCCAGAGAGCTCTTGCCCACGTAGAGGCTGACCCAGGGCCTCCTGATAAACCTCTAGTGCCTGGACGCCTTCAGGAGGGGCCTCTAAGCTGGAGAGTCAGGAAGGCTTACGGACCCTCCTGAGTACCCCGCTCTAGGCTACACTGAGAGGGAGAGATTCGACCCTGCCCTCAGGGAGCTCCAGTGGGGTAGGGAAAGGTGCGCCCCAGGGAGATGCTAGGGTGGGGCACACCAGGGTGGCCCAGGCCCCCAGGGCTGCAGGAGCCATCCTGGAGGGGGACCCCAGCTGGGCCTGGAAGCCTGGGTAGGTAGAATCCCTGGAGAGGTCTGGGGACCAGATGGGGAGTGGCAGGGAGAGCTCGTGTGCAATTTAAGACACGTTGGAGGACGGGGCTTCTTGAATGTCCAGTGAGGGGTCTGGTCTGAATTTTGGCACAAGGCGGTGGGGGTGTGCGTGGGGGGCAGGGAGTGTGTGGGCCTCCCCCTGAGTCTCCCCCTGCCCAGGTGGTGTGCGGCGTGGGCCGCGGGGACCGCCCTCTACGGCACCACAACTCCCTGCCGAGGACGCTGGAGGTGGCGCTGGCCCAGTGCGGCCTGGGCGAGGAGGCGCAGGTGGCGGCTGTGCGGCAGCGCGTCAAGGCGGCGGCCGAGGCCGCGCTGGCCGCCGTGCTGGCTCTGGAGGCCGGCCTGAGTGCCGAGCAGCGCGGCGGGCGCCGGGCGCACACGGACTTCCTGGGTGAGTGAGGGCGGCCGGGGCCGGGGCCGGGAGCCGAGGGCCAGGGGCTGGAGGGCGGTGGCTGCCGTAGCTGAGCTCGCGCCTCCCGCCCGGCGCAGGCGTGGATTTCGCGCTGACAGCGGCCGGCGGCGTGCTGACCCCAGTGGCCCTGGAGCTGAACGGCGGCCTGTGTCTGGAGGCGTGCGGCGCGCTGGAGGGGCTGTGGGCCGCGCCGCGGCTGGGGCCGGCGGCCGACGAGGCGGTGGCGGCGCCGCTGGTGGAGACCATGCTTCGGCGGTCGGCGCGCTGCCTCATGGAGGGAAAACAGCTGCTGGTGGTCGGCGCTGGCGGCGTCAGCAAGAAGTTCGTGTGGGAGGCGGCGCGCGACTACGGGCTCCAGGTGGGCGGGGCGCGGGGCGGGGCTGGGCCCCAGGTCCTGGCCCGAGTGGTGGAGGCGGGACCCCGGGGCGGGGCCTGGAGCAAAGGGGCGTCCTTGGGGCGGGACCAGCCGCGCTAGAGGCGGTGCTTGGGCGGGGCATCCTGGCCAGGTACAAGTAAGCCCAGGAGTAAGGGCGGAGTCCGCCGCCCGGTGAGGGTGAGGGGACTCCGCTAGTTCTGGAGTGAGAGGCCCTGGGGAGGGCAGGGAGTCCTCCACAGAAAGAGGAGAGGAGCCCGGGTAGATGGGCTGGGCGAGGGACAGCGTTAGCGCCAGAGTGGGGGCCTTGAATGCCAGGCTAAGGAGCCTGGCTCTGTCTTGGGGAAAGGGCGGGCCCTTTGAGGTTGAATTCCTGACACTTGGCACCCAGGACCCGCAGAGGGTGCTGGGGAACCGCATACAGATCCTGAATCAAGTTCATAGCAGGGCATCACTTTACAGAATCTGGAGCGAGCCAGGCAGGTAGACTTGTTTTTGTTTTTTCTTTTTTGAGACAGGGTCTCAATCTGTTGACCAGACTGGAGTGCGGTGGTGCGATCACAGCTCACTGCAGCCTCGACTTCCTGGGCTGAAGCGATCCTCCCACCTCAGCCTCCCTAGTAGCTGAGACTACAGGCACGTGCCACCATGCCCAGCTAATTTTTTTTTTTTGAAACGGAGTCTTGCTCTGTCGCCCAGGCTGGGTGCAGTGGCGTGATCTCGGCTCACTGCAACCTCCCGGGTTCACGCCATTCTCCTGCCTCAGGCTCCCGAGTACCTGGGACTACAGGCGCCCGCCACCACGCCTGGCTAACTTTTAGTAGAGATGGGGTTTCACCATGTTAGCCAGGATGGTCTCGATCTCCTGACCTCGTGATCCACCCGCCTCAGCCTCCCAAAGTGCTGGGATTACAGGCGTGAGCCACCGCGCCCGGCCTTTTTTTTTTTTTTTTTTTTTTTTTTTTTTAATACGGAGTCTCTCTCTGTCTCCCAGGCTGGAGTGGAATGGCGCAATCTCGGCCCATTGCAACCTCTGCCTCCTGGGTTCAAGTGATTCTCGTGCCTCAGCCTCCGGAGTAACTAGGATTACAGGCACGCACCAACATGTCCGGCTAATTTTTTATTTTTAGTAGAGACAGGGTTTCACCATGTTGGCCAGGCTGGTCTCGAACTCCTGACCTCAAGTGATCTGCCCGCTTTGGCCTCCCAAAGAACTGGGATTACAGGCGTGAGCCACCAGCCCGGCCTGCCTGGCTAATTTTAAAAATTTTTAGTAGAGACGGGATCTCGCTCTGTTGCCCAGGATGGTCTTGAACTCCTGAGCTCAAGCGATCCTCCTGCTTCGGCCTCCCAAAGTGCTGGGATTACAGGTGTGAGCCACTGCGCACAGCCAATTAGACATTCTTATCCCCATTGAACAGATAAGAAAACTGAGGCCATCTCAAGCTGGCCCTAATCTAGCACACTGGCCTCCTCTCCCCTCTCCCACCGTGCAGCACCCCCTGTGGACACCACCTCTGTGTCCCCTGCCTTGCTCAGTGTTTTCTCCACTTGGAATGTCACTCCACTGCCGAGGCTGTGTTACTTTGCAGAGAGCCACCCTCCCTCTCTCTTCAGTGGCTGCCCTGCCCTGGGTTCCCCCAGCAGGCAGTAAGCTTTAGGGGCACGGGGCCCCACTGGATTCCTCCGTGGACACTTCCCAGTGTCAGAGCACATGGGGTGAATTGTGACCAAACCACTTGTCCCAAGCCCCAGCCCTGGTAGTTTCTCTGCAATCCCCGGCCAGTGAGGCTGCCTGTGGGAAAGAGTCCACCACGCTCTCTCACACCCTCTTCTCTGTGCTGCAGCCCCTCCCACCCAGAACATGCCTTTTCCTCCTGCAGCCACCTGGCTGACTCATATTCTTCAGCTCCCAGCTTAGGCATTGCCTCCTCTAGGATGCCTTCCCTCCCCTCCGGCCTGTATCAGGTGTCCCACTTCTGCCCCTTCCATTTATTCAGTCAATCCACAACACACATTTATTGAGCACCTAGTGTTTGTGTACTCGTATCCCCTGAAGGGGCCATCCTAGGCCCCATCCTATCCCCCTAGCACCCAGTACTAGCTGACCTGGATATGCCCCACCCTGTGGCTTCTGCAGCTGCACCTCGTGGAGTCAGACCCCAACCACTTTGCATCCCAGTTGGTACAGACCTTCATCCACTTTGACATGACAGAGCACCGGAGGGATGAGGAGAACGCACGGCTGCTGGCAGAGTTGGTGCGGGCTCGCGGCCTCAAGCTAGATGGCTGCTTCTCCTACTGGGATGACTGCCTGGTGCTCACAGCCCTGCTCTGCCAGGAGCTAGGTCTGCCCTGCAGCTCCCCAGCTGCCATGCGCCTGGCTAAGCAGAAGAGCCTCACCCAGCTGCACCTGTTGCACCACCATGGCCCACCCTGGCCTGCGCCCTCCCTCCATGCTGTGCCCTGCTGCCCACTGGAGAGTGAGGCTGATGTGGAGAGGGCCGTGCACCAGGTACCCCTGCCAGGTGTCATGAAGCTGGAGTTCGGGGCAGGTGCAGTGGGTGTCCGGCTGGTAGAGGATGCGCCACAGTGCCATGAGCACTTTTCCCGGATTACCCGAGACTTGCAGGGCGAGGCCGACCACCCAGGCATTGGGCTGGGCTGGGGCAATGCCATGCTGCTGATGGAGTTTGTGGAGGGCACCGAGCACGACGTGGACCTGGTGTTGTTTGGTGGGCGGTTGCTGGCTGCCTTTGTCTCCGACAATGGCCCTACGAGGCTGCCTGGCTTCACTGAGACGGCGGCCTGCATGCCCACCGGGCTGGCACCAGAGCAGGAGGCACAGATGGTTCAGGCAGCCTTCCGCTGTTGCCTGGGCTGCGGGTTGCTCGATGGAGTCTTCAACGTGGAGCTCAAGCTGACCGGGGCTGGGCCTCGGCTTATCGAGATCAACCCCCGCATGGGTGGCTTCTACCTGCGTGATTGGATCCTGGAGCTCTATGGTGTTGACCTGCTGCTGGCTGCTGTTATGGTGGCCTGTGGCTTGCGTCCTGCCCTGCCCACCCGCCCACGTGCTCGTGGCCATCTGGTGGGCGTCATGTGCCTTGTGTCCCAGCACCTGCAGGCCCTGAGTTCCACCGCCAGCCGTGAGACCCTGCAGGCCCTGCACGACCGTGGACTGCTACGCCTCAATCTGCTGGAGGAGGCCCTGGTGCCTGGCGAGTATGAGGAGCCCTACTGCAGTGTGGCCTGTGCCGGACCCAGCCCCACCGAGGCCCGTCTCCGCCTGCTGGGCCTCTGCCAGGGCCTGGGCATCGATGGGCCCAGCTACCCTGTTGCCCACTTCCTGTCTCACTTCAAATAGCACTGGGGTCAGGGGGCAGGGAAGCAGTGCTGGGTGGAGGCACTGTGGTGCCCTCTGCTCCCTGGAGCTCTTCCTGCTTCTCTCCCCATCACCATGCCCCAGCCCCAGCCTGGCCCGCTGCAATGCCTAGGTCTGTTCCAGAGCAGCAGGGCAATTTAGACACCAAGGCATCCTGGACTCAAGGGCCTCTTGCCCTCCCGAAGGCCCCAGTCCAGCCTACAGCTTCCCCAGCATTCTAGCCTTGGAGAAATGACAATGGCCACACACACACACACACACACACACACACACCTCTGACGCCAGCTCCCCAGGTGGGAGTGGGCCCAAACCCAGCCCCTCCTGTCCACCTCTCCAGGTCTCACTCTCTTCCTGCCATCTACAAGAGGAGAGGACCTGGCTGGGCCCCAAGCCTTGGACAAATCCTGGGAAAACCTGAGACTAGAACCCTTGTCTTCCTCTTACCCAAATTCTAGGATAGCTCTGAAGCCTGCTGGAAACTTGGTGGCATCCAACCTGCCTCATTCGGCCTGACCGGTAGAGGCAGGTGGCCTGTGGACAGAAGTAATCCTCTTTCTGCTCACCCCAGGCAGACACAACTGCCTATGTTCCCCCGATGAGAGGAAACAGGCTGAGAGAAGAAAAATGACTGCTCCAGGATTATACCACAGTGGAGAGCGGGTCACAGGACATGATGCAGGGTCCAGGTTTCTGTTTTGATCAAGTCTTACATGCCCATTCAGCTTCTAGGCCCCCCTCACCTCCCTGCCCTCATTCACAAGTGGCCCTGAGACACGTGAACACCTCCCTCCTATGCATCACAAACCTTCTCCACCGAGCTTTGGTGCTTTGGCCTCTGGCACACCTAACTAGCATTGGCAGAGGAGAGTCTACACTCTCTTCCTCATTCAGGGAAGATGCTTTAAGAAATCCTGCCTCTGTGCAGCAGAGGAGCTGGAGGCAGCTCCCCAGGCATCCCTCCCCAAATAAAGGCTTATGTACTGGTGAAGTGTCTAGATAGGTTCTCTTGACTGGACAACTCCTCCCAGGATCAGCTAGATAGGGGGTGGGGAAGGGGGATCAAGAGACGGGTAGGGGATACTTGTAGCATCTGGAGCTAAGGGAAAACCACCCCACTGGCCTGGTGTCTGAGTTGCCCTGGGTTGCTAGGGGCCTGCCCTACACCCACATCAAGACCCGAACCTGGGGATCTCCTTTGGTGGAATTACAACCAGAGGGCCACATTCAACGAGATAACCCTCTGCATGCCTGGAGACCCCTGAATTCTGTCCACCTCAGTTCATACCCAACCTCCCCTATGCACATGGAAGGCACACCTAGACAGCCTCCAACAATCAGAACTCACACCCAAGGCCTGGTCTGACCCAAATTCACACCCACACATCCCCATCCAATAAGAATCCATACCCAATCTTTTTTTTTTTTTTTGAGACAGTTTCACTCTTGCTGCCCAGGCTGGAGTGCAATGGCACAGTCACGGCTCACTGAAACCTCTGCCTCCCGGGTTTAAGTGATTCTTCTGCCTCAGCCTCTCAAGTAGCTGGGATTACAGGCACCCACCACCACACCCAGCTAATTTTTGTATTTTTAGTAGAGACGGGGTTTCACCATGTTGGCCAGACTGGTGTCGAACTCCTGACCTCAAGCGATCCACCCGGCTCGACCTCCCAAAGTGCTAGGGTTGCAGGTGTGAGCCACCGCGCCCCGCCAAATCCATACCCAATCTAAAGTCACAGACCACATGTCACAGACAAGATTTGCTGTGTTGAGTGTGTTCATTCCTTCTTTCTTTTTTTTTCTTTTTTTGGAGACGGAGTCTCACTCTGTTGCCCAGGCTGTAGTGCAATGGCGTGATCTTGATTCACTGCAACCTCTGCCTCCCAGGTTCAAGCGATTTTCCTACCTCAGCCTCCCAAGTAGCTGGGACTATAGGCATGCACCACCACTCCCGGCTAATTTTTGTATTTTTAGTAGAGACAGGTTTTCACTATGTTGGTTAAGCTGGTCTTGAACTCCTGACCTCAAGTGATCCACCCGCCTTGGCCTCCCAAATTGCTGGGATCGCAGGCATGAGCGACCCTGCCTGGCCTAAGTTCATTCTGTCAACAGCGTTTTTGGTTTTTGCTGGGTGTAGTGGCTCATGCCTGTAATCACAGCACTTTGGAAGGCCAAGGCAGGAGGATCACTTGAGTCCAGAAGTTCAAGACCAGCCTCCTGGGCAACAAAACAA
Organism: Homo sapiens; assembly: GCF_000001405.40. Taxonomy (NCBI): domain Eukaryota; kingdom Metazoa; phylum Chordata; class Mammalia; order Primates; family Hominidae; genus Homo; species Homo sapiens. The sequence goes on from NC_000011.10 coordinate 67,426,850, forward strand.
GACCTCCCCTCTAAAAAAAAAAAAAAAGAAAGAAAGAAAGAAAAGAAAAAAGATTATGTGATTATGTCATTCCAGTTACTTGGGATTTGAGGTGGGAGAATCACTGGAACCCAAGAAGTCAAGGCTGCAATGAGCCACGATCTTGCCACTGTACTCCAGCCTGGGTGACAGAGTAAGATCCTGTCTGAAAAACTAAACAAAACAAAGAAAAAAAAACCATAAAGTTTTTTTTTTTTTTTTTTTTTTTTTTTTTTTTTTTTTTAAGATGGAGTCTCGCTCTTGTTGCCCAGGCTGGAGTACAATGGCATGATCTTGGCTCACCGCAACCTCCGCTTCCCAGGTTCAAGTGATTCGCCTGCCTCAGCCTTCCCGAGTAGCTGGGATTACAAGCATGCACCACCATGCCCAGCTAATTTTGTGTTTTTAGTAGAGACGGGGTTTCTCCATGTTGGTCAGGCTGGTCCTGAACTCCCGACCTCAGGTGATCCGCCTGGCTCGGCCTCCCAAAGTGCTGGGATTACAGGTGTGAGCCACCGTGACCAGCCAGGTTTTCGGGTTTTATCTGTTTGAGACTTGGTCTCACTCTGCCGCCCAGCCTGGAGCGCAGTGGTGCAATCTTGGCTCACTGCAACCTCTATCGCCCGAGTTCAAGCGATTCTCCTGCCTCAACCTCCCGAGTATCTGGGAGTACAGGTGCGCGCCACCACACCCGTCTAATTTTTTGTATTTATAGTAGAGGCAGAGTTTCATCATGTTGGCCAGGCTGGTCTCCAACTTCTGACCTCAAGTGATCCACCCACCTCGGCCTCCGAAAGTGTTGAGATTACAGGTGTGAGCCACCGCCTCCGGCCTGTTTGTTTTTTTGAGACAGGATCTCACTGTGTCACCCAGCCTGGAGTGCAGTGGCACCATCATAGCTCACTGTAACCTTGAACTCCTGGCCTCAAGTGATCCTCCCAACTTGGCTTCCCAAAGTGCTACGATTACAGGCGTGAGGCATCGTGTCCGGCCTCAACAACGTTTTTTGAAGTGTCTATTCTGTACCAGGTGCCTAAATGTGCTTAAATTAAGAAGGGAGTAAACGCCAACAAAATCCCATATTTACAGGTCTATCACTGACCCCCAAAACCCTATTTAAGGCGGGAACCTGGCAACATAGCCTGGCAGTGAGCTGGCCACTCAGTAAATGCTCCGATTTGCAGGGTCCTCGAGCCAGAGGCACTTTGAGGAGACCCTGATGCAGCCGCCTCCCTTTCTGGAGTGAACCGAAAGCAACGCGACCTGCCTTTCATCACGCAGCCGGCCTGGCAGTACCCGTCTCCAACAGGGCTGGGGATTGCATTTACATTCACACCTGCATACACTTCCGACCCTGCTCCATCCAAACTCAAAACACCGTAGAACCAAAACGGGCTCCCAGAAAGCCTTGCTGGGAAGACCGAGGGTCCTGCGGAAAGGATTCTGCAGGCTGAAGGCTAGGCGCCTCGCCACTCTAGGACTACAATTCCCGAGAGGCCTTGCGACGGAAGCCATCTTTGTTCCCCACCAGGCTAAGCGATTTTCCGGAGGGGGAGTAAGATCCCTTGCGTCACCGGCGCGCGCAGCTGCCGTCGCGGAGAGATGATGTTTAGGTCCGGGACTGTCAGTCAGTGCGCGGCCAGGTACGGGCCGACGGGCCCGCGGGGCCGGCGCCGCCATGGCGGCCGTGTTTGATTTGGATTTGGAGACGGAGGAAGGCAGCGAGGGCGAGGGCGAGCCAGAGCTCAGCCCCGCGGTGAGTGCCCTGCCCTGGCGCGACTGGATCCTGGAGCCGATCCTGTCACCCAGCCGAGGCCGGAGCGGCGGCTCCGCACGCCCAGAGCGGGCTCCGACTCTTTGCAGACCCAGATCCTTCTCAGATCCCGGTCTCTATTAAGTTCTGATCCCACCCTCACCCCGACCTCTCTTCCAGAACCCCAGCCTTTTCTCCCGATTCTCCCTTTCCTGCCTTCGGTTTCTTCCCAATTCTTACCCATCCCCTACTAGCTGCCATCCCTGACACCCTTCTCTCCTGGGCCACGCAGTCCAACCTGAACGGGAGCGGGGAGGTATCCTGGCACCTTCCTTGGCTCTTACCCCTCGGTTTCTCACAGGACGCATGTCCCCTTGCCGAGTTGAGGGCAGCTGGCCTAGAGTGAGTGAGGGTCGTGTTGGGGGAGGGGGGAATGGAGTGGGGAAGGGGAACTGGGGAGCACTGGAGCCTTGTCCTCATTAACTCCTTGTGTCCGTAGGCCTGTGGGACACTATGAAGAGGTGGAGCTGACTGAGACCAGCGTGAACGTTGGCCCAGAGCGCATCGGGCCCCACTGCTTTGAGCTGCTGCGTGTGCTGGGCAAGGGGGGCTATGGCAAGGTAGGGGCGGGCGCACCCTCCTCCTGGCCTCACAGCCTCCATCTGGAGGCAGCAAAGGGTTCTCAAAACAAATTAGACTTGTGAATCAGCAGGGCCTCTAATGGGATTCAGAGCCAGAAACATAAAGGAGGGAAGGCCAAATCCTCTCCAATCGGACTTGAAATCTTCACTGCCCCACCCTTGGCAGGGCCTAGGCCTCCTGATCCCAAAGCCAGAGCTTCAGGGTGGGGCTTCTTGAAGATAGGATGTGGAGAGGGAAGTTGATCCTGTCTCCCCTGCCCTACAGGTGTTCCAGGTGCGAAAGGTGCAAGGCACCAACTTGGGCAAAATATATGCCATGAAAGTCCTAAGGAAGGTGAGTCACTCGTTCAGCCAACGAATACTGTGTGGCTGCCATTCCCAACATGCTGTACCAGGCTTTGGGAAGACAGCAGGGAACACAGTGGAGGAGGATCCCTGACTTTGGCGTTTGCTGGTTTATTGTCTGTTGTGATGTGTATTGTCTTGCAGTAATTCTCAATGGGGGCAATTTTGACTCCCAGCAGACATTTGACAACAGTGTCTGGACACTATTTTATTTTATTTTTTTTTAAGACGGAGTCTTGCTCTGTCACCCAGGCTGGAGTGCAGTGACGCGATTTTGGCTCACTGCCACCTCTGTCTCCCAGGTTCAAGCGATTCTCGTGCCTTAGACTCCGGAGTAGCTGGGATTACAGGCGCTTGCCACCACACCCAGCTAATTTTTGTACTTTTTTGTAGAGGTGGGGTTTCGCCTGGCTGGTCTCTAACTCCTAATCTCAGGTGATCTGCCCGCCTTGGCCTCCAACGTGCTGGGAGCTGGGATTACAGGCATGAGCCACCGTCCCTAGCTTTTTTTTTTTTTTGGATGGAGTCTTGCTTTGTTCCCCAGACTGGAGTGCAGTAGTGCACTCTCTGCTCACTGCAACCTCTGCCTCCCGGGTTCAGGTAATTCTCTTACCTCAGCCTCCTGAGTAGTTGGGACTACAGGCTTGTGCCACCACACCTGGCTAATCTTTGTATTTCTATTTGTTTACCTACTTATTTTGAGACGGAGTCTCACTCTGTCACTCAGGCTGGAGTGCAGTGGTGCGATCTCGGCTCACTGGCAACCTCCACCTCCCAGGGTGAAGTGATTCTCCTGCCTCAGCCTCCTGAGTAGCTGGGATTACAGGCGTGAACCACCACTCCTGGCTAATTTTTTTTTTTTGTATTTTTAGTAGAGATGGGTTTTTGTCATGTTGGTCAGGCTGGTCTTGAACTCCTGACCTCAGGCTATCCGCTCACCTTGGCCTCCCAAAGTGCTGGGATTACAGCCATGAACCACCGTGCCTGGCCTAGTTTTTGTACTTTTTAGTGGAGGCAGGGTTTCACCATGTTGGTCAGGCTGGTCTCGAACTCCTGACCTCAGGTGATTCGCCTGCCTCAACCTCCCAAAGTGCTGGGATTACAGGTGTGATCCACTGCGCCTGGCATGGACACATTTTTGATTGTCAAGGCAAGAGGGGAGTGTTACTGGCACCCGGTGGGTGGAGACCAGGGATGCTGCTGAACATCCCACGATGCGCAGGGCAGCCTCCCACAACAAAGAATGACCTGGTCCCAGGTGTCAGTAGTGCCGAGGTTGAGAAACCCTGTGTTAGAGGATAAACCCATCCCTGAAAATGATGGTGGCTGACAGCAGCAGAATTATGGAGAAATACAATGCAGTGACAGAGGATGCAGCAGTTAACAAACAGATGGATGGTCTGAGGAGCTCTGGTTGCCCCCATTTTTTTTTTTTTTTTTTTTTTGAGATAGTGTCTCGCTCTGTCACCCAGGCTGGAGTGCAGTGGCGTGATCTCAGCTCACTGCAACCTCTGCCCCTGGGTTCAAGCGATTCTCCTGCCTCAGCCTCCTGAGCTGGGATTACAGGCGTGTACCATCATACCCAGCTAATTTTTCTATTTTTAGTAGAGATGGGGTTTCACCATGTTGGCCAGGCTGGTCTCAAATTCCTGACCTCAGGTAATCCGCCTGCCTTGGCCTCCTAGAGTGCTGGGATTACAGGTGTGAGCCACTGTGCCCAGCCTGGATGCCTCAGTTTCTAACCAATTCCTGTATCTCCAGGCCAAAATTGTGCGCAATGCCAAGGACACAGCACACACACGGGCTGAGCGGAACATTCTAGAGTCAGTGAAGCACCCCTTTATTGTGGAACTGGCCTATGCCTTCCAGACTGGTGGCAAACTCTACCTCATCCTTGAGTGCCTCAGTGGTATGAGTGCGGGCCCAGGCAGGGGTGCTGGGGGTCGCGGGGGGGCAGCGAGCCAGCAAAGGAAGCTCTGGGGGGAAGCTCTTGAGAGATGAGTCTGTGGGGGTTGGCTAGGGGGCCCCCACTCTGTCCTACCCATCCATCCATCCATCCGTGCATCCGTCCCATCATTCATTCATTCAGCAAACGTCTGTCCAGCACCTACTGTGTCCCTCACGTGTGTTGGGGGTGGATGGGCATGGTGCGAATTTGGATAGAAGTCCAGAGGATGGTTGAGTCTCTTCCTACTCCCCTCCCTGTCTTGTTCTTCTCTCCCGTGTGCCCTGCATCCTGTCAGGTCCCCAGCCCAACTGGTTCATTCTCTGTAGTGTCCTCCTCCATCCGTCCACTCTCAGGGGCCTGGTGGGGTGGCCAGAGCACTTTTCTAACTGGGCTGAGGCCTCCCGCTCACCTGCTTTCTAGTGTCTCCTCTGCCGACTGCTGAGGTCATAGAGCCTGGGGCTGCTCCCAGCCCTTCTATTCAGAGTCCTGCGGCTGGCTGCCCACATCAAGCCTTGCCCCTAGGCCGGCTGTCCCCTGCAGGCTGTGAGCAGTCTTGACCTGCCTTTCCCTCGTTTGGGCCAGATGAACCCTGCGAGCTTCTGCCTCCATGCTCTGCATTCGCTCCGTCCATCTCAGCATCCCCTTAAAGTCCCAGCAAACCGCGCTTTCTCTGTTCTGTTCTGTTGGGATTCACTCTGTCTTCCCTGTCTTCTCTGCGAGATCTTTTGGGCTAAGCTCTTGGAGCTGTGGCCTGGGCCTGGCGTATTAGAGCCGTTGTGTACATGTCTGTCTCCCCAGTAGACTGAGCGTCCTGAGGGCAGTGGCTGGGTCTCTTCATCCTGTCCCCAGCTTCACCCAGCACAGGGCCAGGCACCGAGTAGGCGTCGGTAGATGTTTGCTGAATTGAATTGAATCCCCACGGCAGCTCTGTGAGGCAGGTAGGGCGGGAATTATGAGCCCCTCTTTCCCCAAGAAGAAATAAAGACTCAGAAAGCACAAAGGGGCTTGGACCCAGCACGTGGCTGCTGACGTGTTTGTGTGGCAGGTGGCGAGCTCTTCACGCATCTGGAGCGAGAGGGCATCTTCCTGGAAGATACGGCCTGGTGGGTGTTAATCCTCCGCTTTCCTGAGGCTGCCAGGTCCCTGCTCTACTCCCGCCTTCACCCTGTCTTGTTTCTGCAGCTTCTACCTGGCTGAGATCACGCTGGCCCTGGGCCATCTCCACTCCCAGGGCATCATCTACCGGGACCTCAAGCCCGAGAACATCATGCTCAGCAGCCAGGGTGCGCATGTGTGTGCGGGCAGCTGCAGGCGGGGTCTGCAATCTGTGGGGAGGGCTGAGGACCTCTGTGGGTGGGGTGGGGCCCTGGTCACGCCTCTCCAACACCCTTCCTCAGGCCACATCAAACTGACCGACTTTGGACTCTGCAAGGAGTCTATCCATGAGGGCGCCGTCACTCACACCTTCTGCGGCACCATTGAGTACATGTAAGTGGCACCTGGCTGGCCCAGGGGTCGGGAGGACAGCCCGAAGGGGCACGGCCTGACTGACAGTTCCACCTGGACCCCAGGGCCCCTGAGATTCTGGTGCGCAGTGGCCACAACCGGGCTGTGGACTGGTGGAGCCTGGGGGCCCTGATGTACGACATGCTCACTGGATCGGCAAGTCCAGCCCCCGGGGAGGAGGAGGGGCAGGGGCAGAGGTGGGAGTAGCCCCCCTCCTGGGGCAAGGGCAGGGCCTGGTGGGAGGCCCACAAGGCTCCTCTCACCTTCCTCCTCCTCCAGCCGCCCTTCACCGCAGAGAACCGGAAGAAAACCATGGATAAGATCATCAGGGGCAAGCTGGCACTGCCCCCCTACCTCACCCCAGATGCCCGGGACCTTGTCAAAAAGGTGCAGCTCCCTTCTCTCTTCTCCGGGGCCCTGCCAGCCATTCTGCACGTGTTCCTGAGTCTCTCTGGGCTGTGGGGAAGCCAGGGCCACCCCGGCCTGTGCAGTTTGCCTCTGGGAATGAAAGGAGCCCCTCCCTTGAAGTCAGGGATTGAGCCCAGGTCTCAGCCCTGTCACAGACCAGCTGCTGCCCTGGCCCAGTCCTTAGGCTGAGTCCTAACCAGTGACACGCTTGTGATGAGCTGGCCACACTTCCGTCAAAGGCGAGCATCGGAGGTGTTAGGGGGAGGCCGGACAGCCACATGGGGAGTTGGCGCCTCACCAACGCGCCCTGGGGCAATGCCAGGGCCCAGGAGCCTCTGCAAAGCCTTTGTGGAGAAGGTGGCTCCATTGACCAAACCTTGAAAGCCCTGAGGGTATCCATAGGTGGGAGCCACACCCAAAAGCATTCTCTCCCATGTCACCTGACCCCTACTCCAGCTAGCCCTGGGACCCGGGGACACATGAGCAGTACTTGCCCAGGCCCTCACCCTCTCTCCTGGTCCCGCAGTTTCTGAAACGGAATCCCAGCCAGCGGATTGGGGGTGGCCCAGGGGATGCTGCTGATGTGCAGGTGGGTTTGGGACCACCACCAGGGGTAGGGCTGAGTCTCCAAGGGTGCCGGGAATGGGGGCAGGGCCCCAGGGCAGAGGGAGTGACCGGGGGGCAAGCAGGGTGAGCTGTTAGTGGGTTTGGTGCATTCTCTACCTACAGAGACATCCCTTTTTCCGGCACATGAATTGGGACGACCTTCTGGCCTGGCGTGTGGACCCCCCTTTCAGGCCCTGTCTGGTGAGCAGCAGGGCTGGTGGCCAGTGGCCGGTGGCGGGTGGCAAGTGGAGAACCTGCATCTTGGTGCCCTCTGACCCCTCCCCACTCTGGTCGGCCCACAGCAGTCAGAGGAGGACGTGAGCCAGTTTGATACCCGCTTCACACGGCAGACGCCGGTGGACAGTCCTGATGACACAGCCCTCAGCGAGAGTGCCAACCAGGCCTTCCTGGTGAGTGCGGGGGCCTGAGGCCTGTGGGACCAGGGCACGGATCGTGACTAAGGATGGCAGGCACTGAGTGTCGCATGGCCCTGCCTCCGCCCCCCAGGGCTTCACATACGTGGCGCCGTCTGTCCTGGACAGCATCAAGGAGGGCTTCTCCTTCCAGCCCAAGCTGCGCTCACCCAGGCGCCTCAACAGTAGCCCCCGGGCCCCCGTCAGGTACTGAGGGACGTGGGGGTGTGTGGCTGGGTTAGGGACGCTGGCAGGCAGGATGCCAGCTCCAGCCTTGGGTGCCTTGGCCACGTCTGTCGGCCAGTGTTGGCTTCGGTTGCTGTGTCTATCATGGGGACCTCAGTTCCTACACCCCTTGTGGCCAGGCTGCCTGGATGGGAGTTTGTGGAGCCCGCGGCCTGTGTGCCTGGGCAGGTGGGAAAGGCTGCCTTCCCTGACTGAGTGCTGGGAGCCTCTGGCAGGGCCTAGGAGGCTCTTATTCTGCCTTGGTTTCCCCTGCAGCCCCCTCAAGTTCTCCCCTTTTGAGGGGTTTCGGCCCAGCCCCAGCCTGCCGGAGCCCACGGAGCTACCTCTACCTCCACTCCTGCCACCGCCGCCGCCCTCGACCACCGCCCCTCTCCCCATCCGTCCCCCCTCAGGGACCAAGAAGTCCAAGAGGGGCCGTGGGCGTCCAGGGCGCTAGGAAGCCGGGTGGGGGTGAGGGTAGCCCTTGAGCCCTGTCCCTGCGGCTGTGAGAGCAGCAGGACCCTGGGCCAGTTCCAGAGACCTGGGGGTGTGTCTGGGGGTGGGGTGTGAGTGCGTATGAAAGTGTGTGTCTGCTGGGGCAGCTGTGCCCCTGAATCATGGGCACGGAGGGCCGCCCGCCACGCCCCGCGCTCAACTGCTCCCGTGGAAGATTAAAGGGCTGAATCATGGTGCTGACCTGGCTCTTTGTGCTGCATGCCTAGGGGCAGGGTTGGGTTGGATTGTGCCAGGAGGAGCCCCTGGTCCAGGAGGGAGGGGTCTCTGTAGGACCACAGGGCCACAGGCTGAAGGAGTTTTATTTCAAATGGTTGCCTGATGCCTGTGGTTGGGGGGGGCCGTTCCCGTGGTGAGCGGGGTACACATGGACTTGGGAACTGGTAGGGGGTGACAGTCTGAGGCATGGTCATGTGGGCTGGGGGTCCAGTCCAGCCATGGCATCTTGGGAAGCAGAGGCACGGGGAGTGAGCGGCTGTGACAGGGATGGGACACCAAGACCGGCCTCTACAGTGCGGTGACATGGAGGCCCTGGCCCCCAGCTGCCCTGGCGCTGTCATCCCAGGCTGCGCTGCCAGCAAAGGCGTGCAGGTCACTCAGCAGGGCCTCAGCACTGCCCCCTGCGCTCGCTGGTCCTGGGGAGCCGAGGACCAGGTCGCCCTCCGTGTCACTGTCTCTGGCTTCCTCAGCCCGCACGGGGACCTGCTCTGGGCTGGACGCCTCTCCACATTGCTGCTCGCCTTCCCCAGGGTCAGCCTGCAGGCCACCATCCGCGACGTGGTCATAGTCTGTGTCCTGCTCATCCTCCTGTCGCTCAAGGTCATTGTCTGTGGACCCCAGCTCAGCTCGGGCCTGCAGCCAGCGACCTGGGGGGCTGGCCCAGAGCAGGCGCCGCGTGCGGCCCCACAGCGCGGCACCTAGGCGGGCCGGGTGGTAGTAGCCCCCTGAGTCACGGCTGAGGCGGCGCCAGGCCAGTGCTAGGCCAGTGGCCAGCAGTAGGAGCAGCAGCAGCAGCAGGACAACGGTGACAGAGCTGGAGCCCACGCTGTCCTCCGCGCTGCCACCCGAGCCCAAGGCCCCTGGCAGGGCCAGCAGCATCCCGAGCCCTAAGGTGCAGGGCAGAGCCTGTGGGAGACAGGCAGGGGCTCAGAGGGCTCAGCACCTGGGGTGGGGCCTGGTGTGGGGCAGGCTGGGTGACCAAGACCACTTTCGTTTTTTTCTCTTTGGGATCCTCTTGGGACAGCCAAGCAGAAAAGGCCAAGGCCTTATTTGGTCAACCAGGCTCTGGCCCTGTGAGATCAGCCCCCATCCCTCCAGCCTCCTCCCTACCACTCACCTCCCCCAACAGCTGCATTAAGCCACCTGCCTGGGGCCTTCGCACTGGCTGTTCCCTCTGCCCGGAAAGCTCCACCTCCTCCCATCCTCCCCTCCCCCGGGCTGCATGGCCTGCTCACCGTGCTCAAACTTCACCCCAGTGAGGCTGAACCTGACCTTAACCTCTACCCTGATGTCTATCACTGCAGCCCACCCCAGCACCCCCCAGCACTCAGTGCCTTTTTCCTTCCATGTCACCTAACGCAGGAGATAACTGTACTCATTTTTTATGTCTATTGTCTTATCTACCCCCCACAATAAGCTGCTAGGAAACGGGGGCTTTTTGGGTCAAGCATGTTAGTAGGTGCTCAATAAGTATGGATTAAATGTGTCTAGGCTGCCTGGGTGGGTGGGAGAGGAGATGGGAGGGAGGGAAGGAGGTTGCTAGCTGGTGTCAGGGCTGGCTCTCCCTGAGGCCTGGGATGGGGGATGGAGGGGCCTGGATGCACCCAGAGGCAACTGCTCATCTTCTGCTTGGCCAGGTCCCCAAACGGGGGTCCGTGAGGCCCCTCTTCCTCCCTCCCCACCACGGGGCTGCCCCAGCGGCAGGGTTTCCGTTCCACTCCCAGTCCCTGAGGGCCACAGGCGTGCAGGGCCGGGGGCTGGGGGGGGCTGGGGGAGGCGGGCGCAGCTGCCAGAGGAAGTCTGCGGTCGGAACAGGCTAGGTGGGGGGTGTCGGGGGAGGGGTGCTGAGGTGCAGCCAGCCTCCCCCACCACCCCAGGCTGTCCGCCCAGGCTCCAGGAATGCAAGTTCCCGCTCACAGGAAGACCAGGTAAGGGCCTTCCCAGGGCTCCTGACAGGGGCCTGGTCCGGTATGGGGTGCTGGGGGCCAGGCCTGGAGTCCCAGGGAGCCCAGCTCAGGTGAGAGAAAGGTTCAGCCTCTGCCATACTCCTCTTAGGTCTCACCTCTTCCCTGGGGCCAATGTGGGGCCCTCCTTAGCTCCACAGGCCCAGACATTCTAGCCCCGACCGCCTGTGGCCCCCATCCCAAGAACCCGGGGGGCTCCGAGGCTTACCATTGGTCCGCAGGCCCCTCCGTGCCGGGCACCCACCTCCAGCTCTGGCTGTGTCGAGCGAGAAGTGAGCTCAGTGCTCGTCTGCAGTGAAGGGTGGCCCAGGCTTCCGCTTCCTGCCCACATACCCCACCTGCCCCTCCCTGCTGCAGGACCCCTGGTCCACACCAGACCCTCCCCAGTCTCTCTGGAGGAGGCTGGGCTGCCGGGCCTGTCCTCCAAGGAAGAAGCAGCACCAACTTGAAGCTGGATGCAGCCTTGCATGTGTTCTCAGGTCTTCTGCCTCAGTTTCCCTGCCTGACAATCCAGGGGAGCAATGCCTGTGGGGCTGCTCACTGCCCCCAGACCTTCTGCACATGTGTGACTCCTGTGACATCCTCTGTCTCCAGGTTTCCAGACTTCTCAGCCCCACCCTTGCAGCAGCAGGTCAGCCTGGCTTTTAGAAAGAGAATTTTATTTGGAATGAAAATATAGAGCCCACCCTCCCGCCTCCTCTGGGGAGGGAGCAGAGGGCTGGGCAGTGGTCGGGGAGATGGTCCCTCAGAGGTCGAGGAGCTCGCCTGGGCGTAGACATCCTCCACAGGAACAGTGAGGAAAGCTGGGCGCTGGCTTCGGCCTGGGCCTGGGACGGGTGGGGGTGGGAACTGACCCCTGCGCTGCCTCAGAGGCTCTGGGCAGCCAGCTAGCCCGGTGCGACCCGCTGGCAGAAGCTGAGTGGGAAGGGGGCGGCGGAGGAGATGAAGGTGGCGTGTGGCTGTGGCCCTACGCATCCCCGTTCTCCATGCGGCCCAGCTGCTCCTCCAGGCGGCAGATGCGGTCGCCCTGCTCCTTGACCAGCGCCCTCAGGGCCCGCAGCTCCTGCATCACCTCCTCCAGCTTCCCAGCCTCCTGTGGGGACATGAAGCAGGGGTAGGGGGCGGTGGTCAGGGGCTGCTAAGCCATAGCCCTCCCAAACCCACCACTACCCCAGAGAGGGACAGCGAATGGCTGAAGCCCACACAGCAGGCCAGGGCCACACCTGGGGCTCCCAGCACCACCCCTGCCTGCGCGTGCATACCCCGGCTCTGGCCAGGCTGCCGCTGGGGGTGGCATCAGCAGCAGTGGTGGTGGAGGCGGGGGCCCCTAGGTGGGAGGAGCCCGGGGCCATGGCGGGCCGGCTGTCAGACAACACGTTGCGCCGGCTGATCTTCAGGTCCCGCTGCTTGCTGGGCACGTAGGCCTCCCGCAGTGAGATGAGGATCGGGTCGGCATCCCGCCCGCTCACCCACTCCTCAGCCTCCAGGGCTGCCTCGGGCCCGGCTGTGTCGGGGTACAGATCATCCTGGAAGAGGTCCGACTGGGCAGGGGGCCGGGGAGGTCAGGATCAGTTAGGAGGCCCCATCAGGGTCCCCTCATCCCTCCCCTGGCCTCCAGGCTTGCACTCTGTTAACCCATTCTCCCACGGCCTGGAAAGCTCAAATCTGGCCTTTAACTTCCTTTCTGGACACCATCAACAGCTCCCTCGGAAGCTTTCCCACCCTTCTGAGCAAGGCCCCTGTCATCACCTTCCCCTGCAAGGCACAGGGGCCACTATGTGGCTTTATGGGATTCTGGGGCCCATGGACTGTGAGCTCCTGGAGCAGGCCCTATCAGCTCAGCTCCACTCCCCAAAATGTGCCTGGCATGTTGAAAGAGCAGTCGGCAAATGCTGGCCAGAGAATCATGGAAGCGTGTCCGAGGCTCTTGGCATCTGAGGCCAAGCCACATGTGGCCCGGTCCCCTCTTCATGGGATTCCCCACTGCAGCCAGACTCCTTGTTCCTCTCTCCATTCCCACCACTGTGCCCTTCGCCTGGCCTGCCCCCAGTGGATGGCGCCACCCCAGCTGTGTTATGGGTCCTGCCTCCTTCAGGAAGATCTGTGTGGCTGCCACTCCCTCCCTGACTGCCTGGTGTCCTTCTCCTGTGGCTCATCCAGAGCAGGGCCCCTGCTCACCCTCTGTCTCATCCCCACTTGCCCCCTGACTGGCACAGCCCAACAGCTGGCTGGTACAAGGGCAAGCTGGCATCTGTCCAGCTCACTGCCCACAAACCATACTAGGTCATGTTCCATTCACAGGCCTCGCCCTGGTCACAACTGCATGGCCCGCTTGCTGGAGAAAGGGCCAAGTGAGCCGAGGGACGGGCGGCCTCACCTTTCTTGGCACAGTCATGACGATGGGCTCACACTTGCGCTCATGCAGTTTGTAGAACCTGGGGATGCAAGGAGGAGCCACGGGTGGAACCCTCACCGCCCCCCCCACCCACCGCCAGCTCTCCTGGCATCCTCCACTTCCAGTCCTCACCCCAGGACCTCCGCAGGCCGACCCCTAAGGTGGCTAGACCCCCACACGGGCTGCCTCGTGACAGTTCTCATGGCCCGCCGGGCCTCCCTGGCGCAAGGTTTCCTGCTCCCAAGCAGCCTCCAATGACCTGACCTCTCACCTTAGATGCCCCTATCCCCGAGTGGCCTCGGTAGCCCTCTTACCGGGCGATCTCGCACTTGCTGACCTCCAGGCCCCGCTTGGGCATGCTGCCCATACCCCGCTGCGGCTCCTTGCTGGTGAACGTGTTCAGGAAGTGGATGTAGGGAGGCTCCTCTGTGATCTCAAAGTACCGGATGCTGGAGTCACCCTGTGTGGGGAGGGGGCTCAGCACCTGGGCACGCCTCTTCCCTGCCCCTCGCCAGCCCTGCCCAGCCCCACCTTGCCGCAGACGTAGACCACACTGGTGTCGGGGTCGTAGAAGGGCAGCAGGGCCCCGTTGCTCGAGTCCAGTTCCTGCAGGGCCATGGGTTCCTCGAGGTTTTCCTGGCACATTGCAGGCAGTCAGGCCAAGCAGAACCTCCTCACCCCCTAATCCCAAACCAGGACGGGCCTTAGCTGGCCTCACTAAGGCCAGCCAGCACTGCCCCTAAATGCAGGTGGGCCCTCTGCCATCTCTATGCCTTTTCCCACATGACGACCCCCACCTGGCCCTCCTGGCTTCACTTTATTCCCAGGGTCCCTCTTTTCCAGCCTCCTCCAGGCCTTAAGACTATGCCCAGGCCACTAAGCAAGTGCTGAAACATACCTCACTGTGGGGAGCTGGGGTGCCAGCGGCACCAGCCCCTGCTCAAGGTGCCCTGGAGGTCACTATGCAGAAGCAGAGAGGGCTGGGGCCAGGAGGCTTGCTGGAGGAGGAGGCTTTCTGGAGGAGCGGGGAGCCCTGTGCAGGCAGTGGGTGGTACAGGCAAGCAAGGGAGAGAAGGGCCCTTCCGTTGGCATGAACAACATGGGCAAAGACACAGAGGCAGTGGGAGGCCATGGGGGAGTGGTGGGGCAGTCGGGCGAGCAGGGGGCAGGAGAGGAAAGTCTGACAGAGTCCTAGGCCCTGAGAGCCTCAAGTTCCAGGCAGAGAAGCTAGGAACCACAGGCCTCCCCAGGGTGAACCCTGCCTGCCTGGCCCAGGGTGGGGCCCAAGTCTCAAGTTTGCCCCCTCAGGCTGGCCACTCACTGGGTCCCAGAGCGCCAGCTGCCGCTCGCTCATTCGGCTGAAGCCTGTGGTGAACACCTTGCCATCTGCCAGGAAGATGGCCCGCATGGGCCGGGCCCCCTCATGAGCCTTCTCCCGCTCCTGTCGGGGGGACAGGCTGGTCAGTGCAGCGCCCTGCTCAAGGTCCTGGGCCTATCCACAGCCATCCTTGCCCTCCAGAGCCACGTACTGCCACCAGGGTGCCCCGACGGGGGTCGATGATGCGCACGCTCTTGTCCTTGCATGCTGAGCAAAACAGGCTGCCATTGTGGTTCCAGCTGACATTGTAGATGAGGTCAGGGTGCAGGCTGTCCAGGCGGTACAGCTCCTCCGCTGTGCCCACATTCCAGATGAGTACCACGTTGTCGCAGCCTGGCAGGTGAGGGTTGTCAGCTCGGGCCGGGTGGGTGGCAGGAGGCCATTAGCTCACCAGGCTGAGGCCCACTCTGCCCACCACCCTGGGACAGACGGGTCTCTCCAACTCTGAGGGCCTCAGCTTTCCCATTTGTCATGTGGGCCCTGGAGGGGCTGCTGGGATGTATGGAGGGGTCCGTGGGGGGGGGGAGCACAAAACGGGGGGCGGTGCAGACCTGCACTGAGCAGCACGTTTCGGGCCGTGGGGTGCCAGGCGATGATGCCCACTCGCTTGGTGTGCCCCTCCAGTACCACCACCGGCTCTGTCAGCGGGGAGGTCAGCCCGTTCTCTGGGATCTGCCACACCTGTGGTAGGGACAGGGCCACCGAGCTCAGTCCTCTGCTGGTCCTATTGCTGGCCCCCTTCGGCCACACCCACGACCCTGGCCCAGCCAGTCCTGTGCCTCACCATGACCGTGCAGTCCTCCGAGCCGCTGGCTATGACTTCGTCGTTGTGAGGACACCAGTCGATGTCCAGGACAGGTCCCGTGTGCCCACACACCGTCGGGTAGGCCTTGTCAATGCGGCCCGTCTGTGGGCACGAGGGGGCAGTCAGTGGGCTCCATCCCTCCCGAAGCCTTGGTCTTCCCCTCCATGGAGTGGGAATGACATGCACGTCCCGGCTCACAGGTGGCCCAGATGTGACTGTGCCCCACTTGCCAGGTGAGCAGGAAATGTTTGCTGCCTCTAACCCTGCCTCTATGGCAACAGGCTACTTTCCATCTGTGCTAACACTTGGGGCGATAAATCTGGGTTATAACACCTGCCCAGCAGTGTGAGAAACGGCAAGATGAGGGATTCAAGGTGTGCAGAAAGGCCCAGTAGGGGTGGCCGAGGTGCCTCCTCTTCCCCCAACCCTGACAGGACCCACCTTGCTTAGGGGGAGCACCAGAAAGGCACCCCCTCCACTGGCCTCCACAATCACCGCCAGGAACTTGGGGTTGACGGCGCAGAAGGTGCTGTCCCAGGTAACACGGGACACGCGAATGTCCTCATAGCACTGGTCGTTCTTGACCGGCTGCCCGAACACATGCCGGAATTTGCTCTGCCGGACCACTTTGCGGAAGGACATGTCTGCGGGACAGAGAGGCCTGGGTCAGTCCGGCCCATCCCAACAACTCCAGCCCTCCCCAGGCTGCTGAAGGTGAGCCGGGAGGATGCAACCGGGGGCCAGGCCACCGTAACCCTCCTGGGTCTCGGTTTACCCAGTTACAGAATGGGGTCACAGGTGCAGAGCCTGGCCGCCTGTCACCCCGCAGGCAGTGATCTGAGAGGTAAATGCTCCGGCCCTGACCACTGCTGAGTCCTGAGGGGCTTTGCAGGACGCAGGGCCCCTCCCTGGCTCTGGTGTGTGTCGGGGGCAGGAGGTGGGAGGTGCCGGGGTTGGAGAGCTCTCAGCTCTACTGTAGGTCCCAGCCAGTCGGGAGCAGCCTCCTTCCTGCTCCCAGAGATTTGGAGGCTAGGTAATGGGGAAGAAGGAGAGAGGAAGCAGGAAAAGTCTCTCTACTGTGGGGCCGAGTGAGTGCCCAGTTCTGAGTCCCAGGGAATGTCCAGGGAGCCCCGGCATGGCCCCCAGGAAGGGACGGGGTCGGGACGCAGCTGTGGGCCGCGAAGCAACCCAGAGCGGCCTCGAATCGGGGTCCAGGGTGAACCAGGAGCCCAACTTCCAGGGACCTCCGCCCAGGAGAGGAGAGGCTGGGCGGCCAAGGGGAGTGGGACTGAGTGGGGTAGAGGGGAGGCGAAAGGCTCCTGGGACCCGCGATCCCCCCTCAGCCCCCTCAGCCCGGCCCCTGCAGCCCCGCCCAGCCCCCAGCCCGCGCCCCTAGCCCCGGCCCTGCCGCGCTCACCGGGGGCACCGGGGGCGCAGGGGGCTGCGGCACCGGCTTCGGGCGGCTCCGGATCCCGGCCTCTGGGAAGCAGGAAGCAGGATTCAGGAAGTGACAGAGGGACCCGGAGCGGGGGCGGGGCAGGGGCTCGCGGGGGCGGGGCCGAGGTCACGCGCGGAGGGGCTGGGCGGGAGGCTGAGCGGCGCCGGGGGGCCGGGAGCGGGGCCGCCGGGGACGGGGCCAGAGAGAGCCCCTTTCCTAGGACCCGGTGGAGCGCCCCCACCGCAGCTCCTCCGGAAGAAGGGGGCGGGGCGGGGCAGGGCCGACGGCGGCCGCCGCAGAGGCGCCGCAGGTGCGGGTGCAGCCTTACAGCGGACCCGAGGCCCCTTCGCGTTCTTGCTCCTCATAATGGCATCCGCAGGAGTCTCCAGGATTGGGTGAGGCCCCGCCTTCCCGGCCCCCGACGGAACGCACACCTCCAAGGGGCCCCATTACCGCCCCCAACAAATAAATGTAGAATCTACACGGACAGTGGATATGTTCACGTGACTCTTTTTAAGTTATCAAAGTTAATGCTCTTTTTTTTTTTTTTTTTTTTTTTTTGAGACGGAGTTTTTGTCACCCAGGCTGGAGTGCAGTGGCGCGATCTCGGCCCACTGCAACCTCCGCCCTCCCAGGTTCAAGAAATTCACCCCAGTAGCTGGGACTACAGGCTTATACTACCACGCCCGGCTAATTTTTTGTATGTTTAGTAGAGACGGGGTTTCACCATGTTAGCCAGGATGGTCTCGATTTCCCGACCTCGTGATCCGCCCGCCTCGGCCTCCCAAAGTGCTGGGATTACAGGCGTGAGACACCATGCCCGGCCTAAATTTCATGCTCTTGGTTAACAATGTAAAGAAAACAACAGCAGGTGTTGGGGTGGTTTTTTTTTTTTTTTTTGAGGCAAGGTCTGTCACTACCGGGCTAGAATGTAGTGCCATGATCATGGCTCACTACAGGCTCGACCTCCTAGGCTCAAGGGATCCTCCTGCCTCAGCCTCCCAAGTAGCTGGGACTACAGACACACACCACCACGCCTGGCTAATTTTTCTTTTACTTTTTGTAGAGATGGGGTCTCTTGCTCTGTCGCCCAGGCTGGTGTGTTTTTTGTTTTGTTTTGAGATGGAGTCTCGCTCTGTCTCCCAGCCTATAGTGCAATGGCGCGATCTCGGCTCACTGCAACTTCTGCCTCCCGTGTTCAAGCAATTCTCCTGCCTCAGCCTCCCAATTCGCTGGGATTACAGGTGCCTGCTACCATACCCTGCTATTTTTTTTGTATTTTTAG
Source organism: Homo sapiens (assembly GCF_000001405.40). Lineage (NCBI taxonomy): Eukaryota > Metazoa > Chordata > Mammalia > Primates > Hominidae > Homo > Homo sapiens. Next base: position 67,444,710 of record NC_000011.10, read on the forward strand.
TAGAGATAGGGTTTCACCATGTTGGCCAGGCTGCTCTTGAACTCCCGGGCTCAAGCAATCCTCCTGCCTTAGCCTCCCAGAGTGCTGGGATTACAGTTGTGAGCCACCGTGCCCATCCAGAAAATAGCAGTGTTTATGGAGCGAGTGGAAGACCCAGGAGTCCCATTTTTCAGGGTAAACACCTGTGCATTCTGCTGAGCTTTCTTATTACAATTTGAAAGGGGGCCATGGCCAGTGAGTCCCTTGCACCTTGCCTTCTTTTCTCCACCATCTCCCTCGAAGGCCTGGAGATCCATTCACAGGCCTCTCTCTTTCTCTAGCCAGCGCCTGTGACAAGGAGCCCAGACTGGCCTCTCCAGACCCACCCCATCCCGTTCCACAGGTGGAATGTACCCCCGTTCCCTTAGGCCAGCGGCTCTGGGGCACCGGCTACTTCCCTTATTCTTTCCTTGAGCATCCACTGCCCTGGCTGACCGATGGCACCCTCCCTTTCCCAGAAAGAGATGGATGGAGGACGAAGCGGGGGAAGAGCAGAGGTCACAGGAGCCTTGTCTCTGGCTAAAAGAGGCCCCCACTGTGTGTCTGAGGGTGACCTCGGGCTTGTCTCCCATCTCATTCCCATTGCCACACCCCATTGAGGAAACAGGCACAGAGAGGTGCGGTGCCTGCCTGAGGTCATCCAGCCGGATGCAATCCCCATCGGCTTGGGTCCAAAGCCCTTGCTTTTCCTAGTGCTCTATAAACCCTGGGGCTAGAAGGATCATCTAGATCCCACCCACCTTCCTTCCCACCCCGAGGCCTGGGCACATCCTGTTCTCTCCATCTGGAAGCTCTTTCCTCAGATCCCAAAAAGGCTCCTTTCCCCACTCGATTCAGGTCTCTGGTCAGACATCACCTCCTCCTAGGGCTCTCCTGGACCATTCCTCACCCAGCCACTCTTTGGTCTTACTTGTCCTGACTGCATTGTTCTTTTTTTGGGAGACAGGGTCTTGCTCAGTTGCCCAGGCTGGAGTGCAGTGGCACGGTCCTAGCTCACTACCGCCTCACACTCTGGGGCTCAGTCCTCCCGCCTCAGCCTCCCAAGTAGCTGGGACTACAGGCACGTACCACCATGCCTAGCTAATTTTTATTTTTGTAGAGATGGAGGTCTCCTATGTTGTCCAGGCTGGTTCCAAACTCCTGGCCTCAAAAAATCCTCCTGCCTCAGCCTCCCAAAACTCTGGGATTACAGGTGTGAGCCACCACCCGGCCTGTGTTCTCCAGCGCCGCCTGATGTTGCATCAGGTGCTTATTGGTGTATTTGGTTTGTGTCGGCCTCCACCAGGATGTCAGCAAATTGAGGGGAAGGACTTTGCCTATCTTCCTACTGTATTCCCAGCACCCTGAACAAGATCCAACACTCAGTATGGGATCAAGTAATGTATGAGGAATGAATGAATGAGCAGCAGCCCTGAATGTAGAATTGAACAATACTCATAATCACAATTCTCAGGATCAATGTCTGGCACCTATGAAGGAGAGGGAAGGAAGGGCATCTCTCACCGGAGAAGGAGTGAGTCTTCCAGACGGCAGCAGGAGACTGGTCCCCTGGGATGTGGTAGGCAGGAGGTGTGTGGCTGGGCAATGTCTTGGGGCTGAGCCCACCTTCATGCCCATTTTCTCTAACACAAAACCCTCCTCCATGGACCACTGAGAGAACTCTTTTTTTTTTTTTTTTGGAGACAGAGTCTTGCTCTGTTGTACAGGCTGGAGTGCAGTGACGCGATCTCGGCTTACTGCAACGGAAACCACCTTTGCAAAACTATGACTGAGACAGTGAAAGAGATCTAACTTCACCAACCATCTTGCTTCTAATCTCTCTCTTTTTTTTTTTTTTTTTTTGAGACAGAGTCTCGCTCTGTCGCCCAGGCTGGAGTGCAGTGGTGCGATCTCGGCTCACTGCAAGCTCCGCCTGCTGGGTTCACGCCATTCTCCTGCCTCAGCCTCCCGAGTATTTGGGAATACAGGCGCCCACCACCTCACCTGGCTAATTTTTTTTGTATTTTTAATAGAGACAGGGTTTCACTGTGTTAGCCAGGATGGTCTCAATCTCCTGATCTTGTGATCAGCCCATCTCGGCCTCCCAAAGTGCTGGGATTACAGGCATGAGCCACCTCATCTGGCCCTTGCTTCTAATCTCTAAACCGTCCTTGTTCATTTCTGGGCATAGGCTGAACTAACTTTGGGAGAAACTTAGTTTATAAACAAAGATGGTAACAGCCCTTTCCCAAAGCAGACTTCCCTGTTGCCTGGGGACTAGATTGCCTTTGTAGGACTAACATTAGCCACAAGATTAGAAATTATGGTTTAGGGCCGGGCATGGTGGCTCACGCCTGTAATCCCAGCACTTTGGGAGGCCGAGGCGGGCGGACCACCTGAGGTCGGGAGTTCGAGATCACCCTGGCCAACATGGTGAAACACCGTCTCTACTAAAAAATGCAAAATTAGCTGGGTGTGGTAGCACATGCCTGTAATCCCAGCTACTCGGGAGGCTGAGGTAGGAGAATCGCTTGAACCCGGGAGGCGGAGGTTGTGGTGAGCTGAGATCACGCCATTGCATTCCAGCCTGGGGCAACAAGAGCAAAACTCTGTCTCAAAAAAACAAAACAAACAAACAAACAAAAAAGAAATTATGGTTTAGGAGTTATGCAGCTGGAGGCTATAAGATTCGGACCCTCCCTAAACTGCTCCTAAGGTCAGCGCTTGAGATATTTGCAGACCCTGCCCTTGATGGATCAGCTGGCACCACCAGATCAATCAACTGGCTCATCTGATCTTGTGGCCCCCACCCAGGAACTGACTCAGTGCAAGATGACAGCTTTGATTCCCTCTGATTTCATCCTTGACCAATCAGCACCGCTGGCTCACTGGCTTCCCACCACCCACCAAGTTATCCTTAAAAACTCAGCTCCCTGAGAATGCTCAGGGAGTCTGATTTGAGTAAGAATAAAACTGCAGTCTCCTGCACAGCCGGCTCTGCGTGAATTGGCTCTGTCTAGGCAGCAGGCAAGGCGAACCCCTCGGGGGTTTACACAACCCGCGCTTCCTGGGTTCAAGCAATTCTCCTGCCTCAGCCTCCCGAGTAGCTGGGATTACAGGCATGCGCCACCACACCCGGCAAATTTTTTGTATTTGTATAGATGAGGTTTCACCATGTTGGCCAGGCTGGCCTTGAACTCCTGACCTCAGTTGATCTGCCTGCCTTGGCTTCCTAAAGTGCTGGGATCACAGGCGTGAGCCACCGTGCCTGGCCTGAGAACTCCTCTTTATTCCGCAAAACCCTTCAGGCATTCTACCCCATCCTGTCCCACAGGTGGAGTCTGCCCCGCCTCCCTCAGGCTGGCGGCTTTGGGGTACCAGCTACCTCACTTATTCCTTTCTTGAGCATCCGCTGCTCTGGCTGACCAAGGGTGATGGTCTGCTGCTCTTTCTTCTGGACAGAAATCACGCATTATGGGTGGGATTCCCTTTGGGGTCCTTGGACGTGGGACTGGCCCACTCCCCAAGAGGTAGGGTTTGGAGTGTGGACCAGAGCTGAAAGCAAGTGGCTGATGCTGAGGTTTTATTTCCCAATCTGCCTGCCATGCTGAAAAGGCCCTGGGAGCCCTGCCCAGAAAAAGGGAGAAGGGCACTGCGGAGTGCCCTAATGGGGACCGAAGTCCAGGCCCTGCGCTCAGAGTGTGGACTGCAGTGGGATGGGGAGGGTGAGAACTTCCCTTGTGGAACAGGAGGCAGTGCCATGGTGGGGAGGCCTGGGGGGCAGGCGATCTGCCACTCAGGCGCTGGCCTGTGGCTCAGTATTGGTCCCAGGGCTGAGTGAGACCGGGGGGTGCCCACTGCTGTCATCAAATTAATGGCTAACAATCACGAACACTTCATAGGGATTCACGCTCCTGCAAGATGGGTACCATTATTATGATCCTCATTTTACAGACGAGGAAACTGAGTCCCAAAGAGGCTAAGAGCTTTGTGGAAGGTCACACAGCCTGTGAGTGGTGGAGCCAGGATTCAAACAACCCCTGATGGTCACCAGAGAGTGCACTCTTTTTTTTTTTTTTTTTTTTTTTTTTTTTAGAGACAGAGTCTTTCTGTGTGCCCAGGCTGGAGTGCAGTGGTGCGATCTCGGCTCACTGCAAGCTCCGCCTCCCAGGTTCACGCCATTCTCCTGCCTCAGCCTCCCGAGTAGCTGGAACTACAGGTGCCCACCACCACGCCCAGCTAATTTTTTTTTTTTTTGTATTTTTAGTAGAGACAGGGTTTCACCATGTTAGCCAGGATGGTCTCGATCTCCTGACCTTGTGATCTGCCTGCCTCAGGGTCCCAAAGTGCTGGGATTACAGGCGTAAGCCACTGCGCCCAGCCAAGAGGGCAAACCCTTAACCTCACCCAAGTGGCTCCAGAATGGAAGGCTGGCCAGAAAGGCATCTAGCGAGTGCCCAAGAAATACTGGATGAATGAATTCAATAAATGCATGCCTGGCCAGAAATCTCTCTCCCATGGGCCTCAGTGCCCGCAATTCCATCACTACGACTATGCTTCTGGTATCACCACCACCACCGCCCACAGCACTTCCCATCCCTGGGCTCAGTCAATGATCAGAACTGCCAAGCCTGCAAGGGGAACATGATCACTCCATTTTACAGAGGAGAAAACAGGCTGAGAGGAAGGAAGTTAGGAACCAGAACCCAGACCTGACTGTATCACTCTAGGCTGCCTGCACAGCCTGCTGCATTTGGAAAATGCAGGTGTCTCTGGGAAGGGTTGCACATCTGACATCATTGTCATTTACACCTGCCGGAAAGGGCGTCTCAGTTGCTGAAGGTCACGATACTGAGCTAATGGGATAAGGGGGCATGACTGGAACACTGGGGGTAAGGAGAACGCAGGTGGGGTGGGTGCCAGGAGAGGACGATGGGTAGGAAAAGGGAAGTGGAGTGGGGGTTGGAAGATAGACCTTCAGCACTTCTAGTTTTTTCTGCAGCATCAGCAGCTTGAGAGGGAAGAGCTGGTTCTGCCCTAGAGAAGCTGTGTGACCTCTGGGAGCCTTTGCCCTTTCTAATTTTTTTTTTTTTTTTTGAGATGGAGTCTTGCTCTGTCGCCAGGCTGGAGTGCAGTGGTACAATCCCGGCTCACTGCAACCTCTGCCTCCCGGGTTCAAGCAATTCTCCTGCCTCAGCCTCCCGAGTAGCTGGGATTACAGGTGTGCGCCGCTACGCCCAGCTAATTTTTGTACTTTTAATAGAGACGGGGTTTCACCATGTTGGCCAGGATGGTCTTGATCTTTTGACCTTGTGATCCGCCCGCCTCGGCCTCCCAAAGTGCTGGGATTACAGGCGTGAGCCACCGCGCCCGGCCGTCTTTGCCTTTGCCCTTCCTAGACCCACTGGTGCCCTGAGCTCTGTGTGCTTGGACAACTTCCTATCTGTGCACTTGGGCTCAGACAGAGGGAGGCTGTTATTCAGGCAGGATCGGGGCCCTCTGTACCTGCAGCCCCCACAAAGAATCTTGTGCAGCCCTCCACGGGAGGTGGGGAGCAGGTGGATGCTAATTGAACTTTTAAATAGAATCAGACTTTGAAGTCCCCTGCAGGCCCCCAAGGCACAGAGGCGGCCTCCTGGTCTTAGGCCACCTGGGTGTCTACGGCCCAGACAGGTCACAAGATCCCAGATGCCTGGGCCAGGTGGTGGCTCTCCCCACTGCCTCCTCTATCCATCCCCAGCCTCTAAAGGGACATCCTGTATGTGGATGAAGGAGAAGAAAGGCTAGTTCACCAGGCCCCTGCGTGCGCCAGGCTCTTGTAATGCCTTACACACTTTCTTATTGCATCCTCTCAACAGCTGATGACACGGGAGCTCGGAAGGTGAAGTTGCTCCTCCAGAGTCGCTCAGCTGGGACATGGCAGAGCTGGATTTGAATCCAGGCTAGGCAGCTCTTGCCTCTTCTGGCGCCTTGCTGAGGGAGGCCCTGCCCCAGCCTCAATGACTGTTGGGGGAAGGGGACTAGTGGACCAGGCTTGGCCATGCCAGGCCAGCTTGTGGTTCACCAGGGCCTTAGGCTCCTGCTTGGGGCTGGTGGCTCCTGGGAGGCCCCCTTCTCTTCAGGGACTTTTTTGTTTCACGTCCTTGTGTCCAGGCCCGGAGGAGGAGAGGGAGGGAAGGACCAAAGGGAGGTCAGGTCAAGCCCGGGGAAAGTGCCCCCTGTTGTCTTCCTCCAGCAGGACTGAGGCCCAGGGAAGAATAGTCAGCGGGGTCTGGGGTGTTGAGGGACAGTACCCCGCAAGATGCCATTAGCTGCGGTTTGGGGGCTGTCGGGCGACTGTGTGTGTGTTGGGAGCAACCACAGAAAAGGCTGATGGCCGGGAGCAGGGGTCGCTGACATGGAACTGCCTGAGACTTCTGGCTGGATTGTTTCCCCTCCCTCAAGTCCTCCTTCCAGGCCTGACGGACTCAGCAGGGTTTTTAAGGACAAAGCTGTCGGCGGCTCCCCACCTGTCTGACTGGCTGGTTCCTCTGTCTGCCCTGGGCTCTTTCACTGCTCTGGTGGGCCTGCGTGTTCCTGGACCCTCACGTGGGGCCTGCGCCCGGGGCCGCCTCTGGCGGGGTGCTGCTGGGGCTTTCTCCTTCAGAGGCAGGAGGTGTGGCTGGGTCCTCAAGGGCCCCTGGGGTAGGATGCGAGGATGGGGTTGGGGAAGCTTCATCACAGGGACTGGGCACAGAACTGGCAGCAGGTGCAGGGGTCTGGACGTTAGTGTCTGCCTGTGGCTGGGCCACAGAATCTGACTGTGGCTGGGCCATGAGGTTCAGCTGTGGCTGGGCTGTGGGATCCGACTGTGGCTGGGCCGTAGGGTTCAGCTGTGGCTGAGCTGTGGGATCCGATCGTGGCTGGAGTGTGGGGTTCACCTGAGGCTGGGCCACAGGATCCATCTGTGACTGGGCCTCTGCCATCGGCTCTGGCAGAGTTGGACCCTCAGAATCTAGCTGGGTCTGTGGCTCAGTGGGCGTGAAGCTGCCCGGCCGCTCCTCGCAGAGAGCTGCCGCGAAGGACGAGAGCACGGAGCGCAGCAGGGTCCGGAGGTCGGCACTGGCCATGAGGCAGAGGAAGGGGCTGAGGCAGCTGTTGAGTAGGATCAGGTAGTCGGAGTAGACCAGGGCCTCCCAGAGCAGGTAGCCAGAGTAGACGTCCCACAGGAAGGCCAGGTAGAGCAGCTGGGCCAGCTGGTAGGGCAGCCTCAGGACCACATAGGCTGACAGAATGGTCCTGGCCACACGGGCGAAGCCCCGGCAGGCTGCGGGCTGCTGTTGGCGGTGGCAGGTGCGACAGGCTGTGGCCTGGGTGAGCACGTGGCAGACGAGCAGCAGGAGGAAAGGCAGGAAGCCCCCCAGGACCTCCAGCATCCTCAGCGACAGCTCCTCGCTGTCCCAGAAGTCCAGGCAGATGACCAGGTCGTACCACCAGACGGCAGCCTCGGGGAAGACCAGCCAGGGCACGCTGAAGAGTGTGGCCAGCACCCAGACACCGGCGCAGACCCAGAGGGGCAGGCGGACTGGGCGGTGCCCAGGGTACCAGTGTGGGCACAGCGCCAGCAGGCAGCGGTCGAGGCTGAGGGCGGCCAGCAGGAAGAGGCCGGAGGAGTAGGACACGCCCCATAGGAAGTAGTAGAAGCGGCAGGCAGCTGTCCCCAGCGGCCAGTGTCCCCCATGCCGGATCTCTAGGATCTGGAAGGCCGCTGCTGCCAGGAACAAGAAGTCAGAGAGGGCCAGGCTGAGCAGGAGCAGCGCCAGACGCGTGCCAGCTCCATGCCGGGCCTGGGAGCCGGCCAGCCACGCCATCAACCCATTGGCTGGCAGCCCAAGGAGCAGCAGGGCCACCAGGAAGACCGTGTCCCAGCCACCTTGGGGGTAGGAGTCCTCATCATCAAGCTCTGTGCGGGGCCTGTGGCCAGTGGCACCCAGGTCAGCTTCCATGGTAGTGTCCATTTGGGGTCCCCAGAGTCCTGCTGGACACGGAGTGGGTGCCTGGTGAATCAATGATGGTGTGAATGACCGAGTATGGGAGAGACGGTGCTGTGCATCTCCAGGCAAGTCACCATCCCTCCCTGCGCCATTGTCATCACCTTTTGAGTAATTATCCTATGCCAAGGACTTGAAGTGGATGACCTCATGGAGTCCTCATACAATCTACTTTACAGGCGAGGACAGGAAGGTTCAGAGAATCAGTGAAGGTAGGAAGGGAGGTGCCAGGGCTCAACCCAGACTTTTCTTTTCTTTTCTTTTTTTTTTTTTGAGAGACAGGGCCTTGCTCTATTGCCCAGGATGAGTGCAGTGGCACAGTCCCTGCAGCTTCCACCTCCTGGGTTCCAGCGACCCTCCCATCTCAGCCTCCCTAGTAGCTGGGACTACAGGTGTGCACCCACTACTTTTTAAATTTTTAGTAGAAACAAGGTCTCACTGTGTTGCCCAGGCTGGTCTTGAACTCGTGAGCTCAAGTGATCCTCCTACCTTGGCCTCCTGAAATGTTGAGATTACAGGCATGAGACACTGTCCAGACAGACTTAATCTTCTGCCATGTAGAATCCCAATGGGTCCGGATAGACTAACCCGGAGGCTTTCAAACATTGTTAAAGGTATGGAATTTTGTCTGTAAGTAAAGTATTCTAAGGCCGGGCACGGTGGCTCACACCTGTAATCCCAGCACTTTGGGAGGATCACCTGAGGTTGGGAGTTCGAGACCAGCCTGACCAACATGGAGAAACCCCATCTCTACTAAAAATACAAAATTGGCTGGCCGTGGTGGCGCATGCCTGTAATCCCAGCTACTCAGGAGAATCGCTTGAACCCGGGAGGCAGAGGTTGTGGTGAGCCAAGATCGTGCCATCGCACTCCAGCCTGAGTAACAAGAGCAAAACTCTGTCTCAAAAAAAAAAAAAAAAAAAGTATTCTAGTGGAACTCCTATATGGACTAAAAGGGGGTGCTCAAATTAAGGGAGGGAAGAGTACCCCTACCCCCCAGGGTTCCAGGGAACACAGTTTGAAGACCGTTTGGTCCGCTCATCACAAGGCCCCTTTATGCCTGCTCCTCTGGGGTTCGAGTGTTTAGGATTCCAAGAAGGGAGGGCTCTGGTTCCCATGGGCCCAGGGGACCCGAAGGTAGGGAGTCTGGGGCAGTGGGAACCCCCTCCCCTCCAGCGAGTGTCACTCATGGGCTCAGGATGAGGTCTCTGAGCCTCAGGACCCCACAGCCTGGGGTCAGGAGGGCCATCCTAGGAGCCCCTGGTGCCTCTCCAGCATCTTCCACCCCACCGCGGCCCTCTCCCGCTTCCCACAGCTCAGGCAGGAGGTGACCCCTGTTTGTCTCCTGGAGCTGCTAAAGAGAGGGGGAGGGGCTCTGCAGTGGGATGGTGGTGGGATGGTGAGGGTGAGGGGAGTTGGAGGGCACCCAGACCTGGGATCCAAGAGGCCTGCAGCCCCACCTCGCCCTTCCCCGCTGGCAGCGGGGAGGGAGTTTCCCTTTGAGGGCGATGAGAGCCCAGGTGGTGGTATAGTCTGGGGAGGGAACGGATGCCCTGAAGGGCTGGCCCCTGCCCACGGCCCACGGCTCCAGCCACTTGGCCTTTAGTTTGGTGCCCTCCGTACCCTCAGGGTTCCTCCTCAGGCTGACCCCCTCTGCTGTCTCCATTCCCTATTGGATCAGAGCCCCAGGCACCCCGAGACTGGGGCCCTGACCAGTGAGGCCTGGCTTACCTGGGAGGCAGAGGCCGATGGGTGGAAGGAGCAGGAGCAGGGCGTGCCTGCCTGCCCAGCACTCCAGCTGTCCCCCCGGCCCTCACTGGGGCCTGCTTTGTGGCACCCGGCAGCGCTAAGGCGGGTGGGCAGGAAACCCAAGCTGAGAGGACATCAATTATTTATGGGGCTGCTTGCTGGGAAACCCTAACCCTGGCCCAGTAGGGCCAAGTGACCAGCCAGACCCCCTCCCCCAGCCCTGATGGGCCTGGACAGTCAGACCCTCCTCCCCAGGGCCTCTCTAGCCCAGAGCAGACTCTAAGACCCCAAGGTCCACCTCCTCCCACATCACCCCCCGTGCTCCTCAAAACGGCATTCGAGGCATCTGTGATCTGGCCTCTTCCTCCATTTCACACACCCTCTGCTCTGGCCAGGATGTCACCCATGGGGGGGCCCCAGTAGGCCACTCGCTCATCCTTTCCCACCTCCCAGCCGTTGTCCGCATGCCTCCTGCCACCTGAGATGCCTTCCCTGGTCCTCTCTGCCTAACGAAGGCCTCTGCCCATGTCACACATGAGCTGAGTCTTCTGCGCTCTAGCATTATTCCCCATGTTTTATAGATAGGGAAACTGAGGCTGGGAGGGGAATTTGCTGGATCCCCCAGCTAATAAGTAGCAGATCTGGCATCTGAGGCTCATGGCAGCCACCACGTCCTGGTGCCCCTTGCTTCTGACCAAGGACAGTTCTCTGGACCCATCTGGCTCTGCCCTGGCCAGCCCTGGGGCAGAGGACTGGGATTAGGGCCAGGGCTGCCTGCCTCACTTACCCTAATCCCCCTCAGAGCCCGATCCTAGGCTCTCAGCTCTAAGAGTGGGGGTGCATAAGCAGCTTTATGGGTCCTGAAAGCCAAGGGTGCCCAGGGGTGTGGTGTCTCTGAGCCCTGTTATCCCTCCCCCATGACCACAGAGCAGGCAAGGGGGCAGCAGGGCCCAAATCTGGCCATTGGCCGTCAGAAGCCCCCTGCGGGGGTTGTGACTCCCAAGAGTGATGCAGAGGAGCCCCCGTTGACCAGGAAGAGGAGCAAGAAGGAGAGGGGGCTCCGAGGGTCTCGAAAGCGCACTGGCAGCTCTGGGGAGCAGACAGGCCCCGAGGCCCCGGGGAGCAGCAATAACCCTCCCAGCACTGGAGAGGGGCCGGCGGGCGCACCCCCTGCATCCCCTGGGCCGGCCTCTTCTCGCCAGTCCCACCGACATCGTCCTGACTCCCTGCACGACGCTGCTCAGAGGACATACGGGCCCCTGCTCAATCGAGTCTTCGGGAAGGTTAGGTGGGACCTGGATTGGGCTGGGGGTCCTGGGGGTGGGGCTGGAGACACACCCCTTGGGCTCAGCTCACCCTGCCCCTGAGAGGCCCTCTGCCTCTTCTGCCCCAGACTGAGCCTGGGCTGTGGGGCAGGGTTGCTGCGGTTTGGGGAAGGGTAGGTCTCGGGCCAGCGTGGGCGGTGGGCAGAGCCAGAATTCACACCAGGGCTCTGTGGGAGCTCCAGGCTCTAGGAGCACAAAAGGGAGCTTGCTCCTCCTGGGTCCCACGAGGCTTCAGGGTCCTTTTCCTACTCTGATGGGGCTGGGCCCTGCCCAGGCCAACATGAGCAGGGGATGAAGGAGGAAGGATGACAGAGCCGTGGCTGGCCCTGGGGACATCCTGGACTCTCCCCCTGCAGGACCGCGAACTGGGCCCCGAGGAGCTAGACGGTGAGTGGCTCTTGCTGCTGGCAGGGGGTGGGAGCTGTCCCTGAGCCTGGCCACCTGGGCTTGACCTCCCTCCTCCACAGAGCTTCAGGCCGCCTTCGAGGAGTTTGACACTGACCGTGACGGCTACATCAGCCACCGGGAGCTGGGTGACTGCATGCGGACCCTGGGCTACATGCCCACCGAGATGGAGCTCCTGGAGGTCTCGCAGCACATCAAGATGCGCAGTCAGTCAGGGAGCCCGCCCGCCCGGGCAGCCTGCGTAGTTCAGGGGGTCACGAGGGGCTGGCAGGAGGTGGCCCTTGGGAGTCCATCGGGGTGCTAGTGGGAGTGAGGGAGGGTGGCGGTTTCCAGGCAGGGGCACCGGGTTCAAGCTCCTGCCTCTCTGTGTGGGAAGGCAGGCCAGCAAGGCGGCCCGGAGACCCAGGAGAGCCCCTTGGGGCTCAGGTTGAGGACCCTGGCTCGGGATGTCTGTTGCCATGGCCACTATACACATTTGCTCCTTTCACCCGAGCCCTTCCTGCCTCGCTGGCCCAGAAGCCCCTGACTCAGTGATAAAGTGCTGTCCGCTGATACTAGTCACCTGGCACCTTCTCTCTTTCTCTCTCTTTCTGTGACCCTGCCTCAGCCCTGTGCCCTGGTGGCAGCTGCCTGAATTGGGGTCGCCCTGATGGGAGAGGACCCCACCTATGCCTTGCGACTCAGTGTCTGATGGCAGGAACTGTGTGGTTCCCCTTCGCTGGTTTGTCCTCAGACAAATCTCATATTCACTTCATTCCAGGACTCCTGCATTTTTTCCTTAAAATTCCCAAAATGGGGATGTGATTTACAATTGAGCTGGACATTTGGTGTCATGCTTTTCTGTCCCCAAAGCTGTTGGGTGACCATGAGTGCTTTGAGTGACTGATGGCATCTTAGAACTGAGGCACGGACCACATGGGTGTGTTCGGAGGTGGCATTTATTGCTGCCCACTGGGCTCCAGTACTTCATGGCCATGAACCTGAACCCCATGGAGTAGGCTCCTCACCCTGCTCCTAGGATGAGGAAGGGAGGGCAGTAAGTCAGCCAATGCCACGCACATCAGCAGCAGGGCCAAGATTTGAACCGGGCACTATCTGGCTCCAAAGCCTGGTCTCTTCCTTGCACACTTGGGTTCTCCACTAAGAGCAGAAGCAGCCCTGGTACCCCAGCAGCCAAGGACGGGGGTTCCAGCCTCCTATCTGCTGCAGGCGTGGACACGGGTGTTTCTTCCTAGGTGCAGAGCCTGGGGGTGGGGGTGCCTGGCCTGTGGGATGTCCCTCCTTGGGCTTCAGACCTTATGCCCTCACCATTGTGACACTCTTCCTGGGTCTGCAGTGGGCGGCCGTGTGGACTTTGAGGAGTTTGTAGAACTGATAGGCCCAAAGCTGAGGGAGGAGACGGCGCACATGCTGGGGGTGCGAGAGCTGCGCATCGCCTTCCGAGAGGTGCGGAGTGTGGTGAGGTGGGCAGAGGGGGGCAGGGCTGGGTGGCATCCTTGCTGGCCTCTCACTCAGGTCTCAGCCTTGGGAAGGCCTAGAGCCCTGCAGGCGGTGGGACTGGGGCCCAGGGATGGGTCAGAGATGGTTCAGATCACTACCAGCTAGAGGATCCGTCCAGGGGGACTTCCTGGAGCAGGAGGCAAACCACCTTGGTGTGGGAGGGTGTGGAAGGTGTGCATGGGCAGAGATGGTGGGCAGGGGAGCATCTAGGTACAGGCAGCGGTAAGAGTGGAACTGGCTGGCCAGGCGCGGTGGCTCACGCCTGCAATCCCAGCACTTTGGGAGGCCAAGGTGGGCAGATCACCTGAGGTCAGGAGTTTGAGGTCAGCCTGGCCAACATGGCAAAACCCCATCTCTATTAAAAATACAAAAATTAGCCAAGGGTTGTGGTGGGCACCTGTAATCTCAGCTACTCAGGAGGCTGAGGCAGGAGAATCACTTGAACCCTGGAGGCGAAGGTTGCAGTGAGCCGAAATTGCGTCACTGCACTCCAGCCTGGTGACAGAGCAAGACTCCATCTCAAAAAATAAAATAAAAATAAATAAAATAAAATAAAATAAAAAATAAAAGAGTGGAGCTGGCTGAGGCTGAGGCAGCTTTGGGTGGGAGGGGCTGAGCTTTGCGGGGACCTTAGTTTGACAGGGACAGGGATGGACGAATTACGGTGGCGGAGCTGCGGGAGGCGGTACCGGCTCTGCTCGGGGAGCCGCTGGCGGGTCCTGAGCTGGACGAGATGCTCCGAGAAGTGGACCTCAATGGGGATGGCACCGTAGACTTTGACGGTGAGTCTCCTTCCCGGAAAACCCTCCCGTGCTTCCAGGGCCTAGGCTGAGCCCAGCACCTCCTGGGATCCCTGACGTGGACTGACCCAAGCCCTGCCCTTCTCTCCCGCAGAGTTTGTGATGATGCTCTCCCGCCACTGAGGCTCCAGGAGGGAATATCTGTTGCCCCTGCGGCCCCAGACACCAGCCAGACCCAGGCTGCAGGCCTCCCCCAGGAGCCTCCAGGATGGAGATGGAGACCCAGCAGCCCCCAGACTACTTCTATCCCTGAAAACACCTGGCCTCAATGTTGGCTTGTTATGTTACCTGCCCACCCTCATCCTTACCTCCTCCTACTCAAGCTGCCTGGAGAAGACCTGCTCTCAGCTGCCCACCGTTCCTCAGTGTGAGCAAGATTTGGGTCTCTCCAGACCTCTGGGAGGTAGGGAGTTCCCTGGCACTGGCAGCATTCAGTGGGGACCCCCCAGTGGCATGATGAATGGAGAGGATGGCTGGACCCCTTCCACTACTTATGTTTATAATTTTTTTTTTTTTTAATGAACTTGAGCCGGGTGCAGTGGCTCACACCTGTAAGCCCAGCTGTCAGGGGGCAGAAGCGGGAGGATAGCTTGAGCCCAGGAGTGCAAGACCTGCCTGGGCAATATACTGAGACCCCATTCTCCACAAAAAGGAAAAATAAAAGACAAAAAAACAAACAAAAAACCAAAAAACCCAAGTGTAAAAAAAGTGAGCTTGAAAGAAAGAAAGGGATGGCTCCATGTATCAAAGACAAAGAAATCAAAGCTGGGGTTGTAAGAGGGAGCTGACGCTGTGGGGGTTTCAGATCTGGATGGAGGCTTGGCCGCCTGGACTCCTACAACCATGAGTGACAGAAGAACCATATGAGTCTGGGGAGCAAGAAACAAACCCCCCGGATATATTCCAGGGTCTCCAAAGGCTAAGATATTAATCTGTCTGCACTGACCAGTCATAGAAAGTGGCAAGGATACAGATGTTCAGGGCCCAGAGTGGAAACAGCTGCCCTAAAGAGCCTGGAACTCCAGGGCCTGCCCTTCAAGCAGGCGTGTAGTCTCTCTCCAGGGTGTGAAAAACTGGAAAAAAACCCTGCCGCTCCCAAAGGGGAACTTGTGATAAAAATTACAGATTATTGGGCTGGGAGTGGTGGCTCACGCCTGTAATCCCAGCACTTTGGGAGGCTGAGGCGGGTGAATTACCTGAGGTCAGGAGTTTGAGGCCAGCCTGACCAACATGGTGAAACCCCATCTCTACTAAAAATACAAAAATTAACTGGGCGAGGTAGCATGCACCTGTAATCTCAGCTACTCGGAGGTTGAGGCAGGAGAATCGCTTGAGCCCGGGAGGTGGAGCTGCAGTGAGCTGAGATCACACCATTGCACCCCAGCCTGAGCAACAGATCGAGACTCCGTCTCAAAAACAAAACAAAAAAACCATACTGATTATAAAAGTAAAGAAACCACCATGAAGGAGACGAGACAGAGACAAAAACAAGAGGACTGGCATCTCAGTGTACATAATACAGCCGCCTAAGAGACCACAAGATACATGCAAATAAAAGACGGCTAAAAGGGGAAGAGAGATCAACATGCAGTAACAGGATAGTATGAAGAGAGAACCGGAAGATTTAAAAAGTAACCCAACAGGCCAGGCGCATGGCTCATGCCTGGAATCCCAGCACTTTGGGAGGCCAAGGTGGGTGGGTTGCTTGAGCTCAGGAATTCGAGACCAGCCTGGGCAACATGGTGAAACCCTGTCTCTACTAAAAATACAAAAATTAGCCAGGCGTGGTGGTGCTTGCATCTGTGGTCCCAGGTATTCTACAGGCTGAGGTGGGAGGATCACTTGAGCCCAGGAGGCAGAGGTTGCAGTGAGTCGAGATCGCACCACTGCACTCCAGCGTGGGTAACAGAGTGAGAATCCGTCAAAAAGAAAAAAACAAACCATGGCTTCTGTTAAAAAAATAAAGTATATTTTATATATACACACACACACACACACACACACACAGCCATTGGAATGAAAAAATAATGGATAAGCTAAACAGCAGATTAAACACAATTTAAAGATTAATGAACTGGAAGCTATATCTAAGAAATCACTTATAATGTAACACTGAGAGACAAAAGGATGGAAAATATTACAGGGTAGTTAAAAGTCACTGGAAGGCTGGGTGTGGTGGCTCACGCCTGTAATCCCAGCACTTTGGGAGGCTGAGACGGGCGGGTCACAGGGTCAGGAGATCGAGACCATCCTGGCTAACACAGTGAAACCCCATCTCTACTAAAAATACAAAAAAAAATTAGCTGGGCGTGGTGGCGGGCGCCTGTAGTCCCAGCTACTAGGGAGGCTGAGGCAAGAGAATGGCGTGAACCCAGGAGGCGGAGCTTGCAGTGAGCCGAGATTGCACCACTGCACTCCAGCCTGGGCTACAGAGCGAGACTCCGTCTCGGAAAAAAAAAAAAAAAAAGGTCACTGGAAGACTGGGTGTGGTGGCTTATGCCTGTAATCCCAGCATTTTGGGAGGCTAAGGCAGGAGGATCACTTGAGGCCAGGAGTTTGAGACCAGCCTAACAGCAAGACCCTGCCTCTTAAAAAAAATAATAAAAAAATAAGCTGGGTGTAGTGGCTCATGCTTGTAGTTCCAGCTATTCAGGAGGCTGAGGTGAGAGGATCATTTGAGCCCAGGAGTTGGAGGCTGCAGTGATCGTGCCACTGCACTCCAGCCTTGGTGACAGAGCAAGAGACCCTGTCTCAAAGAAAAAGACAGATAAGTCCTTGGGAGTCTCAGACGGAGGACATACATAGAGAATGAACAAGAAGCAATAACCAAAGAGATAATGGCTGAAAATTTTCCATAAAGACTTCCACAGACTTCAACTCCCCAGATTGAAGGAACAAACTGAAGTCAGAGTAGGGTAAATAAAAATAAATATATATCTGGATATATCCCATTGAAACCACAGAATATAAAAAGCAAATCTTATAAATAACTGGAGAGAAAAGTCAGATTCACGGTGTTCTGTCAAAGTGTTCATGTAGACTAAGGGTGGGGAAACTTTCTGTAAAGGGCTGGAGAATAATTATTTTCAGCTTTGAGGCTTTGGTCTCTGTTGCAGCTGCTCACGCAACTCTGCTGTTGAAGTTTGTAGTGCAAAGTCAAGTCAACAAATGAGTGTGGCTATATCAGAAATTTTAATAAATAACAGTAAAACTTCATTTATTGACATGGAAATTTGAATTTTATATAATTTTATGTCATAAAATCTTATTATTCTTTGACTTTTCTCCAACCATTACAAAATATAAAAACCACTCTGTGGACTATACCTTGCTGATTCCTAACGCAGACTTCTAATGATGGGAATCACCACTTCTGAAATTGCTTTCTGTTAAGACTGTAGAATGAAGTCGGGCGAGGTGGCTCAGGGGTTGGAGACCAGCCTGGCCAACATAGTGAAACCCTGTCTCTACTAAAAATACAAAGATTAGCTGGGCATGGTGGCATGTGCCTGTAGTCGCAGCTACTGAGAAGGCTGAGGCATGAGAATCGCTTAAACCGGGAGGCAGAGGATGCAGTGAGCCGAGATCGGGCCACTGCACTCCAGCCTGGGAGACAGTGAGACTCGTCTCAAAAAAAAAACAAAAAAAAAAAAAACAAGGAGTAAAAAGTTGTTAGCTGCGATTCTGTGTTAATTGCCTGTTTGTTCATATTCAATGGTTTTTGTCATTTTTCCTTTTTCCTATGTTTGTTCTGATTATATTTATTGAAATGTAATTTTATGTCTAATTAATCTGATAAACTGTGGACTTGTATTCTGTATTTTTTTTTTTTTTGGAGACAGAGTCTCGCTCTGTCGCTCAGGCTGGAGTGTAGTGGCGTGATCTCGGCTCACTGCAACCTCTGCCTCCCGGGTTCAAGCGATTCTCCTGCCTCAGCCTCCTGAGTAGCTGGGATTACAGGTGCGCACCACCATGCCCGGTAATTTTTTTGTATTTTTAATAGAAATGGGATTTCACCCTGTTGGCCAGGCTGGTCTCGAACTCCTGACCTCATGATTCACCTGCCTCGGCCTCCCAAAGTGCTGGGATTGCAGGCATGAGCCACCACGCCCAGCCTCTGTATGTTTTTTATTTCATTTTTCTAGTTTTTAAAATTTTTATGTTATTTATTTATTTATTTTTTAAATAGGTCTCAGTCTGTCTTCCAGGCTGGAGTGCAGTGGTGCAATCATGACTCCACTGCAGCCTCCCAGGCTCCGTGATCCTCCCACTCCAGCCTCGCAAGTGGGTGGGACTACAGGCGCCCCACCATGCCTGGCTAAGTTTTTGTATTTTTTGTAGAGATGGGGTTTTCCCATGTTTCCCAGGTTGGTCTCGAACTCCTGGGCTCAAGTGATCCTCCCACCGTGGCCTCTCAAAGTGCTGGGATTACAGGCATGAGGCACGGCACCCGGCTAGTTCTTCTTATGAAAGTACTGGACCGTGATGGATTAGAAATGAAAACTGGTCCTTTACCATAGCTAGTTGGGGGACCACTGGTTTAGGAGTTCCTGCATCCAATGGGTGCCCCCTAAGTGCCTTGAATGGGGGATGAGGGTGGGAAGTCTGCGGGGCCTGGAAAGGTGGGAGCGAGAGCAAGAGTCTGGGTGTCCATTCCTCTAACTCAGAATCCTGAAGGCCCCGCTGTGTTGGGTGCTGCAGACAGTGGTTTGTGGGACCCGTGTTTTGGTGGGGGAGATAGACAGTACGGGCAGGTGCACCAACAGGGCCTCCCAACCCTTGCTCACTCAGCCAGCCTCTTGGTTGGCCGGTAGGGGAGACCAGCTCAGTGCCGGTTTCCTTCTCCCTCCCCGACAGTGTCATGGGAAGAGCCCTGGGCTACGTTCCTAATTCTACCTACCACCTGCTGGCTGTCCTTGGGTGAGTCAGTCCTTATCTGTAAAATGGGACGGAGGTAGTGAAGATTACAAGATATAACCCGTGTTCAGTGCTTAGCGCAGGGCCTAGTATATTTTCTTTTCTTTTTTTTTTTTTAAATAGAGATGGGTTCTCGCCATGTTGTCCAGGTTGGTCGCGAACTCCTGGGCTCAAGCGATCCTCCCACCTTGGCCTCTCAAAGTGCTAGGATTACAGGCTTGAGCCACCGTGCCCGGCCATCCTGGGGTCTTTCAACAAATTGATAACTGGTAGCTACTATGATCTCAGATTTCAGGTTTCTCAAAGATTCTGTTTCTTGTTTCGTAAGATTCTGAAATGCTGATGTTCCAAAATTCTGAGATGGTTTGTTTCTAACGTTCTGCATTTCTAAGTCTTTGACCACTGAGGGTGTCTGTCAGGCGCGGCTTCCTATGCCCTCTGCCCCCAGGTTCTCCCAACCTCTGGGACTGGGAAGGAGGGCAGTGGGTGGAGGGGGCTGGGCCATTGCCTTGACATGGCCCACATTCAGGGCTGGCTGTGGCAGCCCAGGGCCCCAGAGCCAGGCTGGAACTAGGATACCAGCCTCCAGGTCCCAGGCCTGCGTCATCTCTGCGTGCCCTCGGCCAGGGCCACCAGACAGAGACGGGCTGGTTGAGTCATCCAAGGGCTGGGGGTGGGGCAGGCTGTTCCGGCCGGCTCCTGGCTGGCAAGGCAGGAGTCCTACGCCCAGCTCTGCCCCTAACATGCCCCGTGCCCTTGGGCAAGCCTCAGCATCAGGGCTGCCACGCGTTCGGTGGTGCTCGAAGCCCTTCAGCGTCAGGGTCAGTCCTTGGGAGGGGGGCTGTGGTCAGGCTGGTGGGCTGGGCTAGCAGTGGCAGGACAGGAGGAGAGCAATTGCCTCTGGTGGAATTAATTACTCTTTTATTAGCACAAAATAACAGCAACCTAGCAGCCGCACGGCCCGAGAATAAGTTAAGGCACAGAGCAGGCGACGGGCGGCTTTCCCAGGGCCAGGCCTGCATGCCCCGAACTTCCTGAGCAAACTCCCTAGGGGCTGGGGTTTCGAGGGTCCTGGAGGGCCTCTTCCCTTGAGATGAGGGGAACGGAACAGGGCAAGAGGGGCGCCCCCATGGGCGCAAGGGGTCCACGCTGCGCCGCGATCACTTCTCGAAGTAGGGCAGGTAGAAGAACTGGAAGCCCCGGTGGCCCTTGACCGCGCAGTAGATGAAGATCACGTGATAGACTGCGGGGCGGGGCCTGTCAGCGCAGAAGCCCCGCCCCTCCCCGCAACACCGCCCCCAGTGCCGCCCCACAGCCCCCGCCCCTTCCGCCCCGGTGCCCGCTCGCACCTCCAGGCACCAACAACAGGAAGCCCGGCACGAAGAAGATGGCGCTGGAGACACCTGCGGGAGGGACCAGAGCCCGGTCAGGGCGAGGGGGCGGAGGCTTCGAGGCCTTCCGGGCTGCCGCTGACTGCCCGGGCAAGCCTCACTCCCAGCTGAAAAGGAGCCGTGTACTGCCGGGAGGTGGGAGGGCTTGCCGTGGACCCGTGGACACAAGACAGGGGTGTCCTCTGCCTGTGGGGGCGGGAGGGTCGCTCACCTGGAGAGGGGGTCGCCTCCAGTCCCACGCCGACCAGGATCAGCACTGCACACAGACGGAGCCGCGGGGGTGGGGGCAGGAGCAGTGGTGAGGGCGGGGGCTCCCACCCCCAGCCCGGCTCACCCACCACCTGAGCTGAAGGTGCCCTAGGCAGAGACCCTCCCCAGGAAGCTCACCAAGCTCTGTTTCCAGAGCAAGGCACTGAGCAGGCCCTGGGAAGTGTGTGAAAGGAGAGATTTTTCTTTGTTCCTTGGGGTGGGCTTTTAGTCATTCAGCAAACATTTATGGAACACCTACTGCGTGCCTGGTACTGGGAATTCCGCCCTGAAGGGCAGATAAGGTCCCTGCCCTCATGGCCCGTCCTTAGTGGAGGAACCAATAAGAACCTGAAAGCTAACAGTACAGGTGATTGGGATATAGGGGGTAAGAACAGGGCAGTGCAGGAGTCCTGGGTCCCCAGTTAGAAGAGTGATGGGGGAATGAGGAGCTGGACTTTGGGCTCTGCAACAAGGGGGGTAGTAAGCCTGGGGGACTGGGGGGCCACCATGGACTGCTTTGTGCATTGCCCAGACTACTTCAAAAAGGGTGGGCCAGGTGTGGTGGCTCATGCCTGTAATCCCAGTGCTTCAGGGAGCCAAGGCAGGAAGATCGCTTGAGGCCAGGAGTTTGAAGCCAGCCTGGGCAACATACCAAGATCCCCATCTCTATAAAAGGTTAAAAAAAAATTAGCCCAGCCCAGGCGTGGTGACTCATGGCTGTAATCCTAGCACTTTGGGAGGCTGAGGCAGGAGGATCACTTGAGTTCAGGAGTTCAAGACCAGCCTGGGCAACATAGTGAGACCTTGTCTCTATTATTATTTTAAAAAAAAAAAAATTAGCTGAGCATGGTGGTACATGCCTGTAGTCCCAGCTACTAGGGAGGCTCAGCTGGGAGGATGGCTTGAGTCCAAGAGTTTGAGGCTGCAGTGATCATACCACAGCTCTCCAGCTTGGGCAACAGAACAAGACCCTGTCTCTAAAAAATAAAAAGGGCTGGGCGTGGTGGCTCACGCCTGTAATCCCAACACTTTGGGAAGCTGAGGTGGGTGGATCACCTGAGGCCAACATGGTGAAACCCCATCTCTACTAAAAAAATACAAAAAATTAGCCAGGTGTGGTGGCGCGCGCCTGTAATCCCAGCTACTCTGGAGGCTAAGGCATGAAAATCCCTTGAACCCAGGAGGCAGAGGTTGCAGTGAGCCGAGATTGCGCCACTACACTCCTGCCTGGGCGACAGAGCAAGACTCCTCCTCAAAAAATAAATAAATAAAAATAAAGGGGTATAGGGTATGATGGGGGCTGAAACTCACTCCCTGCACCCTACAAAGGCCCTCTAAGGCGCTCTGGTAGCCCCAGGCTTGCCTTGCTGGGTTGAGGGGAAAAATGAAAGAACTTGGCAGCACTACCAGGGCCAGTGTACAGCGGTGCTGGGAAGTGGCAGCCCCCTCCCCCACACTCAAACACCCTGAGCAGAGGCCAGACTCTGTGCCAGGGGCCTGGCTGGCTGGGGAGCCTTGGCCTTCCTGGAGAAGCGGAGAGATGAGCCAGGGTAGCAGCCACAGTTAGTCCCTTCTTATGGATCACTCGTGACCCCAACCCTGGATCCTTTCTGGGGACTCTGCCTCCTCTACCCCAAAGAACGAGGTGCCTGGGAGCCAAAGAACACCTGGTGTGAGATCTGCCTGCTCTGGACCAAAAGTTCCCCCATCTGAGCAATGGGTAGGAGAGGGGTGCTTGTCAGTGCTTAGATGCCAGACAAGGGGAAGTGCCAGGTGCCCTGCGGCTCTGCACTGGCTGGGCACTCGGCATCCCTGAGCCCCTACACGTGGCTTCTGGGCACCACCTCACTTGTAGGACTTCTGTAAGATGGGAAAATAAAACTGCCCTGCACCTTGCCCAGAGTAGACACAGAATAAATGGTAGCTGCTACTCTTCTGTCCTCTAATGGATTTAAACAGGTTAAATTTTTTAAAAAAGGAAAAGTCTTTGCAGTGATAAGCCAGGTTCCATTTTCAGCTATGTGTGATTTCCTGGCTGTGTGCCCAGGTCACAAGGCCTCTGTCTCCTCACCTGTAAAATGGGAGTGTGATGATGGCAGCCAGCTGCCTCCTCAGGATGCTGGGAGGCTCAGTGTCAAGGGGGAGGCAGAGCCTGTACAAAAGGAGGGCAGAGCCTCCCACGGGGCCCCTCTTGACCCCAACCCTCAGGGCCACTCACCCAGCCCCAGCAGCAGGAGCAGGAAGGAGGCCAGCACCACTCGGCGGTTCTTCTGGATCAAAGGGTGTTGGGTCCAGCTGGGTGGCAGGAGAGCAGGGTGAATGTGAAGGAGGTGGAGGGAGGGGGTGCAGGAGGCTGTGGGGGTGGAGCCAGGGCTGCTCGGCTGGGGGCTTAGGCGGGCAGGCTCACCTGCAGCAGGTGTTGTAGGAGCGCTGGGTGCTGCTGCTGATGGTGCTGAAGGACCACTGGGAGCTGCGGATGGAAGTTCGGCTGGAATCCCTGCCAGGACAGGCGCCCAGTGAGGGGCAGGGAGGCAAGGACGGGGTTGCTTTGGGACAGGAGTCCTGATGAAGTGCAGGGCATGGTGCAGGGACTGGGGCTGGCCCCTTGCAGGATAGTGGGCCCTGAGAGGCCTCGGTGGGTGAGCATGAATTCAGGGGCTGGGGATGAGCTAGGGGATTCTGTAGGACAGGTGACCTGTATGAAGGTGGGGGCCAGACCAGACTGGGGGTTTCTGAAAGAGGTGAGTACAGCTGGGCACTAGGGTAGGGTGACCCTACAGTGTAGGAGACCCTGTGAGGAAAGTGAGGGTCAGGCTAGGAATCAATAGGACGGGATGGAAGAGAGTGAGTGAAGTGGGGTGGGTGACTGAGCAGGGTCCCTGGGGATAGGAGCTGGGGCTGGGGTACAGGGTTGGGTCCCCACCTGGCCCTAACCTGGTGCCGACTCCCCCATCCGGCTCCGGAGAGGCCTGGGCTCCATCCTCATCGTTCTCCAGGTTCTGTTGCAGAACACAGGTCTCAGGGGGGTTGCTGGGCTGGGGCCCTTCCTCACTCCCTCCCGGGAAGAGAAAAGCAGGCCTACACAACCATTTGCCTGGCCGCCTGGCAGCTGTTCACCTGGCCCTCTGCCCTCCCCGCAGAACGGGTTTGGTGATTCACAGAAACCAGGTAGGAGGTGGGTGGATGCCAGGGCTTTGGGGAGCAGGAGCCTGCATAGATCCCAGGGAAAGGAGAGCTCCCAACTTTGGGTTAGGGTGGAGCTCTCATTCAGTGGCCTAGAATGGGAGCTTGGGAATTGGGGTGCCAGGAAAGGCCAGGCCCAGAGTTCCCAGGTTCAAGGCACAGGGTTCTGGTCCAGGTCTCCAAGAAAAGCAGCCTAGGGTTGGTGGAGGTTTTCTGGGAAAATGGGTTTTTCTGGTTTAGTGGGAGCCAAAGGGTGGGCAAGGACTGGTCATGTGAGAGGAGCTCCAGCTCTTAGGGGTGGTGGTGGGATTAGGGAGAGGGCTTTCAGAATAGAGAAAGGCGTGCGGGTTCCCATCAGCTTAGCTGGCCTGGGGCACAGGGGATGCTCCTGCGTGTGGGGCAAGGTCTGGTTCAGATACAGAGGAGCTCCCCCAACCCAGCGGGGGCCAGGTGCGAGTAGCCAGGATGAGTGGGGAATCCGGTTGGGTTCCCCAGCTGGAGCTGAGGGATGAGCTCCCGGGCCCGGGCACTGGGCTCTTCCCGGCTGGCTGGGGCCCGGTATGGGAACCGGGAGGGCCTGGGCAGGGCTCTGGATCAAGAGTCACGTCCGCGGGGCGGGGGGGCGGTCTCGCGCTTCAGCTGGGGCCTCTAGGCAGATGCTTCCCCGAGTTGAGGCCTTTGGGGCCCGGCCTGGGGTCCCGTCCGGCCGGGGGCAGGGGGTTAGGTGGGCCGGGCGGTTCACCTGGTAGCGCAGCCGGGACTGCTTGTCCTCGTCAGCCACCTCGAACCGGGCCCGACGCTCGAAGTGCAGCGGCCCAAAGCGCGCGACCCCGCTGGACTCGGGCCCAGGGCCCCCGTCCTCCAGGGACAGCTCGAAGGCATCATCAATGCTGAACTGGGGCCGGGCGGCGCTCATGGCCCCGGCCCGCTCAGGCGCCGTGCGCCGCCGCCATCTGCGCCCACACACCCAGCGTCGCCGCTGCCCCGCCCCCGCATGCCCCGCCCCTCCGACCCTGGCTCCGCCCCACGCGCCGGTCCCGCCCCCGTCCGCCCTAAGCAGGCCAGAGTTGCCGAGCCCTGAGCGGGCTGATGGGTGGGAGCCTCTTCCAGACGGAGCGCGCCCGCCCCGTGACGCCACTCAGTGGCCGCCATGGCAAGCGACAGCCCGTGCCGGGCTCGGACACATCCCCCAGGCGTGTATGTGCGGGGGCTTGGAGGGGCTTCCACGCCCCAACCTCCAGGTCCCTGACAGGGCCTTTTGCACCGCAGCCTGTTCCTCGAGTGCCAAGGAGACTCCTGGGAACTGTTTCCCCACCTTACTCACAACAGCCCCGCACCGGAGGGGTGCTCTCCCCATTTTTGCAAATGTGGAAACCGAGGCTCAGAGAGCTTATGTGTCTTCCAATTTCCAGTCAGTCTCCACGCAGCAGCCGAAGTGATCTTTTAAAACAAATCTTTTTATCTGCGTGTGTTATTCTGAAAACCCTTTTTAAAAATTTTGCTGCTGGCCTGGCTCGGTGGCTCACTCCTGTAATCCCAGCACTTTGGGAGGCCGAGGCGGGTGGATCACTTGAGGTCAGGAGTTCAAGACCAGCCTGGCCAAAAGGCGAAACCCCGTCTTTACTAAAAATACAAAAATTAGCCGGGCGTGGTAGTGCATGCCTATAGTCCCAGCTACTTGGGAGGCTGAGGCAGAAGAATTGCTTGAACCCGGGAGGCAGATGTTGCAGTGAGCCGAGATTGAGCCACTGCACTCCAGCCTGGGCGACAGAGCAAGACTCCGTCTCAAAAAACAAAACAAAACAAACAAAAAAACCTTCCCTTGGTTTTCCATTGCACTTAGAATAAAATCTGAACTCTTGGCAGGGCACGGTGGCTCACACTTTGGGAGGCCAAGGAGAGTGGATCACTTGAGGTCAGGAGTTTGAGACCAGCCTGGCCAACATGGTGAAACCCAGTCTCTACTAAAAATACAAAAATTAGCTGGGCACGGTGACCAGTGCCTGTAATCCCAGCTACTTGGGAGGCTGAGGCAGGAGAATCGCTTGTACCCTGGAGGCAGAGGTTGTAGTGAGTGGAGATCACACCACTGCACTCCAGCCTGGGCAACAGAGCAAGACTCCATAAAAAAAAAATGAACCGTGGTGGGGGGCGGTGGGGGTGGAAGAGCAGAAGTACTCTATGAATTAGGTGGACCTGGTTTCAAATCCCCATTCTACCACTTGTAAGTACTTGGGACTTTGGCAAACCCCTCATTCATTTCTGCCACAAGTATTTATTAAGCATCTATTTAGGGCCAAACACTGTTTTGGGCACTATAGATACAGTGGTGAATAAAACAGTGCAAAATGAGACAGTTTCAAGTGCTGTGTGATGCAAAACTGACTTTAGATTTCGTACTCAAAGATGACCTTTCCAAGAGGTGACATTTGAGCAGGAATGCCGATGATGAAGGAGCCAGCTGTGAGAAAAGCAAGGTTCAGTGTTTTCCTGGCACCAGGGAACAGCACGTTCAAAGGCCAGGAGGTGGGAAGGAGCTTGGCCTGTGGAGGAAGAATGTGAGAAAACCAGTGTGGCTGAGCAGCAAGGAAAGGGGCAGGCCGACTTGATGAGCCTGGGAGGAGTAGATGGGCCCCAGAGCCTTGAGAGCTTTATGGACCTTAGTCAAGAGTTCTTTTTTGTTTTTGTTTTTTTCGACACAGGGTCTCGCTCTGTTGCCCAAGCTGGAGTGCGATCTCAGCTCACTGCAACCTCCACCTCCTGGGTTCAAGTGATTCTCCTGCCTCAGCCTCCCGAGGAGGCTGGGATTACAGGCATGAGCCACAGTGCCCTGCCTTATTATTATTATTATTATTATTATTATTTTTGAGACAGAGTCTCGCACCGTCACCCGGGCTGGAGTGCAGTGGCAAGATCTCGGCTTGCTGCAACCTCCGCCCCCTGGGTTCAAGCGATTCTCCTGCCTCAGCCTCCCCTGTAGCTAGGATTACAGGCGTGATCTGCCCACCTCGGCCTCCCAAGGTGCTGGGTATGAGCCACCACACCCGGCCTCATGTTCATTTTATGGCCTCATGTACAGAGCTGAGTCAAGTCTACTTCTGTTTGTTACACATCAACACTATGAATAAGGCCCCTCTCGAGTTATGTTAATTCACTTACCCTCTTTCACTTCCCAGGTTCCTTCCTCTCCCCTGCCTTCCATCAGACCCATGTCAGCATGCTCAGTCGGCGTCCTTAAAGCCTGCCTGGCTCTGTACCATGTATGGCACTGTCTCCTATGTGGATGTGTTTGCAATTTACAAACATGATGTCATGCAGAAAATTCAGTTCTGTTACTTACACGTTTACATTTTTGCTCTCGATGCTGTTTTCCATATGCATTTGTTTATTGTTTCTACAGGCTACATGCATGTTGTACCATGTTGAGTGTCTAGCACCTTTATGATCCACCTCACCTCCACAGTGTTGTACACTCAAACTGGCCTCAACCCCGCCATCACAGGCATCACTGCAGTTAACATCTTCCTGCTGTCCCCTTATGGACTGTGGGAGAATTCCCCTTGGGGTAGGATTTCCAGGTTATAGGGCACACGCACTCATGACTTCACAGGGTACCACAGATGCTCTCCTGAGTGGCTGTGAGAGTTGACACTCCACCTGAGGCTTCTGGTTCTCTCAGGACTTGGTACCATCCAACTTTTTAATGGCTTGCCGATCTGATGAATTTAAAGTGGTACCTCATGTTCCTCTGGGTTCTCTGATGGCTGGAGAGTTTGAGCTGCTCTTTGTGCCCTTGTCAGCCATTGGGTGTCCCTTGTCTGTGAACTGGCTTTTCATATCTTTGGTCTTTCTTTTTGCTATTGGGTTTCTAGCCTTTTTCCACTAATTTGCATATCAACATATCTAATCATTAATTCCTTGCTGGTTTATGACCTTGCACATATTTCCTATCTGTCTGTCTTTGACTCTTTGTCTAACATGCTCTCAAAGAATAATCACTCCTTTTCAGGCTGGGTGCAGTGGCTCATGTCTGTAATCCCAGCACTTTGGGGAAGCTGAGGCAGGAGGATCACTTGAGGCCAGGAATTCAAGATCAGCCTCAGCGTAGCAAGGCTGATGCAGGGCAGGTGATCCCCAAAATTGGGGCTTAGCCCAAGAGAGTGCTTGGCTTCACCTGGGAAAGAATTCAAGGGTGAGCTGGTGGTGTTAGACAGCAACTTAAACATTTTTTAAAATTTTTTATTTTTTTAAGACTGAGCCTTGCTCTGTCGCCCAGGCTGGAGTGCAGTGGTGTGATCTCGGCTCACTGCAATCTCTGCCTCTTGGGTTCAAGCGATTCTTCTGCCTCAGCCTCCCAAGTGGCTTGGATTACAGGCGTCTGCCACCACGCCCAGCTAATTTTTGTATTTTTAGTAGAGACAGGATTTCGCCATTTTGGCCAGGCTGGTCTCCATCTTCTGACCTCAGTTGATCTGCCCACTTCAGCCTCCCAAAGTGCTGGGATTACAGGCGTGAGCCACCGTGCCTGGCCTTATTTTTTACTTATTGGAAAGCAACTTTTACAGAAGCAGCAGCGCACAGCAGCAGCACAGGCGTCGCTCCTTGTGGAGCAGGGCCATCCCACAGGCAGTGTGCCCCCAGCAGCTGCTCAGAGGCAGTTCTGCAGCCATATTTATGCCCACTTTTAATTACATGCAAATTGAGGGGTGAATTATCCAGAAATTTCTAGGGAAAGAGTGGTAACTTCTGGGCCGTCAGGTCATTGCCACCGAAGGGGGTGGTAACTTCTAGGTGTTGCCATGGCAATGGTAAACTGACATGCACTGGTCTTACGGGTCTTAGGTCTTATGGAGAGGTGCTTTCACCTCTTCCCTGTTTTATTTTTTTGAGACGGAGTCTCCCTCTGTTGTCCAGGCTGGAGTGCAGTGGCACGATCTAGGCTCACTGCAACCTCCACCTCCTGGGTTCAAGCGATTCTCTGCCTCAGCCTCCGGAGTAGCTGGGATTACAGGCATCCGCCACTACACCCAGCTAAGTTTTGTATTTTTAGTAGAGATGGTGTTTTACCATGTTGGCCAAACTGGTCTCAAATTCCTGGCCTCAAGTGATCCACCTGCCTCACCCTCCCAAAGTGCTGGGATTACAGGCATGAGCCACCATGCGCAGCATTCCCTGTTTTAGCTAGTTCTCAATCTGGTCTGGTGTCTGTGTCCCACCTCCAGAGCTGAGTCCTGCCACCTACCTCATTCCTCGCTCAGAGATTAGATACTCCTTCTTAATCTTAAGAGGGCAGCGGAAGGGCAGAGATCCATCTTCTGTAACTGCTTCCTGTTGAGTTTATGGGCATAGCCCCTTCCTAGCACTGGAGAGGTAAAAATCTCCAGATACCCGGTCGGGTGCAGTGGCTCATGCCTGTAATCCCAGAACTGTGGGAGGCTGAGGCGGGTGGATCACAAGGTCAGGAGGTCGAGACCATCCAGGCCAACATGGTGAAACCCTGTCTCTACCATCCTGGCTAACACAGTGAAACCCCATCTCTACTAAAAATACAAAAAATTAGCTGGGCGTGGTGGCAGGCCCCTGTAGTCCCAGCTACTTGGGAGGCTGAGGCAGGAGAACGGCGTGAACCCGGGAGGTGGAGGTTGCAGTGAGCTGAAATCGCGCCACTGCACTCCAGCTTGGGCGACAGAGCGAGACTCCGTCTCAAAAAACAAACGAACAAAAAAAAGAAACCCCGTCTCTACTAAAAATACAAAAATTAGCTGGGCATGGTGGCAGACGCCTGTAATCCCAGCTACTTGGGAGGCTGAGGCAGAGAATCTCTTGAACCCGGGAGGTGGAGGTTGCAACGAGCCAAGATCTCGCCTCTGGACTCCAGCCTGGGTGACAGAGCGAGACTCTGTCTCAAAAAAAAAAAAAAAAAAAAAAAAAAAATCTCCTGATACCCGATCTAAGGGTCCAAAAGACAGGATACTTTCATTACCCAGGTCAGTAGATGAATGGGTCGGAAGCCTTGTGCCAGCATTGTGTTTACCTGAAACTGTTGCAATCTCAAAGACTTACTAAGAGTTTAAACAACCACAGCCAAAAATTAGGAATAACAAGATGGCTATCAAAGGTCCTAGGAGAGGTAAAAAACCAGGTGAGACTCGGGAAGGCATTTTTGATAGTTGACCAGATATTGCTGGGGTTGGTGCTATGGTTCTATCTATGTAGCCAAGTAGCTTGTTCATAGATCTTTCGAATGTTAGCCTCAGTCTGTTTGGAGCTGGTAAGACATGTGCAGCAGGTTTTATTAATAACTGCACAAACTTCACCTTGTTCAGCTAGTAAATAATCTAATGCTAATCTGTTACAGAGAACTATGTTTGCCAAAGAGTCTAGAAATTCTTGAATTCCCTTTAAGGCCTGACCCGTGTTGGTGGCTAAGGATTCTAGGGTTTGAGTCAAGTTCTTTACGGTTGACTCGTGGTAAGCAAGGCCACCCTAGGGTGCCACCAGTCCTATTGTTGCCCTGATTCCCGCCAAAATTAATCCTATTGCTCACTTACTTCTGCTGTTCTTGGGTCTTATGGGGTTATAGACTGTGACCTCTGGAGGGGCAAGGGTAGCTATTGTACATTCGCCTCTGTTCCAAGTTTTTTTTTTTTTTTTTAGACAAAGTCTCAAAAAAATTAGCAGGGCATGGTGGTGGGTGCCTGTGGTTCCTGCTACTCGGGAGGCTGAGGCAGGAGAATCGCTTGAACCAGAAGGCGGAGGTTACAGTGAGCCGAGATTGTGCCACTGCACTCCAGCCTGGATGACAGGGCAAGATTCCCGTTTTTTTTTTTTTTTTTTTGAGATGGAGTCTTGCTCAGCCACACAGGCTGGAGGGCAGTGGGGTGATCTCGGATCACTGCAACCTCTGCCTCTTGAGTCCAAGTGATTCTCCCGTCTCAGCCTCTCGAGTAGCTGGGATTACAGGTGCCCACCACCATGCCCAGCTAATTTATATATATTTATATAATATATAAATATATAATATATATTATATACAATATATATTATATAATATATGATAATATATATAATATACATAATATAATATATTATATATATATTTTTTTGAGATGGAGTCTCTCTCTGTCGCCCAGGCTGGAGTGCAGTGGCGCAATCTCGGCTTACTGCAAGCTCCGCCTCCCGGGTTCATGCCATTCTCCTGCCTCAGCCTCCAGAGTAGCTGCAACTACAGGCGCCCGCCACCACGCCCGGCTAATTTTTTGTATTTTTAGTAGAGACGGGGTTTCACTGTGTTAGCCAGGATGGTCTCGATCTCCTGAGCTCGTGATCCGCCCGCCTCTGCCTCCCAAAGTGCTGGGATTACAGGTGTGAGCCACTGCGCCCGGCCAATTTTTATATTTTTAGTACAGACGGGGTTTCACCATGTTGGCCAGGCTGGTCTTGCACTCCTGACCTCATGTGATCTGCCTGCCCCGGCCTCCCAAAGTACTGGGATTAGGTGTGAGCCACTACCACTGGCCGCTCCAAACAACCAGTTCTTTTTCCCTCTGGACTGTGGTGCCATCTTTATCATACAGCAGTTGTAGAGCTGCCTACACATATGTATGTTCTAAGCTCTCTTTTTGGTTCCTTTTGAGAGGTGACAGCCTGCTGGCAGCCCTCACAGCCCTTGCTCGCTCTCGGCGCCTCCTCGGCCTTGGTGCCCACTCTGGCTGCGCTTGAGGAGCCCTTCAGCCCGCCGCTGCACTGTGGGAGCCCCTTTCTGGGCTGGCCAAGGCCAGAGCTGGCTCCCTCAGCTTGCGGGGAGGTCTGGAGGGAGAAGCGCGGGCGGGAACCGGGGCCGCGCGCGGTGCTTGCGGGCCAGCGCGAGTTCCGGGTGGGCGTGGGCTCGGCAGGCCCCGCACTCCGAGCGGCCGGCCCGCCCGCCGGCCCTGGGCAGTGAGGGGCTTAGCACCTGGGCCAGCAGCTGCTGTGCTCGACTTCTCGCTGGGCCTTAGCTGCCTCCCCGCGGGGCAGGGCTCGGGGACCTGCAGCCCGCCATGCCTGAGCCTCCCCACAGCCCCGCCGTGGGCTCCTGCGCAGCCTGAGCCTCCGCGACGAGCGACGCCCCCTGCTCCAGGGCGCCCAGTCCCATCGACCACCCAAGGGCTGAGGAGTGCGGGCGCACGGTGCGGGACTGGCAGGCAGCTCCACCTGCAGCCACGGTGCGCGATCCACTGGGTGAAGCCAACAGAGCTCCTGAGTCTGGTGGGGACTTGGAGAACCTTTACGTCTAGCTAAGGGATTGTAAATACACCAATGGGCACTCTGTATCTAGCTCAAGGTTTGTAAACACACCAATCAGCACCCTGTGTCTAGCTCAGGGTTTGTGAATGCACCAGTCAACACTCTGTATCCAGCTGCTCTGGTGGGGACTTGGAGAACCTTTGTGTGGATACTCTGTATCTAGCTAATCTAGTGGGGACGTGGAGAACTTTTTTGTCTAGCTCAGGGATTGTAAACGCACCAATCAGCACCCTGTCAAAACGGACCAATCAGCTCTCTGGAAAATGGATCAATTGGCTCTCTGTAAAGTGGCCCAATCAGCAGGATGTGGGTGGGGCTAGATAAGAGAATAAAAGCAGGCTGCCCGAGCTATCGGTGGCAACTGGCTCGGGTTGTTTTGCACACTGTGGAAGCTTTATTCTTTTGCTCTTTGCAATAGCTCTTGCTGCTGCTCATACTTTGGGTCAACACTGCGTTTGTGAGCTGTAACACTGACCGCGAAGGTCTGCAGCTTCACTCCTGAAGCTAGCGAGACCCTGAACCCACCAGAAGGAAGAAACTCCGAAAACATCCGAAAATAAGAAGGAACAAACTCCGGACACGCCTCCTTTAAGAACTGTAATACTCACTGCGAGGGTCTGCAGTTTCATTCTTGAAGTCAGTGAGACCAAGAACCCACCAATTCCGGACACACTTTGACCCACTTCACTAATTCTCACCAGTATCTTATCCTTGTCTGTACGGTTTTCGGTGTGGTTTAATGCAAGAGACCAAGCCCCTTCTCCTTGGTCATCTTGTTCAAACTTGACTTAGCTTTTCATGGACCTTTATTTTTTATAGAAATGTTACAAAAATGTTTTCCGAGTTCTTAAAAAATCCTCCCAATTTCTTTTTTTCTTTTTTTTTTTAATTGATCATTCTTGGTGTTTCTCGCAGAAGGGGATTTGGCAGGGTCATAGGACAGTAGTGGAGGGAAGGTCAGCAGATAAACAAGTGAACAAAGGTCTCTGGTTTTCCTAGGCAGAGGACCCTGCGGACTTCCGCAGTGTTTGTGTCCCTGGGTACTTGAGATTAGGGAGTGGTGATGACTCTTAACGAGCATGCTGCCTTCAAGCATCTGTTTAACAAAGCACATCTTGCACCGCCCTTAATCCATTTAACCCTGAGTGGACACAGCACATGTTTCAGAGAGCACAGGGTTGGGGGTAAGGTCACAGATCAACAGGATCCCAAGGCAGAAGAATTTTTCTTAGTACAGAACAAAATGAAAAGTCTCCCATGTCTACTTGTTTCTACACAGACACAGCTACCATCCGATTTCTCAATCTTTTCCCCACCTTTCCCCCCTTTCTATTCCACAAAACCGCCATTGTCATCATGGCCCGTTCTCAATGAGCCGTTGGGTACACCTCCCAGACGGGGTGGTGGCCGGGCAGAGGGGCTCCTCACTTCCCAGGAGGGGCGGCCGGGCAGAGGTGCCCCTCACCTCCCGGATGGGGTGGCTGGCCGGGCGAAAAAATTCTCCTGATTTCTATTTGGATTTCATTGAATTTCTAGATTAATTTCAGAAGCAATCACATCTTTGTGTTGAGTTGTTCTATTTATTAACAAGATACGTCTCTTCAGTTATTGAGATCTTCTTTTGTGTTATAAAATCTTGTTTTTCAGGCTGGGCACAGTGACTCATGCCTGTAATCCCAGCACTTTGGGAGGCCGAGGCAGGCGGATCACCTGAGGTCAGGAGTTCGAGACCACCCTAGTCAACATGGTGAAACCCTGTCTCTACTAAAAATACAAAAATTAGCTGGGAATGTTGGCAGGCACCTGTAGTCCAAGCTACTTGGGAGGCTGAGGCAGGAGAATTACTTGAACCCTGGAGGCAGAGGTTGCAGTGAGCTGAGATCGCGCCACTGCATTCCAGCCTGGCGACAGAGCAAGCCTCCATCTCAAAAAAAAAAAAAAAAAAAAAAATTTGTTTTTCTTCAAAAAGTTCTGAGTTGTGTTTGTATTTCCTACTTCATGGGTTTTATTGCTGTTGTGAATGATACTTTAGTCTCTCCCTTTTTTTTCTCTTTGAGTTGGAGTCTCCGTCGTCCAGGCTGGAGTGAAGTGGTGTGATTATGGCTCACTGCAGCCTCCGCCTTCCAGGTTCAAGCTATTCTCCTGCCTCAGCCTCCCGAGTAGCTGGGATTACAGGCATGTGCCACCATGCCTGGCTAATTTTTGTATTTTTAGTAGAGATGGGGTTCCACCATGTTGGCCAAGCTGGTCTTGAACTCCTGACCTCAAGTGATCTGCCTGCCTCAGCCTCCCGAAGTGCTGGGATTACAGGTGTCAGCTACCATGCCTGGCCCTTTATATTCTATTATACTTTTCAGTTGCTTATTGCTGGTGTGAAGAGTACTATTAATTTTTGTTAGCTTTTTTTTTTTTGGAGACGGAGTTTCGCTCTTTCTTGCCCAGGCTGGAGTGCAGTGGCACAACCTCGGCTTACTGCAACCTCCGCCTCCTGGGTTCAAGCGATTCTCCTGTCTCAGCCTCCCGAGTAGCTGGGATTACAGGCACCCGCCACCACACCCAGCTAATTTTTGTATTTTTAGTAGACACGGGGGTTCCACGATGTTGGCCAGGCTGGTCTTGAACTCCTGACCTCAGGTGACCCGCCCACCTCAGCCTCTTAAACTGCTGGGATTACAGGTGTGAGCCGCTGCGCCCGGCCGCTTTTTTTTTTTTTTTATTTTATCCCTGTAACATTGCTGAACTCTGGGTTTTTTGTTTCCGTTTTTGAGATAGGGTCTCACTCTGTCGCCCAGGGTGGAGTGCAGTGGTCTGATCATGGCTCACTGCAGCCTCAGCCTCATGGGCTCAAGGGATCCTCCTGCCTCCCAAGTAGTTAGAACCACAAGCGCGTGGTACCATGCCCAACTACATTTTTTGATTTATTTGTAGAGACAGGGTCTTGCTATGTTGCTCAGGCTGCTCTCGAACTCCTGGCCTCGAGTAATCCTCCTGCCTTGACTTCTAAAATTGTTGGGATTATAGGCATGAGCCACCATGCCTGGCCTTCTAATTTGTTAAAGCAGTCTATAGATTATGTTGGATTTTCTATACCGATATAATCTGCCAACAATGACAGTTTACTCTCGTTTCTTTTTCTTGGCTTATTGTTTTGGCCAGGACTTCTTTTTTTAAAAAAAATTAAATTTCTTTTATTTTTTTGGATATAGGGTCTTGCTCTGTTGTGCAGGCTGGAGTGCAGTGGTGAGATCATAGCTCACTGCAGCCTCGATCTCCTGGGCTCAAGGGATCATCCTGCCTCAGCCTCTTTAGTAGCTGGGACTACAGGCATGTGCCACTATGCCCAGCTAATTTTCTTTCTTTTTTTCTTTTTGTAAAGACTGGGTCTTGCTATCTTGCCCAAGTTGTTACTCATGGGCTCAAGCTATCCTCCTGCCTCAGCCTCCCAAAGTGCTGGGATTCTAGGCAGGACTTCTAACACTTACTGATCAGCATCATTCCTAGAGAGCATCATTGCCTTGTTCCTGATCTTGAAGAAATTGTGGATACTTATTCCATCATACTTAATTGTATGCAGCTTTTATCAACCTGAGAAAATTCCTCTTTGTTCCTAACTGTGAGTTTTTATCATAAATAGTCACAGAAGTTCATAAAATGCTTTTTCTGCATATTTTGAGATAACCATATGCATTTTCTCCTTTAGTTAACCGACGTGGTGAATTACAGTAATAGATGTTTATAATGTTGAACCATTCTTACATTCTTGGAATAAACTCTACTTGATCTTCATGCATTTTCTTTGGAAAAAAAATTCTTTTTTTTTTTTTTGAGACAGTCTCGATCTGTCATCAGGCTGGAGTGCAGTGGTGTGATCTCGGCTCACTGTAACCTCCACCTCCTGGGTTCAAGCGATTCTCCTGCCTCAGTCTCCCTGAGTAGCTGGGATTACAGGCGCCTGCCACCACGCCTGGCTAATTTTTATATTTTTAGTAGAGACGGGGTTTCACCATGTTGGTCAGGCTGGTCTTGATCTCTTGACCTCGTGATCTGCCCGCCTCGGCCTCCCAAAGTGCTGGGATTACAGGCGTGAGCCACCGTGCCAGCCCGGAAAAAAAAATTATTCTTTTTTTTTTTTGGAATGAAGTTTCGCTCTTGTTGCCCAGGCTGGAGTGCAATGGTGCAATCTCGGCTCACTGCAACCTCTGCCTCCCGGGTTCAAGCGATTCTCCTGCCTCAGCCTCCTGAGTAGCTGGGATTATAGGTGCCCGCCACCACGCCTGGCCAATTTTTGTATATTTAGTAGAGACGGGGTTTCACCATGTTGACCAGGCTGGTCTTGAACTTCTGACCTGAGGTGATCCACCTGCCTCAGCCTCCCAAAGAGCCGGGATTACAGGCGTGAGCCACCACGCCCGGCAAAAAAATTATTCTTAATTGTGGTAAAATACACATAACATAACATAAAATTTACCATCTCAACCGTTTTGAAGTGTATACTCAGTGGCGTTAAGTATATGCACACTGTTATGCAACCAATTTCCAGAACAGTTTCGTCTTTCAAAACAGAAATTCTACACTCATCAAAGAACAAGTCTCCATTTCCCACCCCCCTGCCCCCAGCCCTTGGCAATCACCATTCTGCTGTCATTTTTTTTTTTTTTTGAGATGGAGTCTTGCTCTGTCGCCCAGGCTGGAGTGCAGTGGCGCGATCTTGGTTCAATGCAACTTCTGCCTCCTGGGTTCAAGCGATTCTCCTGCCTTAGCCTCCCGAGTAGCTGGGATTACAGGCACGTGCCACCATACCCAGCTAATTTTTGTATTTTTCGTAGAGATGGGGTTTCTCCATGTTGGCCAGGCTGGTCTCAAACTCCTGACCTCAGGTGATCTGCCTGCCTTGGCCTCCAAAAGTGCTGGGATTACAGGTGTGAGCCACCGCGCCCGGCCCTGCTTTCTGTCTTTGTGAATCTGACTACTCTAGGTACCTTACATAAGTAGAATAATACAGTATTTTCCTGTATGTGACTGGTACTGTTATTTCACTTAGCATATTGATGCTTTTTTTTTTTTTTTGAGATGGGGTCTCACTCTATCACCCAGGCTGGAGTGCAGTGGTGCGATCTTGGCTCACTACAACCTCCATCTCCTGGGCTCAAGCAATCCTCCAGCCTCAGCCTGCTGAGTAGCTGGGACCACAGGCGTGCACCACCACACCACCTAATTTTTTGTATTTTTGGTGAAGATGGTATTTTGCCATGTTGTCCAGGCTGGTCTTGAACTTGTGAGCTCAAGGAGATCCAGGAGATCCACTTGCCTTGGCCTCCCAAAGTGCTGGTATTAGAGGCATAAGCCACCACACCTGCCCCATACTGATGC
This sequence comes from Homo sapiens, assembly GCF_000001405.40. Classification (NCBI taxonomy): domain Eukaryota; kingdom Metazoa; phylum Chordata; class Mammalia; order Primates; family Hominidae; genus Homo; species Homo sapiens. The sequence goes on from NC_000011.10 coordinate 67,481,933, forward strand.
ATTTTTACATGACATTAGTGAATTCAATTAGCCTAGTATTTTATTTAGAATGTTTCATATCAGCTGGGCGCTGTGGCTCACGCCTGTAATCCCAGCACTTTGGGAGGCCGAGGTGGGCGGATCACGAGGTCCGGAGATTGAGACCATCCTGGCTAACACGGTGAAACCCTGTCTCTACTAAAAATACAAAAAATTAGCCGGGCATGGTGGCGGGCGCCTGTAGTCCCAGCTGCTCGGGAGGCTGAGGCAGGAGAATGGCGTGAACCCGGGAGGCAGAGCTTGCAGTGAGCTGAAATTGTGCCACTGCACTCCAGCGTGGGTGACAGAGCGAGACTCCGTCTCAAAAAAAGAAAAACAAAAGTTGTTTTAGCCCCAAAGTACCTCATTTCTCTTTTCTTTTAATTTAATTTTTTTTTTTTGTTTTGTTTTGAGACAGCATCTCGCTCTGTCGGCTAGCCTGGAGTGCAGTGGCACGAACACGGCCCACTGCAGCCTCGAACTCCTGGGCTCAAGCGATCCTCTCGCCTCGGCCTCCCAAAGTGGTGGGGTTACAGGGCCACCGCGCCCGGCGCTAAAGTACCTCATTTCTATCATTCATCGATTATTCCCTAATATTAATTGGGCACAACTATGACTCATTTCCGACCCCGCAATGGGCTCTCTTGGTCTCCTTCTCCACCTTTCTTTCCCTCTTCCTCTTTTTATTTTTTGAAAGAGGAAGATCCAGGATGCAAGAGTCCCGACAATCATACTAGATATGCGAAAGAGAAAAAGCCGGAAGAAAATACACAAAAATCATAACACTTTGAGGGTGTGGCTTACGGGTGTTTTTTTTTTTTTTCATTTTCCTAACTCTGCAGTGCTGTTATATTCCATCCACAACTTCAAACAAAGTGCCACACGGCCGCAGTCCCAATCAATTCAATGACAATTGTTAGGGACGTCCTCGTCCCGCCCGGCCCGCGGACCCCGGCCCTTCCTCCTTGACAGGCTGGGGTCCAGCCCCGAGACATTCCTAGGCTCCGCCCCCGAGCAGACGCGCGCGCTCAGCCCCAGCGCAGAGAACCAATCACCATCCGTTTCCACGCTCAGTCCCTTTTGGCTTCTGCCCTCAACCAAAATGGCGCTAGCTCGGAAGCTGCCGAGGTGCTAGGAGTTGCCGAAGCAAGTCCGGAAGCTACCGAGCGAGTCCGGAAGTTGCCGAAAGGGAGCAGCGGGGAAGGAGGATGGCGGATATCATCGCAAGACTCCGGGAGGACGGGATCCAAAAACGTGTGATACAGGAAGGCCGAGGAGAGCTCCCGGACTTTCAAGATGGGACCAAGGTTCGTGTCTACCCTACCCTTCTCCCCCTCTGCGGCGTGGTGCGCATGCGAGGCGGGAGGAGGCCTTAGGCGAGAGGTTGCGCATGCCCAGAGGGCAGCGTCCACTGCCCCTACCGCTCACATGCAGAACTCGACGCTGATTGGGCTGAATTTAAGTAGGGGGTGAATTCGGGCCTGTCTGCCCCGCCCCCTGGCTCGGCCTTGTAGCAGCATTGGTGGGGGAGGCCGTCAGTCATCACAAGCGGGTTGGGGTTGGGGGTTGATCTCAGTGCTTGGGCAGACCCCACGCTGGAGGAAACCCAGGGCCGGGAGTGGTCCTCGGGTATCTGGGTTTCAAGGCTCATGATCCTTTGTAGATGGAAGGGCCTTCTGAAAACACTTAGACCAACTGCCGCTGTTTAGAGTGGAAAACCAAGACCCTGGGACGTGCAAAGCCGGAGAACGGGCCCAGAGGTCAGGTCTCCCAGACAGGGACTCTTTAGCAGCCTTCCTGCTGCACTAGGGGCTTGTTGGGACAGATGAGGGTTGGGAAGTAAAGAACCTCCCACTTTTCTCCTTTTTGCCAGGCCCCCAGATCCAGCCCCTCTGCCCGCTTCTCCCCCAACCTACAACTCCAGGCTTCCCTGCTTCTCCTGTAGTTGCCTCCTCCCGGAGTGCTTTTCCCAGCTGCCACTTGTTTGCAGAGTAGGGAACCTCCCAGGGGCAGCCCCTGTGCCCAGCAGAGCAGTCAGGCAGGACATGCACATTGAGCAAATGAGCACATGCCCCCTGGCCAGCACCGTGCCGAATCGGGCAGCTAAGCATCCTAGCCCAGTGCAGTATAAGTGCCCTGAGAGCAGAGGGGAGCTGCATGGCTGGAGTGATCCGCTGTATGAAAAGATATCTTCTCTAAGAAGAGACAGGATGTGTGGTGTGGGTTCATGCCCCCATGTGCTGGGGGGTTGGTGGCGTTGGAAGAAGGGGCTGGCAAGGGGGATCCTGGATGGAACAGACATCAGAAGGAGAGATGTGAACAATGGCACCCCAAGATCAGAAACAGGTGGTGTTAAATAACCAATCGCCAGCACTGATTGAGTGCTCACTATTCGAACATTGTGCTACATGCTTCACACGTTTATTTCCTACAATGTGAGATAGGTACTGTTGTTGATTCCGTTTTACCGATGTGGAAACTGACTTCAGAGATGCAGCATGGTGCGGCAGTTAAGAGCGTGGGCTCCTCTAACCATATCCTGTCGAGAGTTCAATCTCCAAACCTCTTTTCTCTGCACCCACCCCCAGTGTTATCTCTAAAAACTCTCCCTGCCCGGATTACTCCCAGATGCAGCTCTCCAGTCATTAACTGTCTCTTAAACCTGATATATAGCTCCCTACTCACCATATCCACCTGGAAGCCTGGTTGGCAACTCACACTTAACCTGCTCCACCTGAGGCTTCTCCGTGTCAGGGGAACCAACAACCTTCCCGTTGTTCAGGGCAAAAACCTTAGCATCTCTGTGGTCCTCCCAGTCTCACATCCAACATCACATCCTCAATATCCAGCCAGGATCTGAGTTCTCACCACTTCTGCCATCACTGCTTGGGTCCAGGCCATCCTCATCTCCAGCCTGGGTTACTGCAGCGACCTCTAACTCTCCTGCCTCTTTTGTCCCTCTGTGGTCTGTTCTCGTCCCAGCAGCCGAGCCCATGCCAGATTCAATTCCTTTTTTGCTCGGAGCCACTCAGTGGCTTCCATCACAGAGTGAAAAACAGAGGCCTCACCATAGCCTACAGGCCCTGTGAGGTCCACCCCTACTGACCTGGGTGAGCTCCCCTGCTGACCCTGTGGTGTACCCCACCCCCTCCTTCACTCTGCTCTGCCACACTGGCATTGCTGCTCTTGAACACATCATGCATTTGAAACGGGAAGTTCCCTTGTCTCCCTCGCAGGGCGTGCGATGGGGGAGTGGCTCGCTTCTTCAGTGCCCCGCTGCTCAGACCTCTGGGGGAGCATACAGATGGGCAGGCTGTGGGCTCCGACCTCATGGCAGTGTCTAGGGGTGAATATTTACAGCTCCGTGTGTTCTAGGGTGCTCTTTTAGTTTGTCTATGGGAGGCTTGTGTTAACCAGCTCAATTAGACCCCCTTCCTTATCACAAGGACAGAGGGCTTTCTGTAGTCTGGGGTTTTCTTGCCTTGATGTACTGGAGTACTGGAGAATTAGATCACTTGTGGGCTTGGAGAATGATTGCAAATTTTTTTTTATTTTTTATTTTATTTTTTTTTTCTGAGATGGAGTTTCACTCTTGTTGCCCAGGCTGGAGTGCAATGGCACAATCTCTGCCTCCCAGGTTCAAGCAATTCTCCTGCCTCAGCCTCCCAAGTAGCTGAGATTACATGTGCCTGACACCAGGCCCGGCTAATTTTTAAAAATGTTTTTAGTAGAGATGGGCTTTTACCATGTTGGCCAAGCTGGTTTCAAACGCCTTTTTTTTTTTTTTTTTTTTTGAGACGGAGTCTTGCTCTATTGCCCAAGCTGGAGTGCAGTGGCATGATCTCGGTTCACTGCAACCTCCACCTTCTGGGTTCAAGTGATTCTCCTGCCTCAGCCTCCCAAGTAGCTGGGATTACAGGCACCCGCCATCATGGCCAGCTAATTTTTGTATTTTTAGTAGAGACGGGGTTTTGCCACATTGGCCAGGCTGGTCTTGAACTCCTGACCTCAGGTGATCCACCCGCCTTGGAGATGGTCTTCCCCTGGGGTTGGGCCACTTGGTGGCCCCACCTCTCCTCTGACTGCCCCAGCCAAACTCCGCCTCTTCCTGCCAGTTGATGACCTGCCAGCGTGCAGGTGCCTGTCAGTGTGATCTTCTGCTTCTTGCTCCCCTGACATCCTCTCAATGACCAGGAGCTCGTCTTCTGCTGATGGGCTCCTCTGACATCTGGCTGCCTGTGGGTCTACCCCCTAGGGGTGTTGGGTTTTTATAGGCACAGGATAGGGGTGTGGCAGGCCAGGGTGGTCTTGGGAAATGCAACATTTGGGCAGGAAATGCCTGTTCTCACCTAGGTCTGTGGGGGTGGAACCCTACCCAGGGACCACGCCCTCCTCTACCCAGCACTTCCCTTCTCCCCTTCCAAATTATTTAACAGGACCATGCTCCTCCCTTCCCAGCACTTCCATATCACATTGTCCCACTGCAAGGCTTTTTTACACATGCTGTTCTTTTGGCCTAGAAAGTTCCTATCCCAGGGTCCACTTGGCTTGCTTTCTTCCTTACTCCCCAACCCCCCACTCTGTTTAATCCAGCCCCAACCCTCTTGCCCTGCTGTTTCCCAAGCACGTGGCTTCACCTGCCATGACATATTGTTTTGTTTGATGCCCATCTCCTCCCTCTAGAAGCGCCATGTGAGCTCCAGGGGGGCAGGGACTTTTTTGTGTTTTGCTTGCTGCCATGTTCTGGTGTCTAGCACAGAGCTTGGGCACATAGTAGGTGCTTAGTAAATATCTGTTGAGGAATGACTGGAGTCAGACTGCTTGGACTCTTGTTCCCACTCAGCCACCCACTAGCCGTGTGGCTTGGGCCTATTCCTCCCCTCCTTGTGGCTTTGTTTTCTCACCAGCGTGGGAGGATGAAGCCAGGTGTAAGGTCAGGTGGTGTCCCCGGGGAAGCCCCGTCCCTTATGCCGTCTGCAGGCCGGGGACTGGACTTCTCCTTGGGGGTCAGGGTGAGGGTTTGTGCCTTTGCCTGACCTCGCATGTGGCCCACAGGCCACGTTCCACTACCGGACGCTGCACAGTGACGACGAGGGCACCGTGCTGGACGACAGCCGGGCTCGTGGCAAGCCCATGGAGCTCATCATTGGCAAGAAGTTCAAGCTGCCTGTGTGGGAGACCATCGTGTGCACCATGCGAGAAGGGGAGATTGCCCAGTTCCTCTGTGACATCAAGGTGTCTGTCCTGTACCTGTCTGCGGTGGCTGTCCAGCCAAGCCCTATTCCTATTCCCTATCCCCAGGGCTCCTCCTCCCTCCACCCTCTGCTAGACTGCCACCCGCTTTCTTTTTTTTTTTGAGATGGAGTCTTGCTCTGTCGCCCAGGCTGGAGTGCAGTGGTACGATCTCAGCTCACTGCACCCTCCACCTCCTGGGTTCAAGCGATTCTTCTGCCTCAGCCTCCCGAGTAGCTGGGATTACAAACACCCGCCATGATGCCTGGCTAATTTTTGTATTTTTAGTAGAGACAGGGTTTCACCATGTTGGCCAGGCTGGTCTTGAACACCTGACCTCAGGTGATCCACCCGCCTTGGCCTCCCAAAGTGCTGGGATTATAGGCGTGTGCCACCGCGCCCGGCCCACCCACTCTTTCCAGACCACCACACCAGCCTGCTGATGGCGTCCTGGCCTCCATTCCGCCTTCCCCTATTAGCCAGACTGAGGCCAGGGGACTCGTTCTCAAATGCAAATGACCTGTACATCCCTTTGTTTCAAACCTCTATGACTCCTGGTCACTGTAAGGATAGAGCACAGGGGGTCCTCACTTCATGTTGCTGATACATTCTTGGAAACTGTGACTAAGAGAAAAAACATACATCAGGTTTTTTCTCAGCCACCGTCATTTCTCTCAGCAAAATTTTGTTAGAACATTGATGAGAAGAAAAATTGGTTTCGTTATGTATTGTTTCGCCTACAGTCACAGTTTCCAAGAACCTACTTAGGACGTTAAGTGAGGACTTAAACCGTATAAGCTATAGCTGCTCACATAGCTTTTTGGGGGCTGGCCCCTGCCGTCTCACCCTCTTACTCAACCTCCCTGCTTTTCCTTTCCATTCCCCTTCTTAGCCAAGATCTTCCCTCTTCCTTCAAAGCTTATTCCTGGGTCACCACCTCTAGGAAGCCCTCCCTGACTGCTAGTGGTTGGCTCAACTCCCATGTTTGGGTCCTCCAACCCTCATGCCCTGCATGGCCAGGATCTGCTCTTCTGCCTTGTCCTAGGCTATTGCAGAGCAGGGATCTGGCCTGTTTACTTCTAGCTTTGGGATGCCCAGCGCGAGCCAGTCCAGAGCCAAGACTCAGGAAATGCCCGCTGATGGCAGCCCGGCAGTCAGCCCCTGTCCAGACAACAGGGCAGTGGGAGGAGTGGGGAGGACCCGGGTAGGAGGAATCTGGTTATCTGGTTCCCACCAGCCTAGCAGCTTTGCCAAGCAAGAGATTAGAGGCTAGGTCCCCTATGCCTGTCTCCCTGTGGGGTTTTTTTTTTTTTGACTAAGTCTCACTCTGTTGCCCAGGCTGGAGTGCAGTGGCGTGATCTTGGCTCACTGCAACCACCATCTCCTGGGTTCAGCTGATTCTCTGCCTTAGCTGCCTGAGTAGCTGGGATTACAGGCACCTGCCATCGTGCCCGGCTCATTTTTGTATTTTAGCAGAGACGCGGTTTCACCATGTTGGTCAGGCTGGTCTTGAACTCCTGACCTCAGGTGATCCGCCCGCCTTGGCCTCCCGAAGTGCTAGGATTACAGGCGTGAGCCACCACATCCGGCCTCCCTGAGGGTTTTGAAGTGGCTGGCCTGGGCCCAGCTCTGAGGTAGGCCCTCAGTGGGGTGTGGGTGGGGCAGAAGGAGGAGCTGCTGGGAACAGAATGTGGGGGGCCCCAGTTCTTTGCATAGTCCAGCAAAGGGCCTTATCCTCTGGAGGGAGAGGAGGTAAGAATTCTACTGGGCCTGTAAGGACCAGGGAGACAGGGGTTGATGGTAGGCATGTGTCTGTGGTGGGGGTGAGGAGGGGGTTAGGTGCTCTGTTTGGTGGCCAGAGAATGTGGCAGAAGCTGGGGCTTCACCAGGAGAGAGGGCTGAGCGACTGGAGGAGTCCTGAATTAAAAGCCTCCTGTGCTTAAACGGAGTAGGGTCCCAGTTGTCACTCTCTGGGCCTTGGTGTTTGTTCTCAGATGGTGGTGGGGAAGGGGGCTGGGCCTTGTGGACCCGGTGACCAGCCAGCCCACGGTGACAGAGCCCCCGGCGCCCTTGCCTTCCCGCAGCATGTGGTCCTGTACCCGCTGGTGGCCAAGAGTCTCCGCAACATCGCGGTGGGCAAGGACCCCCTGGAGGGCCAGCGGCACTGCTGCGGTGTTGCACAGATGCGTGAACACAGCTCCCTGGGCCATGCTGACCTGGACGCCCTGCAGCAGAACCCCCAGCCCCTCATCTTCCACATGGAGATGCTGAAGGTGAGGGGCCACCGCGCCTGGTCTCACCAGGCCCCCACTGCCCAGCCTCAGGGCGGCGCTGGCCTGTCCACCCAGGGGTGGTGGGATCCGCAGGTGGACTGCTGGGGGAGCGGACAGAGACAAGAAAACCTGTGCAGGACCCTTGGCAGTACCCTGGGTCTCCTTTCCTCCTCCTTCACATCTCAAATGTCACCTCCTCCAGGAAACCGGCCCTGCCCACCCGGTCTCCTCATTCTCTGTCTCGCAGCAGCTCATTTCCTTTATAGCCTCTGCCGCACCTTGAAGTCCCTTGGAATTCATGGATTTCCTTGTCCATTTAGGGAACCTGCCATGCAGCATGATCTCTGCGAGGGCAGGGCTTTTCACCGTCTTGTTCACTGTTCTATTCTTAGCACTTGGCACAGTGCTGGGCACACAGGAGATGTGACATCGATGTTTGATGCTTTTTGAGTGACAAGTAGCTCTGCTGCTGGTGTGTGATGTCTGGGGGCCCAGCCAGCCCAGATGTGGGTCAGGTCTGCTGCTGACGGACGCAGCTGTGGTGTCCCCGAGCCCCGCTGTGATATGCCCCATGCCCTGCAGGTGGAGAGCCCTGGCACGTACCAGCAGGACCCATGGGCCATGACAGACGAAGAGAAGGCAAAGGCAGTGCCACTTATCCACCAGGAGGGCAACCGGTTGTACCGCGAGGGGCATGTGAAGGAGGCTGCTGCCAAGTACTACGATGCCATTGCCTGCCTCAAGAACCTGCAGATGAAGGTACTGCCTGGAGGCTGAGGGGGAGGATGGATGGAGGGGGGTGTGGAGCCAGGGGGCCCAGGTCTACAGCTTCTCCCCGCTCCCTGCCCCCATACTCCCAGGAACAGCCTGGGTCCCCTGAATGGATCCAGCTGGACCAGCAGATCACGCCGCTGCTGCTCAACTACTGCCAGTGCAAGCTGGTGGTCGAGGAGTACTACGAGGTGCTGGACCACTGCTCTTCCATCCTCAACAAGTACGACGGTGAGCACCGGGCCCTGGGCTGCCGGGGGCTGCGAGTGGTCAGAGAGTGGCCTTTCTCCTGTCACTGCTGGGGTCAAGACCTAGCCTTTCACAACCCCCATTCTGAGCTCCCACGGGGGCCTGACTAAATGCCTCTACTCGGCAGGGCTGTGGGCCCCATTGTGCCAATGAAGCATGAATGGTGTATTGGGGGTGGGGTGGCATCCTCAGGTCAGGGAGGGCTCTCTCTCCCCTGTGGGCCCATGGTGCCAGGAGACATGAGGGCAGGCAGCTGGCCAGGATCCCCCCTCATGCCCTTGCATGCCCACTGCCCACTGGCCTCCCCTGCAGACAACGTCAAGGCCTACTTCAAGCGGGGCAAGGCCCACGCGGCCGTGTGGAATGCCCAGGAGGCCCAGGCTGACTTTGCCAAAGTGCTGGAGCTGGACCCAGCCCTGGCGCCTGTGGTGAGCCGAGAGCTGCGGGCCCTGGAGGCACGGATCCGGCAGAAGGACGAAGAGGACAAAGCCCGGTTCCGGGGGATCTTCTCCCATTGACAGGAGCACTTGGCCCTGCCTTACCTGCCAAGCCCACTGCTGCAGCTGCCAGCCCCCCTGCCCGTGCTGCGTCATGCTTCTGTGTATATAAAGGCCTTTATTTATCTCTCTCTGAGTCTGCTGAGCTGCTCCACTGGGAGAGCCGGGTCATCACCTGGCATTCCTGGTACTTGGGTGGCTGTTGGGAGGCAAAGAATCAGGGTTCAAATCCTAGCCCCTCCACCCACCAGCTCTGAGGCTCTGGTGTCCCTGTTAGAGAAATTACGATGAGCTCTTTCACCAAGGAAGTGTCTCTCGCTGGCCAGGGCTGGGGCGCCCCAGGAGCCCACAGTCTTAAGGGGGAGATGAAGTGGGTACAAGCTAGGTAGCTGGGCACCTGAGGGAGGTAGTCTCCTGGTGCTGCCCTCCCACTCCAGCCTCGGATCCCATGGTCTCCTGGCCTCGGTGTCTGGGGGCAGGGTTTCCATGAGAAGCTACGCTGGGGCTGAGGTGAGCCGGGTTGGGCTGGGGTGGGCTGACTGTCCAGAAAGAGGAGAGGGCCGAGCGCTTCGTGAGACCTTTTGAGGCCCAGGCCCCCATCCTGACCTGCCTGTGACATGGATGGCCCTGGGCGTGGGTTTCGTGCGACCTTTTGAGGCCCAGGCCCCCATCCTGACCCTGCCTGTGAGCTGGATGGCCCTGGGTGTGTGTTGGCCTCTCTGTGCACATCAGTGTCCCCTGTTGAACTGGAAACTGGGCTGGCTGCCCTGTGATGCCAGGCATGGGGTGAGTGGGTGGGGTGCAGGTGGCGTTTATTTTCATGGATTTATACACACTGGAAAAGCCTCTGCGCCCATGCCCACGCCCTCCTCCCTCCCCCCGGCGCTGGGTCCCCTCATATGAAAGGGAAGTAACACCGAGGAGCACACGGAGATATAGGGTGTGGGGCTGGGGGGGCCAGCGCTGGGGCCAAAAGTCTGGGTCCCCAGCCTCCCACACGCAGCCCCTCGGGCCCCTTGGGTGTGTCAATAAATAACCCAGGTCCAGGCTGGTGTGGGCCTCACTCCTCGCTGTCCAGCTTCAGGCTGATGCTCCGTGCTTTGCCCCGTGCCAGGGTGGTGGGTGGTGTTCCCGGGCCCTCACGCTCCGCCTGGCTGGGGCCCCTCGAGCGAAGCAGCTGGCTCTGTTTGCGCAGGAAGTCCACGGGGGCAGCCACACCATAGCTGCTCTTGCCCAAGGCAGCTCTCGGGGGTCCCGAGGAGGCATGCGAGTGCGAGCCCGCTTCCAGCTGGCCCAGGTGGGCCACATAGCCGTCTGACAGGAACTGTGGGCAGAGGTAGGCAGCGATGAGGGGGTGCTGGCCAAGGGCCCACACGCTGCCCTCCACGGTCCTCCAGAGGCACCTGAGGCAGGCTGGGGGACTGGTGGCAGGCTTGGCACAGCCTGAGCTGAAGCCTTCTCAATAGATAGGACCCCAGGCTGGGAGCCAGGGCACCTTGGCTGTGCTCCTAGCTCTGCCCTTCTCTGGGCCTCAGTCTCCTCATCTGGAAAATGGGGTCTTAGAGGAAAAATAACAGCAGCCAATGTTTAGCCAGCACTTGCTTTGTGCCCAGCCCTGTGCCTGTTGATGTGATCTTCATAAGCTGACATGGGCAGTGCCATGATCATTTCCATTTACAGATGGGAAGCTGAGGCTCAGAAAGGTCACAGTGGAAAGCCATGGCCGAGTGGAACCAGCGCCTAGGGTCTTGAGCACTTTCCAGTGTGGGCTGTCCCCTCTGGCTTGCCTGGCAGCTGGCAGCTCAAGCTGCTCATGGCCCTTGTCCTCGGAGGATCCCAGGTTCCCTGGAGGCCGGTTAGGCCTTCTCACATCTTCCCCAGAGTCCGTGGTTCCCAAGGCCTGGGACTGAGGGCCCTGCCCCCTGGTGGGGTCCTGTTCCTGGCCTTCACTTGGGCCTCACCTGGCACTGCGCCTGTAGCTTCCGCACGGCACGGCCCACGATGTAGGTCTGGCTCGGGGACAGCCCCAGCGCCGCGTATACAGCCACATCTTTGGGAGACCCATAACCGGCCACGATGTTCAGTTCTACCTGTGGCGGGAGATGCCAATCAGCCGCCCCAGGGGTGGAGCCGTGCAGCTGGGGGCGGGGCCTGTTGGGCTTCCCCAGATTGTTCTGGGGGTGGGTCCAGGCAGACGGAGGCGAAGACAGGTCCCAGTCCCACGGGGACAGGGGCGGGACCAGCTGCATCTCCCTAGTTGCCCCTAAGTACACGGGGCCCCTCAAACTAGGGGAGCAGGACCGTAGCGGGCCGCTGCAGTCAGGCAGGGCCCGGGCCGATCCAGTTGGGAACAGATGGGCCTCCGCCGATCCGGGGGTGGAGGGTAAGGGGGAGCGGGGGCGGGGTCAGGACCCGGAGCCTCCCCCAGCCGCCGCACCTCCTGCACCAGGCTCTGCAGAAACATTGCCTTCTGGCGTAGTGGGTCGTGGGTGAGGCCGTCGCAGAAGGAGACGACGCCGTGGGGGAAGTTGTGCTGCGACAGCCATGCCACCACGCGGTGCTTCTGCATATCCGGCCGGCCTGTGACATACACGATCAGGTAGCCGGAGTCCTGCCAGTGCCTGTGGGGCGGGGGCAGCGGTCAGCTCCGCTGGCCAGGGGTGAGGGGCCGGTCACCCCGGTGAAATGGGTGGTGGTGGCAGTGGCAACTCCTACCTGACCACGTCCACGGCGCCAGCTCGCACCTTGGGGTCGCTGCCCATGATGGAGACGCTGGCGGTGAAGGAGCCGTCGATGCTGAAGACCACAGCCTCCGTGCCGCGGGCCACCACAGTCAGGCAGCATTCGGCATAGGTGTGGTCGCCCCTGCGGCCCACGGGGCGGGGCGTGAGTGGCGCGGGGCGAGGCCTGGCGGAGCCCTCCCGCAGAGGCCCGGCCAGCCGCGCTCACCTGACCACCATGCGCACGGGGTAGACACCAATGCCCAGCGCGCGTTCTGGGGGAACTGGGAAGGTGAGGCGGCCCGAGCTATTGGTGACTTCGGTGCCAAAGTGGATCCACTTGCCCGACAGCGGCTGCGTCATGATGTAGACATCCACCTGGAGGGGAGAAGGGGCGGGAGGTAAATGGGGGCCCTGCGTGGAGGTGGGCAGAGGCGGGGCTGTCGTCGGGGATGGGTGGGTCTAGGGGCACAACCACCAGGGACCAGGAGCTGTTCCGAGGACAGGAGATGGGGCCATGGGACCAGGCGACAGGGCCTCTGGGTCCTGACCTTCTCTCCAGTGAGCGTGACGACGTCCAGGGGCCCGTACATGAAGCGCCCGCTTAGCACCTGGGGGCGGCCCTCGCACACCACCGTGTCGCTCGCCCGGTGGTTGGAAGTGACGTTCTAGAGGGAGGAGAGGGCGTGAGTCCGCGGCCAGCAAAGGATGGGGATGCTTGGGGAGGGGGAGCGGGTGAGGATCCACACGCAAACACCGGGGTGGGGGCCTAGAGGCGGCGGGGCATTGAGGGAAAAGGGCAAGCCCGGGGGGCGCACTTTTGTGGACCCCGGCCTGAGAGCCTGTGTGTGGGCCGCGCCTCCAGGGGCAGAGCTGTGACAGGACGGGATGCAGAGGATGAGGCGAGGTGGGGACCAGCGCAGATCCAGACCCTAGACCCAAACTTCCCGCAGAGGGCGGGGAGACCAGCGGTTCCCAGGGGCGGGGCTGGGGCAATGAGGTGGGGCCAGGACCCCAGGGGCGGGGCAGGACTGGGAGAGAGTTGGATCGGCTAGGACCCGAGGAGGGGGGTGCTGGGGGGAGGGGCGGGGCCTCTCTGGTGAGTGGGCGAGAGTGGGCGAGTGGGCGAGGGGGCGAGGGGCAGGGCACCTACCCGGATCTTGACCTGCGTGCGTTTTCGCTGCCACTTCTCCCTGGGGAAGGCCGGGCTGTAGATGGACGGCTCCTCGCATTCCGCCAGCTGTGGCCGCTCCTTCTCGATCACCTGCACGGGACAGGGGGCGAGGCCTCTGTCTCTTAGGGGAGGGAGGGCTGCCCCTCCCCCGGCCCAAAGCAGCCCATCCCCGTCCCATTCTCATCTCCCATTCCATATTCCCAGGCCCACCTGGCGCAGGATGAACGCCACCACGTCGGCGGACTCCCAGTAGCTGGCGTGGAAGAGGTGGGGCAGCGTGACGGTGGGAAAGGCGGTGAGCGCCTCGGGGCAGTACAGCGAGTAGTCGATCCGCTTGGTCCCCCACCAGCGCTCCAGGACTGCGCGGCCATGGCAGCGAGTCAGGATGGCCTCCTGCCCCACACCCATCTGCCTGGGCGCTGGGTGCTCTTCCCTCCCCCCTTTTCACCCAGCCTGCTCTTTGCCAAGTCCAGGCTGTGTGCTGGGGGAAAGGGTTTCTCAGCTGGGCTTCGGAGGTGGAATACGGGCCTCCCCCACCCCCAGGCTGGACTGCCTAGGCTGGCTGACTTACTCTTAACCACCTCACTGGTGGTGCTGGGGGCGGCTGGCTGGGCCGGGGGGTCAGTGGCCAACTCACTGCCCTTCCAGAAGGCACCGCTAGTAGAGGTGGGTGTTGAGGGCACCAGCATCTCCAGCTCCTCCAGAAAGAGGCTGGAGTGCGTCTGCAGAGTGTCGGCTGGGGGAAGGAGGGCAAGGTCAGCAGGGGCCGGCCAGGTGGCTCTCCTGTCTTCTCACCCAGGGCTCCCCGCACCTCTGCCATCTTCCTGTGGCCCCTCTGGTCAGGTCCTGGCTGAGGCTGCACTGTGGCATTCTCTCCTCTCAGCCCAGTGGCCAGCTGCACTCCTGCCAGAATGCCTGTTGCCACCGCCCCAAACGCTGCACACCTGTGCCCAACACAGGCCCGCTTGGCCCATACATACCTGGGCATGCCCCGCAATAAATGTCTGCAGCACACCCCACACAGATGCAGCAGCGCACACATGCTGGCTGCTTGTATGGCAGCACACCAGCATCATGCTGCCAGGGGGCACCCTCTCTAGCTTGGCTAACCACCCCCACCCAACTTCTAGGCCCAGGAGGTCAGAGGGTCCTGGGGATCCAGACCCCCCCAGGGGGAAGGAGCGCCTGGTCCTGGGAGTGGTGGCCTGAGAGGTTTTCCATCGTCTGGGAGCCTCCTCATGTCTTCTGCTACCTCCTCCCTTCCTGTGTGTGCCCTCCTCCTTCTCCCCTTTATCTTGTTTGGGGGCGTACCCAGCAGCAGGGATGAGCCATCTCCCAGGGGGAACTTCTGGTAGCGGGGCACGGTCAGTGGGGCGATGGCCTGGAACTTCGGGGCCAGCAGGGGCTCGAGGCGTGAGGCGCAGGGGTCAGCCGCGTGGAAGAGGTTGTAGATCTGTTCACAGGCTGGGCGCATCTGGGCTGCTGGTACCCAGAAGACAGAGAAAGATTGTGGGGTCAGGGTTTCAGCTGGGCACTCTGGGAGGTAGGGGGTGTGGGAGCAGCACCCTGATGTCTGGTGTGACCCCGAGCCAGCACTTCCCAAACTGCACTCCCTGGGAAGTCAGTAGGGCCCTGCTTAAAGTGAGACAGGGGCTGGGCACCGTGGCTCATGCCTGGAATCCCAGTACTGCGGGAGGCAGAAGCAGATGGATCACTTGAGGTCAGGAGTTCGAGACCAGTCTGGCCAACATGGTGAAACCCCGTCTCCATTAAAAATACAAAAATTAGCTGGGTTCAGTGGCTCATTCCTGGAATCCCAGCACTGTGGGAGGCAGAGGTGGGTGGATTACCTGAGGTCAGGAGTTCGAGACCAGCCTGGCCAACATGGCAAAACCCTGTCTCTACTAAAAAAAATACAAAAATTAGCTGGGCATGGTGGCAGGTGCCTGTAATCCCAGTTACTTGGGATGCTGAGGTAGGAGAATCACTTGAACCCAGGAGGTTGCAGTGAGCAAGATCAGGCCACTGACACTCTAGTCTGGGTGACAGAGCGAGACTCTGTCTCAAAAAAAAAAAAAAAGGCTGAGAAGAGGGCAGCGGCTTCGATTTGCTGCTGTGGTGTCTGATTGACCCCTTCTAGTGCAGAACATCCCACGGGTGTGAAGCTCCTCCCAGTGGCTTTGGGAGACTCACCCTTGGCGAGTCCCTTCTTTCTGGGCCTCAGGTTCCCCTTCTGTAGCCAGGCCTTTGAATTAGTACAGTGGGGAAGTTGCTCATGCCTCGGATGAGAGGGAAGGCCAGAGGAGGTGGGGAAGGAAGGGGCAGACAGAGACTAGAGGCGCCCCCGCAGCCCCTAGGACTCACCCTCCAGGGCGGGCATCACAGTTTTGCGCAGAGCCAGCACCAGGCCCAGTGGGGAGCCGAAGAGGAAGAAGCCAGAGACCTTGAAGTCAAGGCGGGCAGTGCTGCTGGGGCCGTCAGGTGCCTCGGAACTGGCAGCGGGTGGGCAGAAGGCCGTGCTTGCCCGCCGGGGCTCCCAGGAGGAGGTGGTTGCGGGGGCTGCCTGAAGGCTGTGGGGGAGGAGGGGTGCTCAGTGCTGCTGCCTCTGTAGTCCATCATGTGCCCAGGGTAGGGGTGATGGGGCAGGGACGTCACCTGTTCTGAGAGCCCTCGGGCTCAGGACTGGCCATGTCGCTGGGGATGCGCTGGGGAGGCAAGGCCGAGGGTTCTGGGCTGCCCCGACCCAGGCCTTCCACACCATCTGCCAGGGGGTCCCGCACTGGGCCAAACTCCGGAGAGAGCAGCTCATTGTTCTGGATGGAACAGGAGACAGAAACATTCTTAGGCCTGGGGACCATTCGAATTCTACTTACTTAGAAGTGAGGAGCGAGGCTTGGGGGTTGGGCAGAGCAGAATTCCAGAGAAGACATGAACTGGCAGGGCAGCAGGGGGCCTGCCTGCTGGCAGAGGGGTGGCATTCCAGGGGGCAGAGACCTAGAGCCAGAGAGGGCCTTTCCGCTCCTGAGGAGGCCGGGTTTGGCTATACTGACCATGCTCCCACGGCGGCTGCTGCCCCGACTCCCGGTGCCCGCGTTAGCACTGTGGCAGAGTGCATCAAAGCCCAGGATGCCACCAACACCATCTCCAATCAGTGCGACCTGGGTGGGAGCAGGGGCACCATCAGGAGAGGCCTTGTCCTCACCCAGGCCAGACTACAGTGGGGGCTGCAGTGGAGGGCAGCAGATGGACTGTCCCTAACCGCTGACCTGCCCACAGAAGCCGGCACCCTCAGGTGAGCGCAGGAAGGCTGAGTAGGCCTGGTTGGTGCGGGCAATGACGGTGGCCACGGCGCCCTGGTAGCGGGAGGATGAGGTGGCCAGCAGTGGCAGGGCAGCCAGTGGAATGTGGTCTTGGGAGCGAGACAGGCTGTCCCCATCGTGGCTGTAAGGGCTCAGGCTGTAGGAGGGGGAAATGTGCGTGGGTGAGGGGCTTCCAGACCCACTCCTGCCATCCAAGTCCCCTGGGCCTGCTGGCAGGCCCTGGCTCTGTGGGTCCTCTGTGGGGAGCGTTAGCCCCAAGAGGCAACTGAAATGGAGCCATTCTCCAGAACAGGTCCAGCCATGCCAGTGACCGACCCAGGTGTCTGGCTTCCTGACCCCTTCCCCGCTCCCTGCCCCGCTCCCTGGCCTGATCCTACGAGTTCCCTGCCCTTCCACCCGTGGCTAGTACTTGGAGACAAGGGCATAGGCGGCGGCGCAGATGGGTGGACAGGGCACCAGTCGCAGCGCCACGTGGCCCAAGGCCTCAGGGAAGTGGATGCGGGTGACGGCCTCGAAGGCGGAGCTCAGCGTCTGCACATCCGCCTGCTTGGAGTTGGCGTCTCCAGGGCCTGAGTCCAGGATGTTGCCGCTGTGCAGGATAAGGAAGAGGGCGTGGACTGCGCATGCCTCAGCCCCCAGCTCCCCGGCTCCATCCAGGCCCTGGGGGGAACAATGGGGTGCAGTGGGTGTCACAGCAGTGGCCGGGCCAGTGAGTAGGGGGAGCTTTGACATGGGGTGGCTGACCATACTCGCCTCTGAGTCCCTGGGTGCTTGGGCCCCATCCTCAATGCCTTTAGCTGCCTCGGCTCCAGGCTCTGCAGGGCAACGAAGCCAGTGAGAGGGACGGAGAGGACCACTGGGATCCCCTCATCTGGCACTTCAGGCACCCCAGTTCTGGCATCTGCCTGAGGCCCCCAGTCCCTACCTTCC
This sequence comes from Homo sapiens, assembly GCF_000001405.40. NCBI lineage: Eukaryota > Metazoa > Chordata > Mammalia > Primates > Hominidae > Homo > Homo sapiens. Next base: position 67,499,117 of record NC_000011.10, read on the forward strand.
TCCAAACTTCTCCTCCCACCAACTCTCCCAGGTCAGTTTGTATTTCCAGGCCTTTGCTCCTACTGGTCTTATTGCAGTCAGGGCTGCCTCTCCACACAATGCCTGTTTGCCTGGCAAACTTCTCTAACCCTGCCCTGTCCAATGTGGTGGCCATTAGCTACAAGTGGCCATTTAAATTTAAATGAATTAAAATATAATACATAAAAACCTCAGTTCCTCAGTCACACTAACCCCATTTTCAGTGCCTGGGAGCCAGTGTGGCTGGTGGTTATTGCCTTGGGCAGCATGGACCTAGAAGTTCTGCTGGACAGTGCTGGCCCAAGTCCTCCAAAGCCAGCATAGACATCACCTCTCAAGTGAAGCATTCAGGGAGTCCAAATTAATTCCTTCATTCTTAGTGCTATGTCTGAATCATGACTACATTCTAATCATCCATCCATCCACCCATCCATCCATCCATCCATCCATCCATCCATCCACCATTCATTATTCGTCTATGTATTTAATGAGCACCTCTTCAGATTGCCTCTCATCTTAAGATGCCATTAAACTCATGACCTGCTGTACACGGGTGCTGGGGGCCGGTGTCCTAGGCGGTATCTTTACCTGGCGTTCCCTCTGCCTCCACTGGGGAGGCAAAGGCATCAATGAAGTCATTGGAGTTCCACTTGGTCATCTCCTTGGGGAAGACCTCCTCACTGTCCGAGAAGCCTTCTGAGGGGACAGGGGGCTGTGTCATGGGGTGGGAGGAGCTGCTCGGGGACATCCCCACTCCCAAAAAGGGCCTCAGTGCTGACCGTGGGCATCAAAGAACTCTTCCTCGGAGCTGTTCTCAGAGTCTCGGGCAATGTTCTGCATGCGCCACTCAGACAAGCTCTGGGGAGACACAGCCCCTGCCGGGCCAGCTCAGCCTCAGCCTCAGCCCAGGAGCCCAGCCTGGGGAGGGCCGTTCCTCCCATCCCTGTGCCCCAGCCTCACCTCCATGTTGGGATGAGTAGGAGGAACGGGAGGATGAGGACCACTGCTTCCCAAAGCTGGCATCGGGGGAGGCATCTGGGCCTGGGGGGGCCTCAGGCCCATCGGGGGTGCCAGTGTTGCTGGCCGCAGACCGGGCCTCGGTGCTCGGTTTCCCGGGGGGCTGGGCCTCGGACCCCTCACTGCCTGTGTTGCACTTGGCCATGCGCTGGGCCAGCATGCGAGCAGTCTCCTCTTCCAGTGCCCGGATGTCAGCCATGCTCAGCTCTGTCCACTCATCCTGCCAGCACCAGGCCTGGCGGTGGGCCCGCAGCATCACCCGACGCAGACCTGCAGGTGCCCAGGCGTCAGAACTGCCCCCTCCCCCTGCTTCCCTGCCACCGCAGCTACATGCCCAGCCTTGAGGTTGGATAATGGCTCCCCTGGGGACACCACCCACCCAGAGCCACAAAGTAGGGCAGGGCCAGTGCAGTCCAGGAATGGGAGTGGAAAGTGGGGCATTTGTCTTCCTGCCTGACTCCCCCCCGCCCACTGCCTTTCCTGTCTCTCTGCACACCCTAACTCTCAGCACTGTCCCCACCCCATCACTCCAGAAGCAGGGACCAATGCTTGTTCTTGCTTTTGGCTGGCTTCCTGCTGACTTCTGAGGAATTAACAGTTAATTAAGGGTTTAACAGTTAATGAAATTGTTGATGGTTAATGAAGGTGTTAACAGTTAATGGAAGTGTTGGCACTCAATGAAGGTTGTAGCGAAAGATGATACCCATTCTGGGATATTTTTATCTTAAGCAGAAGAAAAAGTTAGAAACTCTTAAATGTCTAGGAAATAAAGTAATGATGGTTGAATGATAATTATAAACTTCTGCGAGGAGATATATTGGAATCTTAGTAGTGGCTATATTTTTCTTATTTGTGCTTTTTGGCATTTTTCCAAATGCAAGACAAGGCGTCCTCATTATTCTCTAAGCTGAATTTCCTCACCTGTAAAATGGGAATAATCATCGTCATTACCTGGTGGGGTGTTGTGGGTGTTAAGGGAGATCTTGCACAAAAAGTAATTAGCCATGGGTCTGTGTGTCGCAATCACTGTCAGTATTAGCTCTTCATATCTGACTCAACCTCTTCCTCATTTACTGAAGAGAAATTTAAAGTGCAGAGATGGCCAGTGCCTTGCTGGAGGTACCATGGGGTGGGGGTCAGTAGTGGGACAGAAGCCAGGCCGCTGGTCTCTCCAACTAGGGACCATCCCTCTGTGTGCAGATGACCTGGGCACTGAGGCAGGGCTGAATTGTAGGCGTGGTGGGGTCAGGTTGAGGGGAGGTGTGGGACTGGGGCTCCTGAACACCAGGGCCAAAGGCTGGAACACTAGAAACTGGGAGTGGAGGTGGGGAATCCCAGAGAGAATGACATCAGAGTCACAGCCTCAGCCTGCACTCCTTAGCATGCTGCCAGTTAGAGCCGGTGACCTTCCTGAGTGTCTCTAAGTCTCATCTAACTCATAGGATGATGGAGAATCTTAGAATCTTAATGGAAGCAGCAGCATTTCTGAATGTCAGAGCCAGTATGGACCTTGTAGATCATGTTACCAGCTTCCTGCTCTGTGGATGCCTGGCTAGGCTGTGCGGCCGCTTCTGCCCTAGTGCTCCCCACCTCAAATGGAAACGATGGCTTTCTGCTTCTGTGTCCCCAGTGGATGGGAGCATCCCTGGCCCTAAACATGGGGTCTGGGGCATGCTGGGTAAGTGGGACCTCCCGCAGCTGGGTGCTCACCTACATCATGGATGAACTGCTCGATCTTGGCTTGCATGCCCCAGTAGCGGAACTCAACCTTGCACAGCTTATAGGCACACATAAGGGGCCCCGTCTGTGCCGCCGTCCGTGCCCAGTCATCAGACAGTGGCCCTCGGCCCGTCTTGACCGAGTGATAAAGCCGGGGGTCCTCTTCTGCTTTGTACTCGCCTGGGGCCACTGCATCCCGCACGATGTCGATGGTGTCTGAGGGAGTTCGGCAAGCATTGAGCAGCGCCAGCCCCTTTGAGCCCCCGCTCCTGGCACCCTCTTGGGACTGGATGACAGTTCCCGTCCTTTTGCAGACAGGACATGAGGCCTGGAGAGGGCTGGGACTTCTCAGAGGCTGCCCACTGAGGCAGCCAGGAGCCTGAGAGGGGCGCCAGGGTCCCCCCATAGCTCCAGGCCTCACCCAGGATGCGCTGTCTCCTCTCGGCCCCGCTCAGGTTGAAGACGTTTGGCTGCTGCCCCCCATCAGGCAGGTAATAGGTCTCAATTTCAATGGAGAATTTCTCCACGAAAGGGCAGGTGTACCTGGGCAGAAGGCACGGGTGAGGCTCACTGCTGTACCCACCAGGGCCGCTCCCCTCCTGGCCTCGGACCATGCCCAGCTCACCCACTCACCGGGTTCGGGTGTAGGGGTAGGCATTCCAGGATTCCTCTTCTACCTGCAGGGCAGCCTTGGGCAGCAGTGCCCGGAACCAGCCTGGGATGTGGGAGCCCACGTGGTACACCTTGTGTGTGTATTGCCCGCTGCCCCCGGGCCCATCCGTGTAGGGCCGGTTGGCCAGGATCTCCACGCCGCTGCCCTCACCACTAGACTCCTCCCGGCTCTTTTTCTGTGGCCCAAGGGAGAGCAGGACAGGGAGCTCAGCCCCAGCTTAGCATCTGGGATCCCCAGCTCAGCCTGGTGTTCTACACAGCTCTGGGGCCCTGGTCCCAGCCTTTTCAACTCCCTGAAACCAGACCCCGCCCCACCAAAGCTCCCTGGGATCAGAATCACAGATGCAGCCCAGCCCCGCATGGGGTCTGCAACCCAGCACTCAGTTGAGTCATTCAAGTATTCATTGAGTGTCTGCTCCACTCCAGGCAGTGTTTGGGATTATATCAATTGAGATATATTGATGAATAGAACAAAGATCCCTGCCCTCGTGGAACTTACATTCTAGTGGAAGGAGACAGACAAAAGGAAAAAGCAAATTATGTGGTGTGTTAGAAGGCGCTAGGTGCTATAGGAAAAGAAAGCCTAGAGTAGGGTATAGGTGATGAGGGTTGGGGGCTGCAGTTTTGATCTGATAGTCAGGGAAGGCCTTGCTAATAACACAATGTGACCATGGCTTGAACATGACTTTAAGGAGGTGAGGTAGGAGGAGGTGCTCAAGGCCGGGGGAAGCCAGTGCAGCCCCAAGGTGGGAGCATACTGGATGTGCTGGCAGGTGGCAAGGAGGCCGGGGTGGCTGGCAAGGAAGAAGGGACTAGGAGAGGAAAAGGGGCCTCCAGCTCTCAGAGGCCCTGACCCTGGCCCCCTCCCTCTCTGGGAGGCCCTGGCCGCCTCCCAATCCCAGCTCCGCCACACCCCTCAGAGCTTGAGAGCCCCCAGATCCTGCCTTCTATTGCTCCGGGGCTCAGATGGCCCTTTCAAGCCCGAGGCGGGGTCCGGGCCCTCTTGCTTTATGAGATTCTGGTCCTGCTGTGCTGGGGACAGATCTGGAGCAGACTCCCCCAGGCCCCGCACCAACCCGGCCACTGCTGAGGGCCTGCCCTGGCCCACTCTTCTCACTGCCCTACACCAGAGCCTCCTCGCCCTCCCATCCTTGCTGCCCTGTCCCTGCTCCAGGTTTGACACCTGGTCCTCACCACATCTCCCTGACCTCCAGGGATGGCCAGGACCCTCCACTTCTCCAGACCCCCTCCCGCCTTCCTCTGCCGCGGAGGCCCCCCTCCTCATTCTTGCCGCCTCCTGGGCGCTTTTTCCTTCCCCGATGGGATTACAGATCCTGAGGAGGATTACAGGAGATCAGAGGAGGGCTGGGCACTTAGCGGATGGGAAGCACCACTCGGCCCTCCTGCCCCTCTTCCCACAGTCCTTCCCCATTCCCACATCTGAAGGGGGGCCTCTCTTGCCTCCTCCGGGCTCCCAGCCGGTCCCAGCCCCGGGGCAGGGCTGGCGGGGTCGGCAGGGCTCCACCCCTTGCCCGGGTGCCCTCTCCCCGCCGCCCTCACCTGGATCATGTAGAGCTGGGCCACCTGGTACTCGTCCAGGCTCATGGGCAGCAGAATGTGGTATTCCTTGATGAGCATCCTGAAGGCGCTCGGCGGGCCGCGCGCGGCCTCCGCTCCTCCTGGCGCAGGGCACGGCGCGACAGTCAGTGCGGGGAGGCTGCGCGCGGCCCCGAGCCCTGCGCGCCGGCCGAGGGACTCAGGCCACGGGACCCCATGTCCGGGCCCGCCACGAGGGAGGCAGAGGCGAGCCTAGCACCGCCGCCCGCGCCGCCGGGGCCGGGAGCCGCAGCGAGGCTGAGCGCTGACCTCTTTTCCGCGCAGCCCCCGCCCCCCGCCCGCCCGTCGCCATGGCAACCGCGCGCTGACGCGGGCCCCCCGGAGCGCCAGGCTCCGGCCGGCGGGCGGGAGGGCCACCTCACCTCTCCCGCTGCGACCGCGTCCTAACCCCGGGAAACGGCATCCCTCTGGGCGCGCCCCCGAAGCCCCGGGGCCCCTCCTTCCGGGCCCGCCTTCCGCGACCGGCCCCTCGGGGACCCGCCCCTTGCATCCCCTTCCCGGAGTCGGCGGGGTCCCAAGTCCCCCACTCTCGGACGTCCACCTAGAGCTTTGTTCCCCGAGTGTCTCTGCGCGGAGTGGCCCAGTGCGCCCAGCATCTCTGCCAGGGTTCCCCACGCCCTGCACCCGAACCTACCTTCCGGGACCGGTAATCTCCTCCGCCCTCCAGATCTGCCTTCTTGGGCAGCCGGGTCCTCGACCTCCCCCTCCCAGCATCCTTCCTGGACCCCTGGCCCTCGCCGGCTCTCCACGCGCCTAGGCAGCCACTCCGTCCTCTTCCCAGGGGGTGAGCCCTCCTCAGGCTGAGGCCAGAGTGGCTCCACTTGGTATCCCACGGGCCATGGCCCTGGAGACCCGCTCCGTCCACCTGCGCCCCAGACTGGCACCGAGGTTCCGCTGCAGGCACCCCTCCATCCCCCACTCGCACCCCGCGAGCAAGCGAGAGGCCCCGTTGTCCCCACTTCCCTCTGCTCGCCGGCGTCCCGGTCCCCTGCCGCGCTCTTGGCCCGCCTGCCGACGCCCCGGCTCACCTCTAGCTTGAGGCGGGCGCCCCTCACCCAGCCCGGGCAGGGCCGGCCGGCCCGTGGGTCGGAGCCCGGAGCGCCCCCAGCCCCGGCCTCGGGTTCCAGCGGTGGCCGGACCCTCCCGAGGCGCAGTGCCGGCCCATGGCCCCGACCTTCCTCTCGATCCGCCCGCCGGCGCCCCTGCAGTCCCTCCCCGACGCCCGCCGCGTCACTGCGGCCGCCCCGCCCCCTTCCTGGGCCCGGCTGGCCCTCCCCACCCCGGCGGGGTCCGGGCAGCCCCGCCTGCAGCGGAGGAGGCAGGGAGGGAGGCCCCTGCCTTCCTTCCCCCGGGCAGTGGGAAAAAGGCCATTGCCTAAATTCTGGCTCTTCCTAGTCCCTCTGTGCTGATTGGGGTCCCCAAAGACTCTTAGTTCCTATCTCCACCCTAGCCCAGCCCTCCTGTGTGCAGTCACAGGGTGGTTTGATATGGGGGGTCCCAGGCCCACTCTCCTCTTCTCACTCTCTGCAGTCCTTAGATTTGGGACCCAGGGTTGAGGAAATGCCTCCCCACCAGTCTAGCCAGAAGCTGGTGGCTCTGACATGCCTCCACCTAGGGCTGGGCTCGGCTCCAGGGCCCCAGGCCTCTATGGTCACCCAGCTACACGCCCAGGCAGAAACGGGCTGTCACTGTGAGTGGCTGGGCTAGCCCCTGCATGGTGCCACAAAGCCTCCCCCACCTCTGCCTTCCGGGTCCACAAGTCCGGTCACCCAGCCACCCGGAGTCTGGGCAAAGGCCTCACGAGGCACCCCAAGGCTGGGTTCATGGGATCCCACCCAGCCTGCTACAAGGTGCTGGGGCAGTGACGGCAGCACCCCGCCAGCCCCTCCCCTTGACACTGAGGCCAAGTGCTGGAAGCAGCAGTGCCCTTTCTCTCTGAGAAGTCAGAGACCTTCAGGGCTGATTCAGAGGCTGGGGTGTTGTCAGGGCATTAGGGCGTGTGAGGGAGTGGCTTACGTGAACTGGCATTTCCATGCTGCCAGGCATCACCGCCAATCCAGAGGAAGCGCCCTCCAGGCCCAGGCTGCCCACAGCGCCAAGGGCTGTGGAAGCAGCCAGGCCCTGTGCTGCCCCCTGGTGGCACCACAGGAAGGCCCAGGGCTCTCAGCGCCACGGCTGGGGCGGAGAGGGCCCAGGTCCCACCAAAGGCTGATGGCCTACAGAGGCAAGTCAAACCTCATTTAATCACACCCTCCCCATCCATAGTCTCCTCTTCCCCTGTCTCTGCCTGGCCCACCCAGGCTTAGCTGAAGAACCAGACCCAGAAAGGCTCAGAGCTGAGAGCACAACTCCAAATCATCTTTTATTAATATAAAAAGGGCATATTTAGCAAAAGACACACAGATAAAAGAGTCACTATGGCTCAGGACACAAGGCAGGGAGGTGCCAGGCCTGTGCCCCTGCTGGGGGAGAAGGAGGCTCGGGACAAAGTGGGAGAAGTGCTGGGAAGGGCTGAGCGGTAGGGGCCACAAAAGTTCCGGTGGGCAACACTGTCGGCAGGTCATGGGTGGGACTCATGGGGACCTCGCTGCTAACTCTTGTTGTGGGGGGGTGTCCTTAGTGCTGCCACCTGGAGGGCCACTCCTTGGTTCCTGGAGGGGACCCACCAAGGGACACAGGACAGGAAGCCCAGGATGGTTAGTGCAACTCGGGATGAAGGCCAGGGAGAAGCGGGTGCTCTGCAGTGGCCGGATAGGTCCAGACGCTGAGGCCGAGGCGCTTCCTGTTACGTGCGGGCGTTCCGCTCTGTCTCTGCCAGGCACTCTCTGACTAGGGCCCGGGCATGGATGATACCTGGGGGTGGGGTGGGGTCTCAGCAACCCTCCACAGCCCCACCCACTGCCCTCCAGAGGAGGACCCCTGCCTCCCCACTCCCTTTCCACTTTCGGCAAAAGAAATTCAAATCTAATGACGGCTAGATGAAATTAGAGGTTTGGTTAATCCTCAAGGTTGCCCTGTTGAAATACAAATTCCCATGCTCTTCCCTGGAAATGGACTCAATTTCAATTCGATTCAAAACACCTCTCTGGTAGTAATACTGGACATCCTCTAGGCTTGGCTCAGGTGGCCTCCAGATGTCCTTCCTTCCCTCATGAAGGATAGTCCAGTGTCGGTTTCCTGAGCAGGGCGGCCTGGCCTCACTTACCTCTCTTCAGGCGCTCCATGGCGCTCTTGCTGCCAGCATAGGTAGGCCGGATCTCTTTGCCCATCTCCTCTATGACTGACAGCAGGTCCGTGTAGGTGCTCTGGGAGCCCTGGGCGCCGGGTGGCTTCATCGCCTATGTCAAAAGAGAACAGGGCAGTGAGCTCAGGCACCTGGCGGGGAGGGGGACTCCAGTCCGCATCCATAAGCAAGGCTTTGGCCCCACTCACCTGCACGTAGCCCATGGAAGGCGGTCCAAAGTCGTTAAACAGCGGTCTGAAAGGAGCGCCGGCTCCTGGCACTGAGCCCGACGGCGACGGGACGCTTCCTGCAGCAACAGGCGCGAGTAAGAGGTCAGCGCGGGGCAGGGACGCCGCCTCCCAGCTTTTCCAAGCCCAGGACCGGGTTCGCCCGATTCCCTCCAAAGGATGCTTCATTCCATGCTGATCAACTTCAGGGACAAATCCCTCCCACTGCGCTCCACCTACAAGCCCTTACGTGACCACGCCCACTTCACAGGCCAGCAAACTGAGGCTCAGCGAGGGTAGGCGGCAGGCCCAGTATTGCAGAACTCAGGCCGTCTTCTCTTCGAGACCTCGACCGCCCGGCAGGCGAGCAGGGGTGGAGCTGGATCCTCACCTGTAGGGACCGGGGTGCCCGGCCCAGGGGTGCTGGAGCCAGGGGTGCTGCTGGGAGCAGGGGCGATGGGTTTGTAGGACATCCCCAACTCCTGGGCGCGGCGGACGCCAGCCGGCCGCTCCTCGGGGGTTGGCTGCGGGGCCGCTCAGCCGCGCTCTGATTGGCAAGCGGGCTGCACGCCCCTGGTAAATAGAGGTCTGGCCGGAAGGGCGAGCGGGCACGAATGCTCCCTCACTCCCGATTGGTGCGCGAAGATGTCACTCGAGCCTCCTTATTGGCCGAGACCTGCCCCAGCAGGTCGCAACCGCCGCCGATTGGCCTCCGCCTTCCGGACCTCGCACCTGTCTGCTCCGGATTGGGCGGTGGCCACCGCCCTCCGCAATTGGCGAGTTCGCGGCCCGGGCCGGCGCGCTCTCAATCCGATTAGTCCCCAGGCCCTAGAGGCGGGGCCTTGGGAACCGGGACCCGGGGCTGGGCTGCCGGTTCGCGCCGAGGGGTCTTCCCGGGCGCGGGCGCTACCCTCGCGCCTCACTCGCGCTGCTTCAGACGTCTGCTCCGCTCTGCCCAGTTTCGGCCCAGCAGGGGTTGCTGTCGCAGCTGCCGTCGCCGCTGCCACCGGTGCCTTGCGCGCTTCTCCGCTCTGGGGGCCGAAGGACGCAGGGCTTTGACGTCCCGAGCCCTGCGCCCCACCCCGTGCGCTTTTACGTCACCTTTCACCGGTTCAACACCCGCTCCCCGATCTGCGCATGCGCCCGCCCGAGGCCTGCGTTTGTTCCCATGGCAACAGGCCCCTCATGGATGCCGCCACGTACCGTTCTTCCTGCGGCTTGGCTCGTCCTCAGGTCTAAGGGCGACCTCAAAGACCCCTTTACCCGCACCCCCAAGGCCCCGCGCTGCTGCCTAAGTTAGTGACAATGGCCGTAGGGCAAACCTTCGGGATTACTTGCGTGCCGGGCCCCGGACCAAACTGGTCAAGAGCACCGACTGGAGCCAACCGTCTGGGTTCAAATCTCAGCACCACCCCCACTAGCGATTTCCCCCAGGCAAGTTTCTCACCTCAGTATGCCTCAGTTTCCCCATCCGTAAAATGGGGAAAATGACGATCTCATTGGGTTGTGTGGATTAAATGAATAGTCATAAAGTGCTTGTTGTTTCATTCTCCGCCTTCCTGTCCCACAGGGCCCCCATACCTTTCCACTCCACCACTCAGACCCCTCCCCTCAAGTCTCACTCCCCACAGAGTTAGACCTCAGACCCTCCTCCACTCCCTAACCCTTTCTCCCAGGCTCCTTCTCCAAACTCAAACTTCTCTGGCCTTGTGTATCTTCATGCTCCCAGCTTTGTAGATCTTCATCTCTAGGACAGTCATTCATTCATTCATTCATTCATTCATCCAACAAGCATGTTCTGGCTGAGCGCGGTGGCTCACGCCTGTAATCCCAGCACTTTGGGAGGCCGAGGCGGGCGGATCACGAGGTCAGGAGTTCGAGACTAGCCTGGCCAACATGGTGAAACCCCCATCTCTACTAAAAATACAAAAATTAGCGGTGTGGTGGCGGGCGCCTGTAATCCCAGCTACTTGGGAGGCTGAGGCAGGAGAATCGTTTGAACAGAGGTTGCAGTGAGCCGAGATCGTGCCATTGCACTCCAGCCTGAGCGACAGGGCAAGACTCGGTCTCAAACCCCCCCCCCAAAAAAAACACACAAAAACCATGTTCTGACTCCCTCCTCCGTCCCATGCCTTGTGCTGAACGCTGAGGTTACAGAAATGAACAGGCCATGGCCTCTGTACTCAAGGAGGCCTTATACTCTGAGACAGGGAAGCAACGTCTTCTTTACATTGCAGTAAGTCAATGGCCACAAGGGATAACGGGACAGGATGCATTGGAACTTAGAGGAAGGGCCTGCCGGGTGGCATCACAGAAATCTCTACAGACTAGGTGGCATTTGAGTAGGTGGGGGTGGAAGCGGAGACCGAGGGGACACTCCAGGTAGAGGGACTGTCATGTGCAAAATCTTGGGAAATGGGAGAGCACAACATGTGTTTGAGAACCAGCCTTTTTTTTTTTTCCTTTTTTTTTTCTGCTGGAGAGTTCACTGGGAAGTGGAGGTGGAGCCGTGGAAATAACCACAGGGTCAGGAAGGGGACCTTAGGTGACGTGGATGTAAGGAAGCTGAGTTGACCACGGAGTCCAGTGCTTCCCTAACTCCAGCCATTAGGAAAACTCCATCAGTTTTGCCATCTATTTAACATTTCCTTGTAATTAATTCACTTTTACAAAATCTTAAATAGAAAGGAAAAGGCATAATGTCCATTTAATCATGTGCTCAGTATTTATAGTTTTCTAATACATATTCAGACTCAACTACTGTTAAAAAGAAAAGGTGTTGATCAGGTCACCCAAGGTCTTCTGCTCCTACTGGTGGCACTGAGGGTGCGCTTCAGAGAAATCTACTGTGGATAGTAGGTGAAGAGGAGCCACTGAGGGTTATACCTCCTTTGGAAACCACCAAGCCCCAACTCCTTCTGTTACAGGAAAGGGGTCTGGATCCATATCCCACCAGAGGGTTCTTGGATCTTGCACAAGAAATAATTTAGGGTGAGTCCACAGAGTAAAGTGAAAGCAAGTTTATTAAGAAAGTAAAGGAATAAAAGAATGGCTACGGACAGAGCAGCCCCAAGGGCTACTGGTTGCTCATTTTTCTGGTTATTTCTTGATGATATGCTAATCAAGGGGTGGATTATTCATGCCTCCCCTTTTTAGACCATATAGGGTAACTGCCTGACATTGCCATGGCATCAGTTTACAGATGGGAGTGTAGCAGTGAGGACGACCAGAGGTCACTCTCATCACCATCTTGGTTTTGGTGGGTTTTAGCTGGCCTCTTTACTGTAACCTGTTTTATCAGCACGGTATTTATGACCTGTGTCTTGTGCTGACCTTCGATCTCATCCTGTGACTTAGAATGCCTTAACCATCTGGGAATGCAGCCCAGTAGGTCTCAGCCTCATTTTACCCAGCTCCTATTCAAGATGGAGTTGCTCTGGTTCAAACACCTCTGACACTTCCACACCTTAGACCTTCCTACTTTCTCCACTGCCCATTCTATTAGTTACTGCAGCCTTGACCTCCTGGGCTCAAACAATCCTCTTGCCTCAGCCTCTCAAAGTGCTGGGATTACAGGCAATAGCCACTGGCCTAATTCCACAAACAAAATAAAATACCATAGACTGGGTGGCTTAAACAACTAAAATTTATTTTCTCATGGTTCTGGAGGCTGCAAGTTTGAGATCAGGATGCTAGCACGGTTGGTTTCTGGTGAGGGCTCCCTTCCTGGCTTGTAAATAGCCACCTTCTGGCCACGTCTTCATATGTGCTCCTTGGTGCAGAGAGAAAGAACAAGCTTTCTGGTGTCTCTTCTTATAAGTACGTTAATCCTGGAAGCTGGGCAGGGAGGTGCAAGGCTGTAATCTCAGCTACTTGGGAGCTCACATGGAAGACTTGATTGAGCCCAGAAGTTTGAGTCCAGCCTGGGCAACACAGTGAGACCCGACATCTAAAAAACAAAAGAAGGGCCAGGCTCGGTGGCTCACTCCTGTAATCCCAGCACACTGGGAAGCTGAGGCGGGAGTATTGCTTCAGCCCAGGAGTTCAAGACCAGCCTGGGCAACATAGTGAGACCCTGTCTCTACAAAAAGTAGCCTGGCATGGTGGCATGTGCCTTTAGTCCCAGCTACTTGGGAGGCTGAGGTGGGAGGATTGCTTGAGCCCAGGAGGTTGAGGCTGCAGTGAGCCGTGATCATGCAACTGCACTCCAGCCTGGGCAACAGAGCAAGACCCTGTCTTAAAAAAATAAAAAAGTAAAAAAACAAAAAAGGACACTAGTCCTATCAAATCAGAGCCCTACCCTTATGGCCTCATTTAACCTTAATTACTTCCTTAGCGGTCCATCTCCAAACACAGCCACACTGGGAGTTAGGCTTCAGCATATGAATTTTGGAGAGACACAAACATTTAGTCCATAACACCCATGTTTGGGGGAAGGGGTTTGCTTGGGAGGTGCCTGAGGGGTTGAACCTTGAATTCATTCATTTATATTTATTTATTTATTTTTGAGACAGGGTCTTACCCTGTCACCCAGGCTTGAGCGCAGTGGTGCAAACATGGCTCACTGCAGTCTTGACCTCCTGGGCTCAAGCAATCCTCCTACCTCAGCCTCCCAAAGTGCTGGGATTACAGGCAGGAGCCACTGGCTTGGCCCTACAGCAGGTTCAGATGTCCCTCCTCCTTGGAGCAGTGGGCTATGGCAGGAGGGGCACAGAGTTCCGTGAGGGAGGTGGGTGGTGACAACTGTGGCCTATCTTAGAGAGAGGACTCTGTCTACCTCGGGGGAAGATAGCACAGCTTCCTTGGTACAACGCTTTAGGGGCTCCCCTCTGGTCTCAGCCCTCAGACCCACAGCTCATCCCCTGGATTTTGGAGCCTTTAACCATTGCTAAATTCAGCCCATAGATGGGCTCTCGTTGGCTTGCCCAGTGAATTAAAACTTCATCTTAGTGAGCAGCATTGTATTTCTGTACAATCCTTTCAACTTTGCGCGGTGGCTCACGCATGTAATCCTAGCACTTTGGGAGGCTGAGGCGGGCAGATCACGAGATCAGGAGATCGAGACCATCCTGGCTAACATGGTGAAACCCTGTCTCTACTAAAAATACAAAAATATTAGCCAGGCATGGTGACACGTGCCCATAGTCCCAGCTACTTGGGAGGCTGAGGCAGGAGAATCTCTTGAATCTGGGAGGCGGAGCTTGCAGTGAGCTGAGATTGTGCCATTGCACTCCAGCCTGGGTGACACAGTGAGACTCTGTCTCAAAAAAAAAAAAAATGAATGGATGAACAAGATGATACTACTACATTCTTGTTAGAATGGCTAAAATCCAAAACCTGACAATGTCAGTTGCTGGCAAGGGTGTGGAGCAGCAGTGACTCGCATTTACTGTTGGTAGGGATGTAGAATGGTACAGCCATTTTGGAAGATGGTTTGGTGGCTTCTTCCAAAACTAAACATAGACTTACTCTGTGATCCAGCAGTTGTGTTCCTGGGTGTTGACCCAACTGATTTGAAAATGTATGAGCACACAAAAACACGTGCATGTGAATATTTATAGCAGTTTTATAATCTCCAAAACTGGAAGCAACGAGATGCCCTTTAATAGGTGAATGGGGCTGGGCACGGTGGCTCACGCCTGGAATCCCAGTACTTTGGGAGGTCGAGGCAGGTGGATCACCTAAGGTCAGGAGTTCAAGACCAGCCTGACCAACATGGAGAAGCCCCTTCTGTACTAAAAATAAAAAAATTAGCCAGCCATGATGGCGGTTGCCTGTAATCCCAGCTACTGGGGAGGCTGAGGCAGGAGAATCACTTGAACCCGGGAGGCAGAGGTTGCAGTCAGCTGAGATCATGCCATTGCACTCCAGCCCGGGTGACAAAGTGAGACGCCATCTCAAAAAAAAAAAAATAGGTGAATGGTTAAACAAACTGACATATCCATACAATGGAATATTATTGGGCAATGAAGGAAATCGCCTATCTAGCCATGAAAAGACATCAATAAATCTTAAATGCATTTTGCTAAGTGAAAGAAGCCAGTCTGAAAAAGCCACATACTGTATGATTCCAATTCTGTGACATTCTGGAAAAGGGAAAACTATACAGAAATTGATCTGTGATTGCTGGGGCCTGGGGTAGAGGGAGTGAAACTGAATAGGTGAGGCATAGGGGAGTGAAACTCTTCTGTATGAGGAAACTTTTTGTTTTTGTTTTTGTTTTTTTTTGAGACGGAGTCTCACTCTGTCACCCAGGCAGGAGTGCAGTGGCACAATCTCAGCTCACTGCAACTTCTGCCACTCGGGTTCAAGCGATTCTCCTGCCTCCGCCTCCCCAGTAGCTGGAATTACAACTGCACGCCACCATGCCCAGCTAATTTTTGTATTTTTAATAGAGATAGGGTTTCACCATGTTGGCCAGGCTGGTCTCGAACTCCTGACCTCAGGTGATTCACCCACCTTGGTCTTCCGAAGTGCTGGGATTACAGGCGTGAGCCAACACTCCTGACCAACTTTCTGTGTTTTTATTTTTTATTTTTTATTCAGGGTCTTGCTCTTTGCCCAGGCTGGAGTGCGGTAGTGTGATCATGGCTTACTGCTGCATCCAACTCCTGGGCTCATGCCATCCTCCTTCCTTGGCCTCCCAAAGTAGATTACAGGCGTGAGCCACGGTTCCCGGCTGAGTAAACTTTAATGTATGCAAATGTAAAAAAATTCATCTTGGAGGTCAGCGGATCCCAGGATGGAATGCAGAATGCAACCAAAGAAACTAGCTATATTACAAATGTGTGCAACAACCTCACTGTAGGGGCTGAAGGAATAAGGTGCTGACCTAGAAATGAGGGAGTCTGTAAGACTAAAGGCAAAAGGAACTGCACATAAGCACCGCACTCGTTGAGAAAGTTGTACCCCACAGGAATATGGGTTAACAGTTCCAAAATCACTCCACATGTAGCTGGAACTGAACAATTAAGTAAACAGAGGATGGATGATGGGGGTCACTGTTGGAATGAGAAGTTACAGATAAGCAAGTGGGGTGGCTAGAATGATCCATGTGGTAATGGGCTGGAGTTGGAAGCATCAGGATGAACTCATGTACAGCTTAATAGAGATTCAGTTGCTTACATACAGGAATATTTATGAATGTCTGTATACACAGAATAGCATGCACACACACGTATCTCCTCATGTTATCAGCAGAGAAGACCTGGAAACAATTTCCCCTCCCTGCTACACCCACTAGCAACAAGCACCCAGATCTTGGTTTCTTTTCCTTTTCTTTTCTTTTTTCTTTCTTTTTTTTTTTTTTGAGATGAAGTCTCTCTCTGTCACCCAGGCTGGAATGCAGTGGTGGGATTTCAGCTTACTGCAACCTCTGCCCCCCGGGTTCAAGCCATTCTCCTGCTCTGGGGTGGGGCATGGTGCCTCCTGCATAGCTGGGATTATAGGCACCCGCCACCACGCCGGGATTCTTTTTGTATTTTTAGTAGAGGTGGGATTTCACCATGTTGGTCAGGCTGGTCTTGAGCTCCTGACCTCAAATGATTTGCCTGCCTTGGCCTCCCAAAGTCCTGGGATTACAGGTGTGAGCCACTGTGCCCGGCCCCTGCCCCCACTTTTTTGTTTTTTTAGAGAGACAGGGCTTTGCTCTGTTGCCCAGGCTGCAGTGTGGTGAACTGGGTGCTATCCTAGTTCACTGAAGCCTTGAACACCCAGGGACAAGTGATCTTCCCACTTCAGCCTTCCAAGTAGCTGGAACTACAGGCGCACACTACTACACCTGGCTAATTTTTAAAATTTTTTTGTAGAGATGGGGTCTCACTATGTTGCCCAGGCTGGTCTTGAACTCCTGGACTCAAGTGATCCTCCCACCTTGGCGTCTCAAAGTATAGGAATTACAGGCATTAGGCACCATGCCCCGCCCCAGATCTTGGTGTCTAATACCATTCTCCAATAAAATGAACCAGGGCTCCTCGGAGAAATGACTGATAGTAGGACTGGGGCAGGAAATATACAAGATGATCCTGGAGCAGCTTGTAGTGCCAAAGCATAAAAAGTGCTAAAAATAAACAAACATACACAAAGATGGGGACACAAAGCCAATTGAAAGACTCCCTATGGATCGATCTACCTATCTATCTATCTACCTATCTATCTATCTATCTATCAATCATCAATCATCTACCAAGATATCCTATTGTTCTGTTTCTCTGGAGAACCCTGACTGATATATAGGGGAATCTGGGCGTGGGGTATTGGGAAACCCTCTGTGCTATCTTCACAGTCATTCTGTAAACCTATAGGTCTTTTGTTTGTTTGTTTGTTTGTTTATTTTGAGATGGAGTCTCACTCTGTTGCCCAGGCGGGAGTTCAGTGACACAGTCTTGGCTCACTGACACAATCTTGGCTCACTGAAACCTCTGTGTCCCGAGTTCAAGCAATTCTCCTGTCTCAGTCTCCCGAGTAGCTGAGATTACAGGAGCCTGTCACCACGCCTGGCTAATGTTTGTATTTTTGGTGGAGTCGGGGTTTCACCATATTGGCCAGGCTGATCTCGAAATCCTGACTTCAGGCGATTCACCCGCCTCGGCCTCCCAAAGTGCTGGGATTACAGCCATGAGCCACTGCACCCGGCCTAAATCAGAAGATCTTATAGCTTGGGGCTGCTCTGGCAAGAATCGGAGGAGTTGGGCAGCAGGTGCCCCCTGTAGCGGGGGCAGGGGTTCTGGACTTGCCATAGTTTCAACCCTGCCCACTGTTCCTTCCCCAGCCTAGTGCAGCCTCGATCTCACAGGCTTAAGGGATCCCCTGCTCCAGTTGCTATCTGTTGGGAAGTGTGTGTGAGATTTGGGGGAGCTGGGAGCACTTCTTTTGCCAGCAGACACACTGCCCTGATTCAGACCACCCCACAGCCACTCCCAGTTCTCTAGCCGCAGAGCCTGCCAGGCTGAGGCCTGGGGAGGTGGTGGGAGGCTGACCCTGAGTAGGGTTCTGATTTCCCTTTTCCTCATGGCCATCACTACCCCTCAGCCCCTGCAGCAGGGACAGGCATCTTCTCAGGCAGCAATACCATCTGTACCAGCCGTGAGGGTGGTGGAAGGAAGGGTGGGAGTGTGGATCCTGGCTCCCAGAGAAGCCACTGAGGCTGGGGCAACTTATCCACATCCCTAGTCCTGCCAGATTGGCAGAGGTGATTACCTAATTGAGGATTAAGGATTAATTGAGATCTGCCAGGAGAGTGGTGCTGAGGCCACTGCAGCCAGCTCCAGCACCTCAGCATCCAGTCTCCAGAATGCGCAGCGCACATCCCCAGGCCGCCTGCCTGCTTTGTCCCAGGGCCATCTTGTTGGCAGGCGCCATGTGAGGACCAGGCACAGGCACTGGGCACTCTCACCCCTTCATGATGAGGAAGGTCAGGGGTCGTTCGCTCCCAGCAGGCAGAAGCTGCAGATGAGGCTTGCGGCATAGCTAGAAGAGGCCAAGATCTGGCCTGGGCCGGTCCTGACTCCGAGGCACCCTCCCTAGTTGGCACTGTAGTTTCAGAGTCCCTGGGCCTGGGTGCAAGTCCCACCACCCTTCATCCTGATTGTGTGTGGCTTTATGCCACTCCCGTGTTCTCCTGGAACCTCTGTGCAGGCAAAGGCCCTGGATTAACCTGGGGGTAATGGAAAGTCATGGCGAGGTCCTGAACAGGGGTGTGACAAAATGCAAGTGGCATTTTAGGAAGAATAGCCTAGCCGCGTGTAGGGATAGAGGGCAGTGAGGCCACGTAGTCTCTAGCAGGTCACTTTGACTTGGTGCTATTGTTTATGTTATTATTATTTTTAGTTAAAAAAGTGTTTTTTAGAGACAGGGTTTTGTTCTGTTGCCCAGGCTAGAGTGCAGTGGTGCAATCATATAGTTCACTGCAGCCTTGACCTCCTGGGTTCCCGTGATCCTCCCACCTCAGCCTCCCAAGTAGCTGGGACTACAGGTATGCACCACCACACCTGGCTAATTTTTGCTTTATTTTTGTAGAGATAGGGTCTCGCTATGTTGCCCAGGCTGGTCTCAAATTCCTGGCCTCAAAGTGCTGGGGTTGCATGCATGAGCCACTGCACCTGGCCCGCGTGCTGTGGCTCTGATGTTCGTGTCCCCTCCAAAATGCATGTTGAAACTCAATCCCCAGTGCAGCAACGGTAAGGGGTGGGGCCTTTAGAAGACGATCGGGCCATGAGGGCTCTGCCCTTATGGATGGGATTAGTGCCTTATAAAAGGGCTGGGGGTGGCGGTGGGGCGGGGGGAGTAGCCAGGCCCTCATGTGCTTCCTGCCTTTCTGCTACGTGAGGCACCCTCTGGAGGAAGCAGCTCAAGGCACCATCTTGGAAGCAGAGACCTGGCCCTCTCCAGACACCCAACTGCCTGCACCTTGACCCTGGACTTCCCAGCCTCCATAACTGTGAGCAATAAATTCATACTGTTTATAAAATACCAGTCTAAGGTATTTTGTTATAGCAGCAGGAAAGGATGAGGGCACTCAGCCTGTCAATTTCTTCAATCTGGAAAATGGGGCCCTGAAGACTGGGATATGCTTTGAGTGTCTGGGGTCCTCCAGGAGGAAGATGCTGAGATGGAGTTAGGGAGGGAGGAAGGTAAAGGGGGAGGAAGCAGGACTGGGCAGGCGAGCCTCTGACTCCACGCAGATCTGTCTGCCTTGGCCGCCCCAAAGGGGAGCTCAGAGCAAAGACTGCCCATTAGAGGAGCCTTGCATTAGGCAGAAATGTCCAGGTCCTGGTTCCCCATGCTGTGCTCAGTTAGTGGCTGGGGGCTCCCTGGATGAGTGAGGTGTCAGCCCAAAAGCTGAGGTGTCTCCTGAAGGGGCCAGTGGCTGAGCCCTTTTGCTAACTCACCCACTTCTCTAAGTTGAACTGCGTGTACTTGAAGTGAGCTCTGAGCAGTGTGCCTCCAAGGCTACTGCAGGAAAAGTGAGACCAAGCTTGGGAAAGGTCTTCTTATAGTACTTGCTCCACGCTCGAATGTAATCATGCAGGTAGCAGGAGCTGTTCTCAGGATACACGGCAGGAACTGTGGAGGCCAACATACGCCTGAGCTTGGGACAAGAAGGCTTTGTTTACTCGCTAGGGATGTTTCCTGACACTTGCTCTGGGCTGGGTCCAGGATCCAGAGAGGAATAAGAGAGGGTCCCCATCTCCCTGGAGCTCACAATGGACGGGGCTTGTGATCCAAGGGGACAGCCCCAGTACTTGATTTTGGGGGCCAAATACTGGAGCCTCCAGGATAAGCAAGTGAGAGGCAAAAGCCATCTCCCCAGGCTTGGAGATATTTTATTGTCAGAGAGACAGAGACAAGGCCAGGCGGCTTTATTGGAGAAGTGGTGGTGGGGGTGAAGGCAGGCAAGGGCACTGCACACAGGTGGGATGGGGAGGAAAGGAGGGTCCCCGCTAGAGGCGATGGGCTTCAAGGAACATGCTGGTGGGCAGAGGCTGTGGTCCTTGAGTCCTTTATGCTGCCTCCAGCTTCTGTACAGGCTCACCGAGACATCATTCGCACAAACTCTGCCAGGACGAAGCCAAGGTTTTGGGTCTGTTCTCTGGACTGCGCTAGGAGTGAGGATCATCTGCAGGCCTTGGGGCGGGTGGGAGTGTGGTTGAGGGGAGGGTCTTCAAGGGCATCCTCTGGATCTGATAGGGAATAGGCCTCAGAGCCGGGAAGAGGAGGCTTTGTCTTATGGGGGAAAAACAAACAAACCCTTGTAATGGAACTTGTTTTCCTTTTTGCTTTGACAGCTAGGAAGCTCAGGAGCAACTTTGAGGCCTACTTATGGCAATACATTTCCACATAGTAATTTTCCTTGGCTTCTATTATTATTTAATCATTTTACCCCTTTATGGGAATGCAGCATAGAGGAAGAGCTGGGTTCTGGATCAGGCTGCCCAGATTCAAATCTTGACTCCATCTACTTGCTTTTTTGCTAAGTGCCTAGGCTTTCCTGAGAATGGACTTTCTTCTCTTGCCTATGGGGATAACAATTCCTTCCTCTCGGATTCTCCATGATAATTAACTAGGAGAGGACATGGGAGTGCGTGGCACAGGGTCTGGTGCCCAGTGGTGACTCTTGCTGTGCGGTTTCTTATCTGCTAGGACCCTTCCAGGGCGTGTGTTGCTATGTGCGGCAGGGGGTACCTTCGAAGTCGACCAGACCGTCCCCATTGAGGTCCACGTCCTGGAGGATCTCGTCCACCTCCCGCTGGCTGAGGCGCTCCCCCAGCAGGGCCTTGAGGGCCGCCCGGAGCTCGCCCACGCTGATGCGGCCGTCCCCATTGGTGTCGAACTGTGGCGGCGTTGGTTGTGGCGTCTGGTCACTGACAGTCATTCACACGCGCAGCCCCTCACTCACGGCAGACACGCAGCCCTGCCCGCCCTCAGCCCCAGTGGCCGCACCTCCCGGAAGGCGTCCCGTAGCTCCCGGACACCGATCATGTCTGCCGTCTCTGCCAGCAGCTTGGGGCCCATCAGCTCCACGAAGTCTTCAAAGTCCACCTTTCCGCCACCTGGGGGTCCCGTCCATTACAGACCCAGGGCATCAGAGACCCCTGCCCCTCCCTGGCCCTCCCTCCTCTGCCCTCTGCCTTCCCTTCGTGAATGGATCCTTTCCTCCCTCTGCGCCAGAAGCCTGGGTCATCTGTATTTCCCAATGGGAATCGCCCTCCAAACAAGGCACAGATTTGGCCAAAAGTGAAAGGAAAACCACTCTCAAAACTTATTGGGCCGGGCACGGTGGTTCACGCCTGTAATGCCAGCACTTTGGGAGGCTGAGGCGGGTGGATCACCTGAGGTCAGGAGTTCGAGACCAGCCTGACTAACATGGTGAAACCCCGTCTCCACTAAAAATACAAAAATTAGCTGGGCATGGTGGCAGGTGCCTGTAATCCCAGCTACTCAGGAGGCTGAGGCAGGAGAATTGCTTGAACCCAGGAGGCAGATGTTGCAGTGAGCCGAGATAGCGCCATTGTCACTCCTGGGTGACAGAAAAAGACCCCATCTAAACAAAAAACAAAAAACAAAAAACAAACAAACAAAAAAACCAAAAAACTTCTTGGAACTTTCCTTAATTTTCCTGAACTCTTCGGTTGGGTTCAAGTCCTGGCTCCAAGGAACTTGCTGTGTGACCTTAGACAAGTCACTTAGCCATTCAGTTGCCTCATCTGCAGAATGAGGATCACAGTCCTTGCTGTGCCCACCTCCTAGAAGCTGGTGAGATTCTCCAGAGGCAGAGAGCTTGCCTTGAGAATGACCAAGGTCATGGGCTCTGGGGACAGCCTGTGCAGTCACCTGTGTACCTGGACTGCTTGGCTTCATGGGCCCAGCGGGGGCATCTGGAGGACTGGGGATGGGGATGGGTCCGAGGCACATACTGATTTGTTGTGAGATCTCGATGAGCTCCATCTCGGTGGGCATGTAGCCCAGGGTCCGCATGCAGGCACCCAGCTCCCGGCAGCCAATGTAGCCGTCCCGGTCTCGGTCAAACTCCTGGAAGGCGACCTGCAGCTCTGCCAGGCAGGGTGGGGTCAGTCCTTCCCCCACAACCCCCTGATCCTGGCCTGGACCCGCCTACCCTTCTCCCTTGGTCCAATCATCCCTCCTTCTGAACATCAGATTCTCTTTGCTGCCTCGGGGCCTTTGCACGTGCTGTTCCTGTTATTTGTTCTTTCAGCAAATATTTGAGGAGCATCTACTATGTGCCAAGCTCTGCTCTAGGCACTGGGGATACAGCAGTGAAATTTTTCAAAAAGGAAGAAAGAAAGAAAGTGGGGGAAACAAATTCTGACCTCTTGGAGATTTCCTCACTCTTCCCCTTCCTCTTTGGTCCTATGTCACCTACTAAAGGAAGCCATCCCTCTACATGTGGCCTCCCCCGGCCCATTTGTCCCTTTCCTGGAGAGCACATGCACCATTTGTACTTGTAGCTGACTAATTGACGTTGGTCTCCAGAGGGCACGGGCCATATCTGTCTAGCTGGCCATGTTTCCCAGTGCTCAGCCAGGGCCAGGCACACAGTGGGCACCCAGGAAGTGTCAGCTGAATGAACAAATATAAAAGGGGCCCTGTCACCTGCCTGGTGAGTGAGACCAAGGAATGACAGCTGGGTGGGGGTCTGTCATCCCCTCCCTGCTCAGTCTTGTCCCCATTTCCCTAAACTGGTCCCCTGCAGCCTTCTTGCTCCCACTTCCTCCTGGAAACACTGAGGCCCCCACCCGATGCCCCCCCAACCCTGTGTCCCCACCCCATGCCCCCCATGCCACCTCCCCTTCAGGGAACCAGTTCCTTCTCCAACCCTTTACCTTCAATCTCCTCGGGCCGCAGCTCCCGGTCCTGAAGGGCACAGAGGGGTTAGGAATTCCCTGCTCCTACTGATGACTGTGCCCTTCCTTCTTGCTTCCCGGGGCTCCCCACCCAGCCCCACAATCCAACACGCACACGCAGGGCCTGTGTCTGTCTGATTGCTCGGCCCTGGTTCCCACCCCATCCTACTCACTGGCCTGGGTAACCGGGTGCCCCCTTCCCTGCTTCTGGCCTAGGTCACTCCTTGGGCCGTCCTCACCTACTCCATCACCCTCTTCTGGGGCAGGGGGCTCCCTTTGCTGGTGGTGGATCTGGGGTTTGGGCAGAACCTCAGACTTGGTCCCGCCAGCCTCAATGTCACTGTTGATCTCTCTTCCATTTCTAGAGTCATTGCTCTCTCCCCTCTCTGCACCCCCACCCCAGATCTGTGTACCTTTGCTCTGATGTCCCCACTCAATCCTCTTCCCCCTAGCTCCAGGAGAGGCAAAGCGAGGGGCAAGGGTAGGTGGGCTGGAGTGCGAGGGGCAAGGGCAGGTGAGCTGGTGGGAGAGGGGCAAGGGCAGGCAGGCTGGCGGGCGGGTGGCCGTACATACGAGTTGGGTGGCGGCAATGCTGGGCCGCAGGAAGATGCAGGCAGGCCCCACCAGGCTGTTGAGCACCGAGTAGCCCTGGACGCCTGGCGCGGGGTCCCCCTGCTCCTTGGGGCTGGAGCTGGGGCTGGGGCAGGAGCCCCTTGGTGGGGAGCCGAGCCACTGCAAGGGGTCCTGCAGCAGAGCCGGCCGTGAGCTGGGGCAGTGGCCGCTGAGCTCTGGGCCTGATAGCCCTCCCCACTCCTCTCACCAGCTGCTCCTGTCTTTGGAGCCCGGCATGGGACAGTAGGGAAGGGGCTGGGGGGTAGAGAGAGGACCCTCACCCGTGAACTCTTTAGGCAGAAAGGGTCAATCCTCTAACTGTTCTGTTGGGCAAACTGAGGACCAGAAAAGGCAAGAGACTTGGCCAAGGCCACTGAGAAAGCCAGCGGCAGAGAGGGACCTTGTGCCCAGCTCTGTCTCCTAGATGGAGGCTGGCTAGCAGAGAGCGGGGACCTGCAGCCGGGATGGGGCAGCTGGACGGGCAGCTGGGGGACCTGGAGCCTGGCAGGGGAGACCCAGAGGTCGGTGGGAGCCAAGATCAGGATGGCCAGAGGCTGTGGCTTCCAGGAAAAAAATCTCCACCTGGGGCAGTGGGCAGCCCCCAACCCCGCCCGGCCCTCGGAGGGCTCTGCCCATCCCATCTGACCCTCAGGGTCCATTCCAGCCTCCTGGCCTGGGTTTCTCCCCTGACCCCTCCTACCTTAGGGCCCCGGCGCCAGGGCCGCTTGGCACAGTTCCCCATGGGCCCTGAACCATGCCAGGCCTGGAACCCCGGGGGTGGCCCGGGTGGGCCTCGGCGGATGCTGCTGCCTGAGGACTCCTGCCAGCCCCCAGCTGCTCCCGATGAGAGCCTGGGAGTACTGCCGGGGATTTTCCTGGGGTTTTGTGGGGAAGATCGGGGGCGGGTGGGCAGGCGGGGGACTTGGGCCTGGGGCTTGGGTCCTAATCCGGGATTATCTTTGAGCGTCTCCGCTGCTGAGGGGAGCCACTTGGGCCCAAGGCCCCCTGGAGAGCACAGCCTCCCCAGACTGCCTCCTGAGGGTCTTCCAGACGCCCCTTCTCCAGCACCCTCCCCCAACCCCTGCCTCTAATCTCTCCCAATCAGGGGAGATTTAATGTCTTCAGAAGCAGGGCCTGGGTCCCAGGAGGAGGAAGGCAGGCGTGCAGTGTGCCAGGGTGGGCTGGGCCCTCCGAATGGCACAGATTCCGGTTGGTATGGACACGCGGGCCTTCCCACACAGCCTCCCAGAAAGAGGCAGCCACTTGGCTCAGCCCAGGAAGCCCCTGCCTCTCCCTGCCAGGACCCCAGCTGGGCCCTGGGCTCCTCACCTCGGGGTAGCCCCAATTGCTTGCACTTGGCTCCCCCTGCCTGGACTGGTGCCCCGCCCTTGGATGAGGAGCAGAAGGGAACCGCCTATGTGCTGTGGGCAGTGACAGGGCTCGGTGAGGGTGGAGATTGGGAAGGGAAGCCACCCCGGCCCTGCCGACCTCAGAGAGTCTCCCATTGGACTCTGCCTCCTGGTCCCCTCCCTGGACTAAGTCCTGGGTCTGTCCTCCGGGGCCCCCAGTTGGGGTGTGGGGTCCCTGCTCTTTGTTCCTGGTCCCCTCATACCCCTGCCCGCATTACCTGCCCGTAGGCTGCCTGCACCTGGGCCTCGAGCTCCCGGAGAAGCTCTCGTCGCCGGGTGGCTGCTGGGCTGCCAGGGGCCTGGCTGGTTCCTGGAGTGCCCTCAGAGGGGCTGGGGTCCCCCGTTGGGAGGCTGCCCTCTGCTGGGCCCTGGGGCTGGGCCATGGAGATGAGGGCTTGGTACCTCCTCCTGGCTGAGGGACGCTGCTCCGTCCGGCCTCCCCAGTCCTGCGGGAGAGTGGTCTTGTGGGCAGCCACAGGTGTGGCCTGGGTCCCTGCTACTCTTCTTTCTGTCCCTTCCTCCATAAACTGGGAGAGCCCCGTGTCCCCAGAGTCTTGTATCCTCCCTAGCTCCCCGTGGCCCCTCGTGTGGCCCTGTCAGCCTGGTGAAGCCCCTCATGCTGGTCACAGACTGTGCCCGGGGCTCCACCTGATCATCCTTGTGGCCCCAGTGGTCGGCCCTCCTGCCTGCCTTTGGCCTCCTCCCCCGCAGTGTTCTGCCTGCATCTCTCTGGCTCACGCGCACCTGATGCCCCACACACCTCCTTGCTCAGTTTCCATCTCACCGCCTGCCCCTCTGTGCCCCCTCTGCCTCTGTGTCTGTTTTGCCTGCAGCCCCGTCTCCATCCCCTCTGACTCGCCGCCATCTCTGTCAGTCTGGATCCAGTGGTGTCTCTGCCGTCTCTGACCCACTCAGCCCATCTCTCTGCTGGCTCCTTCCCTCTGTTGCTGCAAGGTCCTTTCTTGCATTGGTCTTTCTGTCTGTCCTTCCTTGCTCTTCCTATTCTCCCCACCATCCCGCTCCCAGGAGAGCTCCAGAATTCTGGAAAGGCCTTCCCCATCTCCCCAGCCCAGAGCCCTAGGGTCCGTCTGTGCTGCCCACCTCCCTGCCTCCCTCCCTCCTCCCCAGGGTCCCTCTGTGCTGCCCCCTCCTTCCCTCCCTCCTCCCCAGGGTCCCTCTGTGCTAGCCCCCTCCTTCCCTCCCTCCTCCCCAGGGTCCCTCTGTGCTAGCCCCCTCTCCTCCCCAGGGTCCCTCTGCATTGCCCACCTCCCTGCGTTCTGCCAGGACCTCCACCTGGTCCTGCTGACCTTCAACCTCTTGCTTCTCAAGGAAAAGGGGTGGAGGTGGGCCGGGCAGCCCCTGCTGGCCTCTCAGGCTTCCTTGCCATGACCCCAGCCCACTCCCCACCCAGCTGCCCGCTCTTCAACTCCCAGAATGAGGTCATCATCCTGCCCCGGCTCCATTCCAGGCCCCTCATGATTTATTCATCTGTCCCCCACACTGGCCTTTGTCTAAGGGAACCAGATCCCACTAGGTGCTGCCACCTGAGCTGGTGGCTCTGGCCTCTCTCAGCCACATGCGGCCATCTATTCATGTATTCCCTCAGCAAACAGCTGAGGCTGGCTGGGCCAGCTTCTGGGGCTATGTGACAGACCCCATCTGTCCAGAGAAGCCCACTCTCAGGCATGTCTAACCAGGAAAAGAGCCACCAGACAGTCTCCAAGTACTTGGGGTCCTTGGCCCAGGCATCAGGGAGGCTTCATGGAGGAGGTGAGGGGATAAGGCAATGCTGCAGGCATTGCCTATCAATGTTTAACCTGTGCCTGGCCCTGGGAGAGAGCCAGGGTCCCTGGCACGGATCAGCCTTGAACTTGGAGTGCCCCAGGAGCTGGAACCTGGCAGGTGGGTTGGATGGAGGCCCTTGGGAGGGAGGAAGGGGCTAGTGGCCTCTGGAGAGGGTATAGGTGGCAGGAGGTCAGAGAAAATTTTTGAGAGGCTGAATCTGCAGCAAACGTTTGTCCGGCCCCTGCTCTGTACCTTCCTGGGTGCTGGAACTAGTCCCTACATCCTGGAACCTTTCACCTGCTGGGAGATGCCTATTCAGCAAACCAGAATGACAGTGGCCAGGGAAGTGCAGGAAGGGCCAAGGTTCTCAGGAGGGAGGACTTGGCCGGGCGTGGTGGCTCACGCCTGTAATCCCAACACCATGGGAGGCCAAGGCAGGCGCATCATTTGAGGTCAGGAATTTGAGATCATCCTGGCCAACATGGCAAAACCCCATCTCTACTAAAAATACAAAAATTAGCTGGCGTGGTGGCGCATGCCTGTAATACCAGCTACTCGGGAGGCTGGGGTATGAGAATCACTTGAACCTGGGAGGTGGAGGTTGCAGTGAGCCGAGATCGCCCCACTGCACTCCAGCCTGGGTGACAGACTGAGACTCTGTCTTGAAAGAAAGAAAGAAAAAAAAAAAAAAGAGGGAGGGCCTTGCTTGATGGGGTTGAGGAACTGACATGCTAGCCAAGAGCAGAGGATGATGGGAATGGCTGAGCAAAGGGAGGGGGTGGCCTCACAGACAGAGGAAAGCCTCCACATCTGAGGACAGGCCGGGGTTGAGAAGTGAGTGGAAAGGCTGGTTGTGATCATTCCCATTGCTTCAGCCTTCAGTGTCCTTCAGTCCCACCTCTGCACATGGAGAGCAGGAGCGGCCTGGTTTCCCAGGCGGTAACGTCTCTGAAAACATTCATCGGAGACAGAAATTCTCCTCTGCAAGACCACAGAAAGGGCCGGCAGGCCTAGGTTCCCCCATGCACACACCGTGTCACCCTGGGAAAGGTATGTCACCTCTTTGAGCCTCAGTTTCGTCATCTGAAAAGTGGAGGTTGACCTAGCATCTGCCTCCCAGTGCCATTGTGGAAATTAGATGACAGGACCTGGCAGGTTCCTGGCACATAGGAAGGTGCAGAACGTGGTGGGCACCACACGTGATGAATGGTCTAAAGAACCATCTTTGAAAGTGGAAAATGGTGAGAAATGTATGTCCCAAAGTATAATCCAAAACAGTGGGGTCTGTAACCACTCAGAGTATAGGGGGTAAAAAAGTTTTCAGTCAGGGAGCAAAGGCCTTGTGTCTAAGTGGAGGAGAAAGCCTGGCTTGGAGATCCCCCTGCTTGTGTTCAATCAGCAGCATCCTGGAGCTCTCATCTTGGTGCCCTCAACTTGCCCAGCCTGACTTAGCCAAGCTGGGGTCCTGGCTCCAGTGTCCAGGATGGGTGGATCAGGGGTTTGACTAATGGGTAGACAGAGGGAAGGATGGGTAGAAGGATGGTTGGTTGGGTAAAATGGGTGGTTGGATGGATGGGTGGATAATTTGATGAACTGGTGTTTAAATGGACAGATGGATGGATAGATGAATGGATGGACCGGAGGATGGATAGTTGGGTTAGTAGATGAGAAGTTGGATGGATGGACAGGTGAATGGCTGGCTGGCTGGAAGGATGGGTAGGTGATTTGATGGGCTGGTGGTGCAATGATTGGTAAATGGATGGATGGATGATTGCATAGATAGTTGGTTGGGTAGAGGGTTGGATAGATGGATGGGTGAATGGAAGATGGATGTATAGACAGGTGGCCGACGATCATATGGGTAAATGGGTAGTTGGATGAATAGGTGGACAAATGGATAGATGAATGTCTTGATGGACTGGCTATTGAATATTTGATTGATGGATTGATGGATGATTGGGTAGATGAGGGTTTAGATGGATAGAGAGATAGATGGAAGTGGATAGATGGCTGGGAGGATGGACTGCTGGTGAAGGTCGTGTGTGTGTGTGTGTGTGTGTGTATGTGTGTTTTGAGACAGGATCTCACTCTGTCACCCAGGCTGGAGTGCAGTGGTACAATCGTGGCTCATGGCTTACTACAGCCTTGACCTCCTGGGCTCAAGCAATCTTTCTCTCAGACTTCTGAGTAGCTGGCACTATAGGCATGTGGCACCATGCCCAGCCATTTTATTTATTTATTGCAGAGATGACATCTTGTTATGCTTCCCAGGCTAGTCTTGAATTCCTGGCCTCAAGCAATCCTCCTGCCTTGGCCTCCCAAAGTGTTGAGATTACAGGCATGAGCCATGGCTCCCAACAAAGGTCCTATATTCTTCATTGAAAGACTTCGTTAGGGTACAGACTATATCCTGCCTATTTTGGTGTCTCCCATGGTGTCTAGCCCATTCATTGCCTGGTACATACTAATCAATGCATGAATGAAGACTTGTGTCTGTCTATCTCCCTCCACACTTTACTGTGATTCCTCTAATGGCAAAGACGATGGCTCCCTCTCCCCTGTTTTCCCCACAAGTTGAATCTAGAACTTGGTACCTGGTAAGCACCCCAAATAGAACCATGTTGAGAATCTACTTCGTAACCACCAGGATAAGGTAAAAAAGACGGACACTGACCACTGTGGGTAAGGATGTGGAGAAATTGGAACCCTCAGACTCTGCTGATGGGATTGTAAAATGGTGCAGCCACTTTGGAAAGGAATTTGGCAATTCCTCAAAATGGGTTATCACATGACTCAGCAATTCCACTCCCAGGTATATAGTCAAGGGAACCAAAAACATAAGTTTGGGGCCAGGCAAACATAAGTTTGGCTCTTGCCTGTGATCCCAGCACTTTGGGAGGCCAAGGCAGGAGGATCACTTGAGGCCAGGAGTTCAATGCCAGCTTGGGCAATAAAGTGAGACCCCGTCTTTACAATAAATATAAAAATTAGCCGGGCACAGTGATGATTGCTTATAGTCCCAGCTACTCAGGAGCTGTACTCCAGCCTGAGTGATAGAGCAAGACACTGTCCCTAAAAAAACAAAACAAAACAAAGAAACTCCTATAAGTCCGCACAAAAACTTCTACATAAATGTTCCTAAAAGCATTATTCATAGTAGACCAAAAAGTGAAACAACCTAAATGTCCATCAACTATGAATGAGTAAAGTCTGGGCATGGTGGCTCACGTCTGTAATCCCAGCACTTTGGGAGACGGAGGGTGGATAGCCTGAGGTCAGGGGTTCCAGACCAGCCTGACCAATATCGTGAAACCCCATCTCTACTAAAAATACAAAAATTAGCCGGGCATGGTGGCATGCACCTGTAGTCCCAGCTACTTGGGAGGCTGAGGCAGGAGAATAGCTTGAACCCAGGAGGCGGAGGTTGCAGTGAGCCGAGATCGCGCCACTACACTCCAGCCTAGGAGACAGAGTGAGACTCTGTTTCAAAAACAAAAAACAAAACAAAACAAAAACCAAAAAACAAACTATGAATGAGTAAACAAGGGTGGTCTATTACTACAATGGAATATTACTTGGCCATAAAAAGAAATGAAGTGCTAACACATTCTACAGCATAGATGAACCTTGAAAATATTATGCTAAGTGACAGATACAAAAGGACAAATACTGTATGATTCCACTTATGTGAAATGTCCAGCATAGGCAAATCCATAGTGACAGAAAGTAGATTAGTGGTTGCCATGCGCTGGGGGGAGGAAGAAAGAGGAGTGACTGCTAATGGGCATGGGGTGTCCTTTCGGCATGATGAACATGTTCTGGAATTAGATAGGGTAATGATTGCGCAACACCGAATATATGAAAAACCACAGAATGCAGGCTTTGCAAGGGTGAATCTTATGTAACAATAAAGCTGTTTAGGCTGGACGCAGTGGTTTACGGCTGTAATCCCAGCACTTTGGAAGGCCAGGGTGGGCGGATGGTTTGAGCTCAGGAGTTCAAGACCATCGTGGGCAACATGGCTGGCGAAACCCCGTCTCTACTAAAAATACAAAAATTAGCTGGGCATGGTAGCATGTGCCTGTAGCCCCAGCTACTCGGGTGGCTGAGGTGGGAGGATCGCTTGAGCCCAGGAGATCAAGGCTGCAGTGAGCCAAGATCATGCCACTGAACCCCAGCTTGGGTGACAGTGCAAGACCTGGTCTCAAAACAAAACAAACTGTTTATGTACACTTTAAAACCCACCAAAAAGGCGTGATGTGCACATGCAATGGAGGTGGGGGATGGGCCGGGAAAAGCTGTGCTGCTGGGAGCCGTGGCCCCAGGGTAGCCACGGAGCTAGACCACAGGGAAGGCCCATGGAGCCAGAGGGCTGTGGGTAAAAGCAGCCAACCGGAACACCACAGCACCGTGGCGGCAAGTCATCTGGAGGTTCAGCCCGTCCGGTGGCGGGAGACAGGCAGTCTGCTGGACAACAAGGGGTCCTCTCACCCTCTCAGATCTGTGATGCTTCTGCACAAAGCAGGAGCGGGTGCTCCAGGCCAGAGCAGGTTCCTCTGAGCCTTGGTGTCCTCATCTGTATAATGGGAACAGGACTCCCTCCCTCCCAGATTGCGTGGAGATGAAATGAGATCATTTCTATGAAAGCTCTTTGTAAGCTGCTACATGCTGGGCAGATGTTCCTCCAGCTGTGAGTCAGGGATGAGATCCCAATCCTGGTGCCACCTCCTCCTCCTCCCCCTAGGCCTAGGCAGCTGTGAGCTCAAATGAGGAGGAGGGGAAGCGCATCCAACCCTGAGCGCTCGGTGCAGGGGGTGCCCCTGATCAGTGCGATGTTTTTAATTTTTGCCCAGGCTTTGGGTGGGCGGTTCTGCACCTGGGAAGGACACCTTCCTCCCTCCTTATGGCTCTGAGCCTTCCGGGGGAGGGGCAGCCAGGAGGAGACCCGGACTGGGGGCCAGGTGAGCTTGCAAGGAGGCAGCACTGGGCTCGGCCTGGTGAGACGCAGCCCTCTGGGGTCCAGGAAGCTCTGCCCATCCCAGCCCCTGGCCAGCCGCATTTGAAGGCTGCATTTGCCTTCATACTCAGTCAAGAAATGGTTTGCAGACTATGTGGGGGAGAAAAAATAATCTTTTCCTCAACATTCATGAGTTGTTAGTTGGAATGGACCCCTGTAACAGTAGAACAAAAGAAAAACCTACAATCACGCAGGAGAAACCTCAATGAAAAGTAACTCCAAGCAGTGATGAGATTTCACTCACATGGTGTCTTCAACAAAGAGCAATACATTTTAGAGAAATGACAGGAAAAAAAAAGCAGCTTTAGGCTTACAAGAGCGACTACTGTGGGAAGGTAAATCTATGGCAAGAAACTAATGGAGGGAGGTTTATTTGCAGGTTCTGAAAGCAGACAAGGAGGGTCTCCAGGGATTATAGGAATTATAGGAATTTTATCAACTTACATAATTGCCTGTTTTATAGCCTGCTGTCCTGCAGCCTGTTTTTCCCCAAACCCTGTGTGGAAAGTGGTGGTGACCACAAGGTGTTGTTGGTAGGAAACAGCTTCTGACAGACCCCAGCAACTTACAGAAAGTGAACTTTCTTCATTACCATGCTAAAGTCTCCAGCCCAGGAGCTATAGCTTCATGACCATAACATGCGGCCCATGTGCTGATGTTAGGGAGCCTAGGAAAGCCAGGGTGACACCATTTTTAAATCATGTCCATTTTGGTATTTTATTTATTTATTTAGAGACGGAGTCTTGCTCTGTTGCCCAGGCTGGAGTGCAGTGGCATGATCTTGGCTCACTGCAACCTCTGCCTCCCAGGTTCAAGAGATTCTTCTGCCTCAGCCTCCCGAGTAGCTGGGATTACAGGTGCCCGCCACCATGCCTGACTAATTTTTGTATTTTTAGTAGAGATGGGGTTTCACCATGGCAAGGCTGGTCTCGAACTCTTGACCTGAAGTGATCTGCCTGCCTTGGCCTCCCAAAGTGCTGGGATTACTGGCATGAGCGACTGTGCTGGCCGTTTTTGTTTTTAAATACAGACGGGGTCTCACTGTGTTGCCCAGGCTGGTCTCCAACTTCTGGGCTCAAGCAATTCTCCTGCCTTAGCCTTCCAAAGTGAAATCAAGACTATCAAGACATTGGCTGAGCACAGTGGCTCACACCTATAATCCCAGCACTTTGGGATAAACGTGCTTTGATAAAATAACACTTTAATAAAATGTCAAGGATAGTTTTCTTTAAATCAAGAAAATAATAATTTTTGTCATTCTGTCAGCCCATCTGCACGTAGGGACAGCTTAGTTTAGTCTTTGCATAGACAAGACATATATATATATATATATATATATATATATATATATAAAACTTAAAACAAAGACGGTGCACTCTTCCTGTTGCTTTCTGAGGACACCCTACCCTGTAATGGAGTAGCTTTCAATAAACTCTCTCTTCTCACTGCACTCTTTGACTCATCTTGAATTCCTTCCTGTGTGAGATCCAAGAACCCTCTCTTGGGATCTGGATTGGGACCCCTTTTTCTGGTAGCATCTTCTGGTGACCACCACTAAGGGACTGATATGGTTTGGCTGTGTCCCTACCCAAATCTCATCTTGAATTGTAGTTCCTATAATCCCCATATGTCATGGGAGGTTCCCGGTGGGAGGTAATTGAATCATGGGGGCAGTTATCTTCATGTTGTTCTCATGATTGTGAGTGAGTTCTCACAAGTCTGATGGTTTTATAAGGGACTTTTCCCCTTTTTGCTTGGCACTTCTCCTTGCTGCCACCACGTGAAGAAGGACATGTTTGCCTCCCCTTCCACCATGATTGTAGGTCTCCTGAGGCCTCTCAAGCCATGCAGAACTGTGAGTCAATTAAACCTCTTTCCTTTATTAATTACCCAGTCTCAGGTATGTCTTTATTAGCAGTGTGAGAACAGACAAGACCCTATGCCAAGGAAATTCAGTCTGTGCAGCACTAATTGGCCACCTCTGGAAAGTGGGATCTGTCTTGGTGTCATATTAGGCAAGGCTAATATTTGGGTTAGAGTTCTGGCCCATGGGGTGGGAGTCCCTGCTTAAGGGGTTAGAGTTCCTGGGGCATAATAAAAATAGAAGGAGCCCTGCAAGACATTTGCCAGTGTGTGCTGTGAACTAATCTACCTTGTCCCCTTTGCTGGGTGTGGGAAAGCTACAGTTCTTGTCATTTCCCAGTTGTCACCTTTACTTTACTGTGGCCTTATGGCAGCCCTGTATGGCTGGCCCACAGGTTCACTCACCTCTGATTACCACTTCCAAAGCTATTTCTCTCTTTTATTTTCTGCTTGCTTTGAATCTGCTATTATTAGGCTACTGGTGTTGAGATAAAACTTGCTGTTCAAGGTTACGTGGAGATTTTGTTCTGGCTAAAATGTAAACATGAGAAATGCCTTTGAATCTGAAGAAAAAAAAAAGGCGAAAGGGGCTTTTTGAAAACCAAACTTCCATGAAGTCTTCTTTACCCAAAACGTTGGTTCACAGCTTTCTTTGGATGGCTTGTCAGATGTCTGGGTCATTCTCAGTTAAGAAAAGTTTATGATATGGGAAAATATGTTTCACAGTTGTAGAATGGTTTTCTCTGTAAAATGCTAACATATGACAAACAGTTCAGGGTTTCTTGCTTCCTAAGTTCTCGGAGTCATGTATGGGTGAGTGTCTTTGTTGTCCCTTCCCTTTCCTTTGTTGTCTTTTTTCATGCTCAGTCTGCTGAGCCCCAGGGTACACAGGGATGCTCATGTTCCTTTATATTCCCTTGGGACTGGGGGTTACAGGCCCCCACTCAGAGCTGTTGGATCCTGTGGGCTATGCCTGCCAGGGAGCCTGGAGTTGTGGGGTCCTCTGGCTTGGGTGCCACCCTGTTGCATGGGGCTTTTTGGCTTTTATGGGTCCAGGGCTGCCATGTTGCCCTGTCAGATAAACCGAGGCTCAGAGGGATGTGTGCCAGCACCTACTGATTCTCCATCCCCCTTGTCCCCTTTTTTGGCCACATGTTTGCTGTCTGTGCCTCACTAGTGACACATGTTGCCCTGCACTTCCATGCCCTGAAGCTTACACCTAGCATTTCCCTTCTGGTCTTGATGATTTTCGTTCTTTGGGTTGTTTAATTTGGCATATCTCTGGGTGGCATTGGAGGGCAAAAGCCTCCCAGGAACTAGTCTTATTGAGAAAAGAGTAATTTTTTCCAATTCAGAAGTTATCTAAAAGTCAATTATGGCCTTGAAAATTACTTGTTAAACAAGGTAGAAAGGAACAGTAAGTAGGGGAGAGAGAGGTGTGAAGAAAGTTATGGACATGCAGACGTATTTTTGGTAAGGAAGGTTATAAAGAAAAGAGAATAATTTTGTATGAAAAAGGATCTTGTGTGGTAAATTTTTGTCCTAAAGTAAAATGACTGATTATTTAGGAGGTTTAGGACAAGGCAGAAAGTCGAAGCATGTTGTAGATGGTCTGTGTAAGTCATGATAAGCTTTGGGAAGGGGAATTTATGAAAGTATTTTGGATGTCACTAAGTCGATTATAATTAAAAGGAAATCATTTATAATAGTCCAAGATTGGTCCCCTACGTTACAACAAGGTTTTTTTTTTTAAAAAAACTATTGCTTAGCTCTTAATAAAATTGCAAGATATTTTACTTGTATTTTATAATCTATTTCTTTTGAAAACTTCTCAGAATCATATCTCAGAAGTTCAACTTTTGCTATGTCTTGTTTTTCTCTCCTTGAGAAGGATAACTTGATTCTGTACTCTTGGCTTTTCTTGATATATCTAAGTTTCTAATGTAATCAGAAAACTTCTCACACTGTTTCTAAGAGTCAGGTATTCCCTTGCTATATGCATAGCTTTGAACACACTCTTCTTGTGTTTGGTTAAATTCAAACACTTTTTTCATTGAGTTTGAATTCCAAGTTATGTAAATGGGCTTCCCAGAAGGAGAAGCAGTCACTGCAGAAGGGTTTTCTTTGCTTTTTTGTAGCTGGCTTAAGAAACAAGATTTTGGCTGGGCACGGTGGCTCACACCTGTAACCCAGCACTTTGGGAGGCTGAGATGGGTGGATCATGAGGTCAGGGGTTTGAGGCCAGCCTAGCCAATATGGTGAACCCCTGTCTCTACTAAAAATACAAAAAATTAGTTGGGCATTGTGGTGCATACCTGTAGTTCCAGCTACTTGGGAGGCTGAGGCAGAAGAATCACTTGAACTTGGGAGGCAGAAGTTGCAGTGAGCTGAGATTGCACCACCGCACTGTAGCCTGGGTAACAGAGTGAGACTCCATCTCAAAAAAAACAAACAAAAAAAAAACAAAAAAAACCCAAGATTTTATAATTGCTATGCTGTCTTTATTAGGTTTTGGATTGCTAAAAAAACCCCTAAGATTTAAAAGGTTTTAGGTTTTATCCACTCTGTAATGGAGTGGTTACATGGTAGTTTTTTTTTTTTTTTTTTTTTTTTAGACAGAGTTTTGCTCTTGTTGCCCAGGCTGGAGTGCAAGGGTGCGATCTCGGCTCACCACGACCTCTGCCTCCCAGGTTCCAGCAATTCTCCTGCCTCAGCTTCCCAAGTAGCTGGGATTACAGGCATGCACCACCATGCCTGGCTAATTTTTTGTATTTTTAGTAGAGACAGGGTTTCTCCATGTTGGTCAGGCTGGTCTCAAACTCCTGACCTCAGGTGATCTGCCCACCTTGGCCTCCCAAAGTGCTGGGATTATAGGCATGAGCCACCATGCCCAGCCAGTTACATGGTTTTTAATTATCACTTTGGTTAAATGAGTAACTATTTTGCAATGACCTGTGCTTCTGTTTTGATCAAATGTTTTAATCTTTTAACATCTTTAACAAACATCCTCAAAATCAAAATCCTGTTAAGTCTCTAACTTAGTTTTATTGCTGGGGCTTACTAAAGCTATAAAAGTTAATTGCTGCAAGGTTGTAGAATTTTTTTTACACCTTCTAGTTAGACCATGAAGACCAGTATCACCACCTTCAGCCCCTTGGAGAAGGTCCTTATCAGGTGCTATTGACTAATCCTCGTACTGTTAAATTACAGGGCTTTGACTTCTGGGTATCCACATCTCATCTGAAAAAGGCATCAACTCCTGCCAGTATCTGATGCCAAACTCAAGTTAACCAAAGCCTTGTCTTTAGAACTGGGCAAAAGTGACAAAGTAAACTGTTCTCATGAGACACAGGAACAGGCCTGTATTCAAAAACATTAAGATCCATTTAATAATTTTTCCTCTATCTGAAATAATCTAATTTATTCTATGCCTTGATGCTAAATAATTTAAATGTTTGGCTACTTGTGAACTTCCTTTCCTGCCCTGCTCAAAACTAGGTAGAGCTGGCTGGGTGTGGTGGCTCACGCCTGTAATCCCAGCACTTTGGGAGGCCGAGATGGGAAGATCACTTGAGGCCAGGAGTTCGAGACCAGCCTGGTCAATACTGTGAGACCCCCATCTCATTAAAAAACAAAAAACAACTAGGTATGGCTTATGACCTTTTGTTTAAAATGTTGCTAATTACTTATATTTTGTTTTACCTCCAGAATTTGAAATGATTCAATCCCTCCAGGCCCAGAGACTATCATATGAGATTGTAAGAGCTGATTTTGAGGGATAAAATTAGCTCAGACCCTCCAAATCAAAGATGGAACCTTCAGGGAATCACTAGCTGGGTATACCTGTCCAAGATTAAACTTGATTTTTTTGTTGTTTGTTTGTTTGTTTTTCTGGAGTTTTGCTTTTGTTGCCCAGGCTGGAGTGCAATGGCATAATCTCATCTCACTGCAACGTGAAGCTAATCAGGAACTAGTTCTTGGCTCACTGAAGTTAATCAAAGATTAAACTTCAGGGAATCACTAGCTGGGTACACCTGTCCAAGATTAAACCTGTTATTTTTCTTTTGTTTTTTTTTTTATCCTGGTGATGGAGTTTCGCTTTTGTTGCCCAGGCTGGAGTGCAATGGCACAATCTTGGCTCACTGCAACCTCTGCCTCCTGTGTTCAAGTGATTCTCCTGCCTCAGCCTCCTGAGTAGCTGGGATTACAGGTGTGTACCACCTGTAAAGATGGGCACACAGATGCCTAAGCAGCTAATAAAACGCTTGTGTTTTGTATAACTAATTGCTACAAGCCAAGATTACAATGGCTCAATGCATAGAATTTATAGATAAGTTAATTTTATAACCTTGCATTTTGGCTTTTGAGTTTTGGCTCTTATGTTGCTTAAAGGGGGTCCTAAAGCTGATGAATGCCTGCCTACCTCCATTCCCACCTGACCTAGAATGTTTAATTGACTATACAACTTTTGACTCTAAGTCCCTTGGCCATAAAGTCCCACCAAGGGACATAATGGACCCAGGACAGGTAGCACACCACCCTGGCATCAATATGGGACAAAATAAAAGCTAGGCCAGGCCGGGTGTGGTAGCTCACACCTGTAATCCCAGCACTTTGGGAGGCCGAGGCAGGCAGATCACCTGAGGTCAGGAGTTCAAGATCAGCCTGGCCAACATGGTGAAACCATGTCTGCACTAAAAATACAAAAATTGGCCAGACATGGTGGCGTGCACCTGTAATCCCAGCTACTAGGAAGGCTGAGGCAGGAGAATTGCTTGAACCCGGGAGGTGGA
Source organism: Homo sapiens (assembly GCF_000001405.40). Taxonomy (NCBI): domain Eukaryota; kingdom Metazoa; phylum Chordata; class Mammalia; order Primates; family Hominidae; genus Homo; species Homo sapiens. The sequence continues at coordinate 67,537,452 of NC_000011.10, forward strand.
GGTTGCAGTGAGCCAAGATCGCACCATTGCACTCCAGCCTTGGTGACAGAGCATGACTCTGTCTTAAAAATAAATAAATAATAAATAATAAAAGCTTGGCTATTGATACTGCCTCTGGCATACCTTGACAAAAAAGGGGATATATCCACTAAAGAAATAAATAAAACCCTAAACCTCTCAACAGAATGGACCCCTCTCTTGGTCAAAGGGAATTAAAAGAAACCTTTAAAAATGTAAAAATGGCCAGGTGTGGTGGCTCGCGCCTGTAATCCCAGCACTTTGAGAGGCCGAGGCAGGCGGATCACAAGGTCAGGAGATTGAGACCATCCTGGCTAACACGGTGAAACCCCATCTCTACTAAAAATACAAAAACAAAATAAGCTGGGTGTGGTGGTGGGTGCCTGTAGTCCCAGCTACTCGGCAGGCTGAGGCAGGAGAATGGCGTGAACCCAGGAGGTGGAGCTTGCAGTGAGCCGAGATTGCACCACTGCACTCCAGCCTGGGTGACAGAGCAAGACTCCATCTAAAAAAAACAAAACAAACAAACAAACAAAAAACAAACAAAACAAAACAAAAAAAACCTAGCAAGGCACTTTCCACACTAGTCACGACCCACGGTTCTAAGATGCTTACAGCTAAGGAATCGGCTTGGTACTGCCTGCAAGGACACATTCCTGCAGCCACAGAAAGTTCGACGTCCCAATACCCGTAACAACATATGCTTTCAAGATAATTACAGTTATGCTTTGATGCACTCACACACTAAAATGTCCAGGATAGTTTTCTTTAAATCAATAAAATAATAAATTTTGTCATGCTGTCAGCCCACTCACACATAGGCACAACTTAGTTTAGTCTTTGCATAGATAAGAATCCTGTATAAGAAGAACTTAAAACAAATATGGTGCATCCCTCCTCTTGCTTTCTGAGGACGCCCTACTCTGTAATGGAGTGGCTTTCAATAAGCTCTCTCTTCTCACTGCACCCTGTGACTCGCCTTGAATTCCTCTCTGCACGAGGTCCAAGAACCCTCTCTTGGGATCTGGATCTGGATCGCTTTTTCTGGGAACACTGGATTAATGACTCACTGCGTCTGCGCAACTGGGACCTCTCCTCTGCATGCCATCATGCCCCCTCTCCCCTCTCCATCACCCCATAAAACCCTCCTGTCACTTTCCTGTGGGGAGATGCTGCTTTCCAGAATCCTCTCAGTGTTCTCCTTACTTATACCAAGTAATAAAACCCTTGTTCATCTAAACCTGTTTTTTTTTTTTTTTTTTTTTTGAGACGGAGTCTGCTCTGTTGCCCAGGCTGGAGTGCAGTGGTGCAATCTCGGCTCACTGCAAGCTCCACCTCCTGGGTTCACACCATTCTCTTGCCTCAGCCTCCCGAGTAGCTGGGACTACAGGAGCCTGCCACTACGCCCGGCTAATTTTTTTGTATTTTTAGGCAGCAAAGACCACTGGTGGACACAGTGAATGACGGGGCGGAGGACCATCGTGGGCAGGCGCTGCAGCTGCCTTATCCACCAGGGCTCTGAGTGAGCCTGGGTGCCGGCTGGTGCTCTGGGACAATGTGGTCAGGGACAGGAGGTCACCCTGGTCAGTCTCACCACACACCTCCAACTGGAATCAGTCCTGTTCACAGGAGGTGGGCAAAGCCCAGTGTGTTCAGGAGCTGCCAGGCACCTGGAGCCTTTTGAGACCCTCTGACCCAGAACCAGGGATGACAGGCCTTCATTGTGGGCAACAAGGTGAGCGCTGGCTCCAGCCTCTCCCAGATCATTGTAGGTCCATTTCTTAGAAGGGCAAACTGAGGCCCAGGGTGGGCCAGTTCACTGCAGCAGAGACAGCCAGGGTTCTGGCTCCTGAAGCTGCTCTCTCCTGACCCAGCTCAAGCTCCCTCACACTCCCTGCCCTGCAGGTCTCCTTCACCGACCACAACCTGCTGGACTTGCTGCTGGCCCACCAGGTCCTGGTGAGGCAGGAGAATAGGGTGTGGAGGCAGGGAACCTAAGGCTGTTTCATGCCAACTTCCTAGAACTAAATTGAAAGGAAAACCCTAACTTTCCACACCTAAGTAACAAAAGGACCAGAGGCTACTCCATTTGACCTTTTCTGCACAGCAGATGCGAAATTGGCTGTCCCCAACAAATCAGACTAGTTGTGGGTGGAGTCTTCGTTTGCAACTTGGTAATTTCACTCCAGCCTATGAATGGTTGCTGTCCACAAACAATCAGACTGATTGTGGGTGGAGTCTTCGTTTGCATAGAAGCATAACTTTGTAACTTCACCCTAGCAAACATCTGATCCAATCAGATGTTGGCACAGGAGTGTGACCTTTGTAAGTTCACTTCAGCCTCTGATTGGCTGTTTTCCGCAACCAATCAGATTGCAGGCTACCACTTCATTTACATGAGGTGAGCATGAAGTGACCAATGGGAAACTTCTAGGGGGTATTTGGACCCAAGAAGATTCTGTATCCAGGCCCTTGAGCTGCTGCTGGGCCCACTCCCACACTGTGGAGTGTACTTTCGTTTTCGATAAATCCCTGCTTTTAGGCCGGGTGTGGTGGCTCACACCTGTAATCCCAGCACTCTGGGAGGCCGAGGTGGGTGGATCACCTGAGGTCAGGAGTTCAAGACCAGCCTGGCCAACATGGTGAAACCCTGTCTCTACTGAAAATACAAAAAAAAAAAAAAAAAAAAAAAATTAGCTGAGTGTGGTGGCACACGCCTATGATCCCAGCTACTTGGGAGGCTGAAGCACAAGAATCACTTGAACTTGGGAGGCAGAGGTTGCAGTTAGCAGAGATCACACCACTGCACTCCAGCCTGGGTGACAGAGCAAGACTCCGTCTCAAAAAAAACAAAAAACAAAAAACTGCTTTCATTCTTTTGTTGCTTCATTCTTTCTTTGCTTTGCTGGGTGTTTTGTCCAATTCTTGGTTCAAAACACCATGAACCTGGACAACTTGCAGTCACAACCCTCTACCAGGGACACTGGTGCCCGGCTATCTGGGTGCCCTCCTCCTGCTCTCAGCCTACGTGGCACGCCTCAGCGCCCAGCCTAAGCTCGAGGCCTCCCTGGCTTCCCCTGAGTATGGGAACGACCCCATCTTTGGAGGCTACAAGATGTGAGCCCACTTGGCCTCCCCATGGGAGCAGGGTTGCCCTTGGGAATCAATAAAAGCAATGAGAGGAAAGCTGTGCTGAGGTCATTGAGGGGCTGGGTGGGCATAAGGGACCTTCTACCCCATCCCAGGCTGCTGGGAATGACCCAGGCATAGGCAGGACCAGAGGCTACAGATGACCCTCCCAGGGGTTGAGTGGACAGGGGCGCTGGTGACCTTGGCAGAGGCCTTGTCTGCTGGATGAAGGAGTGGGAGTTGACTCCCAGGGCACTAGGGAGCCACTGCAGGCTTTTGAACAGGGATGGTGACTTTTAGGAATCAGAGCCTGTGATAGCTCAGGAAGCCTTGGGCACCACCTAACTCAACACCTAATAGACAGGGAAACTGAGGCCCAGAGAGAGGACTGGACTGCCTAGGTTCACTAAGCAAGTGGGTAGATGGGTCGAGTTGGTGTCCTGGGTGCTAAGCTCCCAGGTTGGAGGCCTGGCTGCCCCTCAAAGGAGCGTTTGCCTGACTGAGATGCTTAGCAGAGGCTCCATGGGGAGGGGTCTTATGCACCTTGGGTTTGAGGGGCTGACTGGCAGTTCTGTTTCTGGTGAAGGAGAGCTGACCCCTTTTGGGAGGCATGGTCCAGGAACGACCCCCCCAGTCCCCAAGAGGAAAGTGCTGCACACCCATCATCTCAGTGAAATCCCGAAGCTTCCACAGCCCAGAAGACAGACTGTTGCCTGAGGGGGGAGCTGTTCCAGTGGGTCTTGTAACCCTGCCCCAAGGAGCCTGCCAGGCAGGGCCCAGGGCCTGCAGCCTGTGGCCTGTGAGCCTCCTCAGTGCCCCGAGCATTCAGGAGGGCGTGTTCAGGTTCCAGCCTCGCCTGGGCCAGGCCTTGGAGTATGCTTGGGATGCCCTGGTGCCTGAGGGCAGGCAGCCTTACCAGTGGCTTGGCATGGGAAGGGCTGGACTCCTTGGACCACAGTGGTTCACTGTGTAGGCAGGGAAGACAGTGGCCGTGGTAGGCCACAGAGCAGGCCTAGGGGACATTCGAGCATCCCGCAGGTTCCAGAGCAGCAGGAGGAGAGGAGTTGCTCTTTTCAAAGCTTCCCGCAGGAGTTGGATGCACCGGCTCACACTTGCAGTCCCAGCTACTCAGAGGCTGAGGTGGGAGGATTGCTTGAGCCCAGGAGTTAAAGACTGCAGTGAACTATGATTGCACCGCTAAACTCCAGCCTGGGCAAAAGAGCGAGACCCCATCTCTAAAAACATTTTTTATTTTATTTTTTGAGACAGTCTTACTCTATCACCCAGGCTGGAGTGCAGTGGCATGATCTCAGCTCACTGCAACCTCCACCTCCTGGATTCAAGTGATCCTCATGCCTCAGCCTCCCAAGTAGCTGGGATTACAGGCGCACGCCACCACACCTGGCTAATTTTTGCATTTTTAGAAGAGACGGGGTTTGGCCATGGTGGCCAGGCTGACCTCGAACTCCTGACCTCAAGTGATCCACCCGCCTTGGCCTCCCAAAATGCTGGAATTACAGGTGTGAGCCACTGTGACTGTATAAAAATATTTTTAAAAGAAAGCTTCCTTCAGACAATCACTTTCACACTCTTCAGGGTGACTGGGCTGGACATTTTGGCTGTGTAGCTCTGAGACTGCAAGAAGGTGGATGGAGAGGCTCCCTGTGGCCAGGAAAAGGGACTGGGCCCCTGTCTGGGTACCTCAGGACTGGCATGAAGCCACATGTGTGAGCTGGTGCTGCAAGGCGTGGGAGTGATCAGATGGTCATTGGTGAGAGGCTGGGAGCCCCTCTAGCTGTAAAGTTGACAGATGACACCCAGGGCATGTGGTCGGGACTCCCTAGCAGCATATGGGAGGGAGGAGGGTAAGCTTCCTCCAGGCAGTGCCCCAAGCACTTGACATCTATCAACTCATTTAATTGGCAGAAAAAATCCACCCCGTGGATGCTATTATTATCTCCATTTTATTTTTTTAATTTTATATTTTTTGAGACGGAGTCTTGCTCTGTCACCCAGGCTGGAGTGCAGTGGCGTGATCTTGGCTCACTGCAACCTCCTCCTGAATTCAAGCGATTCTCCTGCCTAGGCCTCCAGAGCAGCTGGAATTACAGGTGCCCACCACCACACCCGGCTAAGTTTTGTATTTTTAGTAGAGATGGGGTTTCACTATTTTGGCCAGGCTGGTCTCCAACTCATGACCTCAAGTGATCCGCCTGCTTTGGCCTCCCAAAGTACTTGGATTACAGGGGTGAGTTACCGTGCCCGACCCATTATCTCCATTTTAGAGATGAGGAAACAGAGACACAGAGAGGTAAAGTAACTGCCAAAGTTCACATAGCTGGTAAGAGGCTGACCCAGGAATTGAATTAAAGCTTTCTGGCTCCACGCCTGTGCTTGAATCACCTCTGCCACAGGTGGTGGCTCAAGCTACTGTTTGTTGTTGTTGTTGTTTGTTTGTTTTTTGTTTTGTCCTTAAATTCTGGCACAGAGTGACTGCAGGAGGCCAGTAACTCTGTTTACTCCCCTTCATTATACGGGGGACAGGAAGCCCAAGAGAAAGGCTCGGCTTCAGCCAATCAGGATGGGGGTGGGAGTGGGAGCGGCTTTGGTTTGAAGGTTGGAACATTTGGAACTAGTGGCTGGATTTGCTCCCCGGCTGGGGAGGGCGGCCATGCAGGTTACAGATAAAAAGCTGCTGTTCTCAGGAGGAGCCTCTGGCCCCGGCCAGCTGCTGTTCAGGAGCAGGCAGAAGGGGCAGATCCAGGGGGCTGGCATCTGTTCACCCAGGGGTTTGCCCTTTGGTAGTAGCCCTGGGACTGAGAGGTCTGGGGTACCAGCATGGGGAGGGAGGGCTAAGGGGTGTAGAGAGTGACCCCAGACCTCAAGGGCAAAACCTGAGGATGCTTGCAGGCCTTGGCATCAGGTCTCAGCCCACAGATCTGGTCCCCAGCTGCACCATCCGGGCAGGGCAGCTGCAGGAATTTGGCTCCATCCCTCCCTGCCTCTCCTCCTGCCTCCCCTGCTTGTTCCCTGCTTGGCCAAGGTCCCAGTTGGCTGTGGCTCAGGCTCGGGCTCCATTTCTCTCCACCCTCATAAGTGGCCTGAGAACCCTTCCTAGCCCTGCTTGGGGACCCTGCAACTAGATATTGGGGCTCATGGCTGCCTTTACCCAGCTGTGTGACCTTGGAAAAGTGGTCAGCCCTCTCTGGGCCTGTTTCTTTTTGTTTGTTTGTTTTGAGACAAGGTCTTGCTCTGCCGCCCAGGCTGAAATGTGGTGGTGCAATCATGGCTCACTACAGCTTGGACCTCCTGGACTTAAGTGATCCTCCTGCCTTAGCCTCTGGAGGAACTGGAACTACAGGTGTGCACCACCATGCTTGGCTATTTTTAAAATTTTTTGTAGAAAGCGGGGTGGGGGTCTCCCCGTGTTGCTCAGGCTGGTCTCGAACTCCTGGGCTCAAGTGATCCTCCTACCTCACCTTTTCAAAGTACTGGGATTATAGCTGTGAGTATCTGTGCATGTGGGCCTATTTCTTCCTCCAATAGCCCAACCCATCACAAAGTACCATCCTGTTACCAAATACCTCCTCCATGCCAGACACTTGGCGGGTCTTCAGACCCCCATTTTACTGATGAAAAAACTGAGGTCAGAACTGGAATTTGTACCCAGGAGGCTGATTACCAAGCCTTCATCCTGTCCCAAACAGCCTCAGAAAATACTCTCAAAAGTGCTCTGACTGGGCGCAGTGGCTCACGCCTGTAATCCCAGCACTTTGGGAGGCTGAGGCGGTGGATCACCAGAGGTCAGGAGTTCAAGACCAGCCTGGCCAACATGGTGAATCCTTGTCTCTACTAAAAAAAATACAAAAATTAGCGGGGTGTAGTGGCGGTTGCCTGTAATCCCAGCTACTCAGGAGGCTGAGGCAGGAGAATCACTTGAACCCGGGAGGTGGAGGTTGCAGTGAGCCGAGATCACATCACTGCATTGTAATCTAGCCTGGGTGACAGAGCAAGGCTCTGTCTCAAAAAAAAAAAAACTCTGGACGAATGAAGTGGCCGGAAGTAGTTATTTAAAAGGTTAATGTTAGTTGAATGTTAACTATCCTGACTGAAATTAAGTTGAAGCCCCAGGAATTTCAGAAGCAAAAGCACTCATGCACTCTTCTGGCCCATTTTGCAGTTTGCCTTCACAGCCAGCACAGTGGAAAGCCAGCTCTGAAATATGTGGGGTGTGGTCGGAGTGCTCAGATACAGCCGGAAGTCTCCTCTCCCTGCACCTGCAGAGACAGTTACTCCTGGGAACTTCTGGGTGTTTTTCTGGGAGTTGTTTTTGGCAATGAAACCACACTTGAACTCCAGACCTCTCCACCGGAAGACTTTGAACAGGGTCAGGGTGGGAACTTTGCATTTCCAGATGGGATTTTCTGCTGCAAACAAGGTCAGGAACATGGCCCTGGATGATGCAGACGTGAGCGATGCTTGCTTCCCCTTAAACTGAACGTCATAAGCCTTGTCCTTACTTAGAAGCAGCATCCAGGGCAGAAAATACGATAAAAGCCTTGGCCCACCTGCCCGCTGTGCCTGCCACAGTCTCCTGGCTTAAAGTGTGTCCCACCTTAAAATGAGAAGGTGGTGACCTCTCAGAGGTTCAGGCTCAGTAGGTTTAAGTCTTCAGGTAGAACGAGCGACTAGGCCACTCCTGTGGAGGATTGCCATTGCCAGAGTTTGAAGCAGTTGCTTTTTCCTGCTATTCCAAAAATAGGACAACTGCGACCTTTGGCTTATAAATTCAGCTAAGGCAACAGTTGCACACACAACTGGGGTGGCCGCTCAGCTCTCTTCCTCTACCCACCCTGGCCCAGCGTCCCCTGCTGGTACCAGGCCCTGCTCCCTAGATGCAGGGATTGACCCAAACCCTGCCAATCAAAGAGCCTCAGCTTCAGCAACAGCAATTGGTCCAGCGGGGAGAGCACGTGAGCAGAGTCGAGCTTATCAGAGTCCTCCCTGGCCCATCCCAAACACAGCTGGCCAGGGGCCAGGAGCTCCCTCTGAGATGGGAGCTTCTATTCAGGCCAAGAGGCTGGTAGAAGGTGAATCTGAAGTGGACTGTGATGTAGGTTATGGCTGAGAGAGTGGAGCAGGTGTGTGTGTGTGTGTGTGTGTGTGTGAGAGAGAGAGAGAGAGAGAGAGAGAGAAAGAGAGAGAGGTGGCGGTGCAGTTTTTAGGTGCCTGGTTCCATTCTGTGAGAGTCCAGCTCCACTTTCCCTGTTTGGGTCCATAAATGCCTCTCTCTTGGAGTTGAGTTTCTGTACTTTCAGCTGAAAGAGATTGCGACAGGTTCAAAATGTGTTCAGAAATCCTTTGACAATTTCTCCCTCAAAATTTGGAACCTGGCGAGGGCGGTGGCTCATACCTGTAAACCTAGCACTTTGGGAGGCCAAAGCAGGAGGATCTTTTGAGCTCAGGGGTTCAAGACCAGCCTGGACAACATAATGAGGCCCCATCTCTAGAAACAATTAAACAACAAAATTAGTCGGATGTGGTGGCATGCACCTGTAGTCCCAGCTGCTCTGGAGGCTGAGGCAGGAGGATCACTTGAGCATGTCTGGGAGGTTGAGGCTTCAGTGAGCTGTGATCATACCACTGCACTCCAGCCTGGGTTACAGAGGGAGACCATGTCTCCCACCTCAAAATATGAAAAATAAACCCAACTCCCTACCCCTTGAGCACAGGCTGGATTTAGTGCGTGGAAGTGATAGTGCACGACTTCCAAGACTAGGTCGGAAAAGACGCTGTGGCTTCCATCTTGCTCTCCTGAATCACATGCTCTGAGGAAGCCAGCTGCCATGTCATGAGGACACTTAAGCAGCCCTGTGGTGGTCCAGGTGGTGAGGAACTGAGGCGTTCTGACAAAGCCAGCACTTCATCACTCTCCATGTGAGTGCACCAGTATGAAAGTGAATCCTGCAGCCCCACTTAAGCCCCAGAGACCATCTTAATGGCCACCTCATGAGAGACCCCAGCAGAAACCCCTAGCTAAAGCACTCCCAAATTTGTGACTCAGAAACGAATATAATAAATGCGTGTTGTTTTAAGCGGCTAAGCTTTGGGGTAATTCGCTATGCAGCAATAGATAAGTAATACAGAGTTCAAACCAAGCCGCTGCCATCAAGCCTCCGTAATAGAGGTGAGTGCCCTACGAGGCTCACCAGACAAGGCAGATGCTGAGATTTCATGAGCTGTTTTCCAGAGTCCAGTTGCTTGGGTTGGGGTTTGCAGTCGTTTCTGAACTCTCTTGGCAAAGGTGTTTGTCAGTGTCTGGGATAAAGGCACATCCTTCAGACAGGAGTCTTTCCTTTGATGGTCTCTGATTCCTGATTGTGAGTCTGTGTGGCTGCAGCTCATTCACGCTGGAGAGGAAGGAAGGAGCAGTGTGTAAGAGAGCAGGTGCTGGGCTTGGCTTCAGGTCCCAACTCTGCCATGTGACCTTGAGCTAGATGCCCAAATGAGATAATGCATCTAAAACATTTAGCGCAGTGTCTGGAACACAGTAAGTGCTCAATAAATGGCTGAAAACAACTTTTGTAAAAAACCAGCTTCAGCCGGGTGTGGTGACTCATGCCTGTAATCCCAGCACTTTGGGAGGCTGAGGCAGGTGGATCACTTGAGGTCAGGAGTTTGAGATCAGCCTGGCCAACACGGTGAAACCCTGTCTCTACTAAAAATACAAAAATTAGCTTGGCATAGTGGCACACGCCTGTAGTCCCACATACTCGGGAGGCTGAGGCAGGAGAATTGCTTGAACCCAGGAGGCGGAGGTTGCGGTGAGCCAAGATCGTGCCACTGCACTCCAGCCTGGGCTACAGAGCGAGACTCCGTCTCAAAAAACAAAAGAAAACAACAACAACAGAAACAGCTTCAAAGTTTCTCACTACCATTAGCTTTGGTGCTGTCTCAACGTCTTCAGAAATCAGCATCTCTTCTTTTGCTATGTATTTTGTACAAACAAGCAACTGAGCACAATCTCCTGCTTTCATATGTTCATCTCAACTAACAGCAAGAGAAAAAAAAAAATAGGTAGTGAATTGACCTCTGGCAAAACTTGACTTTTGAAAATTTCAGCCAAGCCATGAGTTGGGCACTCGAGTCTAGTATGAAACAAAGAAATATTATTACATTGCAATTTTCTCTCCAAGTACAATTCTTTTTTTGTTGTTGTTTTTTGTTTTTTTTTTGTTTGTTTGTTTTGCAGATGGAGTCTCGCTCTGTCGCCCAGGCTGGAGTGCAGTGGCGAGATCTCGGCTCACTGCAACCTCTACCTCCCACATTCAAGCTATTCTCCTGCCTCAGCCTTCTGAGTAGCTGGGATTATAGGCACCTGCCACCACACCTGGCTAATTTTTGTATTTTTAGTTGAGATGGGGTTTCGCCATGTTGGCCAGGCTGGTCTCGAGCTCCTGACCTCAAGTGATCTGCTTGCCTTGGCCTCCCAAAGTGCTGGGATTACAGGCGTGAGCCACCATACCCGGCCTCCAAGTAAAGTTCTTTGAAACCAAATTTTTAATTGCTCAATATTCAAAATCAACATATTATTTAAGAATGGAAACCTGGCCAGGCATGGTGGCTGACGCCTGTAATCCCAGCACTTTGGGAGGCCAAGGCAGGCAGATCACCTGAGTTCAGGAGTTGGAGACCAGCCTGGCCAACATGATGAAATCGCATCTCTACTAAAAATACAAAAAAAATTAGCTGGGAGTGGTGCCATGAGCCTGTAATCCCAGCTACTCAGGAGGCTGAGATGGGAGAATAGCTTGATTGCAGGAGGTAGAGGTTGCAGTGGACCAAGATTGCGCCACTGCACTCCAGCCTGGGCAACAGAGTGAGATTCAGTCTAAAATAAATAAATAAATAAATAAAATAAAATGCTCATCTACATGTCTGCTTCCGTATTATGACTAGAAATCTCTTGAGAGAAGGGACTGGATTATTTTTTCTTTTCTTTTCCAGCTTTTGAATTGAGCTATTACTTATACACAGTAGACGCACTTATCTTAAGCATATAGTTCAGTAAATGTTTACATACGTATACCTGTGTACCTGTGTAACCACAAACAAATCAAGGTGTTGAACATTCCCCGCCCCCAAAGCAAAGAGTTGCTCTCTGTTTGCTAGTGTCATGGGTTGCAAGAAAGCCTAAAATTGATGTAACTGTATTTGTTATTTGCTACTTAACAAACCACTCTGACGTTTATTGGCTTAAAACAACACACTTATCCCTCCCAGCTCTGTGACTGGACTGAGTGTCCCTTCTGAGCTGGGCCAGCTTGGCTGAGTCTCGCTGGTCTGGTTGCCCTCACTGTGACATGGGACCTCAGCTCAAATAGTGGAAACTCCAGCTGGGCACGGTGGCTCACTTCTGTAATTCCAGCATTTTGGGAGGCCAAGGTGGCAGGATCACATGAGGCCAGGAGTTCGAGATCAGCCTGACCAACATGGCGAAACCCCGTCTCTACTAAAACTACAAAATTAGCCGGGTGTGGTGGCAGGCGCCTGTAGTCCCAGCTACTTGGGAGGCTGACACAGGAGAATTGCTTGAACCCGGGAGGCGGAAGTTGCAGTGAGCTGAGATTGCACCACTGCACTCCAGCCTGGGCGACAGAGCGAGACTCCATCTCAAAAATAAAAAAAAGACAGACTGAAACACAAATTAGCAATTAAATTGAGATGGCCTCATTCTGTTGCCCAGGCTGGAGTGCATGGTGAGATCACGGCTCACTGCTGCCTTGACCTCCTGGGGTCAGGTGATTCTCCCACAGCCGCCTTCCAGGTAGCTGGGACTACAGGCGGGCACCACTACACCCGGCTAATTTTTAAAAATTATTTGTAGAGATGGGGTTTCACTATGTTGTCCAGGCTGGTCTCAGACTCCTGGGCTCAAGTGATCTGCCCACCTTGGCCTCCCAAAATGCTGGGATTACAGGCGTGAGCCACCGTGTCTGCCCCAGCTGATTTTTTTTCCAACTTTTTTTTTTAATTGTAGTAAAATACACATAGCATAAAATTTACCATCTTAACCAATTTTTTTTTCTTTTTCTTTTCTTTTTTTTTTTTTTGAGACAGAGTCTTGCTGTGTCACCCAGGCTGGAGTGCAGTGGAGTGATCTCGGCTCACTGCAACCTCTGCCTCCTGAGTTCAAGCAATTCTCTTCCTCAGCCTCCTGAGTAGCTGAGATTACAGGCACCTGCCACCATGCCCAGCTAATTTTTGTATTTTTAGTAGAGATGGGGTTTCACCATCTTGGCCAGGCTGGTCTTGAACTCCTGACCTTGTGATCCACCGCCTCGGCCTCCCAAAGTGCTGGGATTACAGGCGTGAGCCACTGTGCCCAAACCATTTTTAAGTGTAAGGTTTAGTGGTATTAAATACATTCATGTTGTGCAACCACTACTACTATCCATTTCCAGAACTCTCTTTATCTTATAAAATCAGAACTCTACCCATTAAACACTAACTTCCCATTCTCCTCTTCCCAGTCCCTGGCAACCACATTCTATTTTCTGTTTCTATGATTTTGACTACTCTGAAGTATCTCATATAAGTGGAATCATACAGTATTTGTCTTTCATGACTGGTTTATTTCACTTAGCATAATGTCCTCAAGGTCCATCTATGTGGTGGCATGTATCAGAATTTCCTTCCAAGTGATTTTTTACAAAGATGCAAAACCAGTTCAGTGGAGAAAAGATAGCCCTTTTCATATGGCTAGGCTTTGTGTCCCCACCCAAATCTCATCTTGAATTGTAATCCCCCAGAGCTGATGGAGAGACCTAGTGGGAGGTGATTGGATCACGGGGATGGTTCCCCCATGCTGTTCTTGAGATAGTGAAGGAGTTTTCACGAGGTCTGATGGTTTTATAAATGGCAGTTTCCCCACCAGGCATGGTGGCTTACACCTGTAATTCCAACACTTTGGGAGGCTGAGGCAGACAGATCACTTGAGGTCAGGAGTTTGAGACCAGCCTGGCCAACATGGTGAAACACCATCTCTACTAAAATGACAAAAATTAGCTGGGCGTGGTGGTGCATGCCTGTGATCCCAGCTACTCAGGAGGCTGAGGCAGGAGAATCACTTGAACCCAGGAGGCAGAGGTTGCAGTGAGCCGAGATCTCCAGCTTGGGCAATAGAGAGACTCTGTTTCAAAAATAAAAAAAAATAATAAAAGAAAAAAGCAGTTTTCCCTGGGCTTTTGCTCTCTCTCTCTCTCTCTCTCTTGCCTGCCACCATGTAAGACCTGCCTGCTTCCCCTTCTGTTGTGATTGTAAGTTTCCTGAGGCCTCCTCAGCCATGTGGAACTGTGAATCAATTAAACCCCTTTCCTTTATAAATTACCCAGTCTCAGGTGGTATTTTTATAGCAGTGTGAAAATGGACTATTATAGTAAATTGGTACTGCAGAGAGTGGGGTATTGCTATAAAGAAACTTGAAAATGTGGAAGCGACTTTGGAATTGGGTAATGGGCAGAGGTTGGAACAGTTTGGAGGGCTCAGAAGAGTACAGGAAGATATGGAAAAGTTTGTAGCTTCCTAGAGAATTGTTGAATGCTTTTGAGCAAAATGCTGATAAGGATGTGTACAATGAAGTCCAGGCTGAGGTGGTCTCAGATGGAGTTGAAGAGCTTATTGGGAACTGGAGTAAAGGTCACTCATGCTATGCTTTTTAGCCAAGAGACTGGGTGACATTTTGCCCCTGCCCTAGAGATCTGTGGAACTTTGAACTGGAGAGAGATGATTTAGGGTAACTGGCAAAAGAAATTTCTAAGCAGCAAAGCATTCAAGACATGACCCAGATTATTCTGAAAGCATTCAGTTTTATGCATTCACAAAGAGATGATTTGAAATTGGAACTTACATTTAAAAGAGAAGCAGAGCATAAAAGTTTAGAAAATTTGCAAGCCTGATGATGCAACAGAAAAAAAAAATTTCTGGGGAGAAATTCAAGCCCACTGCAGAAATTTGCATAAGTAATGAGGGGCTGAATGTTAATCACTATTTAACTCCCCAGCCATGTAGAACTGTGAGTCATTTCCATCAATGAGGAAAATGTCTCCAGGGCATGTCAGAGATCTTGTTGGCAACATCTCCCACCACAGGCCCAGAGGCCTAGGAGAAAAAAATGGTTTCATGGGCCCCAGTCATGTCTAAAAGGGGCCAAGGTAAGCTTGGGGCATTAGTTCAGAAGGTGCAAGCCTCAAGCCTTGGCAGCTTCCTTGTGGTGTTGGGCTTGCAGGTGCACAGAAGTCAAGAACTGAGGTTTGGGAACCTCTGCCTAGATTTCAGAAGATGTATGGAAGTGCTTGGATGTCCAGGCAAAAGTCTGCTGCAGGGGCAAAGCCCTCATGGAGAACCTCTGCTAGGGCAATGTGGAAGGGATATGTGGGGTTGGAGCCTCCACACAGAGTCCCCACTGGGGCACTGCCTGGTGGAGATGTAAGAAGAGGGCCACTGTCCTCCAGACCCCAGAATGGTAGGTCCCCTGACAGCTTGCACCATGTGCCTGGGAAAGACACAGGCACTGAATGCCAGCCTGTGAAAAATCCTGCCCCTTGCATCAGCATGCCCTGGATGTGGGACATATAGCCAAAGGAGATCATTTTAGAGCTTTAAGATTTAATGACTGCCCCAATGGATTTCAGACTTGCATGGGGCCTGTAGCACCTTTTTTTTTGGGCAGTTTTTCCCATTTAGAATGGGAATATTTACCTAATGCTTGTACCCTCATTGTATCTAGGAAATAACTAGCTTGCTTTTGATTTTACAGGCTCATAGGCAGAAGGGACTTGCCTTGTCTCAGATGAGATTTTAGACCGTGGACTTTTGAGTCAATGCTGGAATGAGTTAAGACTTTGGCATGATTGTGTTTTGAAATGTGAAAGGGACATGAGATTTGGGATGGGTCAGGGGTGGAATGATTTGGTTAGGCTTTGTGTCCCCACCCAAATCTGATCTTGAATTGTAATCCCCAGGTGTTGAGGGTGAGACCTGGTGGGAGGTGATTGGATCGTGAATCAGCATGTTGCCTCCATGCTGTTCTCATGATAGTTGGGGAGTTCTCATGAGATCTGATGGTTTTATAAAAGTCAGTTTCCCTGGGCTTTTTGCTTGCTCTCTCTTGCATGTTGCCATGTAAGATGTGCCTGCTTCCCCTTCTGCTGTGATTGTAAGTTTCCTGAGGCCTCCCTAGTCATGCAGAACAGTCAGTCAATTAAACCTTTTTGCTTTATAAATTACTCAGCCTTGGGTAGTATCTTCATAGCAGTGTGAAAACGGACGAATATACCTTTCAACAGAAGGTAATGGAGCAATTAGAATTTCATAGGCAAAAAAAGAAATGTTAATCTAAACCTCACAACTTATAGAAAATTAACTGAAATGGATTATGGACTTAATTACAAAATGAAAAATTATATAACTTTAAGGGAAAAAATGTGAGAAAATGTTCAGGATCTAGAGCTAGGCAAAGAATTCTTAGACTTAATACTAAAAGCATGATCCATAAGAGGAAAAATGGATAAATTGCACCTCATAAAAATAAAAATGTTTGGCTGGGCACTATGGCTCACACCTCTAATCCCAGCACTTTGGTAGGCTAAGTCAGTAGGATCACTTGAATCCAGGGGTTCAAGACTAGCCTGGGCAACACAGTGGGACTCCATCTCTACAAACCATAAAAAAAATTAACCAGGTATGGTGGTACATGCCTGTAGTCCCAGCTACTCAGGAGGTTAAGGTGGGAGGATCACTTGAGCCTGGGAGGTCAAGGCTGCAGTGGACCATGATTGCGCCACTGCACTCCAGCTTGGGCAACAGAGGCAGCTTGGGCAGCAGAGGCGGTGGCTCACATCTGTAGTCCCAGCACTTTGGGAGGCTGAGGCAGGTGGATCATGAGCTCAGGAGATTGAGACCATCCTGGCTAACACAGTGAAACCCTGTCTCTACTAAAAATACAAAAAAATTAGCCAGGCGTGGTAGCAGGCGTCTGTAGTCCCAGCTACTTGGGAGGCTGAGGAAAGAGAATGGTGTGAACCTGGGAGGTGGAGGTTGCAGTGAGCCGAGATTGCGCTACTGCACTCCAGCCTGGGTGACAGAGCGAGACTCCATCTCAAAAAAAAAAAAAAAAGGAAATGTTTGCTTTGCAGAACACTCTGTTAAGAGGTTAAAAAGTAAAGTTAGAAGTGGGAGAGGCCAGGCACAGTGGCTCATGCCTGTAATCCCAGCACTACGGGAGGCCGAGGTGGGCAGATCATGAGGTCAGGAGTTTGGGACCAGCCTGGGCAACATGGTGAAACCCCATCTCTACTAAAAATATAAAAATTAGCTGGGCATGGTAGTGCATGCCTGTAATCCCAGCTACCTGGGAGGTTGAGGCAGGAGAATCACTTGAACCTGGGAGGCAGATGTTGCAGTGAGCTGAGATTGCGCCACTGCACCCCAGCCTGGGTGACAGAGTGAGACTCCACCTCAAAAAAAAAAAAAGAAAGAAAATAAATAGCCCTCATCAAAGACTCAAGTTATCTTTTTATAGTTGGTTTCTAGCTCAGTTGTATTGCGTACAGAAAACATGCTCTAAGATTTCAATCTGTTGAAGAGTGTGGGTGTTTCTGGCTGTATAGGATCTGATAGGTACTCCTTGTGTGCTTGAAAACAAAGCGTATTTTCAGTCATTCAAATATTCAATATTATTCTGATCGTTTTCTCAGTCTCTTCTATCAATTACTGAAGCACTATTTCAAAATATCCCACTCTAGGCTGGAAGGAAATAGAAATGAATTAAGATTGAGATTGGCAAATACACACACACACACACACATACACACACACACACACACACACACACACACACACAGCTGTTTTGTGTATTTCTCATCATAATTCCATCATACTTTACTGTATATAGTTTGTGGCCATGTTATTAAGGGCATACAAATTTAGAATTTTTGCAACGTCTTAATAAATACTGAATCTTTTCACATTAGCAAATTCCCATCTCATATGTAAAGGTTTTGTTTTCTTTGTTTTGAGATGGTCTCGCTGTGTTGCCCAGGCTGGAGTGCCGTGGCTATTCACAGGCTGTATCGTGGTACATTACAGCCTTGAACTCCTAGCCCCAAGCCATCTTCCAGTTTCAGCCTTCCAAGTAGTAAAGATTTTGTTTTAAAATTCATTATTTATTTATTTATTTATTTTTCTTCCCTTAAGGTGCTATTGGTAGGCCAAGCATAGTGGCTTATGCCTGTAATCCCAGAACTTTGGAAGGCTGAGGTGGGTGAATCACTTGAGGTCAGGAGTTTGAGGCCAGCCTGGCCAACATGGTGAAACCCCTCTCTACTAAAACTACAAAATTTAGCTGGGTGTAGTGCCGGGCGCCTGTAGTCCCAGCTACTTGGGAGGCTAAGGCAGGAGAATGGCTTGAACCCGGGAGGCAGAAGTTGCAGTGAGCCGAGATCGCACCACTGCACTGCAGCCTGAGGACAGAGCAAGACTCTGTCTCAAAAAAAAAAAAAAAGAAAAAAAGAAAAAAGTGCTATTGACCTGACGTCAGTATAGATATATGACAGCTTTTCTTCAGTTTGTTCCTATGTGGCCTATCTTTTTTAATCCTTTTATTTTCAACCTTCCTATAGTCTTATGCTATAAATGTGCTCCTTGTAAATAGAATATAATTTGATTTTCTTTTGTTTTTCATTCTGACTTCTTCTTTTTTTTTTTTTTTTTTGAGGCAGGGTCTTGCTCTGTCCTCCAGTCTGGAGTGCAGTGGTGTGATCATGGCTCACTGCAGCCTCAACCTCCTGGACACAAGCAATCCTCTTGGCTCAGCCTCCTAAGTAGCTGGGACTACAGGCATGCACCGCCACATCTGGCTAATTTTTTAATTTTTAATTTTGTAGAGACGGAGTCTCCTTATGTTGCCCAGGCCAGTCTCGAACTCCTGGGCTCAAGGAATCCTCCTACCTTGGCCTCCCAAAGTGCTGGGATTACAGGCGTGAGCTACCTTGCCCAGCCCCCAATTTTTTTTTTTTTTTTTTTTTTTTGAGACGGAGTCTTGCTTTGTCTACTAGGCTGGAGTGCAGTGGCACAATCTCGGCTCACCACAACCTCCATCTCCCAGGTTCAAGCGATTCTCCTGCCTTAGCCTCCCGATCAGCTGGGACTACAGGCGTGTGCCGCCATGCCTGGCTACTTTTGTATTTTTAGTAGAGATGGAGTTTCACCATGCTGGCCAGGGTGGTCTTGAGCTCCTGACCTTAGGTGATCCACCCGCCTCGACCTCCCAAAGGGCTGGGATTACAGGCATGAGCCACCACGCCCGGCCAAATTTTTTTAAAAATACAAAATAAATTGTTCTGTTGTGAACAATGCTGCAATAAACATGGGAGCTCGGTTTCTGAGCGTGCTTGTAAAGGTCTTCTGGTGGACGCATACGCTCTTTCCTTTGAGCTTTGTATTAGTTTCCTTCAGAGAAACGGAACCAATGGGATGTGTGTGGAGAGAAAGAGAGAGGGAGAGGCAGAGACAGAGAGGGAGAGGCAGAGACAGAGAGAGGGAGAGGCAGAGACAGAGAAAGGCTCCAAGGAATTGGCTTATGTGCTTGGTGGAGGCTGGGTATGTTCAAAAAAGTCCAATTCTGCAGGATAGGTTGGCAGGCTGGAGACCCCAGGAAGAGGTGATGCCGTGGCTCGAGGCTGAAGGCCGTCTCTGGCAGAATTCCTTCCTCTTCAGGGAACCTCAGTTGTCTCTCTTAAGGCCTTCAGCTGATTAGATGAGGCCCACCCCCATTATGGAGGGTCATCTGCTTCACTCAAAATCTACTGATCTAATTGTCAATCTCATCTAAAAAATGCCTTCACAGAAACATCTAGAATAATGTTTGACCAGATACTTGGGTGTTGGGGCCTGACCAATTTAACCCATAAAATCACCTATCACTAGTATATACCTTGGAAGTTTTACAGCTGATACAGTTTTTCAGTGTGGCTGAACAGTTTAACAATCCCTCCCATCTGCAGTGCATGGAAGTTCCAGTTGCTCTCCCTCCTGTTGACAGTTGGAATTGTTGTTGTTTTTTGTTTTGTTTTGTTTTGTTTTGTTTTGAGACGGAGCCTCATTCTGTTGCCCAGGCTGGAGTGCAGTGGTGCGATCTCAGCTCACTGCAACCTCCACCTCCTGGGTTCAAGCAATTCTCTGCCTCAGCCTCCTGAGTAGCTGGGACTACAGGTGCCCACCACCACGCCCGGCTAATTTTTGTATTTTTAGTAGAGACGGGGTTTCATCATCTTGGCCAGGGTGGTCTTGAACACCTGACCTCGTGATCCACCCGTCTCAGCCTCCCAAAGTGCTGGGATTACAGGCGTGAGCCACCACGCCTGGCCCAACAGTTGGAATTGTTAGTGCCCTGCGTGCAGTGATATTTCACTGTGGCTTTAATTTACATTTCTGGCCGGGCATGGTGGCTCATGCCTGTAATCCCAGCACTTTGGAAGGCTGAGGCAGGCAGATCACCTGAGGTCAGGAGTTGGAGACCAGCCTGGCCAACATGGTGAAACCGCGTCCTTACTAAAAATACACAAATTAGCCGAGCATAGTGGCACATGTCTGTAATCCCAGCTACCCGGGAGGCTGAGGCAGGAGAATCACTTGAATCTGGGAGGTGGAGGTTGCAGTAAGCAGAGATCACACCACTGCACTCTGGCCTGGGCGACAGAGTGAAACTCCATCTTGAAAAAAAAAATTGCATTTCCTAATGACACTGAACATGTTTTTACCTTTTTATATGCTTAAGGGGTGTATAATAATGGCACACAAATCGTCTTAAGGCTATTTGTTTTAAATATTAGGGACTAGACTATGAAATATGGACACAGATAGGCTAGTAATTTATTGTCCCTTTGAAGTCTTTTTTTTTTTTTTTTTTTTTTTTGGTAGAGATGGGGTCTTGCCATGTTGCCCAAGCTGGTCTCGAACTCCTGGGCTCAAGTGATCCACCTGCCTTGGCCTCCCAAAGTGCTGGGATTACAGGCGTGAACCACCACAACTGGCCCCTTTCAAAGTCTTTTTTTTTTTTTTTTTTGAGAGGGGTCTCACTCTGTCACCCAGGCTGGAGAGCAGTGGTGCGATCTCGGCTCACTGCAACCTCTGCCTCCTGGGTTCAAGTGATTCTCCTGCCTCAGCCTCCCGAGTAGCTGAGACTACAGGTGTGTGCCACCACACCCGGCTCTTTTTTGTGTGTTTTTAGTAGAGACAGCGTTTCACCATGTTGGCCAGGCTGGTCTCAAACTCCTGACCGCAAATGATCTGCCCGCCTTGGCCTCCCAAAATGCTGGGATTATAGGCATGAGCCACTGCGCCCAGCCCAAAGTCTTTACATATTTGCCCAACATGTATTTAGTTTGGCTGTTTCTTTATTTTAAAAAGCCGCTTTTTATTTAAAGAAAAACAAAAGATTGTTTTCAGAAATAAATTCACCTTCCGGGGCTAAAAAAATCCTAACCATTTCCTACTTCTCTTTGGTTCTTGTTCTCACTTCAGGTTGTATATTAATCAGATACAAGTCCCACTGAGGTTACAAAGTCCCCCAACCGCAGCAGCTGAAACAAGCTAGAAGTATGTTTTCACTCTGCAACAAGTCCGGTGTCCTCTGCACGAAGCAATGGGCACTCCGTGGTGTTAGGGACCCAGGCTCCCCCTGCTCTCTCTGCCATGCCAAGGATGCCATCCCTGTCACGTCCATGTTCCAGCCCCGCGGGATCAGGGGTTCTCTGAACAACACCTTTTGAAGAGGCATCTTCTAGGTTTGCAATGTAGATGATAAAATAAGTCACTTGTTGGCAACACGCAGCATACCCCATGCAGCACCGGGTTTCTGACTTGCAACTGGCGTGACTTCTAGTGAATGTGCCGCCCAGAAACACTCGACGGAGACTACACTGCTATCACTAAGTTGTTTTTTCTCCTTCTTGAGTACTTCAGTGGGGTGGGGCCAATTTATATTTAACCAGTTATTTCAGGAATCAAGGAGGGCGGGGAGGCACACTGACTGCTGTATTACTGGTTCATTCTGGGAAGCCTGGGCCCAGCTCCAGCTTGCTGAGGCCACGCTACGGGGTCCACAGCGTCGACTGTCCCTGACTCTAACCAGCGTCTCCCAGAGCCTGCAAATGTGCCACACACAGCAGCAGGGGCGGGGCTCACTCCTCATTCTCACTCTTCGACTTGTATTGGGCTGATTTTGATTGAAAGCAGCAGAAACCCAATCAAAGGCGAATTTGCTGACTCAGTTAACTGGAAGATAACGGATGCTTCTGCTTTACGCACGTTGGATCCAGGAGCTCCATCAAATTCTTCATCATTTCTCACTCTTCCTCCCCATGAAACATTGTTTTTCTCCCTCTGTCTCTCTTTTTTTTTTTTTTTTTGAGACAGAGTCTTGCTCTGTCGTCCAGGCTGGAGTGCAGTGGTGCGATCTCGGCTCACTGAAACCTCCGCCTCCCGGGTTCGAGCAATTCTCGTGCCTCAGCCTCCCGAGTGGCTGGGACTACAGGTGCCCGGCTAATTTTTGAATTTTTAGTGGAGACGGGGTTTCACCGCGTTGGCCAGGCTGGTGTCGAACTTCTGACCTCAAGTGGTCTGTCCGCCTCAGCCTCCCAAAATGTTGGGATTACAGGTATGAGCCACTGCACCCAGCCAGCATTCTTTTTCTCTACACTGCTTACTTCTCTGTGGCTTCATTCTCAGGCAGCCTGTACCTGCAGGGTGGCAAATATGGCCAAGTCACTTTAAGGCTTTCTTTGATGAGTTCTGGGGTTGCCTTTCATTGGCGTGGCTCACTGGGTCCTGCCCCTCCCTGAATAATCACTTTGGCTAGGAGAATGCAGTTCCTATCCCCTTGGCAGAAGTGGTCACTTTCAGTTCAATCACATGGATTTGGTTCCTCCAAGAAAGAGAGGTTCTGTTACCAAAGGAAGAGGCAAAGGATGCTTAGCTGACGAAGACCTCAGGTGCCCTCTGTGCCTTCTTTGCTGTGCCCAGATGATGCCTTTGGCCAGCTTTTTCCTGTACTGCTCATTATAAAAACAATATGTAATGAAGTGGAGAAAACTTATTTCTCAAAAATTCCTGGACAGGCACTGTGGCTCACGCCTATAATTTCAGTGCCTTGGGAAGCTGAGGTGGGAGGCCAGGAGTTTGAGACGAGCCTGGGCAACACACTGAGATCCCATCTCCATTTAAAATATGTATATTAAAAAAACAAATCCTAAGGGAAGACTGGAGATAGGCTGGTGGGTGATTTGGACAGAGAGGGGCCATCTCTATGCCCAGGGCCTGGATGTCCCATGAACAGCTTTTCCTGGGGTCAGGCAGGCAGGGGTGGAGGGCACCAGCAGGAGGAGATGGAGGACTGGGCTATGCCAGGTGCCGCCTCCTGTCCATGCCCCACCCTGATTCTCCATCACGGGCCGATTCCCTGCAATGCCCAGGAGGACTGGAGTGAGAAAGTGGGCTCTCCATGATGGAGACTGAGGAGGGGAGAAAGCTACAGGCTTGGTTTGCTCTGTTGCAGAGGAGGGAAGTGGCCTTGAGCTGCCTAGGCCTGGGAATTGGGGTTCAGACTGAGCTCTAAGTAAATCTGCAATGGGCAGGAGGCCTAAGGGATCATATGTTTTCTGAAAATCAAAGATGCAGGCCGGGCGCGGTGGCTGACGCCTGTAATTCCAGCACTTTGGGAGGCTGAGGTGGGCGGATCACGAGGTCAGGAGATCGAGACCATCCTGGCTAACATGGTGAAACCCCGTCTCTACTAAAAATACAAAACATTAGCCAGCCATGGTGATGGGCGCCTGTAGTCCCCGCTACTCAGGAGGCTGAGGCAGGAGAATGGTGTGAACCTGGGAGGCAGAGCTTGCAGTGAGCCGAGATCATGCCACTGCACTCCAGCCTGGGCGACAGAGTAAGACTCTGTCTCAAAAAAAAAAAAAAAAAAGAAAAAAGAGAAAAAGAAAATCAAAGATAAACTGGGGTGTTTTCCAATACCAGCAACCACTTCTCTGACTCTCCAGATACCAGCTTAGTGTTTGAGAAAAGAAAAATCCCTCAGAGCAGTCTGACCTACGTGAGGTGCACGAATGAATCAGGCCGGGAGAGACATGGATGTGGACTTCAGTTGCATACCCCCTGCCTGGAGGTAATCATATAAAGGCATTTTGACTGACTAGCTGCCTCACCCATTATCTTCATGCTCCTGGAATTTGTGATACAAAGCACAATGTATAGCCAATCAATAGCTTATGTTATTTTACTGAGATAGGGTCTCACTATGTTGCCCAGGCTGGCCTCAAACTCCTGTGATCCTCAAGTGATCCTCCCACCTCAGCCTCCCAAGTAGCTTGCAATAACTCCTATTATTTTAATGTCAATTCCTGGTAAAGGGGCTGGGTATGGTGGCTCATGCCTGTAATCCCAGCACTTTGGGAGGCCGAGGCAGGTGGATCACTTGAGTCCAGGAGTTCAAGACCAGCGTGGCCAATATGGCAAAACCCATCTCTACAAAAAATACACAAATTAGCCAGGCGTGGTGTTGTACGCCTGTAGTCCCAGCTACTGGGGAGGCTGAAGTGGAAGGATTGCTTGAGCTTGGGAGGTGAAGGTTGCAGTGAGCCGATGTAATGCTACTGCACTTCAGCCTGGGCAATAGAGTGAAAACCTCCTCTAAAAAAAAAAAATTCTGGTAAACAACTTAGGGATTGCCTCTTTTCTTTTTCCTTAAAAACCAGCTTCTAACTGCTGCTAATCAGAGTGTACATTTAGGGCAACTTGAGTCTGTGCTCCCAGGCGGCCACCCTCAGGCTTTAGACTCTATACTTAATAATATTTTCTGAATCTTGTTTTTGTTGTTGTTGTTGTTGTTTGTTTGTTTTTTTGAGACAGTCTCACTCTGTTGCCCACGTTGGAGTACAATGGCGCAATCTCGGCTCACTGCAACCTCTGCCTCCCAGGTTCAAGCGATTCTCCTGCCTCAGCCTCCCGAGTAGCTGGGATTACAGGCTCCTGCCACCTCACCTAGCTAATTTTTGTACTTTTAGTAGAAACGGGGTTTCATCATCTTGGCCAGGCTGGTCTTGAACTTCTGACCTTGTGATCCACCTGCCCTGGCCTCCCAAAGTGCTGGGATTACAGGCGTGAGCCATTGTGCTGGCCTGAATCTTGTTATTTAAAGTCGACATTTTGCACCCCAGATGGAACCTGAAGGGAGCCTCCAGCGATCCCACCGCTTCCCCAGCAACCAGAGCCTTGGTACCAGCATGAGCAACTTACTCACTTTACTTTGCCCAAGCCAGCAAGGATTTCTAATAAGGCCCCTCTCAGGGCCGAATTCCTCCCAGGTTTGGTTGTGAATTCAGACTTGCTTCAAGCTACACATATTCTTTACTCGGTGGGGTTGGAGTCAAAACTCTACTGAGAGGTGGGAGTTTCATCTGTTATTCTCTAGAGACTCTGCTGATCACATATTCATAATTTTCAGTTTTCTCCGAGGTTAAGATTTTGTTTGTCTTACTCATTAGAATTTGCAACCTTTTTTCTCATTTCAAATTTTGATCAGGGAGAAAATAGTTTCTCTCCGAAAAGAGAAAGTGAAATCTTTGTGGCTTCAGTGTCAAATCTGTAATCTTTCAAACTGGCCAGGTTCTGAGGCTCGGTTCAATGGTCTAAAACTGAGTGTTCCTCCTGAAGGCAAGATCCACATGAAAACATAGGCTGGATTTGTGTTTAACACTGTGGCGCGCCTCTTCATGCAAATATTTAGAAAACTGGTCATGCATAACTTGTGATGACCCAGCTTATAATGGCCAAAATGGAGGACTTTGAAATGCCTACATGAGTTCATCTGCATGCACAACTGGAAAAAGCTGGTTTTAGGAGCAGACAAATGGGGCCGGGCGTGGTGGCTCACGCCTGTAATCCCAGCACTTTGGGAGGCAGAGGCGGGCGGATCACTTAAGGTCAGGAGTTTGAGGCCAGCCTGGCCAACATGGCAAAACCCCATCTCTACTAAAAATACAAAAATTAGCCGGGCGTGGTGGCAGTCGCCTGTAATCCCAGCTACTTAGGAAGCTGAGGCAGGAGAATTGCTTGAACCCGCGAGGCAGAGGTTGCAGTGAGCCAAGATCACACCACTGTACTCCAGCACGAGACTCTGTCTCCAAAAAAAAGAACTAAACAAATGGAATGAGCGACTTACTTCCAATAGCACCTAGAAGCTTCTAAAAGACATTCTGAGAGAAAAAATTGCCTCCATTCAAGAGGTAAACAAAAGGATATTTGAAACTAGTTCTAAATTAAGAAAGACTTCGGAGGCTTTTTCTCTTTCTCCTCCAGCTGCCCCTTCGTCCTCTCCCCTGCGATCTGAACTCACCTCTCTCTGCTAGTTCCCTCGGCTCCCATACATCTCTCAGGCAGAGATTTTTGGAATTCCACAATACACACATTTCCTTCTCTCCAAAGGGGGGAATGTGTCTAAATTTGGAACAAAGGAAACAAATGGAACCACTTCACAATGAGAATGACTTACTAACATTATAAAATACAGATCCAACATTTTTTTTTCTCTAAACAAGGATGAATGAATGACACTGATGATTTATTGACCCAATATCGGACAATACCCTTTAAAAGCCCTGCTGGACTTCACAGTCCCTTGGAGATGTAAATCTTACCAGGTATTTGAAATGTTAACTTCCAGGGAATTGGCTAAGCCATGTTCTAGTTGAGATCAGATCTGAAACAAGTTAAAATCCTTTACATGTTCAAACTGCCTGCTTTGCTTCTGCTGCAGGCCTCACAAAGCAATGGGATCTGGTGGCTATGATTCCGGGCATTCACAGCGGCAGCCCGGGTTGGACTCCTGGTCAGGGAACCAGTCTTGTTTGTTTTAAATTATTGGAGTGACTCTTCACCTTTTGGGTAGCCATTTGTTATTGGTCCTCGTCCTTCCCATGGGCAGCTTCCGATTTCCTGTTTTTTCCCATCTGTGGGGCATATGGGGATTTTGAGCCTTTATGCATAGGTGGTCGGCTGAGAAGGTGACATCCTGGAATATGGCTGGACAGAAATGTGGGTCACGCTCCATTTGCAGCTTGTGATGTCAGAGGCATTTGAACCAGAGCAATTCCATCTTGAATGACCTACTGGGCTGCATTCCCAGACGGTTACGGAATTCTGAGTCACAGGATGAGATAGGAGGTTGGCACAAGATACAGGTCATAAAGACCTTGCTGATAAAACAGTTTGCAGTAAAGAAGCCGGCCAAACCCCACCAAAACGAAGATGGCGGCGAGAGTGACCTCTGGTCGTCCTCACTGCTACACTCCCATCAGCACCGTGACAGTTTATAAATGCCATGGCAACGTCAGGAAGTTACCCCATATGGTCTAAAAAGAGGAGGCATGAATAATCCACCCCTTGTTTAGCATATCATCAAGAAATAACCATAAAAATGGGCAACTAGCAGCTCTCGGGGCTGCTCTGTCTATGGAGTAGCCATTCTTTTATTCCTTTACTTTTTTAACAAATTTGCTTTCACTTTACTCTATGGACTCACCCTGAATTATTTCCTGCGTGAGATCCAAGAACCCTCTCCTGGGTCTCGATCGGGACCCCTTTCCAGTAACAGTGAGACTTTTCCTTCTTTGAGCTGTCTTTAGGGTGGTTCTGGATCTCGTGAGGATCACTTTGCACTTCTTTGGAGATGTCTTGTGTGTTCTTGGCTAAGTCATAACCTTGGTTAAGGGTTACTGGTTTTGGTGAGTCACTTGAAAAGGAACTTTTTTTTTTTAAGGTGAATTAAATGTTCATAAATGATAGGCCTTCAGGTAAAGTAGCCTTTCTTCTTTTTCAGAGCTATCCATGCTGAGTCCAGGCATGGAGAATGCTTTCTTTGCTTCAGGGTGAAGCTCTTTAATAAGCTTCACCCTGAAGTCAGTTATGTGATCAAGAAACAAGCTAAGACCGGGCACGGTGGCTCATGCCTGTGATCCCAGCATTTTGGGAGGCCAAGGCAGATGGATCATCTGAGGTCAGGAGTTCGAAACCAGCCTGGCCAACATGGTGAAACCCCGTCTCTACTAAAAATACAAAAATTATCCAGGCATGATGGTGGGTGCCTGTAATCCCAGATACTTGGGAGGCTGAGGCAGGAGAATCACTTGAACCTGGGATGTGGAGGTTGCGGTGAGGCAAGATCATGCCATTGCACTCCAGCCTGGGCAATAAGAGCAAACCTCCATCTCAAAACAACAACAACAACAACAAAAAAAAACAATTAGCCAGGCACGGTGGTGCACGCCTGTAATCCCAGTTACTCAGGAGGCTGAGGCAGGAGAATTACTTGAACCCTGGGGAGGCAGAGGTTGCAGTGAGCCAAGATTGCACCACTACACTCTAGCCTGGGTGACAGAGCAAGACTCTATCTCAAAAACAAACAAACAAACAAACAAACAAACAAACAAAAAACCGAAAACAAAAAACAAAAAACCCCAAAACCAAAATCAAAAACTCTGCTTCTTCTGTGTGTCTTTACACCTCTATATCTATATATAGATATATAGATTTTTCTTTTTGAGACAGAGTCTCACTCTGTCGTCCAGGCTGGAGCGATCTCGGCTCACTGCAACCTCTGCCTCCCGGGTTGAATTGATTCTTCTGCCTCAGCCTCCTGAGTAGCTGGGACTACATATGTGTGCCACCACGCCTGGCTAATTTTTGTATTTTTAGTAGAGATGGTGTTTCACCATATTGGCCAGGCTGGTCTCGAACTCCTGACCTTGTGATCAGCCCGCCTCGGCCTCGCAAAGTGCTGGAATTACAGGCATGAGCCACCGCACCCGACCACGTCTATATATTTTTATATGTCATGTGTTTGTGATATTTCACCGCCAAAATATATGAAAGAGCTCCAATTAATTAGCTTACGGTAAAAGAAAGTGTTTTAATCAAATGTTTCATCAGGAAAACAGAAACTAACTCAAAAATCTTTTAGTTCACATGACTTGGGTACATTTTTGGTAAATAAGACTAGTTCAATATTGTTGGCTTGGCTGGGCATGGTGGCTCATGCCTATAAACCCAGGACTTTAGGGGGCCGAGGCTAGAGGATCACTTGAACCCAGGAGTTTAAGACCAGTCTGGGCAACATAGCGAGATTGTGTCCCTACCAAAAAAAAAAAAAAAAAATTAGCCAGGCACAGTGGTGTGCACCTGTAATTCCAGTTACTCAGGAGGCTGAGGTAGGAGGATAGCTTGAGCCCAGGAGACTGAGGCTTCAGTGAGCCATGATCATGCCACTGCACTCCAGCCTGGATGACACAAAAAGATCCTGTCTCAAAAAGGTGAGATCCTGGAATGTGGCTGGACAGAAATGTGGATTGGAACCCATTTGCAGCTATAATAAGATAGTTGGCTTAATAAAAACAGCTCTCAGAGAGAATAAGAAAACAAAAAACAAAACAAACCAAAAAACCAGCTCTGTCTTCTGATCAGCAAAATACCCATGTATGTAAGCTGAGATTGCGCCACTGCACTCCAGCCTGGGAGATGGAGCGAGACTCCTTCTCAAACAAAAAACCAAAAACTGACAAGGGGGAAAGTAAAGTAAATTTATGTTCGAAAGTTGAATGCCAACATTCAACAGAGCTCTTAGGTGATGACTGCCTAACATTTGAAGGCTATAAAAATGATTAAGAAAGAAAGAACTTAGGAGGATGGTGAGCTTTGTTTATTGAAATATTCAAGCATAATTGTTGAGAATGAATAAATTAAATAAATGTCAATGGGGTAAAAGTTTAAAAAGGAACTTTTCATAGTTTCAAACATCTTTTGCAGAAACTTAATGCCGTTATGTTAACGACATATTAAGTAATTCATCATCATAAAATGTCTGAGTTGTTTATATGGTATAGAAAAACTAAATATATTTAGATCTGTTAATAAACAAAAAACCAATAAAACATTTTTCTAAAAATATTATGAAATGGTTTTCATCTACAAATACCGGTATAAAACAGTTTAAGGCCGGGCACGGTGGCTCACACCTGTAATCCTAGCATTTTGGGAGGCCGAGGCGGGTGGATCACTCGGATCAGGAGTTCGAGACCAGCCTGGCCAACATGGTGAAACCCCGTCTCTACTAAAAACATACAAAAATTAGCCAGGCATGGTGGTGGGCGCCTGTAATCCCAGCTAGTCAGGAGGCTGAGTCAGGAGAATCGCTTGAACCTGGGAGGCAGAGGTTGTGGTGAGCTGAGATCACGCCATTGCACTCCAGCCTGGGCGACAGAGCAAGACTCCGTCTCAAAAACAAACAAACAGAAAGAAACAGTTTAAAATGACATACTTCCTAGGTTTTTCACTGCAAATTAGGATTACTAAGAGTTAAAATTTGGCAGGGTGCAGTGGCTCACGTCTGTAATCCCAGCACTTTGGGAGGCCGAGGTGGGTGGATCACGAGGTCAGGAGATCGAGACCATCCTGGCCAACATGGTGAAACCCCATCTCTACTAAAATACGCAAAAAAATTAGCCGGGCATGGTGGCGCATGCCTGTAGTCCCAGCTACTTGGGAGGCTGAGGCAGGGGAATTGCTTGAACCTGGGAGGCAGAGGTTGCAGTGAATGGAGGTTGCACCACTGCACTCCAGTCTGGTGACAAAGCGAGACTCCATTAAAAAAAAAAGACTTAAAATTTTAGTTAATATATGTAAGTAAAAATACTAACTATAACAGAAACAATTCTATCTATAGAGTGTATACAGAAAGTAAGACATGTTTTTGGTTGGAAGGCTGAGGCAGGAGGATTGCTTGAGCCCAGGAGTTTGAGGCTGCAGTGAGCTATGATCATGTCACTGCACTCCAGCCTGGGTGACAGAGTGAGAACTGGTCTAGAAAAAAAAATGTGTTTTTGGTAAATAAGTTGAAAAGAGGGAATATGCTTTTCTTTTGCATGAGAAAACTCTGTGTGGTTAAACTGACAAGGGGGAAAATAGGTCGAGCATGGTGGCTCACGCTTGTAATCCCAGCACTTTGGGAGGCCAAAGCGAGTGGGTCACTTGAGGTCAGGAGTTCGAGACCAGCCTGGCAAACATGGTGAAACACTGTCTCTACTAAAAATACAAAAATGAGCTGGGCATGGTGGCACACACCTGTAATCCCAGCTACTCAGGAGGTGGAGGCATGAGAATCGCTTGAACCCAGGAGGTGGAGGTTGCCGTGAGCCGAGATTGTGCCACTGCACTCCAGCCTGGGAGACACAGCGAGACTCCATCTCAAACAGAAAAACCAAAAACTGACAAGGGGGAAAGTAAGGTAAATTTTTGTTCTAAGATTGAATGCTAACATAAAAAAGGGAGTATAGGATAAAACTGAAGGTTTAAGCAAGTCGTAGATTTACAGGAGATTAATCTCATGAGAGAAATTTTGTGTGTGATCAAGTTGGTTAAAATTGGAAGGGAATTATTTATAAGTTTTTCTAAAAAGCGAGCATTAATATCAAAAGCACTGATGCAAGGCCAGAGGCTGAGCCTGTGTCGGAACAACAGGGTTTTCGCTCAGCAGTGACCTGCTCTTTAATAGAAAATCCCAAGAGGTAAAGAAAGATTTATGGAAATCTTACCTTGTGTGGTCAAAGCTGACTGAGATTGGTTGAATTTGTTTGTAATATTTTATTAAAATTGGCTTTCATATTGATAATACATTAGTATAAGGTAAAATTTGGTTTTCTCCTTTGAACAAGAATTTAGCGTTGTATTAATAAGAGATACTAGGCCGGGCGCGGTGGCTCATGCCTATAATCCCAGCACTTAGGGAGGCCGAGGCTGGCGGATCACGAGGTCAGGAGCTCGAGACCAGCATGACTAACATGGTGAAACCCCATCTCTACTAAAAATACAAAAATTAGCCGGGCGTGGTGGCGGGTACCTGTAATCCCAGTTACTCGGGAGGCTGAGGCAGGAGAATCTCTTGAACCTGGGAGGCGGATGTTGCAGTGAGCCGGGATCACACCACTGCACTCTATCTTGGCTGACAGAGCAAGAATCCATCTCAAAAAAAAAAAAAAAGAGATAGTGAAAGATTTGTTTACCTTTTGAATAAACTGCAAAAAAAAAAAAAAATGAGTGGGAGAGTTTGCCTCAGGCTATCTTTATTGGGTATTTAAATTGTTTAGGAAACTGAGTCTCCTCTCTAATCCAAGAGTAAAGTTTTTTGCTTTTTGAAATCTTTGAGTTATCATTTTGGCTAAATTAATAACTTTTTAAAAAAATTTTCTTAGAGGCCAGGCATAGTGGCTCACGCCTGTAATCCCAGAACTTTGGGAGGACGAGGCAGGTGGATCACTTGAGGTCAGGAGTTCAAGACCAGCCTGACCAACATGGTGAAACCTGGTCTCCACAAAAATTAGCTGGGCATGGTGGTGCATGCCTGTAATCCCAGCTACTCAGGAATTACAGGCAAGCTGAGGCAGGAGAATCACTTGAACCCGGGAGGTGGAGGTTGCAGTGAGCCAAGATCGCACCACTGCACTCTATCCTGGGTGACAGAGTAAGACTCCGTCTCAAAAAAAAAAATATTTTTTCTTAGAGATGGGGGCTCACTTTGTCACCAGGCTGGAGTGCAGTGGCAAGATCATAGCTCACTGCAGCCTCAAGCTCCTGGGCTCCAGGGATCCTTCTGCCTCAGCCTCCCGATTAGCTAATAATATTAGCCTGGGCAACATAGTGTGACCCTGTCTCTATTTAAAAAAAATTTTAAATATTAGCAAGGCTGGCTAATATTTGACTTTTTTGTTTTTATAGAATCAGAGTCACACTATGTTGCCCAGGCTGTTCTCAAACTCCTAGGCTCAAGTGATCCTTCTGCCTTGCCTCCCAAAGTGCTAGAATCACAGGCATGAGCTACTGCACCTGGCCTAAATTAATGACTTTTATTTTATAGTAACCTGTATCCTATTTTGATTATGTGTTTTAAACCTTACTTATTTTATTTATTTATTTAATTTTTTTTTGAGATGGAGTCTTGCTCTTGTTGCCCAGGCTGGAGTGCAGTGGCGCGATCTCGGCTCACCACAAGCTCCACCTCCCAGATTCACGCCATTCTCCTGCCTCAGCCTCCTGAGTAGCTGGGACTACAGGCGCCCGCCACCACGCCCGGCTAATTTTTTTGTATTTTTAGTAGAGATGGGGTTTCACCGTGTTAGCCAGGATGGTCTCGATCTCCAGACGTCGTGATCCGCCCGCCTCGGCCTCCCAAAATGCTGGGATTACAGGCGTGAGCCACTGTGCCCGGCCAAACCTTACTTATTTTAATATCAAGTGTTTTGAACCTTTAATATTTGACATACTTCCAAAAATTAAATTTCAAAATTTTTGTTTTTTTTGAGACAGTTGTTTCACTCTGTTGCCCAGGCTGGAGTGCAGTGGCGTGATCTCAGCTCACTGCTACTTCTGCCTCCTGGGTTCAAATGATTCTCCTGTTTCAGCCTCTTGGTAGCTGGGACTACAGGTGCACACCAACATGGCTGGCTAATTTTTGTATTTTTGGTAGAGGCGGGGTTTCACCATGTTGGCCAGGCTGGTTTTGAACTCCTGACCTCAAGTGATCCACCCGCCTCAGCCTCCCAAGGTGCAGGGATTACAGGGGTGAGCCACCACACCTGGGCACCTAATTTAAATTTCAAATTTAGAAAAATTTTTGACATATTTCCCAAAGTTAATTAAGTCTTTTTTTATCTGAACTATCTTGGACACAAGAAATAGGAGCCCTTGGAAGTCCAAGAGAGAAATACTGGGCTTATTTGGTATGTTAAAATCATATACGGAGCATTGTCAAATAAGAAATGGTGTTTAACTTTCTTTTTTTTGAGATGGAGTCTCGTTCTGTCGCCCAGACTGGAGTGCAGTGGCACAATCTCGGCTCACTGCAACCTCCACCTCCCAGGTTCAAGCAATTCTCCTGCCTCAGCCTTCTGAGTAGCTGGATTACAGGCGCACCCCATCACACCCAGCTAATTTTTGTATTTTTAGTAGAGATGGGGTTTTGCCATGTTAATCAGGCTGGTCTCGAACACCAGACCTCGTGATCCACTCGCCTTGGCCTCCCAAAGTGCTGGGATTACAGGCATAAGCCACCACGCCCAGCTGGTGTTTAACTTTCTTTGAGTTATATTTCTATAAATGTGTTATTAATATGTGTTCCAAAATTGTATGAGATTCTTAAAATGACATGTCTCGGTATATGTTTTCAGTGATAATGTTGTTAAATTTTTGTATGTCACAGAAATAACCAAGTTTCCTTGTCAGTTGCATCTTTAACCATGGCTAGTCTAAGTTTTTTGTCATCCACAGACAATTATTGTTTTACTTTGATTCTCAAAAATTAGTTTATAATCAGCTACAGTCCAAAATTTGCTTCTTAAGGAAATTCACAGAAAACGATGCTGAAAAGTACTCTTGAGTATAGGTTTCCAGTAAATTTATTTATTAATTAAATATTTGTTTGCTTGTGTATGTTTTTTGAGACAGGGTCTCACTCTGTCACCCAGGCTGGACTGCAGTGGTGTGAACATGTCTCACTGCAGCCTCAACCTCCTGGGCTCCAGCAATCCTCCTACCCTAGCCTCCCGAGTAGCTGGGACTACAGGCATGCACCATCACGCTTGGCTAATTTTTAAATTTTTTGTACAGTCTTTCTGTGTCACTCAGGCTGGTCTCAAACTCCTGACCTCAGGTGATCCTTTTGCCTTGTCCTTCCAAAGTGCTGGTAAGATAGGAGAACAGGGAATTAGGGTAACAAAGGGTTAAGGCATAAGCAAAAAACAGCAGGGGCAGCCAGTTCTAGGCAAGATTAGGCAGCACGCAGGCCACGTCCTCACTCCTGTGATAACAAGACAGGAGTCTCCACTTCTGCCTCCGATTGACCACAGGCAGGGTCTGCACTTCAGCCTCTGATTGGTCACGGGCCAATCGCTTACAGGGTGTAACCAATTGGAAGCCTCTGCAGGGCACCTATGGTGTTACCAAATTCTTTTGGCTTAATAAAAACCCTGAAGCATATTGTAATTGGGGCTGCTTGAGCCTGCTCCCACTCTGTGGAGCGTACTTTTGCTTTAATACATCTATGCTTTCATCTTCTGTTGCTTTGTGCATTTTGTTCAGTTCTTTGTTCAACACGCCAAGAACCTGGACAACTCACAGTCAAGACTTTCCATCTGGTAACACTGGGACCACAGTCACGAGCTACCGCACCCTGCTCTGGTAACTTTAGAGATCATACCACTGAACTAAGTAAAAACTTCCAGAACCCTAATAAAGAACTGATGCATTCATGAAGATTGTGAACACAACATCAAGCAGAACGAGAATTAATTACGTAGGACAGAACCGATAGGGGACTAAAATGATTTTTATGACTTTTGTTTGTTTGAAACGTTGCTGATTCTTTTTATATTTTGTTTTCTAGAAACAAGAAAACTTTTTCTTTTGAGCTATTTATAACTCACAGCCATTGGGCAAAGTATACTTTTGTGAGCAAAATTGAAATATTTACCTTTCTCTCTACCTGATTTCTCCAAAATTTGGACACTATTTGTGACGATTCTTATTTTATTGCAATACAGTTATTTGCATAAGTTCAGTAAGACTATGTTTTCTTTTGTAACTGGGCACACTGAAGACACTCGTAATTTTACCAAGGCTTTGACTGTACTGGCATATTTTCAGATACAGCCAGACTGTTTTGAGGAGTTGAGGCTGATTTTATAGAGCCAGTAAAAAGTCCCTTGGAGAGATTGGTCTGGTACCTGGTTTTTATGGTTCCCTTACAAGCTTCCTGACCTTGTGGTGTGGGCGGCAAGCCACCCACGTGCCGAGGCAAGAGACGGAAGGCATGAGCTCTTCCAGCATAATAAAGAAAATAATTAGAATAAGAATAGTTATACTAGAAATAGAATATAGACATGATTATATATGAATATTATCAATCATTAGTTTGTAGCATTACTCTTTATTATATTAATCTCTGTTCTATAATTATTACCTGTTCTATACTTATTACCTAAGGAAAACCAGGCCATACAGAATTAGGAGCTGAAGGGACACGGTGAGAAGTGACCAGAAGGCAAGAATGTGAGCCCTCTGTCAAGCCCGCACAAGGGCCACTAGAGGGCTCCTTGGTCTAGCAGTAACGCCAGTGCCTGGGAAGGCACCTGTTACTTAGCAGACTGGGAAAGGGAGTCTCCCTTTCCCCCAGGGAGTTAGAGAACACTCTGCTTCACCACCTCCTGTGGAAGGCCTGCCATCAGCCAGGCCTGCCCGCAGCCATCCGGAGGCCTAAATGTCTCCCTGTGATGCTGTGCTTCAGTGGTCACGATCCTGGTCCACTTTCATGTTCCGCTCTGTGCACCTGGCCCCGCCTTCTAGATAGCAGTAGCAGAATTAGTGAAAGTATTAAAGTCTTTGATCTTTCCGAGAAATGCATAGAAGAAATAATGACGTAAGCTGTCCCCTCTCTCTCTCCGCCTCGGCTACCAAACAGGGAATGGCCCCGTTCGGTGGACACATGACTCGCGTGACCTTACCCTTACATTGGACTTTACATTGGAGATGACTCACGCTCCTTACCCTGCCCTCTTGCCTTGTATACAATAATTATCAGCGCGGCCAGGCATTTGGGCCTTCGCGTCTTGGTGGTAGTGGTCCCCCAGGCCCAGCTGTCTTTTCTTCTATCTCCTTGTCTTGTGTCTTTATTTCTACAATCTCTCGTCTCCGCACACGAAGAGAAAAACCCATAGGCCCTGTAGGGCTGGACCCTACATTGTGGTAAGGAAAGAATGTCACTTTCTGACAAGCCCAGGAACCTCAAGATATTTGGGACCTTGAGAAGAGAGGAATTCACCCAATTCATACAGGTACTACAGGCACAGGCTGATCATGAATCCATGGGTTGGCTTCAAAGCCTGGGGAGGCTTTCAAAAGTCCAACCTGAGATTCTTCATGAAAAAGCTCCAGCAAAGCCAATTTAAAAGAGCCTGTATGGCCATTCACTATTCTCATTGCACTTTTTACAAATAATCAGGCCAAGTATAATACTAAAACTTATTTGGCAACAAAATCAGCCCTACTAAGATTTCTTTTGATAGAAATGCAGAACTGGAGAGTGAGAGAGAATCAATCTTTAAAAAGCAAACTGTGGCACATCTGTTATTAGATTCCAGCCCTGACCATTGTTTTTGAGATTTTATTGTTTTCCTACAATTTTGACTAAATCTTGAATTATTTCCTGGCCACAAGTCTCTAAAGAAGGACTGGGTTTTAATTTTCTTCCTGATGTTTTTAGTTGATTCCCTGATAGAATAGGTTTTTGTTGTCATTCTGACATACAAATTCTTTGGTTGTGATTCTTTTTTTGTTTTTGAGGTAGAGTTTTGCTCTGTCGCCCAGGCTGGAGTGCAGTGCAGTGGTACGATCTCAGCTCACTGCCACCTCTGCTTCCCTGGTTCAAGCGATTCTCCTGCCTCAGCCTCCTGAGTAGCGGGGACTACAGGTGTCCACCACGACACCTGGCTAATTTTTGCACTTTTAGTAGAGATGGGGTTTCACCATGTTGGCCAGGCTGATCTCGAATTCCTGACCTCAGGTGATCTGCCTGCCTCAGCCTCCCAAAGTGCTGGGATTACAGACATGAGCCACCGCGTCTGGCCGGTTGTGATTTTTATATACACCCCTCCATTTTTTTTTTTTTTAAGAGACAGAGTCTGGCTCTGTCACCCAGGCTGGAGTGCAGTGGTGTGATCTTGGCTTACGGTAGCCTCCGCCTCCTGAGCTCAAGGGATCCTCCTACCTCAGCCTCCCGAGTAGCTGAGACTACAGGCACACATCACAACTCCCGGCTAATTATTGTACTTTTTTGTAAAGACAGGGTTTTACTATGTTGCCCAGGCTGGTCTCAAACTCCTGAGCTCAAACAATCCATCCACCTTGGCCTCCCTAAGTCCTGGGATTACAGGTGTGAACCACCACACCTGGCCTGTTTTACTCCCGAGAAAACTACGCTCATTGTATTCTGAACACTAGAGACGAAGTGACAGCAGGTATATAAATCAGACGGAGGTCTCATTTTTGCCACCCTGCAATGCCATCCTAATTTGGCTTTTGGTGCTCTTAAAATTCCTCTTTGAGATGTATTCTCCCCCGGCATCCCACAGCATCAGACGGGACCAGCCAGGGAGGAGCCTTCCTAGAGATACAAGGCTAAGACTAAGGAGTGAAAATGAGTTCACTTGAGATGCTGCTTTTTTTGAAAGATCTTGATGAAAAGGAGGGAAATGAGCAAAGAAAAGTAGCTCAGAGAAGTCTTAGCTGTGCAAAGTCTGAAAAATTCATCAGGCTCAGGGAGATGTGATCATGAAACTCCAGCGACCCTCACACCTGCAGCCACACCCCACCCGCGCAATTGTTTAAAGGCATTTCATTCCTGTTTCCTGCCTCACTCATTATGTTCATGTTCCTGGGATTTGTGATACAAAGAACAATGTACAGCCAGTTGATAACTTATGTTATTTTATTGTAAATTCTTGGTAAACAACTTAGGAACTGCCTCTGTCTTTTTAACTTAAAAACCTGGGCCTCCTAGCCTGGGCAACACAGCAAGACCCGGTCTCTATGAAAAAGTTCTTTTTATTTGTTTATTTTTTTTTTGAGACCTCCTGGGTTCAAGTGATTCTCCCGCCTCATCCTCCGGAGTAGCTGGGATTACAGGCACCCGCGATCATGCCTGGCTAATTTTTTTTGTATTTTTGTAGAGACGGGGTTTCACCATGTTGGCCTGGCTGGTCTTAAACTCCTGACCTCAGGTGATCCGACTGCCTTGGCCTCCCAAAGTGCTGGGATTACAGGCGTGAGCCACCCCACCAGGACAAAAAGTTTTAAAAATTAGCCGTATGTGGCTGTGCGTGCCTGTGGTCCCAACAACTCAGGAGGCTGAGGTGGGAAGATCGCTTGAGCCCGAGAGGTAGAAGCTGCAGTGAGCCGTGATTGTGCCACTGCACCCCATCCTAGGCAACAGAGCAAGATTTTGTCTCTGAAAAGAAATAAACAAACAGGCTGGACATGGTGGCTCATGCCTGTAATCTCAGCATTTTGGGAGGCTGAGGTGTGTGGATCACTTAAGGTCCGGAGTTCGAGACTAGCCTGGCCAGCATGGTGAAACCCCATCTCTACTAAAAATACAAAAGTTAGCTGGGCGTGGTGGCGAGTGTTAGCTACTCAGGAGGCTCAGGTAGGAGAATCGCTTTGAACCCAGGAGGTGGAGGTTGCAGCGAGCTGAGATTGTGCCACTGCACTCCAGCCTGGGTGGCAGAGACTCCGTCCCCCCCAAAAAAAAAAAAAAAAGGAAAGAGGAACATCAGGAAGATGGGGCGTGTGGAGACCCCGGGCCTGCCGCCCCTTGATACACCCCACGCTCTCTGCCCGCCTGGTCTCCAGCCACGGCTGCCACAATCAGCTTCCCACTGGTGACACTTGACAGCCCCTGCCTCAGAACACCTGTGGCTATCAGTTTCTGCCCTGAGGCCTCTCTAGCACAGATCACCTGCTGGAACCTCCCTGGTGGTCTCAGATGAGACCTGGAGTGCAGGGCGTCAGCAGTCATGAGCCCTTGAGTGATGGGGTGGGAGGCAGGACATACAGTCCCCTCTCCTCTGTCCCACCTGGCTCCTCAGAAGTCCCTAGATGCCAGCCCGATGACGCACCTCGGAGGGGCTCGTCCTCCTGCCCTGTCCCACTCTCCATCATCCTCCACTCCCGTGCCCTGGAACCACTCCCCAAAACAAGCCACTGCATACAAGCCTCGTCTTGGGCTCTGCCTTTTGAGAGACCCAGCCTAAGACAGCAGGGGGTGATTATAGAAATAATTCTGGGTAGTTTTTCCAACACAGAGAGAGGGACTGACACCCTTTTTCCTGTGAACACTTATTGACAGTCTTCCTCCACATGGAGAAGTAGATAAAACGCAAGCTCCAAAGCGCGGGGACTTTGTCTTCTTCCCTCTGCGTCCCCAGTGCCTTCAGCCATGCCTGGCACATAGTAGGTGCCCAGGAAACATGTGTTCAAGGAGGAAGGTGGGGGGCGGTGCAGCTCTGCTGCTCTGGGTCCCCTCCAGGCTGAAGCTGCATGTCTCTTTCTTTAGGGGAGCTGTCCTCGCTTCTGCACTCTTTGGTGTTGCCTCAGGAGGGTGCTAGAACCTTGGAGACTGGGTCTGGGACAGGCAGGACTGGGTCTGAGATGGATGATGCCTGGGGCTTAGCCTGGAGGGGAGGGGCAAGGTGGGTGGGTCCCCTGGTGGGTATCCTAAGACACGTGTTGGGAGCAGGGAGGAAAAAGCCTCCTCTGGGCCTGACTCCTGAGGCCGGGTGCTTCTCCCACTCTGGGATGAAGCTCATTGGCCCCTGGTAGGTGTGGGAAGGCTCTCGGGGGTGCTTTGGGATTGAACCCAGAGCATGTCAGCGCCCTCAGTCCCTGGAGCCAGTCTTGGCGGGGGCGGAGATCCTGGCAGCAGAACTGGCATTTGGAAATATCCGGGAGAGGACCAGAGGTATGGGGCCTGAGCTCAGCCCAGGGGACTCTGAGCCCCCACCCTCTGCAGAGTCCCCTCAGGCAGGAGGAGGGGAAGCCGAGGGTCTCCTTCGGGAAGGTTCAGCAGGATGGGGCCATGCAGCCCCAGGGGATCAGGCAGGCAGAGTATGAGTGACTGCTGCTGGCACTTACCATGCACTCGCTGTGCGTGAAGCATCGTCTCGTTGAACCCTTCAGCTTGTCCTCACTGCAAGTGAGGAAAGGGAGCATGAGGTTGCAAGTAGCATGGCCAAGGTTGCAGAGGGTGAGGGAGGAGCCAGGAATTGATCCCAGACTGCCCGGCCTAGAGGCTGCGCTCTCGCCCCTGAGGCCATGGATGGAAGATGATATTGTAAGTGCCGCGAGGGCAGGGCGCTTATCTTCTTTATCGCTTGATTCGTTGAAGAGCTGTTCTGCTAACTGCATCTTTCCGGGCTTTCAGGAAAGCAGGCAGGACACTGGCCGCCAGCCCTGGAGAGTCAGTGCAGAGGTGAGGGTTTGTCTATCTGGATGACAAGGTGACTTTCAGATGCAGTCTGAAGGAATGTGACTGTCAGCGGGGTCCGAGGCTGTCCCCACCATCCCCGAAGCACCGTCAACACTGGCATCCTGGCACCGAGTGGACACACCCTGGAAAAGGCTCACTGCCACCCATGGGCCCTGCTCTAGCAAGGACAGAAGATGAACTGGGCTTCCAGTTACTCTGGGGGGTTTAGGGAGGATGACTCTGAGTGCTAAGCCACTAAATGCAGCCCCAGTTAGTCAGGTTTGGCTGGGACACCACAAATGATGTGGGCAAAGGCCTGGAGCACTGGCCATCCAGCCCCCACGCCGGTAGCTGTCTCTGGAAAAGTGTTGGACTGAAGCCCAAGCCTGCTTCCGTGCCCTGCTGAGCTGGGCAGTCAACCCCGGCTTAGCTTTTGCTGCCCTGACGGAGCCCCAGCCCTTGGTCAGGCTGCACATGGCAGCTTGGTGGGCACAGGGTAGCCGTGGATCAAGACCAAGAAAGGGACAGAGGCCAAGGGCTTTCCCAGCTTCAGTCCACCTGCTCGGGACAACTGGTGCTCCAAGCACCAAGTAGAGCTCCCAGCCCTGAGATGAGCGTCCTCAACTCCTTTCAGGGAAGCATGAACCCATGCCTGTGGCCCACCCATCCCTGCGCCTGGGCTCAGTGAGGCCACTGGGGCACCTTCACCTTGGATAAGAGTTCAGAACTTTGAAGATTAAGCTGGACCAGATCTGCTCATCCTCACAGTACATTTCAGGAGCATCTCAATGGCTCCCACCCTGGCCTGGAACCCTCCTGTGCTGCCGAGATATCAGGGAGGCGCTGGGTACTGCAAGGGGAAGATGGCATTGCTATGGAGCCACTCTTGGTGAAGGTCGAATGGGTGACATTGGAAGTCTAGCTTTTCCTGAGGCTGGGGTCTGGACCTTGGTCTAGATCAGGGGTCAGCAAATTTTTCTTGAAAATGTAGACAGAAAATATCTTAAGCTGGCCGGGCACGGTGGCTCACACCTGTAATCCCAGCACTTTGGGAGGCTGAGGCAGGCGGATCACAAGGTCAGGAGATCGAGACCATCCTGGCTAACACAGTGAAACCCCGTCTCTACTAAAAATACAAAAAATTAGCCGGGTGTGGTGGCGGGCGCCTGTAGTCCCAGCTACTCTGGAGGCTGAGGAAGGAGAATGGCGTGAACCCGGGAGGTGGAGCTTGCAGTGAGCCAAGATCGTGCCACTGCACTCCAGCCTGGGCGACAGAGCCAGACTCCATCTCAAAAAAAAAAAAAGAAAAAAGAAAATATCTTAAGCTTTGAGGACCACATAGTCTCTGTTGCAATCACTCATTTGGGCCACTGTAGCACAAAAACAAACATAGATAACACACACATGAGTGAGCATGGCTGGGGCCCAATAAAACTTTATTTACACAAGCAGGTGATGAACCACGGTCCATAGTGTCCCAATCCTTGATTTAGATGGTGAACTATCATGAGCTTTCGTTGCCCTCTCCGGTAGAAATATGGGAGAAACCACAGAGAGAAACAGAGATTTCAGGAAAACAGTAAAATTAAACAAATAAAGTGAGACGTCGCCCCTCCTGGAGGCTGCAGGCTGTGTTGAACCTGTGTGTGTCTGGGTGTACAGGGATGTGAGTAGATGCGCGTGGAGATGTGTGTGTGGGTGGAGACTGAGCGTGGCTGGAGGTGGCTGTGGTAGGATGCCAGAAGGAAGGAGTTTGCATTCAGTTCCTTTATTAGTACTCTCTGGAGTTGTTGAGGGGATGTCACTGCTGAACACTGACCCTGGTGCAGGCTAAACCGAAGTTAGCCTCTGCTACCCTCTGCTGGGTGAGGCACTGGGGAGAACAGTGGGACTGAATGGGGCGGGCTTTCTCCCTCCCACACTTCCCCTGGAAACACCCAGCACCAGCACATTAGAACATGGGGAGCCACCTTCCCCAGCGCTGCTTCCCAAGGTTCGGAAGGGGAAACTCTGACCTCAAGCTCTGTTTGAAGAGCGATAGCAAAGGGGAGAGGTTGGCTGTGGTTTGGTGGTGCTTATCTCCTTCCTTTGCTTTGAAACCACAGGCTGGCATACTACCCGAGAGAATGACCAGTGCCACCAAGGGAAGGGCACAAGCTCACTGGTTCCAGGGGAGACATCTCAGGGGACAGGAACATCCCCTGACGCTGAATGAGTGCAGCACACAGACGGAGAATACACACAAGAGAAATCATGAGGACATGAGAGAAGGCACTGGCAATAGGAAGTTACAAAAAGCAACAAAAAGAAAGAGTAGATATAAAAACAATAATCGAAGAAAGCCAACAACAGATGGGATGAATCATACGAGGTATGCGACTCATGGATGAAGAGGTGAGTGATGAGATCAGCTGGGGAACTCTCTCCCAGGAAAGACAAACCAGAAGAAACACAAATGACATCGAAGTGGCCAGGCGCAGTGGCTCACGCCTGTAATCCCAGCACTTTGGGAGCCCGAGGCAGGTGGATCACTTGAGGTCAGGAGTTTGAGACCAGCCTGGCCAACATGATGAAACCCTGTCTCTACTAAAAATACAAAAATTAGCCAGGTGTGGTGGCAGGCACCTGTGATCCCAGCTACTCAGGAGGCTGAGGCAGGAGAATCACTTGAACCAGGAAGCAGAGATTGCAGTGAGCTGAGATGGTGCCAGTGCACTCCAGCCTGGGCAGTAGAGTGACAGCCTGTCTAAAAAAAAAAAAAGGCAGTAAAGTGATAGGAGGATAGATTAGAAGGGCCATTTTCCAGATAGTGCAAGGAAGAAAGAAGAAGAAGAAGAGGAGGAGGAGGAGGAAGAGGAAGAAGACGGAGAAGAGGGCATCTCAGAAGAAACAATGGAGATACATTTCTCAAAACTGAAGAAAGATGACCAACCTCAGACCGAAGGGCCAAGAGGCCAAACCAGAGAGACAGCTTGGCAAGCCAGGAAGAGCACCAAAGCTAGACAATTAGAGTGAAATTAAAGAAAACCCAAGGTGACAAAAATTTAAAAAGCTTCCTTGTGACCTCAGTCCATTGGTGAAAATTTAAAAAAAAAAAAAAAAAAAAAAGGACAGCCTGGGCAACATGGTGAAACCCCATCTCTACAAAAAATACAAAAATTAGCTGGGTGTGGTGGCACATGCCTGTAGTCCCAGCTATTCGAGAGGCTAAGTAAGGCAGGAGGATCACTTGGGGCCAAGAGTTCCAGACCAGCTGCGGCAACATACATGTTGTGGGAAGTCAGGCACCCCGAACGGAGGGACTGGCTGAAGCCATGGCAGAAGAACATAAATTGTGAAGATTTCATGGACATTTATCACTTCCCCAATCAATACTCTTGTGATTTCCTATGCCTGTCTTTAATCTCTTAATCCTGTCATCTTCGTAAACTGAGGATGTATGTCGCCTTAGGACCCTGTGATGACTGCGTTAACTGCACAAATTGTTTGTAGAGGACAATTGTTGTGTGTTTGAGCAATGTGAAATCTGGGCATCTTAAGAACAGGATAACAGCAATTTTCAGGGAACAAGGGAGATAACCTTAAAGTCTGGCTGCCTGTGGGCTGGGCAGGACAGAGCCATACTTCTCTTATTACCGCAAACAGGTAAGAGAAATATCGCTGAATTCTTTCCCCAGTAAGGAATATTAATAATTAACAGCCCTGAGAAAAGAATGCATTCCCAGGGCCGGGCCACTGAAATGGCCTCCCTGAGAGTGCCTGCCTTTATTCAGAAGTAGAAAGGGATGAAACACGCCCTAGTCTCCTGCAGCACCCCCAGACTTGATAGGATTAGGAAATTCCAGCCTGGCAAATTCTAGTCAGACCGGTTCTCTGCTCTTGAACCCTGACAGTGCGTGCACAGTGGGACCTGGAAGTTCATTAGTGATTCTAGTTTCGCCGTGACCTTCTGCCCTGTGATCTTTTGTCGCCCTTGAAGTATGTGATCTCTGTGACCCACACCCTGTTCGTGCACTCCCTCCTCTTTGAAAATTGCTAATAAAAACTCGCTGGTTTTACGGCTCAGGGGGCATCACGGAACCTGCGGACATGTGATGTCTCCCCTGGACACCCGGCTTTAAAATGTCTCTCTTTTGTACTCTTTCCCTTTATTTCTCAGGCCAGCCGACACTTAGGGAAAATAGGAAAGGACCCACGTGAAATATTGGGGGCTGAATTTCCCCCGATAATAAGTCTCTTAAAAAAGACTTTTAAATGAAATTTCTTTGTTTTTTAACTTTTATTTCTGTTTTGGGGGTACATGTGAAGGTTTGTTACATAAGTAAACTCGTGTCTTCGGTGTTTGTTGTACAGAATATTTCATCACCCAGGTATTATGCCGAGTACCCAATAGTTCTCTTTTCTGCTCCTCTCCTTCCTCCCATCCTGCACCCTGGAGTCAACCACAGTGTCTGTTGTTTCCTTGTTTGTGTTATAAGTTCTCATCATTTAGCTCCCA
Organism: Homo sapiens; assembly: GCF_000001405.40. Lineage (NCBI taxonomy): Eukaryota > Metazoa > Chordata > Mammalia > Primates > Hominidae > Homo > Homo sapiens. Next base: position 67,582,289 of record NC_000011.10, read on the forward strand.
CTTACAAGTGAGAACATCCAGTATTTGGATTTCTGTTCCTGCATTAGTTTGCTAAGGATAATAGCCTCTAGCTCCATCCATGTTCCCACAAAAGACATGATCTAGTTCTTTTTAATGGCTGCATTAAATGAAGTTTTAAAGATACAACATAAACACCAACCTCTTCCCCACCACAAAAATCCCTTGCTGAATTTGATTACACTTAAATTAACGAGTTTTGTTTCATGAAAGACTCCTTGGACAAACTTGACAGTTGATGGAATAGGAGAAGCTGTCTGTCATGTCTAAAGCCAACAAGAGATCAATATCTAGAATAAATGGAGATCTGCAAATCAACAGAAAGTAGGCAGCAAAGCCAAAGAAAATAGCCTAAGGCACAGCCACTAAAAGGAACGTGATCATGTCCTTTGCAGGGACATGGGTGGAGCTGGAAGCCGTTAGCCTCAGCAAACTCACACAGGAACAGAAAACCAGCGAGACCGCATGGTCTCACTTATAAGTGGGAGCTGAACAATGAGAACACATGGTCACATGGCGGCGATCAACACACACTGGTGCCTGTTGAGCGGGGTGCTGGGGAGGGAGAGTACCAGGAAGAATAGCTAAGGGATACTGGGCTTAATACCTGGGTGATGGGATGATCTGTACAGCAAACCATCATGGCGCACACACCTATGTAACAAACCTGCACATCCTCTACATGTACCCCAGAACTTCAAATAAAAGTTGGACGGCCAGGCGTGGTGGCTCACGCCTGTAATCCCAGCACTTTGGGAAGCCGAGGCGTGCAGATCACCTAAGGTCAGGAGTTCGAGACCAGCCCGGCCAACATGGTGAAACCCCGTCTCTACTAAAAATACAAAAATCAGCCAGATGTGGCACGCACCTATAATTCCACCTACTCGGGAGGCTGAAGCAGAATTGCTTGAACCCGAGAGGCGGAGGTTGCAGTGAGCCGCCGAGATCGCGCCACTGCACTCCAGCCTGGGCCACAGCGTGAGACTACGTCATAAAATAAAATAAAATAACACAAAATAAAATAAAATAAAATAAAATAAAATAAAATAAAATAAAATAAAATAAAATAAAAAAATAAAATAAAATAAAATAAAATAAAGCAATTTCCTTTCCTCTAAGCGGCCTCCACCCCTCTCCCCTGCCCTGTGAAGCGGGTGTGCAAGCTCCGGGATCGCAGCGGTCTTAGGGAATTTCCCCCCGCGATGTCCCGGCGCGCCAGTTCGCTGCGCACACTTCGCTGCGGTCCTCTTCCTGCTGTCTGTTTACTCCCTAGGCCCCGCTGGGGACCTGGGAAAGAGGGAAAGGCTTCCCCGGCCAGCTGCGCGGCGACTCCGGGGACTCCAGGGCGCCCCTCTGCGGCCGACGCCCGGGGTGCAGCGGCCGCCGGGGCTGGGGCCGGCGGGAGTCCGCGGGACCCTCCAGAAGAGCGGCCGGCGCCGTGACTCAGCACTGGGGCGGAGCGGGGCGGGACCACCCTTATAAGGCTCGGAGGCCGCGAGGCCTTCGCTGGAGTTTCGCCGCCGCAGTCTTCGCCACCAGTGAGTACGCGCGGCCCGCGTCCCCGGGGATGGGGCTCAGAGCTCCCAGCATGGGGCCAACCCGCAGCATCAGGCCCGGGCTCCCGGCAGGGCTCCTCGCCCACCTCGAGACCCGGGACGGGGGCCTAGGGGACCCAGGACGTCCCCAGTGCCGTTAGCGGCTTTCAGGGGGCCCGGAGCGCCTCGGGGAGGGATGGGACCCCGGGGGCGGGGAGGGGGGGCAGACTGCGCTCACCGCGCCTTGGCATCCTCCCCCGGGCTCCAGCAAACTTTTCTTTGTTCGCTGCAGTGCCGCCCTACACCGTGGTCTATTTCCCAGTTCGAGGTAGGAGCATGTGTCTGGCAGGGAAGGGAGGCAGGGGCTGGGGCTGCAGCCCACAGCCCCTCGCCCACCCGGAGAGATCCGAACCCCCTTATCCCTCCGTCGTGTGGCTTTTACCCCGGGCCTCCTTCCTGTTCCCCGCCTCTCCCGCCATGCCTGCTCCCCGCCCCAGTGTTGTGTGAAATCTTCGGAGGAACCTGTTTCCCTGTTCCCTCCCTGCACTCCTGACCCCTCCCCGGGTTGCTGCGAGGCGGAGTCGGCCCGGTCCCCACATCTCGTACTTCTCCCTCCCCGCAGGCCGCTGCGCGGCCCTGCGCATGCTGCTGGCAGATCAGGGCCAGAGCTGGAAGGAGGAGGTGGTGACCGTGGAGACGTGGCAGGAGGGCTCACTCAAAGCCTCCTGCGTAAGTGACCATGCCCGGGCAAGGGGAGGGGGTGCTGGGCCTTAGGGGGCTGTGACTAGGATCGGGGGACGCCCAAGCTCAGTGCCCCTCCCTGAGCCATGCCTCCCCCAACAGCTATACGGGCAGCTCCCCAAGTTCCAGGACGGAGACCTCACCCTGTACCAGTCCAATACCATCCTGCGTCACCTGGGCCGCACCCTTGGTGAGTCTTGAACCTCCAAGTCCAGGGCAGGCATGGGCAAGCCTCTGCCCCCGGAGCCCTTTTGTTTAAATCAGCTGCCCCGCAGCCCTCTGGAGTGGAGGAAACTGAGACCCACTGAGGTTACGTAGTTTGCCCAAGGTCAAGCCTGGGTGCCTGCAATCCTTGCCCTGTGCCAGGCTGCCTCCCAGGTGTCAGGTGAGCTCTGAGCACCTGCTGTGTGGCAGTCTCTCATCCTTCCACGCACATCCTCTTCCCCTCCTCCCAGGCTGGGGCTCACAGACAGCCCCCTGGTTGGCCCATCCCCAGTGACTGTGTGTTGATCAGGCGCCCAGTCACGCGGCCTGCTCCCCTCCACCCAACCCCAGGGCTCTATGGGAAGGACCAGCAGGAGGCAGCCCTGGTGGACATGGTGAATGACGGCGTGGAGGACCTCCGCTGCAAATACATCTCCCTCATCTACACCAACTATGTGAGCATCTGCACCAGGGTTGGGCACTGGGGGCTGAACAAAGAAAGGGGCTTCTTGTGCCCTCACCCCCCTTACCCCTCAGGTGGCTTGGGCTGACCCCTTCTTGGGTCAGGGTGCAGGGGCTGGGTCAGCTCTGGGCCAGGGGCCCAGGGGCCTGGGACAAGACACAACCTGCACCCTTATTGCCTGGGACATCAACCAGCCAAGTAACGGGTCATGGGGGCGAGTGCAAGGACAGAGACCTCCAGCAACTGGTGGTTTCTGATCTCCTGGGGTGGCGAGGGCTTCCTGGAGTAGCCAGAGGTGGAGGAGGATTTGTCGCCAGTTTCTGGATGGAGGTGCTGGCACTTTTAGCTGAGGAAAATATGCAGACACAGAGCACATTTGGGGACCTGGGACCAGTTCAGCAGAGGCAGCGTGTGTGCGCGTGCGTGTGCATGTGTGTGCGTGTGTGTGTGTACGCTTGCATTTGTGTCGGGTGGGTAAGGAGATAGAGATGGGCGGGCAGTAGGCCCAGGTCCCGAAGGCCTTGAACCCACTGGTTTGGAGTCTCCTAAGGGCAATGGGGGCCATTGAGAAGTCTGAACAGGGCTGTGTCTGAATGTGAGGTCTAGAAGGATCCTCCAGAGAAGCCAGCTCTAAAGCTTTTGCAATCATCTGGTGAGAGAACCCAGCAAGGATGGACAGGCAGAATGGAATAGAGATGAGTTGGCAGCTGAAGTGGACAGGATTTGGTACTAGCCTGGTTGTGGGGAGCAAGCAGAGGAGAATCTGGGACTCTGGTGTCTGGCCTGGGGCAGACGGGGGTGTCTCAGGGGCTGGGAGGGATGAGAGTAGGATGATACATGGTGGTGTCTGGCAGGAGGCGGGCAAGGATGACTATGTGAAGGCACTGCCCGGGCAACTGAAGCCTTTTGAGACCCTGCTGTCCCAGAACCAGGGAGGCAAGACCTTCATTGTGGGAGACCAGGTGAGCATCTGGCCCCATGCTGTTCCTTCCTCGCCACCCTCTGCTTCCAGATGGACACAGGTGTGAGCCATTTGTTTAGCAAAGCAGAGCAGACCTAGGGGATGGGCTTAGGCCCTCTGCCCCCAATTCCTCCAGCCTGCTCCCGCTGGCTGAGTCCCTGGCCCCCCTGCCCTGCAGATCTCCTTCGCTGACTACAACCTGCTGGACTTGCTGCTGATCCATGAGGTCCTAGCCCCTGGCTGCCTGGATGCGTTCCCCCTGCTCTCAGCATATGTGGGGCGCCTCAGTGCCCGGCCCAAGCTCAAGGCCTTCCTGGCCTCCCCTGAGTACGTGAACCTCCCCATCAATGGCAACGGGAAACAGTGAGGGTTGGGGGGACTCTGAGCGGGAGGCAGAGTTTGCCTTCCTTTCTCCAGGACCAATAAAATTTCTAAGAGAGCTACTATGAGCACTGTGTTTCCTGGGACGGGGCTTAGGGGTTCTCAGCCTCGAGGTCGGTGGGAGGGCAGAGCAGAGGACTAGAAAACAGCTCCTCCAGCACAGTCAGTGGCTTCCTGGAGCCCTCAGCCTGGCTGTGTTTACTGAACCTCACAAACTAGAAGAGGAAGAAAAAAAAAGAGAGAGAGAAACAAAGAGAAATAACCATGGTCACTGTCCTGGAGCACCACACAGTGTATATAGAAGGAGAAAAGTCTCATAGAAACATGCTTTCTAGGCACAGCACGTGCCTGTCAGATGGACAGACTCCAGGATGGAGGGAAATGAGGGATTCTGGGAAGGAGGGATGTGAGGAGTTCCCTGTCCTGGGGGATTAGCTGAGTAGCTCTGAGCAGCCCAGGTTGGTGGGAGGGTCATTCTGCTTGGATGGGGGCTTTCCTGGCTTCCTGCTGACTTGTGAGTTTTGGTGCATCCTAGGCAAGCAATGACACTACTGTATTAGGATTCTCCAGAGAAGCTAAGCCAGTAAGATGCTGTAGGGCAGGCAAAATTTTATCTCTGTCCTTTTAGGGTTTTTTGGCTGGGCCTGAGAACTAAAGACATGAGCAAGAGAAAAGCATTCAAATTTATCTAGGCTGGGCATAGTGGCTCATGCCTGTAATCCCAGCACTTTGGGAGGCTGAGGCAGGTGAATCACTTGAGGTCAGGAGTTCAAGACCAGCCTGACCAACATGGTGAAACCCCGTCTCTACTAAAAATACAAAAATTAGCCAGGTGTGGTGGCGGTTACCTGTAGTCCCTGCTACTTGGGAGGCTGAGGCATGAGAATCGCTCTCTCTCTCCTGCCACCTTGTAAAGATGTGCCTGCTTCCCCTTCACCTTCCACCCTGATTGTAAGTTTCCTGAGGCTTCCCAGTCATGCTTCCTGTTAAGCCTGCAAAACTGTGAGTCAATTAAACCTCTTTTCTTCATAAATTACTCAGTCTCTGATAGGTCTTTGTAGCAGTGTGAGAATGGACTAATACACTGTTTTTGTTTTGTTTTGTTTTGTTTTGTTTTTGAGATGGAGTCTCACTCTGGTGCCTAGGCTGGAGTATAGTGGTGTAATCTCTGCTCACTGTAACCTCTGCCTCTCAGACTCAAGCAATTCTCCTGCCTCAGCCTCCTGAGTAGCTGGGATTACAGGTGCCCACCACCGCGCCTGGCTAATTTTTGTATTTTTAGTAGAGATGGGCTTTCATCATGTTGGCCAGGCTGGTTTCGGACTTTTAACCTCACGTGATCCACTCGCCTTGGGCTCCCAAAGTGCTGGGATTACAGGCGTGAGCCACCGCACCCAGCCTAATACGCTATATTAATCAGAAACTGCCAACTAACCTCTAACTTGGGACTTTTCACTCTAACCAGTCAAAATTGTTTTCTTTGTCTGGCTTCTGCAAAATGATTAAGTTTCACTTCCCCTCTAATAGAAGCACTAGCTGCTTTGGTCTTGTGCTATCTTAATTTATGTGTCACTGAATGCTCAAATAAACTCTTTAGAATGTAAATGGGCTTAAGTTTATCTTCTAGCAGATCTGATGTCAGAGGTAGGATCCTTCAGAAGGACATCAGAAGGATCTGAAGGATTTCTCCCCATCCTGGGCCCAGTGATGGTCTCCAGGAGCAATGAGCAAACAGGTGTAGGCATTTCACTGAGCCCCCTGCACGCTGCTTCCTGCAGCATATTTGAAGGTCATCACTGGTAAGTCCCACTCAGATACTGTATTAGTCCCTTCTCACACTGCTATAAAGAACTACCTGAGACTGGGTAATTTATAAAGAAAAGAGGCTAAGCCAGGTGTGGTGGCTCATACCTGTAATCCCAACACTTTGGTTTTTTTTCTGGTTGTTGTTGTTGTTGTTTTTTGAGTCAGAGTCTCACTCTGTCGCCCAGGCTGGAGTGCAGTGGCACAATCTCAGCTCACTGCAACCTCCACTTTCTGGGTTCAAGTGATTCTCCTGCCTCTGCCTCCCAAGTAGCTAGGATTACAGGCACATGCCACCATGCCTGGCTAATTTTTGTATTTTTAGTAGAGACAGGGTTTCACCATGTTGGCCAGGCTGGTGTCAAAACTCCTGATCTCAGGTGATCCACTCGCCTCGGCCTCTCAAAGTGCTGGGATTACAGGCGTAAGCCACTGCACCCAGCCAATCCCAGCACTTCAGGAGGCTGAGGCGAGCAGATCACTTGAGGTCAGGAGTTGGAGACCAGCCTGGCCAACATGGTGAAAACCCCATTTCTACTAAAAATATTTAAAAAATCAGCTGGGCATGGTGGCACGTGCCTGTAATCACAGCTACTCGGGAGGCTGAGGTAGGAGAATCCCTTGAACCCGGGAGGCAGAGGCTGCAGTGAGCTGAGATGACGCCTCTGCACTCCAGCCTGGGTGACAGAAGATTGATTGACTCACAGTTCTGCATGGCTGGGGAGGCCTCAGGAAACCTACAATCGTGGCAGAAGGCGAATGGGAAGCAAGGCACATCTTACATGGTGGCAGGGGAGGTAAGGGGGGAAGTTCCACATCCTTTTATACCAACAGAGCACGTGACAACTCACTGTCACGAGAATAGCAAGGGGGAAATTCGCCCCCATGATCCTATCACCTCCCACTAAGTCCCTCCCTCACCACGTGGAGATTACAATTCAAGATGAGATTTGGGTGGGGACACAGCCAAACCATATCACATACAAACTCCAGAACTTAAATCGAGTTCTCTGAGTTGAGCCGATCTGGACTGGGTTTGGAAGTTGTGGTAGAAGTTTAACGCATCCTGTAGGGAGGCTTCAGGTATCTGACTGGGTCAGACAGAAACTGAAATGGTTTTAGTGAAAGACCTCTAATAGGTAAGGTTCCAGGAAAACAAACAATTCTGGGCTCATTTAAATCCAGGGGGTCTGGGACTCCATCGCAGGACTTGTGCTCTTCTAGAGAGATGATTGAATCTTACCAAAAATAATTTAGAATTTTGGTGGCCACAGTGGGGAAGTTTTAACCTAAATAAAACTGCTCATCTCCAGAATGCATTGAAAAAAAAGAGGGGGGATCCCAAACACCCCAGAAATAATGGGTTGTATTTTTGGTTGGCAAGCAGAGGGTTCTAAGTTCTCCATCTTTCTCACTAGCCTCCTCTGAATCTGCTGACTTCTTTGCTTGGTTACCTTCCCACCTTGACGATGCAATGAAAAAAAACCCAGCTAGATAAGTTATACAAGTTAGGCTGTCAAATCAACCATGTCTGCTTCTTTACCCTTATGCCATAGTTAAAATCTTAAGCTCAGAGCAATAATAAAAGGTATCCCTGTCCGGCATAGAAAATGCTTTGTCTGCCCTATTTGTTAATGGGCTCCACCCTGACCTCAGTAATCTAGTTACACATATGTTGACAGGACCTGAGGAAGCTCAAAATTGGATGCAAGAGGCAGAATGGTATTGCTCTGAGGACAATATCCAAGGTCCACAAGCCCCTACTTGGTCCATATATAGGCCAGAAGAAACCCAAACTTTTGACCGGGTGCAGTGGCTCACGCCTGTAATCCCAGCACTTTGGGAGGCCGAGGAGGGTGGATCACGAGGTCAGGAGGTCAAGACCATCCTGGCTAACATGGTGAAACCCTGTCTCTACTAAAAATACAAAAAAATTAGCCGGGTGTGGTGGCAGGCACCTGTAGTCCCAGCTGCTTGGGAGGCTGAGGCAGGAGAATGGCGTGAACCTGGGAGGTGGAGCTTACAGTGAGCCGAGATTGCACCACTGCACTCCAGCCTGGGTGACAAAGCGAGACTCCGTCTCAAAAAAAAAATCGATGCCTGATAGCATTTTAATTTATCAGTTAGTCTGGAAACTACACGAGAAGAAAGAACAAAATACCCTTAAACAACTACCCCCGGCAGGGAGACTCATTTTCCTGTCTCTCCTGGCCTGATACGTTTTGCATAGCTCGCATTCTTCACACTGCTCTAAGCTACTTTTCTTTCTCATTTCCCTCTTTTGATAGATATTTTTCTCTTCTGAAAGCATTGATGATCGACATTTTTTTTATGCATATGATTTTTGTTCACTGTCACGTAAGATTCAGGAATCAATGTGTTAGATGCAAGTTTGTCCCATGTCACTGGGAAGGCTTATTCCCAGGCCATCTGTCCTACTTCAGAGAGAAAGAGGAGAGGTACCTATGGTTAAAGAATTTAGTGAAGGTGCCGGGCACGGTGGCTCACGCCTGTAATCCCAGCACTTTGGGAGGCCGAGGCGGGTGGATCACCTGAGGTCGGGAGTTCGAGACCAGCCTGGCCAACATGGTGAAACCCGTCTCTACTAAAAATACAAACATTACCCGGGCGTGGTGGTGCACGCTTATAATCCCAGCTACTCAGGAGGCTGAGGCAGGAGAATCGCTTGAACCTGGGAAGCAGAGGTTGCAGTGAGCCAAGATCGCACCATTGCACTCCAGCCTGGGCAACAAGAGCAAGACTTCATTTCAAAAAAAAAAAAAAAAAAAAAGAATTTAGTGAAGTCTCAAGGTCAAATTGATTAGAACCACAGAGGGACAAAGCAATGGGAACTCAGTCGAGCCATCCGCTTACAAAGGAGCCGTGACATGTGAGAGCATTTCTAAGCATCTAGCTATCATGATTTTATTTTTTGTTGTTGACTTAAGACATCTAGAAATGCAAAGCATAATCAATTTAAGAATAAAAACTACTGGCCGGGCACAGTTGCTCACACCTGTAATCCCAGCACTTTGGGAGGCTGAGGTGGGAGGCTGAGTTGGGCAGATCACTTGAGGTTAGGAGTTCGAGACCAGCCTGGCCAACATGGTGAAACCTGTCTCTACTAAAAACACAAAAATTAGCCAGGTGTGGTGGCAGACACCTGTAATCCCAGCTACTCAGGAGGCCGAGGCAGGAGATTCGCTTGAACCCTGGAGGCGGAGCTTGCAGTGAGCTGAGATGGCGCCACTGCACTCCAGCCTAGGCGACAAGAGTGAAACTGTATCAAAAAAAAAATATGATGCAAATAAAGACAGTTATTAACAAAACAAGTTGAAATCCAGATCTGAAAAGTGTTCTTATTTGTGAAGGTAACAAATCAAATAGATCATGTAATGGGGTTGGCTTTTTGACAGCTTGCAGCCATTTAGCCTTTTGAGTGATCCTTCCAAACCGAGTTTCCACTTCTCATCCAGGTTTGAAGAACAAGGTGACTGGTTGTGGTCAGCTTCGGTGGGAGATCTCTGGTGATGAAAGATGTCCACTCAGGTGGGCTGCCTTTTTAAAGTGAAAAAAAAAATGAGAATCCATGAGTCAATGCCCCTGATGTTAGCTGCACAAAGACTGGTTAACAGTACGTGACATGATCCCTTCCAACATGGTTGGAGGGAGTATTTTATTTGATGATGTTTCCAATAAACAAAATCTCCAGGTTGGAAGCTGTGATCTTTGATGTCTGTCTCCAGGGAGATTGCTTTTTAAAAGAATTCTTCATTAATTAAATTTTTTTTTAATTGAGAAGCTTTATAAAGGCCCTGGCAATCATGAAGTATAGCATTTTTAAGAAGAGCTAGCTCATAGACTTCTGCATTCAGGCACATGGCCTTCCTGTTATTTCAAAGAAAGAAAGCCGATGTTGTTGAAATGGGGTAGAGTGTGAATTAAGCAATACCAATGGGAGACTCTTAGGCCAGAGAAGTTTCAAGTTTCTATAAGCTTGGCCAGGCACGGTGGCTCACACCTGTAATCCCAGCACTTTGGGAGGCCGAGGCAGACGGATCACCTGAGGCCGGGAGTTCGATACCAGCCTGGCCAACATGGCGAAACCCGTCTCTACTAAAAAGTACAAAAATTAGCTGGGCATGGTGGTGGGTGCCTGTAATCCCAGCTACTCAGGAGGCTGAGGCAGGAGAATTGCTTGAACCTGGGAGGCGGAGGTTGCAGTGAGCTGAGATCGCGCCACTGCCCTCTAGCCTGAGCGACAAGAGGGAGACTGTCTCAAAAAAAAAAAAAGTTTCTATAAGCTTTGCCAATTTGATTTTTATTATTTGTGCATTTCACAAGTCTGGAAGACTGAGGGTGGTATGGACAATGGAAATGTTGAAAAATCAGCCATACGTTACAAATAAACTGAATTATTTGACCAGTGAAATGGGTTCATTAGTTTCCATGAAGATTGGAGGGAGCTCTCCAAGAAGGAATAGGGCAAGATTTAAAGTAGTCATGGTCAAAGATGCAATCAACAAAGAAATTTGGTCATTTTATTTTTTTGTGGCCTACTGAAACGGGAAGGGTTCCCTTGTCCCCCTTGCAGGGCATGTGATGGGGGAGTGGCTCGCTTCTTCAGTGCCCCGCTGCTCAGACCTGCAGGGGAGCATACAGATGGGCAGGTTGTGGGGCTCCAACCCACGGCAGCATCTAGGGGTGGATGTTTACAGCTCCTGAAGCCCTAGTGGGCATGTGTTACAGGGTGCTCTTTTAGTTTTGCCATCTATAGGCAGCTTGTGTTAACCAGCAGCTCAATTAGACCCTCTGCTTTGTTACAAGGACAGAGGGATTTCTGTATCCCAGGTTCTTGCCTTGGTGTACTGGAAGAATAGGATCACACCTGGGCTTGGAGAATGAGTGCAAGGTTTTATTGAGTGGAGGTAACTCTCAGCAGTTGGAGGAAGCCAGAAGGGCATGGAGTGGGAAGGTTTTGCCCTGGAGTCAGGCTGCTCAGCGGCCTGGGCTTGCCTTTGACTGCCCGGCCAAACTCCGCCTCGTTCTGCAGGTGGATGGCCTGCCGGCATGCTGGCGTCTGTCGTGTGCTCTTCCACCAGCCTGCTCCCTTCTGTGGCAGATTGGTCAGAGAGGTGGGAAGAACTATAGGGAAAGGACGCAAACCTTCTGAAAGGTGGGAAGGTTCTGCAGAGCCCTGGGGGAGAAGAACTGAAGGCAGCTCTTCTATAACCCTGAGGCAGAGGGCAAGGAGTAGGTACAAGGGAGTATGGGGGATTTTATCTTAAATAGGCATGTTTACTTATGTCGACCAGGAACTGACCTTAGATCATCTATGATCACCTATGATCATGTTTCAGGGAACATGAGGTTCCCTGAAAGGGGAATAATAAATATTAATGACTTACAGATTGTGTCGGCTCCAGGTTTTCGACATTGTGCCTGCACTGAATAAAAGCAAAGCAGCTCCAGCTTCTTCCACTAGAGCCAGGCAGTCACCTAGCTGCTCTTAACACTGCATACCTGTGTCTGGGTACTCATTTCCTCTGTTGGCCAGGGTCTGTGGGACAGAGCTGGCACCCCTCAATGACCTCTCAACGTCCAGCCACTTGTGTCTTCTTCTGCCAATGTGTTCCTCTCCACGTCCAGCTGCTTGTGTGTCTGCTTGCTAGGGTCTCAGGGTTTTTATAGGCACAGGATATGGGTGTGGTGGGCCAGGGTGCTCTTTGGAAATGCAATATTTGGGCAGGAAAACAAAAATGCCTGTCTTCACCCAGGTCCATGGGCACAGGCCTGGGGGTGGAGCCCTAGCCAGGGACTACACATTCCTCTACCCAGCACTTCCCTGCCCCCCTTCCGTATCACTATAATTCAACACAATACTTACAATAATGACTGATAATATATACCAACACATATCAGATTTTTAGGAATCTCATATAATTTTGGAACACATATTAATAACACATTTCACAAATATAACTCAAAGAAAGTTAAATGTCATTTCTTTTTTGACAATGCTTGCTGTGTAATTTTTACATGCCAAATAATACCAAGTTCTCTTGAACTTACATGGGTTTTTTTTTTCTTTTTCAAATGTTGAAACGTTAGTTTGAGGTCAAAATGGCTTAATTTAGAATTTGAATTTTCATTTTTGGAAGTTTGTCAAATACCAAAGCTTTAAAACACTTGATATTAAAATAGAAAAGGTTTAAAAGACTTGTTCAAAATAGAATCATGGGGAACTTCAAAATAATAGTCATTCATTTAGCCAAAGTGATAACTGAAAGATTTCAGAAAAGCTGGGTGTGGTGACTCACATCTGTAATCCCAGCACTTTGGGAAGCCAAGGTGGGAGGATCACCTGAAGTCAGGAGTTCGAGACCAGTCTGGCCAACATGGTGAAACCCTGTCTCCCCTAAAAATACAAAATTAGTTGGGCATGGTGGCAGGTGCCTGTAATCCCCGCTACTCAAGAGGCTAAGGCAGGAGAATCGCTTGAACACGGGGGGTGGGGGGAAGGTTGCATTGAGCCAAGTTCGCACCATTGCACTGTAGCCTGGGCAAAAAGAGCGAAACTCCATCTAAAAAAAAAAAAGATTTCCGAAAGCAAAAACCTTTATTGTTTGATAGAGAGGAGACTCAGTTTTCTAAACAATCCAAAGACCTAATGAAGGAAGCATAAGGCAAACTCGCTCCTCTTTTTTTATTTTTTTCACTTTGCAGTTTGCTCAAAAGGCAAACAAAAATCTTTTACAATCTCTTATTACTACTACATGAAAATCTCGTTTAAAAGAGAAAACTAAATTCTACCTTTACATTAGTGTATTATTAATGCTACAGCTAAAAATATAGTTATAATAAAATCTTGCAAACAGATCCATCTAATCTCAATCACTTTTGACCACTACTCAAGATAAAGTTTCTATATACCTTTTATACTCTTACAATGTTTTCCTTTTTCTTTTCTCTTTTCTTTTCTTTTTTTTTTTTTTTTTTGAGATGGAGTCTCGCTCTGTCACCCAGGCTAGAGTGCAGTGGCACGATCTCTGCTCACTGCAACCTCTGCCTCCCGGGTTCAAGCGATTCTCCTGCCTCAGCCTCTGAAGAAGCTGGGACTACAGGCACCCACCACCATGCTCGGCTAATTTTTGTATTTTTAGCAGAGACAGGGTTTCACCATATTGGCCAGGCTGGTTTCGAACTCCTGACCTTGTGATCTGCCCACCTCGGCCTCCCAAAGTGCTGGGATTACAAGTGTGAGCCACCGTGTCCGGCCACAATGTTTTTCATTGTCTTTCTTTCTCCAGCTTTGTTTATTCATTTGGCTTTATCTATCTCATATATATGATATGATATGATACACACACAGATGCATATATATACGTATGCGTATATATACACACACATACACGAACGTATATAATCATATATATTTCTTAATGGGATATATATATATAATTTTACAGATGGGGTATTGCTCTATTGTCCAGGCTGGAGTGCAGTGGCAAAATCAGAGCTCCTGGGCTCAAGCAATCCTCCTGCCTCAGCCTCCTGAATAGCTGAGACTACAGGCATGAACCACCATGCCCAGCTAATTTAAAAAAATTTATCAGGCCAGGCATGGTGGCTCATGCCTGTAATCCCAGCACTTCAGGAGGCTGAGGCAGGTGGATCACTTGAGCTCAGGAGTTTGAGACCAGCCTGAGCAACATGCCGAAACCTCGTTTCTACAAAAAATACAAAAGTTAGCCAGGTGTGGTGGCACAGGCCTGTAGTCCTAGCTAGTTAGGGGGCTGAGATGGGAGGATTGCTTGAGCCCGAATTCTTTTTGGTTTCTCCAATTTAAGTGTCTCCCACTTTTCTGACTTGTAATCATTAAGAACAAGGATTGCTTTGTTCCTAAAGCCCTACAAGCAGGATATGGACAACTGGATTAAACTTCAGAGAAAACCCCTCATGCCTGATGTAGGGAGCACTTGAGGAGTTTGCTGAAATGCCTTCTGCCATAAACAGAGATATTAAAACCACAAATCAGGAAAATATGCTTCAAGCTTCAATCTAGGAATCTTGATTAACTGACCCCTGGACTCAGAGACTATATTTATAGTTTGTTCTGGTTATCTCCCTGAGTGAGAACTGAGCCCATTCAACCCAGATTCATATGTTTGCAAGGTGTCTTTGAAAAGGAGAGAGAGAGAGAGAGAGAGAACAAGGTGAAGACACACTTGTTCCCGGCTGCCCAGGCCTGGAAGTGACACACTTCATTTCTGCCCCATTTGGATGCAAGAAGACTGAGAAACAGTTTAGCTCTGTGTCTGAGAAGAGGAAATGAGTTTGTGATATCTAGCCAGTCTCTATCACATACAACCAACCCATGCTTTAAAAATGAAAAATAAAATAAAATAAAAATATAAAACAAATCCATGCCTATCTTGGAACTCAGTATGTACTAGCAGTGGTATCATAAATAAGTTTGAAAAGAAGAGTTATTTAGATAGCATTAGTGAAACTGATTCCACCTATTAAGAAAAATTACTGGATCCTTACCTCACACCATATACAATAAAATCTAAACAGATCAGTGGTTCTCGAGAGGAGGCAATGTTGTCACCCAGAGGATATTTGGTAATATCTGGAGACATTTTTGTTGTCCCAACTTGTGGGGTGCTATTGACACCTAGGGATGCTGCTCAACATCCTCCAATGCACAGGGCAGCTAGCAAATAAAGCCCCAGTGGCCACAGTGTCAAGGTTGAGAAGCTCACAGCAAAGCCCCAAATGGCCATAGTGTCAAGGTTGAGAAGCCCTGCACTAGGGTTCACCTACACTTGAGAGAGAAAAATAAAATACTAACAGAAAAAAATAATTAAAGAAAGTTTCTTATGACCTTGGGCTAGGAATAGATTTCTTTTTTTTTTCTTTTTTTTCTTTTTGGAGTTTAAAACTTTTTATTTGGAAATAATTTCAAAGTTATAAAATGTTGCAAAAAAATTTTTTAAACTACCAAAAACAGCCATATTTACCGTTTACCCAGATTTACCTATTCAACATTTTATACCATTCACTTCATTATTTTCTCTCTCTCTCTCTTTTTTTTTTTTATTGATCATTCTTGGGTGTTTCTGGCAGAGGGGGATTTGGCAGGGTCATAGGACAATAGTGGAGGGAAGGTCAGCAGATAAACAAGTGAACAAAGGTCTCTGGCTTTCCTAGGCAGAGGACCCTGCGGCCTTCCGCAGTGTTTGTGTCCCTGGGTACTTGAGATTAGGGAGTGGTGATGACTCTTAAAGAGCATGCTGCCTTCAAGCATCTGTTTAACAAAGCACATCTTGCACCGCCCTTAATCCATTTAACCCTGAGTGGACACAGCACATGTTTCAGAGAGCACAGGGTTGGGGGTAAGGTCATAGATCAACAGCATCCCAAGGCAGAAGAATTTTTCTTACTACAGAACAAAATGAAGTCTCCCATGTCTACTTCTTTCTACACAGACACAGCAACAATCTGATTTCTCTATCTTTTCCCTGCCTTTCCCCCTTTTCTATTCCACAAAACCGCCATCGTCATCATGGCCCCTTCTCAATGAGCTGTTGGGTACACCTCCCAGACGGGGTGGTGGCCGGGCAGAGGGGCTGGCCCCCACCTCCCTCCCGGACGGGGTGGCTGCCGGGTGGAGACGCTCCTCACGTCCCAGATGGGGTGGCTGCCGGGCGGAGGCGCTCCTCACTTCTCAGACCGGGCAGCTGCCGGGCGGAGGGGCTCCTCACTTCTCAGATGGGGCGGCTGCTGGGTGGAGGGGCTCCTCACTTCTCAGATGGGGCAGCCGGGCAGAGACGCTCCTCACCTCCCAGATGGGGTCGCGGCCGGGCAGAGGTGCTCCCCACATCCCGGACGATGGGCGGCCGGGCAGAGATGCTCCTCACCTCCTAGACAGGATGGCGGCCGGGAAGAGGCGCTCCTCACTTCCCAGACTGGGCAGCCGGGCAGAGGGGCTCCTCACATCCCAGACGATGGGCGGCCAGGCAGAGACGCTCCTCACCTCCCAGACGGGGTGGCGGCCGGGCAGAGGCTGCAATCTTGGCACTTTGGGAGGCCAAGGCAGGCGGCTGGGAGGTGGAGGTTGTAGCTGGCCGAGATCACACCACTGCACTCCAGCCTGGGCAACATTGAGCACTGAGTGAACGAGACTCCGTCTGCAATCCCGGCACCTCGGGAGGCCAAGGCTGGTGGATCACTCGCAGTTAGGAGCTAGAGACCAGCCCAGCCAACACAGCGAAACCCCGTCTCCACCAAAAAAACCGAGATAGATTTCTTAAATAAGGCCCCTAAATGAATGAATTTAACTATATCAAAACAAAAGATTTCTCTTTTTAAATTTTTAATGGATACATTGTACTTGTACATATTTATGGAGTACAATTTGGTGGTTCCATATACATATATGTGTTTTATAATGATCAAATTAGGTAGGCTGGGCATAATGGCTCACATCTAGCATCCCAGAACTTTGGGAGGCCCAGGCGGAAGAATTGTTTGAGCCCAGGAGTTCAAGGTCCCCCTGGGCAACATTATGAGACCCCATCTCTATAAAAAATTAAAAAATTAGTGGGGTGTGGTGGTTCATGCCTGTGGTCCCAACTACTTTGGAGCTGAGGTGGGAGGATTGCTTGAGCCCAAGAGGTCAAGGCTGTAGTGAGCTATATTCCCATCACTGCACTCCAGCCTGGGTAATAGAGGGAGATCCTGTCTCAAAAACAAACAAATTAGGATATTTAGTGTGACCATCACCTCATGCATTTATCTGAAGTTTTCTCTTGTACAATGATCATTATTGTTTATTAGATTATCAGATAGATGATAAAGGAAATATTTGCAACATTTGACAGGAAGAGGGAGGACCTGTGGTTTTTAATGGTGGAGCTGGGATTCCCACTAATCCTTCAGAATACCCCAAAAGCCACAAAGACCATGAAAACCAAAACACACATTCCATCTAAATACACACTTTATCTCTTATGAAAGTAGGAGACTCCCAGCACTTTGGGAGGCTGAGACAGGCAGGTAACCTGAGGTCAGGAGATAGAGACCAGCCTGGCCAACATGGTGAAATCCTGTCTCTACTAAAAATACAAAAATTAGCCGGTCCCAGTGGCATGTACCTGTAATCCCAGCTACTCGGGAGGCAGAGGCACGAGAATCACTTGAACCTGGGAGGTGAAGGTTGCAGTGAGCCGAGATCGTGCCACTGTACTCCAGCCTGGGCGGCGACAAAGCGAGACTCTGTTTCAAAAAAAAAAAAAAAGAAGAAGAAGAAAGAAAGAAAGTAGGACACATCTCAAGTGACTACAGTTAAGAGCATCTGTGCACCAAGTAACATATCTGGGCACCTATACAACAAAAGCTCACAGATAGACAAGGACTCTGGCAGTTTTAAATAAGATTTCAAACTCTGCCATAGGAAAGCAGAGAGGCACCACCCTTCAATTGCTCTTGGGACATTTACTATAATAATTATGTATTATGCCTTAAAGGAAATTTTAGAACATTCCAGGGATTAAGAGGGGTGGGGAGAGGGAGAGAAATAGTACAGATGACAGTCTTTCATTATGAGGCAATAAAATGAAAAATAACAAAACCGGGAAACAAAATCCCCCTAACCCCTGTACATTTATAAATCTTTCTTAAAATGACTCCCGTCAAAGAAGAAATCAAAACCAAAATTGCAGAACATCTAGCGAATGATGATAAAGATGCACTATATGTAAGAACTATTGGTCTACTTGACTGGATTGCTATGGCTTTAGAATCAGTCTTGCTATCTGCCAGGGCGAAACCCACCACCCACCCCATCTTCTTCTTCAAAATTGTCTTGGCTATTCTTGGCCCTTTGTTGTTCTATATACATTTTGGTGTCAGCTTTCCCACTTCCATGAAAAGCCCTGGTGGGATTTTGATGGGAATTTGCAGTGAATTTACAGATTAATTTGAAGATGTGACACTTTTATGATATTAAGTCATCCACCTGGTGAAAGCCCTGTGAACCAGCCTGGCTCCCCCATCCTCCCAGCAGCTGAGGGGCCAACTGGCGGGGACTGTGGGTGCACGATAAAGGAAGGAAGCCATAAATACTGGCCATGGCCTCATGACCGGCTGCAGCCACAGAGGTCCCCTTCAATGTCCTTTGTGGCTTTGAGTTTTGCATAGTGGGAGGAAATTGTCTTTGCAAGGTGCAAAGTGGCCCCAGGAGGAAGAAAATGTAATAGAAGACAACTGCTCAACCTGTTTCTGATCATAAAAACTCAACAGTCTTTTTCTTTTTCTTTTTGCTGATTTATAAGATGAGGCCTGACATTTCTAAAACCTGAACCATTGAGGAATGGGGAAGACGAGTTTCACATTTCTCACAGCTTAGAAGGGGCGTTGAAGGGGTGTGTAAGCTTTTCCTGGTGTCTGTCATCCCAGATAGCCATCAAGGACTATGAGGAGTGAAAAAGAAGAGACTAGAGCTTTCGTGTTAAGGGACAAGAGCTTTTGTGTTAAGGGACAAAGGGGGTATAGGCAAGACTTCAGGTGACAACAGGGGGATGGGCAAAGGACCAATGCAGAAACAATCGTTACCTAGACCTGATCTTCTGGGTTTCCGGATGTGAGTTTGCTGCAGGGAGGCGCCAGCAGGACCGGACCCAGGGGACTGATACCGGTACCTGGGGTCTGTGTATGCCCAAGACCTCCCTGGTCCTCCGTGATGGAAACTGCAGACCATGTCTAATGCATCAGGATGGTATATGCCAAAGAGGGACCCTGAGACCCTGGCAGAGTGATGGAGAGTGGCCACACCAGGATGGCGGCGCGGAGGGTATTCCATGGCCCCTGAGCTGGGCCAGCAGGGAGAGAGGCCTGGGCCTGATGCGTCATTCATTGTGCTGCTTGCCTTAAATACTTTCACCTTGTCCTTTGCGTGCCCCACCAGCCGTGACTGATAGACTTTACTCTTTCCAGTTTAAATTCATGGAAAAAAAAGATTTCCAGTTCAAGACAGCAGGATACAACCTGAAACCCACTATGTCTTTCTCAAACACATCAAGACCAGAGAAGAAAAACTAGAAAAACTTTTTTTTTTTTTTTTTAAGACGGAGTCGCTCTGCCACCCAGGCTGGAGTGCAATGGCACGATCTCGGCCCACTGCAATCTCTGCCTCCCGGGTTCAAGGAATTCTCCTGCCTCAGCCTCCCGAGTAGCTGGGATTACAGGCACCTGCCACCATGCCCGGTTAATGTTTTGTATTTTTAGCAGAGACGGGGTTTCACCATGTTAGCCAGGATGGTCTCGAATTCCTGGCCTCAAGTGATCCACCCGCCTCGGCCTCCCAAAGTGTCGGGATTATAGGCGTGAGCCACCGCACCTGGCCTGTATTTCCTATTTAGCATTCTTTCCCTGTATTTCTTCTTTACTTTGTTTTCTTGTCTTCAGTTGAATTGAGGTTTTTGTGCTAGTCCCTTCTCCCCTACTATTGGAAGTTACACATTTTACTTTTATTTTTAGTGATTACTCTTAAATTTTTAGATCATACCTAAATTTCATGTCCAAGCAAAAGCTAATATCTCTATCCCCCTTCCTGAATATGAAGTGAAAACAAAAACAGAGTATATGTCCAGGCGCAGTGGCTCATGCCTGTAATCCCAACACTTTGGGAGGCCGAGGTGGGCGGATCACCTGAGGTCAGGAGTTCGAGACCAGCCTGGCCAACATGGAGAAACCCTGTCTCTACTAAAAAAAAAAAATAAATAGCCGGGCACGGTGGCGCATGAGTGAGCCGAGAGTTCACGAGTTCGAGAAAAAGTAACAATTTGGCCAGATTCGGTGGCTTACGCCTGTTATCCCAGCACTTTGGGAGGCTGAGGTGGGTGGATCACCTGAGGTCAGGAGTTCGAGACCAGCCTGGTCAACATGGTGAAACCCTGTCTCTACTAAAAATACAAAAATTAGCCAAGTGTGGTGGTGTGCACCTGTAATCCCAGCTACTTGGGAGGCTGAGGCAGGAGAATCGCTTGAACCCAGGAGGCAGAGGTTGCAGCGAGCTGATTGCACCACTGCACTCTGGCCTGGGTGGAAAGAGCGAGACTCCATCTCAATAAATAAATATTAAAAAAAAAATCACCTAGAAACAGTAACAGGTATTGTCAGGATGGTCATAAAATGTTATTACTTTCTTCTTGCTTTTTTGGTATTTCTTCAATTTCAAACACAGGAAAAAAATTGATGTTTTTCATTTTTCAAATATAATATTTGATTACAATATTGAGTAAGTCCCTCCCTTGAGAAGCTCTATGCTGGGGGTTGGGGAAGATCTGATCGTGCCTTACTCACACTGGGCCTGACAATAGGTGCTCAAGATAGTTGTATGGGGTTGTTGTAGGACCAACAGGTTTGTATGCCCATATGTATGCAGTAACAGACCAATTACACTGAGATAGCAGGGTTTGCAGCAGAGAAAGAGTTTAATGATTGCAGGGCACCAAGTTTGGAGATGGGAGGAGACCTTCAAATCCATCTCCCCAAGGAGTTTTGGACTGAATTTTTTAAGGAGATTGTGGAGGGCAAGGGGCTGGAAATTTGGGATTGTTGATTGCCTAAGCAAGGGGCATGAAATAATTGGGATTGGAAACCGCATTCTTTGGTGAGCCAGCTCCTCATGGGGACCAGTTGAGTCAGTAGTTTTATCAGCATGCAGGATCTGAAGGAATACTTCAAAAGGAAAATTTAGCATTTCATGTTCAAGTTGTTATTTATACAGCAGTTAAGGGCAGCTATAATCTAGGGTCTTTGTCACTCCGGGACAACAGGCACCAACCAGCCATGAGGAAGCAGGTCAGAGAGCAGCTGACCTCATGATGAATACTGAGTATGCTGCAGGCTTGGTTTATTTTCATCTTTTCCCCCTACTTCTTCCCTAATTTGTAGGGGTGGGTTGCCCCTACACACCTGTGGGTGTTTCTCGTAAGGTGGGACGAGAGATTTGGAAAAGAAAAAGACACAGAGACAAAGTATAGAGAAAGAAATAAGGGGACCCGGGGAACCAGCGTTCAGCATATGGAGGATCCCGCCAGCCTCTGAGTTCCCTTAGTATTTATTGATCATCTGTGGGTGTTTCTCGAAGAGGGGGATGTGTCAGGGTCACAAGACAATTGTGGGAAGAGGGTCAGCAGACAAACACGTGAACAAAGGTCTTTGCATCATAGACAATGTAAAGGATTAAGTGCTGTGCTTTTAGATATGCATACACATAAACATCTCAATGCTTTACAAAGCAGTATTGCTGCCCGCAGGTCCCACCTCCAGCCCTAAGGCGGTTTTTCCCTATCTCAGTAGATGGAGCATACAATCGGGTTTTATACCGAGACATTCCATTGCCCAGGGACAGGCAGGAGACAGATGCCTTCCTCTTGTCTCAACTGCAAGAGGCATTCCTTCCTCTTTTACTAATCCTCCTCAGCACAGACCCTTTACGGGTGTCGGGCTGGGGGACGGTCAGGTCTTTCCCTTCCCACGAGGCCATATTTCAGACTATCACATGGGGAGAAACCTTGGACAATACCTGGCTTTCCTAGGCAGAGGTCCCTGCGGCCTTCCGCAGTTTTTGTGTCCCTGGGTACTTGAGATTAGGGAGTGGTGATGACTCTTAACGAGCATGCTGCCTTCAAGCATCTGTTTAACAAAGCACATCTTGCACCGCCCTTAATCCATTCAACTCTGAGTTGACACAGCACATGTTTCAGAGAGCACGGGGTTGGGGGTAAGGTCACAGAATCTCAAGGCAGAAGAATTTTTCTTAGTACATAACAAAATGGAGTCTCCTATGTCTACTTCTTTCTACACAGACACAGTAACAATCTGATCTCTCTTGCTTTTCCCCACACTAATTGGTTTTATAAAGTTTATAGGGACGGTTGTAGGGTGGTTGCAGAAAGCTTCCTGGGGGAGGTGACGTCCAAAGGGCTCCTAGGAGGACTAGGGCCAAGTTGGGAGGAAGACAGATCCTCTGGTGCAGATCCAGCTTGTATGGGCAAAGCCAAAGGAGCTGGAACTGGGGAGGTTGACAGGTGGCAGCACAAAGGACCTTGAATGCCAGGCCAAAGGGTCTTGAGCTTTGTTCTGAGGGCAGTGGGGAACCACAAAAACTCTCAGGCAGGAAAGGGGCAAAACGGGTCTGAGATTTATAATAATCCCACTGTTCCATGTTTGCAGAGAAGGGGCTGGAGGAGCCAAGATGTGAGGGTGGGAGGCCCCAAGGATACATTGTTAATTTCAGGTGAGAGATGACAGGGCCACAGCCATCTATCACTGTGCAGGGAATGTTTGGAAGGTAAAGTTGACCAGATAGACACAGTGGATGTGGGGCCAGTGGGACAGGGAGGAGCCCTTGATACCTCTTGGCTTGTGGCCTGGAGGCTGGCTGGGGAGGCTGATATACAGAGTGACACAGGATGGGATGGGTGCTGAGGAGGTGAGAGCCAGGACCTGAGATGCTGCAGAGAAGGCTCCTGGGAGATGACATCAGAGTGGATCTCCTTCTTCGCTTGAGAAGCCTGGCAAGTAGGTGCTCCAGTGGGTGGGGACCAGTGGGGGATTTGTTGTTAGGAGACCTCAGGCCGAGTTCTGGCAGTTGTGTCATCCTGGGCAGGCCACTCAGCAATGCTGATACCCTGCTTCTGAAAACAGGGCTCATCATTCCTGAGGCTGGAGTTTTGGAGGATTAAGGAGGTAACACATGGCAAGTGCTTGGCCCAGAGCCTGGCACTGAATGAACAGAGGATCCTTCCCTCACTCTCCGTTTTCCATCCCCCCTCATGCCCAGCATCTCCTGTCCCCAGCATCCCCAACCTGCATCTCCCTCAGCCTGTATTCCTTTGACCCAGTTAGAGACAGATGAGGAAGGAATCCACCCGCTGGGCTGGCTCTGACCTGCCCCCCTTCTTCTGCCCCAAAGGGAGGGATCCGAGGACTCAGGTCTGAGCCCGGATTAGCTGTGTAATCCCCAGCTTTGCCTAGGCAACCTCTTTCCCTGACCAAGAGAGGGGGCCTGCGGCTGGCAGCCAGGACTCCTGGGCTCTGGGCCTGATACTACTCTATCTGTCTGGGAAACCTCAGACAGGGAAGAGATTTCTTGGTGCCTCTCTTGGGAATGTCACTGACGTCCACAGTGACTGTCACATGCGTGTCAGTTGTTCTGTGGGTTTGCTGTGTGCGGGGCACTGTGGAAAGGAAGAAAGGCCTAGATTCCAGTCCAGCTCCACCACTCAGCAGCTTCATGCCCACAGACAAAGGACAAAATCCCCCTGAGCCTCAGTTTTTTCGTGGACAAAATGGAGTGAACACCTTGTGGGGCTGCTGTGGGGTATGTGAGAAAATAGCTGCAAAGGAGTTTTGTAAACAGCACGTTTTAGAGAGATCAGGAAGGATGATTACAGCACAAAAGAACAGAGATGGTTCCTCACCATGAGGACTGGAAAAGAGCTGGGGAGAGCAGGCCAAAAAGGTCACTCTTATCACGAGGACCACAGCAGAGGGTTCCAGGAAACTGAAAAAGACGAGTTCATCAGGCTTCCAAGACCTCCTGGGAAGGCAAAGGACAGAGGGACCTCCTCAGGTCAGGGGAAAACCGAGGGAGGGGGACAGCCACACAAACGCCCTAAAGTCTAATGACGGCAGAAAGGGGTCTTGGGGGACGGGGGTGGGGTTCACAGCAGTGGCCTGGGCGTGATGACCCTGGCGAAGGACGGGGTCGCAGAGCCCTTAAATCCTGGACCAGTGGCTGATTCCAAAAGCAGCAGGGACCATGCCAGGATTTTGGGCAGAAGCAGAAAGTGCTGGACTCTCCTGACAAGAGCTGAGAGAACTCAGCGGCGCCAGCAAGAGTTTGTGCCGTGCACTGACCATCTGCATCCTCTCTGCCTCACCCCAGCCTAGGATTCCGTGACAGGCCCTCTGGGAAGAACTCCGCGAACAACCCCCTGCCTTGGAGTCTGCAATCCTTCCTCGAGCACACGGACGCCCGGGGTGGGGAAGCCCACAGTCTGGCAGGGCTCGCACTGGGCAGAATAATTGCAACGTAGTCATGAGGATCGGGCTATGACCTGCCTGACTTTTCACTCCTCCCATGATACACCGATGCATACCGCAGGTGCACACTAAACGCCGAATCTATAGAAAGTGGAACACACCAGGACCCAGCAGAAGGCGACATGCGAGGTTTGTTTACTTGTGGCATCAAAGGCTGGGAGCCGGCGAGCTAAGGAGGGAGCGAAAGAGCGAGCGGTGGGGACAGCCACCGCTAAATGCCAGCCCGGTGGAGGGAGGAAGGCGGACCCCAGGCCGGTGGGACCACATCTCCCAGAAGCCCCGGCGCCAAGGCACTGGCCTCTCAGTCCTCCCCCGAGGAGGCGGGGCCGCTGGCGAAGTTGAAGGGGCGCAGCGATACCGGTGCGCGGCGCTGGCGTCGGGCGCGTGACGTCTTTCCTGCGCGCCACCTAGCGTCTCTATCGCGCCAGTTCCTCAGCCTCAGTGCTATGAAGGTGACAGCGTGAGGTGACCCATCTGGCCCGCCGCGATGCTGGCAACACGGCGGCTGCTCGGCTGGTCGCTTCCCGCGCGGGTATCTGTGCGTTTCAGCGGCGACACGGTGAGGCCCAGCCTGGCTGGGGCCACGGGTGTTTGGGGCCGGGTGTCGCGGCCGCGCCCGTGCACGAGCAGTCCCTGGGGTCTGTAGTGGCCTCTGGAGAGCCCTTCTCCCCAGGCCAGGCGGGAAGGCCCCCGCTCCGGCCTGGTTGAAGTAGGGGAACGGGTCCCAACGCGGGGCCGACTCCCTTGACCCTCTGACTTGCTGGCTTCCCTTGTTTTACAGTCCTCGGCCTGGCGGAAGTTTTGCAGGTTGTGAAGACCCCTAGTCTTTCATTCTCTCCTTGTCACAGCCTTGTAGGGCGTGAAGGGGTCATTGCCCCATTTAGGGATGCGCACCTCCTGATTTCCCGTCCACTGCTCTGCGCCCTGAAGTGGCTGAAAAGTGCTCTTAAAAGGATGGGAATCCCGTCGCCCTCAGCTGGTGCGCTCTCCACTGGGTCGTGGGGCTCCTCATTTCATCCTAAGTGAGCCCCTCCATCACCTGTGTGTTAAGGAGGCATTTCTTTCCCATCAGTAAACACATTTCGCCTCTTCGGCCGAGGTAGGAATATAAAAGGCCCCTGGCCTACCCAAGTTTTGGTCCAGCAGGGGAGCCAGGCCGGGAAAGGGCCAAGCTGCCACACTCGGCTTGTGGGGCTGTGTGGTGCCGTGATGCAGCTGTGGGTTTGGCCACCGACAGACCTGGGCTCAAATTGGACCTGCTGCTTTTGACTGTGAGACCTTCCATAAGCTCCTTTTGCTCCAAGCCTCAGTTTTCTCCTCTGTGAAACAGAGAAAATCGTTCCTATCAGAGTTCTTATGAGGATGAAATGGGATTTTGGATGTAAAATGCTTCCATCCAGTACCTGCTAAACAAAATGCTTACTAATGGCCGGGCGCGGTGGCTCACGCCTGTAATCCCAGCACTTTGGGAGGCTGAGGCGGGCGGATCGCTTGAGGTCAGGAGTTCGAGACCAGCCTGGCCAATATGGTGAAACCCTGTCTCTACTAAAAGTGCAAAAATTACCCGGGCGTGGTGGTGAGTGCCTGTAATCCCAGCTATCCAGAGGCTGAGGCACAAGAATTATTTGAACCTGGGAGGTGGAGTTTGCAGTGAGCTGAGATTACGCCACTGCACTCCAGCCTAGGCAAAAGAGCAAGAGTCTGTCTCAAAAAAAAAAAAATGCTTACTAAGTGGCAGTGGTATCTATGATGCTATAGATGCTTCCCTAGCCCTAGCCCAGCCCCTCCTAAATAGGGAGACCCAAGATTCTGTAGCTTCTGGCCCAATCCCTCATGGCCCCAGAGCACTCTGGGCCTCCTGACCCTTTGTCTCCCTAGACAGCACCCAAGAAAACCTCATTTGGCTCGCTGAAGGATGAAGACCGGATTTTCACCAACCTGTACGGCCGCCATGACTGGAGGTGAGACAGTGCCCTTAGTGTGTTGGGTCCCGGAGCAAGGTGTCCCCTTCATTGCCTTCCCTATTCTGTCCAGGCTGAAAGGTTCCCTGAGTCGAGGTGACTGGTACAAGACAAAGGAGATCCTGCTGAAGGGGCCCGACTGGATCCTGGGCGAGATCAAGACATCGGGTTTGAGGGGCCGTGGAGGCGCTGGCTTCCCCACTGGCCTCAAGTGGAGCTTCATGAATAAGCCCTCAGATGGCAGGTGTGTGTGTGGGGGCGGGGCAGATGTGGCTGTGGGAGAGACCTTGGGGGTGGCTGGGGTTTCCCTGGGCCTTTGGGCTCTTTCCTTAGAAACTTAGCATGAATGAGGTGGGCACATGTTCCCAGGCCTTAAATGGATGGGACTTACTCTGTGGACTTCCACAGGGGAGACTTATGTAGCAGAATCAACACATGATTTTGACTCAGGCAGACTTAGTTCAAATCCTAGCTCTGCCTCCTAATCATAGAGGTTTGGGCAATTTCCCAGCCTTTGTGAACCTTAGCTTCCTTTTTGTAAATAGGTACAGTGATATCATGCAAGGATTAAAGAGATAATGTTCATACAGCTTTTGGCCTGTATGCTGGTTGGCACATAAAGCAAATGATAAATGTCACCTGCTTTACCTCCTTTTGATGGTAGAGCTTGAGGAATGCTCTTTGTCACCAAGAGTAGAATCTGGCTCTCAGGGGCAGACACAAGGAGAGATGTTTGGATGAGCTGAATGAAGACCTTTCTTGTGGTCATAGCCACCCAAAGACAGAATAGGCAGTGAGCTCCCTGTCATTGGTGGTGAGCAAGCAGAGCCCCTGGGACATGTTGGGAGGGCAGTAAAGGATTGGCTGTCAGAGGAGACATCTTTGAGGCCTCCCTGGGTGGAGTGGGGTGGCATGGAGTTGAAGACCCAGTCCTGATGGCCCTGTAGCCTGTCTGACCTGTGGGCCCCTGCAGGCCCAAGTATCTGGTGGTGAACGCAGACGAGGGGGAGCCGGGCACCTGCAAGGACCGGGAGATCTTACGCCATGATCCTCACAAGCTGCTGGAAGGCTGCCTGGTGGGGGGCCGGGCCATGGGCGCCCGCGCTGCCTATATCTACATCCGAGGGGAATTCTACAATGAGGCCTCCAATCTGCAGGTGGGTAGGGAGAGATGTAGACAGATGAGAAGGTGTTCAGTGTGCACTCACACACCCCTCACCCAGCACAGTTGTTCTGAGGTGTTAGTACCTGGTCTGTCAGTGGTTGAACTGGGGGAGTGGTGGCCAGTCCTGCATGCATCCCAAATGGGACTTGGCTCCCAAAGCCTCCTTCCAGGGCTCCTAATGCTGCTGGTGTAAATTTTTTTTTTTTGCTTCAAAAATATAGTATTTTTTATAAAACAAGTAGCAAGAAGAAAAAACCTAAGTGGAACTATGTGTTTAGCAAGAGAGCGGAATAATTATGAATATAAACAATTCCTATTTGGAGAAAATACATTATGTTCATTGCTTGGAACTATGAATAATACTTATATCTGTAGGAAATATAGAAAAATAAAATAGGTTAAGGCAATAAGGATATAGGCAATTACATTTTTATTTTAATTTTATAAGGACTTTTATTTTTCCTTTACAGACTAGGGTAGTTAGGAGACCTGATAGTAGCTACTTCGTTTTTATTTTCCTGGCAGCAAAGCAGCTTACTTATGTGTTCCTTCTTGCTTATCTGTTCCAGATCATAGTCAAGTTTTCCAATTCGTTTTACTAAGCTAGCAAAATTTTTTATACCAGGAGCATTAGGAGCTTCACCGTGGGAGGCCTTCAAGGGCTTCATGACTCCTGAAGTTATAGGCTGACTCCTGGGCTGGGGGTGGGCTGGGAAACTCACACCTTTGTCCTGCAGGTGGCCATCCGAGAGGCCTATGAGGCAGGTCTGATTGGCAAGAATGCTTGTGGCTCTGGCTATGATTTTGACGTGTTTGTGGTGCGCGGGGCTGGGGCCTACATCTGTGGAGAGGAGACAGCGCTCATCGAGTCCATTGAGGGCAAGCAGGGCAAGCCCCGCCTGAAGCCCCCCTTCCCCGCAGACGTGGGTAAGGCCTGGCGTAACCCTGGGTCAGACTGTGTCCTGTGACACCCGGGATCTGGCTAGGCTCCCTTTGGATTGTTCTTAGGGATTTCTGAGTGGCTTCCCGGCTGGGGCCAGATAGAGAGTAGGCTGGCAACAACACACAGGCTCCCCCAGGGCCGCCTGCTGTCCCTCCTCCTGCCTCGGTCCCCTCCGCACCAGTGCTGCTCTGTGGCTCCACCTTCACAGTGCCTGTTCTGAGGCTAAGGGCATGGGGTGAACAAGGCAATGGGCATCTCTGGAGTTTGGGGTCCAGCAGGGATAAGAATGATAAGGGGATATTAGAGCAGGGGCTCTGCCATGGGTGCAGGACCCTGGGACACACCTCCCTGCCAGGAAACTTGCCCCACCCCCTAGCAGCCACCAGTTCTCTTCCCATTTCCCTGAAGGAGTGTTTGGCTGCCCCACAACTGTGGCCAACGTGGAGACAGTGGCAGTGTCCCCCACAATCTGCCGCCGTGGAGGTACCTGGTTTGCTGGCTTTGGCAGAGAACGCAACTCAGGCACCAAACTATTCAACATCTCTGGCCATGTCAACCACCCTTGCACTGTGGAGGAGGAGATGTCTGTGCCCTTGAAAGAACTGATTGAGAAGCATGCTGGTAAGGCCTGGGGCCAGCCAGGTGGTGGGGGGGTGCGCAGTGGGGGCAGGTGTCCACAAAGAGAGCCTGGGCGGGAGGGCTCAGGAGACGGGGCTGGGTCTAGGGGCTGACTAAGGGCCTGGGCTCAGGACTAGGCAGGTGTGCCGGCCCCAGCCCTGACCATGCATCCCTTTGGGGACCGACTTGGGGCCCCAGGGGGTGTCACGGGCGGCTGGGACAACCTCCTTGCTGTGATCCCTGGCGGCTCGTCTACCCCACTGATCCCCAAGTCTGTGTGTGAGACGGTGCTGATGGACTTCGATGCGCTGGTGCAGGCACAGACAGGCCTGGGCACAGCTGCGGTGATCGTCATGGACCGCTCGGTAAGGGTTCACACACCAGCCCTGGTCCCTGCCCTCCTGGTTGCTGTCTCCCTCCCTGGGCCTCCCAGAAAACCCTCTTGCCAGCACTCAGGTCTCAGTTCCTGCAGCCTGAGATAAAGCAAGGTGGAAGAGGAGGGAGGAAGGCTGCTCTGAGGAGAATACCCCGGAGTCTGGGCAGCACAGGGGGCCCAGGGAGGCTGGAGGAGGCCAGAACGCTGGGTGGGCTGGGAAGAGCTTCTGGAACTGGGGGAGGGGCTGCTGCTAGGGGGCTGAGGCCCAGGCTTCTGTCTGGCCGTGGGTGCCTGCTAATTGCCCCTCGTCACCCAGACGGACATCGTGAAAGCCATCGCCCGCCTCATTGAGTTCTATAAGCACGAGAGCTGTGGCCAGTGTACCCCATGCCGTGAGGGTGAGCATCGGGCAGGTTGGGGGCTTGCTTGCTGTGGCTTCATTTAACCTCCTCCCCACCACGTGGCCTGCAGCCCTCAAGCGCCGCCCCACATCCTGGCTGGGGAGATCATCAGGCCCTCTCTTGTGGCTGTGGCTGCAGGTGTGGACTGGATGAACAAGGTGATGGCACGTTTCGTGAGGGGGGATGCCCGGCCGGCCGAGATCGACTCCCTGTGGGAGATCAGCAAGCAGATAGAAGGCCATACGATTTGTGCTCTGGGTGACGGGGCCGCCTGGCCTGTGCAGGTATTCACCACCCTTCTGCGTAGCACGGAGGGTGGGTGGCATCAAGGGCCCAGGGTGTTGGGGGATTTTTGGACTCTGTTTCACATGGTCCCCCCACCGACCCCAGGGTCTGATCCGCCACTTTCGGCCGGAGCTCGAGGAGCGGATGCAGCGGTTTGCCCAGCAGCATCAGGCCCGGCAGGCTGCCTCTTAGCCCACCACCCTGGCCTGCTGTCCTGCGTCTATCCATGTGGAATGCTGGACAATAAAGCGAGTGCTGCCCACCCTCCAGCTGCCGCTGCTGTGACTGTGCTCTTTACCCTTTACCCAGCACACGATCCTCAAGGGTGGGAGGGGAGAACAGGGTCCAGTCTGGCCCATGGCCAGAGAAAGGACAGGGTCTCATCTGGCTTGAAGGAGATGTTTATTTCGGCTCCATGATTTGGGGTGGGGTGAATGTGAAAGCGGGGAGAGAGGAAACACCTCTCTGACTTGGGGCTGGGCATGAGGGTAAGGCAGCCCCAGCCGCCATCATTTTTGTGGGGACGTTTCAGGCAGCTGTAGTGGAGGGGCGGCAGGCAGGGCCCATGGGCTAGTCGCTGAGCTGGACAGGCTTGCTGTCCAGCGGGTGCCACAGCTTCAGGCGGTGGTCACTGTGGCCCAGGCACTCAAGCCAGTGCCGCAGGCGCTCCCCACTGGCATGGCTGCCCAGCTGCACCCCGCCTGCCATGGGGGATGGGTCAGGAACCGCCAGGAGCCTACTGGGCCCCCACCCCAGCTCCTCATGTTCCCACTCACCAATGAAGTCATCAGCCGTGCCTAGGTCATAGTCCCACACAGACACCAGCAGCGTCTTCTGGGCCAGCTCCTCCCGTGGGCCTGAGTAAAAGAATTCCTGCAGGGAGAAGGGCAGAGAGGCGGGAAGGAGGCAGCCTCGGCTCTCCCACAGCTTAAGAAGCAGGCCACGGTAGGGTAGTGGCTCAGCATGTCAAGGCCAGGGTTGGCTGGGACCTGCCTGGCCCTGGCTCACCTCATTGAACTCGGGGTTCAGGGTCTTCCTGTGAACACTGGTTTTGAATTTAGATTTCTTCCCTGCATTTGGATGCAGGAAACTGATCGGGGAAGATTGGCGGGTTAGGTGTGGCCCTGGAGAGGTGAGGAGTCACCGCCTTATCCTCACCTCCCGCCTGCCTACCCCAGTTCACTCACAGGCGCACGAAGGGGTCCGAGTAACCATTGGCATCCATGGGGGCCAGGTGGGCGCAGCGCAGCACACCTACCAGCAAGCCACCCTGCTGAGAGCTGTAGCACAGTGACAGTAGGACGTGCCCACATTCCTCCCAGGCCACCTCTGTCTCCACCTCCTCCTGCAGGTGTAGGCTGAGGTCAGCCCCAATCCAGTCCAAAGCCCACCCCCTTTAGCCTCCGTGCTCTGGGCAGGAAAGCTCAACCTGGCCCCAAAGAAATCGGGGGCAACGACTTCATTTCCAATACAGCCACTTGCCCAGTGCCATGGAAGTGGCCCTATGGGTCAGCTGTACCCTCCAGGGCCTGACCAAAGGCGAGGCTTGCTGACCACATGACCAGTCAGATACGTCTGTCATGGAGGGGAAGCGAACTGGCTGACATGCCAGTAGCTCCCTAAGTGGCCTCCCATCCAGTGTGTGTAGCCACCCCTGTAGGCAAGCGGCTCTGAGAGGATGTTCACTTCCCAAGGAGAAGCAGATCTCTTCAAAACCCCACCCTCTTCACCCCCTATTTCCCTGGGGACCAGATGCTGAGTGTCGTTTGTCACACTCTGGGCCCTGGTGCTTCTGAACAGGCTCAGGGAGGAAGCCCGGGGAGGATGCACTGCTCTCACCCGCAGGGTAGGTTTCCATTTGCGGAAAGCCCCACCACCTTGCTCACAGGCGGTTCTCAGGAATGCGGAAGTGCTCTGTGGGCACCCACCATGCTCCGGGCGCTGTTGTGCTTGGGATCTGGGGCGGAGGGTACACGGGGCTGGCGCTGGGTGAAGTGGCCTGTCCATGCCACCTTGGTGGGCTTCAGCCACTTGGGCTTAGCTAATCGACAGCTGCAGCAACTTGTGGCTCCACCAGGGGGCGGGGCACCCGGCACTTTGGGGAGGAGCTGGTAGAGGGCCCCGCTCTCAGCCTCCCAGCTGCCTCCCCCACCGACCACAGGGGTTCTAACTAGGTCTTTGGTCTCTAGTGGCGTCAAACCCCTGCCAGTCACCCTCACTGCCTCCGGACAAGGGCCTGTCTAGGACAGCCTGCCCCAGGAGTGGCCCCCACACTCCCCTCAGGCCAGACCCCAGCCAGGGAGCCCCACCCATCTGTCCTCTCTTCCACCTCGCCCAGCCTCCCATCTCGGGCCGTGGACAAATGCCGCCAGTTTCAGCCTCTGCCTCAAGGCAGGTCTCTGCCCAGCTGCGCCCCCAGGGACTCTGCTTGTCCCAGTGCCCCACAGCTCCTCTGGGCTGCCCTGGCAAGGGAGTCACCCTCACTTTGTCACCTGGCTGTCCCCTGTGACAATGAGGGCTCACAGGGCCTATGAGAGCTGGCCTCAGGTTCCTCCAAGTCCCCTACGCCCCTGCCACCAGGCCTGCCCCCTCATCTCTGCTCAGCCCAGTTGTCCTACCCACCTCATAGAGGGACATGCCACAGGCTGTGTCCAGGCTCTTGGGCCTCTTGGCCTGAAAGGGCAGAGAGCCCGGTCATCCTGGCCAGATGCTGCCCAGATCCCCCTCCCTGTTCCTCCCCTCCAGCTCCCCCCATCACAGGTTCCTGGCCTCTGCAGTCCCACCTGTGCTCCAGCCCCACTCACCAGCCTCCGCTTCTCCAGACAGATGTCAAAGCTCCTGGCTCGGTTTGGCACCAGCTTCCTCAGGGGCACCCGCAGCTCCCCCAGGGAAGGTGCCTGCCACTGTCGCTGTACCATGGGTCCTCGCACACACACAGCCTGGTGGCCGCCCAGGTCAGACCTGGCCAGGCCAGCCCCATCCCTCTGCTCCACCCCCAGGTGGCCCAGGCCAGATCCTCACCTAAGGGTCTTGCACTCAGCATCCTGGCGGGTGAAGCCGTGATAGGTGAGTGTCTCCTCCCAGACAGGTACCCTCGTGCCCCGAACGGTGTGTGTCCGAAGCTGGCTGGCCTAGGGCCCAAGCCGGGTGGGTCAGGGCCTCCTAGGGCTAAGACCGTCCTGTAACCCCCAACCCTACCTCCCTGGTAGGACCCCCCACTATTTGCACATCCCAGCAACTGAGACCTAGGCCTTGCAGGATGGGGAGGAGCCAAGCAGAGCCAAGTGGGTGCCCCAGGCTGGGTGTTCCACCAGAGGGCAGCAGTGGGGGCCTGGGGCTTGCCCTCACCTTGCTGGCCCCTGGCAGCAGATTGGCTTTGACATAGGCATCCGCGGAGCCTGAGGCCAATGGCTTGAGGCCCTGGGAACAGACAGTGGGTATGAGACAGGCCCGTGCCCCAGCCCTCTGTCCCAGGAACACCCACCCCCATCCTCACCTTGGCACGATGAGCCGTGCAATGCAGGGCACTGTTGTCCGCTTCAAAAAGAAGTGTGAACTCCAGGGTGCCCAGGGCAGCTAGAGGCAGGTGGAAGGCAGCGTCACCTCCTACCTCAGCTCAGTCTGCCCCCACCCATGGCACGTGCTTCCTGCCTTGCCCCTCCATGGCCAGATGGTAGGGACACCCCACTCCCCCTCCTGGCTGGGCTGAGCTCAGGGTGTCCCCCTCTTCCCGCCCCTACTCACTGCTGTCGTCTGAGTCTCCTTCTGGCTCTGGGTCGGGCTGCAGCTGGGGTGCAGAGCGGACGGCGGACGCCGCTGCGGGGCGCAGGTTCGGAGGGTGCAGGGCAGGCTCCGCAAAAGGGTAAAAGTGCGGGAAGTAGTGGGAAATGAGGCGGATGGGCCGGATGGGGCCCGGGCTCACATCGATGGCCATGTGCTCCTGCATGCTAACCCGGGGAGGCTGCCCACCTGCTGCCGCAGTGCCCGCCATGGGGACCCAGACGGGGGGCGGTGGGCGGAGACTCAGAGAAATGCCTGAGGACTGGGGCTGGCGGGAACGCACCCGGCCTCGGAAATGGGGTGAAGAAGCATCGCTGATACCATGCAGGGACCTGAGGACAGAGCGCAGGGTTGAGGGAGGGGCTGGGGGAGTCCTCAGCCTGGAGGGTTGTGGCAGGCTTTGGAGGGGACTGGGTGTGTTGGGAGTCAGTCCAGCTCCCGGCCCTTACCGCTCTGGGAGCTACTTCACCCAGTGTGAGTTGCTGCTGCTGGCAGTGGGTACGCACTCATGAGGGCAGAGCCCGTGACTGCTGTGTCCCCAGTGAGTGAGGGTGACCCAGAGCTCAGAACCCTCTCAGAGCTCCTTCCTAGCGCTGGGGCTCAGCTTCCCTCCTCCCTCTGCCCCCTTCACACTTTGTCAAAGGGAGTTATTTTTGCCACCATCATGTGGCCCTGCTCCCAGGTGAGGAGGCTGGTGGGCCGGAGGTGACAGAGGGCTGTGGAGGTGATAAGTGGTTTGTGGGAAGGAGGGAGCGCATAGGAGGAGGGGAGGGGGTGCATGGGAAGGTGGGAGGGGAGGGAGGTCTGGGGAGGAGAGGAGGGGAGCCACAGGAGGGGGCTCCTGTGATGGAGCCCTGTGGGGGTGGCCAGTTTACACTCTGAAACATGAACCAGATCATCCCGCCTCCACCCCTGCTTGGAATAAAATCTGAATCCTTTGGTGAGGCACGGCCCCTTTTCACCTCACCAAGGAGTGTCCCCTTGGCATCTCACAGTAACGGCCTGCTCCCCTCCCAAACTGGGCCACCCTCCCTGCCCTTTGACCTGACCACTCCTACTCACCTTTGGTTTCTGGGTCACCCCCTGCAGGGGATCTTGGCTGGTTTTAACCATCCAGCATTCCCTCTCCTCTCTTCTCCCCAGTTATTCTTTTAATTTTTAATCAACATAACCGTAGGTGTGTATGGGGTACAATATGGTGTTCTGATGTGATATGTGTAGAAATGCAATTTCTACAATATGCATTGTAGAAAGAGTCAGTCAGGCTAATGAAAAAAAGAACACTTAAAATGTGCTCTTCAGGCAACTGTGAAATACACAAGGCGCTATTGTTAGGGATGTTTGTCATGCTGTGCAACAGGGCCTTCAGCTTACTCTTCCTGACTGGAACTTTGTACCCTAAGAGCAATGTCTCCCCTCTCCCCATCCCTAGTCCCCCACTCTCCAGCCCCTGGTGACCACCATTCTCTCTGCTTCTAGGAGTTCAACTTTTTCAGATTCCCCATAAAAATCAGACCGTATAGTATTTGTCTTTCTGTGCCTAGCTTATTTCACTTAGCATATCGTCCTCCAGGTTCATCCATGTTGTCACAAATGATAGAATGTCCATCTTTGTTAAGGCTGAACAGTATAGACAGACCATCCTATCCATCCGTCTGATGCTGGGCAGTCAGGTTGCTGCCGTGTCTTAGCTGTTGTGAATGGCACTGCAGTGAACACGGAGGCAGACACCTCTTCAGCATGCTGACTTCAATTCCTGTGGATACTACCCACAAGTGAGGTTGCTGGATCACACGGTAGCTCTATTTTTAGTGTTCTAAGGGACTGCCATATGATTTTCCAAAATGGCTGTGCTCATTTACCTTCCCACAAACAGCACATAAGGCTTCCCTTTCCTCCACATCCTCACGAGCATTTGTTGTCTCCCATGGTTTGGTAGTAGCTTTTCTAACAGGTGTGAGATGGTATCTCATTGAGATTTTAACTTCTATTTCCTTCACGATTAGCGATGTTGAGCATTTTTTCACGTGTCTTTTGAGAAATGTATGTTCAGGTCCTTTGCCCATGTTTAAATGGGGATATTTGTTTCTTGAGTTCCTTGTTTCTTTTGGATATTAGCCCCCTTATCAGGTGTATGGTTTGCAAAGATTTTCTCCTATCCTGTAGTCTCTCTCTTCACTTTGTTGTTTCTTTTGCTGTGCAGAAGCTTTTTAGTCGGGTGCTATCCCATTTGTCTGTTTTTGCTTTTGATGCCTTTGCTTTTGGGGTCCTATCCAAGAAATCATTGCCCAGACCAATGTCTAGAACTTTCCCCATATGTTTCCTTCAAGTAGTGTTACCATTGCAGGTTTTTTTTTTTTTTTTTTTTCCTTTAAGATAGGATCTCACTCTGTCGCCCAGGCTGGAGTGCAGTGGCACAATCTCAGTTCACTGCAGCCTCTGCCCCCTGGGCTCTAGCGATCTTCCCCCCTCAGCTTCTTGAGTAGTTGGGACTACAGCGTGCACCACCATGCCTGGCTAATTTTTTTGTATTTCTGTACAGATGGGGTTTCACTACATTGGCCAGGCCGGTCTTGAACTCCTGAAGTCACGGTGGCCCGCCTTGGCCAACCAAAGTGCTGGGATTACAGGCATGAGCCATGACGTCTGGCTCACTTCAGGTTTTTACAGGCCATTTTGAGTTGATTTTTGTCTAAAGTGGGAACCTCAATTGTTCTTTGGGAACCACTGCTTCTCAGTCCAGGGAGTTCCCTCCTACCCAGGCAAGCATCCCAGATTCTATCCATCAATGTACTGTAAATCCAACTGAGAGGTGACAGCGTGCGGGCAGTCCTCATAGCCCTCGCTCGCTCGCTCTCGGCGCCTCCTCTGCCTGGGCTCCCACTTTGGCAGCACTTGAGGAGTGCTTCAGCCCACCGCTGCACTGTGGGAGCCCCTTTCTAGGCTGGCCAAGGCCGGAGCCGGCTCCCTCAGCTTGCAGGGAGGTGTGGAGGGAGAGGCGCCGGGAACCGGGGCTGCGCGTGGCGCTTGCGGGCCAGCTGGAGTTCCGGGTGGGCGTGGGCTTGGCGGGCCCCGCACTCGCCGCAGCCAGCCGGCCCTGCCGGCCCCGGGCAATGAGGGGCTTAGCACCCGGGCCAGCGGCTGTGGAGGGTGTACTGGGTCCCCCAGCAGTGCCAGCCCACCGGTGCTGCGCTTGATTTCTCGCCGGGCCTTAGCTGCCTTCCTGCGGGGCAGGGCTCAGGACCTGCAGCCCGCCATGCCTGAGCCTCCCACCCCCTCCGTGGGCTCCTGTGTGGCCCGAGCCTCCCCGATGAGCGCCGCCCCCTGCTCCATGGCGCCCAGTCCCATCGACCACCCAAGGGGTGAGGAGTGCGGGTGCATGGCGCGGGACTGGCAGGCAGCTCCATCTGCAGCACCGGTGCAGGATCCACTGGGTGAAGCCAGCTGAGCTCCTGAGTCTGGTGAGGATATGGGGAACCTTTGTATCTAGCTCAGGGATTGTAAATACACCAATCAGCACCCTGTGTCTAGCTCAGGGTTTGTGAATGCACCAGTGGACAATCTGTATCTAGCTACTCTGGTGGGGCCTTGGAGAACCTTTATGTCTAGCTCAGGGATTGTAAATACACCAATCGGCACTCTGTATCTAACTCAAGGTTTGTAAATACACCAATCAGCACCCTGTGTCTAGCTCAGGGTTTGTGAATGCACCAACGGACACTCTGTATCTAGCTACCCTGGTGGGGACTTGGAGAACCGTTGTGTCGACACTCTGTATCTAACTAATCTGGTGGGGACTTGGAGAACCTTTGTGTCTAGCTCAGGGATTGTAAACGCACCAATCAGCGCCCTGTCAAAACAAACCACTTGTCTCTACCAATCAGCAGGACGTGGGTGGGGCCAGATAAGAGAATAAAAGCAGGCTGCCCAAGCCAGCAGTGGCAACCCGCTTGGGTCCCCTTCCACACTGTGGAAGCTTTGTTCTTTCACTCTTTGCAATAAATCTTGCTACTGTTCACTCTTTGGGTCCACACTGCTTTTATGAGCTATAACACTCACCGCAAAGGTCTGCAGCTTCACTCCTGAAGCCAGCGAGACCACAAGCCCACTGGGAGGAACGAACAACTCCAGGCGCGCAATGAACAACTCCAGGCGCGCCGCCTTAAGAGCTGTAACACTCACCGCGAAGGTCTGCAGTTTCACTCCTAAGCCAGCGAGACCACGAACCCACCAGAAGGAAGAAACTCCAAACACATCTGAACATTAGAAGGAACAAACTCCAGATGCGCCACCTTAAGAGCTGTAACACTCACCGCGAGGGTCCACGGCTTCATTCTTGAAGTCAGTGAGAGACCAAGAACCCACCAATTCCGGACACATTTTGGCGACCATGAAGGGACTTTCGCCTATTGCCAAGCGGTGAGACAATCGCTGAGCAGTGAGACCATCACCTATTGCCGAGCGGTGAGACCATTGCCTATCGCCAAGCAGTGAGTACCATTGGACCCCTTTCGCTTGCTATTCTGTCCTATCTTTCCTTAGAATTCGGGGGCTAAATACCAGGCACCTGTCGGCCAGTTAAAAGTGACTAGCGTGGCCGCTGGACTAAAGACATGGGTGTCAGACTTTCTGGGAAAGAGCTCTCTAACAACCCCCGACTCTTCGGAGTTGGGACCGTTGGTTTGCCTAGAACCAGCTTCCGCTTTTCCTGTACTTCTGGGCTGAGCCGAGGGTCGACAGAGAGGAAGGCCATGCAGCTCTGGGGTCCTGACAACATGATGGTTGACCCCGCGGCCATGAGCAGAACTCTCAAAAGCATGTCGCCCAAGCGAGACCCGCCCATCTATCCTATCTATCCTGACCCTAGCCCCCTGGGTCCTAATGCCTGCCAGACAAACTTCCTCTTGCCTCCCTTCTCTGAGGTTAGACCCACTTCTAAAAATTGCTACCTGTCTCTGGTGCTTTTCTAGTTTCTCCGATAAGAATGATTTCTAGTATAAACTCCAGGACTCTGTTACCTTCTTTAGGCACCTGGGCTCACCAATCAGAAAGACATAATTTTTGCCCAAAGCCCCATCGTAGTGGGGACTACCTGGAATTTTAGGATCCCTCCTCACACTGACAGGCCTAACAAAAGCTATTCCTGAAGCTAGGATATGGGGAGCCTCAGAAATTGTATCCTTCCTATTCATATAAGTTAGGACAAAAGATGTCACTCTTCCAACCCTGGAGACCCCTTCCCTCCTTCAGGGTATGGCCCTCCACTTCATTTTTGGGGCATAACATCTTTATAGGACAGGGGTAAAGTCCCAATACTAACAGGAGAATGCTTAGGACTCTAACAGGTTTTTGAGAATGCGTCGGTAAGGGCCACTAAATCCGATTTTTCTCGGTCGGTCCTCCTTGTGGTCTAGGAGGACAGGCAAGGGTGCAGGTTTTCGAGAATGCGTCGGCAAGGACCACTAAATCCGACCTTCCTCGGTCCTCCATGTGGTCTGGGAGGAAAACTAGTGTTTCTGCTGCCGCGTCGGTAAGCGCAACTATTCCGATCAGCAGGGTCCAGGGACCGTTGCGGGTTCTTGGGCAGGGGTTGTTTCTGCTGCTGCGTCAGTGAGCGCAACTATTCCGATCAACAGGGTCCAGGGACTGTTGCGGGTTCTTGGGCAGGGGGAGAAACAAAACAAACCAAAACCGTGGGTGGTTTTGTCTTTCAGATGGGAAACACTCAGGCATCAACAGGCTCACCCTTGAAATGCATCCTAAGCCATTGGGACCAATTTGACCCACAAACCCTGAAAAAGAGGCGGCTCATTTTTTTCTGCACTGCGGCTTGGCCCCAATATTCTCTTTCTGATGGGGAAAAATGGCCACCTGCGGGAAGTACAAATTACAATACCATCCTGCAGCTTGATCTTTTCTGTAAGAGGGAAGGCAAATGGAGTGAAATACCTTATGCCCAAGCTTTCTTTTCATTGAGGGAGAATACACAACTATGCAAAGCTTGCCATTTACATCCCAAAGGAGGACCTCTCGGCTTACCCCCATATCCCAGCCTCCCTATAGCTCCCCTTCCTATTAATGATAATCCTCCTCTAATCTCCCCTGCCCAGAAGGAAATAAGCAAAGAGGTCTCCAAAGGACCACAAACCCCCCCGGGCTGTCAGTTGTGTCCCCTTCAAGTTGTAGGGGGAGGGGAATTTGGCCCAACCCGGGTACATGTCCCCTTCTCCCTCTCTGATTTAAAGCAGATCAAGGCAGACCTGGGGAAGTTTTCAGATGATCCTGATAGGTACATAGATGTCCTACAGGGTCTAGGGCAAACCTTTGACCTCACTTGGAGAGATGTCATGCTACTGTTAGATCAAACCCTGGCCTTTAATGAAAAGAATGCGGCTTTAGCTGCAGCCCGAGAGTTTGGAGATACCTGGTATCTTAGTCAAGTAAATGATAGAATGACAGCCGTAGAAAGGGACAAATTCCCTACCGGTCAGCAAGCCATCCCCAGTATGGATCCCAACTGGGACCTTGACTCAGATCATGGGGACTGGAGTTGTAAACATCTGTTGACCTGTGTTCTAGAAGGACTAAGGAGAATTAGAAAAAAGCCCATGAATTATTCAGTGATGTCCACCATAACTCAGGGAAAGGAAGAAAATCCTTCTGCCTTCCTCGAGCGGCTATGAGAGGCCTTAAGAAAATATACTCCCCTGTCACCCAAATCACTTGAGGGTCAATTGATTCTAAAAGATAAGTTTATTACCCAATCAGCTGCAGATATCAGGAGAAAGCTCCAAAAGCAAGCCCTGGGCCCTGAACAAAATCTAGAGACATTATTAAACCTGGCAACCTCGGTGTTCTATAATAGGGACCAAGAGGAACAGGTCCAAAAGGAAAAGCGAGATCAGAGAAAGGCCGCAGCCTTAGTCATGGCCCTCAGACAAACAAACCTTGGTGGTTCAGAGAGGACAGAACATGAAGCAGGCCAATCACCTGGTAAGGCTTGTTATCAGTGTGGTTTACTGGGACACTTTAAAAAAGATTGTCCAATGAGAAACAAGCTGCCCCCTCGTCCGTGTCCACTATGCTGAGGCAATCACTGGAAGGTGCACTGCCCCAGAGGATGAAGGTTCCCTGGGTCAGAAGCCCCCAGCCAGACGATCCAACAACAGGACTGAGGGTGCCTGGGGCAAGCGCCAGCTCATGTCATCACCCTCACTGAGCCCCGGGTATGTTTAACTATTGAGGGCCAGGAAATTGACTTCCTCCTGGACACTGGCGCGGCCTTCTCAGTGTTAATCTCCTGTCCTGGACGACTCTCCTCAAGGTCCATTACCATCCAAGGAATCCTGGGACAGCCTGTAACCAGGTATTTCTCCCACCTCCTCAGTTGTAATTGGGAGACTTTGCTCTTTTCACATGCCTTTCTTGTTATGCCTGAAAGTCCCACACCCTTATTAGGGAGGGATATATTAGCCAAGGCTGGAGCTATTATCTACATGAATATGGGGAACAAGTTACCCATTTGTTGTCCCCTACTTGAGGAGGGAATCAACCCTGAAGTCTGGGCATTGGAAGGACAATTTGGAAGGGCAAAAAATGCCCACCCAGTCCAAATCAGGTTAAAAGATCCCACCACTTTTCCTTATCAAAGGCAATATCCCTTAAGGCCTGAAGCTCATAAAGGATTACAGAATATTGTTAAACATTTGAAAGCTCAAGGCTTAGTAAGGAAATGCAGCAGTCCCTGCAACACCCCAATTCTGGAAGTACAAAGACCGAGACTAGTGCAAGATCTTAGACTCATTAATGAGGCAGTAATTTCACTATATCCAGTTGTACCCAAACCCTATACCCTGCTCTCTCAAATACCAGAGGAAGCAGAATGGTTCACAGTTCTGGACCTCAAGGATGCCTTCTTCTGTGTTCCCCTGCACTCTGATTCACAGTTCCTCTTTGCTTTTGAGGATCCCACAAACCACACATCCCAACTTACATGGATGGTCTTGCCCCAAGGGTTTAGGGATAGCCCTCATCTGTTTGGTCAGGCCCTAGCCAAAGATCTAGGCCACTTCTCAAGTCCAGGCACTCTGGTCCTTCAATATGTGGATGATTTACTTTTGGCTACCAGTTAGGAAGCCTTGTGCCAGCAGGCTACTCTAGATCTCTTGAACTTTCTAGCTAATCAAGGGTACAAGGTGTCTATGTCGAAGGCCCAGCTTTGCCTACAGCAGGTTAAATATCTAGGCCTAATCTTAGCCAAAGGGACCAGGGCCCTCAGCAAGGAGTGAATACAGCCTATACTGGCTTATCCTCGCCCTAAGACATTAAAACAGTTGAGGGAGTTCCTTGGAATTACCAGCTTTTGCCGACTATGGATCCCTGGATACAGCGAGACAGCCAGGCCCCTCTAATCAAGGAAACCCAGAGGGCAAATACTCATCTAGTTGAGTGGGAACCAGAGGCAGAAACAGCCTTCAAAACCTTAAAGCAGGCTCTAGTACAAGCTCCAGCTTTAAGCCTTCCCACAGGACAGAATTTCTCTTTATATGTCAGAGAGAGAGCCGGGATAGCTCTTGGAGTCCTCACTCAAACTCATGGGACAACCCCACAACCAGTGGCATACCTAAGTAAGGAAATTGATGT
The DNA here is from genome assembly GCF_000001405.40 of Homo sapiens. Taxonomy (NCBI): domain Eukaryota; kingdom Metazoa; phylum Chordata; class Mammalia; order Primates; family Hominidae; genus Homo; species Homo sapiens. Next base: position 67,624,690 of record NC_000011.10, read on the forward strand.
AGTAGCAAAAGGCTGGCCTCACTGTTTAAGGGTAGTTGCAGCAGTGGCCGTCTTAGCATCAGAGGCTATCAAAATAATACAAGGAAAGGATCTCACTGTCTAGACTACTTATGATGTAAATGGCATACTAGGTGCCAAAGGAAGTTTATGGCTATCAGACAACTGCCTACTTAGATACCAGGCACTACTCCTTGAGGGACCAGTGCTTCAAATATGCACATGCATGGCCCTCAACCCTGCCACTTTTCTCCCAGAGGATGGGGAACCAATCAAGCATGACTGCCAACAAATTATAGTCCAGACTTATGCCGCCCGAGATGATCTCTTAGAAGTCCCCTTAACTAATCCTGACCTTAACCTATATACTGATGGAAGTTCATTTGTGGAGAATGGGATACGAAGGTTAGTGATGTAACCATACTTGAAAGCAAGCCTCTTCCCCCAGGGACCAGTGCCCAGTTAGCGGAACTAGTGGCACTTACCCGGGCCTTAGAACTGGGAAAGGGAAAAAGAATAAATGTGTATACAGATAGCAAGTATGCTTATCTAATCCTACATGCCCATGCTGCAATATGGAAAGAGAGGGAGTTCCTAACCTCTGTAGGAACCCCCATTAAATACCACAAGGAAATTATAGAGTTATTGCACGCAATGCAAAAACACAAAGAGGTGGGAATCTTACACTGACAAAGCCATCAGAATAGGAAGGAGAGGGGAGAACAGCAGCATAAGCAGCTGGCAGAGGCAGCAGAAAGGAAAGAGACAGGAAGTCAAAGAAAGAGACAGAGAGGAAGAGACAAGAAGTTAGAGAGAAAGAGGGACAGACACAGAAAGTCAAAGAGAGGGTAAAAAAGAGAGGAAGAGACAAAGAAGAAGTCAAAGAGAGAGATGGAAGTAGTAAAGAAAAAACAGTGTACCTATTCCTTTAAAAGCCAGGGTAAATTTCTCTCTACCCAGCCAAGGCATATTCTCTTATGTGGATCTTCAACCCATATCTGCCTCTCAAAGTTGGAAGAAATAATGAAATCTATCCTTACTTTACAATCCCAAATAGACTCTTTGGCAGCAGTGACTCTCCAAAACCGCTGAGGCCTAGATCTCCTCACTGCTGAAAAAGGAGGACTCTGCACCTTCTTAGGGGAAGAGTGTTGTTTTTACACTAACCAGTCAGGGATAGCATGAGATGCCACCCAGCGTTTACAGGAAAAGGCTTCTGAAATCAGACGCCTTTCAAATTCTTATACCAACCTCTGGAGTTGGGCAACATGGCTTCTCCCCTTTCTAGGTCCCGTGGCAGCCATCTTGCTGTTACTCGCCTTTGGGCCCTGTATTTTTAACCTTCTTGTCAAATTTGTTTCCTCTAGAATCGAGGCCATCAAGCTACAGATGGTCTTACAAATGGAACCCCAAATGAGTTCAACTAACAACTTCTACCGAGGACCCCTGGACTGACCAGCTGGCACTTCCCCTGGCCTAGAGAGTTCCCCTCTGAAGGACACTACAACTGCAAAGCCCCTTCTTCGCCCCTATCCAGCAGGAAGTAGCTAGAGCAGTCATCGGCCAAATTCCCAACAGCAGTTGGGGTGTCCTGTTGATTGAGGGGAGACAGCATGCTGGCAGTCCTCACAGCCCTCACTCGCTCGCTCACTCTCGGCACCTCCTCTGCCTGGGCTCCCACTTTGGCAGCACTTGAGGAGCCCTTCAGCTCTGTATCTAGCTACTCTGATGGGTCCTTGGAGAACCTTTATGTCTAGCTCAGGGATTGTAAATACACCAATCAGCACCCTGTGTCTAGCTCAGGGTTTGTGAATGCACCAATGGACACTCTGTATCTAGCTACTCTGGTGGGGCCTTGGAGAACCTTTGTGTCAACACTCTGTATCTAACTAACCTGGTGGGGATGTGGAGAACCTTTGTGTCTAGCTCAGGGATTGTAAACGCACCAATCAGTGCCCTGTCAAACCACTCGGCTCTACCAATCAGCAGGATGTGGGTGGGGCCAGATAAGAGAATAAAAGCAGGCTGCCCGAGCCAGCAGTGGCAACCCGCTCAGGTCCCCTTCCACACTGTGGAAGCTTTGTTCTTTCGCTCTTTGCAATACATCTTGCTACTGCTCACTCTTTGGGTCCACACTGCTTTTATGAGCTGTAACACTCACCACAAAGGTCTGTAGCTTCACTCCTGAGCCAGCGAGACCACGAACTCACCAGAAGGAAGAAACTCCAAACACATCCGAACATCAGAAGAAACAAACTCCAGACGCACCACCTTAAGAGCTGTAACACTCACTGTGAGGGTCCATGGCTTCATTCTTGAAGTCAGTGAGACCAAGAACCCACCAATTCCGGACACACAACCGGCCATGTGACAGGCTCAGGGAAGGACATGTGACTCAAGGCAGGCCAGTGAAGTGCAATTCTAGGTTAGACTGGCCGGGAAGGAGCGGCCGTGTTTTCTGTTGATGGATGCTGCTGCCCTCTCCTCAACCTCTCACGCTCTGCACTACAGACAACCTCCTTGGGGCTGAGGCCAGCACAGCGCAAAGCACAGCAAGAGGGGAGCCCGAGCCCCTGGATCCAGCCATCCTCCACGGCAAGCTCAGACCACCCGCTCCCTCAGCTCTTTCACAGAACCCTGGTCTACCTAGTTGATGTCTTATATAATTCCACTATTATCTGTGATTAATTAATGTGGAACCACATGATTATCTGTGTGACCTGGTCTGAGGTCTCCCCTAGACTGAGCACCCCCTCTGGACGGCAGGTGAGCATCTGACCGGTCCACAGCTGTGGCCCCCACACAGCAGCTGGCACACACAGGGGCTCTGCATGTTAGACTCCTGCAGTAACACCCAGGGGCATGGGTGCGCCTTACTCCTCTCTGGGATCCCGGAGCCCAGCACAGCGTCAGCCAGGCACAGCAGAGAGAACAGGAGGTGCAGGCTGAGACAGGGCAGTGCAGTGCCTAAGAGTCTGGGCTGTGGAGTCTGAGAGCTCTGGTTCCAATCCCAGCGTGGGGCCCTTAGGCAAGGTGTCTCTCCTCCCTGAAAGCAGTCTCACCAGCCAGAGACAGTGTTGGCCCTGCCTTATGGGCTGTTGTGAGGGTGAGATGAATTGACTCCAAGTACTTGGCACCCAGGAAGTGTCCATTGCTGTGGGGCATGGCGTGACTGGAAGGAGGAGCCCCAGCCAGCGACCTGGAGTGGTCTGCCCAAGGTCAAGGCCCCAGTACAGCAGAAGCAAGAGCTCTAGAGCTGTCAAAGACCTTTATTCAGTCCTGGAGTGGAGCTGGCCTGACAGGGTGAAGCCAGGGGCTGCTTAGGGCGGGCCAGACCCTCAGCCCCTGAGCAGGTCAGGCCGGCCAGGCGGGGCTGGTAGGTACCAGGTGCCAGCAGCTGCAGGGCAAACTCAGTGATGACAGCTGTGAGGCCCCAGACCCGGTGTGGTCCATGCAGGAAGACGGGTAGTGTGTAGCGGAAGTGGCCACCCCGGCAGAAGTGGGTATAGCCCTGATTCTGCGTCTGCAGCAGGTGGGCCAGCGGCAGTGCAAACACCTCATCTACCTGCAGGCAGGAGGCAGAGAGGGTAGACAGAGGACTGGAACAGCCCAACCCCCTCATATCCCCCAGCTCACCTCCTCCGAGTTGGGCCTGAGGCTCTGGGGATCCAGTGGGCCTACACCAGCAAGCACTGGCACCACGGTGGCCTTTTGCTGGGGAAGAGGGCAGGTGGTCAGGGAAGCATGGCCTTCGCTGGGTTTGAAGGCTGGGGAGGGGAGTGTGAGAGGAAGACCCCTTTGCCATGCATAGGCCTTTGGTAGTCATGTTCGGGTCCACCTGCCTGTGTCCTCCAGCCATGCTGACTGACTCAGGTCCCCTCAAATGCACTAGACCTGTTCCCTCTGCTTAGGACAATCTCCCACTTGGCATTCAAGCCTGGGTTCAATCCCTGCCTACCCCATGAAGCTTCCCTGACCCTAATCCACCAAACTGAGTGGAGCTGGCCCACCCCATCGCCCTGGGCCACCTCTACTCAGGACACCAGAGCCTCCCCAATCCCTTCCCGAGGGGGTGTGTGGGGTGGTGCATGTGACCAGGCAGGTTAGGGGCACCCTTCCACACTTTGTGCCCGTGGGGGTCCATGACCACTCTCCTGGTCCCTGGTAGCCCAGCTCCAGGGCAGGCACAGAGTGAGTGAATGGGGTGGGGTGGCCTCAGCCAAGTGGCTTACCGGATCATACACAGGCCGCAGCAGGCCCCACACGTGCTCCTCGGGCACTGCCAGGCCCAGCTCCTCCCGGGTTTCCCGCAGGGCCGTGTGCACCACATCTTGGTCAGCCGGGTCGCACTTGCCGCCTGGGAAACTAAACAGACACAAGGAGTCTGGTCCTTGGACTCTTGGGGCCACGGAGAGGTCGGGGTATCGGCAGTGCGGGGGGGGCCACTGGCCCACCGAAGTGTCGCCTGCCTCTGCCCCTAGTTTACTGGGAGGCCCCAGGCAAGCCATGCGACCTCTGGAGGCCAGTTTACCTCCCTGAGCAATGGGGATAAGGAAGAGAGGCCCGGGACAGCGCAGGATAAGAGGGTCTGCAGCAGGGGCAAGAAGATCCTGGGGCTCAGATACCCAAATTCGGCCTATGGTGGCCCCAGCAACACTGACATTGTCCTCAGGATGTTCTTAATTCCCGCCGGGCGGGGCCCGAACCTCTCCGTAGTCGCCGGCAGGGGGCGGCGTCCGCCCTCTAAGCGGGAAACAGCTCAAAGGGGTGTCCCGGCCCAGGCGTGCGCGCAAGGACGCGTACGAGGGGCCCACGCGGCGAGGACGTGGCGCCCCGGCAGGTGCACCGGGGCCGACGGACACGGATCGCTGACCTCTCGCTGCAGCCCTTGGGCGGAGGGACTCTCCCCAGACCCATTTTACGGAGGCGGAAACCGAGGCTCGAAGGGGCTAAGTGCCCTGCCAGAGGTCCCTGCCAGCCCCGGGCTCCTGTAGCCTCCGGCAAAGGGCGAGGAGTTCCCGGCCGCTGTACCTGACGTCGCCCTTGTGCCTCCCGGTCAGGCGGCTGGACCGCAGCGTGTACAGCAGCGCCGGGACCCCACGCACTGAGCAGAGCGGCACGAGCACCGCGGCCGACGCGGGCCGCGCGCGGAGCCGGGCCGTGGCCCCTGCCAGCAGCCGGCGGCAGCGCAGCTCGCCCTCGGCCGACAGGCAGTCGGGCAGCATGTCAAGTCCTGCGCGGCCGGGACACTGAGGGCGCGGGATCGGGCGAGGGAAGAGGCGGGGCGAGGCGGGGCGGGGCGCTCAGCCCGGGTCCCTCCGAAAGCTGAGAGGGAGAAGGGGCAGCCCGCGCGACGCGTCCCGCCTGGGGGGCTGCAGAGCGGCAGCGGCGTCGGGGGGCCTCAGTGGGGTGGGTCTGTTCGTGGGCGGGGCCTTCCCGGAGACGGGGCCTCGGTGGGACTGGGTCTGTTCGGGGGCGGGGCCTGTTTGAAGGCGGGTCCTCGGTGGGACGGGGTCCGTTAGGGGGCGGGGCCTGTTTGAAGGCGGGGCCTCGGTGGGACGCGTTGAGTCCCCCGGATGGGAGGGACGGAGGGCGGCGGGGCGGGGCGGGGCGGGGCCTGCGCGGGAGCCGGACTCGGACGTTACTGCCAAAGGGCGGCGGGGCCTAGTAGGCAATCGAGGTTGGGGCGGGCTGGGGGCGGGGCCTGGACCGGAGCTTTTGCTACGAAGGACTGGGGGGCGTGGCCAGGAGGACTGTGCTTCCGGCAGGGCCGGGCCGTGGCCGGGGGTGTGGCCGCGGGGAGGGAGATGGGCGCGGAGCTGCAGGACCTGCCGGTTGTGTTCTCCGAGATCCTGAAACCACGCGAACCGTGAAGCGCCCGGCGACCGTCCTCGGTCCCGTTGGGTCCTGGCGTTGGGGTGTCTGATGAGGCCCCGCCGGCCCCCACTGGTCCGTCCCTCCCCTAGGGGCTCCAGGATGTACGGAGCCGGGATCCCACGGGGACGCCCCTCCAGGAACCCGAGGTCGATCGGTGCGCGAGAGGAGCGTCCGGCCCAGCCCTCCCTCCGGTCCTCCCTCCCGATACCGCTGGGTGGCGCGCGCCGCCCCCAGTCTTGTCTTCCCCTCTGGCTCCGTCGGACTCCAGCCCCAGGCCTTTGACCTCCTTGTCCCAGCGTCCAGAGCTCTTCTCCCTTCCTGCCTTGAGTCTTGACCGGATTCCCAAATCCCTCCCCCTTTCCTACCTCGGCCCCTGTGGTCACTGACCACCGTGGTTCTGCGCCCTTCCACCAGACCCTGGGCTTGGGGACCAGATGACCCCAGCCTTGCGCACAGCATTTAAACGTGGGGTGGCGGGTGTCCGCCATGCTCTGCTGTGTGACGTTGAGCAGGTCCCGCGCCTCTCTGAGCGCCAGTTTCGATCCTCATCTGGGCAAGTGCAGCCCTGCCACTGGGCTGGAGTCACCACTTTTAATATTACTGTGTGCTCCCAGGGATGCGGACGGCACTGGGCAGAGCTTCGGGATGCCTACAGGGCTGATGTGGGGACTATGATGGGTCTGGGAGTTCCTGAGGCCCCCACCCACCCTGACCACGACGACAGAAGTGCTCTGACCACTCATGCCAAATAGTTTAATGTTAGGGGGAAGGGAGAGGTAAGGCAGGGTTTTCGGGAGTTACCCCCAAAGCAAGAGGGCACAGTATTCAGGCTGCTGGGGTTGGGAGATAGAAGTCCTGGTTCCAAGCTTGCCATGGTCCCAGCCTTGCTGTGACCCTGGGCAGGTAGCCTCTTTCTCTAGACTTTCACCTACCCTGCTCTCCTTGAGACAGAGATGGGGCTGGAGGGGGCGGGGCAGAGGCTGATTCCCACACCCGGTGTAAGGTCCAGGGTAGCAGGGCTTCCCCCCAGGGCTTCTGGCATCACTGGGAGTCCTGGCCAGGCCCCAGGCACACCACAGTGGGGGACAGGAGCCCCAGCCCAGCTGGGAGAGGCAGGCCTCCTTGATCCCTATCAGCCCGGATGTTGGGGAGGGGGTATGGTGCTGGTCGGGTCCTTGGGATCCCTAGGTGGCTCGGGGCTCCAGAGTACAGGCTCTGATACGTGACAGGCCTGTAGGTGGCCGGGGCCAGCAGGACCTCAGGTGGGGGCAGCAGCTGATGATGGAGCCAAGCAGGGGTCTTGGAGGTGGAAGCTGAAGCTTTGTTGGGGTCTGAGGGAGGAAATGAGTGGACTCTGGGCCTCCCATCGCATCCTCATCCCTCATCCCAGGCCTGCCCTGGTCCCTTCCTGCTCCTCCTTCCCAAGTTACCTACCTCTCAGCCTTCGCCTTTGCTTTTCCCTCTGCCTGGAATTTCTTCTTCACCTTCTCCCTCTGTCCAAACCCTTCCCAGTCCTCCAAGGCCCAGCTTGAGAGCCACCTCCTGCAGGAAGCCTGCCTGGCACCCCCTGCCTGTGCTCTTTGCCCTGAGCCCCATATTGTCTTAGGCATGTCTGCTTCCCCCTCCGTGTGTCCACACAGGGGCCCTGTGGGTTCGCTGAGCTGCTGAAGCCCCTTCCTGGAGGTCCTGTCCCTTTGCCTTCCGCCCACTGTGTACACCTTAGTCCCACTATGTCTGCAGGCCTGGGGCCTTACCTTTCTCCCTGTCTGTGGCACCCTTCAGCACACAGGGACTGAGGCTGCTGTGACTCCGGGCTGGGACACTGAGCAGGGGCCGTGGGGCCACAGGCCTGAAAGAGCAAGCGAGAATGGGGGGAGGGGATCAAGGGGAAGAACCCAGGCCAGGGATCATGGCCAGCTTCAGATGGTGGGGCCCCAGGATGGGTCAGAGGGTGTGACCCTGAAACAAGGGTCAGGAACTGAGGCCTTAGGATATGCCTGGGGTGGGGGTGAGGGGCTAGGGTCAGGGTCAGACAGTACCAGGAGTCCAGGTCACTCTCTCTAAAGCCTTTGGCAAAAGGGTTGCTGGCGATTTTCAGCTGGGTGATCTGCAGGAGACAAAGTGCAGTTGTGGGCTGGCCATGAGCCAGGCTCAGCCACCTTGTCCTCCCGGGAACCGGCAGTCAGGAGGCCCTGGCACCTGGGCCTCTTGGCCCAGGAACTCTGAGCTGATAGGAGTGCGGGCAGGGCCTTGACTGATGGCAGATACTCAGGGCAAGTTGGGAGGGCAGTAGTCTGTGCCAGTGAGGGCTGCAAGCCTCAGGGCTCAGTCTCCACCCCTGTGAAATGGGCCTGCAGCGGGTGCTCCCGAGCTGGTTCACCCACCCTGTGGTTCTGATAGGCTGTCACTGCTGTGAACTGGGTCTCTGTGAAGATGAAGGACTTGAAGTTCTCCTGGGCATAGCGCTCACTGTCCTTGCGTGGGTCCACGAAGACCACGTGGAAACGGGGCTGGTAGCGGTGCATAGAGTTGAGAATGATCTGTGGAAGGGACAGAGCAGGGGTACAGGGGTGAGGCGGAGTACAGCGGACTCCCTGAGGCTGGAGTCCTTCCCTCCAAGCCGGGAGACTGCCCTGGGCCTGCCACCCTGTTCCTTTCATGGCAGCACAGGGTCTGAGCTGGAGAGGCTGCAGTTCCGTGTCAAAGGCCCCTTTGGATCATGGATCCTTGCCTCCATGTCCTCTCACACCCCACATCCCAGCTGCCACCCACTGCCTGTGTGCTGGCCCGTCACTGTCGCGTTCACCAGTTTCCTCGGTTGCCTCCTGGCCTGTCCCCTGTCCCCGCCTTACCCCTCTGTTCCTTCTCCACACAGCTGCCCGGGAAGCCACATCATATGCCCCCTGCTCCTAACCGTCCAGCGACTTCCACCCCACACGGTAAAAGCCAGAGCCCCCCGAAGTCAGCCCGACCCCTCAGGCATTCGCCTCCTTGGCTTCCCCTCCTGGCTCCACTCCGGCCCCATGGATGCGTCTTGCAATTCTGCCGGCCCAGGATTCTCTGGCCTCAGGGCCTTTGCACCTACTGTCCCCTCTGACGGGCATGGGCCGCTGCATCCTCCACCTCCTTCAGGTCTTCAGCTCCCTGCGCCCCCTGAGAGCAGCAGCACCCTTTCTCCGCCCCCCTTCCGTACCTCTGCTTCCTCTTTGGCATTTGTCCCTATCTGAGACGCTGGGGACAGTGTCTTCTGGACCCTGCCTTTGCCCCAGGAAGTGACCTCTGTGAGGGCAGGGATCGTTGGCTGTTTGACCAAGTGTTAATGATGCTGTGTCCACACATAAAGCGGGCCCGGCCTAGGCTGGGCGTTCCATACCTTGTCCTCCCTCTCCTTGCGGGGGACAACGTATGCTGGAACATTCCCCCGCCCCCACCCCCTTTTCCACCTGCCTGGACAGCCCTTCCTGCTGTGCCACCCCCAGCCAGGTGAGCTCGCCACCCCGGCTCCCCGCCCTGCCTTGACCATCAGCAGCAGGCAGAGGTGCTGGGCACCAAGGCCATTGGACACCAAAGTCCCTACCAGCCCTGACCCCAGGCCCTTCCGTCCCCACCGTGGCCCCGGCCTCACGTGGCCATTGTCATCCAGCAGGTTGTTGGTCAGCTTGAGCTTGTCAAAGGACACAATCTGGCGCATCCACTGGGCACCCTTGGCTGGCGAGTCGGGGTGGAAGTGCACGCGGCCAGGTGTGGCTGGGTCTGCCTTGCCCGCCACCAGCCAGGCCGAGCTGTGGAAGGCATACCTGGGGAGCACAGCGAGGTGGTGAGGGCTTCCCCAACCAGAGTCACGCCTGAACAATACAGGCGGGGTGAAGGGGCTGCTGCCGACTCCAACACTGCTCACCCCACCTGGTGGGCACCTTGCTAAGGAACCCAAGGCTCAAGAGAATCCTGTTGAGACCTGAGTTCCCTGTGGCTGCACCTGGCTGGTGGATGACAGGATAACCCCTGCTGCCCTGGGCTAGACCTCTCTGCCTGCCCAAGGCTAGCCCACTACCCATGGAAGTCTGCTGGGTACCCTGAGCTGGGCTGCCTCCTGCCCTCAGGCTGTTGTTGCGTGTCTGTCGTCCTGCCCTTAGGCTGGACCTCCCTGGCATTGTTTGGACAGGCCCCTGCCTCACCTTGGGGTGCAGGAAGGGTCTAATTCCTGGTCTCAGCACCTGAGACCTGAGCCTTTGCCCCAGGCCGGTCCCCGCACCTGTATCTCTTGTCGTCCAGGGGGATGAAGTCCATGAGCAGGGCGTAGTCGGCCAGGGAGTCCATGCCCAGGATCTTCACCTGGAAGGGGGGGAACATCCTCCTGCGGGAGGGAGGTGCTCAGCAGCCGGATGCGGCTCCAACCCTGGCCCCTGCCTCACCCCGCCCCCGCTGCTCACACCTGCCTGCCTTGGTGACGATCATCTCAGTGCCCAGCTGGTTGAATTCCTCCCACAGAGGCTTCATCTCCAGCTGAACTGTCACTCTGGACACACGTGGGTTCTTGGGGCCCTGCCCAGTGGGCTCGGCCACAGCTTGGGCCCCAGTAGAGCTGGTGCAAGGGCCTGATGGGAATGGTGACCCCAGCCGGGGCTCCCAGCCAGAGCTGGTTGTAGGTAGGGGGTAGGTCTCTGAGGGTGCAAGTATGCCGAGGCCAGCAGATAGGAAGGCTGTGGAGAGAGGACGGAAGTGTGGGCCCCACGCATCACCCAGCCAGCTCTTATCCTTCAGGCTGCACCTATATGCCTCTTCCTCCAGGAAGCCCTCCCTGACTGCCAGGGCTGTGTTCTCACAGGATCCCCCACTCAGCATCACTCTGTGAGGTAAATGCTCACTTAAAGTTTATTTTGCCAGCAAGCTCCTTGACGGTAGTGTCAGGGCCTGTCTTGCTCCCCAGAGAATGTTTGGGCCATCTTGTGTCTATGTGGCCTCAAGCAAATTGTTTCACCTCCTGGAGCCTCAGTTTCCACATCTGTCAGAAGGGGCTCTTAATACCTGCCTCACAAGGCCGATGTGAGGATTAGTGACCATGCACAGGGGCTGGTGCACAGGGGGCCCTTCACAAACAGCACCTGTTCTAGATGATATGTGTGTGGGGCGGGGGAGGGGGCAGGGGTCTTCCCCAGCTCTGTGGGACCCTGCCTCCCGGTGCTGCTGAAGGAGAGCTGAGCCAAGAAGAGCCCCCCATTCAGCACCAATTACCCATCCCTGACCTTGACAACCCGCCCAGAGCCTGCCTCCAGAAACCCATCCTACCGTCTTTTTCTCTGGTCTCTGCACTCTTTTCTAAGCATCTTGTCTTTTGATCTGCAATCCCGGCACAAGTCTTGGCCAAATGCTTTGTCACCCTTCACCCCTCCAATTAAAAAAAATCTTAGCTAAATAAGATACCATTTTATACCCATTAAGATGGCTATTAGAAAAGAAAAGAAACCAGAAAATAAAAAGTGTTGGTAAGGAGATGGAAAAATTAGAACTCCTTTTTTTTTTTTTTTTTTTTTTTGAGGCAGGGTCTCACTCTGTTTCCCAGGCTGGAGTGCAGCGGGAGCTCTGTCATAGCTCACTGCAGCCTCGACCTCCTGGCCTCAAGTGATCCTCCCATATCAGCCTTACAAGTAGCTGGGACTATAGGTGCACACCACCACACACGGCTACTTTTTTTTTTTTTTTGTAGAGATGGGATCTCCCTATGTTGCCCAGGCTGGTCTTGAATTCCTGAGCTCAAGTGATCCTCCCACCTCGGCCTCCTAAAGTGTTGGGATTACAGGTGTGAGCCACTATGCCTGGCCTCAAGAAATTGGAACTCTTGTGCACTGCTGGTGGGAATGTAAAAGGTGCAGCTGCTGGGGAAACAGCATGGTAGCTCCTCAAAAAATTAAAACTAGAATTACTATATATGTATATATTATTTATTTATTTATTTATTTATTTTTTTCCAGAGTCTTGCTCTGTCACCCAGGCCGGATGGATCTCGGCTCACTGCAACCTCTGCCTCCCTGGTTCAAAAGATTCTCCTGCCTCAGCCTCCCGAGTAGCTGGGATTACAGGCGTGCATCATCATGCCTGGCTAATTTTTGTATTTTTATTAGAGACGGGATTTCACCATGTTGTCTAGGCTTGTCTCGAACTCCTGACCTCAGGTGATTTGCCCACCTCAGCCTCCCAAAGTGCTGGGGTTACAGGCGTGAGCCATCATGCCCAGCCTAGAATTACCATATGATCCAGCAATTCCACTTCTGGGTCTATACCAGAAAGAATTGAAAGAAGGAACTCAAACAGATATTTGCACACCCATGTTCTTATGAGCATTATTCACAATAGCTGAGAAGTGGAAGCAACCCAGTGTCCATTGGAAAATGAATGGATGAACAAAATGGGGTCCATCCGTGCAAGGTAATAGTATCCAGCCTTAACAGGGAAGAACATTCTGACACATGCTGCAACATGGATGAGTCCTGAAGATGCTGTTACACGAAATGAGCCAGACACCAAAGGACAAATACCATATGATTCTACTCATAGGCCGTACGTGGTGAGGCCAAATCATAGAAACAGAAAGTAGAATGGTGGTTGCCAGGGGCTGGGGAGGAGGAGATGGAGAGTTGTTGTTTCATAAGGACAGAATATCAGTTCTGCAAGATGCAAAATGTTCTAGAGATGGATGCTAATGATGGTTGCACAACAGTGTTGTTAGAAATGCTTGTTTTCCGGTGCCGTAAAGAAATAGCACTTGAACATAAATTTAATTTCCTCAGCAAGGCCATTTTTTTTTACTTTTTGCAGAAAGGGTACACTCGCCAGCAGCTTTGCCATGAGAGTACACCGAACAAAGGAGACAGGGTCATTTATAACCTGACGTGTCCACCCTACTGCTGTGTCTGGTTCCCATTGGCCGGAACGGGACCTCACATTCTGTATTTGTCCTGATTGGCTAGTAACTTAGAACTTTTAAAACTGGCAAAGGCAGAGGAGAACAAAGGAAGGAGGAAGTAACTTATAGAATGCTGAGAAAGGTAAAAACACCTTCAAATAAGGAAGAGGAACAGGCTATGACCTAATGTTTGCTTGGACCAATATAAGCATGCTAGGGCAAATATTTAGGCTAAATTGTGGGAGCTAAGAACATAAAATATATTGATTTTTTTTTATTATTGTTAGCAGATATTTAAGAATGTTAGTACAGGTCTTTGAATAAATTTTGCTTCTAAGAGAAGTTATTATTTATTCTAATTAGATGGCAGGAAAGTCTATGAAGAGGAACCTCTACTTTACTTTTTACAATGTGAATGTAATTAATGACACAAAACTGTGTATTTAAAAATGGTTAAGGTGGGCCGGGCGCGGTGGCTCATGCCTGTAATCCCAGCACTTTGGGAGGCCGAGGCGGGTAGGTCACTTGAGGTCAGGAGTTTGAGACCAGCCTGGCCATCACGGCAAACCCTATCTCTACTAAAAATACAAAAATTAGCCAGAAGTGCTGGCGGGCACCTGTAATCCCAGCTATTCGGGAGGCTGAGACACAAGTGTCGCTTGAACCCAAGGGGGTGGAGGTTGCAGTGAGACATGTTCACACCACTGCACTCCAGCCTGGGTGACAGAGTGAGACTCTGTCTCAAAAAATAAATAAATAAATAAATAAATAAATATAAATAAATAAAAAGGTTAAGATGGTAAATTGTGTTATGTATATTTTACAATTAAAATGTTTTAAATGGAAAAAAATCCTGAGAAACAGAACTATTATTTTATAGCAGCCCCATAAGGGGCTGAGAAGCTGGAAGGGCCATGGAAGCCACAGTGGCTGGGAGTCAGGGGACAAGGTTTTATTCCCAGCTGTGTCCCCACCCGAGTGGCTTTGGGATATTTACACGACTGTAAGACTATGGGATGCCTGGAGCAGAGGGGGGTGCTGGGTGTTGGAGAGATGGATGAACTGGCAGACAGGCGGGTGACGGAGGCCCCCAGGTGGCATAGCATCTGCTGAGGTACCAGGTGGACGGCACCTGGCCAGGGTGAGCTCTTAGTAGGTGCCTGGGGAGAATGTGGAGCCCAGGGCCATGGCCACGTCCTCAGCAGCCCTGAGAGCTGCGTGCAAAGGCCCTGGGATTTCTGCAGCCTCGCGGGGGAGGGGGCGTCTTTGTGACAGGGATGGGTCACATCAGGTTTGAGGACCCTGGGCAGGATGGATAGATGGGCTGATGTCCCCCTGCCCCTGTGGCCAGTCCATCAGAAGGGTAGCTGGTTGTCGCCCGGCTGCCCTGCTGGGGCGGGTACGTCATCCAGGTGATGCCAGCCCCCCTGGGTCCATGGCAATGGGTCCCAAGGTGGGGGGGCTCATGATTTCACTGGGCCTGGAGGCTTTGCCGGTGGTCACTGGCTCCCAAGTCCTCTAGGGGCTCACCCGCTGCCCGTCGCAGCCAATGTGCTGCCCCTCAACACTTTCAGGGACTCTGGTGGGGGGAGCCTGTCCTTTGCTCAGTCCCTCTAGAAGCCAGCATTCCTCAGGGCCCAGAGATGACAGCTTGCCAGAAGCATCGAGTGTCAAGTCTGGAAGGGAAGCTAAGGGCTTCTTGTCCAGCCCCAACTTTGATGCTCAAGGAGCTGGGGCTCAGGGAGAGGCCCGAGGTCACACGTGCCCAGTGAGGCGCTCATCTCCCGGAACAGCCTGGTCCCTGGCATCTCCCATAATTGCACTTGGGCAGCCGTGAGCCCTGTCCCGTTGGGATCTCAGACCTTAGCCTGGGGTGCCCCTGCCCCACCCTCTTGTGAAGGACCTGGGTTCAGCGGGGCTGTCTTGGTTCCCACCCTGCCCACCCACCCTGGAACCTGAGCCTGACCCATGAGGCCACCTCTGCTTCAGAACGTAGCCTACCTGCCATGGAGACAGAGAGGCTGTCCGGCTCCTGGAGAAACACTGCTTGGCTGGGGCTGGGAACCTGCCTGCTGGAAGGGGTGGTCACCACTCGTCCACTCGGCACCTCAGCTCAGCCCTCAGGTGCTCACACAAGCTGTAGTCTCTCGGCAGGACGGTCCTTGCCTCCTCGATCGCCCTTCGTCCACGTCCTGAGGTCGTGGTCTTCCTACTCGAGCTGGACCCCTGGTCTCCGAAGGTGAGATGCAGGCTCTGGGGCGTGCAGCGGCCCTTCTCCAAGCCACTCTCGGGCTGTGCTGTCCAAGGCTGTGCGGGAGGAGGGCAGGTGGGAAGGTTCTGACGTTGCAGAGCCCCCCTTCCTCCCTCCTTGTCCTCCCTCTTCAAGTTCCTCCCTTCCCCAGCTAAGAGCCCCCCAGCCATTCCTGATCGATGGGCCCAGGCGTGGCAGGGGTGAGGGGGTGGGAGAGTGGTTCTTGAGGACGGCTGGGCATCTGCAGGGGTCCAGGCCTGGCTGACTGGAGGGGCTGGGGCCCCGGGGGTTGGGAGGCACAGTGGGAGCAGCAGATTGCGGGCTGAATGGCGGAGGAGGTGCCCTCCCACCAAGACCCAGACCCCTGACCTGAGGCTGGCCCCAGCCGGCCGGCAGATGCGCAATTGTCAGGAGCAGTGTGAGCAGGAAACGCAAGGGGGCAGCAGCAACGAGTGCAGTCAGCATAGAGCCCCAGACTGGATGGCGGGAAGCCCAGGTCCTGTGGCACGTGAACCCACACGCACAGACACATGGATGAACTCAGGGAGCTGCGCAACGCTGGCAGGTCCCACAGTCTCCGTGCCTCAGCCTCCCCAGTTAACCTAAGCACATAATCTCTTCCGCCTGTGATGGTCTAGCCCAGCCTGGAGAGCGGTAAGCCCATCCCGCCTGGAACTGGGGGCACTGCCCTGGCTGATGGTGTCCACGGAATCCCCATCTGGACATGAGTGGAAACGGTGAGGCTGGCCCAGGTGAGAAGTGGGCGTCCGCTCTGCCTGTGGGTCTGTCTGTTCTCTCTGGCCTGACCGGGCACCCTCTCCAGGTTGTCTACAGCCTGTGCTGGGCATTCAGGGGACACATGGATCACTCTGCAGGGAGGCAGAACCTGGAGGTCCCCCTGAGAGGCTGCCAGTTCCTTGGTTGAGAGTGCTCGCTGGCCTTTTGACTCTTGCTGAATGGCACAGAGTGGGTCGTCTGGCTGGAGCCCCCCATACCTCCTCCAGAATCCTGTCTTGGGGATGCTGGGTTGGCAGTGGCCTTGATTCCTAAGAGGGGGCATGGAGGGGCTGGGGGGCGGCAGGGCTGCTTCTCCCTGAGCGCTATGTTCTGGGCGCAGCTGCAGCTCAGGGATGCCTGTGGCTCAATCCCTTGTGTCTCACATCTCAGCCTGCAGAGCTGGATGGGACCCCACACAAAGACGGTGGGCTGGCTCTGGGGGATGTAAAAGGAGGAGGGCCGGCCCCTGGCCCAACCCCATGCCCGGCTGTGTGAGAAAAGGCTGCCAGCACTTTGGAGTTGCTGCCAGGCAAGATGGGAGTGCTCTGTGTGAGTTGGAGGGTCCCAGCAGCCCCTTGAGGCTATACAACAAGGTGTAGTCATCTGCCCTGGCCATGGCATGGTGGGTGGGAAGTGGGGAGATGATGGAGGGAGTTGGGGGATCCATTCCAGTACTGGTGGCTCCCCTTCACCGAGACACCCAGGGGAGGGCCAGGCTGGGATTGTAGTGGCCCCTGATACGTGTGTGTGTGCGATTTTGATCTGTGTGATGGGAAACAACCCCCCTCCCACACACACACACGAGCACACTGACATGCTAACCCACATGCACGCAGACACACGGATGAACTCAGAGCCTGCTGACTCGCCACATGGCGCACACACGTACAGCTTCTGTGCACATGGACTTACCACACAGCACGCGCACAGACACAGGCAGGCCTCCCTGCACACCCCTCCCCGGCTGGCCCGCCCGCCCTGCCTGCCCGAGGCGCCTGCTGGCCCCCTGCCCCCTCATCCATCTTGCCTGCCAGCCTGTCCCTGGTGCCCCCGTATCCTTCACACCTTCTCATATCACTGCTCAATACCAGGAGGTGGCGTGGCAGCCGTGGCCGCAGGGAAATGGATGGGCAGGGTGGGGGTGTAGAGGGCTGGGGGAGTGGCACTGCGAGGGGACTCTGGACTCCAGCAGCCCCAGATGTCCAACAAGAGTCCATTAGGCTCAGGCAGGTGCGGGCAGTGAGGCTGCAGCCAGGTCGCATATAGCCCTGCCTATTTGTCCTGCCATGACACCCTGAAGGGTGCCAGCATCAGGACAGAGGGGCCCTCAGCAGTGGGCCTCATGCCGGCTCGCCTGACATCAGTGCGCGGTGTCCTGGGGATGGCGGAAATGGTGGCTTCCCAATTAGAGCTGGGAAGTCCCTGTGCCCCAACCCAAGCCACCTCCTCCCTGCATCTCTGCAGTTGGACAGGCTGTCCTGCATGGGGACAGCCTTGTCCTGCTGTGGCCCTTCCCCCAGCCCTGACTCCCTGCTTGAGCCACTATGGGCACCGGGCTCATTACACACTTAAAAATGCACATCTGGCCACATAGAGATCCCCTTAGAACGCCCAAGGAACTGAGGCTCTTGGAAACACGTGTGTGTGGGAAACGCACAGACACGCACGCCAAAGAGCATCCAGGGCAGGCGCCATGCACGGACAAACACACATGTGTGCACAGACATGGGCCTGTCTCTGCGCTCCCCACACTCACTGTCTGGCCCCAGGACTATAGGAGGGTTGGGGGGTCCCCCTCTGGGTTGTAGCCTCCTCTGGAAGCCCCTCCGCTGGATCCAGAGCAATCCTTCTTCAGGTTCTCCTCCCACACTCTGGAATCCTCCCCCAGGCATGGATGGACAGCTGTGGGCACAGAGGCAGCCACCACTGGCCCCAAGACACTTGCAGGTCCAAGGCTGCACTGGCCAGACCTCCCCCAGATCCTGTGGTCAACCTCCCTTCCTCCATCCACTTCCCCAGCCAGAGAGGAGCCGTGCAGGACAGAGGACACAAACCATGGACCTCTGGACATCTTCCATTTTATAGAAAGGGAAATTGAGGCCAGGGGTTGGGGAGGCCTGGCAAGGAACATGGTGCATGGTAGGTGGCAGAAGGGACCTCTGTGCTCAGAGCTGTGCCTCAGGACCCATCGTTCAGATGGGAAGACTGAGGTTGGGGAGGTGTGTCTTGGGTTAGGAAGCTGGGCTCGGGGCAGGGGTCAGCGCGGGCATGGCAGGCACGGTGAATGTGAACTTCTCAGTCTGGACAAAGGCAACGCCCTTCTCATAGTAGGCAGCCTCGTTAATGAACACGGGGTACACCGTGGACTCTCCCTCATAGAGCAGGTCCTCCCCACTGAACATCTGGAAGATGGGAGCACCAGGCTGCAGTGGCTGGAAGTCTCGGTCCTGGGAGGAGAGCCAAAGGCCAAGATTGCTGGGGCCACCTCTGCCCTGGCCCCAGAGGGGGGTGACCCCAGCTTGACACCCAAAAGATGCCCCTCATTCATGGCTTTTCCCACCCATGCTTCACTTCCTTAATCCATATGACAGCAGGTCTGGTGAGATACCAGTCTGCTCTGTGTCTAGAAATGAAGACACAGGTCACCTTGGGGTGGCATGTGCCCATGTGGAAGTGGACCCTCATGGATACGGGCACAGGTATTGAAGCTGGAGTTCAAATTCTTGCTAGCTGTGTAACTGTGAGCAAGTCACTTAACCTCTGTTTCTCAGCTTTCTTGTCTGTAAAATAAGGATTACAATATCTCCTCCTATCATTCTGAAGTTTAGACTAAACAGGTTAATAGTGCTTACAGCAGTGTCTGGCACACGGTAAGTACAATATGATTCTTTATTAAATAAATTTTGGCTGGGCGCAGTGGCTCACGCCTGTAATCCCAGCACTTTGGGAGGCCAAGGCGGGTGGATCATGAGGTCAGGAGTTCAAGACCAGCCTGGCCAACATGGTGAAATTTCATCTCTACTAAAAATACAAAAATTAGCCAGGTGTGGTGGTGAGCGCCTGTAATCCCAGCTATTCGGGAGGCTGAGGCAGGAGAATCGCTTGAACTCAGGAGGCGGAGGTTGCAGTAAGCCAATATTATGCCACTGCACTCCAGCCTGGGCAACAGAGCGAGACTCTGTCTCAAATAAATAAATAAATAAATTTTAAGCCTGGGCACAGTGGCTCATAATCTCAGTGGCCTGTAATCTCAGCACTTTGGGAGGCTGAGGTGGGCAGATCACTTGAGGTCAGGAGTTCGAGACCAGCCTGGCCAACGTGGTGAAACCCTGTCTGTACTAAAAAGACAAAAATTGGCTGGGTGTGGTGGTGAGTGCCTATAATCCCAGCTACTGGGGAGGCTGAGTCAGGAGAATCGCTTGAACCCAGGAGGCAGATGTCACAGTGAGTTGAGATCGCACCACTGCACTCTAGCCTGGGCAATGAAGCAAGATTCTGTCTCAAAAAATAATAATAAAAAATAAAATAAATTTTAAAATTGTAGGAGGAGCCACCCAAATTGACTGTTATGACTGAACGTCTGCAAGGTAGCTGGGCACGGCTGGATTAAGACTGTCTAGCCCTAAACATGGACGGGATGGTGCTGCCTC
This sequence comes from Homo sapiens, assembly GCF_000001405.40. NCBI lineage: Eukaryota > Metazoa > Chordata > Mammalia > Primates > Hominidae > Homo > Homo sapiens. The sequence goes on from NC_000011.10 coordinate 67,644,143, forward strand.
CATTTGTAAGAAGGTAACTCCTCAAAATGAAACTTCAGGGCACAAAAGGCCACAAGATTGCACCAGACCCTATTCAACAATGACCCCCTGTGGCAGCAAGCAGAGCAGCAGCCAGTACGTTCTTCTCAGGCACCCAAGGGAAAGGTGTGGAAGCAGGATTGCCTAATCCTGGAACATTCAGGAAGGGAAGGCCTGCAGAGAGACATACTGCCAACATGCATGGGGATGCTCGAGGAACCAATTGAAAATCAGAAGAGAGTTTTGTATTTGCACCTCCAAGCAGGTGAATTGAGTCATGCCTGCTCCATGTCCCCTCCCTCTGCCTTTTACAGCCAGGGTAGGGTTGTCTCCATCATGCCCTCCACAGGAGCTATGGGGATCACTGTGGCCTCTTGTGCTAGGCCTGAGTGTGGGGTTCCAGGGAAGGCAGCAGGGCCAGGGGAAGTGGGATGGCGGAGCCCAGCCTCCCATCCTGCTCCTCAACCCGAGATGCTGGTGAGCTCGTGGGAGGCTTGGCTGCACCCCCTGGGGCTCAGTTTTCCTTGACAATCCTCCTCCCCAAGGCTGTGGCCCCAGAAATCACCCCCCACCACACACACACACACACACACACACACCTGCAGCTGAGGATGCACAGTGCCTGCCAGGTGCCCGGCCTCGGTGCGGGGGAAGTCCACGACGCCCACGGGTCTATAGGCTTCCATCTCAAAGGCAGGAAAGGCCGTACCTGTGTGGGAGGCTGGGTGTGTGAGCCCATCCCTCCCTCCAGGCTAGGGGACAGACTGGGCCGTGGGGGTACGTCAGGGCTAGATCCCAGCCTGCCTGTGAGCCTGGCTCCCCAACCCCTGAGCCAGACCTGCTCTTCCCCGGACCTGTTTCCCGAAAGTCCCCTGGGGTCTCACCCTGGTTGAAGAGTTCGATGAAGTCCAGAACTGTGGCCACCAGGGTCCTCATCCTTGAGAAAATGTCAGCCCGCAGCACACCCTGTGGCTGGGGGCCCAGCTCCAGACCTGGGGACCAGGAAGCAAGGGGTTAGGCAGGTGCAGGACCCATATACTCCTTGAAGAGGCCCTGCCCCTTGGTGACTGGACCCGCCCCTCCAGCCCTCCTGGCCCCGCCCACTTCTCAGAAGGCTGCGGCCCACCCAGTCCATTTTTGGCCACAGAGTCCAGGTTGTAGCTCTCCTCCCCAGACCGCTGGTACAGGAAGACCTGGCAGGACAGCTCGGGGTACTGCAGCTGGGGGCGAGAGAGGCAGGTTAGGGGCCCAGGCCTACTTGGGAAGGGAAACTGAGGTGGGAAGGTGTTGCATGGAGGAAACACAGGGCACCACCCTCCTTGGCCAGGTCTCCCTCTACCCTCTGGCAGGGTAGGGGAGGGGGTACCGGGGGCCTGGAGTGCTGGCGAGTGGCAGACCCCAGGGACTGGAGCCCAGGGGAAACTAGGCCCGGGGAAGAGGGGCTAAGCAAAGGAGGTTCCAGCATTGTCCCGCCTGCCCTCCCTCCCTCCCACTCCCCTCTGGGGAGCTGTGTGCTTGGGGCCGGGGCCACCTGCAGATGGCGGCACAGGTGCATGGCAAAGACTTCGTGGGAGGACTTCGCGATTAAGCAGGTGCCCATGTTGGCCGTGGTGTTGTGCAGGTCAAGGACAAAGTCAAAGGCCTGGCCCGAGGCCTTGGGCCCCAGCAGCTGGTTCAGCTCTCGGGCTCTTGTCACCTCATATGGGTCGTCCGGGGTGGGCCTGGAACTGTGGAGACGGGAATGGGGGACACCGATCTTCACAGTCTCAGTCAGTCTTCAGTGGTTTAAGGGGAAAGGGGCAGGGGCCCTGCAGGAGCCACTCTGAGCAGCTCGAGCGAGGGCTTTCCCTTCAGACGTTGTGGCTGTGTCCACCCCTGCCCGTGGCCCTCTTGGCTCTGCACTTCCCGGTAAAATCCAAGCTCTCAGCCTGGCCCGCCCTCCCACCTGCCTGCCCACTTGCCTGCCTCTCATGCCCTCATTCCAGCCACACTGCCTGAGCACCATGCTGGTCTCACCCCCAGGCCTGTGCTGTGCTTGGCCCTCCAGTGGAAACTCCCTCTCACCTCTCTTCCCCTGGCTAGCTTTTAGTCAGCCTTTGGGGCTTGGCTGAGACACCATTGCCTCCAGGAAGCCTTCCCTGACTGCTCTCAGCCAGGTTAGCTGCTTTGTGTAGCCTCCGGCCCTGCCTTTAGCCCCCTGGGTTATGGTTGCCCGGTTCTTCCTCTGTCTCCCCATTAAGCTTGAAGCCAACACCTTGGTCCTATTCCCCATTCTCTCACCTGAGCTGGCCAGAGCCTGGCCTGGAGATAGGATGCAGTGACTATTCATTGGAAGGAGGCATGAACAGTGATCAGGGCACACGACAAGTAAACATGGCCTGTGGGGCTAATCTGAGGGAAGAATTAGGTCTGGGATCCCCAGAAGAGGTCCTGAACCAACTTGCAGTCAGGAAGGCCTTCCTGGAGGAGGTGACATCAATCTTGGTTTCTCTAAATGTTCGGTTTGTCCCGTGGAGGAATGGGCCACATAGGCAGAGGGGAAGCAGGAGTGAAGGCAGGGAGGGCCCTGCTGGTGGCGGGAGGGAAGTTTTGTGGTGGGGACTCGGTGCCCAACTGCCTGGGCCAACCTGGCGGCAAAAGCACTCACTTGAGGAAGCTGCTGGTGAAGGTGCGGTTGAGGTCATGGTCCACGTAGCGGCGGCAGCCGGATGTGGCTGCCGGGTTGGCCAGCACAGGCACAGCGGAGAAGCTGGCTCTCTGCAGCTCTGCGGGGGCATGCAGCCAGTGCCGGGCCAGGTAGACGCCCGACATCTCGTTGCCATGCGTGCCCCCAGTCACAGCCACGCGACGCAGGGGCTCCCGGGGCACAGGCAGTGAGCACATGCTGGTGTGGGGTGCAGAACCTGGGGGTGGGCATACTTAGGAGACCCTGGCCCCGATGCAAGGGATCTGGGCTCAGGGCAAGGATGGCGGTGGGAGGCTCCACAGGGCAGCCACCTGTCAAGAGGTGTGGACAGCTGGGAGTGTCTCAGCTGTGTCCCACCTGCACCCCCAGTGGCCCTTTCTCTGAGGAGACAATTTTCCTGCTCCTTTGGAGAAAAGAAGTTTCTTTTTCCTAAATTGAGAAGAGGGGCCCAACTGTTCAGGAAGATGGGTTCACCAAGGCACACTCCCTATAGGAAGAGGACTGCGCTCCTTTTTATAGACAGGGAAACTGAGGCACAGCGTGGGGAGTGGAAAGTGTCACCAGAGTTAGCTGTGGAGTGTCTGGGTTCTAGGCAACAGCCTCGCCTTCCTGCCCCTCCTGCTTGCTCCTCCCAGCTGGTGCAGGGGTCTCAGGTCAGGGGGTACTTACCGCTGATGCGGATCTGGGCTTCCCGGGCCACCAGGACTGGCGTCTAACTCGCAGACAGGCTGGTATTCATGGGCCTGGAGATCCACAGATGGGAAGTTTTGTGGCAAGCTGGCAGACAGCAGGGGGTGGGTGGGACGGGCTGAGGTTCATGCAGCCAAAGGTCGGAGTGCTGGGGTCTGCTCCACTGCTCCTGCCCCGCCCGCCCCACGCTGCTACTTGTGCTGCCACGGCCCAACGAGTCCAGGTCCTGCGGGCAAGTTCCTGCCCCTGCCCTTCGTCCTTCTGCTGGGCCCCAGAGGGGCCACCTTCCTTAACACTACTAAGAGGTACACCCGCAGTGGGGTGGTGACTTGGTTTTGGTCACCACCAGAGCAGGCTATTGAAAGTTACTATAGAGGTGTCACCTTGATGGCCACCAAGATGACAAGCTGCCCCTCCTTCACCACCTCGGCAACATGCCTCTGTCCTTGCAGCCCGGAGAGGGCTGTGGTCACTCCTGAGTCGCCCTTACCCAAAGGTGCCATGTGGAGCCCCAGTTTTACAGCTCTTTGTTGCTTTAAGCAAAATTTTAAAATGTTTGATCCGGGATTTCAGTCATTTTCAAGGACAGTGTAACTCAGATGACTCGGTTTGCCCTGTTTTGGGAACAACCCTCAGGCTCATTTTATAGATGTGAAAACTGAGGCTCAGAAAATTGTCTGCAGGCACACAAGCCCTAGAGGCAGGCTGCAGGTGGCCCACAGAACCCTAGGGGCAGACTGTTCAGCGGCACACAGAGCCCTAGAGGCGGGCTGCAGGTGGCGCACAGAGCCCTAGAGGCGGGCTGTAGGTGGCACTCAGTGCGTCCAATGTGGCTCCATCCCCTCCTGCTGCCTCTCAAGAGCAAAGTGGGGAAGGATGAAGGTGAGGTCCCCTGCACTCAGCCCTGGGGCCTCTACCTCCCACCAGGCTCAGCTGTCTGCTGGGAGGAGCTGAGGCCAGTTCCGAAGTCACTGGGGAGTGAGGCAAGCTGCTCCGCCAGGGCCTGCTGGATGCCAGGTGCTGGGACCCTGAGCTGGAGCCTCCCCCAGGCATCGATCCTGGGCCTTCTTTACCACCACACTGGGTCTCCCCGGGCCAGTCCAGCCCTGCTCCAGATGCCAGGCCCACCAGCCTGGGGGGCTCTGGGTGGCCAGGACCCTCTAAGTTACACCCTCTCGGAAGCTGCCCCAGATCACACTCAGCTCTGTGTGGCCTGGGCTCTCCTGCCCTCCACACCCAAGGCTTCGTGAGCTCAGAGCATGGCGATTGTGGGGACAGGGGATTTGTCATCCTGGCTCCCATCAGGGCAGCTGGGATCTTGACAGGGTGTCAAGAGGGGTGGATGGAGTGTGAGGCTGAGCCCCCAGTGGGCCGGGGCTCCCTATGAGCCCCCTCCAGGGGCCACTCCTCCTGGCACCTGGAGCCTCAGCAAAGGGAGGGCAGAGACTGCCATTAGGGGGCCATGCCATGCCATCAACTCCTGTATCCGGCCCAGCCCTGGGGGCAGCTGTCACCGGCTCCATTTTGCAGGTGTGGACTGAAGCTCTAGGGGTTGGGTGACTTGACTGAGTCCTTGGCAGGTGGTGGGAGAGGGAGTCAGCAGAGGAGCCTGTCGGCCTGGGTCTGTTCCTTCCTTGCTTGGGGTAGGGGTCTCAGGGACCCCCATGCTGCTTTATGAGTCCCAGGCCATGGTCTTTGTTGGAAGGCCCCCCCAACCCCCACAGAGGCTGGGATCCTGCTGACTCGGTGTGGTACCTCTCAGGAAGGAAGGGCCTCCGTGGCAGACCTAGCTATTTTGGGGGCTGCTGGGGGCCAGGGTGCTTCCTGCCACAAGGTGCTGGGCCCCCAAGTTTAGGGAGAACAGCAGTAGGGGTGCTGGAAAGTTTCACTTCCCTTGGCTGGGGTCCAGCTTCTGCATTTCAGTGAGTGTTTATGGAACAGAACGGGGTCCAGGAACCCTCAGAAACAGCAGCCCCCAGTCCTGGCAGTGTGTGCGCGTGTGTGCATGTGTGTGCATGCATGTGTGCATCTGTACATGTGTGCGTGTGCATGAGAGCATGTGTGTGCGTGTGTGCACTCACATGTGTACGTGACAGCATGCGTGTGTGCGTGCGTGTGTACATGTGTGTGCATGTGCATGAGTATTGTGTGCATGTGTGCATGTATGTGTACATGTGTGCGTGTGTGCATGAGAGCATGTGTGCGTGTGTGCGCATGTGTGACAGCATGCATGTGTGCGTGTGTACGTGTGTGCATGTGCATGAGAGTATTGTGTGCATGTGTGCATGCATGTGTGTGTACATGTGTGCGTGTGTGCATGAGAGTGTGTGTGCATGTGTGTGCATGTGTGCATGTGCTTGAGAGCGTGTGTGCGTGCATGTGCGTGAGCATGTGTGCGTGTGTGTGTGTTGTGTGCACACGTGTGACCTGGCTCTGGCCCCACCTCCCTGACAGGCTGTGTGACCTGGAGAGATTCAGTGCCCTCTCTGGGCCTTGGCTCCACCCTGTGAAAGTCCTGGCCAAGGGCAGCTGTGGGGAGTGAGGAACAAAGGGCGGGCACAAGCTTGAAAATGGGCACATGGAGACCCCAGCATGAGTGAGGGCAGAGGATGGTGATGTCATGGGCATCATCACGGGGGCCAATTTCCTCACTGCAGTTGGGGAAACTGAGACCCAGAGAGGGGTCAGAGCTGTGGTTCCCCCCTGTGTCAGCATCCAATTAGATCATGCCTCCCAGCATCACCTCATTGCAAGATGCAATCAGATCACGCCTCATTACCCTATGCTTATAAAACCTGCCCCAGCCCTCAGCTCGGGGAGACACTGCTTTGGGAGCTGTCTAGGTGTTCTCCTTACTTGTTGCAAGAAATAAAATCCCCTATTAAATCCTCTTTAGTTAACACCCGCCAAGCAACTGAGCCCACCCGTTGTGTGGGTAACAAAACTCTGGCGACCCAGATGGGGCCGACTGGGATTCTGATCCTAACTTCTTGAGGCTCACTAAGGTAAAGCAGTGGGCCGCGGCACCTTCCCCGGGCGAACTCACCCACGTGGCCCCAGAGGGTTGAGGGTGACTCCCGGGGATCTTCTGCTTGCTGCGTGGCCCGTGGGGCTGTCACTCCGCCCTACCCCCGAAACAGCGGAAGCAGCTGCCTGGAGCTTTTGTTCTGTGCTGCTCCTTCAGGGAAGAAAGTGGACTTTGCCCCGTGGGTTGACTGAAAGGGTAAATTCTTTGGACCTAGCAGTGGGATCTCTAGACTTCAGCGCAGGGCACCTCTGCTTTCGGTTTCTGTCTGGCTCTACGTGCCGTGGGGGATTGAGAGGCATCTCTGGCCAGGCCAAGGGCAACCCGGATCCCGGATCTGGGTAGACAACAGTGGGACTAGTTTTGGGAATTCGTTTTTTTTTTTTTGAGACAGAGTCTGGCTCTGTCACCCAAGCTGGGGTGCAGTGGCGCGATCTCGGCTCACTGCAAGCTCCACCTCCCGGGTTCACGCCATTCTCCTGCCTCAGCTTCCTGAGTAGCTGGGACCACAGGCGCCCGCCACCACGCCCGGCTAATTTTTTGCATTTTTAGTAGAGACGGGGTTTCACCGTGTTAGCCAGGATGGTCTCGATCTCTTGACCTCGTGATCCGCCCGCCTCGGCCTCCCAAAGTGCTGAGATTACAGGCGTGAGCCACCGCGCCCAGCATGAGAATTTGTTCTTTTTTAGAGAAACAGAATTTTTCACAGGAGGCTGAGCTGCTCCATCTCCCAGAGCCCCTACTTGCCATACCCCGGGTTACCAGAAACAGGAGCTCTGCCATTTGATGAAAAAAATACTTTTTTCAGATAAATGTTTTTGTCATATCATCACACAAAGCGGGTAAAGTTGTATATATATACATACAACTTTTTACAAATATGTGATCATATGTACAAAGGCTAGAAGGAAATATACAGAAAAATATGTATTAAAATACTGGTTTTTTTTCATTGTTTTATAAGATACTCTACAAAACATTACAATGAGGTAGGACTATTTTAGTGCTAGAGAATCTCATTAAATGAATTTGTTCAAGAGCTTCTTTGTCAGCTGGGTGCAGTGGCTCACACCTGTAACCCCAACACTTTGGGAGGCCAAGGGGGGCAGATTGCTTGAGCCTAGGTGTTCAAGACCAGCCTGGGCAACATAGGGAGACCCTGTCTCTACCAAAAAAAAAAAAAAAATTAGGGTGGGCGCGGTGGCTCACACCTATAATCCCAGCACTTTGGGAGGCTGAGGCGAGTGGATCACCTGATGTCAGGAGTGTAAGACCAGCCTGGGCAACATGGCAAAACCCCGTCTGTACTAAAAATACAAAATTTATCCAGGCATGGTGGTGGGTGCCTGTAATCCCAGCTACTTGGGAGGCTGAGGCATGAGGCAGAGGTTGCAGTGAGCCGAGATCATGCCATTGCACTACAGCCTGGGCGACAAGAGCGAAACTCTGTCTCAAAAAAAAAAAAAAAAAAAAATTAGCCAGGTGGTGGCACACACAGCTGTGGCCCCAGCTACTCAGGAGGCTGAGGCGGGAGAATCACTTGAGCACGGGGAGTTGGAGGTAATCGTACCGTGAGTACAGTGAGCCGTTATCGTATGGCTGCATTCCAGGCTAGACAACACAGTGAGACCTTGTCTCAAAAGAAAATAAATAAATAAATAAATAAATAAATAAATAAATAAATAAATAAAGAGCTTCTTTGTCAATATCCTTTTGTGGGTATACATCATAGTCCCACAGTACTTCTTCAACCCAGGGAGATAAATGTGTATTAGTCTGAAGACCCAGGAGAGAATCTTCAAGACTTGGCACTGTCACTGATGATGATCTGCTTCCTTACATTATGACAAATGTATTCCCAGCTCCGGCTTGTTCTGCCTCATTAAGAGAATATTTGAAGACATTATTCATGATAGCAGCATCAGCATTTTGCAGAAGAAACCCTGGGGACAGATGTCTGCATGAAGCACCTTTATTCTGTGAATAAACTGGTATTTTTTAATGACCATTTCCTGCAACTGGCAAAAGTCTCCGTTCAGTTCTACTCCACAGGGTTGCACTGCTAAGCTATAAGATCACCCCATAAAGACTGTGCTGAGCCTGGAGCTGACGTCAGCCACAGCCTTTCCTGATTGATCAGGGAGTGCATGAAGATAAATGAACTTCAATTCCATGAGGGAGAAGGAACGAGCAATCGGTCTAAAGGTTCTGTTTGGTGTGAACCACCCAGTAGTTTCTGCTCATTTTCCCTTTGTCACATAATGAATCAATGAAGTCTTTATCACAAAGGAATGCGTCAGCGTGAATGGTGGGTTCTGGCTGCTGCTGTAGTTTTTGAAGGGTTAGATGTTCTGAGGAAAGCATGGTTTCTAGAGGCAAGCAATTCTGAAGGTCTTCTGCAGTGGGTTTTTTTTTTTTTTAATTTTGAGACAAGGTCCGGCTCTGTCACCCAGGCTGGAGTGCAGTGGCTCGACTGTGGCTCACTGCAACCTCCAACTTCCAGGTTCAAGCAGTCCTCCCATCTCAGCCTCCCAAGTAGCTGAAACTACAGGCACGCACCCAGCTAATTTTTTTTTTGAGATGGGGTCTTGCTATGTTGTCCAGTCTGGTCTCAAACTCCTGAGCTCAAGTGATCCACCCCCTTCAGCCTCCTAAAGTGCTGAGATTACAGGCATAAGCCACCACACCCAACCTTTCTGCTGTGTTTTTAAACACAATGTCTTTATTTCCTTCAGTGAATTCATCAAAATCTCGGGCAGTTTGCATCTGCTGGAGCAGTGCCGGGCGGTCGGCAGAGCCACAGTATAGAGCAGTTACAAGATTTCCTGCCTTGCCGAGTGAAATCTATGCCTTCCAATTTTTTTTAATTAATTAATTTTTAAAAAATTAGATTGGTACAAAAGTAATTGCAGTTTTTGCCATTACTTTCAATGGCAAAAACAGCGGTTACTTTTGAACCAACCTAATATTATAGAGACAGGGTTTCACCATCTTACCTAGGTTGGTCTCGAACTCCTAAGCTCAAGTGATCCACCCACCTCGGCCTCCCAAAGCGTGGTGATTATAGGCATGAGCCACCATGCCCGCCCCTCCCCACCAATATATTTTTAAAACTAGTTGAGTGTGGGCCAAGAGTTGTGGGATCTGTGTCACCACCAATCCCGCCTCTAAGCTGCTGGGTGGGTAATATGGGAAAACAGTAATTGTAGCAGGACTCCAGTGGCAGAAGCCATGCGGATAAACTACAAAAAGCAGAAGGGACACTGGGGATGCTGACATCTCCATTGGTTGAGATTACCCTTAAGGTATTGAGCAACTGTGGCCAGGTCCAGGAAGGGCAAAAAAAAAACAAAAAACAAAAAACAAAAAGGCAACACAAGACAAGAAGCCATCGAGTCTCTTGGCTACAACCAGCCAGTACACAAGAAACAGTTCACTGCGGCCAGGCGTGGTGGCTCATGTCCGTAATCCCAGCACTTTGGGAGGCTGAGGCGGGAGGATCACCTGAGGTCAGGAGTTCAAGACCAGCGTGGCCAACATGGCTAACCCTGTCTCTACTAAAAATATAAAAAATTAGCCAGGCATGGTGGTGGGCACTTGTAATCCCAACTACTCGGGAGGCTGAAGCAGGAGAATCGCTTCAACCCAGGAAGCGAAGGTTGTAAGCTGATATCGCGCCATTGCACTCTAGCCTGTGCGACAAGAGCAAAACTCTTTCTTGAAAAAAACAAAAAACAAAAAAACAAAACAGTTCACTGGAGATGATCAGCCATAAGTAAGATCCCTAGGGACCCCACTGCCCGGCCAAAGGGCCTCCCGCCCTTGAGAACACAACAGTGTGCATATTGTAAACAAGAGGGCCATTGGGTACTAGAGTGTCCTAACTGTCCCCAGTGGGTAGGGAAAGAAACTTCCCCGTCAATCAGCCCACCAGATGCTACAGTTTGCTAATAGTGACCAGAAGTGATGGGACTTGGGGACTCCTCTATGATCTGGGAACCCCTAGATCGGGTAACAATTGCTGTGGGAGAGACTCACGGGTTTTCCGACACTAGAGCCAAATTTTTGCCTGTCTCCTTTCTACCGTGTTCTTCCTAAAATTTAGGAAAGGGCTTCTGCTGTATGGGAGAGATAAATTTTAGCTAAAATTGTTAGTTGGACGGAGACAGAGTTGGAACTGTCTTTTAAGTAGTGAATTTTACCTGACCCATGGCTAAACCTTTAAAAGTTAAAGCTATAGGATCGTTATTTGTATCTGGTAGTATGTACACGTCCGGTTATATTTGGCTATGGTACCGAATTGGCTTATAAAGAAATGAGTACTCATAAACTAAGCAAATAAGACCAAGTGCTTTTCAAGTTCACATGACAGTAATCTTTTGGTGAATGGAACTAGTCTAAAATTGTTGGTTTGATGGGAATGGTGTGCCTTCTGAAATGTAACTTAAAGGTTCTTACTTTTTTTTTTTTTTTTTTGAGACGGAGTCTCGCTCTGTCGCCCAGGCTGGAGTGCAGTGGCGTGATCTCGGCTCACTGCAAGCTCTGCCTCCCGGGTTCACGCCATTCTCCTTCCTCAGCCTCCCGAGTAGCTGGGACTACAGGCGCCTGCCACCACGCCCGGCTAATTTTTTGTATTTTTTTTTTTTTTTTAGTAGAGATGGGGTTTCACTGTGTTAGCCAGGATGGTCTTGATCTCCTGACCTCGTGATCTGCCCACCTCGGCCTCCTAAAGTGCTGGGATTACAGGCGTGAGCCACAGCATCCGGCCTTAAAGGTTCTTACTTTTATGATAGTTGCCTGACATCCAGCTATATAAAGGTAATTAACAGATAAATAATTTGAAATGATGACTAGCTTTGTCTAATATATCAGTTCTCATAAGTAATCCTGGTAAACTGCTAAAAATAAATAAAGTATGTAAAGGTAAATGGGATAAGTATCTATCGGCTTTTTAATGTAATTTGAAATCCTCTATTAGGTAATGGATACTCATTAACTATGTGAGTTATTTCCAAATAAGACAAAAACTGGAACAAATTGCTGACCATAAATATGTTTGCCCTGGGTCTCTTAAATTTAATATAAAGACTAAATATGTTTGGGCCTATAAATACGTATAAAAATTATGCTATAGGAAAACATGTTTTTCTAACAATTACAAAATGGCTCTTCCCCATAAAATACCAATATGTGATAGGAAGTTCAAGATTTTGTGCTTCCTATGTTTTCAACAAAATTTAAGGGAACTGGATGGGCACTGTGGCTCATGCCTGTAATTCCAGCACTTTGGGAAGCTGAAGCAGGAGGATCGTTTGAGATCAGGAGGTTCAGACCAGCCTGGGCAACATAGTGAAACTCTGTCTCTACTGAAAAACAAAAAAGAAAAAATTAGCCAGGGGTGGTGGCACATGCCTACTGTAGTCCCAGCTACTCAGGAGGCTGAGGTGGGAGGATCACTTGAGCCAGGGAGGTCAAGGCTCCAGTAAGCCAAAATCAATGCCACTGCACTCCAGCCTGGGTGATGGAGCACGACCTTGTTTCAAAAAAAGAAAAAAGATAATTAAAAACAAAAATTTAAGAGTACTAAGGGTTTTTAAAAATCCTAATATACAATTCTATATAGGAAGTGTGCCAAAAGTAAGGAGCACTTAATAAGAAAACAGTAAGAAAGGTATACAATATATTCTTTATTGAGAAAAAAAGTAATTTGTCTAATTTAGCTGTTATTTAAAGGGAGTTTTAAAATATGGATTTAGGAAAGAAATAGAAAAAAGATTAAAAGGAACCAGTAAGTAGATGAGACAGAGATGTAAAGAAAATTACAGATGTGAAGCAATGAGAGTAATTTTGTATAGGAAAGAAACTTGTGTGTTCAATCTCTGTCTTGGACTAAAATGACTAGACATTTAAGAAAGAGGAAGTACAGGGCAAGTCCAAGCATGCCACAGCTGTCTGAGTAAGTCATGATAAGGCTTGTGAATGGGAACTTATGATGGAAATGTTGGGTGTGATTAAATTGGCTGTAATTAAATGAAATGATTTGTAATAGTTTTTTTTTTTTTTGAGATGGAGTCTGGCTGTCTTGCTCATTTGCCAAGGCTGGAGTGCAGTGGTTCGATCTTGCCACACTGCAACTTGCATCTCCTGGGTTCAAGTGAGTCTCCTGCCTCAGCCTCCTGAGTAGCTGGGATTACAGGCGTGCACTACCATGCCTGGCTAATTTTCGTATATTCAGTAGAGATGGGGTTTCACCATGTTGGCCAGGCTGGTCTTGAACTCCTGACTTCAGGTGATCCTGGCCTCCCAACGTGCTGGGATTACAGGCATGAGCCACCATGCCTGGCCTGTAACAGTTTTTCTAGAGAATGAATTTGAATGTTAAAACACATGATACATAACTTACAATTTTGGTCCCCTGTGTTAAAACAACAGTGGTTTCGGCTGAGCGCAGTGGCTCATGCCTGTAATCCAGGCACTTTGGGAGGCCGAGGCAGGTGGATCATGAGGTCAGGAGATTTGAGACCAACCTGGCTAACATGGTGAAACCCCGTCTCTACTAAAAATACAAAATATTACCCAGGCTTGGGGGCGTGCACCTGCAGTCCCAGCTACTCAGGAGGCTGAGGCAGGAGAATGGCGTGAACCCAGGAGACGGAGCTTGCAGTGAGCCGAGATCACACCACTGCACTTCAGCTTGGGTGACAGAACGAGACTCCGTCTTAAAAACAAACAAACAAAAAACAGCAGTTTCTTAAGACATTAATTCACTCTTAGTAAAGTTCCAAGAGGTTTTGATATTTATTTCTAAAACCTGCTTCGTTAATAGCCATTCTCTGAATTACAAATTAGTTTCTGTTTCTGTCATATTCCTTCTTAAGATCAGTCTAATTTCTTTGGTTTCAGGTTTATCTCAAAGGTCTAGAAAAGCAGCTTTACGCCAGTATAAACTGATTCTGTGTTCTTGGTTTTTCTTAATGTGTCTGAGTTGTTTCATGTAACCAGGACTTCCCATGGTATTACTAATGTATTCCCCTGCTCACCAGCCTAGGAAACACAGATTGCTTAGGGAGACTGAGCTTTAAAGTGTTAAGGTTTTTCCATGCATGTAACTTTTCGTGTTGCTTTTGAATTCTTTTGATTGTCACTGTGGTTAAACGAGTAACTATTATTCGGCAGTGATCTCTGATTCTGTTGAAGGAAGCCATTTGAACTTTTTGACATCCTCTTTGGCAGAATTCCCCAGGATCCAAATCCTAAATTAAGCCATCTGGCCTAAAATCAACTTTGAGATTCTACCAAAAGGGCCTCCTGGAACAAGCCTCAAAGGTTTTGTCTCTGATCTTTTGGAGATATTAAATGATCAGGCTTACTTGGTAAATAATATGGGAAGCATTGTCAAATAGAAACGGTGTTTAACTTCCTTTAAGTAATGTTTGTGTAAGTGTGTCACTAACACAGGGGAAAAGGTTTGAGATTCCTAAAACTCTGATATGCCAAGATATGTGTCATGACTGTGATGGTTGTGTCACATGGTTGTATGCCAGAGAAATGCTGAAATTTCTGGCCGGGCACGGTGGCTCACATCTGTAATCCCAGCACTTTGGGAGGCCGAGGCGGGTGGATCACGAGGTTAGGAGATTGAGACCATCCTGGCTAACATGGTGAAACCCTGTCTTTACTAAAAATATAAAAAATTAGCCGGGCATGGTGGTGGGCACCTGTAGTCCCAGCTACTCGGTAGGCTGAGACAGGAGAATGGTGTGAACCTGGGAGGCGGAGCTTGCAGTGAGCTGAGAATGCGCCACTGCACTCCAGCCTGGGTGACAGAGTGAGACTCCGTCTCAAAAAGAAAAAGGAAAAAAAAAGAAATGCTGAAATTTCCTGTCAATTGTAAATTGTCATCAGATCTCTGACTGGCTGCTCTGGGCTTTTGTCACCCACAGTTAATTCTTATTTTTCAGTCAGGGTCTCACTCTATTGCCCAGGCTGGAGTACAGTGGCGTGATCACAGCTCACTTCAGCCTTAACCTCCCAGGCTCAAGTGATCCTCCCACCTCAGCTTCCTGAGTAGCTGGGACTACAGGGGTGCTCCACTGTGCCCAGCTAATTGTCTTTATTTTTTTATAAGGACAAGGTCTCATGTTTCCCAGGCTGGTCTCAAACTCCTGAGCTCAAGTGATTCTCCCGTCTTGGCTTCCCAAAATGCTGGGATTATAGGCGTGAGCCACCATGCCCTGCCACCCACAGTTGTTTTAAATTCTTCTCTGGAAGCATTCACAATTGGCTATGGTCCAAAATTGCTAATTAAGATTGAGCAAAACTGGCCAGGTGCAGTGGCTCACGCTTGTTGTAGGGTCCAGCCCTACAGGATATGTGGGTTTTTTCTCTTCATGTGTGGAGATGAGAGATGGTAGAAATAAATACACAAGACAAAGAGATAGAAGAAAACACAGCTGGGCCCAGGGGACCACTACCACCAAGGTGTGGAGACCGGTAGTGGCCCCAAATGCCTGACCGCACTGTTATTTATTGGATACAAGGTAAAAGGGGCAGGGTAAGGAGTGTGAGTCATCTCCAATGATTGATAAAGTCACGCGAGTGAAGTGTCCACCAGACAGGGGGCCTTTCCCTTTAGGTAGCCAAGGCGGAGAGACAGAGGACAGCTTACATCATTATTTCTTCTATGCTCTTCTCAGAAAGATCAAAGACTTTAATACTTTCACTAATACTGCTACTGCTATCTAGAAGGCAGAGCCAGGTGTACGGAGCATAACATGAATGTGAAACAGGAGCGTGACCGCTGAAGCACAGCATCACAGGGAGACAGGCCACCAGATGGCTGTAGGTGGGCCTGACTGATGTCAGGCCTTCCACAAGAGGTGGTGGAGCAGAGTCTTCTCTAACTCCCCCAGGAAAAGGGAGACTCCCTTTCCCAGTCTGCTAAGTAACGGGTGCCTTCCCCAGGCACTGATGCTACGCCTAGACCAAGGTCCGCTAGGTAATGGATGCCTTCCCAGGTGCTGGTGTTACCACTAGACCAGGGAGCCCTCTAGTGGCCCTGTCCAGGCGTAACAGAGGGCTCACACTCATCTGGTCACTTCTCACCGTGCCCCTTCAGCTCCTATCTCTGTATGGCCTGGTTTTTCCTGGGTTATAATTATAGAACAAAGATTATTATAATATTGGAATAAAGAGTGATGCTACAAACTAATGATTAATGATACTCATATACAATCATATCTATAATCTATTTCTAGTATAACTATTCTTATTCTATATATTTTCTTTATTATACTGGGACAGCTTGTGCCCTCAGTCTCTTGCCTTGGCACCTGGGTGGCTTGTCGCCCACACCTGTAATCTCAGCACTTGGGGAGGCCAAGGTGGATGGATCACTTGAGGCCAGGAGTTTGAGAACAGCCTGGCCAACAAGGTGAAACCCTGCCTCTACTAAAAATACAAAAAAATTAGCCTGGTGTGGTGGCGGGCAACTGTAATCCCAGCTACTCAGGAGGCTGAGGCAGGAGAATCGCTTGAACATGGGAGGTGGAGGTTGCAGTGACCCAAGATTGCACCACTGCCCTCCAGCCTGGGTGATGGAGCGAGACTCTGTCTTAAAAATAAATAAATAAAAAGATTGAGCAAAACAAAAATAATTACATGAAATTAAGTAATTGATATGAATAATGTTTTTATGACTTAAATGTGAGACTATCACCTCATTTTGTTTTGCAGATTCAAGGAAATTTTCTGTCATAACCTGCCTATAGTTTGTGAGGACTAAACTCTGATTTTTTTTGTTCTTATTTTGCTCAAATTCCTCCCTAAGGGGCCTGGGGAGTCACACCCTACAAACCATAAAGTCTCATCAGAGAGGCTTTAATTTTAACCCTATAGCGTGGTCTGCTTTCTGACCTGACTCTGGCATAACCTCACATAACAAATAAGAGAAGAAATCAAAATATTTTAACCCCAAATATATTTGCTTGCCATATCTTGAAACTGCCCTGCAAAGTTGTCTCCTGTGGAAAAAATCTACATTCTGTAGAGAATCCCATTTTCCCTTTTTTCTAACTTCTTTCCAGATCCAGGAGATAATCAACTAAGAACCAGGCACCCTTTTATGTTAGATAAGAAACACTTCAGGCCAGTGCAGTGGCTCACACCTGTAATCCCAGCTCTTTGGGTGGCCGAGGCATGTGGATCACTTGAGGTCAGGAGTTCAAGACCAGACTGGCCAACGTGATGAAACCCTGTCTCTACAAAAATACAAAAATTTGCCAGGCGTGGTGGTGCACGCCTGTAATCCCAGCTGCTCAGGAGGCTGAGGCAGGAGAATCACTTGAACGCAGGAGGGAGAGGTTGCAGTGAGCTGAGATCACTCCACTGCACTCCAGCCTGGGCAACACAGCAAGACCCCATCTCAAAAAAAAAAAAAAAAAAGAAAAAGAAAGATTTTACAGCCTACTATCTGAGAGCTTCCTCTGCACAATAAAACTTGGTCTCCACAATCCTTTATCTTAACATGAACATTTCCTTTGTGTTGATCCCAGGTCTTCAGATAAACTCAACCAATTGTCAACCAGGAAAATTTTAAATGTACCTATAGCCTGGAAGCCCCTGCTTTGAGTTGTCCCATCTTTCTGGACCAAACCAACATATATCTTGCACGTATTGATTGATGCGTCACGTCTCCCTAAAATGTATAAATCCAAGCTGTGACCTGACAGTCTTGGGTACATGTTCTCAGGATCTCCTAAGGGCTGTGTCACGGGCCGTGGTCATTCATCTTTGGCTCAGAATAAGTCTCTTAAATATTGTACAGAGTTTGACTCTTTTGATCGACATTTGCAATAACTCGATCAAGGGTCCTTTGTGAACAAAGGTGGAACTTATTCATTTTTTCTCCCTACTTGATTCCTACAAAATTCAGAAACTATTCATGAACATTCTTATTTATATATAGTAAAACAAACAAACAAAAACAAACAAACAAAAACCCTGCTCTCAGGGCTGGGCACAGTGGCTCACGCCTGTAATCCCAGCACTTTCAGAGGCCAAGGTGGGAGGATCACCTGAAGTCAGAATTTCAAGACCAGCCTGGCCAACATGGTGAAACCTCATCTCTACTAAAATAGAACAAATTAGCTGGGCATGGTGGCGGGCACCTGTAATCCCAGCTACTAGGGAGACTGAGGCAGGAGAATCACTTGAACCCGGGAGGCAGAGGTTGCAGTGAGCCGAGATTGTGCCTCTGTACTTCAGCCTGGGCTACAGAGGGAGATGCCACCTCAAAAAATAAAAAAACAAAAAACAAAAACGAAAAACAAACCCTGGTCCCTGTAAGCAGGACACAATTAGAAACATCGATTGTATTACTAAGGTTTGGACTGAAATACCATTTTTAAGAAATGTGGGCTGGGAATGGTGGCTCACGCCTGTAATCCCAGCATTCTGGGAGGCCGAGGTAGACTGCTTGACCCCAGGAGTTCAAGAGCAGCCTGGGCAACATAGTTCTAAATCTGAGATTTCCTTCATGATCAAAGATGGGTGGGAACCCCATTCTGCAAGATAAGTGTCAACCTCAGAAAGATAGGCTCTCCAGAACAGATGAATTTATTTGGGAGGAGCAGAGGATTCCTATCTGGGCTATGAGTGCTTGGAAGGATCCCAGGCATACACAGAGGGCCACAGCCAAGGGGAAGCTTTTAAAGGACAGAAGTCCATGTAAGCAGCTTTTAAACAAGGTTTGTAAGTCACAAGCTGATCGCAGGAGTTGGCGATGGTTTTCTGGTGGAGACGGCCGTGGTAGGTAAGCATCTGCAGCTCATCTGGAATACTACAGTCTTGAGGACGTGCTTTCCATACGCCCTGTGTCTGGTCTACATGCAGGCGTGTCTTGTGATAAATCCTGTTACGGGCATGTGTGTGTGAGGGCTTCTATGTGGCCCCCCGACTCCATTTTATTAGAGTTTGGCATAAGTGACTCCATTTTGGTTCCAGCAACTTTCACATAAGGAAACTGAGGCTCAGAGAAGTCAAGGGACTTGCCCCCAGGTCCCACTAACACTGTGCAGTGGAGTGATGCAAACCCCAGTTTTCCCAGTGGATGGAGCTGCTGTGGGTGAGTGCAGGGTGCGGTGTGAACCAGAGGGGTGGTGCAGAGACCAGTGTGGGATGTGAGAGGATCCCTGGGGGAGGCAGTGCTGGTGCAGTTGGGATGGGGCAGAGATGGAAGTGCGCGTGTGCCTAGAGGGGAGAGCAAAGGCCTGGAGGGCTCCACGCTCTCAACCGTTCAGGGCTGATGCCCCTAAGAAGGCAGGGCACTGTATTTTCCAGGGTGACACTGCCCCTGTGACTGGGTCTGGCCAACCCTGACCGAGAGGGCAAAGGGCTGGAATTGGGGAGGGTGGGGTGAGTGAGGACACCTGGCATGTTCTGCGGCCTCTTGGCCTCTCTCGAGCAGCGTCCCCCAGATAGAAGCAAGACCTTGCTTTGCAGCCCTGGCAGGCAGGATGCAGTCATGTGACAGCTCCAGCAACCTGAGGCTGGGGGAACCTGCGGTCTGGAGGAACAATGTGAGTTGGGAGCATAAGCCCCTCATGGCTAGACTCAGGTTTCTCTGTGTGACCCGTTGGAGGCGGGTGGGACGCTCACAGGAGGGTGCAGCTCTGGGAGCCCATGCCCCAGCGTAACAGCTGCTGGTTCCAGTCGGTATAGGGTGGGTAGTGGATCTCCTTTAATTTCTCCAGGCCGGAGGGGGCGAGCAGGCAGGTGCGGTGGTGGGAGAAGGTGTCGAAGGTGAACTTGCCGTGGTACCGGCCCATCCCACTGTGGCCTGTGTGGGCACAGAGAACAAGGGCCTGAGACCAGGCAGCCCATGGAGCCCCAGCAGCAGCCCACTGCCCCGGCCAGGGCACACAGCTGGCAGGGAGCTCAGAGAGAGCCAGGCCACTCACAGAGCCATTTTACAGATAGGGAAACTGAGGCCTTGAGAGGCCCAGGGTGTGGATCAAGGTTGAACAGTGAGTGAAGGGACTTCCTGGGTCTGGGGTACCAAAGCCAAGCTTCCCTAGGGGTGGAAATGGGCAGGGACCCACCGACTCCCCCGAATGGCACGGACAGCAGAGATATGTAGGTGAAGCCCTCATTGCCTCCAAAGCTGCCGCTGCTGGTCCGCTCCAGCATCTGGTTCACAACCTGCCAGGGAGTGAGAAGGTGGGTGTTGGGCTCTAGTCATGAGAAGAGGGCTTGAGCCCCGCACATTCCACAGCGGAGGTGAGCCTCATCCTCACCTGCCCCTCCACCCTCTAACGGGCAATAATCTCCGCTCTAAGCATCTTCTGGGGACAGCACCCTCTCAGTGACGGTCGGGGTGCCATGGGGGTGATTACCACCATGGCGCAAAGACCAGGAAGCCCTGCAGGATCATGGGGAGCCGGCAGCCTTGAGTCGCGACGGTGAGGTTAGGATGCTGCAGTGTGGTATGCGGGCCCCACCGCGACCCGCTGGGCTCTATCAGGCCCCTGCTCTGCTCTGTCCCTGACCTCCATTCCGGGCCTCTGCTTGCCTGTGCAGAACCTTTGCACAGTCCAAGTGCAGGCTGCTCTGGCCAGGACAGAGGATGGACCCGCTAAGTGTCTGGTGGGTTTGGACCCTGTCCTCTCTGCCAGGCATCCTTGCGCCGGATGCAGTGGTACCAGGTGGCCTAGATATAGTCACCCTTGAGGCATCTGCTGCTCTAAAGCCTTGCTGGGAAGGGCTGTGAAAGGAAAGGTGCCAGTCTGTGCCCCTTTCAGCCCCTCCATTGCCCCCAACCCGGCCGCACCCCCACCTGGCTGCTGTTGGAGAAGGCGTACAGGGCCAGGGGCTTCTCCTGCCGGTTGATGAACTTGATGGCCTCGTCCACGCTCTGCACGTTCACGATGGGCAGGATGGGCCCGAAGATCTCCTCCTGCATCACAGGCTCCGTCTCCTGCACGTCCACCAGCACCGTGGGGGCTGCGGGCACCAGAGACGGCTCAGCCCTGGGGCCACAGTCAGGACTGCCCCCAGGGGTAGGGTAGAGGTGGGGACAGGGGCATGGGCCAGGGCTCCAGGCCAGGATCCCAAGGTCTGACTTCCCAGCGCTTCAGGCTTTGGAGTGTTTAGGGAAGAAAGTTTCCCCACAGCCCCCCAGAAGGGACCCTAGGGCTTCCCCAGCCTGCTCAGGGCCTGTGGGGCGCAGAGAATCCCCCGACCTTGGTCTCACAGTCAGGGGTGATGGGATCTTAGAACCTTGGAGTTCATGAGGCAGCAGCGTCCCAGAATGTTGGAGCTGCAGTGTCCCATGAGCTGCTGAGTCATACGGCCCAGGAGACTGGGGGCTCAGGATGGGGCCGTCAGAGTTTAGAACCTGGGGATCATGGGCTCGGAGAATCAGAGGTTACGGCCTTTCAGGACAGCCGGTGGTGGGATGGGAATTCACCTTAGCACGCTGGGCCCTGGAGCCCTGGAATCTGAGCTCAGTGAATCCAGGGCTGAGGGACCAGAGTATGGCCTCATGGGGCCACAGGCTCAGAAGCACAGAGACGGAATCGTGGCACCAGAGCCATGGCTCAAGGCCGGGCTCTGATAGTGGGGCCGGGTTTCAGGTGCGAGTCCAGACTCGTGGCCCAGCCGTGGGCCCTCCATTGAGAAAGGGTCTTGGCCCAGGTGGGCTGCGGTAGGGCAGCAGGACTCACCGATGTAGCGATCGCTCTCGTTGCTCTGGCCCCCAATGGCCACGCGGCTGCAGCCCAGCAATGCCCGCAGCCGCTGGAACTGTTTCTGGTTGATGATGTGGCCCAGGTTTGGGGAGCTCTGGGGGTCGTCGCCATAGAAACGGGTGATGGTGCTCTGCAGGGCGGGCAGCAGCCTCTCCTGCATCTCGGGGCTGCACAGGACGTAGTCAGGGGCCACGCAGGTCTGGCCGGCATTGAAGTAGCAGAACCAGGCCACGCGGTTGGCCACGGTCTGGGGGTCGCAGTTGTCGTCCACGTAGCAGGGGTTCTTGCCCCCCAGCTCCAGGGTGACAGGCGTCAGGTGCTTGGTGGCAGCAGTCATGACAATCTTGCCCACACGAGGGCTCCCTGGGCGTGGAAGGAAACCAGAGTGGCCAGTCAGTGACCTGGACCAGGCAGGATGGCCCAGCCCAGAGCCTGCTCCTCCCTGGAGAGGTGTTGGAGTCGGCGGGCTTCCTAGGGACATGGTGAGGAGACCCCATCCTCAACTGGCCTTGACCACACACTCCAGGCACCTGACTCTTGCCCGCTTTCTTCATAGAAAGTCCTGGCCCGCCTCACCCTTCTCCTGGCCGGTCTGGCTCACCCACTGGGACCTGCCTCCAGCCTGGCCACTCCTGGATCCAGTTGCTGCAATGTGCCCAGGGCGTGGCCTATGCAGGCAGACGGACTCTGTGCCAGCTCCAGCTCCCCACGTGCCCCCACTGCTGGCCCCAGCCTCCTCCCTCCACAACCCTCCCACCCTCTCTCCTGATGATCCCCTCCACCTACTCTGGGACCCTGGCCTGGCCCCCTCACCTGTGAAGAAGATGTAGTCCAACTTGTGCTCTAGCAGCTGCCCTGTCTCCTGGGGTCCGCCCAGCACCACGGCAAAGCAGCTCTGCAAGGTGGAATGAGAGGCTCGGGGCGGGCTCGGGGCCAGCCGGGCCTCCTCAGCCCACAGGGGTGATATATGGGGACGTCGGGCACTGCTGGGGCAGGGCCACCCTCACCTGGTCCAGGTACTGGGGCAGCACCTCAGCCAGGACCTTCTCTGTGCCCTGGCTGATTTCTGACGGCTTCAGCACCACGCAACTCCCTGCAGGGGCAGATGGGGACGTCGTTGGGGGAGCCCAGGGTCCCCATGCCCAACCAGGGGCTGGGCTCAGAGGGCATGTGAGGCCCAGGGTACCTCAGAGCAAGATTCCAGGGGCCTCTTTGGGAGGGGCTACTGGGCGGGGAGAGCATGGGGTTCGGAACGCCCTCCTCACCTGCGGCGAGGGCGCCCACCAGGAGCACCAGGGTCAGGTTCAGTGGGTAGTTCCAGGGTGCGATGATGAGGACCAGGCCAAAGGGTTCCTTCCAGATGAAGACCGAGTCCAGCTTCATGAACTGAGGCACAGGGTAGACAGTGAGGCCCTGCCAAGGGCCACCCCAAAGCCCACCCACTGCACACTTGGGGCCTCAGCTCCCTGTGCGATGGAATCCCAGGAGAGACGAGAAAATCAGTGACTCGCCCGGGGCCTCAGGGGCAGAAGGGGGCCTGGGCCAGAGCTACCCGGTGCCCTGCCCTGCCCTCCTGCCGCCTGCCAGCAGGGCTCACCAGGTTCGTGGACCGTGGTTCATCCTTCATCCAGGCCTGCAGGTTCTTGAGAGCGTAGTCAACCTCGTTCTGGCAAAGGATGAGCTCAGATATGTCTGCCTCGAAAGCTGGCTGTGGTGGAGGTGGAATTCAGAGTGGTCAGGCCCAGACCTGGGCCAGGAGGGGTCTAGAATTTGAGGAGGGCACACGCAGGCACCACCACCACTGGACATATAAATACAGCTCCTATGGGAGGCACTGCCGTCCCCTGGGAACTGCGCATGGCTGCAATTCTGATCTGTGACTTCCTGGCTGTGTGGCCTTGGGCAAGCGATGTTAACCCCTGAGTGCCTCAGTTTCCTCATCTGCAACATGGGGACAGCCATGGAGCCTGCATCACAGGGTGGCTGTGAGTGTTCAGGAGTGAAGGTCAGGTGCCTGCCACACTCCACATGCCAGGGAGGGGGTCTGTTAAACAAACAGGAATAAAACTAGGGACATAGCCAGTCACTAGGGGGCACGGGCCCTCCTGAAAGAGGACAGGGACGCTGCTCCAGCCCCTGCCGGGGCCCACTCTCCACGGCCCACCTTATGCAGGTCCTGGGCCAGCACGTCGCGCAGAAGCTGCTTGTTTTCTTGAAGGAAGTGGCCCAGGCCCTGGAGCTGCGCAGCCCGGAACTCGGCCGGCCGCGTGCGCCCTCAGTTGAAGGCCTCACGCAGCCGCCGCAGCGTGTCCTCGAAGGGGTCCATCCTGCCGGATGGGGTGGCTTGAACTGGGTGGCCAGGGCTGCCCCTCCTTCACGGGCACCCTCCAGCCACCCCAGGGTCTGCACACCCTTGCCCCACCTGCACCCATGGGGGCTCACAGACACCCCACCTCATACACACACAGACCCACTCGAATGACCCCACGGGGCTGGGGCTGCCTGCACCACCCCCAACTCACCTGCCTCCCAGGTGTGCCCATGAGGGAGGGCCCTGGGCTTGACCTCCCCTACTCCAGGGAGGGGATCCCCCTCCTGGACGCCCACCCTGGAAGCCCAACACACACACCTCGGGTGACCCTGCTGCCCACCATCCCAGCTCTTCCCTGCACCTCCCCTCCTTGCGCAGACACACACCCACCCACGCTGGCACCTTGCCACCCCTACACCCAGACCACTCAGATGGAACAGAGCTCTCCCCTGGGCCTCCCTCCCTTCTGGGACTAAACGAGGGACTCGGAGGGTTCTTTGCTTCAGAGATCACAGAGCTTTGAGGTCGCAGATGGGGAAACTGAAGCCATAGGCATGCCCTAGCCCTGAGGAGGGTTTGGCACCTGCTCTGGGGAGGGGGTGGCACTCTGCTGGTCGTAGAAGGAAGCAGAAGCAGAGGAGAGAGCTCCGGGGCTGGTATGGGTGGGCACAGGTGCAGGTGGGGGTAGGTTGGCAGAGCTGAGACTGCCCCAGGGCATGAACCCCTCTGGGCTTTAGCCTGAGGGCCCAAGGGAACCCCAGTGGGGTCTGGAGAGGAGGAAGGATCAGGACCCTGGGGGTGGGGGAAGGGGCTCAGGGGGACACTCAAGAGGATTGCCAGGCACCTAGCAACGGGATTCTGAGCATCCCAGCCCAGGGGCTCAAGAATGGTGCGCAAATCCTGTGTCTTTGTGTATCCGTGTGTCTGTGTGTGTCTTTGTGTATCCGTGTGTCTGTGTGTTTCTTTGTGTCTGTGTGTCTTTGTATAGCTTTGTGTCTTTGTGTGTCTATGTGTGTGTGTGTGTATGGCTGTCTGTCTTTGTGTGTGTATGGGTGTCTGTGTGTGTCTGTGTATGTATGGGTACTGTGTGTCTTTGTGTGTATGGGTGTCTGTGTGTGTCTGTGTATGTATGGGTGCTGTGTGTCTTTGTGTGTATGGGTGTCTGTGTGTGTCTGTGTATGTATGGGTGCTGTGTGTCTTTGTGTGTATGGGTGTCTGTGTGTGTCTGTGTATGTATGGGTGCTGTGTGTCTTTGTGTGTATGGGTGTCTGTGTGTGTATGGGTGCTGTGTGTCTGTATGTGTATGGGAGTCTGTGTGTATGGGTGTGTGTATGTGTGTATGGGTGTCTGTGTCTCTTTGTGTGTATGGGTGTCTGTGTGTGTATGTGTATATGGGTGTCTGTGTCTCTTTGTGTGTATGGATGTCTGTGTCTCTGCGTGTATGGGTGTCTGTGTGTCTTCGTGTGTCCGTGTGTCTTTGTGTGTCTGTGTGTCTTTGTGTGGGTGTCTGTGTTTCTTTGTGTGTCTGTGTGTCTTTGTGTTCTGTGCATCTTCATGTGTATGGCTATGTGTGTGTCTGTGTCTTTGTGTGCCTTTCTGTGTATGGGTGTCTGTGTGTGTGTGTCTGTGTGTGTATGGATGTCTGTGTGTGTGTATGGGTGTTTGTGTATGGATGTCTGTGTGTCTGTGTCTGTATGGGTGTCTGTGTATGTATCAGTGTCTGTGTGTCTATGGGTGTCTGTGTGTCTGTGTGTGTATGGGTGCTGTGTCCATGTGTGTCTGTGTATGGGTGCTGTATGTGTGTGGGTGTGTGTGTCCATGTGTGTCTGTGTGTGTATGGATGTCTGTGTGTGTATGGGTGTTTGTGTATGGATGTCTGTGTGTCTGCGTGTGTATGGGTGTCTGTGTATGTATCAGTGCCTGTGTGTCTATGGGTGTCTGTGTGTCTGTGTGTCTGTGTGTGTATGGGTGCTGTGTCCATGTGTATCTGTGTATGGGTGTTATATGTGTATGGGTGTGTGTGTCCATGTGTGTCTATGTGTGTATGGGTGTGTCTGTATGTGTATGGGTGTCTGTGTGTGTATGGGTGTCTGTGTGCGTATGGGTGTCTGTGTGTGTATGGGTGTCTGTGTCCACGTGTGTCTGTGTGTGTATGGGTGTCTGTGTGTGTATGGGTGTGTGTGTCCACGTGTGTCTGTGTGTGTATGGGTGTCTGTGTGTGTATGGGTGTGTGTGTCCACGTGTGTCTGTGTGTGTATGGGTGTCTGCGTATGGGTGTGTGTGTCCACGTGTGTCTGTGTGTGTATGGGTGTCTGCGTATGGGTGTGTGTGTCCACGTGTGTCTGTGTGTGTATGGGTGTCTGTATGTGTATGGGTGTGTGTGTCCACGTGTGTCTGTGTGTGTATGGGTGTCTGTGTGTGTATGGGTGTCTCTATGTGTATGGGTGTGTGTGTCCACATGTGTCTGTGTGTGTATGGGTGTCTGTGTGTGTATGGGTGTCTGTGTGTGTGTATGGGTGTCTGTGTGTGTATGGGTGTCTGTGTCCACGTGTGTCTGTGTGTGTATGGGTGTCTGTGTGTGTATGGGTGTGTGTGTCCACGTGTGTCTGTGTGTGTATGGGTGTCTGTGTGTGTATGGGTGTGTGTGTCCACGTGTGTCTGTGTGTGTATGGGTGTCTGTATGCGTATGGGTGTGTGTGTCCATGTGTGTCTGTGTGTGTATGGGTGTCTGTGTCCATGTGTGTCGTGTGTGTGTCTGCGTGTGGACTTGAGTAATCTCAGCCCTCAGCTGCAGGTCACAGGGCCGTGCCCAGGGCTGCTGCCTCAGACCCGCATTGCTGAGGGCAGTGGGGGTGGGTGGTGAGCAGGGCCTTGGCATCCCCAGTGAGTGTCCTGGAGGCCAGTGGCCCCATCTGCACTTGCACCGCACCAGGCATTCTTGTCATATGTGATGCAGGGACAGTGCTCGCCCATGGACAGAGCCAGCTGAACCAATGGCAGAAGTCCGTGTCTTGTGAATGACAAGATGAGGAGAGCAGCCCCTGCCCGGCTCAGGTCCCAGCTGAAGAATGTGAGGAGACAGGAAGCCATGCTGGGCACCTTCCTGGCCACACCTGCAGATGCCGCCTCCCTCCCCTGGGCAGCGTGATCACATTCCTGGCACAGGACCCCCACACTCAGTGTGCGGCCCCCCTGCATGAGGGCCTGGAGGAGGACGCAGCATACAGGGCTCTGCAAATATTCATCTACTGTCTTTGCTCAAGCCCTTGGGCTAGAACCTGGGTGGGGCCTGGGCCCTTCTCTGGTAGCGGGCGGTATTGGCCTGGAGCGCTTCCAGGTCCCAGGTTCCAGGGCCCTGACCCAAAGCTTTGCCTGGCATGCGAGCGTCAGCAGCCTCCACCCGGCGCTCAAGCAGCTCCTGGCCACATCAGCTCAGCTCTAACCTCTTCCATGGCTCCCTGGTGCCTTTGGAGGGATGACCGCCTCCGGCCTGAATCAAGACCCGGATTGGAGGAGTCTGGGATGAGCTATGGCACACAGGTGTCCTGATGTTCATCCCAGGAACCTGGCCTCAGCGTGGTCACAGCTTTCCCAGGTGAGGCAGGTGGGGCAGAGGAACCCCTGCCCTTTCTGGGCAGTCGTCGCCTGTCCTCACATGTGCACATCTGGTGCTCGGTGAAATAATCACGGAGCCAGCAGCATCTGCCTGACGGATGAGGAAACAGATGGGGGCTGGAGCTGGACCCAAGCCCTGCCTCTCATGCAAGGTGCTTTCTTGTCTCGCCCACCTGCTGCAGGGCAGGGGTCCGGGCGCTTGCTGGGGCAGGGCTGACTGGTGTGAAAGGAAAATATCTTGGACCCCCAAAATCAGTAAGCTAAAAGGAAAATTCAAGCTGGAAACTGATCAGGGCCAACCTGCCTCCCCCCCCTTTTTTTTTTTTTTTGGAACGGAGTTTCGCTCTTGTTGCCCAGGCTGGAGTGCAATGCTGCGATCTCAGCTCACCGCAACCTCTGCCTCCCAGGTTCAAGTAATTCTTCTGCCTCAACCTCCCGAGTAGCTGGGATTACAGGCATGCACCACCACGCCCAAATAATTTTGTATTTTTAGTAGAGATGGGGTTTCTCCATGTTGAGGCTGGTCTTGAACTCCTGACCGCAGGTGATCCGCCCACCTTGGCCTCCCAAAGTGCTGGGATTACAGGCATGAGCCACCGTGCGGGCCCCTGCCTCTCATTTTATTCACAGCCACCCCTCTGCCCACCGAGATAGATGCACATTCTGATTGCCTCCTTTGGAAAGGCTCATCAGAAACTCAAAAGAATGCAGTCTCTCACCTACCTGTGACCTGGAAGCTGCCCCAACCCTCACCCCCACCCCCTGCTTCAAGCTGTCCCTGCCTTTCTGGATGGAACCGATGTACTTCATATATATATATATATATATATATATATATATATATATATATATATGTATGTATGTATTTTGTGTGTGTGTGTGTGTGTGTGTGTGTGTGTGTATATATATATGTATTTTTTTTTTTTTTTTGAGACAGACTTTCTCTCTTGTTGCCCAGGCCAGAGTGCAGTGGTGGGATCTCAGCTCACTGCAATCTCCATCTCCCGGATTCAAGCGATTCTCCTGCCTCAGCCTCCCGAATAGCTGAATAGCTGGGATTATAGGTGCCTGCCACCATGCCCGGCTAATTTTATATTTGTAGTAGAGACGGGGTTTCACCATGTTGGTCAGGCTGGTCTCAAACTCCCGACCTCAGGTGATCCCTGCCTTGGCCTCCCAAAGTGCTAGGATTACAGGCGTGAGCCACCGTGCCTGGCCTTCTTACATATATTGATTGCTGTCTCCTGTCTCCCTAAAGTGTGTAAACCAAGCTGTGTCCCGACCACCTTGGGCACATGCTGTCAGGACATCCCCAGGCTGTGTCACAGGTGCACGTCCTCAACCTTGGCAAAATTAACTTTTTTTTTTTTTTAAGATGGAGTCTCATTCTGTCACCCAGGCTGGAGTGCAACTGGCATGATCTCGGCTCACTGCAACCTCTGCCTCCCAGGTTCAAATGATTCTCCTGCCTCAGCCTCCCGAGTAGCTGGTATTATAGGCATGCGCCCCCATGCCCAGCTAATTTTTATAATTTTTAGTAGGGACAGGATTTCACCATGTTGGCCAGGCTGGTTTCAAACTCCTGTCCTCAAGTGATGCACCTGCCTCAGCCTCCTAAAGTGCTGGGATTACAGGCATGAGTCACCACGCCTGGCCACAAAATGAACTTTCTTTCTTTCTTTTCTTTTCTTTTCTTTTCTTTTTTTTTTTTTTTGAGACGGAGTCTCACTCTGTTGCCCAGGCTGGAGTGCAGTGGTGCGATCTCAGCTCACTGCAAACTCCGCCTCCCGGGTTCACGTCATTCTCCTGCCTCAGCCTCCCGAGTAGCTGGGACTACAGGTGCCCGCCACCACACCCAGCTTATTTTTTGTGTTTTTAGTAGAGACGGGGTTTCACCGTGCTAGCCAGGATGGTCTCGATCTCCTGACATCGTGATCCGCCCGCCTCGGCCTCCCAAAGTGCTGGGATTACAGGCAAAATAAACTTTATAAATTAACTGAGACCCGTCTCAGATTTTCTGGGTTTACACTGGGGACCTCTGGCTGCTCACCAGGCAGTTCCTGACTGGACCTGGGTCCCATAGGTGACCACCCCAGACTTGGCCAGCCCCCATGGAGCTCACAGTCTACACACGGAACAATGACACCGGAAACAATATCATTACAAACATGATCGGTGGGCCAG
Organism: Homo sapiens; assembly: GCF_000001405.40. Lineage (NCBI taxonomy): Eukaryota > Metazoa > Chordata > Mammalia > Primates > Hominidae > Homo > Homo sapiens. The sequence continues at coordinate 67,673,419 of NC_000011.10, forward strand.
GGCTTCTTCCAGAGGTGGCCAGAGACCCACCCCTGGCTCTGACTGCTGCGGGGAAGCCGTAGGGGAGGGCCTCTTGGAGGGCAGGTGATCTGGACAGAGGGACCAACGTGTGCAAAAGCCCTGTGGGGGCAGATGCTGAGAAATAAGACACACAGGAAGGTGGAGGCCTGATGGGACCTGTCATATGGAGAGGGGACTCATTCCCTTGGCAGTGGCCATGCCTGGTGCAGGGCCCAGAAAGAAGTCAGAGCTGGCATCTGGGGCCAGGTAGCTGGCATGCACATCTCATCTGAGCCTCACAGCTATTATTATTACCCAGTTGGAAGGACAGGGAAACCGAGGCTCCCAGAGACGACTTGATTTGCCCTCCTCACAGCCTCAGTGCGAGGAGGGAGGCCCCCCAGCCCCTCTCCTCACACCAGCCTTGTGACACCATGTGCCAATGTGTGCCTCGTGCCTTTCACTGTCTTCTCAACATCTTCCTGCAGCTTCCAGACTTTCTAAATGCGAATGTAGTATTTCTAGAACCAGAAACAAGCAATGCATGTTGCTTTTAACATCTGAAACCAAAGATCCGACTTTCGCTTCAACTGCCAAGAATCTCTCTGCTTCCAATCCCCGATTCTCCGGCACCTCCTGATCACAGCCCTGGTGCCCCCGACCCAATCCTTGTCTGTCCACAGAGCTGCCTTCTCCTCTAACCTGGGAGCTCCTCAAAGGGAGGACGGGGTCTGTCCCCATCCCTGGGGCTCCTGGGGAACAGGCTTCATTTCTGTGGCTGCTTCCCAGGAGCCTGCCAAAGGGCAAAGTGAGGCTCAGAAGACACCAGCACCCACCTCCCTCTCCTGAGCAAGCCCCGTACCCATGGCCCCTGCAGCCATAGGCCCCTTGGTGGGCTTGCCCCCTGACCCACGGGCCATGGGCACACATCCCCTTCCCTCCATGCCCCTGGTTCCCACCAGTGTCCTTTACCCTGAGCTCCCTCTGCCCGCCCCTCACCCCTGTGGCCCCACATAACCCAGCGTGGGCTCTGCCCCTGGGTCCTTCGCTGCACCTCCACTCCCTTTCTTGGACATGCTGCCTCCAGATGCGCAGGCTCTGCTCCTACCCCCAGGCCTCAGCCCTGCTCTGCTGACTGCGATCCTCCCAGGAGACTGGCAGCTCCCAAACCAACTCCCGTGCCCACGCCTGGCAATGGGGTAATCAATGGGGTGATGCTCAGTGTTACCCAACAGGCGTGGGGCAGGGCTGCACCTCCCAATTCCCATGCCTACCCTTGTCTCACTGCCAGGACCTATAGCTGCTCGGTGTCTGCCCTGTTCTTCCAGGGCCCTGCCCCCAGGGACCACACTGCACAGCCGGCTTGGGAACAGGTTAGACAAGTCAAGGCTGTCTGAGGCTTTGCTCTGTGTTTCCTGGAATGGGCTAGCAGGGAGTTACCTGATCAGGAAAAAAGAACCCCAGGGGAAGGTCACAGGATGAAAATATCAGCAGGATCCTGGTGGCAAATGCTGCCTTCGCCAGGAAGTCCTCCCAGGCCCCAGCCACAGTGGTCCCATGCCCCCCATGGCCCCTCCTAGGGTCTCTATGCTAAATCTTCATCTCCCTCCTCTCCTGTCCTCACTCTTCAGGCTTCACAGGTCAAGATGAGCAACTGTGGCTCTATTTCCACTCTCAGTGTGCCCAGCTGGCATACTCAGGGCAGAGGAAGGGGCTCAGATCTTTGCAGAGAGACCCTTGATGGGCGACGGCACCTGTAGCTCTAGGATGGCGCATTGTTCATTGGTTTATTTATTTACTGTGCAACCGTGGGTAGGTTACTTAACGTCTCTGAGCCTTTCGGAAGTAACAATAACACCTAATTGCCATGGTTCTTGAGAGGGTCACAGAGGGAGACGTGAGAATGGAAAAGGCAGATCACAGCTCCTGGCACAAAATCAGTGCCCCTCAATGTTGCCCGCTAATGTTTCCACAAGTATTTGCTGAGCACCTTCTAGGTTCCAGGGAGCAGAATGAGCTCAGGTCCTGCCACTGTCCTTCATGGATGGCCTGACTCTGTCCCCACCCCACCTTCCCCCAAGCCTGAGACCAAGGACACGCCCTGCTGAGGGCTGTAGAGAGTCTCTTGGCAGAGTGTGCAGCCCTGTGGGCAGGAGGGACATCTGAGATAACCCTTGGTTGTGACTGGAGACAGCCCAGCGGAGGCCACAGCCTGAGACCAAGCCCTGGCCCTGGAATCTTCGGTAGCTAAAGATGTAAATGCCAATGTGACACCAGGAAGGGACCTCGGGATGGGGAAGGGAATACAGGGCAGAATGCTAAGGCCCATCTAAGAGCAGCAGATGGGTTATGGCCACTGGGGAGGCCCACTGCCTCCAAACCACTGAATTGTACACTGTAAATGGGTGAGTTGTATGGGATGTGAATGCTATCTCAATAAGCTGTTTTGTTTTGTTTTGTTAAACTGAACTGACAAGAAGCCTGAATAGACGTAAATAAATTAAAATATGCTCAACCTCAGTAGCAATTGTTAAAATGTAAAATAGGTCGGGTGCGGTGGCTCATGCCTGTAATCCCAGCACTTTGGGAGGCCGAAGCTGGTGGATCACTTGAGGTTAGGAGTTCCAGAACAGCCTGGCCAACATGGTGAAACCCTGTCTCTACTAAAAATACAAAAAATTAGCCAGGCGTGGTGGCATGTGCCTGTAATCCCAGCTACTCGGGAGGCTGAGGCAGGAGAATTGCTGGAACCTAGGAAGCAGAGGTTGCAGTGAGCTGAGAGCACACCATTGCACTCCAGCCTGGGCAACAAGAGAAAAATGAAATTATATCAGGCATGTTCTTAGACCACGGTGGAATAAAACTGGAAATCAACTCCAAAAAGAACCTTCAAAACCATGCAAATAACTGGAAATTAAATAACCTGCTCTTGAATGAGCATTGGGTCAAAAACAAAATCAAGATGGAAATTAAAAAATTCTTCAAACTGAATGACAACAGTGACACAACCTATCAAAACCTCTGGGATACAGCTAAGGCTGTGCTAAGAGGAAAGTTCATAGCCCTAAATGCCTACATCAAAAAGTCTGAAAGAGCACAGACAATCTAAGATCACACCTCAAGGAACAGAGGAACGAGAACAATCCAAACCCAAACCAAGCAGAAGAAAGGAAATAACCAAGATTAGAGCAGAACTAAATGAAATTGAAACAGAAAAAATATACAAAAGGTAAATGAAACAAAAACTTGTTCTTTGAAAAGATAAATAAAATTGATAGATCATTTGCAAGATTAACCAAGAAAAGAAGAGAGAAAATCCTAATAAACTCACTGAGAAATGAAACAGGAGATATTACAACTGACACCACTGAAATATAAAAGAGCATTCAAGGCTATGGTGAACACCTTTACACACATAAACTAGAAAACCTAGAAGCAATGGTTACATTCCTGGAAAAATACAACCCCCCTAGTTTAAATCAGGAAGAATTAGATACCCTGAACAGGCCAATAACAAGCAGCGGGATGGAAGTGGTAATTTTAAAATTACCAACAAAAAAAAAGTCCAGGACCAGAAGGATTCACAGCAGAATTTTACCAGACAGTCAAAGAAGAATTGGTACCAATCCTTTTGACACTATTCCACAAGATAGAGAAAGAAGGAGCCCTCCCTAATTCATTCTATGAAGCCAGCATCATCCTAATACCAAAACCGGGAAAGGACACAACCAAAAAAGGAAATGACAGACTGATATCCTTGATGAACATAGATGCTAAAATCCTTAACAATATACTAGCTAACCGAATTCAACACCATATCAAAAAGATAATCCTCCATGATCAAGTGGGTTTCATACCAGAGATGCAGGGGTGGTTTAACGTAGGAGGGTCAATAAATGTGATGCATCACATAACCAGAATTAAAAATGAAAATCACATGATCATCTCAATAGATGCAGAAAAAGCATTTGACAAAATCCAGCATCCTTTTATGATTAAAACCCTCAGCAAAATCAGTATACAAGGGACATATCTTAATGTAATAAAAGCCATCTATGACAAAACCACAGCCAACATAATACTGAACGGGAAAAAGTTGAAAGGCTTCCCGCAGAGAACCGGAACAAGACAAGGATGCCCACTCTCACCACTCCTCTTCAACATATTACTGGCAGTCCTAGCCAGAGCAATCAGATGAGAAAAAGAAATAGGGGCATCTGAATCGATAAAGAGGAAGTCAAACTGTCCCTGTTTGCTGATGATATAATTGTTTACCTTGAAAACCCTGAGGACTCCTCCAGAAAGATCCTAAAACTGATAAAAGAATTCAGCAAAGTTTCTGGATACAAAATTAATGTACACAAATCAGTAGCTCTTCTATCCACCAACAGCGACCAAGCAGAGAATCAAATCAAGAATTCAATCCCTTTGACGATAGCAAAAAAACAAACAAAAAAACAAAACAAAACAACTTTAGAATATACCTAAAAAAGAAGTCGAAAGACCTCTAAAGGAAAACTACAAAACACTGCTAAAAGAAATCATAGATGACACAAACAAATGGAAACACATCCCATGCTCATGGATGGGTAGAATCAGTATTGTGAAGATGGCCATACTGCCAAAAGCAATCTACAAATTCAACACAATCTCCATCAAAACACCACCATCTTTCTTCACAGAGTTAGAAAAAACAATTCTAAACTTCATATGGAACCAAAAAAGAGCCCGCACAGCAAAAGCAAGACTAAGCCAAAAGAACAAATCTGGAGGCATCATACTACCTACCTGATTTCAAACTATACTCTAAGGCCATAGTCACCAAAACAGTGACATATCGGTGTAAAACTAGGCACACAGACCAATGGAACAGAATAGAGAACCCAGAAATAAACCCAAATACTTACAGGCAGCTGATCTTCAACAAATAAACAAAAACATAAAGTGGGGAAAGGACACCCTTTTCAACAAATGGTCCTGGGATAATTGGCTAGCCACATGTAGGAGAATGCAACTGGATCCTCATCTCTCACCTTACACAAAAATCAACTCAGGATGGATTAAGGACTTAAACCCAAGAGCTGAAACTATACAAATTCTAGGAGATGACATTGGAAAAACCCTTCTAGACATTGGCTTAGGCAAGGATTTCATGACCAAAGAAACTATGATATATATATACACACACACAGTACTGTGTATATATATACTATGGTACATATATATATATATACACTATGATATATATATACACACACACTATGGTGTATATATACACACTATGGTGTCTATATATATATATATACACGCTATGGCATATATATACATACTATGATATATATACACGCTATGGTATATATATACATACTATGGTATATATATACACTAATGGTATATATATATATATGTTTGAATACTACTCAGCTATAAAAAGAAATGAATTAACAGCATTTGCAATGATCTGGATGAGATTGGAGGCTATTATTCTAAGTGAAGTAACTCAGGAATGGAAAGCCAAACATCGTATGTTTTCACTGATATGTGGGAGCTAAGCTATGAGGACGCAAAGCATAAGAATGATACAATGGACTTTGGGGACTTGGAGGGAAGAGTGGGAAGGGGGTGAGGGATAAAAGACAACAAGTATGGTGCAGTGTATACTGCTCAGGTGATGGCTGCACCAGGATCTCACAAATCACCACTAAAGAATTTACTCATGTAACCAAATACCACCTGTATCCCAATAACTTATGGAAAAAAAATCAGGGGCCAGGTGCAGTGGCTCACATCTGTAATTCCAGCACTTCGGGAGGCTGAGGTGGACGGATCACTTGAGGTCAGGAGTTCAAGACCAGCCTGACCAACATGATGAAACCCCGTCTCTACTAAAAATACAAAAAAAATTAGCCATGCATTGTGGCGTGCACCTGTAATCCCAGTTACTTGGGAGGCTGAGGCAGGAGAATTACTTAAATCTGGGAGGTGGAGGTTGCAGTGAGCTGAGATCTCACCGTAGCACTCCAGCCTGGGTGAAAGAGCGAGACTCCATCTCAAAAGAAAAAAAAAAGAAAAAAAACAAAGCCAGGCACAGTGGCTCATGCCTGTAATCCCAGCAGTTTGGGAGGTGGAAGTGGGAAGATCACTAGGTCAGGAGATCAAGACCATCCTAGCTAACACAGTGAAACCCTGTCTCTACTAAAAATACAAAAAATTAGCTGGGCATGGTAGCAGGCACCTGTAGTCCCAGCTACTTGGGAAGCTGAGGCAGGAGAATGGCGTGAAAAAAAAAAAAGTAAGAACCTTTAAGTTACATTTCAGAAGGCACACCATTCCCATCAAACCAAATTAATAAGAGCCTATATGACCAATCAAATCTTGCTGCATTTTGTGCGAAAAAATCAGGCCAAGTATAATAAGCCTAAAACTTATTTTGCACATAAATTGGTCTTACTATAATTTCTCTCTGGTACAAAAGGAGGGCTAGAAAGAGAAATTCTTTCAAAGGAAAATTATAACACTTATTACTAGATTCCAGCCCTGACTTTTGTTTTTGAGTGCAGATTGAATCATGAATTATCTCTTGGCTACAATAAGCCTCTAAAGAACCAGATTAGAGGCCAGGCATGGTGTCTCATGCCTGTAATCCCAGCACTCTGGGAGGCCGAGGTGGGTGGGTCACGAGGTCAGGAGTTTGAGACCAGCCTGACCAACATGATGAAACCCCATCTCTACTAAAGATACAAAAATTAGCCGGGCGTGGTGATGCGCACCTGTAATCCCAGCTACTCAGGAGGCTGAGGCAGGAGAATCACTTGAACCAGGGAGGTGGAGCTTGCAGTAAGCCGAGATTGCACTACCACACTCCAGCCTGGGTGACAGAGTGAGACTCCATCTCAAGAAAAAAGAGTACCAGATTATAATTTTTCTTCATATTTTCAGTTGGTGCCCTGATGGAATAGATTCCTTTGTCTGTTCTGACACACAAATACTCTTAATTGTCAAATTATTATCATTATGATTGAGACAGAGTATCTATCACCCAGGCTGGAGTGCAGTGGCAAGATCTTGGCTCACTGCCACCTCTGCCTCCTGGGCTCAAGAAATCCTCCAGCCTCGGCCTCCTGAGTAGCTGGGACTACAGGCACACACCACCAGGCTCTGCTAATTTTTGTATATTTTTTAGAGACAGGGTTTTGCCATGTTGCCAAGGCTGGTCTCAAACTCCTGGGCTCAAGTGATCCACCTGCCTCGGCTTCCCAAAGTTCTAGGATTACAGATGTGAGCCACCGCACCTGGCCAATTGTCAAATTGTTAATGTTATTTATCTCTCCTTGTTTTACCTCCAAGGAAAGCAGAATCATGGCATTCTGAAGACTAGAGATGCTAACCTCTCTCATTTGGCACCCCACTGGGCCCAATTTGCTTTTTACTGCAAATGCCCTGCTGTTGAAACTATACAAGCACCCTCCCTCTGGGCCCAGGGACTGTTGTGGAAGAGGTGGGCACGTGACATTGTAAGGGCAGGGTTTGAGGGATATTGTTAGCTCAGATCCTCCAAATCAAGGATGGGTACACAAATGCCTAAACAGCTGGGCAAAGGACAAAGGGACTTTTGACTTCTGAGCCAATGTGTGGCACTGTATTAGTCTGTTCTCACACTGCTAATAAAGACATACCTGAGACTGGGTAATTTATAAAGGAAAGAGGTTTAATTGACTCACAGTTTAGCATGGCTAGGGAGGTCTCAGGAAACTTACAGTTATGGTGGAAGGGGAAGCAACCACATCCTTCTTCACATGGTGGCAGGAAGGGGAAAAATGAGAGCTGAGCAGAGGGAAGCCCCTTATCAAACCATCAGAACTTGTGAGAACTTACTCACTATCACGAGATTAGCATGGGGCAAACTGCCCCCATAATTCTATTACCTCCCACCAGGTCACTCCCACCACACATGGGGATTATGGGAACCACAGTTCAAGATGAGATTTGGGTGGGGACACAGCCAAACCATACAGGCACTTTTTTATCCATTCCCAACCACAAAGAATTTTCTGCTTCCTGTAGAATTAAAAGACAATTTTTACGGAGAGGATACAAAGATCCTCCTAGACAAAGCCTCCTGGGCATAATACTCCTAGTTAGGAGATTTATGCAGATAGATATATATTTTTAAAAGTTTTACCAGCCATCTTAGAACAAATTACTAGAAGGCCACAAAAAGCACTGCAGCACCACAAAAGTATCTAAATTCCTTAGCTTAAAAGGTTATAGTAATGCTTATGTTTTGCTATAAGTTAATTGCTATAAGTCTATAACTAAAACCAAGATTACAGTAGCTCAACACATAGAAATTAAAGATAGATAAAGTTATTGCGGGATCTGGCCAGCAGCCCGCAATGCAATGGGGCTCTCTCTTTGTTCCCAGGCAGATTGGCAGGTCGAAAAATAATAAACACACACAAGATAGTGAAAGCTGGGTCCGGGGGGGTCACTGCCTTCTGGTCCTGCAGTGCCAACAATGCACTGGATATACCAGCATTTATTATTAAGTTTAGTGAGGGCGGGGGTAGGTTAGTGCGGGATTTAGGGTCATTTGATTATGAGGTGAGATGGTCACATGGGGATGAAGTAATTCTTTAACATAACATCTGTATGCAGAAGTACAGTATACAGGGATAAGAATTTATAATATAGCGTGTGCATCAGTAATTTCTAACAGAGCCTAAAAACAGAAACACAGGCTTTCCATAACCTATGATTAGCAAGATATTAATCAGCGGTAACAGTTGCAGCAAAAGCTGGTTACAAACAATCTGTAGAAACAGGACGTGAAGCTAGACAACCGGTTAGACCAGAAATTCTCAGAAGGGAGTGTGCCTTAACCCTAAAGAGGCCTAGAAGAGCCATGGCAAGATGAGGGCATTTTTAGCCCTATCTTATCCATATGGACAGGGGCCCCTCATGTGTCCATTTATAGGCTCTCTACAAGGGTCGCATTCCATTCCCAGAGCTATGAACATCTGCTTTTCTGGGATAGGAATCTTGGTGATGTGAAACCTCCCTGACTGCATATCCATTCATAGGCTCTCTGCCGGGGGAAGCACATCACGCGCTGTTGGCTCATTCTGGCAGTCCAACCTGGCATTGTCTTTACACAATCCTGCATGCAACTTTGTGTTTACAATAATCAGGAGCATTTCATCTTTTATTCTGTAGCAATAGTTTCAAGGGGTCTCCTTACATAAAGTCAATTTTATAACCTCACCTTTGGCTTTTATTTTATTTTATTTTATTTTTTTATTTTTTAAAACCAGAACATTTATTGCATGACTAATTGTTGACATTCTTAAGATGAACTGGATGCTGCAACAGCTGCCCTCTTGGGTTTAGGTGTTGTTCCTTCACGGAATCCATGCCTGAATCTGTGTTATACAATTTTTAGGTGCCTCATTCGACCAGTTCTGGTGGTTTTTCATCTTTTAGCCTTGGCACTCCAGTTATACTTTCTCTTGCGCTTGGCAGAGTAGCCACATTTGCCACAGGTCGACTTCTGAAGGTGGTAGGCCTCAGAGCCACAGCAGCGGCACAACGTGTGTGTCTTATTGCGATGCTTTCCAAACGATGATGCTCCCTTCGTCATCTCGCTTCTGCGGCCGAGACCAGAAAGTGGCTTTTTGTTTGTACACAAAAATTTTCCAGGCACGGTGGTGCACACCTATGGTCCCAGGTACTTGGGAGGCTGAAGTGGGAGGATTTCTTGAGCCCGGGAGGCAGAAGTTGCAGTGAGCCGAGATCATGCCACTGCACTCCAGCCTGGGTGGCAGAGTGAGACCTCGTCTCAAAAAACCAAACCAAAACAAAAAAAGTTAATGAATGCCTGTTCACATCCATCTTTCCTAGAACATTTAAATTGGCTATAAATCTTTGACTCTATGTCTCTTGGCCATATGTAGTCCCACCAAGGGACAGGATGGACCTGGGGCAGGCAGCCTTGCTGCCCTGGCAATGCCAGGGAATAAAATAAAAGTTTTGGTGGCCATTGATCTTGCCTCTGGCAAATCTTGGCCAGAAGGGGAAGACAATAAACCAGAAATAAAATTCTAAAACACCCAACCATCTAAATTGACCCCTCCTCTCAGCCAAGGGCATTCTAACCTTAACCTGAAAAACTATTTCAGGCCAAGATGGGAAGCAGGGGCCAGACATGCCTCGTTATACCCTCCTCCCTTTTGGACTTACTGATAGAACACACTCTTAAGTCTGGTAAGAAACATTCACGATCTATTATCTTTCAAGCCTGCTACCTGGAGGATTCATCTGCATGATAAAATCTTGGTCTCCACAACCTCGCTGGAGTGCAGTGGCATGACCTTGGCTCACTGCAAGCTCCATCTCCCAGGTCCAAGTGATTCTCTTGCCTCAGTCTCCCAAGTACCTGGGACTACAGCCATGCACCACCACGCACAGCTCATTTGCTTTTTTTCTGGAGGCAAGGTCTCGCTATGTTACCCAGGCTGGTTCCAAACTCTTGAGCTCAAGCGATCCTCCTGCCTCAGCCTCCCAAAGTGCTGGGATTACAGGCATGAGCCACTGTGCATGGCTTTGGTGCAATTTTTTAAAAGGCCAGATGTCAATTCAGGCACTCTGTTTCTTCCTGTGTTAAATTTTGTAAGATATACACTTCCCTGGGAAATTTACCAATGTGTTCTAAGTTTTCAAATGTATTTATAGTTATTTACAGAATTCGCTTTCCCTTTAAACATTTTGACTGTAGCCATTATGATGTCCTAGTATCAATTAGTTATTTTGGTTTTGTGGTTTTTTTTTTACTATTTTTCATTTTTAAAAACTGGGTTTACAAATAAAGATTGAATATAGTCAAGATGTGCCATGCAATGATTTGATACATATACATGGTGTATAGTTATTTTTTTTCCTACTCAGCCTCGTCAGATGTTGGCCAATATTGGTCTCAGCACTGTGAGAGGCAGAGGCGGGTGATCACCTGAGGTCAGGAGTTTGAGACCAGCCTGGCTAACATGGTGAAACCGCATTTCTACTAAAAAAAAAATACAAAAATTAGCCGAGCATGGTGGCGGTGCCTGTAATCCCAGCTACTCGGGAGGCTGAGGCAGGAGAATCACTTGAGCCCAGGAGGTGGAGGTTGCAGTGAGCTGAGACTGAGCCACTGCAATCCAGCCTAGGCAACAGAGCAAGACTTTGTCTCTGGAAAAAAAAAAAAAAAAGAACCATCTATTTTGTTGATCTTGTCTCTTATGCTTTGTTCTCTATTTCATATATTTTTGCTCTAATTATTCCTTTATTTTCTTAGATTTACTCTGTAGCTTTTTAAAATCATCTTATTGTTTACAATTAATTGTAGTTCTTTGATGTTTTCTTTCTTTTCTTTTTTTTTTTCTGAGACAGAATCTCACTCTTGTCACTCAGGCTGGAGTGCAGTGGCACAGTCTCAGTTCACTGCAACCTCAGCCTCCCAGATTCAAGCGATTCTCCTGCCACAGCCTCCCAAGTAGCTGGGATTACAGGTACCTGCCACCATGGCAGGATAATTTTTGTATTTTCCGTAGAGGCAGGGTTTCATCATGTTGGCCAGGCTGGTCTCGAATTCCTGACCTCAGGTGATCTGCCTGCCTTGGCCTCCTGAAGTGCTGGAATTACAGGCATGAGCCTGTAATTTTTCTTTTTCTTTTTCTCTCTCTCTTTTTTTTTTTTTTTTTTTTTTGAGACAGTCTTGCTTTGTCACCCAGGCGGGAGTGCAGTGGCATGATCTCAGCTCACTGCAACCTCCACCTCCCAGATTCAGGCAATTCTCTGGTCTCAGCCTCCCAAGTAGCTGGGATTACAGGCACACAGCACCATGCCTGGCTAATTTTTTTTTTTTTGAGACGGAGTTTCACTCTATCACCCAGGCTGGAATGCAGTGGCACAATCTTGGCTCACTGCAACCTCCGCCTCCCAGGTTCAAGTGATTCTCCTGCCTCAGCCTCCCAAGTAGCTGGGATTACAGATGTGTTCCACCATGCCCAGCTAATTTTTGTATTTTTAGTAGAGGCGTGATTTCACCATACTGTAGCGGGATTGATAAGGAATCAGAGAGACCAACGGGGTTGAGAAGGATATTTATTATTTAGGTGTACTGGCCCAGTCAGATTAATATCCAAAGGACTGAGCCCTGAACAAAGAGTTAAGTTACCTTTTAAGGTAGATCTGTGCAGGGGGAAGCATATTACAGAAGTGAGAAAAAAAGACAGTTATTTAATTAATTGAGACATGCATTATATCATTTCTTACTTTTCAAGGAAAAACATGTTTTACAACTTGAGTTTATCTGTCTAGTGACCTTGCAGCTGCACAGCTAGAGAAACGGTCTTCACAATGCCTGGGAAAGGGGAAGAGATGAGGCTCCCTAGCCACAGAAAAACAGGCAGTTAATTTTTAAAGGACTCCAGCTCTTTCTCTTTCTCAGGGGGAACTGTGTTTTCTTATATGTAACTGAGTTTTTGCTTACACGTTCTTTAATTTCTTTTAATTCCTGTTTCATTTTCCCATCTTTGGTGCTTTTTATAACAAAGGTGTTAATAGAAAGCACCACTATTTGCCACCTCTTCGTGGAGCTGAGCTGCTTCTTCTACTGGCAGTGGCTGATATTTGGTTAATGCCATCAACTGCACGGTAGTGAGTCAGGTTACTATTGCCTCTATAGTTGACTGAATACTCTTAATAAGCAGCGGTAAAAGGCAAGAGAGGATGAGGCAGATGCCAAGAATAAGTAAGAACCCACCAATGAGGGTTTTGAATTTTCCAAAAGTTGAGAACCATCCTCCAAACAAGGAATCCGGGGACCACCCGGACCATGTCTGAACTTGAACATGGGCCAGCTTGCGCATTTCAGCTGTGATTTCCATGACAGCTCGGCCATTATTATCGATTTCTAGGCAAAGGTTGGTTAAACTAAATTTTCCACATACTCCTCCTTCTGAGACTAAGAGGTAACCTAAAGCCAATCTATTTTGATATATAGCATTTCTCATTTGTGTTGCTTGTATTGCTAGTAAATCTAGTGCCCTTGACGTTTCATTGGTTATAATTTCTTTGTAATTTCTAGGACTGCCTGCAACCTTATGATGTGGTTGAGCATATAGATGGGGGTATGTTACCCCATGCGCCCAGGTAGCTGGCCCATAATATTTAATGATTCTTTCAGGAGGCCATTTATTATCTTTCCTGTTTTCTAATACTGGTCAGGCTAGTCTCGAACTGATTTTCTTATATAAATATTTAGAGAGATATATTTTCCTCTAGGCATCATATCACTCCACTCCACAAGTTTTTGATATTTTCATTATTGTTTAATATTAACATTTGCTAATTTCCTTTATAATTTCTTAGTTAATCTATACATTATGTAGCAGCATATTTTTTGCCTTTCAAATGTATGGCTGCTGATATTGTTTTATTATCCATTTTAACTTGATTACCTTATAGTCAAAGAATCTCATATATATAGCCAGATTCTTGAAATTTCCTTTTTTTATTTTTTATCTTTTTTGAGACAGAGTCTCACTCTCTCGCCCAGGCTGGAGTGCAGTGGCATGATCTCAGGTCACTTCAACCTCTGCCTCCCGGGTTCAAGTGATTCTCCTGCCTCAGCCTCCCGAGTAGCTAGAACTACAGGCACGTGCCACCACGTCTGGCTAAGTTTTGTATTTTTAGTAGAGATGGGGTTTCACCATGTTGGCCAGGCTGGTCTCAAACTCCTGATCTCAGGTGATCCACGTGACTCAGCCTCTCAATGTGCAGGGATTATAGGCATAAGCCACTGTGCCTGGCCTGAAATTTCTTAAGACTTGCTTTGGTGCATGGTATGTGATCAATTTTATGACTGTTTCATGTGTGCTCAAAAGCACATGCCTCCTTCTGCCACATATATATATATATATATATATATATATATATATATATATATATATGTATGTATGTATTTCCATTAGCTCAATTTTGCTAATTCTGTTGTTCAAATCTTTTATCATATTACTATTTTGCCAGTTTGACCTATTTGTTTCTGAAGGAAGCGTGGATTGGGCAAATTTTCCTCCTAATTCTGTCCATGTTTTATTTCTATATTTTGAGGACATGCTGTTAGGTAGTGCTATAGACTGAATGTTTTTATCTCCTTTAAATTCCCATGTTGCAACCCTAACCCCCAATATGATGGTATTAAGAGGTTGGACCTTAGGGAGGTAATCAGGTTGAGATGAGGTCCTGAAGGTGGGGTCCCGGATGGAGTTTTCTTCCTTATAAGAAAAGGAAGAGACCAGGTGCGGTGGCTCACACCTGTAATCCCAGCACTTTGGGAGGCCAAGGCGGGCAGATCACCTGAGGTCGGGTGTTTGAGACCAGCTTGGCCAACATAGTGAAACCCTATCTCTACTAAAAATACAAAAATTAGCCAGGCATGGTGGTGGGTGCCTGTAATCCTAGCTACTTGGGAGGCTGAGGCAGGAGAATCCCTTGAACCCAGGAGGTAGAGGTTGCTGTGAGCCGAGATCGGGCCCCTGCACTCCAGCCTGGGCAACAGAGTGAGACTCTGTCTCAGAAAAAAAAAAAAAAAAAAAAGAAAGAAAAGGAAGAGACACCAGATATCTCTCTGTCTCTCTCTCTCTCTCTCACTCACTCTCTCTCTCTCTCTCTGTACCATATAAGGAGACAGCAAGAAGGCAGCCTTTGGAAAGCCAGGAGGAGGGCCCTCACCAGGAACCAAATCAGTCAGCACCTTGATCTTGGACTTCCCAGCCTTCAGACTATGAAAAATAAATTTCTGTTTAAGCCACCTAGTCTGTAGTATTTTAGTACAGCAGCCTGAACTGACTAATACAGTATTTGTGAGGGCTCTGATTTTTTCTAAGTGTTGGCAAGGATGTGGAGCAATTGGAATCCTCAGACGCTGCTGGTGGAGATGGGGAATCGTGTGCCTGCTATGGAAAACAGCGCGGTGGCTCCTCAAAAGTTAAACATTGAATTGCCATGTGACCTAGCAATTGTGTTCCCAGGTATATACCCAAAAGAATTGAAAATAAGCATTCAAACAAATACTTGTACACAAATGTTTACAGCAGTGCCATTCACAATGGCCCAAATGTGAAAACAATCCAAGGGTCCATCACAGATAAACAAAATGTGGCCCATCCAGACAACGCAATATTAGCCATAAAAACAAATGGAGGTGGAGCACGGTGGCTCACACCTGTAATCCCAGCACTTTGAGAGGCCAAGGCAGGTGGATCACCTGAGGTCAGGAGTTTGAGACCAGCCTGACCAACATGGTGAAACCCTGTCTCTACTAAAAATACAAAAATTAGCCGGGTGTGGTGGCACATGCCTATAGTTCCAGCTACTTGGGAGGCTGAGGCAGGAGAATCACTTGAACCTGGGAGGCAGAGGTTGCAGGGAGCTGAGATCACACCACTGCACTCCAGTCTGGGTGACAGAGCGAGACTCCATCTCAAAACAAAACAAAACAAATGGAGTTTGACTGTGAACCCAAAACTGCTCTGAAAAACGAAGTCTATGTTTGAAAAAAGGATGAAGTATGGACACATGCTGCAACCTGGCTTAACCTGGAGAACACTGTGCTAAGTGAAAGAAGCCAGGCACATACTGTACGGTCCTATTTGTATGAAATGGCCAGCATGGGCAAATCCCCGGAGGTAGAAAGCAGATTGGCAGTTGCCAGGGGATGGAGGTGTGGGGAATGGGGAGTGATTGCTTATGGGCACACAGTGTTCTAGAGTGTTGGAGTGTTGGAGTGTTGAAAAAGCCCCCAAGGGCCATCCAGCCTCCATCTTCTGACACCACTTTTGCTTCGTGGCTCTCAAGACAAGGGGAAAATTTAGTGTTTCTTAGAAACTTAACAGGATGCGGTAAGGTCAGGCACTTCCAAGAGCTGACCCATCAGTCAGCCCTTACTCATCCCCAAGCAGAGGTATAGTGGTATTGTGGAGGGCCTTTGCTGGACACTCTGCCAAATAATTGGACCTTACTTGTACTCTAGTTGAACTGGCTATCCCTTTTACCCTGGCAATTCATCAACCAGAAAAACAACAACAACAACAAAAAACACGACATCGTAAAACAAGAGAAGCCAGTCTTGGGTCCTTTGACCCCCATGTTTATTTAGATGGAACTAGCATTCCACAAGGTATACCAAATAAATTCAAAGCTAGAGATCAAATAGCCACGGGGTTCAAATCCCTCCTCCCACAAATAACAATAAAAACATAGGGACATCAGCAGAAGAATGTAAGTAGGGTAATCTATACATTTTATAAGGGGACAATCCAACATCTTTCCTAGGGGCAGTTTTAATTTTTAATAAAGCAATAGGAAGACGTTTAGTTCATGGCAAGCAAGTCATTAGGACTGATTTAGTTACATGATTTTTAAGAGTTTGATTTATCCTTTTTACTCCTCCCGAAGAGGATGGATGCCAAGGAATGTGATATTCCCACTTTATGTCTAGTACTTAGGGCAGTACTAGATAATAACACGTGCAGTAAAATGGGTTTCATTGTGTGAATTAATATTTTTTATTAAGCTAAACCTAGGTACAATATGTTTAATTAAGGCTTTGACTGCATTACTGGCAGTTACACTTGAAAAAACAATGGCTTTTACCCAGTGGGTAAAATGATCTACTATTACTAATAAATATTTTAGGCCACCAATTGGGGGCATTTTACTATAGTTAATTGGAACACTTTGAAATGGCCATCGTCCTGGATTTTTTCCTCTAAGGGGTAACTTTTTTTAAGGCTTGTTTATTTGTGTTTTTTTTTTTTTTTTTTTTTTTTGCAAATTAAATAACTGTAACTTGTTTGGCTAAAGTATAAACTTTAATGCATCCATAAACAGAACTGCATCACACATAGCTTGGGGATCCTAATTACTTCCCTGATGTAGTTGGGACAAAATTTCTCTTATAAGATGCTTGGATAACATTTCTCTTTGATCTGGAAGTATCCATCTTCCTTTTGAATTTTTTTTGAGCTCTAATCTTTTCTAACTTTTTCGTCTTGAGAGAAAATAGGAACTACAATAGGAGAAGGGAGACAAGGGGTTAAATGAAAAATGCACGTCTCAGAAACAGCAGCCTGCTTTGCTATTTGGTCTGCAAGATTGTTTCCTCGACTTTTAAAAGAAAAGTTAGGTTGGTGTCCTGGAACATGGACAATGGCTATTTCTTCAGGTAACTGAAGATTATTAAAAACATGAACAATTAGTGTTTCACGAGGAAGTTCTTTACCTTTACTGTTAATTAGTCCTTGCTTAGCCCCAATTTTCCCAAATGTATGAGATACCCCAAAGGCATATTTAGAGTCAGTATAGATGGTTTTTACCTGGTTCTGTAAATATTTTAGGGCGTGACTGTGAATAACTCGCAAGGTTGGGCAGACTAACTATTTGATAATCTTCCTGATTTTACTTCTTTTAAGATCTTCCTATAATTATAGCATATCCATTATGTCATGTCCCTTCAATTACCCGGGAGGAGACATCTATAAATAGATGTCGCTCTGTTTTAAAAGGGGTCTCTACTAAATCTGGCCTAACTTTTGTATGATAGTCAATTAAATCTAACCACAAATGTTCTTTTTTTGAGCAGTAGGTTTCCTGTTAAGAAGCTTGCTGGATTTCAGGAATTATCTGTTAAATCATCTTTTTTTTTAATAGAATAGCCTCATATTTTAAGATTCTAGAATCAGTAAGCCATCTCCCAGCTTTTTGGTTTAGGATCACCTTAACTTGGTGAGGGGTGCTCACTGTTAGGTACCCTTCAAAAGTTAATTTCTTACTTTCTTCAACTAGTATTGCTGTGGCTGCTAGAGACTGAATACACGGAGGCCATCTACTGGCAACTGGATCTAATGCTTTTGATAGAAAGGCTACTGGTTGTTGACCGCCTCCATGTTCTTTAGTGACCACCCTACTCTATTGTCTACATTCACAAAAAGATGACATGATTTTCTGAAGAGGGTAAGGCTAGGATGGGAGCAGTGATGAGTCTTTCTTTTAATTTCTCCACTTGATTAACTTCTTTAGAAGTCCATATAAGGGGATGCGTTTCCTCTTTAGTTAATTTCTTATATAAGAGCTTACTTTTTAATGCATATGAGTCCATCCATAAACGACAGTACCCAACTAATCCCAGGAATTTTTTAAGTTCTTGTTTGGTTCGGGGCAAGGGTAGAGACATGATTTTCTCAATTTTGGGGGGTCTTATTTTTCTTTTATCTGCACTTATTAAATGGCCTAGATATTTAACTTTAGGTTCTACATATTGAAGCTTTTCTTTTGAAACCCATAACCCTTTATCTTGTAGGTGGTTAAGAACTTTTGTAGAAAGTCCAGCTACCTTTTCTATCTCTTCCTTAGATGTAAGAATATTATCTACATATTGAAGAAAGCATAACTGTTTTGGGACAATAATTTTTTTTAAATACTTGACAAAAAAGATTGGGAAAATCTGTAAATCCTTGGGGTAAAAACTGTCCACCTGTATTGTTGCTTTTGCCTAAATAGGGGTCCTCCCACTCAAAGGCAAATATATTTTGGCTGTCTTTAGCCAAAGGACATGCCTAAAATGTATCTTTTAAGTCTATTACTGTGAACCACTGATGACTATATGGAATTTTACTAAGAATAGTGTAGGGGTTAGGCCCAACAGGATGAGTGGTTTGAACTATTTGATTGATAGCTCTAAGATTTTGCACTAATTGGTATGATTCATCTGATTTTTTTGACTGGTAACATTGGAGTATTGTATGGAGACATAGAAGGTTCAATAGCCCATCTTTAATAAGTCTTTTGATTACAGGCTTTAACCCTATTCTTCCTTCTAAAGGAATAGGGTATTGCTTTCTTTTTACTATTTCCCCTGGAGTCTTTAACTGAACATGTGTTGGAGGAATCTGTAAATTTCCCTGATTACCTTCCCTTGACCAGACAGCTGGATGAATGTATTTTTTATCTGCTATAGCTAACAAATTTAAAGAGGTTAGGAAACCTTTTGGACTAACTTGTAAACCTATACCTAACTTTAACGTTAAATCTCTTTCTAACAAATTGGCTTTTGCTTTAGGAATTAATAAAAATTGTATATAAACTAATCAATTTATATATTTAACTTCTGTATTTTCTAAAACTTTTGCCTTGAATCCTTCCCCTTTAACCCCAGAAACTGTTAATTCCTTTGGGGAACAAACTAAATGAGCTGAAGGAAAACAGACAGGTGAATGGGCTTCTCCTGAGTCGACTAAAAAGGTGATTAATTTATGTCTGGGTCCCACCTCTAAATTTATCAAGGGCTCTTGGTGGGACTCAAAATAGAAAAGTCAGAGCCCCTGACCCCCCTATTCTTCTTTAAAAGTGGTCACAAGTGGGGGAGCTTTTTCTGCCTTTTCTAACTTGGGACATTCCCTTTTAAAACGACCTGGTCTCCCGCATCTGTAACATCTGTCTTTTCCTTCCTCCCTACCAAGCCCAAAGCTTCTTTGCTTCTCCTCTTTATTTTCACATCCACAGCTCCTATGACACTTACTTTGACATTTTTTTCTAAAATACTGACCTGGCCGGGCGCGATGGCTCACACCTGTAATCCCAGCACTTTGGGAGGCCGAGGCGGGCAGATCACGAGGTCAGGAGATCCAGACCGTCCTGGCTAACACGTGAAACCCCGTCTCTACTAAAAATACAAAAAATTAGCTGGGTGTGGTGGCGTGGGCCTGTGGTCCCAGCTACTCAGGAGGCTGAGGCAGGAGAATGGCGTGAACCTGGGAGGCGGAGCTAGCCGAGATCGCACCACTGCACTCCAGCCTGGGTGACAGAGTGAGACTCCATCTCAAAATAAATAAATAAATTAATAAATTAATAAATTAGTTTAAAAAAATAAATACTGACCTTGCCTTCTTTTTTTGTTTTGCATTTTTGAATTCCTAAACTTTTTCCTTTTGCCTCCCCTAGAGAATTTTATAGGCCCAGGTCTAGATCTGGTCTCTGGCATCGTCTGCCAGAGACTAGTGAATTTTGCCAAAAGATTTTTGCTTTTTGCCTTTGTCTTTCCTTATTTTTTTACATATAGTTTTTGAGCCTTTTTAAATAACTTTTTTATTGATTTTTTAAATTTTCTAATTTTTGTAACTTTTTAGTAATGTCTGGCCAACTGTGAGTAACAAAGTGCAGTTTTAACATTCCTTGCCCAAGAGGGCTTTCTGGGTCTAAGTTAGCATTTTTTTTATTTGTTCTTTTAATTTATCTATGAACCTCATAGGTCCTTCATCTTTCTTTTGTTGGACATTAAATGCTTTGGAAAGGTTTTGGGGTCTGGGTGCTGACTTTTGAATCCCCCTGATTATTATTTTTTAAAAAATTCCTTATATTATTTCGGTGGGCAGCATTATTTTATCCCACTGCGGGTCCTGAGCAGGGAATTTATGATTTGCTGCCAGAACATTTTGACCTGGAGGATGTTTACGTTCCCAGATCGTATTTCTTTTTTTCCTTGAAAAAATAATACCTAGGATGCACACTGATTCAGCCCAAGTATATAACTGTGGGCCTAAAAACTGATCAATTTGATCTGCCACCCTGTTAGGATTATTTAACAGTGGCTTTAGTTCTCTTTTTATACTCCAAACTTCAGACCCAGTAAGGGGAGCATCCACAAAACCAATAGCTTCTCCTCCTTGGGGAACTTTCCTTAAAGGAAAGAATGTTGAAGTTAACTTTTTTGGGGGGCAGGAAAAGGGAAATTCTGAATATCCTTCTTACATTGTTTTAATTTTTGTTGGAGTCTTTTCTTTAAAGAAGGATATTTAGAATTTTTAGGCTCCTGGGATTCACAAGAATCTGGGTTATATGGGGGAGGCCTGGAGTGGCAGGGGGGCCTGGAGTGGCAGGGGGGCCTGGAGTGGCAGCTGGGTCAGGGATCAGGTCCAGAAGGGGATCTAGGACAGCAGCAGCTACCTGGGGAGGTGTCAGCAGGTTATTAAGAAACGGGGGAAGGTGGTCTAGAGGGTCCTATCTCTTATTAGATAAGGCCATTTTTGACTGTTTTTTATTTTCTAGTCCCCCTTTGATCGTTTTTAAAGGATAAAGAATAATATAGGCCCTTGCCGCTAGCATAAAGCATAATCAATTTTTCTTGTGACACAGGACTTTTGCTATAAACATATATTATTAAAAGTTGACAGATTTAATCTTTATCTGACCTAAATTTTGACCAAAAAACCGCTGGCTTGAGAATTGGCTTTTTAGTCCAAATAAAGCAACAATACTTAATTATCTGCTGCTTTTTTTAAATTTAGTTTTTTTATTATCTTTCCAATACTTTAACATGAGCCTTAAAGGACTATCGGGAGGGATTTGATAACTTGCATCTTTTTTTGCCCCCGATTTACTAGAAACCTTTCCCATATTGAATATCAGGTAGACTTAACCTCTTAATCCTAGAGATTTCTTGTCTATCCTGTTTTTTCCTGGCTTGCTTATATTTTTAACCTTAACGTGCTTGAGGTTTCGTTTTCCCTGAGGAGGATTTAACTCCTCTTTTTCTTTCTGGAGGCTTTTTACACTCTTCACTCGCTTTGTCCTACCTGGCCACTTTCCTCACGGGAATTTAGGCCCCTCTTAGCATTGGCGTGCCGGTATAAACCCCAAGGCAAGATCCGCCTTAAGCCGTATGAGGTAGCCACGGAACCGCAGGCAAGACTCACTCGCTCGGTCCAGCAGTAGGACTTATCATGATTTACACAAGCAACACCAGCTGCAGTGAGGCTTGTGACTATTCACACACACTTTTAACCTCCAGAATATCCCGACCACCAAGCAAGTACTTTGTCGCACCCTTGCGACGTTTCTTTACTTTGCTCTGTGAACAGAGTTTATCTGGTCCCCGAGGCAGTGCAATGCAAGCCTATTCGCCGTTTTCCACGTTGCTGAGGGTCCGGGTTTATTCATCACAACAGGTAAGTCCGGATTCCCAGTCCCTGAGGCCACCGCAGTAAGGCAGTGGGGCGCCTCCCCTTGGTGGGGGGGCGGGAATCAGAGACCCCGACCCGAAGGAGACTGGGTGATCCCAGACGAGCCCCCAAGACTGTTAGAAATAAATCCTTATTCCCCGATGTCACAAAGAAGAATCAGCAGACGAAAAGCTTCCTCAGCAAGGTGATTTTTACCTTCTGCAGAAAGAGTGCTGCCCGTCCGCAATCCTGCCACGATCGCATACAAAATAAAAAAGGCACTAGAATATTTATCCCTTACGCATGAGGTCCCTATTGCCATGTCACTGGCTGGAGCCAGACCTTACCACCTAAACTAAAACCCGATTGGCTAACAGTTTAAACTTTTTTAAATAGGTAAAGGCAGGGAGGAACGAAGGAAAAAAAGGAAGTTGCTTAGGAAAGGACTTAGAAAAGTAATAATATTCCCAAATAAGGGAGGAGTGTACGCTGCAATCTGGGAAATGCCTGGACACGTCCAGCACGAATATTTTGACTAAGGTACAAGGACGTAGAATGTACTACGTGCCTGTGAGCATGTTTAACATAGATATTGAAGTCAGAGTATGCTTATTCTGTTACATTTGCTACATAAGGCATAACAGAGAGGTATTACTATAAAATAAGAAACTTGAAGAAAGTTAGTTCTGAGAAAAGATATCAATAACATTTATGATTTAAAGGGGAAGCTTTGAAGAGGAACCTTTGCTTTCTACAGTCAAGGTCTCACTAAGTTGCCCAGGCTGGTCTTGATCTGCCCGCTGTGGCCTCCTAAAGTCTGGGATTGCAGGCATGAGCCACTGTGCCTGGCCCTTCCTTTTGGAAGCCCGGTTTGAATACTGCCCTCTTGTTTTTAGCTATTTGTTATGGCAGCAACCCACCTGCAATACAAAAATCCAGACAAGTTATCTGCTGCAGTATAACAAATTACCCCAAAACTGAGAGGCTTAAAACAGTTCTCAGTTATGATTCCACGGCTTCTCCAGGTCAGGAATCTGGCTGCAGCTTAGCTGGGCCCTCTGGCTCACAGTCCCTCCCAGGCTGCAACCCAGGCATCGTACTTGATGTGGGAATTGCTGTGGACCAGTGCCTGCTTCAGGCTTCCCACCAACCCCTTCCTGGCTTTGAACAGAAATAGCCACAGCAGGCATCTTAGGTGTCATAGACAGAGAGACTCTATTTTTGTTGTTTGATCACCGACAGCTTCTATGTCCCCATCCCTCCACTTTGCCCCATATCTGGGTGGCCCAATCAGAGAGCCCAAGGGTGCCCTCTGTCTCTTGGCATGAGTGGGAATTTCAAACCACATCAGCCCCAGGCTGCACCTGGGCACCTCCACCCGGGTCATCCTTCTGCACGGCAGAAACCTGAGGCCACTTCTTCCCTCCCCACACAGCTTATTCTGCTCCAGACCAACCTTGAGCCCTCCTGTGGGAGGAAGGGCTGTTTCTCCTCTTGCTGTTTATTATGTGAGTGATAAATTTGATGTCATGTCCATTGGTGCCAATGTCTTTCATCCCAGTATCCACAAATCCCTGGGTGGGGGCCGCCCAGTGTCCGGCAGGGATGCCAGGCACCCAAATCACACAATTTATGCTGGGAACCGGAGGGCTGGATGCCGATCCTACATAGCATGTGTTTCTTCTCTCACTCTTGGCTTACTCACCAGGTCCATACCACAGGTAGTGGGCTCAGACTGGCCTGGACCGTCTTGGCCGATTGCTGGCACGCCTGTGCTCTGGGCCACATCACTTTAGGGTGGTTCTCCTGGGATTTTCCAAGCATCTGCTTTAAAAGTAGCAGCTTAAGCCAGAGGTAATGATGGGGAAAGGGGGCTGAGGAGCCAGACATAAAGTGAATCCTGACCCCAGACTGGACCCTAGTAGTTGGTAGCATCATTCATTGGAGGGAATGGTTATATGTCTCAGCCAGAAGCTGGCCCCACATTTCCCAAACGCTGCACGTAAAAAGGCAAGAACTCCCCGCGGGGGCCACTGTTTGAACAAGAATTTATGTGGTGTTCAGAGCCCCAGGATTCCCATGGCAGAGGTTCCTCAGGGCTCGGCAAGCAGGTACATTACTGCTGCTGTCCTCACTGCCGTGACATGGTCATGCACACTGAGACTCCCTGGAGAAAAAAATTAAATAAACCCCCCCCCTAAAATATCCCTAATTACAAAAGGTGAAGATAAAATGACTCAGGTCAAGGAAAAAAATTGTCCTAACTGTCATCCAAAAGACCACCAGGACGGCTACACAGTCGAAAGAGGAGCTTTACTGGCAAACTGGGAGGAGAGACTCATCTCAAACAAACAAAAAAGGAAATGTAATTGCCATTGTAACAATGTCGTGGAGGGGACCCTCCATAGGCGATTAGGTCATGAAGGCTCTGCCCCCATGAATTAATTAATCCTGTTATGGCAGGAGTAGGTTAGTGATCACGAGACTGGGTGTGTTATAAAAGTGAGGTCGGCCTGATTTCCTCCCTGTCTCACATGCTTGCTTCTGCCTTACACCCTTCTGCCACAAGATGACCCTTGCCCAAAGCCAGCACCATGCTCTTGGACTTCCCAGCCTCCAAAACTGGGAGAAATAAATTTCTTTTATCAGTTGTCCAATTTGTGGTGTTAATTTGCAGACTAAGACAGGCTTTCTAATAACGTTTGTTGGGGCTACTTGGATTTTTGAGGCAACATATTCCCACTTACACATTTCATGAAAACCTCTTTATTCAATTTCTCCTAAGTCTGCTCATTATAAACAGCCACTTCACACAAGCCCTCCAGGCTGTGTAGGGAACGGCTCCACCATGGCACCCTGGTGGCCCTGAACATATCCACACAGGCTACAGAGGCGAAAGCTCAAACTGAGGCTCATCTGAGTCATGACAGGACACTTTGTGATCCTCCAGAGAGTGGGAGGCCTGTAGGAGCTGCTACCACTCCCGTTGGCTCCCTGTCTCCCCCAGGAGGCTGTCATGAGAAGGTTCTGCATGGCCTTCGGGTTCTGATGAGGCCTGCCACTGTCTGTCCTGCCCTCTTCTGAACAGAGTTGCTGTTGCAGGAAATCAGGGACCCTGAACGGAGTGACCAGCTGGAGCCGTGCCATAGGAACATAAATTGTGAAGATTTCATTTTAATATGGACATTTATCAGTTCCCAAATAATACTTTTATAATTTCTTATGCCTGTCTTTACTTTAATCTCTTAATCCTGTTATCTTCATAAGCTAGGATGTACATCACCTCAGGACCACTGTGATAATTGTGTTAACTGTACAAATTGATTGTAAAACATGTGTGTTTGAACAATATGAAATCAGTGCACCTTGAAAAAGAACAGAATAACAGTGATTTTTAGGGAACAAGGGAAGACAACCATAAGGTCTGACTGCCTGTGGGGTCAGGCAAAAAGAGCCATATTTTCTTCTTGCAGAGAGCCTATAAACGGACATGCAAGTAGGAAACATATTGCTAAATTCTTTTCCTAGCAAGGAATATTAAGATTAATATCCTGGGAAAGGAATGCATTCCTTGGGGGAGGTCTATAATAACCGCTCTGGGAATGTCTGTCTTGTGCAGTTGAGATAAGGACTGAGATATGCTCTGGTCTCCTGCAGTACCCTCAGGCTTACCAGGGTGGGGAAAAACTCTGCCCTGGTAAATTTGTGGTCAGACTGGTTCTCTGCTCTTGAACCCTCTTTTCTGTTGTTTAAGATGTCTATCAAGACAATATATGCACTGCTGAACATAGACCCTTATCAGTAGTTCTGCTTTTGCCCTTTGCCTTGTGATCTTTGTTAGACCCTTATTAGTGGTTCTGCTTTTTGCCCTTTGAAGCATGTGATCTTTGTACTTACTCCCTGTTCTCACACCCCCTCCCCTTTTGAAACCCTTAAGAAAAACTTGCTGGTTTTGAGGATCAGGCAGGCCTCATGGTCCTACTGATATGTGATGTCACCCCGGCAGCCTAGCTGTAAAATTCCTCTCTTTATACTGTCTCTCTATTTCTCAGCCAGCCGACACTTATGGAAAATAGAAAGAACCTACATTGAAATATTGGGGGTGGGTTCCCCCAATATCTGGCACACCAACGTGGTTTTCTTTTTCCTAAGTGCATGTGGGAACCCGATTCCCTTTGGTAGGTATGTAGAAACGTTCATCGGTCCGGTCCACAGAAACCCTTGTTCGGCTCCCTGACAACTGGTGAGTTGTCTGTGTATTGTCCGGGGTAACTATGAGTCATGCAGAATCTAAACATTATGCTTATCTCTGCTATATTAAACTCCTGTTAAAACAGGGAGGAGTTTGGGTACCCATGGAAAATATGGTCACCCATTTCAGGGCGGTGGAAGAACACTGTCCTTGGTTTCCTCAAAAGGGAACGTTAGATGTGGAACTTTGGGATTGTGTTGGTGCAAAATTCCGGGAACCGGTCCCAACAGGAAATTATGCTCCCGTCACTGTTTGGGGTGATTGGGCCTTGGTACGTGCCATCCTAATGACATACCAATCCTGTGACCCCCTGCAGTTACCACAGTTTTCTGAATCTGGAGACCCTCTACCTCTTCCTCAGCTTTCCTCTCCCACTCGGCCTTTGTTATCTGCTCAGCTTCTCCCTTCACCTACTCCTCCCCAACCTGAGAATGTTGAGGATTCAATATCTAACTCCGGTGACTTTGGCTTAATGTCACCCCCTGATGATTTTATTTCTTTTCACGAATTGCTGGTACTTGTAGCTCCCGCGGCCCCGACTTGGACAGCCCGAGACCATATCTATGCTATCTTCCCTCTTCAAACCTTTGCAGCCTTTGCCTCCGGAGCCATCTAATGGCTCTGGGACCAAACTACAATTTATCTGTAATTCTGCAGACCCTCCCCCGTCCACCACAGCCCCTCACCCTCCTGTCATTTCGGTCCCTCAACCGGTCACTTTGCCATCCACTCAAACTGCTTCTCTGTACCCTTCTTCAAGCATGGACACCCCTGCCACTCTGGTTGCACAGGATTGGGCAATAATCACCAGCTTCTGCCCCTTCTGCTCCCCCAATGCCCCTTTCTCGTGCTCTCATACTGGCCCGACCTCCTCAACCTCAGTTTCCCTTATCTACACATACTTTTCCTGTCACTTCTATGCTGACTCCGTCTCATGTGCCTGTTCTTGAAACTTCCATGCAACACTTATTATGCCAGAACAAAGAAACAAGTGGATTAGAGGCGTGGGCTTATCCGGTCGCGCTGGAACCTGCCAATGCTCAAGGGGTACAAGTGCGTCAATATGCGCTGCTCAATCTTACCTTTTTAAAAAAATTCAAGGATGCTTGTACTCAGTATGATCCTGCTTCTCCTTATGTTAAAAGGTATTACAGACTCTTTGTACTGAGGTCATTTTGCTTCCTTTAGACTGGGACCTTTTGGCAAAAGCTGTTCTAACTCCATCTCAGCATTAAAATTCTGTACTTGGTGGTCAGAGGAGGCCCATCTGCAGGCTCAGCTAAATCAGGCTGATGGCATTCCAATTACTCAGGCTCAGCTCACAGGCTCCAATAATTACTCTGACAATACCACCCAATTAGGCTTTGATGCTGTCACCACGGATCAAGTAACAAAGGTGTGTGTAAGAGCTTGGGATAAATTACACACTCCTGCCAAGCTCCTGTTTCTTTTACTACTGTTAAACAGGGTCACAATAAATTATATCCTAATTTTTTGGCTAAATTACAAGATGCTGTTGAAAAATCTGTAATTGGACAAGCTCGGTGTCAAATACTTAAAATTTCTGGATTTGATCCAAATTTAACTATGGTTCCTTTAAATCAGCTCGAAGTTCAAGCCGCTTTTCAACATTGCATACTGTGGCAAATTCACTTGGCTGATTTTATCGGTGTTATTGATGATCATTATCCAAAAAACAAATTGTTTGATTTTATAAAAATGACTTCTTGGGTGGTCCCTCGATTGACCAAAGATCAGCCCATTCCTGAGGCCGTTACAGTGTTCACTGATGGCTCCAGTAACAGAAATGCTGGTTATGTGAGTCCTACAGACAAGCTTATTTCTACCCCTTATACCACTGATCAAAAGGCAGAGTTAATTCTGAAATTATTGCCTTACAAGATCTCCCCAAAACGTTATTGTCTCTGATTCTGTTTATGTTGTACATGCCACAAAAAATATAGAAATCGCTACTATCGAACATAACGATAATTCTGAATTGTCTCCTTTATTTTCAAGGTTACAACAGGTGGTTCGCCAACATAGACACCCTTTCTATATTAACACATATTAGATCTCATGCCACTTTACCAGGACCCATGTCTGCTGGTAACCAGAAGGTCGACTGTTTGGTCTCTTTTGCAATCCATGAGGCTCAGGAGTTCCATAATCTCACTCAGGTCAATGCTGCTGGATTAAAAGATAAATTTGTTCTCACCTGGAAGGAGGTTAAGCTTATTGTCCATGGCTGCCCTCAGTGCCAAGTTTTTGTACTTCCAAATCAGGAACCTGACGTTAATCCCAGAGGCCTAACTCCTAATGATTCACGGCAAATGGATGTGACTCATGTTAGCTCCTTTGGCAGACTTTCATATGTACATGTTTCTGTAGACACCTTCTCAGGTTTTATTTGGGCTATTTGCCAAACAGGGGAAGGCAGAGCCTATGTTAAAAGACATCTGGGCCGGGCGTGGTGGCTCACACCTGTAATCCTAGCACTTTGGGAGGCCGAGGCAGGTGGATCACGAGGTCAGGAGATCAAGATCATCCTGGCTAACACAGTGAAACCCCGTCTCTACTAAAAACACAAAAAATTAGCCGGATGTGGTGGCGGGTGCCTGTAGTCCCAGCTACTTGGGAGGCTGAGGAAGGAGAATGGCGTGAACCCGGGAGGCGGAGCTTGCAGTGAGCCGAGATGGTGCCACTGCACTCCAGCCTGGGCAACAGAGCATGACTTCGTCTCAAAAAAAAAAAAAAAAAAGAAGACATCTGTATTCTTGCTTTGCAGTTATGGGGCTTCCATATCAGATAAAGACAGACAACACCCCTGGATATGTTAGTAAGGCTTTTGATTTATTTGTGCAACAATGGGGAATTTCCAATATTACTGGAATCCCTTACAATCCTCATGGACAGGCTGTGGTGGAACGGGTCAATCACACTTTAAAAACTCAATTGTCCAAACAGTCTGAGCAACAAAAGCATAATTTAACCACTCCCACTCCCAATTACATTTAGCATTGTTTACTTTAAACTTTCTAAATGTTCCTAAAGACAATACTCTGACTGCAGCTGAATGGAGGCAAAAAATTCTCCCTAAATGAAGGCAAGCCAGTGTTATGGAAAAACTCCCAGACCAATACCTGGGAACCTGGAACAATTATAACATGGGGAAGAGAGTATGTTTGTGTTTCACAAGGAGATCATCAATCCCCTGTCTGGGTTCCCACTAGGAGACTTAAATTTCGTGTGAATACTGACAATGAAAACCACAGGGAAAAGACGTCCGCGTCAGAGGCCGCCCTCATACCTGGTGAAATCTGTGCTGATTCCTCAAAAACTGGCACACCAAATCAAAAAGGGTCTGGGTCAATCCTCCCTAATGACAACATAAACCCCTCTAACTAATTCCACTTCTCCTAATTACCTTTCTTTTTCTCCTTACAAACCTAAAAATCTCACCATTTCTATTAGCCTGAAAATAACATCCCTCTGTTCTTCTCTTCCTCCTTCAGTACCGGATCTTGCTTACAATAGGTTTTATTTAATAATTTTTCTACTTATACTTTCTGTCTCACCAGTTTTTCCTCAAACTGATTTACCTGCTACACAAAATTATTCTTATTGGGCTTATATGCCTTTTCCTCCACTTATTCGACCTCTCACCTGGATGGATGCTCCTGTGGAAATCTACACTAATGATAGTGTGTGGAGGCGTGGAGCTACAGATAACCATTGGCCCGCTCAACCAGGAGAAGAAGCCACTGCATTTAATGTTACTATGGGTTATAAATTCCTTCCTCTGTGCCTCGGACATGCACCAGGTTGTATCCATCTAGAAACTCAAGTCTGGGCTGCTTATCTTCTGGAGAGATTAGCCACAGGGGAACAGGGACATTTGGTCTCCGGCCCCTCCCTTTCTCCTTTAAGACAAATGAAAAGGGGAGTAATAGGAGATACCCCATACTTTCAATATAAACCTGTAGGAAAACTATGCCCTAAAAATTTTGAGGGTCCATCTAAAACTTTAATTTGGGAATATTGGGTTAATTCACATGCAGTAGTATTAAAAAATGACTCATATGGTTTAGTAATAGACTGGGCACCAAAGGGCTATTTAAAAAACAATTGCTCCTCTGGCGGAAGGGAATGCCTGGAGGCTGTTTATTTTATTTCTTGTTGGGAGGATGAGGATCATCATCCTACTTTGCATAGGAGGTTCAGCTCGTTCTTTCCCTTAAAATGGGAAGATAAGGGCTTTACACCCCCCACCCCCGAGGCCTTGTATGATACTCCCCATTCTAAGCCCAGAACACCCAGAACTTTGGAAATTGGCTATTGCCATGTCCGGACTGTGGGTATGGGAAGGGGAAACTTTTCTGTCTGTTGTCCCCACTACCGCCCCCTGCATCCGTGATTCTGAACCCCATGATAAATCCCCTTTGAACCTTTTCCTCTTTTTGATGCCGATCCTCCTTTATGGGACTGCGATTGGCATTATGATAATTCTTCTCGACCCCGGTATGCCCCTCTACCTCTTCGGCATCCCCAGGCATCTCGGATTGCTTCTGTACGATGGAGAACATTGGGTTTTGCCACCGCCGCTCCTCTCCCTCAGTATCAACATAGATTCAAACATTCCGCTTTGTTTACCTCCAGCCTGACTATTCCTATACAGAGTTGTCTTAAGCCTCCTTACATGCTATTAGTGGGAAATATCAAAATTTGGACGAAAAATCAAACTGTCCAATGCATTAACTGTCATTTATACACTTGTGTTAACTCCCGTTTTGACTCCAGGAAAAGTGTAATGTTGGTTCGAGCTCGAGAAGGAATCTGGATACTGGTAACTTTACGCAGACCTTGGGAATCCTCCCCCTCTGTACATTTAATTAATGAAGTGTTACAACGAATTCTCAAAAGATCTAAGAAATTTGTTTTCATTTTAATCACTGGATCATGGACCTAATTACAGTCACTGCACTGGCCACCACTGCTGGAGTGGCATCACACCAATCTATTCAAACGGCTCATTTTGTTAATGATTGGCAAGCCAATTCTACCCAAATGTGGAATTCTCAACAGGGCAGTTATCAAAAATTAGCTAATCAAATTAATGATTTAAGACAGTCTGTTATTTGGCTTGGAGATCGGCTAAAAGTCTTGAATATTGCATGCACATGCAGTGCGACTGGAATACTTCTGATTTCTGTATCACACCATATTCCTACAATGAGACTGATCATTCATGGGAAATGATCAAAGGACACCTAGGTAGGGAAGATAATTTATCCTTGGACATAATTAAAGAAACAAATTTTTGAAGCCTCTCAAGCTCATTTATCCATTGTGCCTGGAGCTGAGGTGTTAGATCAAGTGGCAGAAAGTCTTTCTGGACTAAACCCCATGACTTGGATTAAGTCTATTGGGGGCTCCACTGTAGTGAATTTTGGAATCATGTTTCTCTGTTTAATTGGCTTGTTTTTAGTGTGCCAGACCAGTCAAAAAATCCTGCATCAAAACCGAGAGAACGAACAAGCCTTCACCACCATGGCACATTTATATAAAAAGAAAGGGAGAGATGTTGAGGGAAGTCAGGGACTCCGAATGGAGGGACCAGCTGGAGCCATGCCAGAAGAACATAAATTGTGAAGATTTCATTTTAATATAGACATTTATCAGTTCACAAATAATACTTTTATAACACACCAGCATCAGTTACCAAATGCTGCAGCCAAGCTGTCGCTGGGCAGCAGTCACCTCAAGGCTGGCCTGGATGCTGCCTGCTTCCAAGTTCATGCCCTGGTTGCTGACAAGATTCAGTTTCTCCTGGCTTGTTAGAATATGGACCTCAGTTCCTCCCAGGCTGTTGTCCAGAGGCTGCTTTCAGTTCCTTTAAAGGTAGGCCTCAAAAAGAACACCAGAAAGTGTGACCAAGACAGAATCCGTCTTCATAACCTGCCTTCCGAAGGGACAGCCTGTTACTTTTTGCCATTGTATTAGTTTTCTTTTTCTTTTTACTTTTTTTTTTTTTTTGAGACGGAATTTCACTCTTGTCACCCAGGCTGGAGTGCAAAGGTACAATCTCTGCTCACTGCAACTTCTGCCTCCCGGGTTCAAGTGATTCTCATGCCTCAGCTCCCTGAGTAGCTGGGATTACAGGCTCCTGCCACCACGCCTGGCTAATTTTTGTATTTTTAGTAGAGACGGTGTTTCACTATGTTGGCCAGGCTGGTCTCGAACTCCTCACCTCAGGTGATCCACCCACCTCAGCCTCCCAAAGTGCTGGGATTACAGGTGTGAGCCACCGTGCCCGGCCTCTTTTTCTTTTTAAATTGAGACAGGGTCTTGCCCCATCACTCAGGCTGGAGTGCAGTGGTGCAATCACAGCTCACTGTAGCCTCAACCTCCCTGGCTCAAGTGATCCTCCCCACCTCAGCCTCCCTCAGAACTGGGACTACAAGACATGCACCACCACACCCAGCTAATTTTTACTTTTATTTTTGTAGAGACGGGTCTCCGTAGGTTGCCCACACTGATCTCAAACTCCTGGGCTCAAGCAATCCTCCTGCCTTGGCATCCCAAAGTTCTGGGATTACAGGTGTGAGCCACCAATCCCGGCCTTGTATCAGTTCTTTATTGCTCTGTAACAGATTACCATAAATTCCAAAGCTCTAAGCAACACCCATGCACTGTCGCACTGTGGATGTGGGTGATGTGGGTGAGGAGTCTGGCATGGTGCAGCCGGGGACTCTGCCCAGGGCCTCACAAGGCTGCAATCAAGGTGTGGGCCAGCCACGTTCTCAGCTGGGATTTGGTGTCCTCTTCACACCCCTTCTGGTTGTTGCCGGACTTCAGTTCCCTACGTTGGGGCACTGAGGTCCCTGTTTTCTTGCAAGCTGCCATCAGGGACCACTCTCGGCTTCCAGGGGCCCCCTTGTAGGTGGCACCATGGCCACTTGCCCTACTCCAAGCCTGCAGAAGAGCGCCTCTCTGCCATGTCCCTTTCTTTTAAAAGACTTGCCTGACTGGTTCAGGTCCATTAGGTAGCGTCCCATTTGATTAGCTCAAAAGTACTGTAGCCCATCACATTCACTCACAGGAGGGCATTAGCGGGGTGTGGACACCAGGGAGTGAGACTCTCTCAGGCCAGTTTAGCATTCATTTGGTTAGCCAGGTTTGGTGGCTCATGCCTGTAATCCCAGCACTTTGGGAGGCTGAGGCGGGCAGATCACCTGAGGCCAGGAGTTCGAGACCAGCCTGGCCAACATGGTGAAACCCAGTCTCTACTAAAAATACAAAAATTAGCCAGGCGTGGTGGTAGGTACCTTTAATCTCAGCTACTTGGAAGCCTGAGGCAGGAGAATCGCTTGAACCTGGGAGGTGGAGGTTGCAGTGAGCCGAGATCGTGCCTTTGCACTCCAGCCTGGGCGATACAGCGAGTCTCAAAAATAAATAAATGCGAAGGCTGCTGAGCGCAGTGGCTCATGCTTATAATCCTGGCACTTTGGGAGGCCGAGGTAGGAAGACTGCTTGAGGCCAGGAGTTTCAGCCTAGCATGGACAACACAGTGCCACTCTATCTCTAAGTAAAATAAAATAAAATAAAATAAAATAAAATAAAATAAAATAAGTAAAATAAGAATTCAGTTGGTTAAAAGAAACTCACTAGGTCCAGCCCACAATCAAGGGATGGAAATTACACAAAGTTGTGAAGAGTCAAGGGTGGGAGATCGCTGGCAGCCCCTTATAGAAGCTGCCTATCTCACATACCTGTTGGACAGCTTCTCTCTCCTAGCTGGGGGTATTTGGAGCGGGTGTCAAATCCTGCTCTTTTTTATGTCTGTTGCCTTTTCTCGCGGTGATGTGTTTCCTGTGTGTTCTGTAATTTTGGATCGTGAGCTGAGCTTCAGAGGGGCTTTATGTGGGGAATCCTGGGTGGCCAGGTTTGAGGGAGCCACCTAGAGAGGTTTTCTATTTGGCTTTTCCAGGGGCCCCAGGGTACCACTAAGCCAAGGCAACTTTTTTTTTTGAGACGGAGTTTCACTCTTGTTGCCCAGGCTGGAGTGCAGTGGTGCAATCTCAGCTCACTGCAACCTCTGCCTCCCAGGTTCAAGCTATTCTCCTGCCTCAGCCTCCTGAGTAGCTGGGATTACAGGCACACGAGGCTTGGCTAATTTTTTGTATTTTTAGTAGAGACGGGGTTTCACCATGTTGGCCAGGCTGGTCTCGAACTCCTGACCTCAGGTGATTCACCTGCCTCAGCCTCCTGAAGTGCTGGGATTACAGGCGTGAGCCACCATGCCCGGCCCAAAGCAACTTTTTAGTGTTAATTTCTCAACTCTGGCATTCCTAGACCACACAGGTGGCATGACTTTATTGTAGGAGTTCCACATTTATATAAGAGAGGCCTGAAAACACAACGATCTCATGGGAAAGTTGTTCACCACCTAAAGCTCAAAATTTCTCACCTCTCTCTGTTCCCCTGGGTGGAAATGTTTCTGTCCCTTTCTCTAAAGGTGTTGCATTTCTGTGACCCCAACTTCATCATGCTTGACTGTAACCCTGACCCCCTGCCTTGTAAGGGCTTCCAACGCTCAACCCAGCCCTGCCCTCAGGCAGTTGCAGCACCAGCTCCTCTGTCCCCACCTTGGTTCTCACTCCCCTCTTCACTTCTGGCCTTAGGGGACTTAACTTATTTTCTGAAGAACTCAGCTATATATTTATTTTATTTTATTTTATTTATATATTTTTTGAGATGGAGTTTCACTCTTTTGCCCAGGCTGGAGTGCAGTGGCGTGATCTTGGCTCACTGCAACTTCTGCCTTCCGGGTTCAAGTGATTCTCCTGCTTCAGCCTCCTAAGTAGCTGAGATTACAAGCACCTGCCACTACTCCTGGCTGATTTTTGTATTTTTAGTAGAGATCGGGTTTCACCATTGGCCAGGCTGGTCTTGAACTCCTGGCCTCAGGTGATCCGCCCACCTCAGCCTCCCAAAGTGCTGGAATTATAGGCATGAGCCACCACGCCCGGCCTCAGCTCTATAGTTAAAAGGACATTTGTTTCTTACCCAGCATTTCTAGGTGTTTTGAAGAGGGAGACTTCTCAGGTTATCTAACCTGCTACTGAGAACTTAAAGATAGGGAAAATCTTGGACTGGAGATTCTTGGAATCACATAATTGAAAAATCCCAGCCAGGCATGATGGCTCACATCTGTAATCCCAGCACTTTGGGATGCCGAGGCAGGTGGATCACCTGAGGTCAGGAGTTTGAGACCAGCTTGGCCAACATGGTGAAACTTCGTCTCTATTAAAAATACAAAAAAATTAGCCTGGCATGGTGTTGGACACCTGTAATCCCCGCTACTCGGGAGGCTGAGGTAGGAGAATCGCTTGAACCCAGGAGATGGAGGTTGCAGTGAGCTGAGATCACGCCATCGCACTCCAGCTTGGGCAACAAGAGTGAAACTCCGTTGCAAAAAAAAAAAAAAAAAAAGAAAAGAAAAGAAAAGAAAAAGAAAAATCCCCACAGTGCACATGGACAAAATCACAGAGTTGCTTTGGGAGCGAGGGTGGCAATCAGACACGGAGGCCATGACACAACCTGCTCGTCCACTCAGGGGTCCAGAACCTCCACCCAGTCACCTTATCCGGGGGTGATGGAGACAAGGGAGGTGCCACCTACGCCAGTGTCATCTCTTACAATGAGCTCTTCTCCTGCTCGAAAAGAGCCAGCCTGCTGAGCTTGCTGCCAGGGCCCGTCGCACTGCCTGCGCTGTGTTGCCCGTCGCACAGCCTGTGATATGTGTTTCCCGTCACACGGCCTGTGATATATGTTTCCCATCATGTGTGCATGTGTGTTGTCATGTAGTGTCTGTCACAGGTGTTACCCGTCATGTGTGTTTGCATGTTGCATGTGTGTGGCCTATCAGGTGTAAATATGTGTTGTCTGGCACATGTCAGCATCTGGGCATTCTCCGTGTGCCAGGAGCAGCCAGGTGGCCTGTGAAGCCTTCTCATGGGAAATGCCCAGATAGGAAGAGCACAGCCAGGAGCCAAGCCCCTGAGTGGCCACTCCATGTGCCTGGATCACCTTCAAGTCTGCTCAACACCAGAGCCTCTGTTCCTTGGCACCATGGACATTGGAATTGACTCGGAACTGGGAAGAGCTGTAGACCCACTATCCAGGCACCCGCTCTCCGTTTGCCCAGCATCCCAGGGGCCCACACCCTTCCAAATATCATCTTGCCCTCCATTCAGAGGTGAATCATCCGAGCGTCAGGTTGCCCAACTCCGACTGGTTTTGCTGGAGCCTCCATGGAGGATGTCACCAGACACCTCCAGAGAACACTCAGTCTACAGATGCCGAGGGGGAACTGGAAGCACACAGTGCTGGCCTTCACCCAGGTTATGGTGGCACCTTGGGACCGCTTCTGAGTCTGCTTGTCACTGAAGGTCGGCGTGAGGCAGGCAGCGTTCCCTCCCAGATTTAGAAAATGTCAAGTCTCCCGCCGCACCCTTTTGTGTTTCTTACAGGGCCTGGGGAGCTTGCTGCCGCCACACTAAGGGCTCCAACATGTTCCCTCACACACTCAACAGAGAAGGAAACTGTGGCTCAGATGGCAGACTCCCTGTCCAAGGCCACAGAGTCTGGCCCCAGGGACCACTAGAGGCTTCAAGAACCAAACTCACATGAGGGCAGAGAGGAGAGATGGGGCCAGTTTAGGGCTGGGAGAATCCATAGAGCGATGCTGAGGCAGGCATGGAGCCTGGAGGTACGGACGAGGGTCTCGCCAAACTCAGGGGTAAAGAGGCTGTGGGGAGTGAGGAATGGTGTGGGCCAGCCCCGGGCCTGCTGGCGTGCAGCTGGGGGCTCCATGGCCCTCCCACGGCCCCCACTTGTCCTCACCCAACCGTTCAGAGCTCTTCATGGCGGGGGTGTCCCTCTCCTCTGGCCACAAGAGGAGCGGGTGGAGGAACGGCACCTTCAGGCCTTGTAGGGGGTCTGCCCCTCCACCAGCCTGTTTCTCGTGGGCATCGCAGCTGAGGCTGTAGCCGGGAAAGGGTAGTCACCGAGCGTACCTGGCCTCCAACCACCACTTCCAAGGCCCCTACTGGGCACAGGGTGACCCCACCGTGGCTCGGAAGTAGACCCTGTCCGACGCGGGGATGGTCGCTGGAGGGCCGAGGATGCCTACACAGGCCCCTGGAGGGTGTGCCTCGGGAGTCTGTCTCGCCCTCTGGACCCATGGGGGACCAGCAACGCCGTCACACCCTCCTCTGTCTCTGCCAGCCGCTCCGCCGCTCCCTTCTCCTGGCTGGGGCTGGCAAAGGCAGGCAGGTATGGGGGGCGGGGCCTCAGGAGGGAGGAAGGGCTGGTGGGCGGGGCCTACGGACACCTCGCCCCGCCCCCAGTAGGGCGCCGCACTCCCCACACCCTGCGGTCCCCCTAGGTCAGGGCCTGTCACCACCGCGCCCAGAGGCCGGGCCAGCCGGGCGTGCATCCCAGGGGCGCTCCGTCCCCCGCGGCCTGGGACTCCCCAGTAAGGACAGTACAAAATCTCTTTATTGCTCATTTTCTGTAAAAAAATCGTGGCTCTCGGCGGACCCTGGGGATAGGAGGTGCAAAGCGCGGTCACACGCGGCCCGGGTCCGCGGCCGACAGCTGGGAGGATCTGGAGCGGGGCCGGGTCGCAAGAAGACCCTGACCCTGCTCCCGCGCTGGGGCGCGTGCTAAGGGCCCGCAGGGTTTCAGCTGTATTTTCGAACCCCTGTGCTTGGCCGAGGGGTTCCCAAGGCTCCACTCCGCCTTGGAGGGGGCTGCGGAAGCCCGGAGGTGACCCGGGCTCTGGGAGGGGCGTCCCCAATGTGGGGGAGGGGAGACAGGGGCCTTTGAATACAGCGCGGGACTCAGAGGGGGTCCCCCCGACCTAAGACGTGGTAAACTGAGGCCGGCGAGGAGGGAGGCTGAGTCCGGGGACCAGGCGGCCCCTCACTGCTCCTCCGGTCCGTCTCCCCTCTGCGCCTGTTCGTACGGGCAGGGCCGGCGGCCGAGTCCAGCGGGCTCGGGGCCAGGCCTGGGCCCCGCGGGCGGCGCCTCCTCCTCCGCGCCGTCCCCATGCTCGTCCTCAGCGTCGCTCTCCTCCGAGTTGTCCTCCAAGTAGCGGTAACCGCGCACCTTGTGCTGGGGCCGCGGGATGCGGGGCTGAGGCGGGGCCACGCCCCGCCGCAGCTTCTGCTCCATCCGCAGGTAGGAGACCGCGGCCGCCACCAGCGTCACCAGCAGCATCGCCAGCTTAGCCTGGGCGTAAGGAGAGGGATGCCAGGGACCCGCGGCCGCCTCGCTTCGCACCTTCCCCGCCTATGCCCCTCGCTGAGATAGGCCCTTCCCTCCTCCGGGAGCCTCCCGGGCCACGCGGCCCTCAACTTCTCCAGCCCCTCCACCCACGCTTCCTGGACCGCCTCTTGCAGGTGAGGCTCACATCCAGCACTGTCCCTTACAGTCGCCACGCCCCTGGCGACCTCAGTGTCCCACACTGTAAGGGGACAATGCAAATCCCTTTGCCTCATAGGGTGCATGCGCCAGTGTTGATAAAGTGCTGGCCACAGGCCCTGCCTTCCCAGGGCTCACAACACTGTGTCCCTGACACACCCGTGGGCTGTAGTGATGCTCTTCATGGGGTTTTGACTATAACCCGCAGTCAGGAATGATTTCACACCATAGCCCAGTACATACACACATATCTGTATGCATACTTCCTGCTCTTTTCTTTTTTCCAGACACGGTCGCTCCGTTTCCCCACAGCCCCCCCACCCACTGCTGGAGTGCAGTGGCACGCTCACTTCAGCCTCAATCTTCCAGGCTCAAGCCATCCTCCCACCTCAGTCTCCCAAGCAGCTGGAACTACAGGCACGCGCCACCACGCCCAGCTAATTTTTAAATTTTTTGTAGAGACAGGGTCTCCTATGTTGCCCAGGCTGGTCTTGAACTCCTGGCCTCAAGCAATCCTCCTGCCTCAGCCTCCCAAAGTGTTGGGATTATAGGCGCGAGCCACCATGCCCAACCCACTCACTGCTTTTCTTTTTTCTTTTTTTTTTTTGGGAGACAGAATCTCGCTCTGTCCTCCAGGCTGAAGTGCGGTGGCGCGATCTTGGCTCACTGCAACCTCCATCTCCCAGGTTCAAGCCATTCTTGTGCCTCAGCCTCCAGAGTAGCTGGGATCACAGGGACGTGCCACCATGCCCAGCTAATTTTTGTGTTTTTAGTAGAGACAGGGTTTCACAGCCTGTTACCCAGGCCGGTCTCGAACTCCAGATCACAGGTAATACCCCAACCTCAGCGTCTCAAAATGCTGGGATTACAGGCATGAGCCACTGCTCCCGGCCCACTCCCTGCTATTTTTAGTTCTATTTTTATTTTTATTTATTTATTTATTTTTGAGACGGTGTTTCGCTCTTGTTGCTTAGGCTGGATGGAGTGTCAAGGCCCCGTCTCGGCTAACTGCAACCTCCGCCTCCCAGTTCAAGTGATTCTCCTGCCTCAGCCTCCCGAGTAGCTGTGATTACAGGCACCTGCCATCATGCCCGGCTGATTTTTATATTTTTAGTAGAGACGAGGTTTCACCATGTCGGTCAGGCTG
The DNA here is from genome assembly GCF_000001405.40 of Homo sapiens. Lineage (NCBI taxonomy): Eukaryota > Metazoa > Chordata > Mammalia > Primates > Hominidae > Homo > Homo sapiens. The sequence continues at coordinate 67,713,347 of NC_000011.10, forward strand.
GTCTCAAACTCCCTACCTCAGGGAATCCACTCGCCTCGGCCCCCCAAAGTGATGGGATTACAGGCGTGAGCCACCGCGCCCGGCCTTTAGTTCTATTTTTTAAAAATATTTAGCAACTGGGACTTGCTAGACCGAGCCACCATCTTTTGTGAGCAGAGCATGAGGAGCCTGCTCCCCTTCAGGCCATGAAGGGAGACAGACCCAACATCTGGAGAACAGGGTACCAAACAGCCCACAGGATGGCTGTGATGCATCCACAAATCCCCTCAGAGATGGGCAAACTGAGACTGGCTGGAGGTGGGCCAGTAAGTGGGGTGCTGAGTTGGGGGCCACCCAGTGGGCTCCAGGAATGGGGCCTTGGCCCAGAGACTGGCTTGAGAAGGGGTGGTGTTTAGGAGGCTGTGAAGCCAGGGCAGGAGCTAAGGAAGTACCTGTCATTGGGCATGGGACCCCCAACCCTGCCCAGTCTCACCTTCATGTGCAGGCTCGAGCCCAGGTACACGGTGAAGATGGCCACAGCCTGCCACCAGTGGTAGATGGTGAAGATGAAGTCCTGTCTCTCCTTGTCTTCGTACAAGATTCCCAGGAGTGCTGCAGGCAGGCAGTACAGGGCAGGCAGGGGAGAGGTGTCACCTGGGGCCTGGGGCTGCCTAGCTACCATCTATGAACTTTACTAAGCCCTGTATGTGTCCCAGCCCGGGACCAGAGAACGCCTAGAAAGTGCTGTGAGGCGGTCCTGGCCTGCCCCCTGGTGGAGACCCTGGTCACCACACTGCTCACACGCTAAGCAGAAGTAGGAGCAGGTGCGCCGGGCTGTGTGGATGCAGGTGGTCCCGCTCCGCACCACATGCGTGGCCTCAAAAGAAGAAAGCTCTGTGCTTAGTCATGTCCTGTCCCCAACCCCAGGTGTGCAGTGCCAAGCTTGCAGGCGCTGTTTCTCCTTCTCAGCCGGGACTAGAGGGATCGAACTGTTTGCAGCTGCCAACTCTGCAAATCAAACCTGAAGCTAAGCATGGAGAGGGGGGCTTCCTTTCCAGTGAGTCCTCCCAGGGTGGACAACAAGAGTAATGGATTGGGAGTCAGAAGATGCACACTCGTTCTCAGGACTGTAATGTTGGCTCTGTGGGTGATTTGGGTACTTAACTCCCCAGAGCTGCTTTTCCCAATGGTGAGATGAGCTTATGCCTATTGTGTGCTGTGTTCTGAAGTTCTAAAGTGAGAAAGAGGGCATGGCACCTGCCAAATCATAGGGGCCACTATTAACACCTTCACCAGGCACTCAGGACATGAACACTCCTGTCTTGGGGCCCTGCAGGGTGACTTTACCCCCACAGTGCTGCTATGAAGAGACAAGGATCCCCCGGGGTTCACCAGCTGGGCAGAGGAGATGCCATGACCAGACAGGGCACAACATGGGTTCAAGATGCCCAGGTTGGACTCTGCCCAGAATTGGCTATCCTTGAGCAAAACGGCCAAGAGACTGTGGTGCAGTATGAGGCTCCAGCCCCTGCTACAGACAGAGACACCGAGCCAGCCTCTGCCCTGCCAGCAGCAGGCATGACCTCGGCCACTCCACACCCCCAAGGATGACGTTCAAAACTGTTCACAGCTTCGGCCCATCAGAACAGACACTGACATGGATGCCCGGCAGGACTGCCCATGTGTGCTAGCTGTGTGTCACTGTGTGTGCCCATCTGTGGTCAGGGAGCATCCTGGAGCTGAACATGGGCCCACCCGCTGCCTTCTGCAAACAGGGCCCTGTTCCCCAGCAGCCCAGACCTGGGGCCTGGACTCTGGTACTGAGCAGACTGGGCTGGGGCTGCAGGCCTGCTCCTCTCTATACAAAGGCCCATGTCTGTATCTATGCCGTGGATGTACAACAGGCCACTTGCTCCTACCATATGCTCCGTGAGGCAGAGACCAAAATATCTGCTCCAAATGTCACGAAAACAATGCCAGGGTAAGCCCTGTCCCCTGGTATGAAAAGGGAGAATCCCTGATGTGTTTTTCACACTGTCCCTAAGGGGTGTCCACAGAGCCCCACACCTGCCCCGTGTAGCCACGAGATTTCACACTGACCCTCCAGTGTTGATGCGGCCCTGTGCCCGCCCTGGGGTATTAACGGAATGTCCATGGCGTGGAACCCCCACAACTGTCTCCAGGGTGTCCACACCCTACCCATCTGTCCCCAGTGTGTCCATGAGACTTTCCTCCCACCCCCGGAGTGTCCACAGGAAGCCCCACCTGCCTCTGCCATGTCCACAGGACCCTATGTGACCATGGGACCCCATATCTGTCTCTGGGATGTCTATGCCTAGCCAACCACCCACAGATAGCCATAAAGCCCCCTGCCCCGCCCCCTCCAGTGCCCACAGCTATACTCACTGCTGAGTCCAGTATTGTTCAGGGCGCTGCCCACACCCCAAAGGGCAGCTGCCACACAGAGGATCCAGATGTGTTGCAGGACCCGAGGCACAGGGGCCCAGAAAAAGAGGATGAAGGTGAGGAGCAGGTGCACCCCTGCTCCAGCCATGAGGGGCACCGGGCGTGGCAGCCACAGGCCCAGCAGGCCCAGGAGTGAGGCGGCTGAGGTGCCCAGGCTGTAAGCCACGAGGAGGTAAGCCAGCCGCTCCAGCCCCACCAAGCACACGCCATAGCCCTGCGGGGGGACAAGGGGTGAGTGTTGAAGTCCGGAACAGCCCAGACCCCAGTCTCAGCCCTCCCCGCATTGCGGGGGGTGCCTCACCCCCCTGCGATAGGTGCCCTAAGAGCCAGGGGAGGAGAAGGGCTGACTCGTACTCCCCGCATCGCGGGGGGTGCCTCACCCCCCTGCGATGGGGGTCCTAAGAGCCAGGGGGGGAAGAGGGGCTGGCTCTTACTATTCCTGAGGGAATAGTTTAGAGGGACTCATTCCCTGCTATGGTGGGTGAGATGTCTATGAAAAGGACAACCAGTGGGGGAGGGTAGCAAAATTTTGAAGTAGATTTCTGAGACCCCCCAGCACAACCAGGAACAGAAACTCCACACTCTGCTGAGCGGATAGTTTGCACATTGGTCTCCTCCCATCTGCCCAGCGCACTCTCCTGTTTGTCCTGAAGAGGAGGAAACCAAACAAGGCTCCCGACCGTCCCTCAGCACTCACTTGAAGGGGTGGTCCGTCCCTCCACACCTGTGGGTATTTCTAGTTGGGTGGGAAGAGACTGAGAAAAGAAATAAGACACAGAGACAAAGTATGGAGAAACAACAGTGAGCCCAGGGGACCGGCGCTCAGCATACCAAGGACCTGCACTGGCACAGGCCTCTGAGTTCCCTCAGTTTTTATTGATGATTATTTTTATTATTTTAGCAAAAAGGAATGTAGTAGGAGGGCAGGGTGATAATAAGGAGAAGGTCAGCAACGAAGATGTGAGCAATAGAATCTATGTCATAATGAAGTTCACGGGAAGGTACTATGACTGGACGTGTGCGTAAGCCAGATTGATGTTTCTCTCCACCCAAACATCTCAGTGAAGTAAAGAATAACAAGGCAGCATTGCTGCAAACATGTCTCGCCTCCCACCATAGGGCGGTTTTTCCCCCATCTCAGAATTGAGCAAATGTACAATCGGGTTTTATACCGAGACATTCAGTTCCCAGGGGCAGGCAGGAGACAGCGGCCTTCCTCTCTCTCAACTGCAAGAGGATTTCCTCTTTGACTAATCCACCTCAGCACAGACCCTTTACTGGTGTCAGGCTCGTGGACGGTCAGGTCTTTCTCCTCCCACGAGGCCACTTTTCAGACTAACTATGGGGAGAAACCTTGGACAATACGCCGCTTTCAAGGGCAGGGCTCCCTGCGGCTTTCCACAGTGTATTGTGCCCCTGGTTTATTGAGACTAGAGAATGGCAATGACTTTTACCAAGTATACTGCTTGGAAACATCTTGTTAACAAGGCACGTCCTGCACAGCCCTAGATCCCTTAAACCTTGATTTCATACAACACATGTTTTTGTGAGCTTCAGGTTGGGTCGAAGTGGCTGGGGCAAAGCTACACATTAACAACATCTCAGCAAAGAAATTGTTGAAAGTACAGGTCTTTCTCAAAATGGAGTCTCTTATGTCTTTCCTTTCTACATAGACACAGTAAGAGTCTGATCTCTCTTTCTTTTCCCTACACTCACTGAACTGCCCTTCCCCTCTGCTGGGCCATGACCACGGAGAACAGGTCCAGTGTCCTCCTTCTGTGGTGCACCATGGAGGCTCAGACTCCATCCTCAAGGCTGGCAAGAAGACAGGGTGAGATGTGAGCCTCCTGATACAGGTGACGGAAGTGGAGCCCACAGGACTGGAACCTCACACTGTAGGGCTGGAGGCACAGACTGACTATTTACTATTCTGTGGCCTGGGGGGCTCAAGGCACAGAGCTCCTTATTAGACAAAGTCACCCAAGTTCCCCAACCTCTAAGGATTTCCTCATAATAATGCAAGAAGAAGAGAAAAGTGAGTGTCCATAGAAGCTTTGGGGCTCTTCCTCTAATCAGGAGAAAGCTGGTGTGTATTCTTTGCTTCTTTCTTTTCTTTTTAAACATCCAACTGCTTTAATTTTCATCTTTTATTAAGGGAAAATATACCACGCATAAATATTTAAAATTATAAATATATATTAGTTCATATAGAATGGCCGGTATAAACATTTATAATTTCCATGCTTTTTCAGTTTACAGTTTCATGACATTAAGTACGTTCACATTGTTTACCAACCATCACTGCCATCGTCTCCAACACAGTTTTATCTTTCAAAATGTAAATTGCACCCATTCACCAAGCTCTCCACTCCTCTCTCTCGCCCACCCCTGGAGGCCACCTTTCTAGTTTGCAACTCTATGAATTTAACTACTCTAGACACTTGATAGATAAGTGGAATCAAACTGTGTTTTATTGTTTTGGAAACAGAGTCTTTTTCTGTCACCCCGGCTGGAGTGCAGTGGCGTGATGTCGCCTCACTGCAACCTCCACATCGTGGGTTCAAGCGATTCTTGTGTCTCAGTCTCTGGAGTAGCTGGGATTACAGGCGTGCGCCACCACGCCCAGCTAATTTTTGTATTTTTAATAGGGACCATATTGGCCAGGCTGGTCTCGAACTCCTGACCTTAAGTGATCCACCTGGCTCAGCCTCCCAAAGTGCTGGGGTTACAGGTGTGAGCCACTGAGCCTGGGCGTGTTTATCCTTTTGGGATTTATTTATTTCACTGACGATAATGTTTTCAAGGTTCATCCATGTTGCGGCCTGCCTCAGAAGTGCGTCTCTGTTTTTTGTTTTTTTTGTTTGTTTGTTCGTTTGACTTTGTTTTGTTTTGTGTTTCCATGGAGTCTCACTCTGTCGCACAGGCTGGAGTGCAGTGGCACAATCTGGGCTCACTGCAACCTCCGCCTCCCTGGTTCCAACCATTCATGTTCCTCAGCCTCCCGAGTAGTTGGGACTACAGGCACATGCCACCACGCTCGTCTCATTTTTTGCATTTTCAGTAGAGACAGGGTTTCACCAAGATGGCCAGGCTGGTCTTGAATTCCTGACCTCAGGTGATCTGCCCACCTCGGTCTTCCAAGACGCTGCGATTACAGGTGTGAGCCACCGCACCTGCCAGAAGTGCCTGCCTTCTGGAAGACTATTAAGGCTGAATAGTCTTCCATTGTATGAAGGAACTGCAGTGTGCTTTTTCATTCATCTGTCCACGAACCCTTGGGTTGCTTCCACATTTTGGCTGTTGTGAATACTGCTGCTATGAATATGGGTGTACACAAATCTGTCTTCCACTCCTGGCTTCTAATTCTTTTTGGTAGCTACCCACAAATGCAACTGTGGGAACATCTGATCATTCTGTTTCTAATTTTTCCAGTAGACGCCATACTATTTTCCCCGTTCCTTCACGGTTTTACATTCCCTCCGATCATATTCGAGCATTCCTACTTCCCTCTAGTCTCACCAATGCTTGTTTGTTTATCATATCCATCCTAATGTGTGGTATCACATTCTTGGTTTGATTTGCACTTCCCTATGATGAGTGATTTTGAACATCATTTTCGATGCTTATTGGCCATTGCTATATCTTCTTTAGGAACACGTCTACTCGAGTCTTCTGACCATTGTTGATGGGATGCTTTGGGTTTCTTGTTGTTTAGTTCTAGCTGTTCTTTATATATGATGGATATCAGCCTCTTTTCAGATATATGCTTTGCAAATATTTTTCCTAATCCATGGGTTATCTTTTCACTCAGTTCACAGTGTTTTTTGCTGCACAAAAGTGTCTGTCATTTAGATGTCATCCAAGGAATCTAATTTTCTTTTGTTGCCTATGCTTTTGGTGTCATATCCCAGAGAACATTGCCCAATCTGATGTCATGAAAGCGTGACCAATGTTTTCTTTTAGGTGTATGATACTTTTAGTGCTTGGGGTGAGGTCTTTGATCCAGTTTGTGTTAATTTTTGCACCTGGTGTGACATAGGGTCCACCTTCATTCTTCTGCATGTGGAAATCAAGTTTCTCCAACACCATTTCTTGAAAAGGCTTCTTTTCCACCAATGAGCTTTCTTAGCACTCATGTGAAAAATCATTTGAACATATAGGTGAGAAGTTTTTTCTGGGCTCCAAAACAAACAAACGACAACAGACAACAGATAAGGATACAGCATGGGCCGGGCGCTGTCACTCACACCTGTAATCCCAGCACTTTGGGAGGCCAAGGCGGGCAGATCACCTGAGGTCAGGAGTTGAAGACCAGCCTGACCGACAGGGAGAAACCCCCATCTCTACTAGAAATACAACATTAGCTGGGCGTGCTGGCACATGCCTGTAATCCCAGCTACTCAGGAGATGGAGGCAGGAGAATCGTTTGAACCCAGGAGGCAGAGGTTGCGGTGAGCCAAGATTGCACCATGACACTCTAGCCTGGGCAACAAGAGTGAAACTCCATCTCAAAACAAACAAACAAAAAAACCCAGCATAATTTCAAGAGCAGAAAGAGAAGAGCTTAAAAACCAGTACAATGAGAAAGTTAGGAAGTTTCTTACCAAAGCATCTGGAAATATGCAAGCAATTCTTGTGAACTAAAATTTTCATACTGTACTATCAAACACTAGAACACACTTATTCCATCTTTCTGTATTTTGGGACCCAATTATCCACTTGTCTTCATTCCCTATCCCACCCCTTTTCTTCCTAGTGTCTGCTAACCACCTTTATACTTTCCACCTTCTTGAGATTCCTTTTGTGTGTAGGTGTGTGATGGAGTCTCTTACTGTTGCCCAGGTTGGAGTACGCAGACACAATCCGGGCTCACTGCAAGCTCCGCCTCCCGAGTTCAAGCGCTTCTTGGGCCTCAGCCCTCTGAGTAGCTGAGACTACAGGCACGCGTCACCACGCCCGGCTCATTGTTTGTGTTTTCCGTAGAGACGGGGTTTCACCATGTTGGCCAGGTGGATCTCGAACTCCTGGACTCAAGTGATCCGTGCGACTTGGCCTCCCAGAGTGCTGGGATTACAGGCCTGAGCCACCGCACCTGGCCAAGGTTTCCTTTTTTCTTCCTACATAGAAGTGAGGACATGAAATATTTGTCATTCTGTGCCTGGCTTCTTTCATTTAATATACAGACCTGCAATCTCATCCATTTTGTCTGCAGCGGAGAGGAGTTTCTTCCTTTTTTGGATGAATAATACTTCACTGGGTGTGTATACCACAGTTTCTTCATTGAAACAAATTTCTGAAGAGCAAATATTTTTAAAATGTCTCGGGATGTGAAACTTCAGGGATACTGTGCCCATTTTATTCTTTACTATTTCCCATCTTATGTATATGCAAGTGTATAACAAAGCAGCAATCAATGTGTGTATAAATCTATAACTTCAACAGATGTAAAATGTAAATGCTAAGTGGTGGCTGGGTGCGGTCGCTCATGCCTGTAATCCCAGCACTTTGGGGGGCGGAAGTGGGCGGATCACCTGAGGTCGGGAGTTCAAGACCAGCCTGACCAAAATGGAGAAACACTGTCCCTATTAACAATACAAAAAAAAAAAAAAAAATTAGCCAGGCATGGTAGCGCATGCCTGTAATCCCAGGTACTTGGAAGGCTGAGACAGGAGAATTGCTTGAATACGGGAGGGAGAGGTTGCAGTGAGCCGAGACCATGCCATTGAACTCCAGCCTGGGCAACAAGAGTGAAACTCTGACTCAAACAAAAAGGAAAAGAAAGAAATAGAAAATGCGAAATGGTAAGAAAAAACAGCATAATAAACATTTGTATGGTGTTGATGGACAATGCATTTGAAGATAATATTTGAAGATATTATATTACAATAAATTTCTGTTCTTACTCATTGGAGCTTGATGCCCCTAAAAACTTCGTCATTGGAACCACCTCTGGTGCTTTAAAAGAAAAAAAAAAAAAAAATCCACATACTCACACAGGTGCAAGGAAATCAGAATCTCAGGTATTGAGACCCAGGCCTCATCATTTGTAAGCTCCCCAGGTGATTTGACTCAAAGCCAAGATTGAGGAACGGCGACATGGATCTCTCTACATAACCTGCCTAAATAGATTCTCTAGAAGCAGTTTATAAAGAAATTCCGCAAGAACTGCGGAAGAGGATATGAATTTGATGTACGGTATGTCCTCACTTAACATCTTTGAAAGTCTCTTGGAAACTTCACCTTGAAGCAAAATTATGTATAGTGAAACCACTTATTTTTCATCAACAGTATAACTACACAACTTTGAACAACCAATGGTGTTGGAGGACCTCCTGTACATTGTTTCCATAAAGTCAGTTTTCAGGGAATTCCAAAACGAAGTGAGGACTTCATGTATATAAAAAGATGGTTGTGATTCCACCTGGATGACAGGGTTATTGCTCAGAAACTAAAAGAGGCCGCCTAGGTATAGAGGATTCAGTCATGAGGTTTCTGCTAAACAAAGGGTCCCAGAATCCTCACCCATTCCAGTGAAAGGCATAACAAAGAAAGCAATATTCACAAAGGAAATGCGGAAAGGAATAAAAGCCATCAAGCCACAAAAATAATGTGACTAAGGGGCAGGATTTGCAGATGTAGAGATTTAATGTGGTTGCCCTTTCTCACCCACACAAGAAAAAGGATGGAACAGATCATGAGATTTGACTGCTCTGCTGTGCAGCCTCCGCAGGGCACTTTGTATGTCCCTGTTTCTCAGGCTGTAGATGAAAAGGTTCAGCATGGGGGTGACCACAGCGTACATCACTGACACCATCACACCATTCCTGGGGGGTGCTGACACAGCTGAAGTCAGGTACACACCAATGCCTGTTCCATAAAATCAGCAAACAGCTGCTAGGTGAGAGCCACAGGTGAAGAAGGCTTTATACTTCCCATCTGATGATGAAATCCTTAGAATGGAGGGGATGATTTTATAGTAAGACAAAAGGATCCCTGGAATGGGAAGAAAACCAAACATAGTACTATCGAAATATATGAATATGCTATTGATGACGCTGTCAGAACAGGCAAGTTTGAGAAGTTGAGAGGGGTCACAGACAAAATTAGAGATTTCCACATTCTTGATGATGGTGAATTGTAACACAATCCAACTGTGCAGCTGGGAATCCAACAAGCTAAGGAAAAAGGACACCAAAAAGAAGAAGACACAGAGCTGAGGATTCACAATGACTGGGTAGTGCAGAGGACGACAGATGGCTACAAAGTAGTCATAGGCCATCACAGTCAGGAGCATGCCTTCTATACATGCAAAAAGGACCAAGAAAGATATCTGCGTCAGGCAGCCCGCATGAGAGATGACTCTGCTATGTGACTGCATGTCCACAATCATCTTGGGAACCGTGGCCGAGGTGAAACCGATGTCAGCCCAGCACAGCTTGGAGAGGAAGAAGTACATGGGGGTGTGGAGGGGGGAGTCAGAGCTGACAGCCAGGATGCTGAGCAGGTTCCTCAGCACCGTGACCAGATACATGGACAGGGACAGGGACAGCAAAGTGAGGATAAGCTGCAGTTCTGGGTCCTCTGAGAGTCCCAGGAGGAGGAATTCTCGGACACCTGTGAGATTCCGTGGCCCTGTGTGTCTTGGACACCTTGAGAAGGAAAGAGGATTGGAAAAATAACAGATAAAAACCAGCCCTTAATGCTGGATGCAAGCAATTCACAAGGAACATCTTCACACTTGCGGACATACACCGCTAGCAATGTTTCTCAGTTGTGACAATTCCAAAAATCTCAGAATTATTATGTGATTTACTTTTTTGCTATACAAAGCTTTCTGTACATACTACTTTAGAGAAAATCCACTGAAGAATATTAGAAGACCAAAACATCATATATAACAAATCAGTGATCTCAGTAAAATACGGCCTACTCTTTTCAGAAAAAATACAATGCAATGACAATGTCCTTCTCTCTTTAAGAGAAACATCTCAGTCTAATTGAAAGGAATTAAGAAGCCATGAAATACTCTCTACTTTATTCGGACCCGTGCTACAACTTCCATTGATGTAGAATATGTAAAAGGACGACACAAGAGCTAGGACCCCATTATCTGAAAACGACATCGAACCTTATAGTTCTCAATCGGAAGACCTTTTCCCATGCCTGTTACTTTTCATATTTATTATCATCCTTCGGTTTTCTGACATCATTTCTTCATAAAAGTACATGCACACTCAAAGATGGGAGCTGTGTTTCCAAATGAATTGAATCTATAACTCTTGGCCCAGCACCATGGCTCACACCTGTAATCCCAGCACTTTGGGCGGCCGAGGCTGATGCATCACCTGAGGTCAGGAGTTCCAGACCAGCCTGGCCAACGTGGTGAAACCCCATCTCCAGTGAAAATTAAAAAAAATTAGCCGGGTGTGGTGGCGGCTAACCCTAGCTACTCGGGAGGCTGAATCAGGAGAATCCCTTAGAACCTGGAAGGCAGAGATTAGACACCCTGTGATAGGATTTTTGATATCCTGGGGGGATATTGCTCCTGACAGCAGAGTGGGCATACACCCTGTGATGTTATTTGTAATATCCTAGAAAGATATTGCTCCTAATATCATGGTGGCTCTACACCCTGTGATCTTAATTGTAATATCCTACAGAGATATTACTCCTAATAATACAGTGGGTGTACACCCTGTGATATTATTCATAATATATTACAGAGATACGACTCCTGATATCACAGTGAGTGTACACCATGTTTGTACACCCTGTGATCTTATTTGTAACAACTTAGAAAAATATTACAGCTAATATCAAACTGGGTGTACACCCTGCGATGTTATTTGTTATCTACTAGGTAGATATTCCTCCTAATATCACAGTGAGTGTACACCATGTGTGTACAGACTGTAAAATTACTCATAATACCCTAGGAAGATATTACTCCTCATATCACAGTGGCTGTACACCGTGAGTGATATTTTTTTCTAATATCTAGTGGGGGAGAGGATGATATTGCTTCCAATATCACAGAAGGTGTACACCCCCTGTGATATTGTTCCTAATATCCAGGGAAGGAGAGGATGACATTATTCGCAATATCACTGGGGGTGTACTACCTCCCGCCGGTATATTTTTCTTAATATCCGGAGGTGGAGAGAATGATGTTACTCCCAATATCACAGGGGGTGTACACCACCCCTGTTTGTAGACACCCCCTGTGATATTGTTCCAAATGGCCTGTGAAAGAGTAAACATGACTCCCATTATCGCGGGGGGTGTTCAGCCCTGATGATATTGTTTTCTAACATCCAGGGAAGGAGAGTATGCTATTACTCCCAATATCGCAGGGGTTGTACACCCTTTTGTGTTTTTGTGCCCAATATCCAGGAAAATAGAGGATGATATTACTCCCAATGTCGAAGTAATTGTACAGCACCCCTGTGATATTCTTCCTAATATCCAGAAAGGAAAAGAATGATATTTCTCCCAACAGCGTAGCAAACGTATACCCGCACTGTGGTATCTTTCCCAGTGTCCAGGTGGGGAGAGGATCATATTACTTCCAATCTCGCAGGGTGTCTACACCCCCTCTGTGATCTCGTTGCTAACATCCAGGTTTGGGGAGGACGACATTACTCCCAATATCGCAGGGGGAGTACACCCCCTGTGACCTCGTTAGTCATTTCCTGGGTGGAGAGGATGATCTTACTCCCAATATCGCAGGGGGTGTACACACCCCTGTGAAAATCTTCCTATTTTCAGAGGGAGAGAGGATGATATTACTCCCAGTACCGCAGGGGGTTTACACAGCCCTGTGATCCTCTTCCTAATATCCACAGGGAGAGAGGATGATATGACTACCAATATCGCAGGGGGGGTACACAACCCTGTGATATTGTTCCTAACATCCAGAGCGAAAGAGGATGATATAACTCTCAATATCGCAGGGGGTGCACACCCCTCCTGTAATATTGTTCTGAATACCCTGGGAGGGAGAGGATAAGGTTACGTTGAATATCGCAGGGAATGTGCACCCTCCCCCTCTGATGCCCTTCTTAATATCCAGGGGAAGAGAGGAAAATTTCACTCCCAATATCACACAGGCAGTACACCCCACCTGTGATGTTGTTCCCAATATGCAAGGGGGAGAGGATGATACTACTCTCAATATCGCAGGGCTGTTCACATCCCCAGTGACATTTTTTTCCTAATATCTAGGGGAGAGACCATTATATGACAGCAACGGTTGCAGGGTCTGTACATCTGTTCCTTATATTGTTCCTAATATCCAGGGGGAAAGAGGATGATATAAAATATGAAAGGGGGTGTACATCCCCCACCCCTACGATATTGTTCTTAATAATCGTGAGGGGAGATGATGATATTACTCCAAATATTGCAGGGGTTGTTCACAACCCCCTGTGATATTGTTTCTGATATCCAGGGGGGGAGAAAATCATGTTACTTCCAATATTGCAGGTGGTGTATTCCCCACCTGAAATATGGCACCGAATATCCAAAGAGGGAGAGGATGGATATCATACCAATATCGAAGTGTGTGTACACGCCCCTTGTGATATGGTTTTTAATATCCAGTGGGCGGGAGGATGATATTAGTCCCAACATCCCAGAGGGTGTACACTACCCCTGTGATATTGTCCCTAACTTCCAGAGGGGAGAGGATGATATCACTCCCAATATCTCAGAAGTTGTACATTCCCCGTGATATTGTTCGTCATATCCAGGGAGGCACAGGATGACATTCCATTGAATTTCACCACAGGCGTACACGCACAGTGTGATATTGTTCCTAATATTCAGGAAGGGAGAGGATGATATTACTCCCAATAAAGCAGTGGGTGTACATCACCCCTGTGTTATTGTCTCTAATATCCGGGGCTGGGGGAGGAGGGGAGAGGATAATATTCCCTCAAATTTAGCAGGTGTCTTGATCCCCCTTGTGGTGTTGTTTTAAATATCCAGTGGGGAAGACAATAGTACTATTTTTGATAGTCCGATTCATCCGCTCCACCTTTCCGGAACTCTGAGGCCGGGAGGCGGCATGCAGTTTCCGTGTGATCCCCAATACCTTTGCCGTCTTCTCTACCAAGGCAGCCAAAAACCCAGGCCCATTTTCTGAGCCGGTCCGTAAGGGCGGTCGAAATCTAGGAATCAGATCTCGAAGAAGCACAGGGGTTACTTCACGAGCTTTCTCAGTTCATGTTGGATAGGCCTCCACCCACCCAGAGTGGGTACACACAAGAACTAGTAAATACTTGTTACCTCCACACTTTGGCATCTCTGTGAAGTCCACCTGGAGATCTTCAAAGGGGGCTGCTCCATAAGCTCATATGCCGGGCGGAACAGCTGGACCTAGCCTCGCATCATGCTGTCGGCAGGTAACACACCGCTGCCTCACCGTTTTGGCAAGGGCTGACAAAGGTGAGATGTAGAAATACCGGCCTAACAACTTTTCCAGTGACTCCTGACCTCGATGGGTGGTTTCTTGCACAGCCAGTACAACTGCAGCTCCTGGCAGCTGTGGCACAGCTACTCTCCCATCTGGTAACCGAATCCATCCTTCCTCCATCACTTGTCCTCCCTCTACCTGGAGAAAGTCCTTTTCTTCTTTAGAAGAAGTAGGTCCAAGATCAGGTGCCTGAGGGAGCCCTGATGCCCAGAAGGGGGAAGATGCTGCTTTTGGAGCCTCTGAGTCAGTGCGGGAATTCCCCAAACCCAGCAAGGTGGAAGCTCGCTGGTGTCCTCTGCAATGCATAACTGCCACCTTGCGGGGTTTCCATACTGCTTCTAATCATTGCAAGATTTCCTGTTGATATTTTCTGTCTTTTCCCCCGGAGTTCAATAGGCCCTTTTCTTTCTATCATGGTCCATGCACTTGAAGGGTTAAAGACATACTGAGAATCAGTGTAAATGTTGACAGTCTCACCCTCACTGAGTTCTAAGGCCCGAATGAAAGCAATGAGTTCAGCTTTCTGGGCTGAGGTGGCCTGGGGCAACGATCTGGCTTCAGCAACAGTGTCCAGGGTTATCACTGCATACCCTGCACCTCTCTCTCCTTGGGAGTTGAAGAAGCTGCTCCCATCCACGTATAGTTCCCAGTCTACTGATGCCCAAGGCTGGCCCCAGAGGTCAGGTCTGCTAGAGTCAATTGCGTCCAACACTTCTACACCATCAGGCTCGACAGGGCTCTCTGATACTGGGAGCAAGGTGGCGGGGTGTAGGCTGTTACAAACTTCAATGGTTATACGGGGATTTTCACAGAATAAAGCTTGGTACTTGGTGAGTGTGGCATTCATTAGCCAATGATGTCCTTTAGTATTCATTAAAGTCACCACAGCATGGGAGGCCTTTATGTTCAGGTTTTGCCCAAGAGTCAGCTTATTTGCTTCTTGTACTAGCAGGGCAGTTGCTGCCAAGGCCCTCCAACAGGGGAGCCATCCTTTAGAAACCCCGTCTAGTTGTTGAGAGAGGTAGGCCACTGGCCTCAGCCAGGGCCCCACAGTTTGGGTTCAAAGTCCAGCTGCCATCTTTTCTCTCTCTGATGCATACAATGGAAAAGGCTTTGTCATATCGGGTAGCCCCAGGGCTGGGGCTGCCAGAAGTTTTTCCTTTAACTCATGAAAGACTTGCTGTTGTTGGGATCCACATTCCAAAGGTTCCTGGTCCCCGCCCCCTTGGTGACCTCACACAAAGGCTTGGCTAATACTGCAAAGTTTGGGATCCACAGTCTACAAAACCCCACAGCTCCTAAGAATTCTCTCCTGCCTTCTGCTCTTAGGCTCCGCTAGATTGCAAATGACCTGCTTTCTTTCTGATCCCGGGCTGCGTTCCGACCCCTGTCTGATAGTAAATCCCAAGAAATGTACCTGCTGTCGGCAGATCTGAGCTTTCTTCTTGGATACCTTCTACCCACAGTCCTCCAGGTGCCAGTGTAGGGAATCGGTTCCCTTGGTACACCCGACTGCCGTGGGGTGTCCCAGCAGAAGGTCATCAACCTACTGGAGCAACACGCAGCCTAGGTCTCTCCTGGGAAACTTCTGGAGGTCTCGAGCCCACGCCTCCCCGAAGATGGTGGGGGAGTTCTTGAACCCTTGGGGAAGACCAGTCCAAGTGTACTGAGTAGTGAAACCTGACTCCGGATCTTCCCACTGAAAGGCAAACAGCTTCTGCCTCTCAGGGGCTAATCTGATAGGAAAGAAAGCGTCTTTCAGGTCCAAGCAGGTGAACCTGCTGTCCTCAGCTGGCAGCAACCCCAACAATGTGGACGGCTTAGGTACTGCTGGATGTAAAGTCAGTGTAGCTTGATGAAGCAAGTGCAAATCCTTTACCTGCCGGTAGTCCTTGGTCCGTGGCTTTGGAACAGGCAGGAGGGGAGTGTTCCATGGAGACTGACAAGGAACAATAATTCCCAAAGTTCTTAGGTGCTTGAGATGGACCTGGATACCTTGAAGGGCTTCTCTGGGGACCAGGTCCTGTTTTTGCCTCACCGGCTGGGCCCCAGTCTTAACTGGCCAATCCTGGAGGGTTGTCTTCTGCCCCTACTCTTGGCCACCGCTTAGCCAGAGCTGGTCTTCTCTCTTGGCCCGGCTCAGTTAAGAAAAGTCTCCATTCCTCCTCTCGAGGGACCATAAGGGTCATAATGACTCCAGTTCTGGGTAACTTTAGCAGCAAAGATCCATGCTCTGTCAAAGAGTTAGTGGCTCTCAGCTTGCTGAGCAAGTCCCTTCCCAAAAAGGTCAAGGGACAGTCAGGTATGTACCAAAACTGATGAATGACTTTATGTCCTCCTACAGTACAAGTCCGAGACAAGCAGAAAGCTAGCTTTGCTGAAACCCCCGTGGCTCCGATGACGTCAATAGTCTTTTTGAATAAGGGGGCGACCGGGGCAGTTACTAGCGAATGTTCAGCACCGCTATCTACAAGAAAGTCAATGTCTCCACCCCCGACTGTCATTCTGAGCAGAGGCTCTTTGGGGACGCTTGAGCCGGGTCTCCCTCAGTCCAAGAACCCTTCTGCCAGGTTGAGCAGGGCCCCTTCCTCCTTGTCCAGGGCCTCCTGCTCTGAGTCACCTTGTTTTCTTTTGAGCTCAGGGCATTTGTTCTTCCACTGTCCTATTTCTTTACAATCAGCACACTGGTTACGCTGCAAACTCTGACAGCCAAGCTGAGTTTCTTTCCCAGGGCCCCCCTTCCCTTGCCTCTTTGCGGGGGCCCCTCTGATTGCTGCAGCTGACAAACAGGTTGGCGTGTCACCGGGCCTGACCTCCATTCTCTTTGCCGTTTTCCTTAGGGCTTACTGCATCCCTGTTTACAAACACCTGGCTAGCTATTTCTAGTAATTGTGATGGATTCATCCCTGCAAGCCCAGCCTGTTTCTGCAGTTTTCTTCTCATGTCTTCTGCGCTTTGATGGACTAAAGCCATGTGAATCATGCACTGATTTTCAGGGCTATCGGGATCAAAGGGAGTATACATACGATAGGCCTCACACAGTCTCTGGTAGAATTGTGCTGGACTTTCTTCTTTTCCCTGAATGACCTCAGAGAGCTTGTTAACATTTGTGGCCTTCTGAGCTCCCCTCATTAATCCTTCCAGGAGAGCTTCCCTGTCTCGCTTTAGCCTTTGCATATCCTCTCTTTCATGTGGGTCCAACTGGGGGTCGGTTCCTGGCAACTGGGTCCTTCCATACTCTTGGGGGTTTTGATAATCAGCTGGTGCATGTTCCTCTAGCCACTTAGCTGCTGCTTGGCGGACTCTCCGCCTTTCTTCGCTGTTAAAGAGGAACAGGAGCAACTGGTGCCAATCAGCACAGGTGGGGTTGTGGGTCTGGATAAGAGCTTGGAGCAAATCAATTAGGGCTTGTGGCTTTTCAGTATAGGGCGGTGTACTGTTTTTCCAGTTGAGAAGGTCGACGCAGGTGAAGGGCTTGTACCCAAAAACACGCTTCTCCACCACGTGACCATCCTCATCTATCCCAGTATACCGCTGCTCTCTCAGGGGCATTTGTGTCCCCGTTTTGGTTGGTAAACGAGCTGCCGAGGGAGGAGTGGAATGACACAATGTGACTTACTGCAATTAATAATCTCCATTATTAATTGACACTAGTAATTATCAATATTAATAACCCATAATATAATTTTAAAAATCAATACCGATAATAATGATAATTAATATTAAATAGTTATACTAATGATAACAATACATGATTAATATTAATGATTAATGACACCTGATATTAATAACTGATACTGACCTTATTAATTAGAAAACAGTCATATTAGCTCCTAATAAGTAATATTAATATTAATAATGGGAAAACATTTTATTAGCAATTATTTCTTAATATGAATATTAATATCGGTCATTCATATTCATGTTAATAATAAATGAGGAATAATTCATACTAATATTACGCCCTAACACCTCAGTGGGTGTACACCAACATGTGATATTGCTCCTAATGTCCAGGGAGGGAGAGAGCATGATATTACGTTCAATATCGCAGTAGGTGTACACCCAGCCGGTGATATTGATCCGAATATAATCTCCAGGGGGTGGAGTATGACGTTACTCCCAATATAGCACTGGGTGTGCATCCACCTGGTGATTTTGCTCCTAATATTCACGGAAGAAGAGAATGCTATTACTCCCAACATCGCAGGAAGTGTACACCCCCGTGTGAGATGGTCCTTAAAAATATTCCAAGGCGGAGGGGGTGATATGACTACATATATGGCAGAAAGAGGAAACCACCAAGGATATTGTTCCCATGATCCTGGAGGGAAGAGGATAATACTACTTTCAATATTACAGAAGGTGGACACGCCCCCAACTGATATTGTTTGTAATTGCAATCTGGGAGAGGAGGACCTGACACCCGATATCCCAGGGCGTAGAAATACCCCTGTGATACTGTTCCAAATATTCAGAGAGGAAGAGGATGATATTACTCCCAATACAGACGGGGGTACAACCTCTGTACACCCAGGGTGTACACCGGTCTGTGAAACAGTTCATAATCTTCAGAGGCGGAGATGATATTACTCACAATATGATAAAAATGCTGTGAGTCCACCGCGGGTCCTAAGAGCCAGGGGGGCAAGAGGGGCTGGCTCTTTAGTCCCCGCATCGTGTGGGGGGGCGCGGCGCCCCCCTGCGATGGGGGTCCTAAGAGCCAGGGGGGCAAGAGGGGCTGGAGAGGCGGGTGCTATTAGTCCCCGCATCGCGGGGGGCGCCTCGCCCCCCTGCGATTTGGATCGTAATATCCGGGGAGGAGAGGTGGGTGCTATTAGTCCCCGCATCGCGGGGGGCGCCTCGCCCCACTGCGATTTGGATCGTAATATCCGGGGAGGAGAGGCGGGTGCTATTAGTCCCAGCATCGCGGGGGGCGCCTCGCCCCCCTTCGATTTGGATCGTAACATCCGGGGAGGAGAGGCGGGTGCTATTAGTTCCCGCATCGCGCGGGGCGCCCTCACCCCCCTGTGATTTGGATCGTAATATCCAGTGGGGAGAGGCGGTTGCTGTTACTCCCCGCATCGCGGGGGGCGCTCTCACCCACCTGCGATGTGGCTGGTAACATCCAGTGGGGAGAGGGGCTGATATTACTCCCTTTCTCCTATTTTGTTTTCTCTACTGTCACACTTACTTAACACCCTGGGACATTATTTTCCATATTCTAGGATGGTGTCACTGTTTAAGTCCCAGGGGTTATACACCCTGTGATATTATTCGTGGTATTGGCGCGAAATGTGAGTCCTTATTTCACAAGTCTCTACACACTCTGATATTATTCGCAATACCCTAGCGGTACGTTGATAATAATGCCACAATATGTGTACAGCTTGTGCTATTATTCTTAATCTCCTAAGGGGAAGTTGATTTTATTGTCACACGGAGTATTTTCCCTTTGGTATGATTCGGAATATCCTGGAGGCATGTCACTCCTTATGTCACAGGGTTTGTACACCTTTTCAAATTACTCGTATTACCCTTATAAGATGTCACTCCTCATATCAGTGAGGGTGTACACTCTGTGATATTATCGTCATATTCTAGGGAAATGTTTCTTTTAATGTCACAGATGTTGCACACCTTGTGAAATTATTCGTTATAATTTTGTTTGATGTGACTGCTAACGTCACACGGGGTGTACACATAGTGATATTACGTGTAATCTTCTATAGAAATGTTACTCGTAAATCACAGGTCCTGTACCCCCTTTAATATTCTTCATCTTATTCTAGGAAAACGTGACTACTAATGTCACAGGGCGTGTAGACCCTGTCATAAAATTCGTAATATCCCAGCGGGAGTTCACTACTAATTTCACAATGCGTGTACACCCTTTGATATTGTTCGTATTATCCTAAAGAGATGTGACTACTGATGTCCCAATGCATGTACATTCTCTGATATTATTCCTTATATCCTCGGGGGATGTGACTTCTAATGTCACACGGCGTGTAGTCCCTGTGTTCTATTTCATAATATCCCAGGGCAATTGTACTGTTAATGACACAGGGGGTGTACACATTGTGATATTATTCATGATATTGTAGAAGGATGTTACTCCTAATGTCACAGGGGTGTACACCCTGTGATAGTATTCATAATTTCCCAGGGGTCTATACTCCTAATGTCACAGAAGATAACACACTGTGACATTATTTGTAATATTCTGGTGAGATGATTCTCCTAATATCACAGGAGGTGTATACCCTGTGATAGTATTCTTACTATTCTAGGGGGATGTCACTCGTAATGTCACAGGTGTCTTCCTTCTGTGATATTATTGAAAATATGCTAGCTGGATATTACTACTGGTGTCACAATGTGTGTACACCTTGTGATATTATTAGTAATATTCTGGGGGGAAGATACCCCTAAAGTTACAGGGGTGTACACCGTGTGATATTCCTCCCAATATTGTAGGGGGATGTTACTCCTAATGTCACAGGGGGTGTACAGCCTTCGATATTATTTGTAATCTTATAGAGAGATATTACTTTAATGATCACAGTGGGTGTACACACATGGGCTACACCCACTGGGATATTATTTGTAATATCTTAGGGAGATATAACTCCTAATATCACAGTGGGTGTACCCCATGTGTGTACATCCTGTGATATTATTTGTAATATCCATTGTAAACATTACTTCTAGTATCCCACAGAGGGTACACCCTGTGATATTTTTCATAATATCATAGGGAGATACTGTTTCTAATAAAACAGTGGGTGTACACCATGTGTGTACACTCTGTGATGTGATAGCTTATATCCTAGGGAGATATTCCTTCTAATCTCACAGTGAGTGTAAACCCTGTGACATCATACGTAATCTCCTAGAAAGATATTGCTGCTAATATCACAGAGGGTGTGCCCCCAGTGACATCATTTGAAATATCCTAGGGAGATGTTACTCGTAATGTCACAGGGGTTGTACACCCTGTTATATTATTGTAATATTCTAGGGGGGTGTTACTTTTTAAGTCACAGGGGTGTAGACCCTGTGATGTTATTCGTAATATCCTAGGAAGGGGCTACTCCTAATATCACATGGGTTATCCTAGGAAGAGCTTACTCCTAATATCACACTCCTAATATCACACCCTGTGATAACATTCGGAATATCCAAAAGGGATGTTACTTTTAATGTCACATGGGGTGTACACCCTTTGATAATATTCGTAAGATCCTAGGGACATATGACTTCAGATATCACATTGGGTATACACACATGGTGTACACATTGTGTGTGAACACCTCCTGTGATATTATCCATAATATCCTAGGAAAATGGGACTCCTAATATCACGGTCAGTGGACACCCTGTGATATGATTGGTAATATCCTAAAGAGATGTTACCACTAAGGTCACAATGTATGTACGCCCCCTGATATTATTCGTTATATCCTTGGCGGATGTTACTCCTAATGTCACACGGGGTGTACTCCCTGTGATATTATTCGTAATATCCTAGGGGGATGTTACTTTCAATGTCACCTGGGGCGTATATCATGCGTATTCAACGCCTGTGATACTATTCCTAATATCCTAGGGGCATGTTCCTCCTAATGTCACATGGGGTGAACCCCATATGTGTACACCTGCTGTGATATTATTCGTAATATCCTAGGGGAATATTCTCCTGATGGCACAGGAGATGTACACCATGTGTGTCAACCACCTGTGTCATTATTCGTAATATCCTAGGGGGATGTTTCCTTGAATGGCACAAAGTGTGCGCAAAAGGTCACAGAAGGTGTGCACCTTGTGATGTTATCTGCAATACCCTAGAAGGATGTTACTCCTAATATGTCACAGGGGTGTACACACTTTGATATTATTTGTAATCTCATAGAGAGATATGACTTCAAATATCATGGTGGATGTTCACACATAGTGTATACCCTGTGATATTATTCATAATATCCTAGGGAGATGCAACTCCTGATATCACAGTGCGTGTACCCAGTGTGTGTACACCCTTGATATGAGTCGTGATATCCAGGGTAAATATGACTCCTCATATCACACAGTGTGCACACCCTGTGATATTTTTCATCATACTTATAGGGAGATATTGCTTCTAATATCACAGTGGGTGTACCCCATGTGTGTTTACTCTGTGACAATATATTCTATATCCTAGGGAGGTATTACTCGTAATGTCACAGTGGGTGTTCACCCTGTGATATCATTCTTATTTGACCTCGCTGCCTTTTTGAACCCACCCTACAAAAGGAATGGAACAGATAAGAAGATATTGAGATTAGACTGTGCTGCCGTGCGGCCGCCGCAGGACACTTTTAATATCCCTGTTTCTCAGGCTGTACATGAAGGGGTTCAGCATGGGGGTGACCACCGTGTACATCACTGAGGCCACTGCACTCTTTCTTGGGGAAGATGACACATCTGAACCGAGGTACCCTCCAACACCTGTTCCACAAAATCAGCAAACAACTGGCAGGTGAGACCCACAGGTGGAGAAGGTTTATACTTCCCACCTGATGATGAAACCCTCAGAATGGAGGAAACAATTTTACAGTAAGAGAAAAGGTCCCCAAGATGGGAAGAAAACCAAATACGGCAGCAGGGAAATACAGGTTGATGTTCCTGGTGAAGGTGTCACAACATGCAAGATGGGGGAGTTGAGAAGGTTCCCAGAAGAAATTAGGAATTCCACATCCTTGAAGCCGGTCATTTGTAAGGCAATCAAGTTGTGCAGCTGGGAGTCTAAAAGACTGAGAAAAACAAAACAAAACAAAACGAAGACAACAAATCTAGGAAGCCACAGAAACATGGGTTCAAGATTGCTGAACGATATAGAGGGTGACAGATGGCTACAAACCGGCCATAGGCCATCACACTCAGGAGCATGTCTCTCTTCCATGCCTCCAAAAATGGCAAAGAGAGACATCTGAGTCAGGCAGCCTGCATAGGAGATGACTCTGC
The DNA here is from genome assembly GCF_000001405.40 of Homo sapiens. Lineage (NCBI taxonomy): Eukaryota > Metazoa > Chordata > Mammalia > Primates > Hominidae > Homo > Homo sapiens. Next base: position 67,736,277 of record NC_000011.10, read on the forward strand.
TGTGAGACTGGATGTCCACAATCATCTTGGGGACCGTGGTGGAGGTGAAACCGATGTCAGGCAAGGGCAGGTTGGAAAGGATGAAGTACATGGGGGTGTGGAGGTGGGAGTCAGGGCTGACGGCCAGGATGATGAGCAGGTTCCCCAGCACTGTGACCAGGCACATGGACAGGAACAGCCCAGCGACGACCGGCTGCAGTTCTGGATCCTCTGAGAGTTTGAGGAGGAGGAATATAGAGACATCTGTTAGACTATGTGGATCTGTATAGTTTGGACACCTTTTGCCTGGAAAAGAGGGTTGAAAAATCAGAAACAAGTAAACCAATACCCAGCATTGTGTCTGCATTTTGGATATAAGCAATTCACAAGTAATGTTTTCAGATTTCAGAGCAATCCACACTCAGCAATATTTTGTAGTTCTGACAAGCTCAATTGCCTTTTAATGCTTTCAACATCGATTGCTGTGTTATTCACGTCTTGCTGTACACACTTGCCTTAGAGACACTAGCTTCAAGAACGTTCCAAGAACCAGCTCATCATATAACAAATTCGTAATTGCTAGGAAATACAGCCTATCTTTTCCGAAGAACAAGATGTAATAAAACCATTGTCTTCACTTTAAGAAAAAGGTTATCCTAATTAAAGGAAATTAAGAACTCAAATATTTTATTTATTCTACTAGATGGATACAAATTCCCTTGATTTAGAACATTTGTAAACACTGTATAACAGCTGAGACCATGCCATCTGGAAATGAAATGAAAGTTGATAGTTCCTAAGAAGAAAATAGTTCCACATGCCAGTTAGGTCCTAGTGATTTCATCATTGTGTTTTCGGACTTTTCTCCTTCGAGAGAGTAATTGCTTACTCAAATCGGTGGGTCTTGTTTTAAAATTCATGGAAGCTCTAACTCCTGTCCTTAGCTTAGGTGGACTTAGAGTTTTCATCAGAAAGTTTGGCCGGACACGGTGGCTCACGCCTGTAATCCCAGCACTTTGGGAGGCCGAGGAGGGCGGATCATGGGGTCAGGAGATCAAGACCATCCTGGCCAACATGGTGAAACCCCGCCTCTACTAAAAATACAAACACTTCGCCCGGTATGGCGGCGCGCGCCTGTAGTCCCAGCTACTTGGGAGGCTGTGGCAGGAGAATAGCTTGAACCTGGGAGGCAGAGACTACAGTGAGCTGAAATCACACCACTGCACGCCAGCCTGGGCAATGAGAGCAAAACTCCGTCTCAAAACACAAAAAGAATCAAGTAAGTCAAAGTCACGCTGATGACAGCCAATTTTGATGAAGCAAGGAAGAGTCAATTCAACCATTAACATAGATTTTGACTTTTGCTGTCTCCTATGTGCCAAGAAAGATATAGGCTCTGGGGAATCAGAAACCAAAGAGACTCACTTGTTCCTCTCACAGTACTCAGCACTTACTGATAGAAGGACAAAACAAAATGTCCTGTCTGGAATGCAGGGAAACCAGAACTTCAGGTCAGGGGATATTTCCGTTGAATTGTGTGGAGTTGAAGCTGAAAATCTTAAGGAATGTATCAAAAATTCCCTTTGCCTTTAATTTATGCATCCGTCACCTAGAGATCACGCAGCGGGCGCCCACGATCAGCTTAATCATCACTCACTTCCATCGGATGAACTGGAAATCAAGTCAGATGAGAGTGCTGAGTCTCAGAGGATGGACATTTCACCCCTTGCCATACAGAGAAGTAGAAAGGGTGGTATTCAAAATTCATGGCCAGACTCGAAGTCCCGGGTACTATACTTCCTGGTCTTCCAACTCTCAAAAAGTTGTGGGTTTTTTTGGTTTTTGTTTTTGTTTTTGGTGTTTTGAGACGGAGTCTCGTTCCGTTGCCCAGGCTGGAGTGCAATGGAGTGATCTCGGCTCACCGCAACCTCTGCATCCCAGGTTCAAGCTATTCTCCTGCCTCAGCCTGCCAATTAGCTGAGATGACAGGCGCCCGCCACTACGCCTGGCTCATTTTTTTCTATTTTGAGTAGAGACGTGGTTTCACCATGTTGGCCAGGCTGGTCCTGAATTCCTGACCTTGTGATTCGCCTGCCTCAGCCTCCCAAAGGGCTGGGATTACAGGCGTGAGCCGCCGCTCCCAGCTTCCAAAAGTTTTAAGCAGAGCTCAGAGATCTTAACCACGGGCACATTGGAGGAGCATTTTTGAAACGCTTTCCAGCTTCCTCAATAGGAATGGAAACCAAACTCCGAATTGATGACTCCTTTGAGGAAGCCGAGAGCTGTAAGGAAAGCCAGGAACAGGGGCAAGGGAGAGATGCATCCCGAATGATTGCTGTGCCAATTCATTCTGGAATCCTCGATGTGATCTCAGCTGCCCTTTCCATACTTGACACAGTGATTGTGGCACCAACTGGTCTAGCTGTGGTCTACAAGGAACCCCCAAAGGGAGGGGCACAGTGAGCAGGGGCATCCGCCTGAGTGACGAGGATTTGAGAGGGCAGGTTGGTTGCAGGGAGAGGACTGGCCAAATGCCATGTGTCTGGACTTAGGCTGCCTGGTTCAAATTGGACTTCACCCTTTTTGACTTCACGATCGAGTACGAGTTATATGAAAAGACGTTGCTCCTTTTCTAGTCTGTAAAATCATCCTGAAATGTGCACTAATAAGGTGGAGACTACACAGATGAAATGAAACAAGCTGCATAGAGCACAGAGCTCAGAGCCTGGCCTTTAGGAAGCCCTCAGTAAGGGTTCATGATGCCATGGTGTCTGTTGTCATCCTCTTTATCCTCATCATCACCTTCATAATCTTTTTGTTGTTCTTAGGGAATAGTTTAGATGGACTGATTCCCTGCTATCATGGGTGAGATGTCTATGAAAAGGACAACCAGTGGGGGAGGAAAGCAAAATTTTGAATAAGATTTCTGAGACCCCCAGCACAACCAAGAACAGAAACTGCACAGTCTGCTGAGCGGACAGTTTGCACATTGGTCTCCTCCCATCTGCCCACCACATTCTCCTGTTTGTCCTGAGGAGGAGGAAACCAAACAAGGCTCCCGACCGTCCCTCAACACTCACTTGAAGGGGTGGCCTGGCCCTCCACACCTGTGGGTATTTCTAGTCGGGTGGGATGGGAGACTGAGGAAAGAAATAAGACACAGAGACAAAGTATAGAGAAACGACATTGAGCCCAGGGGACCAGCGCTCAGCATACCAAGGATCTGCACCGGCACCGGCCTCTGAGTTCCCTCAGTTTTTATTGATGATTATTTTTATTATTTTAGCAAAAAGGAATGTAGTAGGAGGGCAGGGTGATAATAAGGAGAAGGTCAGCAACGAAGATGTGAGCAATAGAATCTATGTCATAATGAAGTTCACGGGAAGGTACTATGACTGGACGTGCATGTAAGCCAGATTGATGTTTCTCTCCACCCAAACATCTCAATGGAGTAAAGAATAACAAGGCAGCATTGCTGCAAACATGTCTCACCTCCCACCATAGGGCGGTTTTTCCCCCATCTCAGAATTGAACAAATGTATAATCGGGTTTTATACCGAGACATTCAGTTCCCAGGGGCAGGCAGGAGACAGCGGCCTTCCTCTCCCTCAACTGCAAGAGGCTTTCCTCTTTGACTAGTCCACCTCAGCACAGACCCTTTACAGGTGTCAGGCTCGTGGACGGTCAGGTCTTTCTCCTCCCACGAGGCCACTTTTCAGACTATCACATGGGGAGAAACCTTGGACAATACGCCGCTTTCAAGGGCAGAGCTCCCTGAGGCTTTCCACAGTGTATTGTGCCCCTGGTTTATTGAGACTAGAGAATGGCGATGACTTTTACCAAGTATACTGCTTGGAAACATCTTAACAAGGCACGTCCTGCACAGCCCTAGATCCCTTAAACCTTGATTTCATACAACACATGTTTTTGTGAGCTTCAGGTTGGGTCAAAGTGGCTGGGGCAAAACTACACATTAACAACATCTCAGCAAAACAATTGTTGAAAGTACAGGTCTTTCTCAAAATGGAGTCTGTTATGTCTTTCCTTTCTACATAGACACAGTAAGAGTCTGATCGCTCTTTCTTTTGCCTACACTCACTGAACTGCCCTTCCCCTCTGCTGGGCCATGACCACGGAGAATAGGTCCACTGTCCTCCCTGCATGGTGCACGATGGATGCTCAGACTCCATCCTCATGGCTGGCAAGAAGACAGAGTGAGACATGAGCCTCCTGATACAGGTGATGTCTCTGGAGCCCACAGGACTGCAACCTCACACTGCAGGGCTGGAGGCACAGACTGAGTATTTACTGTTCTGTGGCCTGGGGGCTCAAGGCACAGAGCTCCTCATTAGCCAAAGTCACCCAAATTCCCCAACCTCTAAGGATTTCCTCATCATCATGTAAGAAGAAGAAGAGAAAATGATTGTCCATAGAAGCTTTGAGGCTCTTCTTCTAATCAGGAGAAAGCTGGTGTGTATTATTCGCTTCTTTCTTTTCTTTTTAAAGATCCAACTGCTTTAATTTTCATCTTTTATTATGGGAAAATATACCACGTATAAATATTAAAAATTATAAATATATATTAGTTCATATAGAATAGCCAGTATAAACATTTACAATTTCCACCCTTTTTCAGTTTACAGTTTCATGACATTAAGTACGTTCACATTGTTTAGCAACCATCACCGTCATCATCTCCGGAACAGTTTTATTTTTCAAAATGGAAATTGCACCCATTCACCAAGCTCTCCACTCCTCTCTCTCGCCCACCCCTGGGGGCCACCTTTCTGGTTTGCAACTCTAGGAGTCTAACTACTCTAGACACTTGATAGATAAGTGGAATCATACCGTGTTTAATTTTTTTTTTTTAGATACAGAGTCTTTCTCTGTCGCCCAGGCTGGAGTGCAGTGGCATGATTTCGGCTCACTGCAACCTCCACATCGGGGTTCAAGCAATTCTTATGTGTCAGTCTCCTGAGTAGCTGGGATTGCAGACGTGCGCTATCACGCCCAGCTAATTTTTGTATTTTTAATAGAGATGAGCTTTCACCATATTGGCCAGGCTGGTCTCGAACTCCTGAGCTTAAGTGATCCGCCTGCCTCAGCCTCCGCAAATGCTGGGGTTACAGGTGCGAGCCACTGAGCCTGGGCATGTTTATCCTTTTTTGATTTATTTATTTCACTGACGATAATGTCTTCAATGTTCATCCATGTTGCGGCCTGCATCAGAAGTGCCTGTTTGTTTTTGTTGTTTTTTTTTTAATTTGGTTTTATTTTGTTTTGTTTTGCGTTTTCATGGAGTCTCACTCTGTCGCACAGGCTGGAGTGCAGTGGCACAATCTGGGCTCACTGCAACCTCCACCTCCCGGGTTTGAGCGATTCTTGCGCCTCAGCCTCCTTAGTAGCTGAGATTACAGGTGCGTGCCACCACACCAGCTAATTTCTGTATTTTTAGTAGAGATGGGGTTTGCCATGTTGGCCAAGCTGGTCTTGAACTCCTGAGCTCAGGTGATCCACCCGCCTCAACTTCCCAAAGTGTTAGGATTACAGACATGAGCCACTGTGCCCAGCCCAAGGATGTGTATATTTTCTATAGACTTTTGATGATAATACTTTGACAGCAAATATATTGTGACTATCTATATATCATACATATATATATATATATATATATATAGAGAGAGAGAGAGAGAGAGAGAGAGAGAGCGTGAGAGGGAGAGAGCAAGAAAGAGAGAGAGTCTCCCTTTTTCACCCAAACTGGAGTGCAGTGGCACAATCATAGCGTGCTGCGGCCTTAAATTTCTGGGCTCAAACAATCCTGTCACCTCAGCCTCCTGAGTAGCTGGGACTACAGGCATGTACTACCATGCCCAGCTAACTTTTTATTATTTTTTTTTGTAGAGATGAGGTCTGACTGTTTTGCCCGGGCTGGTCTTAAACTCCTGGCTAAAAGTGATCCTCCTGCCTTGGCCTCCCCAAGTGCTGGGATTACAGGTGTGAGCCATTGCAACTGGTGTGAAGCTGGGATTGCAGGTGTGAGACATGGCATCTGGTGTGAATATCGCCTGGTAAATACCTTGTACTTTCACTTTCATTAAGATGTCTTTCGACCTCATGAAATTATCTGAAAAACAGGGATGAAACACTGTTCTGCTCCATCTTCCCTGCAGGCACTTGGGCCCCATCCTGCTCTCTTGCCCCCCTCTTCTAGTGAATGGCCAGATAGGAACTATTGCAGGTTTATGGGCCATGTGGTCTCTGTTGCAAATATAACAGCTCTGCTGTTGTAGTGCAAAAGCAACCACAGCCCATATGGAAACCATCTTTCCTGCATGGCCTCTGTAATCTTTTAGAAATACCCGTTGGGTCACACCACTGCCTGACTTAAAACGTATAGATGACCTCTTCTGTCTCCTAAGCTATTAGGTTGGTGCAAAAGTAATTGCTGTTTCCATTAAAAGTAATGGCAGAAATTGGCTGGGCATGGTGGCTCACACCTGTAATTCCAGCAGTTTGGGAGACCGAGGCAGGTGGATCACTTGAGGTCAGCAGTTTGAGATCAACCTGGGCAACATGGTGAAACCCCATCTCTAGTAAAAATACAAAAATTAAAATTAGCTGGGGGTGGTGGCATGTGCCTGTAGTCCCAGCTACTTGGGGGGATGAGGCAGGAAATTGGCTTGAACCTGGGAGGCGGAGGTTGCAGTGATGAAGATCACACCTCTGCACTCCAACCTGGGTGACAGAGACAGACTCTGATAAAAAAAAAAAGTAATGGCGGAAATCACAATTACTTTTGCACCAACCTAATAAAAGTCAAGTCCTGACCACAGCCTAGGAAGCCAGCTATGACCTGGCCCTTGTCACCCTCTCCAAGTTCAACTCCCGAGAACTTCCGTTTCCTCTCTGCTCCCCGCTCCGGCCTCCCATTCCTCACTCGTGTTGCATCAGATGCCTGCGCACCCTGGTGTTTCCGCATGTCCTCTTCTGTTAGCCTGGAAAGTTCTTTCCTCCCTCTTCATCCAGCACTACTAGATACCTCCCCCTGCCTTAGCCTAGCCAGGTCCCCTGTCATTTAGTCTCAGAGTATCTTGAATGTCTTCTTCACAGCCCAACTTACAATCCTCACTCACTCGCTGAGTGGGTGCCATCCTTTCTCTCCACCTAGAATGCAAGCTTCCTGAGGGCAGGGGCTGGAACCATCTTGTTCTTTGCCAAATCCCCAGTGCCATCTCTGGCACAAAGTGGGCATTATGAAAATATTTGCTGAGTGCATAAAAGGAGGGAATCATGGATTTGAGCCCTCGGCTTGGTGCCCTGGGGATGTGGCTCCATAAAATCAGTTCCCATTTTTCTCTCTCCTCTTCTCCTGGGAGGTGGGTGTCTGGGTTCTCCTGCCAGGAGAGCTTCTCTCTCAAAAGACTGCAGGTGCCTCTTGGCCTAGGCCTGCCTCCTGCTAAGTGAGACTCTTTAGGGCTAGTCTGCATCGACTCTGCTGAGATGCAGCCACCAGATGGGTAACGTGCGCAACCCTTGGAAGGTCCCTGGGAACGAGGCTTCCGAGTCATCTGGATCAACTAGTTTGAAGTTACAAACTCACCAGATGTTGGTCAGCTGGAATCTTAGTGATGAGCTGCTCCGACCCCTCCTGTTGTAGTCAAGTCACTTGTGCAAAGCCACCACTTGGCTGGGACCCCAAGCTCAGGCCTGGACTCTCTCCTTGGTCCCAGGCTTTACACTAAGGGAATGTCAACTGTTCTGTAGAATCACTTGGACTACTTTATACTTTTGTGTCTCCTTTTCCTATTCTGTATTCTGGAAAAACAAACTTTTCCTTGTGATTGAACAGAATCTTCACACTGTGTTGTTGCTGGCATTGTTCTAAATTTAGCCTCGGTTCATCCCCAGCTGGAGTGAATGACTTTAATTTGATCAGCTGCTGTATGTGCTTGGGAGCCTCCGAAGGGCGACCTGTGGCCTTTAAGGCCCCTTTCCACCCTTAGATCCTGACCTGGGGCAAACACACACTCCAGCTCGTTCATGTCCAGATAAGACACCCAGAGGCCATGGCGAGGGTTCCCTCTGTAGGGGCTCTATTGCTGTTGAGAGGATCAAGGCAGCAGTCAGGGCCTGAGGGTTGTCCAGAAGAAAGCACAAAGCATACCGAGCGCTGGTCTGACAGCACTTAGGAGTGTGACAGAAACCTTCTGTCATGGGACCAGAGATTGGAGACCGTGGGAACACATCCGAACCCACATCTCCGTGACAAGGTGGTGCTGATTTCCAGTGGTCCTCCCTGGTGGGGAAATCACGTAGCTCTGACTCTGGAGCGTGTTGTTGTGTTTCTCTTTCAGTATGAGCTTGTCTGTGGCCCTAGAGTTCCTCCCTTATGAAATAATGATGCCTCCCAACACAGGATATCCCAGGCTGCAAGCCTGTCCCTTCTGCCCAGCTTCCTTACCCCTGTGCCCCCAAAGCCCACAGCAGGGCCTGCCAGAGGCTGATGACATATCTGTCACTGTCCCAAGGGGGCAGGGGCAGCGACGGAGTATTAGGCCACAAAAGGCATGCCTGCAGGCACATATGAGGGAAACACCCAAAGCCAGACGTCAATGAAACAGTAATTCGGTGGAATAGGAGAGGTCATATTCTCATGCAAGACTGTCTAAATACATAAGTCTCCTTGGGCACAATCTGCCAGGGGACAATGGTTCATGCCGAGACAGCTATTACACCGCCTTGCTAAGAACTTCCAACACACACTTACACACACACATACACACGCACATATACAAGCACACACACATGCATACACACATGCACCCACACACACACATGCAAGCACATACAGATACACACGCACAAACACACATACAGATACACATACATATAGGCACACACATGCACACACACAGATACACACACATGCACACAGATACACACATGCACACAAACACACGAAGGCACAGACACATGCACACAAATGCACATGCATACAGACACATGCACACACAGGCAACACACACGCACACACATACATACACACAGGCACACACAGATATACATATGCACACGGAGACACGCATGCATGCACACGTATGCACACAGACACACATATGCACACACATGCACACACACAGATACACATGCATGCACATACAGGCATACACATGCAAACACATGCACACAGATATGCATGTACACACATGTACACACATGCACACCCATACACATGCACAGAAAAACACGTACACACACATGCACACACATGCACACAGACACATGCACAGATACAGACACACATGCACACACAGAAGCACACACATGCACATGCACACTCGCACACATGCGCACACACATGCACACATGCACACACATGCACACACATGCACACTTGCACACGTGCTCACACGCATACACACGCACACACATGCACACATACACACACACCACTCCTTTTCCATTTCTCTAATTTCCAATTTTTTTCTATGAGCTTCCTCAGACTCATGATCTTGATTCTAGAATGAATTCAGGGAGTAAGTGTGTATTATTGAAATAACAGTAAATTCAAACATGCCTAAGAACCTTTTTGAATGTTGGGGAAACCACCTCACAGATCATTCAAATGACCCGAGCAGACACTTCACCAGGGACCCTTGGACATCTCCCTGTCCCTTCTGCCAACCTCTGTGCTTTAATATCAGGGGACAAACCTCTCGATTTTGGTTTCTCATCTCTGTGTCCCCATGTACACTGGACTGCACTACTGTGTCAAAGCTACTTGCAGCCTGACCTGGCAAATGTACTTTTGGATTCACTCGATTTGCCACCTATTTGGGTGGTTTGGGCTGGAAATTGCCCTGCTCACACTCTTGGCTCCCAGCTGCTCCTGCTTTGGGGGTGCCTAGAGACCCCAGCTCATCCCGTGGGTCATATCCCCACAGTGGGGCCGGGGATGTGACTGAGAGTTGTCTGGGCACCTCTCTCCAGCAGCATTGAGGATGGCGCTCAGCACTGTGTGACGTTGGCTGGTGGCCACTGCCTGTTTAGGTCGAAATGGCCCAGCCTGATGTCCGCATGCACCTCTGCGGCACACTGGCCTGCAGACCCCCGAGCATATGCTGCATGCTTCTCACCTCTAGAGTGGCCACCCAGACAGCGATACAGACATACCAAGAAAACCCACAGGCAAGCCCAGAGGTGCCCGTTCTACTAGGGCCTTGTGAGCCTCTGTGATTTGAGTCATGAGCTTCTTGTGGTGATTTCACTTAGCTAACATCCAACACATTGCATTTAGAGGCTCTTTCTCTTGGACATTATATGGAGGCGTGGCCATGGTTTGCTGAGATAAATGTCCCAAAACACCCCTCAATAAAACCAAATAACAGCTCATCAACCCCTTACATTTAAAAAAAAATTGACATCTTATAAATAGCAAATATTGGATGACAATAAGGCACAGGAAAAAGCTCATAAGCCCAGAACAGCAGTCATCATTCAATTGTTCCTTAACTACTGACTGTGCACCTGTTCAGTACCAGCACCGCATCCTAGATACAGGGATACCACACGAAATAAGATGACAAAGCACCTGCCCCTGTGGAGCTGAGCCACTAGCAGGAGAGACAGTCACTAAATGAATATCTCTATCCTGTGGTTTCTGGGAATGACAGTCACATAAAAGGATAGAAAGGGATGGAGGAAAGCTAATTTAGACAACTCAGGATCAGAATCGGGAGGTGGTTGCATCCCTCAAAATTCAGAGTAGCTGGAGTGCAAGCCTTGTATTAGCTGAGCCTGAATCCTGGCCCTGCCGTTGTCCATGGTGTCCTCAGGCAAATGGCTCAACTTCTCTGACCACCGGCTTCAAGTGCAGAACAGGAGACCAGAGTCCCATCTCTCAGGGTTGTTGCTGTGGACTGAATTGTGTTCCCTCCATTTCACTCATTAGGAGCTAATTAACGTTAAAGGAGGTCATAAGAGTGGAATCCTAATCTGATAGGATTGGTGGATTTATAAAAAGAAGAGATGTCTCTGTCTCTCTCCCTCTCTGCCATGTGAGGACAAGCAAGAAGGCTGCTGTCTGCCAGCCAGGAAGACAGCCCTTACCAGAAAGGGATTGGTGGATACTTTGATCACGAACTTCTGGCCTCCAGATCAGTGACAGAAAATCAATGTCTGTTATTTAGGCCATCCGGTCTCGGGTACTTTGTTATGGCAGCTAGGCTGGCTGAGGCAGTTGTTGAGAGGAACCGACAAGGTAGTTGGGGTAAAGCACACAGCACGGCCACAGCTCACTGAGCACAATGTCAGTCTCATTTCCCTTCAATTGTTATTCTCTGTCTGGAGGATTTTCATGATGGCTTTTCTCCAAGAAGCTCCCTGGGGTCTTTGTAAATATGGGGATATTTCTGACAAGAAAAATCCTTACGGTTCTTAACATTGACAATGACCAGGAACAGCAAGACATGAAAATGAGAAGGTGGCTAGAAAAGAGAGGACCCACAGAAGAAACCAACAACCACACAACACACACACACACAGGAGGAATCCTAATGCAGGAGGAGAATAGAACATCAGGGGACCCCGAGACTGAACTCTGCATCTCATGTATTGAGATCATTCCCTGATACGGTTTGGCTGTGTCCCCACCCAAATTTCATCTTGAATTGTAGCTCTCCTAATCCACATGTGTCATGGGAGGGACGTGGTGGGAGGTAATTGAATCATTGGGTGGGTCTTTCCCATGCTGTTCTCATGATAGTGAATATGTCTCATGAAATCTGATGGTTTTATAAAGGGGAGTTCCCCTGCACAAGCTCTCTTGCCTGCTACCAAGTAAGACGTGACTTTGCTCCTCATTCACCTTCCACCGAGATTGTGAGGCCTCCTTAACCATGTGGAACTGGAGTCCATTAAACCTCTTTCCTTTATAAATTACCCAGCCTCAGGTATGTCTTTATTAGTAGCATGAGAATGGACAAATATATTCCCTAAGCCTCTATTTTCCTCTGAGACAGGCTTAAACTGAATAGCCCCATCTTTGCAGGCCTTAAATAGTAATACTGTTATGTGTTATATTAACATGTATTTTATTGAAAGTCTCTGGTTTTTGTCTCTCTGAACACAGGCAGGCCTTGCTGAAACTTGCAGATGACATTCCAAAATGCATTCTATCTTAAGATAAGCAGAGAGGGTGGTGAGGAAAAATTGTACATACCTTCCCCTCAATGAAGAGGTCCCCGAGGTGTGGCCGGCCTTGGTATAAGCTTTTTGGCTCTGTTAATTCATGAGGGCTGAGTCTGATTGATCCTCATGGGGAAGACTAACAAAGGAATCCTTGCAACCATTAGGAATAACACTCATGACCCAGAAAGCGGTTCTGTCTTCATGGGGCATCATCTGTCTTGTTTACTGAGTGACCTTCTGGCTCATTTTTCTTCCAGCCAGGGTTGGAATTCAATAATCCTAGTTCCTTCCCAAATTTTAGAGCTGGGAAATGCATTCCTCAGGTTTCTACTTTTCAAAAGCGAAGAATATCTGTGGAGCTCAACTCCTAAATAGTGTGACTTTGTCTGTTTATGTGGTTCTCTTGCTGACTGCCTGGTTGCGACTGTGCCTGAACTCAGGCCTCTGTGTTTCTGAATCTTAGAAGCGGTGGTTGGCATGTCAAACTTGAAGTCATTGTCCTTTAGTTATCTGAGTGTTATAATTGAACAGCACATTTATTAACAAGACTTTAGTAAATCCATCAGCATTCTAGGAATCTTTGATTCATTGACCTATCTCTAATGTAAGCAAAGGCTGCCAGAGAGTTGCTAACAAGAATTCCATCTTTCCTCAGAACCTTCAGTTCTCTTGGGTCGAAGTTGATACCTGTTTCATGAAAAATGCAAACCCAATTAATTACAGCTGTTCATAGTATGCCTCTTCTAAGAGACCTCTGCTGTTCCTACCCCAGGGACTGCCAGAATAATTAAAAGTCACAGAAATCAAACAAATGGGCCTCTGGCTAAATTATAGAAGATTAACCCAGGAAGAGCACTTATTAAATAGTAAGCAGTCCCCAAAAATATTAAAGTACAAAAAGGATTAGAAATTGTTTTAAGCATTGGTTCCAACTTCAGGTGCTGGTCTTCCACTCCACTGTGGAAGGGAACAAATGGATTTTCCTGTCCTAAAGCCAGTGACATTGATCACGCCCCTTGGAGGCTTAATAACATCTCACTTTATTTTATTTTAATTAATTAATTATTTATTTATTTTTGAGATGGAGTTTCACTCTTGTTGCCCAGGCTGGAGTGCAATGGCACGATCTCCGCTCACTGTAACCTCTATCTCCTGGGTTCAAGCGATTCTCCTGCCTCAGCCTCCTGAGTAGCTGGGATTACAGGCACGTGCCACCATGCCCAGCAAATTTTTGTATTTTTATTAGAGATGGGGCTTCACCACGTTGGCCAGGTGGGTCTTGAACTCCTGACCTCAGGCGATCTGCCTGCCTCGGCCTCCCAAAGTGCTGGGAGAACAGGCATGAGCCACCGCCCCCGGCCAATAATATCTCACGTTAAGCATGGAGTTGCTGTCCACTGTGTGGCCAGAGAGAAAACAAACTGCCATTACAGAGGGAGGTGGTATTGGGCTACTTTTTTTTTGGAAACAACAGCAAAATGTGAGGCAAATCCGCTTTTAGATCCTGGTTACACTGCTGGATGGAGCTTAGCAAGCCTGTGATAGGGTAGCCTGGTGGTGGCTTGGGGGATTCCTAGCCATGTCACACAGGACAGATGCCTTTGAGGAGAGATGGCACAGCGCTGGCTCTCAGGCCCCCATTGCAGGGGGACCAGGCTGTTTATGGATCGGGTGGGAACCCTGTTAGAAAAATAAGTGGAGGCTGGGTGTGGTGGCCCACACCTGTAATCCCAGCACCTTTGGAGGATGAAGTGGGTGGATTGCTTGAGCCTGGGTGTTCGAGACCAGCCAGGGCAACTTGGCAAAGCCCTGTCTTTAGAAAAATAATAATAATAGTTAATTAATTAGTTAATTTTTTTTTAAAAAAAGAAACAGAAGTGGAGCTAAGGAACACAGAGCCTGCCAGAAAGCCAAGGTGGCCAGCTAGAAGGACACAGAAGAACATTACCATAGTTCTCTCTGAGCATTTGGACTAGGGGTGCTTTCATGTGGTTTTCATATCAAACATACTTTATTTTTATACTTAGGGGGGAAAGACCTAATACATACAATAAAGGTAACACGAGACAAAACTCTCACCAAAGCCTCACATCTTAGATGCTCTACTGGGTCTCTGCAATTTCTATTAGGGGCCCCATGGGTTTGAATTCCATTCTAGATTTGATAAGAAAATCCAAATGCTCAACCCCGTCAACCCCCCCCCCACCCGTCCACCCCATTTACAAAAGCCAAGTGAAAACTAAGGAGGGGCCGGGTGCAGTGGTTCACACCTGTAATCCCACCACTTTGGGAGGCTGAGGTGAGGGGAACACCTGAGGTCAGGAGTTCGAGACCAGCCTGACTAATATGGTAAAACCCCGTCTCTACTGAAAACACAAAAATTAGCAAGGTGTGGTGGTGGACACCTATAATCCCAGCTACTTGGGAGGCTGAGGCAGGAGAATCACTTGAACCCGGGGGCAGAGGTTGCAGTGAGTGGAGATTGTGCCACTGCACTCCAGCCTGGGTGAGAAAAAGTGAAACTCCAAAGAAAAAGAAGAAAGAAAGGAAGAAAGAAAGAAAGAGAGAGAGAAAGAGAGAAAGAGAGAGAGAGAGGGAGAGAGGGAGGGAGGGAGGGAAAGAAAGAAAGAGAGAGAAAGAGAAAGAAAGAGAGAGAGAGAGAAAGAAAGAAGAGGAGGAAGGAGAAGAAGGAAGGAAGGAAGAAAAGAGAGAGAGGGAGGGAGGGAGGAAGGAAGGGAGGAAGGAAACTAAGGAGGAAGGTGGCGTGTACAGAGGTACAGAGGCCCTCAGGTCCTAGCTGGCCCTGGGTGACAAGAGTGAAACTCCGAAGCAAAAGGAAGGAAGGAAGGAAGGAAGGAAGGAAGGAAGGAAGGAAGGAAGGAAAGAAGTAAACTAAAGAGGAAGGTGGCATGTACAGAGGACCTCAGGTCCTAGCCGGCACTGGCACCTATGCAGGTTCCAATGGGCTGAGCTTTGCAAAAGTTCATTGTGTAACCCAGGAAGCCCAAATATATTTCTGAGCAGATGTCTTTTCAAAGTGATTTTCCTTTTAGGAAGTGAGAGGAGAATGAAGGGGAGGTTTTTCCTACTTCTGATGTTAAAAAAGTCAAAACAAAATAAATTGGTGTTCATTGCAACTATTGGCCAAAGCACTATCATCACCAGGACCTGTACCTCAAACACACCTCCTGACAGCCCCTTCCATTCTAATCAAGGTATGCCCAACTGTGGTCACCCAGGGGCTGTTTACCTTTACTTAAAGAGAAATGCTGGTAGTAAGCCATAAAAATTACCATATTCACCATCTTTCTGCTTCAAAGAAGGTTTTAGATTAGCAATGGCTGGATCAATCACTGTGAGTATGTTCTTGGGAACTAAAAGCCAAGAAGAAATATTTTAAATATGTGGTATATTTTTAAAATGTGGACTCTTAATATATTTTTAAATGCAATGTAGATAAGATTTTAAAATCACTTTCCAAATTGGTGCAGGAGTCACTCCCTCTCCCTGTTACATACACATACATACACACAACCCAATGGCATCCACGTGATCATCAAATGCTCCAGAGAGGTGGGTTTAGGCCCAATTTGCAATATTTAAAAAATGGAGAATAAAAACAAGATATGATATATCCATCCAGCAGAATACACCTCAGTAATAAAAAGGAATGAAAAGCTCGGCATGGTGGCTTACACCTGTAATCCCAGCACTTTGGGAGGTAGAGGTGGACAGATTACTTGAGGTCAGGAGTTCGAGACCAGCCTGGCCAACATATTTGAAACCCCATCTGTACTAAAAATACAAAGTTAGCTGGGCTTGGTGGCACAAGGCTGTAATCCCAGCTACTTGGGAGGCTGAGGCAGGGAGAATTGCTTGAACCCGGGAGGCAGAGGTTGCAGTGAGCGAAGATCACACCACTGCATCCCAGCCTGGGTGACAGCGTGAGACTTCAACTCCAAAAAAAAAAAGTGAAGTACTGATATGATACATGCTACAACATGGATGAACCTCTGAAACATTACATTCAGTTAAAGACGTCAGCCATGCACACACACACAAAACATCCATTGCATAATTCCATTTGTATGAAATATTCAGAAAAGGCAAATCTAGAGAGAAAGTAGATGCGTGGTGTCCTGGGACTGGGGGGTTGGAAATGGGGCAGTGATGGCAAATGGGCACAAGGGAGCTTCGGGGGATTGTGAAAATGTTTTAAAACTGGAGGGTAGTGATGGTTGCACAACTCTAAATTTATTAAAAATCATTGAATTTTATTCATGTGTAATAGAATTTTAAGAAAAATAAACAACACCTCAATAGAGTGGTTAACTCTGGGCCGGGCATGGTGGCTCACGCCTGTAATCCTGGCACTTTGGGAGTCTGAGGCAGGTGGAACACTTGAGTCAGGAGTTCAAGACCAGCCTGGCCAACATGGTGAAACCCCATCTCTACTAAAAAATACAAAAATTAGCCGGACGTGCTCACTTCAACCCAGGAAGTGGAGGTTGCAGTGAGCTGAGAGTGTGCCACTGCACTCCAGCCTGGGTGACAGAGCAAGACTCCATCTCAAAAAAAAAAAAAATATATATATACATATATATATATACACATATGTATATATATACATATATATACATATATATACACATATATACACATATGTATATATACATATATACACATATGTATATATACATATATACACATATGTATATATACATATATACACATATGTATATATACATATATACATATATATATATATATATATATGCACACACACACAGTGGTTAACTCTGAAGATGAGCTTCCCTGGACTTAGTAAAGCAAAATGACTGTGACCAACTCAAAATCCACCATTAAACTCTCCCAGCACCTGCTCTTCTGCTTTCTACCCCAAGCTCTTTGCCTCTGTGTTTCCATCGTAAATCTGGAAAGAATTCGAAGACTCTGTGCTAAAGTGATTTGCTAAATATTATCAGAAAGGAAGACAGAAAGATGCAGAGAGGATGGCAGCGTGACCGACTCCTTTGAAGGTGGTTGAAGACTCTGCTGAACTGACGCTAAGAGTAAGCCCTGGGATGTCAGAACCCCCAGGCAAAGCAGCTGGCAGATGACAACACCCGCTGAAACAGAGGGCAGAGCAAGAATTCTGCAGGCCAAGCACACTGCCGCAGGCTGGGAGAAGGGAGTGGAAACCAAATATTCCTCCTGCATAAAATTGCTTATTTTTGTTTGTTCCTCAGCCCAGCTGAGATCTTGGAGAAGTAGCAACAGGAAATGGAAAGAAAGCAAAAACAAACTGCAAATTCAATTGCACTGCTTTTTAAAAAAAGAACAAGTGAGACATCTTCAGCAGCAAGAAAACCTTGTTTCCTTTCTTGGAGGGCTTAACTAAATTCTTCTGGGGATGTCCCAGGATCAACAACCACAGGACATTCCTAGATTGTGAGTTTTCCAGGTACAGGAGGCCCTGGTGCCTTCGTGCCCATCAGCAGCAAGGGAGACTTCCCAGGGAGGCCCGGTGAAGCTGCTGGAGTTGGCTGATGATTTCCAGGGCCTCAAGGAATGTCCCTTGGCTGTCCTCAGGGCACACCACTGATCCTGGGACCATGACAGCTTCGGAGAGCTGAGCTGAGCTGAGCTGCTGCAAAATGCTTTCTGCTTTAATTGCCTCTCATTCATTTCTGGGCCCTGAGAAGGATGCAGTAGCCCGGGAAGTGTCAGCTCTCCCTGCCAGGGGTGGGACTTCTTTCTCATGTCTGCCTCTTGGCTTGTTCTCAAACTGTGGCTTCAGGAGGGCCTTGGCTCTTGGCAAATGCCAGAGGCTTTACAGTTTGAGAAAGAATCAGAATTTTGAAGAGGAGCTCAGAGAGGAAGGTCATTCTAGGATGCACTTTGCAGAATCACCAGGCAGTGAAAAGGTGAAATTGGCTGTGTATGACACAGGCCACTGCAGGGAATGTGCCCCTCTACTATGTGAAATTGGCTCCGATATCCAGAGAATCTTTTAGGACCTTTAAAATCACCGTTGTCAACACACTTGTCAGATTTTTGCATCTCCTTGTTTCATACTGTTTTAGAATGAGGTCGGGGACTGGGGTGTGATTGATCACCGTCCTGCTCCACTTCAGATATGTTGGTGAAAACACTAGGGACCACTCTTCATGGAGCTCCTACTGTGTGCAGGACCCTGTTCTCAGCAGTTTAAACCAGGGCCATCTTCCTCCTTATCAATACCTTTCCTCTCCCACTCAGCAGCCTCAGCGTCTCAGCCCCTAGTGTGCAGCTAGTGCACATACCCTAGTGTTCACCGTACAGGATGGTTCTCTTTGGAAGACTTAAACCACCAACCCAAGCTAAATTAGGCCCCCTCCACTGCTATAGTCTTCTTCCCTTTTCTAAAATAGCATTTGTCACAATAGGGCATGATGATGTGTCTGGCTATTTGGTTAATGCTTGCCTTTCTCCCTCAACTGTTCACCCCATGAAAACAGGATGGTGTCTTTTTTTTTTTTTTTTTTTTTTTGAGACAGAGTTTCACCCTTCTCACCCAAGCTGAGTGCAGTGGTGAGATTTCAGCTCACTGCCATCACCCAAGCTGAGTGCAGTGGTGAGATCTCAGCTCACTGCCAATTCCGCCTACCAGGTTCAAGTGATTCTCCTTGTCACAGCCTCCCAAGTAGCTGGGATTACAGGCATACTTCACCATGCCCAGATAATTTTGTATTTTTAGTAGAGACAGGGTTTCAACCTGTTAGCCAGGATGGTCTCCATCTCCTGACCTCGTGATCCGCCTGCCTCAGCCTCCCAAAGTGCTGGGATTACAGGCGTGAACCACAATGCCCAGCATTAGTTTAGTTTTTCAGAGACAGGGTTTCACTCTGTTACCCAGGCTGGAGTGCAGTGGTGCAATCATAGCTCACTGCAGCCTTGAACTCTTGGGCTCAAACCTAGGCTCAAGGGATCCTCTCGCCTCAGCTTCTCAAGTACCTGGGAATATATGAATGCACACCATGCCCAGCTTACATTTATTTGTTTAAAAGACAAGAAAGAGGCCAGGCACTGTGGCTCACACCCGTAATCCCAGCATTTTGGGAGGGAGGCTGAGGGAGGAGGATCGCTTGAGCCCAGAATTTGGAGACCAGCCTGGGAAACATAGCAAGGCCTCATCTCTAATTTAAAAAAAAAAAAAAGCAAGAAAGATGATATGATACCAAATCAAATCATTTCCTTTACTAGGAAAAGGGCAAAAACAAGGCATGGTGTCAGTTAAGGATCCCTCCTTAGAGAAGCATGAAAAGTCTGCCCCAAATCTGGTAAATCCAGGAACAACTGACTGTCAAGCTGATGGTGCATTCTAGGTAAGGATGATTTGGACCAGGTTGTACTTTGTTCCCAAAGAATTCAAGGAAAACTTTGTTTGTTTGTTTAATCTGCTTAACATAGTAAAATCTTTCTTTGCAATATCATACAAAGTTGGCATTACATATGCACTGTTGAAGAAAACATAGTTAATTTTTTTTTAAAGAATGTACTCCAAAACCATTTAATTAGTAAAAATGTTTAATAATGATTTTTTTTTTTTTTTTTTTTGAGACGGAGTCTTGCTCTGTTGCCCAGGCTGGAGTGCAGTGGCCTGATCTCTGCTTACTGCAAGCTCCACCTCCCAGGTTCATGCCATTCTCCTGCCTCAGCCTCCAGAGTAGCTGGGACTACAGGTGCCCACCACAACACCCGGATAATTTTTTGTATTTTTAGTAGAGACAGGGTTTCACCGTGTGAGCCAGGATGGTCTCAATCTCCTGACCTCATGATCCACCTGCCTTGGCCTCCCAAAGTGCTGGGATTACAGGCATGAGCCACTGTTCCTGGCCCTTTGAGTACATTTTCTAAGAAGTTGGTCATGAGTTCAGATGTCTGCCTCAAAGAGATACTTGTGGTTTCCATTAAAGAACCCACCTTCCCTTTCTACAGGAGTATTTATGGGAGATATGGGCCTGGAGGTTGGAATCTATCCTGGTTGTACTTTGCTCTACTGAAGTAAGGAGTAAACCTACAAATACATTCATATTGAAGTGTACAAAGGGGGCTCTACAATAGGTAGGAATTCTATTTAGTTTTGTTGGGTAACAAATCCTTTGAGAAGCAAATAATAGCTCACCTACAAAACTGGTGATCTGTATAAGTTGGGATTTTTCATGGATCAGTTTTGCTTGGATTGAACTATATAATCACAAATATATTTATACCTAGAGAGACAGAAAGAGTGTCTGTTGAAACTGTATCATCTTAACGTGTCTATAAAAGGCAATACCTGGAAGGTGGTGGATGCCACACAGGTTAAGCTGTCTTCCCTCTGGGAGGCAGGCTTCTGGGAACTACACATTTGGTAATCTTGCCCATAAAATGCCAATTGGACACTTACTGTAGAATGCCAAGGGCACTGTAGATTCAGATAGTCCCCATCACAGGCATAGATGGTGTGGTTTTGCAGGAGTTTGGTTAGGTAACCTAGAAAATATTCAGTCGGGTTACAAGAGGCCCAGGAACCCACCATTCCTCCTTGGGTTTGGGGACAGGAGGACGTTGGTTCCCCTGGGGAAGGACTGTTGAGTTAACAACATGTGGGGTAGGGCCTCCCTAGCAGCTCTGGTGCAGAGGTCACAAAACCAGGCCCAGAGGTGGGGCACAGGAGCCAATGTCAGCTTTCATGTTGATATGGAAAGGGGGCAGGGGAGTGCTGGGTAGAGAAGGGTGGGGACCCTAGCGAGGGCTCTGCCCTCGGGCTTGTGCCCTTGGACCTTAGTGAGAACAGGCACTCCTGTTTTCATGTCCAAATGTTGCATTTTCCAAGACTACTCTGGCCTGCTGTGAGCCCCATTCTGTGTCCATAAAAAACCCAAGACCCTAGTGGGCACAGACACAAGTGGCTGGACGTCGAGAGGAGCAGAGAAGCAGAAGAGCACACCGACAGACATCAGCAGATGCTGGCAGGCTTTTGACAGTGGGGAGATGTGGAATTCAGTTGGGGGTGGTCGGTGGAGAGTCTGGCTACTGTTTCAATGTCTGGGTCAGAAACCTTGGTCTGGGATGGCCCACTGAATGGTTTGGAGAGCTCTTTCCTCTTCAGGAAGCACTAAGGTATTGGCCAGGAGCCAAGAAGTCCTGAAGCACCTTTATAAACCAGGAAAAAAAAATTGGGGTGAGTATCCCCTGGACGTGTGGATGCCCATCCTGAGGGAGGCTTTCATTTGCTCATCTCCCACTAGTGAGGCCATGTCTTATTGGGATGAGAGGGTGCAGTTTCATTTCAAGAAATCACTCGTGGCTCTGTCTTGGTGCTGGAGAGGAAAGACAGGCAGGGTGCCCTGTGCAGAGAGGTGATGGTGGGGCTCTGCTGTGGGTTGAATGGTGTCCTTTCAAATTCACATTCATCAATGTGGGGAAAAGAAAGAGAGATCAGATTGTTACTGTGTCTGTGTAGAAAGTAGAAATAAGAGACTCCGTTTAGTTCTGTACTAAGAAAAATTCTTCTGCCTTGAAATGCTGTTAATCTGTAACCCTACCCCCAACCCTGTGCTCCCTGAGACATGTGCTGTGTCAACTCAGGGTTAAATGGATTAAGGGCTGTGCAGGGTGTGCTTTGTTAAACAAATGCTTGAAGGCAGCAGCTTGTTCAGAGTCATCACCACTCCCTACTCTCAAGTACCCAGAGACACAAAACTGCTGAAGGCTGCAGGAACCTCTGCCTAGGAAAGCCGGGTATTGTCCAAGATTTCTCCCCATGTGATAGCCTGAGATATGGCCTCCTGGGAAGGGAAAGACCTGACTGTCCCCCAGCCCGACACCCGTAAACGGTCTGTGCTGAGGATTAGTGAAAGAGGAAGGCCTCTTTGCAGTTGAGATAAGAGGAAGGCATCTGTCTCCTGCTTGTCCCTGGGCAATGGAATGTCTCGGTGTCAAGCCCGATTGTATATTCCATCTACTGAGATAAGGGAAAACCACCTTAGGGCTGGAGGTGGGACATGCTGGCAGCAATACTGCTCTTTAATGGATTAAGATGTTTATGTGTATGCACATCAAAAGCACAGCACTTAATTCTTTACCTTGTTTATGATGCAGAGTCCTTTGTTCACGTGTTTTCCTACTGACCTTCTCTCCACTATTACCCTATTGTCCTGCCAAGTCCCCCTCTCTGGGAAACATCCGATAATGATCAAGAAATACTAAGGGAACTCAGAGGCTGGTGCTGGCACAGGTCCTCCGTATGCTGAACGGTGGTCCCCTGGGCCCTATTTTCTTTCTGTATACTTTGTCTCTGTGTCTCTTTCTTTTCCAAGTCTCTCGTTCCACCTGACGAAAAATGCCCACAGGTGTGGAGTGGCAACCCACCCCTTCAATCAGGAACCTCAGAATGTGACATTTGGAAATAGCGTGGTTGCAGATGTAACGAATTAACTTGGCGACATACTGGAGTAAGGTGGGCCCTTAACACCCTATGACTGGAATCCTTATAAGAAGAAAAGAAGAGACACAGAGGGAAGACAGCTGCGTGCAGCTGGAATGATGCACCTGAAGCCAAGGGATGCTGCGCATTGCCAGCCACCACCCAAAACTGGAAAAGGCCAGGAAGGATTCTTCCCTAGAACCTTCAAAGGCAGCACAGCCCTGCCAACAACTGCATTCAGACTCTGGCCTCCAGAACTGTGAGAGGATGAATTTCTGTCGTTTTCAGCCACCCAAGCTTAGGAAATGGGTTGCAGCAGACTCGGAATAAGACAGGCAGCCAGTCAGCCTCCGTGGAATTCCCAGGCAGCTTGCAGGAGCCACAGTGGGCCCTGGGCTCTGAGAAGGTCTGAGGCCCAGCAGGCGCAGGGGCCTAAACTATTTCTCTGCAAGGAGGAAGGAAGGTTCATCCAGAACGTAGATCCCCTTCCTCCTTCTCACACCTCACAAGGTCACAGCGAGGTGGCTGGGAGGACAGCCAGGGACTTTTCACTGAGATGTGTGGGAGACAGCTTGGTAGCCCTTGGCCTCTGAAGGGAGGAGGTGGCATGAAGAAGGGCAGCTTCTGAAATTCCCAGTTCCTGCTTGATGACCTGTGTGTAAAGTATTCCTGTTTAGGTCTCAAAATCCTCTCAGAAATATAATTCTCAGAAAATCCAGGCACCCAATCCAGCTCCCTGGCCTTCCTGAAATCTGAAGTCAAAGGGGCTGAGCCAGCCTGCCCTGGGTGTCAGGCCTCTGAGCCCAAGCTAAGCCATCATATCCCCTGTGACCCGCACATACACATCCAGATGGCTGGTTCCTGCCTTAAGTGATGACATTCCACCACAAAAGAAGTGAAAATGGCCTGTTCCTGCCTTAACTGATGACATTGTCTTGTGAAATTCCTTCTCCTGGCTCATCCTGGCTCAAAACCTCCCCCACTGAGTACCTTGTGACCCCCACTCTGCCCACCAGAGAACAACTCCCCCTTTGACTGTAATTTTCCTTTACCTACCCAAATCCTATAAAACAGCCCCACCCCATCTCCCTTCACTGACTCTCTTTTCAGACTCAGCCCCCCTGCACCCAGGTGAAATAAACAGCCATGTTGCTCACATAAAGCCTGTTTGGTGGTCTCTTCACACGGATGCGCATGAAATTTGGTGCAGTGACTGGGATCGGGGGACCTCCCTTGGGAGATCAATCCCATGTCCTCCAGTTCTTTGCTCTGTGAAAAAGATCCACCTACAACCTCAGGTCCTCAGACCCACCAGCTCAAGGAACATCTCACCAATTTTAAATTGGGCAAGCAGCCTCTTCTTACTCTCTTCTCCAACCTCTCTCACTGTCCCTCAACCACTTTCTCCTTTCCACTCTTCAATCTCTCCCTTCTCTTAATTTCAATTCCTTTCATTTTCTGGTAGAGACAAAGGAGACACATTTTATCTGTGGACCCAAAACTCCAGTGCAGGTCACGGACTGGGAAGGCAGCCTTCCCTTGGTGTTTAATCATTGCAGGGAAGCCTCTCTGATTATTCACCCACGTTTCAAAGGTGTCAGACCATGCAGGGACACCTGCCTTGGTCCTTCACCCTTAGCGGCAAGTCCTGCTTTTCTGTGGGAGGGGAAAGTACCCCAACCACTTTTCTCCATGTCTCTACCCCTTCTCCACCTTTCTGGGGGACAAGAAACCCCCAACCCCTTTTCCTTCACCCTTAGTGGCAAGACCCACTTTTCT
Source organism: Homo sapiens (assembly GCF_000001405.40). Classification (NCBI taxonomy): domain Eukaryota; kingdom Metazoa; phylum Chordata; class Mammalia; order Primates; family Hominidae; genus Homo; species Homo sapiens. The sequence goes on from NC_000011.10 coordinate 67,760,677, forward strand.
TGGGGAGGGGCAAGTACCACATCTTATCTCTGCACCCGAATCCCTTATATCCATGCCCTGACCTCTTATCTCTGTGCCCCAATCCCTTATTTCTACAACCTGACCTCTTATATCTCTGCACCCCAATCCCTTATTTCCATGCCTGGACCTCGTATCTCTGTGCCCTGACCCCTTTCCCACTTTTCTGGAGGGGAAGAACCCCCAAACCCCTTCCCTCCATGTCTCTACTCTCTCTTCTCTCTGGGCTTGCTTCCTACACTATGGGCAACCTTCCACCCTCCTTTCCTCCTTCTTCTCCCTTAGCCTGTGTTTTTAAGAACTTAAAACCTCTTCAACTCTCACCTGACCTAAAATCTAAGCATCTTATTTTCTTCTGCAATGCCGCTTGACCCCAATACAAACTCAACAATAGTTCCAAATAGCCAGAAAATGGCACTTTCAATTTTTCCATCCTGCAAGATCTAAATAATTCTTGTCATAAAATAGGCAAACGGTCTGAGGTGCCTGACATCCAGGCATTCTTTTCCACATTGGCCCCTCCCTAGTCTCTGTGCCCAAAGCAACTCATCCCAAATCTTCCTCCTTTCCCTCCTGCCTGTCCCCTCAGTCCCAAACCCAAGCATTGCTGAGTCTTTCTAATCTTCCTGTTCTACAGACCCATCTGACCTCTCCCCTCCTTCCCAGGCTGCTCCTCGCCAGGCTGAGCTAAGTCCCAATTCTTCCGCAGCCCCCGCTCCTCCACCCTGTAATCTTCTTATCACCTCCCCTCCTCACACCCGGTCCCGCTTACAGTTTCATTCCGTGACTAGCCCTCCCCAACCTGCCCAGCAATTTACTCTTAAAAGGGTGGCTGGAGCTAAAGACATAGTCAAGGTTAATGCTCCTTTTTCTTTATCCCAAATCAGATAGCGTTTAGCCTCTTTTTCATCAAATATAAAAATCCAGCCCAGTTCATGGCTTGTTCGGCAGCAACCCTGAGAGGCTTTACAGCCCTAGACCCTAAAAAGTCAAAAGGCCGTCTTATTCTCAATATACATTTTATTTCCCAATCTGCTCCCTACATTAAATAAAACTCCAAAAATTAAATTCTGGCCCTCAAACCCCACAAAAGATTTAATTAACCTTACCTTCAAGGTGTACCATAATAGAAAAAAGTTGTAATTCCTTACCTCCACTGTGAGACAAACCCCAGCCACATCTCCAGCACAGAAGAACTTCCAAACACCTGAACCGCAGCGGCCAGGTGTTCCTCCAGAACCTCCTCCCCCAGGAGCTTGCCACAAGTGCCAGAAATCTGGCCACCAGGCCAAGGAATGCCTGCACCCCAGGATTCCTCCTAAGCTGCGTCCCATCTGTGCGGGACCCCACTGGAAATCGGACTGTTCAACTCACCTGGCAGCCACTCCCAGAGCCCCTGGAACTCTGGCCCAAGCCTCTCTGACTGACTCCTTCTCAGCTTAGCGGCTGAAGACAGATGCTGCCCGATTGCCTCGGAAGCCCTGTAGACCATCATGGACCCCGAGCTTTAGGTAACTCTCACAGTGGAGGGTAAGTCCGTCCCCTTCTTAATCAATACGGAGGCTACCCACTCCACATTACCTTCTTTTCAAAGGCCTGTTTCCCTTGCCTCCATAACTGTTGTGGGTATTCACGGCCAGGCTTCTAAACCTCTTAAAACTCCCGAACTCTGGTGCCAACTTAGACAATACTCTTTTAAGCACTCCTTTTAGTTATCCCCACCTGCCCAGTTCCCTTATTAGGCTGAGACACTTTAACTAAATTATCTGCTTCCCTGACTATTCCTGGGCTACAGCCAAACCTCATTGCTGACTTTTCCCCCAGTTCAAAGCCTCCTTCACATCCTCCTCTTGTATCTCCCCACCTTAACCCACAAGTATAGGATACCTCTACTCCCTCCTTGGTGACCGATCATGCACCTCTTACCATCTCATTAAAACCTAATCACCCTTACTCCACTCAACGCCAATATCCCATCCCACAGCATGCTTTGAAAGGATTAAAGCCTGTTATCACTCACCTGCTACAGCATGGCCTTTTAAAGCTCCTTACAGTTGCCCCATTTTACCTGTCCTAAAACCAGACAAGCCTTACAAGTTAGTTCAGGATCTGCACTCTATCAACCAAATTGTTTTGCCTATCCACCCTGTGGTGCCAAACACATATACTCTCCTATCCTCGATACCTCCCTCCACAATCCATTATTTTGTTCTGGATCTCAAACATGCTTTCTTTACTATTCCTTTGCACCCATCATCCCAGCCTCTCTTCGCTTTCACTTGGACTGACCCTGACACCCATCAGGCTCAGCAAATTACCTGGGCTGTACTGCTGCAAGGCTTCACAGACAGCCCCCATTACTTCAGTCAAGCCCAAATTTCTTCCTCATCTGTTACCTACCTCAGCATAATTCTCATAAAAACACACGTGCTCTCCCTGCTGATCATGTCCGATTAATCTCCCAAACCTCAATCCCTTACAAAACAACAACCCTTTCCTTCCTAGGCATGGTTAGGGCGGTCAGAATTCTTACACAAGAGCCAGGACTGCACCCTGTAGCCTTTCTGTCCAAACAACTTGACCTTATTGTTTTAGCCAAGACATCATATCTCCGTGCAGCGGCTGCTGATGCCCTAATACTTTTAGAGGCCCTCAAAATCACAAACTATGCTCAACTTACTCTCTACATTTCTCATAACTTCCAAAATCTATTTTCTTCCTCACAGCTGATGCATATACTTTCTGCTCCCCGGCTCCTTCAGCTGTACTCACTCTTTGTTAAGTCCCACAATTACCATTGTTCCTGGCCCAGACTTCAGTCCGGCCTCCCACATTATTCCTGATACCGCACCTGACCCCCATGACAGTATCTCTCTGATCCACCTGACATTCACCCCATTTCCCCATATTTCCTTCTTTCCTGTTCCTCACCTGATCAAGCTTGATTTATTGATGGCAGTTCCACCAGGCCTAATCGCCACACACCAGCAAAGGCAGGCTATGCTATAGTACAACCCACTAGCCCACCTCTTAGAACCTCTCATTTTCTTTCCATCGTGGAAATCTATCCTCAAGGAAATAACTTCTCAGTGTTCCATCTGCTATTCTACTACTCCTCAGGGATTATTCAGGCCCTTCCCTACACATCAAGCTCGAGGATTTGCCCCCATCCAGGACTGGCAAATTAGCTTTACTCAACATGCCCCGAGTCAGATAACTAAAATACCTCTTGGTCTAGGTAGACACTTTCACTGGATAGGTACAGGCCTTTCCTACAGGGTCTGAGAAGGCCACCGCAGTCATTTCTTCCCTTCTGTCAGACATAATTCCTCAGTTTAGCCTTCCCACCTCTATACAGTCTGATAACAGACCAGTCTTTATTAGTCAAATCAGCCAAGCAGTTTTTCAGGCTCTTAGTATTCAGTGAAACCTTTATATCCCTTACAGTCCTCAGTCTTCAGGAAAAGTAGAATGGACTAAAGGTATTTTAAAAACACACCTCACCAAGCTCAGCCACCAACTTCAAAAGCACTGGACAATACTTTTACCACTTTCCCTTCTCAGAAGTCAGACCTGTCCTCAGAATGCTACAAAATACAGCCCATTTGAGCTCCTGTACAGATGCTCCTTTTTATTAGGCCCCAGTCTCATTCCAGACACCAGACCAAGTTAGACTGTGCCCCCAAAAAACTTGTCATCCCTACTATCTGCTGTCTGTCATACTCCTATTCACCGTTCTCAACTACTCATACATGCCCTGCTCTTGTTTACACTGCCAGTTTACACTGTTTCTCCAAGCCATCACAGCTGATATCTCCTGGTGCTATCCCCAAACTGCCACTCTTAACTCTTGAAGTAAATAAAGAATCTTTGCTGGCAGGACTATGCTGAATCTCCTTAGGCACTCTCTAATCAGATGTCCTAGATCCTCCCAATTCTTAGACCTTTAATACCTGTTTTTCTCCTTCTCTTATTCCATTTAGTTTTTCAATTCATACAAAACTGTATCCAGGCCATCACCAATAATTCTAAATGACAAATGTTCCTTCTAACAACCCCACAATATCACCCCTTACCACAAAATCTTCCTTCAGCTTAATCTCTCCCACTCTAGGTTCCCACACGGTCCCTAATCCTGCTCGAAGCAGCCCTGAGAAACATCGCCCATTATCTCTCCATACCATCCCCCAAAATTTTCGCTGTCCCAACACTTTACCACTATTTCATTTTATTTTTCTTATTAATATAAGAAGACAGGAACGTCAGGCCTCTGAGCCCAAGCTAAGCCATCATATCCCCTGTGACCTGCACATATACATCCAGATGGCCGGTTCCTGCCTTAACTGATGATATTCCACCACAAAAGAAGTGAAAATGGCCTATTCCCACCTTAACTGATGACATTTATCTTGTGAAATTCCTTCTCCTGGCTCATCCTGGCTCAAAACCTCCCCCACTGAGTACCTTGTGACCCCCACTCTGCCCGCCAGAGAACAACCCCCCTTTGACTGTAATTTTCCTTTACCTATCCAAATCCTATAAAATGGCCCCACCCCTATCTCCCTGCACTGACTCTCTTCTCAGACTCAGCCTGCCTGCACCCAGGTGAAATAAACAGCCATGCTGCTCACATAAAGCCTGTTTGGTGGTCTCTTCACGTGGATGTGCATTAAACAGGTGTCCTCACGCCCACCAGCCCAGAGTGCTCTCTGGAGGAAGGCTACAGACACTTCCTGGTTCACTCATCCAGACGTTAGCTGTCTTGCTGAAACTCCTTTTTTCACCCTTGAAAACCACTGGAAGAATGGCCCAGAACCCAGCTATCCTGAGTAAGTTCACTTAAAGAAGCAAAATCTAACATGAGTGGCAAAACGGACATTGGCACCAAGAGTGTGGGTCGGAGTCCTGCCCCTTGGAAGTACATTATCGCTTGTACAGTGTACCCCCCAGGCACCAAGAGACCAGGCTGAGACCCTTCAGTGGCCCTGGGCCTCTGGTTCGTGTCTTCCCTCCTGGCACACAGGCAGTCTCTCATAAAACAATGAGTACTGAAAGTTCCAGCCTTCTGGGTGGGTTCTCAGCACCCCGTCATGAGCCACACCCTGCCACAGGGAAATCAGGGTCACCCTGATGCTACCCCTAGGCCAGTGCCCCTTCTGCAGTGCCCCAGGCTGGCACCCCTATACTTAGATCTCTTCAGCCTCCTCATGAAAACCTTCTTGTCCATCACCCCAGCATTCCCTGGACTGTGCCAAATGAGCAGCTGACCACACGTCAGATCAATTTTCAGAGTTTGAATTTGGTTTAATATTCATGGCTTATCCAAAAGATCTTGTCACCATAGCTAGATGAAAAAAATGACAAGGCTCTGGAGAAGCAGAGCCACAAGATGGAAGATACCTGGGTCCCAGGTTCATGAGGAGAGGAGCTTCCTGCTCCACAGACTGTCACATGAGTGGGAATGAAACTTTTGCTGTGTTTAGACCATTACCTTTCTTCACTCTGTCACATAGTCTATCCCCGCTAAACAGAACTTGACCTCCGCCAGACCGTTTACATCAAGACCTGTATGTGTAGTGCAGTGGCCTGAGCCTCCAATCCATGCCCCACCTATCCAGCCGGCCTTACCATATTCTTACTCTGAGAGTGGTTTTCTGGGGGCCGAAGCTCAGCGCATAGAATTGACTAATGCCAGATCCTTCAGGCGCTTTGCACTTTGAAGTCTATCTGTCCTAGCACATTCCAAGTACAAAGAAGACACTTCAGCAGTACAATCTGGCCTACACTCAGTTCAATTCCTTCTTCAAAAACCTAGGCCCAGCCAGGTGTGGTGGCTCACATCTGTGATCCCAACACTTTGGGAGGCTGAGGTGGGTGGATCACCTGAGGTCAGGAGTTTGAGACCAGCTTGGCCAACATGGTGAAATCCAGTCTCTACTAAAAATGCAAAAAATTAGATGGGTGTGGTGGTGCCCCACTTTAATCCCAGCTACGCTGGAGGCTGAGGTGGGGAAATTGCTTGAACCCTGGAGGCGGAGGCTGCAGTGAGCCGAGATTGTGCCACTGCACTCCAGCCGGGGAAACAGAGCAAAACCCCATCTCAAAAAAGAAAAACAAAAACAAAAACAAACAAACAAACAAAAAAAACAAGCCTAGGCCCACATCCAGACAATGGAATGTTATTTAGCACTAAAATGAAATGAGCTATCAAACCACAAAAAGACATGGAGAAATCTTAAATGCATATTCCTAAGTGAAAGAAGCCCATCCGAAAAGGCTGCACACTGTATAGTTCCAACTATTTGACATTCTGGATAAAGCAAAACTATGGAGACAGTGAAAATATCCATGGTTTCCAGAGGTCAGGACAAAGGAGGAATGAATTGGTGAAACACAGAAGATTTTTAGGCAGTGAAACTACTCTGTGTGATACTACAATGGTGGATCCACGTCATTGTCCATATGTCCAAACCCACGCAATGTACAACACCAAGAGTGAGCCCTCATGTAAACTATGGACTGTAGGTGATAGTGATGTGTCAATGTAGGTTTATTGATTATGAAAAATATCCCACTCAGGTTTGATATTGCTAGTGGGGGAAGCTGCACGTGTGTATGTGTGGCAGGTGGGAGTAGAGGTTGATGAAAACTGCACTTTCTGTTCCATTTTTCTTTCTTTCTTTTCTTATCTCTTTCTTTCCTTTTCCTTCCCTTCCTTCCTTCCCTCCCTCCTTTCTATCTCTCTCTCTGTTTCTTTCTCCTTTCTTTTCTTCTTTCTTTGTCACCCAGGCTGGAATACAGAGGTAAGATCTCAGCCCACTGCAACCTCCACCTCCCAGGTTCAAGCAGTTCTCCTGCCTCAGCCTCCCAAGTAGCTAGGATTACAGGCATGCACCACCAGGCCCAGCTAATTTTTTGTATTTTTAGTAGAGACAGGGTTTCATCATGTTGGTCAGTCTGGTCTCAAACTCCTGACCTCGTGATCTGCCCACCTCAGCCTCTCAGAGTGCTGGGATTACAGGTGTGAGCCATGGCACCTGGCCTCTGCTCCATTTTTCTATGAACCTAGAACTTCTCTAACACATTAAGTCTATTTAAAAGGAAAAAAAAAATCCCTATCCCCAGGATAGCATTACCTTTGGGAGGAGAGGAGCTAGCGTTAGGGAGGGGAGAATGAGGCGCTCAGGCAAGCTGGCCATGCCCTGTTCCTTGATCTGCATGGCGTGCATGTGCTTTACTTTGTGAAAGCTCACCCAGTTATCCACTTTGGATATGTGAACAAAAATTTTTAAGAAAACTTCACCTGCAGTTATCTGACCTACACTTTTAAACAATAAAGAAATCCTAGGCACGTGGAGCCCTGGGTAACTCATGGAGCAAGGGGGTGCGGAACGCTTTCCATAGCCAGCCTCAGTCCCACCAGGATGGGCTGCTAGGTGACAGCAGGACAGGCTCATGAGGACCAGCCATCACCCAAATGCTCTGGTCCTCCTGGCTACCTGCCGATGGCTCAAGCTGTTTGGTCTACAGTGCCAAAAGCTCAGGAAGAAGGACAGCTAGGACAACCCCATAGTTTCAGCAACACGGAGGCCATCAAGATCCATTTTGAAACCATATGGAATGGGTGGTGGGGACAGAAGCTTGTTTGGAAAAGGTTGAAAAATGAGTGGAGGGGCCTGGTGCGGTGGCTCATGCTTGTAATCCCAGCACTTCGAGAGGCTGAGGCAGGTGGATCACCTGAGATTGAGAGTTCAAGACCAGGCTGACTAACATGGAAAAACCCCATCTCTGCTAAAAATACAAAATTAGCCAGGCATGGTGGCAGGTGCTTGTAATCCCAGTTACGTGGGAGGCTGAGGCAGGTGAATCACTTGAATCTGGGAGGCAGAGGTTGCAGTGAGCTGAGATTGCGCCATTACACGCCTGCCTGGGCAGCAAGAGCAAAACTCCATCTCAAAAAAAAAAAAAAAAAAAATGAAAAGTGGGTGGAAGTTAAGAAAGTCAAAGATGGTCCATGTGGTAGGCAGAATAACGGCCCCCAAAGATGTCCACAGACCTTAATCCCCAGGACCACTGATTATGTTACCAGAGATTGATGGTAAAAGGGACTTGGCAGATGTGATTAAGTTCAGGATTTTGAGTGGGGGAGATTATCCTGGATTATCTGGAAGGGGTTTATATAATCACAAGAGTCCTTAAAAGGAGGAAGGTGGCTGAGTGCAGTGGCTCACACCTGTAATCCCAGCACTTTGGGAGACCGAGGTGGGTGTATCACCTGAGATCAGGAGTTTAAGACCAGCCTGGCCAACATGGTGAAACTCTGTCTCTACTAAAAATACAAAAAATTAGCCGGGCATGGTGGCGGATGCCTGTAATCCCAGCTACTCAGTAGGCTGATGCAGGAGAATAGCTTGAACCTGGGAGGCGGAGGTTGCAGTGAGCCGAGATCACATCATTGCACTCCAGCCTGGGCAACAAGAGCAAGACTCCATCTCAGAAAAAGAAAGAAAGAAAGAAAGAAACATAATAAAATGGAAATGGTTTATACTGGATCATGCTACCTGGGGAATGCAGAGAGGGGATATTCCCAAGCAGGGAGTGTCTTTTCTCCTACGATTGACTCTGGAACGGTGAGGAGCTGCTGGATTCTATCAACAGTTCGAGAGTGCCCTATATAACCAGCTCTCAACTCACTCACCCCCAGCTGTTTGGTGTCTATGAATGACAATTTCGAGGTGAACAAACAACATCCTGTTTGGAGGGCTGCTACTCTGGCTAAGGACGGTAAAAATCAGTCAGCTCAGTGAGCTGAATTGCATGCTGTTTTCCTAGCCACTGATTTATACTAGAATGATGCCAGTAACTGATTTTCAAAGAATCATGGTATGTGTCCCAAAGTGTTCCACAGGAGTGTGATATTGTGAAATATATATTTGATCAGTTGAACAGTGGTAGAAGCCCCCTGTTTGGGTTTTTACTGACTCCTGGGCAGTGACCAGTGTCTTGGCTGTACACTCAGGCAAGAGGGCAATCGCCACCTGGCTTATTAACGGATGTCCATATGGGGCACAGCCCTGTGGAGAGGTGAAAGATGCCTTGAAGTAGAACAGGTTCACGCCCATCAGAAAAACTCCCTTCCAGGCTCAGGAGGTGGCTGGAGTCACCAAGTGGATTTTTTGTGTGTGCTCCTGTGAGGTGGTCACCTGGGCCCATGAAATGAGTGAACAAGGCCGTTCTGCAGCAGTGTAGAGATGGGCTGAATCTAGCCATGCCCCTTGGGCTCAAAATGCCAATAAGAACTGTTCTGTCACTGGGTGCGGTGGCTCAAGCCTGTAGTTCCAGCACTTTGGGAGGCTGAGGCGGGTGGATCACCTGAGGTTGGGAGTTTGAGACCAGCCTGACCAACATGGAGAAACCCCATCTCTACTAAATATACAAAATTACCGGGGCGTGGTGGTGTTTGCCTATAATCCCAGCTGAGGCAGGAGACTTGCTTGTACCCAGGAGGCGGAGGTTGCGGTGAGCCGAGATGATGCCATTGGACTCCAGCCTGGGCAACAAGAGTGGGACAACGTCTCAAAAAAAAAAAAGAACTATTCTGTCTGCCAGCAAGAGAAACAGAGACTGCCCACTGCTGCGAGGCACATTCACTGGTGGGAAAGCTCTTAACATAACTGGCAAGTGAGATGGATGCTGGCAGCCCTGGGGGGCTGCATCTAGGTCTTGACAGGAATAGACACTGTCTCTGGACTGGGTTTTGTTTGTTTTTAGAAGATGCAAACAGCAGAGTGCAATTAAAAAAAAGAAAAAAGGCCAAGCATGGTGGCGCATGCCTGTAATCCCAGCACTTTGGGAGGCTGAGGCAGACAGATGACCTGAGGTCAGGAGTTCAAGACCAGCCTGGCAAACATGGTGACACCCCGTCACTACAAAAATACAAAAAAAAAATTAGCCAATCCCAGCTACTCGGGAGGCTGAGGTGGAAGAATCACCTGAACCCAGGAGGCGGAGGTTGCAGTGAGCCGAGATCATGCCATTGCACTACAGCCTGGGAGACAGAGGGAGACTCTGTCTCACACAAAAAAAAAAAAAAGAAAAAAAAAACAGAACAGGAGATAGTGCATGAATCTTGATGGCCAACGTCATTGCTTCAGAAAAAGGAGCACTCTGTACAGCCCATAATGTCCAACAATGGGCAGAGAGGCATCCTCTTCAGAGTCATAATTTGGCACAGAAGTAGAACAGGCAATTCAAACCCTGGTTGTTTAAAACGGGGGAGGTGAAAGCAGAAGGGCTGGTGATAGAGTTTGGATCTCTATCTCCACCAAATTGTGTGTTGAATTGTAATCCCCAGTGTTGGAGCTGGGGCCTGGTGGGAGGCAACTGGATCATGGGGGCAGGTTTCCCATGGATGGTTTAGCACTATTCTCTTTGATATTGTACTCACAATAGTGAGTGAGTTCTCGTGAGATCTGGTCATTTAAAAGTGTGTGGGGCCGGGCGTGGTGGCTCATGCCTGTAATCCCAGCATTTTGAAAGGCTGAGGTGGGTGGATCACCTGAGGTCAGGAGTTCAAGACCAGCCTGGCCAACATGGCAAAACCCTGTCTCTAGTAAAAATACAAAAAGTAGCCAGCGTGTTTGTTGGCCCCTGTAATCCCAGCTACTTGGGAGGCTGAGGCAGGAGAATCACTTGAGCTCAGGAGGCAGAGGTTGCAGTGAGCCAAGATCACACCACTGCACTCCAGCTTGGATGACAGAGCAAGACTCTATCTCAAAAAAAAAAACAAAAAAAGTGCACAGCACCTCCACCAGTCATTTTCTCTGGCTCCTGCTCCTGCCATGTAAGAGAACTGCTCCTCCTTCATCTTCTGCCATGATTGGAAGCTTCCTGAGGCCTCACCAGAAGCAGAAGCTGCTATGCTTCCCGTACGGTCTGCAGAACAGTGAGCCAATTCAACCTCTTTCCTTGTAAATTACCCAATCCCATTGCTTCTCAGCCTTTTGGCTAAGATCAAGTATAAATTACCCAGTCTCAGGTATTTCTTTATAGCAATGCAAGAATGAACTAATATAACTGGCTTGCACACTCACAAAGTGTGCAATGCTAAATACTTAGCATGAGTGGTCTAAAGGAGTGGACTTCCAGATTTTTCTCCATTTTTTGGGTTGATCTGGGGAAGGGGGGATGGGGAGGATGCTGACATGACCATGAATTTTTTTTTTTTTCCTGAGATGGAGTCTTGCTATGTCACCCAGGCTGGAGTGCAGTGGTGCAATCTCAGCTCACTGCAACCTCTGCCTCCCAGGTTCAAGCAATTCTCCTGTCTCAGCCTCCCGAGTAGCTGGGATTACAGGCGCATGCCACCAGGCCCAGCTAATTTTTGTATTTTTAGTAGAGATGGGGTTTCACCATGTTGGCCAGGTTGGTCTCAAACTCCTGACATCATGATCCACCCATCTCAGCCTCCCAAAGTGCTGGGATTACAGGTGTGAACCACCGCACCCAGCCCAATGAACAGTTCTTGAATGAATGAGACAGTGAAGAAGACTACCAGAACAAGAGCAGATCAAAGGTGAATAAGTGAGTAGTAGCTTCTGATTAATCCTCATCAGCAACCAACATAACCCAGGGCTTATAGATTTCTCTGTGTAATATGCTACACACACGTCTACGGAAAGAGAGAGAGAGAGAAGCACATCAGTCAAGCAATTTTCAAAAGTTACTCTAAATGTGCTGTGTTGGTCTTGTATTACAATCTTTAGATTACACTACTATTTTATTTCAAACAGGACTGGTAGAAACTTCTTCATGCCTTTTCAACCAAAGGCCTTCAATCCTATAAAAATGATCACCTTGTTCTTTGACCAAGTACCAACCTTAGAAAGTTATGCAGCGAACACCATCTGACTTAGATTATTTGAAAAGTAACTGGATCAATCCCCCTTTACCCCAAACATCTAAACGGAACAATTTTCTTTTCTTCGGGATGCATCATAATCCTCAAACTGCAGAGCCACTTGGCGATGAAGCCAGGATCACAGTGCATTTGATAACTTCATGCAACTTTTTACTAGCACTTAATACTCAGATATGAAATCTGTACTTGATCTTTTCTGCTTGGAATTGGCCAGATTAGTGGTTCTGCCCCCACATTCAACAAAAGGCTCTCAGAAACACTCAGGGTCGCTAACCAATCAGAAGGACCAACAGAGCTTGACAAACAGACAAGAAGGAGAAGGGCACCGCCTTCCACCCCACCCGCTTAGACAGCCTTTCAACTCTGCCCACTTTGAGGATGTGTAGGATGATCCAGGTAATCATGATACCTACCTTAACTTCAAGGTAGAAATTAAGGCTTGAGGGCACTTATTTGGTGCCTTATTCAGTTAATTGGAAGATTATATGGTAATTTCACTGCTCATAATAATTAAACCTTTTTTTTTTTCACTTTAGGGATGATAATGACATTTGGAGAGTAGCACTATAAACCTCAAACATCTATTTTGAAGATGATTGGATTTAGGAGCAAGACAGGTTTGCCGTACACTTGACCGAACATGCTTTGTTCCCCAAAGCAGCAAAAAAGCCAGAGCCTGGAAGTTTCTAAAACTTGAAGCAGATGTAAGTGGCAAATCCAAAAAGCCGTGCCTAGAGAACAGGTCGGGTGACCGGCTGTGTCTATTCCAGCCTCCCCATTGGCTTGGTGGAGGACTTCGCACAGGTCTCTCAGTTTCTCCTTCTTTGGTTTCACCGTAGAATGAGGGGAAGTCACAGCATTTCTTCCTTTGTATTTCACAGAAACACAGTCAGCAAATGTAAAGAAATACGGGCGCCTACATGGTGATTATGCTGGCCTGGTCTCAAGCTTCATATTCATCCTTAATTGATTTCCAGGCACACTCGCCAGTGACCGGGCTTTGCTTCACCGAATGGCCCCAAGGGCCTACACTTTCTTAATTCTCCTGTGGACCCTTTATTCACTCCCCCTCATCCTTCCTTTGCTGAGGGTGTTTGCTTCTGACTGCCTCAATCTTTTTTTTCTTTTTCTTTTTCTTTTTTTTGAGATGTAGTCTTGCTCTGTTGCCCAGGATGGAGTGCTGTGGCGAGATCTCAGCTCACTGCAACCTCCACCTCCCCAGTTCAAGCGATTCTCCTGCCTTAGCCTCCCAAGAAGCTGGGATTACAGGCGTGTGCCACCATGCCTGGCTATTTTTTTTTGTATTTTTAGTACAGATAGAGTTTCACCATGTTGGCTAGGCTGGTCTCTAACTCCCAACTTCAAGTGATCCACCTGCCTTGGCCTCCCAAAGTGCTGGGATTACAGGCACAAGCTACTGAGCCTGGCCTCAATCTTATGCTTACTATTCTTAAATCTGTTGCCTCATTTTATAGCCACAGCTCAGGTGACAGCTGAGGGATTACCTTCGTCTGTCTCTGAGCCTCTAAGACTTCTATTTTCTTCACCACCTTCCAGGAATCCTTTTTTCTAGCTCTTGGTCGCTGGCCATCTCCTGGACGGTTAAGTTGAAAATCTGACCTCCAGTTCATTGGTGCATCTACAATCAATCCTCATTACCTGCAGATTCTGTAGCTGCAAATTCACCTACTTGATAATGTTTATTTATAGCCCCTAAATCAATCCCAGCAGAGCTTTCCTGGATGTGCGCCAAGTGCTGAAGAGGTTGAATGGCTGATAAGCACGGTCCCAGCAGAGCTCCATCGAGGAACCTCTGCCTTTTGGTTTCCGCTCTTATACCATAAATGAATGTCCTTTTCTTGGTCGTTTTAGGGTTTTTTTTTGAGACAGAGTCTCACTCTGTCACCCAAGCTGGAGTGCAGTGGTGTGATTGCAACCTCTGCCTCTCAGGTTTAAGCGATTCTCCTGCCTCAGCATCCCGATTAGCTGGGACTACAGGCATGTACCACCACACCCAGCCAATTTTTGTTTTTCAGTAGAGATGGGGTTTCGCCATATTGGCCAGGCTGATCTCAATCTCCTGACCTCAGGTGATCCACCTGCCTTGGCCTCCCAAAGTGTTGGGATTACAGGTGTGAGCCACCATGCCCAGCCAGGGTTCTCTTAAATGTAATGGAAAGAGGAGAATTGGAATGGCAGAGAGAGAGAGAACTAGGAGCCTGCATGAATGAATCAAGTTGAGTTGGAGAGAAACTGAATTTATAGGAAAGTTAAGGCTCTGAGTTTGGAGGCCAAGCAGGGTGGGGGTGTGCAAACCCGTGAGAAGGAAAGCCGGGCTTCAAAAAATAGCTGCTCCTTCTTGATAGATGCAGAGAGGAAACAGGAAAGACCGGGGGCCATGCAGTGTTATTTGTAGCACTTGAATAGCTTGGCTCTTAGAGTCCCAAGGCCTCCAGCTGGTGATCCAGAGATGCCATTAGAGGGCAAAAGTGCTCGCTGCTCCCTCGTTTGTCACCAAGAAGACATGGTATGGCCCTGGTCTTAAGGACAAGTTAGTCAATTGCTTATTGTATATCACGGGATGAACGCTGGGAGAGAGGAAACGCAGGGTGTGTAGGAAGAGGGCAAAATTGGCTACATCTGACCCACCCCAGAGATGAGGAAGGCTTCCAGGTGGGAGGTGATGCCAGGAGGTAACCAGGTGGAAATCACCCTCAAGTAGCAGGGACAGGTGTGCAAAGGCTCAGAGGGAGCTTCTCCAGGATCAGCAGGGCTCAATTGTAGGGTGTGAGCCTGTCACAGAGGCTGGAGAAATAAGCAGTGCCTTGCTAAGAAGTCTGAATTTTAACCTGAAGCGACATGGGAGCTACTGCAGGCTGGTAAGCAGGGGGGTGGTGCTGGTTGGATTGCAATGCAGAGAAACCCTGGGTTGGCCTGCGTCTGATGGACTGGAGAGACCCTTGAAGAAATCAGAGTACAGACAGTCCTCCAGAGTAGAAATGAGGAAGGTGCTGAGACCACAGCAGTGGGGAAGAGTGTGAGAGGGATGGAAATTGAGATGAATTCATGGGTGTTTGGCCTGTGCAGTCACACAGTGCCCCATGCTGAGAGGGACCCCCAGCGTGGCTTAATGCTCTGCTCTTACTGTCTTAAAATTCCTCCTCATTTTATGTTTGAATCTATGTTTTGTTTTGTTTTGAGAAAGAGTCTCGCTCTGACATCCAGGCTGGAGTGCACTGGCGCCATCTCAGCTCACTGCGACCTCCACCTCCCAGGCTCAAGTGATTCTCCTGCCTCAGCCTCCCAAGTAGCTGGGACTACAGCCACCTGCCACCACGCCTGGCTAATTTTTGTATTTTTAGTAGAGAGTGGGTTTCACCATATTGGCCAGGCTGGTCTTGAACTCCTGACCTCAAGTGATCTGCCCACCTCAGCCTCCCAAAGTGCTGGGATTACACGTGTGAGCCACTGCACCCAGTCTGAATCTATGTTTTATCAGTGAAATCCAACGGGGCAATAGAACATGTGCATGGGCAGATGAGACACCAACAATAAGAGTTACCCCGTCCCTTGCCACCGCACTCCCCATGGAGTGTCTGCCCTGCCCTGAGCATAGAATCTTAGGGGGTCCGCAGTGCATGGGAGCCCAGCAAGGCTCCAAGTGAGCATAAGGGAAGCCTACTATGTCCACAACGGAGTCCGCGAGAGATGCTGACAGCACCAAGAGGTCGCACTTTCTCTTATTATAGAATCAGAATTGAAAACCAAGTCAATGGCATTCTAAGAAACAGAAACAAACAAGGAACCCTCTCCCAGCCTTTTCTACCCATCTGATTCCCTGTAGTAGCCAACCACTTCCACTGGAAATGATGACATAGGAGAGGCAAAGATAGCGGAGTCATAGTTATTTTTCCTTTCAATTCTTCCTTACACATCAGTAAGCCAAAGGTAGAGTGGTGGTAGATTGTATAGGTGTGAAAAAGTGAAATAAAAACAGCTGAATGGCGGGTGTGGTGGCTTATGTCTGTAATCCCAGCATTTTGGGAGGCTGAGGCGGGTGGATCACAAGGTCAGGAGTTCGAGACCAGCCTGGCCAACGTGGCGAAACCCCATCTCTATTAAAAATACAAAACTTAGGCGGGTATGGTGGCGGGCTCCTGTAATCCCAGCTACTCAGGAGGCTGAAGGCAGGAGAATGGCCTGAACCCGGGAGGCAGAAGTTGCAGTGAGCCGAGGTCTCACCACTGCACTCCAGCCTGGGCAAGAGAGCAAGACTCTGTCTCAGGGAAAAAAACAAAAACAAACAGACAAACAAACAAAAACATCGAATTAGTTTCCTGCAACGTCTCACTGTTTGTGTGAGGCAAAAAAAACCACACATGCAAAGTACAAATTATGTAATTTCTGTGATTCCACATTTGAGTCCAATCCTCCTGTTGAAATCTGGCATTGCACAATGTAAAGAGGAACATTATAATCCATGCTAGTAATTTAAAATGTTAATTTTTTTTTTACTTAGAAGGACATTAAATAACAAATGAAAGCATCATGATAAATTGAGACACAGAGACCACAGAAGAAAGAAAATATATGTTAATACTTCAGTAGTGGTTTTCGTCTGATTTTTGAATAAGGGGGCCCATGTTTGCATCTTGCACTGGGCCTTGCAAATTCTGCAGCTGGTCCTGACTGTCAAGACAGGGATTTAGCCATAAAATCAGCAGGGGTTGGTCGTGGGGTTGTGGGTTACAGGAAGATAGAGAATTTAGGCATGGCTGCAGGGTTTTAAGCTGATGGTACTATTGGCTGGGAAATCTAGGAAATCCAGCATTGAAGGACAGGCATTGTGAATCTGTTGTGGATGGGCTGAGCCTGCAGTGGCCATGGGGCATCCTGCCTGGGAGGGGGGCGAGCAGCAATTCATCAGCACAGGTGGTGACTGAGGCTCAGGAGGGGCTACTGAGGCAGAAACTGTGGGCAGGGATGCAGGGCAAGGCAGACATTTAGGAGATGGGACAACAGCTTGGTACAGTGGCTCACATCTGTAATCCCAGCTACTCAGGAGGCTGAGACAGGAGGATAGCTAGAGGCCAGGAGTTCAAGATCAGCCTGCACAACATAGCGAGACCCCATTTCCCCCCACCAAAAAAATTAATACGAAGTAAAAATACAAAAAAGAGATGGGACAACAAAGAAGGCCTCATAAAGGAGATGGAGAGGAAGGGGACAGGAGGAAAGGGGAGAGGGAAGGTGACAGCCAGAAGCAGGCATGAGAGGTTCCCTAGAGTGGGGTTTTATTATCTCAAGTGACCATGAGTAAACTATTTAACCTGTCTGTGCTGCAGACATCATGGATAAAGCGAAGATGAAATGAAGACAATAACAGCAGCACTTATGGGTGGGGCAGTTGTGGTGAAGATTAAATGAAGAGTTTATATGGGAAGGGCTCAGAATGCTGCTGTATTAAATGACTCGGGTTGCTATAACAAGGTACCACAAGCTGGGTGGCTTAGAACTACAGAAATGCATCGTCTCACACCTGCAGGCCAGAAGGCTGAGATGAAGGCGTTCTCAGGGCCGTGCTTACTCTGAAGATGCTAGGGAAGGATCTCCCTCCCAGCTTCTGCCAGCTCCTTAGCTTGTGGCAGCAGAAGTCCAATCTTCACGTGGCCTTCTCCCTGTGTGCATCTGTGTCCAAAATTTCCCCTTTCCATATCTATATCTATATCTACACACACACATACATATATATGTAGTGTGTGTATATAGAGATATATAAAATTTTATTTATTTATTTATTTATTTATTTATTTATTTATTTATTTATTTAATTTTAAGACAGAATCCTGCTCTGTCACCCGGGCTGGAGTGCAGTGGTGCAATCTTGGCTCACTGACACTTCCGCCTCCCAGGTTCAAGCAATTATCCTCCCTCAGCCTCCTGAGTAGCTGGGATTACAGGTGCCTGCCACTATGCCCTGCTAATTTTTTTGTATTTTTAGTAGAGACAGGTTTCACCATGTTGGCCAGGCTGGTCTTGAATTCTTGATCTCAAGTGATCCACCAGCCTCGGCCTTGCAAACTGCTAAGATTACAGGTGTGAGCCACCGCGCCTGGCCTATTTATTATTTTTTAAAGATGGGGGTCTTGCTATTTTGGCCAGGTTGGTCTTGGACCTTGGCCTCAAGTGATCCTCCCACCTCAGCCTCCCAAAATGCTAGGATTACAGGCATGAGCCACTGTGCCCGGCCTATTTTATTTATTATCTTTTTAATAGAGATGGGAGCCTCCCTATATTGGCCAGGTTGGTCTTGAACCTTGGCTTCAAGTGATCCTCTTGCCTCAGTCTCCCAAAGTGCTAGGATTACAAGCATGAGCCACCGCACCTGGCCAATTTCCCCTTTCCATAAGGACACCCATTATACTGGATAAAGCCCACTCTATCAACCTCATTTTAACTTGACTACCTTTGTAATGACTATCTCCAAATATGCCACATTTTCAGGTACTGGGGGTCAGGACTCCAAGAAGTCTTTTGTGGGAGAGGGGATGCAATTCAATCCACAACAGTGCCCTGCTCTGTTAAATGTTCACCTTTATGAATAAGACAACCTCCATGAGTTGTTTTCTTCCAAGGTATGAGGCAGAGACCAGTGAGGGACAACCTGAGGGTGGGGAACATAAATTTGTTGTGGCCACAATCTCCACAACAACCCGATGTTTCTCCTGCAGCACTTAGCAGCCCAAGTGAAGGTAAATATAAGAAGAAGAGGGAACAAAGATGAGGGAGTGACGCATCCTGATAACACACCAAAGACAACCACAGGCAGAAATACTGATGACAGAGAGGCAGACGGGGAACACTGCTCATTGCTCTGCCTGCCTCACTTTTGTTCAGGGGCTACCAGGAAGCCTGAGGTCCCAGGTGGACAGAAATCACCATGATCCCCTCTTGGCCCCAACCAACATACACACAGGAGGCAAACCAACTTTTGATCATTTATTAAAACAAATAAGAGGTTAATCTGTGGGTAAAAAGGCCTTGTTTGCCAGCAGCTCACGGGATGCCTTCAAGCTGACAGGCACTAGTGCGCCTTGAAGTAGGAAGCATCACATGGGTTCTGGAGATAAGCAATAGATAAACAACCGGAGTTACCAGAAGTGTCAAGCCAGGCATCACCTTAACAGAAATTATTCCTGGAGCTAATGTGGAAGTCATTAATCCCAAGAGAAAAGACAGAGGTGGGCGTGGTGGCTCATGCCTGTCAGCTCAACACTTTGGGAGGCTGAAGCGGGAGGATCCCTTGAAGCCAAGAGTTCAAGATCAGCCTGGGCAACAGAGTGAGACCTCGTCTCTACAAAAACTACAATAAAATAAATTAGCCAGGTGCAGTGGTGCACACCTGTAGTCCCAGCTACCCAGGAGGCTAAGGCAGGAGGATTGCTTGAGCCCAGGAGGTCAAGGCTACAGTGACCTATGATCACGTCACTGCACTCCAGCCTGGGCAACAGAGCAAGAACCTGTCTCTAAAAATAAGAGAAGAGAAGACAGATGAAGCAAAGTGGGCCAAAACTTAGATAAAGGGAATTGCTCTGTTTTAGATGAAGGATTGCGAAACAAAATTTTCAACAGCAGCAATGAAAGACCTGTCTACCACAGTGTAGCCCTCAGCAAAACCACAAGTGGGCAGACTCTGACTCTCCCACGCCCCTCTCACTAACCCCAAACCCCTTCTAGATAGAATGTTTTCCTTCCTCTTCATCCTAATGCCAGGAGCAACTTTGGTGGTGCGTTCCCCACATCTGCCCTCTTTGCCAAAGCCCCAGGTTCCAGAGCCTTCCCTTCTTCCTTCTCGACTGCATTAAGGCTTGCTTACCCTGAGTTCAAGACCCTTACATCCTTGTTAGATAAATGGCTGAGTAAGATGATCAGTTAATCAGAGCGAGTATGGCTGATGATGCCTTCTACAATATAATGCAATGAACCTGCGCCCACCTTCACTGAACGATCAACATTCACTTTGGTGTAATGGGGTAAACCATCAGCATGTCCCTCCTGATGCAACGAACAGAGAACATGACACCATTGCTGTGATAGTCCCACCCCAAATGCATAAGAATATCACCGCCAAGAAACATCAGCCAAATCCAAAGTAAGGGACATTCTATCAAATAACCGTCTTGCGTTCTTCAAGAATGCCAATACCATGAAAGATAAAGAAAAACTGAGGAGGTGTTCCAGGCTAAAAGGGACCTACAGAGACACAACAACTGAAAATAATGCATGATCTGGGATGATCATTTGCTCCAATGTACATCACTGGGTTAACTGGCAAAATCTGAATGAGGTCCATATATTAGAAAACCGTGTTGTAGCAGGGTTAGTTTCCTGATTTTGATCATTGCCTTGGTTATATAAGAGAAAATCCTTGTTATTAAGGAATACACAGGAATATTTAGGGGTAAAGGATAACTCATCTGCCACTTAGAAAATAATAAAGCAAATGGGGTAAAATGGTAGCACTGGGGAATCTCAGCGAAGGGTATAAAGGATGTCTTTGTACTATTCTTGCAACGCTTCTGTGTCTGGAAAAATAATAATAAATATTATATATTTAATAACTAAATGAATGAAAAAGTGTGCAATGTTTCTGCAGATGTCAACCTTGGCAATGCAATAGGATCATCTCAGAAGCTCTGCATGAATATCAGTGCCCAGGCTCCAACCCAGAGATTCATAGTCAGTTAGCTGAGGGTGAAACTCCAGACATCGGCATGTGTGAAACACACCCCAAGGTCATTCTAGTGTGAATCCAGAATAATAAGCAGCCAGCTTAGCCTTTAGTGTCATTGGGTGACAGGAAAGTTCTAGGCTGGGGACTTTCTGAGCCCCCCATGTCTGCTTGTTTTGAGATCTGATCTTGGGGGCAGCATGGTGACTCAAAACAGGAGCACAGTTGTGGGTCCAGTCTTGGTCCTTCCACTAATAAGATGGGAGACTTTGCGTCAGATCCCTTGCCTGTGCCAAGCCTGGGTTTTCTCAGCTGTGTAATGAGGTTAACCAGGAAGTGCCTCAGAGGCCAATGTGCATTCAGGGAAGAAGATGCCCAGCTCAGTAACTGATATGGTGTGGCTGTGTCCCCACACAAATCTCTAATTATAGTTCCCATAATCACCACATGTTGTGTGAGGGACCTAGTGGGAGGTAACTAAATCATGGGGTGGGTCTTTCCCCTGCTGTCGTCATGACATTGAATAAGTCTCACAAGATCTAATTCTTTTTTTCTTTTTTTGAGACCGAGTCTCACACTGTTGCCCAGGCTGGAGTGCAGTGGCGTCATCTCAGCTCACTGCAACCTCTGCCTCCTGGATTTAAGCAATTTTTGTGCCTCAGCCTCCCAAGAATCTGGGACAACAGGCATGAGCCATCACGCCTGGCTAATTTTTGTATTTTTATCAGAGATGCGGTTTCAACATGTTGGCCAGGCTGGTCTCAAACTCCTGATCTTGGGTGATCCACCCACCTTGGCTTCCCAAAGTGCTGTGATTAGAGATATGAGTCACTGTGCCCAGCCTGATCTAATGGTTTTATAAAGGGGAGCTCCCCTGCACAACTCTCTTGCCTGCTGCCATGTAAGATGTGACTTTGCTCCTCCTCCACCTTCTGCCATAATCATGAGGCCTCCCCAGTCATGTGGATCTGTGAGTCCATTAAACCTCTTTTTCTTAATAAATTACCCAGTCTCAGGTATGTCTTTATTAGCAGAGTGAGAATGGACTAATACAGTAATCCTTAAAGCCCCGGACCCCAAAATGGAGTTGCCACAGGATGGCAGTCTGAAATCCTTGTGATGTCCAGCTGGCAGAAAGGAATTTGGATGAGTAGGGCTGGCCAACTTCTGGTATTGCTGGTGGGTCCTGTCATTGTGTGGGTGACTCCTTGCACCCCTGACCCTTCATAGGACTGAAATCTGGGAGTGTTCTTGGGAAAGGGACTAGAGAAAGCAAGAGGACACCAATCTTCTTCCAGGCAGTAGGAAGGCAAGCTGGAGGAGCCAAGCTCCCAAGTAAACTGAGGCACCTCCACTGGCCCCTTTGTGAGGCACGCTTGACCTGGGTTTCATGGAAAGAATGTGCCCTCACCAAAGGGTGCTAAACAAGGCCCCAGGCTCCACACCGGATCCCAGGTGCCCCCCTCTGCCCTGCCCTAGACTCACCTAAAGCTGTACTGCCCAGAGTCATGGCCTCAGGCCACACGTGGCTACTGGTCATTTGAGATGTGGCCATCTCAATTGAGATATGCTGTTAGTATAAAACATACACTAGATTTCCAAGGTGTCATGAGCAAAAAAAAAAAAAAAAAGAACATAGAATATCTCATTAAGAATTTTTAAGTATTCATTAATGTTGAAATAAAAATATTTTGAATATATTGGTTAAATAAAGTTTACTAGGAGAATTCATTTCACCCCTTTTACTTTTTCTAATGTGGTGAGTAAATTATTTAATATTACACGTGTGGATTACATTATATTTCTATTGGACAGCTCTGTTCTAAAGTCTGCGCATTGTCCTTTTGTGGCTTATTTCCTTGATACTTTTATTAAAATTAAATTGAGGGGCCAGGTGCAGTGACTCACACCTGTAATCTCATCATTTTGGGAGGCCGAGGCAGGTGGATCACCTAAGGTCAGGAGTTCGAGACCAGCCTGGCCAACATGGTGAAACCCTGTCTCTACATAAAAATACAAAAATTAGCCGGGCGTACGGGTGCGTTACTATAATCCCAGCTACGTGGGAGGCTGAGGTAGGAGAATCGCTTGAATCCTGGAGGCAGAAGTAGCAGTGAGCCAAGATCATGCCACTGCACTCCAGCCTGGGGGACAAGAGCAAAAATCCAACTCTAAATAAATAAATAAATAGAAAAATAAAATTGAGGGCCAGGCACAGTGGCTCATGCCTATAATCCCAGCACTTTGGGAAGCCGAGGCAGGAGGGTGACTAGAGGTCAGGAGTTCGAGACCAGCCTCGCCAACATGGTGAAATCCCATCTCTACTAAAAATATAAAAATTAGCTGGGCTTTGTGGTGGGTGCCTGAAATTCCAGCTACTCTGGAGGCTGAGGCAGGAGAATCACTTGAACCTAGGAGGCGAGGTTGCAGTGAGCTGAGATTGCACGAAGCCTGGGCGACAGAGTGAGAACCTGTCTCAAAAAATAAAGAAAGAAATAAAAATAAACTGAGGAAGGATTGAGCATGCAAAATAGAATCAGCCTTTGACCCTGAATACCCTGCAGTGAGAATTCCCCTGTGGTTCTCAGGCTTCTGTCATTCCAGCAAATACACTCTTCCCTCAGCTTCACTAAAATGCAGATATTGTGAGATAATGCCCATTTCTCACAGCTTGCTTGAATAATAACAATGATCATTATAGTAATTTACAACTTAATAGTCAACACTGCCTTTTTAACTCAGTCTGTGAGACTGAATCGTAAACGTGACATTCTTTAAAGCTGTCAATTAATATACCAGACTGCATAAACTCTAATAACTTACCTTTCCATGGAAAGAGAATATGTGGGTATTCTCTTTGAAGACAAATGGTGGAGAGTAGACTCTCATCCAAGACCCTCTGGCAGTAATGAGTTGCATTCCAGAAGGTTCTAGAAGGTTCTGTGGAAGGCTGCAGTTTGGGATTGGTTCTCAGGTGTCTGTCTAACTGCTTTCTAAGGATGAAGACTGCCGGGCGCGGTGGCTTACTCTTATAATCCCAGCACTTTGGGAGGCCAAGACGGGCGGATCACGAGGTCAGGAGATCGAGACCATCCTTGTTAACACGGTGAAACCTCGTCTCTACTAAAAATACAAAAAATTAGCTGGCATGGTGGTGGGCGCCTGTAGTCCCAGCTACTCCAGAGGCTGAGGAAGGAGAATGGTATGAACCCGAGAGGCGGGGCTTGCAGTGAGCCGAGATCGCTCCACTGCACTCCAGCCTGGGCGACAGAGTGGGACTCCGTCTCAAAAAAAAAAAAAAAAAAAAAGGATGAAAACTCCTGGTTCGTGCTTTAGCAACATCCACAGGAGCAACAGACTAAGACATTCCTCCACACAATAACAGACCCAGGCAGTGCAGAGCCATGTGGGTCTTATCTGTCCTTTTGTCCACAGTCTGGTTTTATCTTAGACCTAGCCTGGTGCAATCGATGATGCATATAGGCACTCCACTTAAGTTTCCTGTTTGTAAAAAGCCCCTTTTATTCGGTGATTCCTCAGGGCTTTAGGGGAACTTTCTGGAAACCAGGAAGAAGGAAATAAAGGTTGTTTTACTGAGGATGGGTGACATTGGGTGCAGGACCCAAATGAGTGGTTTGAGCAGAAAGTAGCCTCCACACTGGACTAATGCTTGGCAACATTATGGGAAAATTTGGGGAAGCCTGGAGAGGAGGGGGCAGAGTTTCTTTCCCAGCCAGCCAGGGGGTCCAGGCAGTTTTGGTCCTAGGATGTCTCTCTGTGCATTCCCAAGTGATTGCAAGGCTTCTTCTTGTCATCGTCTGAGACTTGGATTCCCCAAGCGTCCTTCTTTTCCTGGAGCCTCTGAGTCCTCTATTCCTGAGGCCTTTCTTCAGCCCTCCCAATAGTCCTGCCATGATTTCATTGCAGGGCTGTGACCATCTATGACAAGCCGGCATCTTTCTTTAAAGAGACACCTCTGGACCTGCAGCACCGGCTCTTCATGAAGCTGGGCGGCACGCACTCTCCGTTCAGGGCCCGGTAGGCCTCCCATCCTCAGCTGCCTTCTCTCCTGCTCACCACTGTCCTGGCCTCTCCCGTTCTCACTGCAGACCTGGGAACCCACTCATCCAGGGGTTGGCACACTAAGGCTACAGGCCAGTCTCCTGCTTTTGTAAGTCAAGTTTCATTGGGACACAACACACTCATTGCCTTCTGAGTTGTCTACAGCCGCCTTTGAGCTACAATAGCAGAATCGCGTTTTGC
The DNA here is from genome assembly GCF_000001405.40 of Homo sapiens. Classification (NCBI taxonomy): domain Eukaryota; kingdom Metazoa; phylum Chordata; class Mammalia; order Primates; family Hominidae; genus Homo; species Homo sapiens. The sequence continues at coordinate 67,785,609 of NC_000011.10, forward strand.
AACAGAGAACCCGTGGCCTGCAAAGCCTGAAGTATTTACTCTCTGGCCCTTTAAGAAATGTTTGTGGACCCCTGCGCTATCTTACTCTCCTGCCAGTGGGTTCCCAGGCCTGTGGCAGGATCTGTGGACCTGTGTGTCCCCTGGGGTGTCTCACGTGGTTAAGGAGGGGACCTTTGTGCAGATCCACACACCCTAAGCTGTGCCCCTGGGTAAGTTGGGGTGGTGTGGGAGGGAGTCCCTGCACCCTCATATTGAGTCCAGGGGATGATAAGACAGTAAGTCCCATGGAGAAAAGGAATGAGTCAGTCTTGTTTGCTGTTGTAACCTTAGCACCCAGCAACAATATTAGAGAAAGCAAGCCCAGGCCTCGGATGGCAGGGGTGGCCTGGTGCTGCTGATGTGGCCGGGCACCCCAACCTTTGGGAGCCTGCAGGCCTTGCCACGGCAGGAGATGCCCGTCCTGGGTCCTGGGCCTGCTCTGTGGCCTCTCACAGGCTTTTTTCCTGCTCTTTCAGTTCAGAACCTGAGGAACCAGCCACAGAGCCGTCGGCCTTCATGGAGTGGGATGCTGGGAGCGGGCTGGTGATGCTTCTCCGCGAGCAGCCAGCCCTGCTGGTCAGCAGCACAGGCTGGACAGGTCTGCACGACCCCTGAAACACTTGGGCTTGGTGTGACGGGCACCTGGCCAATCTGTGTTCTCACCCCTGCCAGTCCTGCATGCCCCCACCCCGCCACGGTCTCAATGAGAAGGGGAGGGTGTATGAGCTGGAAGAGGGGTGTCTAGAAACAAGCCCCTGACATTCAATTCTCTTCTCATAGAGGATGAAGACTTCTCCATCCTGCTGGCAGCTTTAGAAAGTAGGTGTGTAGCTGTGGTGAGGATCTCTGGGCTTGTTGGGGGCCACTGAGCTGTGAGCTGCTTGTCTGGCCTGCAGCATGTTCCTGTCCCGGGCCACTGGGCGGGGAAGCCTGGGGACAGTGGAGATGGTGGAGGTGGGCCGCCCTGAATCCCCAGTTGGGTCATTGAGTGACCAGGCCCTCAGGCTGAAATGCCTCCTCCAGGAGAGTATCTCACAGAGGCTGGTGGCCTCCCCACAAGAGCAGTGCTGTTTCTCCAACTGACCAGGTGACTCTGGCTATTGTATATTTAAAACTTTTTTTCTGAATGGGCATGGTGGCTCACACCTGTAATCCTAGAACTCTGGGAGGCCAAGGCAGGCAGATCACCTGAGGTCAGGAGTTTGAGGCCAACATGGCAAAACCTGTCTCTACTAAAAATACAAAAATTAGCTGGGTATGGTGGTGGGCGCCTGTAATCCCAGCTACTTGGGAGGCTGATGCATGAGAATTACTTGAACCTGGGAGGCAGAGGTTGCAGTGAGCTGAGATCATGCCACTGCATTCCAGCCTGGGTGACAGAGCAAGAGTCTGTCAGAAAAACAAAAAAGAAGAAATTCTATCAGAAATTCCATGTAGAATTGTTTCTTTTTTTAAACACAGAGTTTGAGCAACTGACTGTTGATGGACACAACCTTCCTTCTCTCGTCTGTGTGATAACAGGTACCGCCTGGGACCCTAGGTGTCTGTTTGGTTGGGGGATGGCGGAGGGGGAGGGGCACGCAGCCTTTACCCTGTGCTTCCCACGATCTTGTCTCCTTAATCTTCACTGCAGCTCTCTGCATAGGGTCTTATACTGCTTGACATGGGGGAAACTGAGGCTCAGAGGGTTTCACAGCAGGGCAGGGAGCCCAGATTTGAATCTGTAGATACAAAGCTTTCTACTTTTTCAGTAGTTTCCAAGCATCTTTTTGTTGTTGTTGTTACATCATTAGTGTCTTTTTTTCTTTTTTTTTTTTTTTGAGACAGTCTCTGTCACCCAGGCTGGGGTGCAGTGGTGTGATCTTGGCTCACTGCAACCTCCGCCTCTCACATTCAAGCAATTCTCATGCCTTAGCCTCCCGAGTAGCTGGGACTACAGGGGCCCACCACACCCAGCTAATTTTTGTATTTTTAGTAGAAACAGGATTTCACCATGTTGGCCAGGCTGGTCTTGAACTCCTGACCTCAGGTGATCCACCCACCTTGGCCTCCCAATATGCTCGAATTATAGGCACGAACCACTGTGCCTGACCATGTCATTGGTGCCTTAACCAAGCCTCTTTTAAGTTTTCAAACGGAAGAGCCCCTGTCCCACAGTTACTGCTGCTGAGCCCTTTCAAGGTGACTCAGTGAGGAGGGAGAAAAGCGGAAGTGGTGTGGGAAGAGGCGGGATCTGGGCCAGCTGCTGGTCCTGCTCTCCTCCCTCCTCTGGCCTCTAGGCTCCCAGGAGTGGTTTGGAACCCGCTCCATGTGCTCTGGAGGCTGTGGCTGGGCAGGGGCGGTTTGGAACCTGCGCCATGTGCTCTGGGGGCTGTGGCAGGGCAGGGGGAGTCCTCGTGTCCCCTGTGCACAACACAGACAAAAGGCTGGGTCCACCCAGTGGGCGGTCGCGTGCCAGGCCGGTGCTTACCCCGCCATGTTTGCAGCCCGAGGCCAGCTGGCTGCAAGAGCAGGGCTGTGCGTCAGGGGTCAGTGTGCACACACCACTGCAGGTCTCGGGGCTCCTGGGTTGCTTCTGGAAGGGCCCAGATGGGGCCTGACTGGAGCTGCCGAGGGGTGGATCTTCTGGGAAAGGGATCCCTCCTAGTGGGGAGTGTCTTGGGCCTGGGGCCACTTGGCAGGGTCAGAGACGGGTCCATGGCAGTATCTGCTCTTCTCTGTGAAGGCCAAGGGCCTCTGACGGAGTATTACAGCCGCCCCATCCACCAGAAGCATTTCCAGCACATCCAGGTCTGCAACCCTTGGCTGGAGGCCGAGGACTACCCCCTGCTTCTAGGTGAGAGGCCAGCAGGAGGCTCAGGGAGGAGGCGGGGCCTTAAGCAGGGGGAACAGATGTGGGCAGGATGTACTTTTTCTGAAAAGGTGGCTCTGGAGGCCACTTGGGGACAGGACCTGGGCTCTGGCTAACTCCCGGGAGGAGGCTACTTCCTGGTGTGCCAGCCCCTCCCTGCCAGGTGGCCCCAGAGGCCCTTTACCAAGGGGTTTGAGGAGGCCATGTCCTTTCAGCCTGCCACGCCCTCCATTCAGTCCTCTTCCTTCCTGCAGGAGGGCTGGGCCTGGGGTTGGGGCACTGTTGCCCAGGTGTGGGAGGGCAGTGGCTTTGGGAGGTACAGGGACGAGGTGTCAAACAGCGTTGCCTCTCCCAGTGAGATGGTTCTCCTTTGCCTCCGTCTCTTTCCCCGATTGATTTTTCCAAATGGGGAGTCGTGGCTTGGTCCTGATGCATCTCTAGAGCTGCATCTTCCAGCTTCGAGTGAGCAGAGCAGTTGAAGGCTGAGGGCCTTTTCCTGGCAGGACTCTCCAGGTAGTCTTTGTTTTAGACAGTCTCGCTCCATTGCCTAGGCTGGAGTGCACGATCTCAGTTCATGCAACCTCCGCCTCCTGGGTTCAAGCGATTCTCCCACCTCAGCCTCCCGAGTAGATTACAGGATTACAGGAGCCCGCCACAACACCTGGCTTATTTTTGTATTTTTAGTAGAAACAGGGTTTCACCATGTTGGTCAGGCTGGTCTTGAACTCCTGACCTCAAGTGATCCTCCCGCCTTGGCCCCCCTAAATGCTGGGATTCCAGGAGTGACCCATCATGCCTGGCCCCAGCTAGTCTTTAGAAATATTAAGCTGTTTCGCTTTATTTTCACACTGACAGCTGGTTTGTGGTGGGTGTGCTGTGGTTTATTATTATTATTATTATTATTATTATTATTATTATTATTATTATTTTGAGACGGAGTTTCGCTCTTGTAGCCCAGGCTGGAGTGCAATGGCATGATCTTGGCTCACTGCAACCTCCGCCTTCCCGGGTTCAAGCGATTCTCCTGCCTCAGCCTCCTGAGTAGCTGGGATTACAGGCACCTGCCACGATGCTTCGCTAATTTTGTATTTTTTTTAGTAGAGATGGGGTTTCACCATGTTGGCCAGGCTGGTCTTGAACTCCTGACCTCAGGTGATCCGCCCGCCTTGGGCTCCCAAAATGTTGGGATTACATGCGGGAGGTGAACCTGGGAGGTGGAGGTTGCAGTGAGCTGAGATTGTGCCACTGCACTCCAGCCTGGGTGACAGAGTGAGACTGTCTCAAAACAAAACAAAACAAAACAAAACAAAATAACAACAAAAAAACCAAATTGTGATTTAGTAGAAAAAGTGTCAACTTACATTTTCAGATGTCCCAGCCAGGCCGTGTGGCTGCTTGGCCGGCTTAAGCCACTTGTGCTTGGGGCTGTCGGGGGCCTTATCCGATTTTCACTCCCCTCGGGGGATGTTGTCTCACTGTGCTGGGAGGATTTGTGTTCCCAGGGCAGAGACCAGTGCTCTGACCCACCCCTCTTGCCTAGCAGGGTCGGTGGACCTGGGTGTCTGTCTGCACACATCCTCCAGTGGCCTGGACCTGCCCATGAAGGTGGTGGACATGTTCGGGTGCTGTTTGCCTGCGTGTGCTGTGAACTTCAAGTGGTAGGAGCAGAACCCGAATCTTTCTGGGGATAGCTTCACAGATCCACCGCTGAGGGGGAAGCAGTGTAGAGTGAGCTGCCCACAGTGAGGCCCTGCCCCTCGGTCAGTCCAGCACACACTGGAGGCCATGAGGAGGAGCCCTGCGGTTACTGTGGCTGGGCTGAGCCTCACTGAAGTAGTTGCTTCCATTTAGAGCTCATGTTATATTTAGGTTGGTACAAAAGTAATCACCGTTTTTGCCATTAAAGATGGCAATTACTTTTGCACCAACCTAATATGGAAAAAAAGCATGTTAAATACTAGAACTCCACTCGGGGCTTTTGCTCCTAGAGTAGAATTGGCGGGAATTGCCTGCAGGCTTACATGGTTTTCTTTGTTTCTTTCTCTCCCACCATGTCCCTTTTGGCCAAGCTCACGTGGTGGGTTTGAATCAGTTAAATGAGTGTCATGCTGTGGCCCCACTCTACCCAGCACAGACGTGTGTTTGGAAGGGCGGCGTTAGAGGAGATTCTAGAAGCAGTAGCCCCAGCACAAGCTGAGCCCTTGGCCCCTGCTCAGGAGCCGGCTCCTGGATGGGATCCAGGGATGTGAGCCCCTCCTGTGAGCTGAGCTCAGGGAATGTCGGGATCAAACCTGGTGCCCTAGAAAAGTCATCTTTTATGTGCTGAGCCAGTCCCCCGGGTGTTCCCTTTACTTGTTCCATGGCCATGGAGTTAAGAAAAACATGCAAAAATAATTCTTCAGTCCTTGAAGAGCATCCAGCACAGAAGGTACAAACCCCCCTTAAGGCTCCCTCTTCAAATCGGTTTGGCCATTTAGATGTGTACCCCCCTTTATACCCTTCAGATGCCAAATCTAAGAACCACCCCCCGGAAAACACACCCCCTGTTCCAACTCTCAGCCTGGCTTGAGCATGGGGTGGGAGGCTGAAGCCCAGGTGGGCACCCCAGGGGTCTGGTGTCTTCTCCAGGCAGCTCTCAGGCTCCCTTGGTTCTCTCTGCAGTTTACATGAGCTGGTGAAACATGAAGAAAATGGCCTGGTCTTTGAGGACTCAGAGGAACTGGCAGCTCAGCTGCAGGTAGCCACATCTGCCACCACGCGAGGGTGGAGAGGGTTCTGGAGACTGGCACTGAGCCATGCTCCCTGATCCCTGCTTCCCACAGCCAGGGTGGGACCATGTGGGGTCTGGCGGAAAAGCTAGGGAGAGAGCAGAAGTCACAGAGGCTGGCCTACTCTGCTGTCCCGTTTCGGTACAGTAGGCTCGGGAAAGTTAGGACACACCCCCACCTGCCCTCTGGATTTATGGAGCTGACACTCCACAAATGATGCTGGAGCCGGGTGGGCCGGGCTGCAGTTTCGGAAGTGATCAGGATCAGGTAGGTGCATGGGCAAAGGGAACTTCTGGGACCAGCCTTGAAAGATGGGTGGAATTCTGCAAAGGTTACTTGTTTCTTATTGCTAAAAGTAATACATCATTCTTGCCAACAGAATGATTGGCAGGATTTTCAGTAAAGGTCCAGGTCAGAAGTCATTTAGACTGTGTCTCCTAGTCTCTGTCAGAACCATGGTACTCTGTTGTGGTGTGAAAGTAGCCACAGATCATCTTCGATTAAGGGGTGTGGCTTTGTTCCAATAAAACTTTATTTACAAACACAGGCTGTGGGCTGGATTTGGCCTGCAGGCTGTAGTTTGTGATCCTTGATTCAGACAGTTTAGCAAGGCTGAAAAGAACACCAACACCCCCTTGTTACCCACAGATGGGTGGGACTTGGCCAGAGGCCAAGAGGAGGGTGCTCGCAGGGGAACATACAGCGTGTAGAGGCCGGGAGGTGCTCCAGGGCACGAAGTGTGGGAAAGTGGGACAGAAAGCGTGATGTCAAGTTGGAGGCGGAGCGCTGCTGGGGCGTGAAGAGTCTCGAGTCCAAGTGAGGGAGTTAGGAACTTGGGAGGGTTTGTTGTTGGGTCGGGGACCTGGGGTCAGCCAGGTGGTGACCTGGGATGGGGTGGGGACAGGAAATGAGTTAAGCTCTGCTCTTTATTTTTTTGCAGATGCTTTTCTCAAACTTTCCTGATCCTGCGGGCAAGCTAAACCAGTTCTGGAAGAACCTGCGGGAATCGCAGCAGCTCCGATGGGATGAGAGCTGGGTGCAGAGTGTGCTCCATTTGGTTATGGACACATAACTCCTGGGCCAGAGGCTAAAACCCCGGGACCCCTGCTGTCCTTCCCGCAGCTTCTTCTCGGAGTCTCAGGGCAAACCCTTTCGAGCAGCGCCTCCCAGTGGCCAGAAGGTGAAATGACGGCAGTGGTGCCGCCTGGTAAATGAATTGGTTCTGTGACCCGGGAAGCTGTGCTTGGCTCTGATTTCTTTTCTGGAGGCTCGGAAACACTTCCTATCTTCTTCTGTTCTTCACGCCCCATGCCCCTGCTAGCGGATTACTGTTCTGCGACTTCCGTGTGACCTCTGCAGTACTCCTCATCCTGCGTTTGCTCTCCAGGTGTCATCTTTCCGCCGTGTTCCTAACATTTTGATTCCTGTCTTGAAAAAAGCACCTGCTGCACTGTAAGCCCAGGGATGTGGCAGCTGCAGTGGGCTTGGCTTTGTGAAGAACCGAGTGTGTCCACGGATGTGGCAGCTGCAGCGGGCTTGGCTTTGTGAGGAACCGAATGTGTCCAGGGATGTGGCAGCTGCAGCGGGCTTGGCTTTGTGGGGAACCGAGTGTGTCCACATTGGGGGAACATCATACTTGATACACACGTTTTTATTTGCACAAAGAAAATGCTATTTTTGGAGCCAGAGATTTCATGTCTGATTGATGGCGATTTTCTTAAGAACCAGAACTGCTGGCAGAAAGGGAGCACCCACATGCTTAGATAGCTGATGTCTTATTAGAGGGCAGTTTGTGGTTCCTGATTTGGAAATTAACATTCTCCAAACATTCCAGTCCAATGAAAGTTTTATCCGCTTTCCCATATAAAAACTCTTCCCACTAGAGTGACTTGATTCTCACAATCCCGTTGGAGTCGTATGTGAGTCCTACAGTGTGAGGTTCAGCATTGCCATCTCCAAGTGCTCTTCGTAGGGAAACAGTTTCTGGTCATGACGAGGTTCCACTTCCCATCTGATCCCAGCCCGGCCTGGAAACAGAGGACATGTGTTTCAGGATGGCAGTGTTTGGGGACAGGACATGAGCGTATTGTGTGGGGCTGCTAGGACAGGCCTGGCGGGGTGGGGGGTGTGTCCAAGTCAGTTTACTTGGTTCACAGGTTCCCAGGCCCACCCAGGTGCCTAGAATTGGCCTCCAGGATGGGACAAGAAATCTGGTTTTGCATAGAAATGGCTAGCAGCAGGCACCGTGCCGCTGTCCACTCTCTGCCCGCATCTGCCCCAGCACTTGGCACAGCGGGACAGATGCAGAGATCTGAACCCACATCTACCTGGCTGCTCAGTCAACCCACTATTCACAAAGCTTAGAAAGCGTCCAGGCACAGTGGCTCACGCCTGTAATCCCAACACTTTGGGAGGCCAAGGCGGGTGGATCACTTGAGATCAGGAGTTCGAAACCAGCCTGGCCAACATGGTAAAACCTCATCTCTACAAAAATACAAAAATTAGGCAGGCACGATGGTGGGTGCCTGTAATCCCAGCTACTTGGGAGGCTGAGGCGGGAGAATTGCTTGAACCCAGGAGGCGGAGGTTGCAGTGAGCCGAGATTGTGCCACTGCACTTGAGCCTGAGTGACAGAGTGAGACTCCATCTCAAAAAAAAAAAAAAAAAAAAAATTACACACACACACACACGCACACACACAGCTTAGAAGGGGCTGGTGTTCTCATAAGCACAGATGTCTGAAGAGCCGTTAGCCAGAATGATTCTTTTTTTTTTTTTTTTTGAGATACGATCTTGTTCTGTCACCCAGGCTGGAGTGCAGTGGCACAGTCATTGCTCACTACAGCCTCGACTCCTGGGCTCTAGCAATCCTCCCACTTCCTGAGTAGCTGGGATGACAGGTGCGTGCCACCATGCTAGTAATTTTTTTATTTTGTAGAGATGGGGTCCTGAATGCATGGCCTCAAGTGATGGTCCTGCCTCAGCCTCATTTATTATTTTTTTTTAAACAGAGATTTACTCTGTTCCCAAGGCTGGAGTGCAGTGGTGCAATCTCAGCTCACTGCAATGCATCCCAGGTTCAAATGATTCTCCTGCCTCAGTCTCCCGAGCAGCTGGGATTATAGGCGTGCACCGCCACTCCTGGCTAATTTTTGTGTTTCTAGTAGAGATGGGGTTTCACCGTGTTGGCCAGGCTGGTCTTGAACTCTTGACCTCAAGTGATCCGCTCACCTCAGCCTCCCAAAGCCTCAGACTCTTACAGTGTTGGATTACAGGTGTGAAACACTGTGACCCGGGATGATTTTCAATCACAGCTTTTTGTTACGAGTGGAAAATGCATATTTATAAAAATGAAGTAGTACAGACATGAACGTGTAGAAGTCTCTATAATCCTGCCATCCAAGGATGGCACCTGTTAACGTGTATATCAGGGATGTCCAATCTTTTGGCCTCCCTGCACCACATTGGAAGGAGAAGAATCTCCTTGGGCCACACATAAAATACACTAATGCTAGCAATAGCTGATGAGCTAAAAGAAAAAAAAATCACAAAAAAACCTCGTACTGTTTTTAAGAAAGTTTACAGATTTGTGTTGGGCCGCAGCTTGGACGAGCCTGCTATATATATATTCTAGGTTATCCCCTATAGGTATACTTATGTGAAAATGATTATTGTGATAATTTGTTTTTGAGATGAAGTCTTGCTATGTTGCTCAAGGGGGCCACAAACTCCTGGGCTTAAGCCATCCTCCCACCTCAGCCTCCTGAGTAGTTGGGAATATAGGTACTCATAACTATGTGTGGGTGATTATTATTATTTTTTAAACAAAAATGGGGCTGGGTGCAGTAGCTCACGCCTGTAATCCTAACACTTTGGGAGCCTGAGGCAGCAGATCGCTTGAGGTCAGGAGTTCAAGACCAGCCTGGCCAACATGGCGAAACCTCGACTCTACAAAAAATACAAAAATTAGCCAGGCATGGTAGCACGCACCTGTATTCCCAGCTACTCAGGAGGCTGAGATGGGAGGATAGCTTGAACCTGGGAGGTGGGAGGTTGCAGTGGGCCGAGATGGCACCACTGCACTCCAGCCTGGGCTATACAAAGCCAGACTCTGTCTCAAAAAAAAAAAAAAAAAAAAAAGGTGGGTGGGGGCTTATACTATGTGTGCTGCTTGGCACTGTTTTTTTCACTTCAAAGATATTGCAGGTATTTTTTCACATAAGTATCTGAAGAAAGACTTCCTTTTTTTTTTTTTTTTTTTTTTTTGCCTTTTTAAGACAGGGTCTTGCTCTGTTGCCCAGGCTAGAGTGCAGTGGTGAGATCAGGGCTCACTGCAGCCTCCACCTCCTGGGCTCAAGCCATCCTCCCACCTCAGCCTCCCGAGTAGCTGGGACTACAGGTGCGCACAACCATGCCTGACTAGTTTCTGTATGTTTTGTGGAGATGGGGTCCCACTATATTGCCCAGGTAAGTCTTGAACTCCTGGTGTCAAGAAGTCCTCCTGCCTTAGCCTCCTAAAGTGCTGGGATGACAGGCCTGAGCCTCGCGCCCGGCCAGCCTCCTGTGCTAGGTTGTGCGGGACTCTGTCGTGGAACCCAGTGTGTCTTTGTGTGCTGGCTTGTTTGTTGGCTCTGTAGTTAACGGGCTGCTCCACGTGGACAGGCATTGGACCCGTGTCTCTGTGTGCAGGCAGAGGCTGCTGCACGTGCATCTGTGCACATGGCTGCCAGGAGGGGCTGTGCTCAGGGGGAGCTGGGGCAAAGGCTGGTGGCAATGAGGGGCTTGGGTGTAGTGTGGAGGCACGAGAGCCTGGTGGCCGGGCTGCAGCCTGTGGGAGCTCGGGGGTTGCTTGGCCTCTGTGTGTCCCAGTGTCTTTGTCGGTGGGATGGGACAATGATAGCACACTCTCACAGGTGCTGGGGGCTGACAAATGTCAGGTCTGAGGACAGTGGCTGGCCCACTACGGGGCCAGTTCCCCTTCTCTATAGTCACCCTGCTCGTCTTCCATCAACTGGGTGCTCAGGACAGTGGCGTGGTGGATCCGCCTGTACAGCCTGTGCTCCAGTGTCCTGCAGGCCACAGCTGTGTCCAGCCCTGACCCCGACTGCCCCTCCTGCCACCTCCATTTTATAGATGAGGAAACCGAGGCCCAAGGGCTTAGGGAACCTTGCTCTGAAGCACACAGTAGGGCTGCTGGGCTCAGATCCTCCCTCCCTGTGCTGAGCTGCCCTCCTCCTGCCACAAGGCCCCCACACCCCGAGCCCACATTTCTCACCGGCCTCTGCCCTAGTTCCCCACATGGTGTGGGAGTGTGGGGCTTCCTAGCTTTTCCCCGGCCCCCAGTTCTTTCACTTCCACTGGAGTCCCGCAGGGACAGCTTGGGGACCATGCAGGCCCGGGTGGGCGTGGGGGCTCACATAGCTCAGTGGTGAACAGCTGGCACGTCTCTGGGTTGCAGATGGTAAGGGCCACATAGACTTGAGGAGCCCGCTGGTGCTCCCGGCAGGCAGCCAGCCTCCGCAGGACCCCGACCAGCGACACGATGGCTTCTGGGCTATACAGCACGTCTACGGTGAAAGCTTCAGGTTACTGAAAGGGACCAGCGGACAGTTCCAGGTCATGCTGACCTCAGCAGCAGGGCGAGGCCAGAGAGGCAGCGGTCATATGAGACTAGTAGATGCCATTTGACCATTTGGGCCATTAGATGGAAAGGCAATTACTTGGGTGAAAAAGGAGAACCCTTAGTAGAGAAAGCTGCAAAAGACCGAAGCAAAAGAAAAAAATCTCCAGACTCACTGGTGTTCCTTAAAAAATGAGTTCTGGTTCTCGGCCTATCTAGAGGGCTGTGAATGACACAAAGCCTGATCCTGCCATGAACTTCGTGTTTCAGGCGTCTGCCAATTTGTCTGCTGGCTTGCAGGGGTGGGCCTGTGTCCCTGGCCACCGCTGGACCTGTGGTTTTCAGGGCTGGGACCCAGGACCACAGGCAGAGCTCTGTTCGACCAGAGAGGAGACTGAGTGTGCTGGCAGGGGCGAGGGGTTTTCGGTGGCCCAGCCAAACACCACCTTCTCTCAAGGGCCCTGTCCTCATCCCAGAAGTGGTTGTTTTCCTCCTGTGGTCTCTGAAAGACACAGTCATGACTCTGGGACAGAGCCATGTGGTGATGACTGTAACGGGAGTATGCCTGTCTCCAACAAAAGGGCTGTGGCTGGAAGGTCACCTTAAGAGACACCCCTGTCCTTTGACGTCACCCTGGAGGCCCAGAGTAACTCTTCTGGAAGCCCCATCATGTCCATGCCCGACAGTGTCCATTGTTCCCTTTTCCCAGAGCCAAGAGCTGGGTAGAGCTTCAAGGACACCGCCTGCACAGAGTGCCCGGGGCTGGGCATTACCTGCTGCAATGACAACATCTGGCTGGATTGCAGATTGCTGACGGACCGTCGCGACGTCCCAGTCCAGCTGGGCCACTGTCACCCTGGGGCTGTCTAAGTTGGCAGAGATATCTGCCTCTAATGAGAGGCCACTGAGAAGGACATTCCCTCAGAGCTTCTCAAGGACCCGGCTGTGACAGTCGCTGAAGATGTATGCCCAGGGGCGGCACATCTTGCAGATGGCCAGGCCTGTGAGGCCGGCGCCACTGCCAAGCTCTAGGACCATCCTGGTGGGAGGAAAGGGGACCATGTCTGCGACTGCACCAGGGTAAGCCTGCCTCGGTGCCCTGCCGTGCACCCCGAGGTCACCTATGAGAGAAGGCTGCCGGGTTCTCGATGGCCCATTCTGCAAGGTAGAGGGCAGCATCTCATGTGACCAGGCCTGTGATGCCGTGGGAGATGATGGCTGTGTTCTTGAAGAGTGTGACTGAGCCTCCTGAGGGCTGCACCAAGAGAGGGAGAGAGAGTCAGTCCAGCGATCAGAAGGCAAGTGGCTTAGAAGACAAGTAGCCATCCACCACATGGCTGAATAAACCATGACAGGACCAATCGCCACTCAGCAAAGAGAAGCAGCTAACTGTTGACATGCCAACAGCTTGCACAGGCCTCAAGGGTGTCACATGGCATGAAAGACACTCATCTCAGGCCACACAGGATTTCATTCATTGAACATTCCTGAAACAATGGAATTCTGGTGATGGAGCACAGGTCAGTTGTGGCCAGGGGCCGGGTGTGGCTATGAAGGGGTGGCTGCCTTGTGATGATTCAATATGCTATGTTTTTCCTTTGTGGTTTTCTGTATCTATGTTTTATCTTATTTTTTTTTTGAGCTCTGTTCCCCAGGCTGGAGTCAGTGGCACAATCTTGGCTCACTGCAACCTCTGCCTCCTGGGTTCAAGCAATTGTCCTGCCTCAGCCGCCTAATTAGGTGCAACTACAGGCATGTGCCACCATGTCTGGCTAATTTTTCTACTTTTTTTTGAGACAGAGTTTCACTCTTGTTGCCCAGGCAGGAGTGCATTGGCGTGATCTTGGCTCACCACAACCTCCACCTCCTGGGTTCAAGAGATTCTCCTGCCTCAGCCTCCCGAGTAGCTGGGATTAGAGGCACCCACTACCACACCCGCTAATTTTTGTATGTTTAGTAAAGACAGAGTTTCACCATGTTGGCCAGGCTGGTCTCAAACTCCTGACCTCCGGTGATCCACCTGCCTCAGCCTCCCAAAGTGCTGGGATTACAGGCATGAGCCACCACGCCCGGCCTAATTTTTGTATTTTTAGTAGAGACAGGGTTTCACCATATTGGCCAGGCTGGTCTTGAACTCCTGACCTCGGATCCACCCGCCTCAGCCTCCCAAAGTGCTGGGATTACAGGTGTGAGCCACCACACCCGGACCTGTCAAGTATTCTTTGAGGACTGGACACCAGGTCCTTGTGAAGCAGGTAGAGTGTGTCACCTATTGGACAAATGCCCAACAACCCCATGAGACATGCTGTTGTTGTTGAAGTGCTTGATTTACAGACAGGGAAACTGAGGCTAAAGAAGGTTGATGGACCTCATGTCTAAGACTGCAGACTGGGTGAGTCAGGATTTGAACCCACACCCACGTTTTCACTTTGTCTGTGCAGGAAGGGTATCTGGGCTGTGAGGGGGAGGAGGGTGTCCTTCTCATACCAGCAAATAGCTCCGGTGGCCCTGGGTGGACTCCTTGGCCATCAGGGTCTCCGCCAGCACCTCGTACAGCTCGTCCAAAGGCTCTGTGTGGACAGCCTCGTGCTGGGGGCAGACAGAGTGAGAGCTTGTTTGCTTTCGTTCTAATCTGTAAAAATGGTCAGATGATTTTCACCAAGTTTGGAGGGGAGATTTGGGATGGAATGGTGTAATACCGGCCAGCTGGCATATAAAACATTCACTTCATTGGGCTTGGTGGTGTGTGCCGAATAGTCCCAGCTACTCTAGAGGCTGACATGGGAGGACTGCTTGAGCCCAGGAGTTCGAGGACAGCCTGGGCAAGAGACCTTGTCTCTAAAAAAAAAAATTCACTTGGTAGGGAAACCTGGATGGGAGGGCCTTCAACGAGAGGTGTTGAGAGGGTAGTGTTAGGTGTAGTCTAAGGCAGGAGACAAGGATTCCGTGAGAGCTGCCACATGACCATGACAGAGAGGAGGAAAACCAAAGGTGCTTTTAAGTGAGCCCAGGCACAACTGTGAGGGCGGCCCATGCTGCAGGCTGTGGCTGTCAGCAGGCTGCTTCTCCACGGCTGGCCCCATCCTAAGATTCACAGGGCAGCAGCAAGATACACTGGGTGACTGCTGCCCTCTCCTGGTGGCACAGGGCAGACCTGCTGGTGACCACAGATGCACCCTTTTGGGGAGGATTAGGGAGAAAGCAGGTATTGGAGAAGCAGGGGATTGTTTACTTGCTAAAATTGTGGCCCTTTCACTCAGCAGGTCTGCTACTGCCTACTGAGCAACAGCCTCTCGACATCCTTATGTCAAACCCTGCATGTTCGGGCCCATCTTTAAAATCCATCCTAGGCCAGGTGCGGTGGCTCATGCCTCTAATCCCAGCACATTGGGAGGCCGAGGCAGGTGGATCACCTGAGGTCAGGAGTTCGAGACCAGCCTGGCCAACATGGTGAAACTCTGTCTCTACTAAAAATACAAAAATTAGCCAGGCATGGTGGCGTGTGCCTGTAGTCCCAGCTTCTTAGGAGGCTAGGCATGAGAGTTGCTTGAACCCAGGAGGCAGAGGTTTCAGGGAGCCGAGACTGTGCCACGGTAATCCAGCCTGGGCAACACAGTGAGACCCTGTCTCAAAAAAATAAATAAGTAAAAAATAAAATCCATCCTGTATCAGTCAGGAAAGAGCACATTCCAGCAGGATCAATGCCGAGAATTCACCAGAGGAACTAGTTCCAAAGTTATGGCAAGAGCTAAACCTTCCAACAGGGGCCCGTGGGGCAACCCAGAGACGGACAAGAGCAGGAAACTCCAAACCCTTCGGCAGGCAGGACAGAGGGTGTGGGTGCAGGTTCCAGTGCTGTGGGCTGGGCTAGCCTGGTAGGAATGAGAATCCATATGCTAGGAGCTGGGGCCCCAGAGAAGCAGCTGCGGCGGAAACCCCAGGAGGCAGAGTGAGGGAGAGACGCTGGCCTCCCCTTCTTCCCGCCCTGCATTGTCTCCCATGGGTCACACGCGGCTGCAGCCAGTTGCCTGGTTAGGCCCCTGCCATGCTGGGGTTTGCAAAGCAGGCCCAGGGCCTGGGAAGGATGGGGGCTCCAGCACGCAGGTGGCTATGCTGTCCAGCTACTGGGCGGACACTGCCCATAACTGACCTTTTTGATGAGTTCTGAGAGAAAGCACCAGGCATACTTGACTGATGGCCGGTGCTTCACACACACAGGATGCTTCACAGTCTACCGCAAAGGACAGAACTTTGGTTGCTCAAGAGCCTGTCTTAAGTCTCCTATGAGCTTCAAGCCAACACGGCAGAGGGCAAACTCCAGGCTACCCGATCCCTCAGCAAAGATGTAGATGGACACAGCGTTCTGGCCCCATGCATCTGAAGTTTGTCTTATGATATAAGCCATTTCCTAAAAATGCTTCCACTGCAGTGTCACAGGCTATGGCAGCATTTCTAATGCCCATTCTGAGCAAGAACGCAGGGCACGTGGGCCCAAACCACCTCCCTCCCAGGGGAGCCAGTGTGAACCAGGGTTTGCAGTAAAGACAGTCGCCAACTGTCTGGCTCTATGGAAGAGGAGGGAAGGCCCACTTGGCAACTGCTCTCTTGCAGCGTGTGTTCCTGGGGATGGGATGGAGGGGAGGGGACGCTCTGGGTGACACTCCAGCTAAAGCCGAGAGAAACCAAGTGCAGGACGAGCAAGTTCCAGACAGTGGCAACAGGTGATGCAAGCTCTGAGGTGGCCATGTCCTGGCACTTGGAAAGGAGGGCAGAGGGACTGGTGCAGCAGGAGTGGGGATGGTGGGAAAACAGGAGCCTGGAGGGAGAGGGAGGAGACAGTCTGCAGTGCCTGCTGGCTGGGAGGGATGCAGATTCTGCCCAAGGGCAGCAAAGTACCCCACGCAATACACAGGCTCTTCATGCTCGTGCTGGTTTTTCATTTTTTCTGACACAGTCTCGCTCTGTTGCCCAGGCTGGAGTGCAGTGGCCCGATCTTGGCTCACCACAGCCTCTGCCTCCTGGGTTCAAGCGATTCTCCTGCCTCAGCCTCCTGAGTAGCTGGTACTATAGGCGTGCACCACTACGCCCAGCTAATTTTTGTATTTTTAGTAGAGATGGGTTTTTGCCATGTTGGCTAGGCCGGTCTTGAACTCCTGACCTTAGGTGATCCATCCACCTCAGCTTCCCAAAGTCCTGGGATTACAGGTGTGAGCCAGTGCGCCCAGCCTTCTGCTGGGTTTTAAAGCAGCTATCCCTACATTTCATGCTTCACCACCTACGAGAGTGAGGCTCAGGGTGAAACTCAGAGCAGGGTGCGAGATAACTTCAGGTATCTCCATGCTCGAAGCCCTGACCTACTGCATTGCCCCAAAAGTCTTCCCTGCTGTGGCTGCATCTTTTCCACATGGATAATCTTGGTTCACCTCTAGCACAGGAATTCTTCACTGGGGATCCTAGGATGGGCTGGGTGGGTGGGGGTGGAGGATGTCTGCCTCGAGTTTGTATGGAAAATGTATTCTTCTGGTGCACTTCTTTCTGGGAGGGAGTCTATTGCTTTCTCTTTTCAGAAGGACTCATGGCCCTTCGAAGGTGAAGACCCAGGATGCAGGGTGATCTGCACTTGGCCCTCAAGGCCAAGGTCAGGCTGTGGCTGGGCCGGGTGGTGATCCTGCCTCTCACCTGCATGCAGATGCTCTTGAGTCCAAACCCCACCCTGGGCAAAGTAAGGGCCCATTTAGGTCTAGAAGAGACAGGAGTGGGCAGGACAGGCCTCATGAATGCAAAAAAGAAAGTCTCTGAACATCTACCAAATTCTAGAAGCTGTTTTGCACCTGTCATCTCTGTTTTTGCTGTGGATGGTTTAAAAACTTTCCCTAGATTCCCCCCTCTCATGCAGATTTTTGTATATTCTGATGTCTTTGTCTAAGTCTTAGAAAATGAAAGAGCTGGAGCTGTCGGAGGTGACGACACCCACCTGCAGTGCTGACTCAATGGTTTTGTTCTTTGAACAGGGGTGTTTTTAAAGGGTACAAGCACACCTGTGCTTCTTCTCTCAGGTCTTCCGGAGAGATTCAGGAGGCAGGGTCATGAGTCCCAGGGACTCTGGAATTCTTACCTTCTGCAAAATATCCCGCAGCAGCTCAGAATCTGATGAGTCTCTTAACTTTGCTTCTAAGCTCTGTGTGGAGGGGAGAGAGAGAAATCTCAAGGGTGCATTCACAGGAACATTAAGCACGCAATAGAATGTGTTGGCAAAGCGCTGTGTGATCTCTCCCCGGGGACGTGGAGCCAGTTGGAAGTGGAAGCCACAGCAGCTGAAAGCCTGACCTTCAGATGTTGCAGGGTGCACCTGGATGAGTCACAGGAAGAAGGCTAGAAGACTGACTCTTGGCCGCATTAGTCCTGGCTACTTAGCGGCCACCCGGGTCATGGGCCAGCTCCCTGGTTGCACTTGTCAGCCAGGATTGCACTGGTTACCAGGGCAGCCATGGCACCAAGGTTTGATGGGCTTGCCATCTGAGTTTAAGTGGAAATGCAGAATGTTCCCATACCAGCCTGGGTTACATTGTCCTCTTACAGGGGCCTCAAGCCCAGCAGCGAACTTTGGCTCCCGAATTAGGTAGACTGTCTCGGCTGGTATGTGACACAGGGCAAGGCACTTCATTGCTTCAGAGCTCCTTCCATGCCGTAAAAGGTCCTACAAGACCTGGTCCTAATCCCTCTCTCTGGCCTGTTCTCCCTCGCCCCTGGCCCACCCTGCTCACTCCACTCCAGCCACACTGGCTGCCTTGCTGTTGTTCCTCAACAACAGCTGGCTTGTTTCCACCACAGGACGTTTGCATATCCTGTTCCCCAAGCCCTTCCCATGGCTGGCTGCTTCACCACTCAGGCCCCATTTCAAATGCCACCTCTTTGGGGAAGGCTTCCCTGATTCCCCGACTTTGGTGACTCTTCTCCCCAGTTGCTCCATTCACCATTTCCCTGTTTTATTGGCTTTAAAGCCACTCTCATCTGGTCTTTTCTTGTTTCTTCATTTATTTGTTTATTCTCTGGCTCTCCCATGCAAGCAGAGCCTCATCTGTCATAGGTACTGCTGATCCATGGTGCCTGGCTCACGGAAGGCATTTATTAAACATTTTGAGACTGAATAAAAACACTAGCTAACACCAACATGCATTTACCATGAGCCAGGCACTGATCCACAGGCTTTTGTACTCAACCCTGACAACAACCCTAAGAGGTAGGTATCATTATATCCCCCATTTTATTAATAAGAAAACAACAGCACAGAGAGATGCACTTGCCCAAGGTCACACAGGGCCAGGGGTTGGGCCAGGATTCGAAGCAGGCAGGCTGTCTCCTGGGTCTGAACTCTCAACTACTGCACCTAATCAAACAATCCCTCTGGTCAAATGTGAGTGATGATAATAGTACCCACCTCGTGGGTGTTGAGGGTGAGCCCAAGTTAGCTTTCAGCGTGGCATGTGAACAATTATAGTCAATATTGAATGGAGACCTATGATGCTTTTATGAAGGTTTCTATTTTGGGTTAAAAATGCACAAATTTCTCCTGACCAGAAATGATCTCTGAGTGCTAAATATTTCATGTCAATGGAATAGCGCAAATGATTAAGCAACACCCCATAAAATGGGGCAGACCCAGGGAGGAATATATATCCAAACTGACTCATCCCAGTGAGCTCACCGCACATGGATTACAAATGGGGCCGGGTGCATTAAGCCCCTCTACTGGCAGAAGGGAGGCTGCTGCCTGCCATGCGCCTGTGCTGAGAATGGCAGGTCCCCAGGGAGACGAGAGGCCACCCCCTTCTCTGTCTCTTCCATCACAGGCGTGAGAGCCTCAGAGCATGAGCCAATTCTGTGCAGTGCTCGACATACAGATGAGAACACTGAGGCACGAGGGACAGCCTGTGACCTGGTCACCACGCTCAGGAGGACGTGGTTACCCGCGGTCCTGAGGGCGCTGACTTTTTAGAATGGGCGAGGGCAGCTCTGTCCCAGTGACCAGAACGGTTACTGCCTTTAAAAAGTCGTGAAAATGATAGTGAACTGTACCCCACAACGAGTGCGCCTCTGCCCCCCAAGATGGTGGAGAGGCCCCCAGCTTACGCCGCCAGCACGCGGGGCAGGAGGGGTGCGAGCGACTCTGGCCAGGCCCCAGGGACGGGAAACGGGTCGCGCGGACCTGACCGGCGGGAGCCCAGGCACTCACGTGGCGTGAGCGCCGGGGGCTTCAGCACAGAGACCCATCCCATCTGCCCCTGGACTCCCGCGAGCCCCGCGGGCCTCTCCGCTCGCCCCGCCGCCCACCTGCCAGGGGAAGGAGCGCAGTGCACGCGCCGCCAGGAAGCGGCGCTCCAAACTCTGCAGCAAGAGTTCGGTCCCCGCGTTCTCCTCGGGCGCCATGACGTGGGCGGGGCCGCAGCGTTGCCCGGAGACCGGGCGGAAGCCAGGCCTGGACTGAAGAGGGGGCGGGCCCAGGGCAGTGGGCGGGGGCAGAGAGGGGGCGGGGCCTGGGGGTAGGGTGAGGAGGAGAGTCGTGGGGGCGGCTCTAGGGCGGGGCCAGGATGAGCGTTATGAGGCGGGACCTGGGGTGGGGCCAGGATGAGCGTCATGAGGGCGAGGCCTGGGGTAGGGCCAGGATAAGCGTCGTTGGGGCAGGTCCTGGGGAGAGTTCTGGTTGGCGGGTCCTGGGGCGGGGCCAGGACAGGGCGATCCTGGAAGCGGGGCTTCGGAAGCGTCCAGGTTGGAGGCGTCCTGGAGTCGGGGCCTTGCGTGGGGGCAGGATAAGGGTCCTGGAGGCGGGGCGTTAGGGTGGGGGTAAACGATGATTGGGTTCAGGAGGCGAGACTCGGAGCAGAGCCCAGGAGACAGGTCTTAGGGCGGGGCTAAGGGCAGACCCGGAGAAGGGCTCAGGAGGCGGGGCCAGGGCGGGGCGTTGACTATGTCGTAGCACGTGGCCAGGCGCTGCTCGGACTCTGGGAGGCGGAGCTTAGGACGGGCCGACATGGGGAGGGGCCCAGGGTCCGGGAGGCGGGGCAGAGTCCGGGCTGCGGGCTGCGCTCAGGAGGCGGGCCCTGGGAGGCGGAGCTTAGGGAGGGGCAGGTGTCGGTAGGGACCAAGGGACTGGGAGGCGGGTCGGGGCTGGGCTCAGGGGCCGAGAGGGAGCTGGGCTTGGGGTGGGGCCGAGACGGAGCGAGGGGTCCAGGGTGTGAGAAACGGGGAGGGGTTTGAGGAGGGGTTTGGAGTGTGGCTCAAGTTCGGGAGGCGTTACCTGCGGAGGGTTTGAGGCAGGCCCAGGAGCGAGCCCACGGTCTGCCGAAGCGGGGCCAGGGGCGGGCCCCAGGATCCGGAGCTTTGGGCGGGGCCGAGTCCGGGTTAGGGGCCCGGGAGGCGGGGCCGGTTAGGGCGAGGGTCCCCGGGATCGTCGGGTCAGGCCTTGGGCCAACGTAGGCACTCTCGCAGTTCCTCCGCCTTCAGGAAGGTCTTTTTGGCAGGGGCCTTAGGGGTGCGCGCTTCTGTCCTGGAGGCGTTATCCTAGCCTCCTCTCCATCAGCGCCACACATCTGGAGCCCGATAGGAAGGAGCTTTCCCTCTGTCCCCCAGCCTTTGGACTGTCACCAAACAAGCCATCCGTTCACCAAATACTTATGAAGCTCCTACCATGTGTCTGGCAAGGGAGATGTAACAGTGAGAAAAACTAGGTGTGGTCCAGGCCCTCCAGGGGCTCAGGGGGTCGTGGAAGAAGTGGACATTGAAGTACTTATCACACAAATGAGTATAAAAGTACAATAGCGATATCTGCCACGAAGGCGAGCAGACAGAGCTAGCGGGGCTTCCAGGAGGAGTTTTAATCTTGCAGGGACAGGAAGGAGGAGTTAGCTCCTGGGGGGCGGAATTGGGGGTGGTGGTGATATAGACGTGGGGACAGAGTGGAAAACAACAAAAATATAATTATTTTAGTTCAAAGTTATTGTGTCTTGAGTTGAACGTGTCTTTAGTTCAAAGTTATTGTGTGTTGAGATTTCAGTACTGCCCCTGAAATCTGAACTGTGTTCAAAGTCTAAAACGTTTACCTTAGCAAATCCCTCATAAAACTCCATTTGGAAGAGTCCCGAGAGCTAATTTGTTCAGTATACTTGCAGAAGGTAGATGAGGAGACAGATTAAATCTTATTACCTCTTTCAGATGAGAGGCACTTGAGTCCTGCTCAGCTGTGAGAATAAGAGAGGGGGATTAATTCTAATTGAATACACGTGTTCTCTCACAGCTGTTGTTCCCCACCAGAACCAAATGAGCGCAAGATCTGACAAAGAAAAAAAAAAGGTTCATCTTTTATTCCCCCAAACACTTTCATTTAAATCAAGAGGGTGGGATGTGGTTATTGCTGTGTTTTTAGACAGAATCAACAGTTTCTGGGTCTGAGATATTGCATACACCCTCTCAGTCCCTGTATCCTGAGATGGAGTCACCTGAGAATCCACAGCAAGTCGTAACCAGAGATGGGTCTGGGTGGTTAAGGAAGCTTGGCTTCAGAACTGGGCCAGGGGCACTGCTTTGCTTTTGTGGTTTTGATCAGCTCTCTGCCTGCAGGAGACAAGGAAAACCAACGGGAACAGGTTAGTTACACTCATAAATCCTGGGCTTATTTTATTAACTCACATAATAGCTATTAATTACCTTTCCTCCAAGGAGCAAAAGGGCATATACGGTCAATGCTATGATAAGTAACACTGTATTATGTTATACTAAAATATTAATAAATCTAGGTTGGTTCAGTCTTTCCTAATTCCATAGGTTGCAAGCGGATTGAGGAAGGACCCTAGCGGACCACAGAGCTGAGCCATGCATGCAGAAGAAATCTTTTCTTTTGTTTTCTTTTTGAGACGGAGTTTTGCTCTCTTGTTGCCCAGGCTGGAGTGCAATGGCGCGATCTCGGCTCACTGCAACCTCCACCTCCCAGGTTCAAGCGATTCTCCTGCCTCAGCCTCCCGAGTAGCTGGGATTACAGGTGTGAGCCACCATGCCGAGCCATTTTTGTTATTTTTAGTGGAGACAGGGTTTGAACACGTTGGCCAGGCTGGTCTCAAATTCCTGACCTCAGGTGATCCGCCCGCCTCTGCCTCCCAAAGTGCTGGGATTACAGGCGTGAACCACCGCGCCCGGCCAGAAGAAATCTTTATCTTGGTGTTTGAACTCGGATGAGGGACAAATGTCATCTATCTTGGATCTGAATCTGGAAGGATCAAGGCACTGAAGGGATTTATTTGTTTCAGACAGTCTCCCTCTGTTGCCAGGCTGGAGTGCAGTGGTGTGATCTCGGCTCCTGCAACTTCTGCCTCCCGGGCTCAAGCGATTCTCCTGCCTCAACCTCCCGAGTAGCTGGAACTACAGGCACGCATCACCACGCCCAGCTAATTTTTGTATTTTTAGTAGAGACAGGGTTTCACCATGTTGGCCAGGAGTGTCTCAATCTCTTGACCTCACGATCCATCTGCCTTGGCCTCCCAAAGGGCTGGGATTACAGGCGTGAGCCACCATGCCCGGCCTCACTGAAGGGATTTTTTTAATGTCACGTGGCTCTCACAGGTGCAGTGTGTTCGGGTGCAAGTGAAGATTAGGACTGATGCTTAAAATCAAACGTAAAATTCCAGGTGGTGTTGCTATGGGGAACAGCATTAGGACAATCTGAGTGGTTTCAGTTGCAAGAGTGTGCGTGTACGTGCAAGAACTACAGTCAAGGTTCAACTTCTAGCTTTGAGGGTCTCTTTAATAACAGCAATAACAACCTAAGTCAGTTTAACAGTATGGAATGGTTGCCTTTTAGAAATTAAGCTATGGGCATGGAAGTTCAATCAGTACATTGAAGTTTTTCCTTTATCTCTCCTATGGTTAATGGTTTCTGCAGAAAAGCACCAATTGATATCTTTCTAAAACGTTGCTTCAGGGTGTAGAGACCTTTATAAGTCATGTTTCAACTTACAGAAAATTTTATAGTTCAAATATAAATTATGTTCAATGTGGACATTGTAATAGAATTTAAGGTTAAGTAAAATTTCCACTTTCCTTAGGCTGTTTGCAGTGCCCAGCAGGCCCCATGATATCGAGATGGAAGTTATGTTAAAGGAGGAGATTGGTCATGGATGGGCAGAATAAGGAATATGGGCAGCTCAGGCTAATGATACAATGATTGAGGTGTAGAAAGAGGGCCAGGCACGGGATAATGCCTGTAATCTCAGTGCTTTGGAAGGCCAAGGCAAGAGGATCACTTGAGGTCAGGAGACCAGCCTGGTCAACAGAGTGAGACCTAATCTGTACAAAAAAAAAAAAATTAGTTGGGCATGGTGGTGTGCGCCTGTAGTCTCAGCCACTTGGAAGGCTGAGGTCAGGGTATCCCTTGAGCCCAGGAGTTTGAGGCTGTGAGTTATAATCACATAACTGTACTCCAGCCTGGGTGATAGGATGAGGCTCTGACTTAAAAAAAATTGAGTCAGGGAAAAAATTGGAAATCTTAATCCTCCGTACCCAGGAATGTGACCTTATTTGGAAATAGGGTATTTGTAGATGTAATTAAGTAATGATGAGTCATACTGGATTGGGGGCTGCTGGTGAGGAGGCAGATGCAATGATTGGTGTCCTTATAAAAGGAGAGAATGAGGGCCAGGCATGGTGGCTCATGCCTGTAATCTCAGCACACCTTGGGAGGGTGAGGTGGGCGGATCACTTGAGGTCAGGAGTTTGAGACCAGCCTGGCCAACATGGTGAAACTCCATCTCTACTAACAACACAAAATTAGCACTGAGTGGTGGCGGGTGCCTGTAATCCCAGCTACTCAGGAGGCTGAGGTGGAAGAATCACCGGAACCTAGGAGGCGGAGGTTGCAGTGAGCCAAGATTGTGCCACTGCACTTCAGCCTGGGTGACAGAGGGAAACTCCATCTCAAAAAAATAAAATAATAGAGGAGAATGTCAGGTGAAGACAGAGACACAAGGAGAAGGCAGCCATGTGATGAGGGAGGAGAGATTGGAGCGATGCATCTACAAGGAACACCAAGCATTGCCAGCGGCCACCAGAAGCCAGAATAGGCAAGGAAGTATTCTCTCTTACATGTTTCAGAGGAAGCGAAGCCCGGGCGGCACCTTGATTTTGGGCTTCTAGCATCCAGGCCTGTGAGACAATACATTTCTGTTGTTTTCAGCCACATGCGGGGCCCTCGTTGTTGTTGTGGTTTTTTTTTTTTTTTTTTGGAGATGGAGTTTCACTCTTGTGCCCCAGGCCGGAGTACAATGGCGCGACCTGGGCTCTCTGCAACCTCCTCCTCCCAGGTTCAAGCTATTCTCCTGCCTCAGCTTCCTGAGTAGCTGGGATTACAGGCATGCGCCACCTTGTCCAGCTAATTTTTATATTTTTAGTAGAGATGGGGTTTCACCATGTTGGCCGGGCTGGTCTCAAAATCCTGATCTCAAGTGATCCGCCTGCCTCAGCCTCCCAAAGTGCTGGGATTACAGGCATGAGCCACCGTGCCCGGTCTTGTGGTTATTTTTTTAGACAAGATCCCGCTGTGTCATCCTGGCTGGAGTGTAGTGGTACAATCTCAGCTCCTGCAGCCTTGACCTCCCGGGGCTCAGGTAATTTTCCCATCTCAGCCTCCAAGTAGCTGGGACTACATGCTTGGCTAATTTTTGTATTTTCTGTAGAGATGGGGTCTTGCTATGTGGCCCAGGCTGGTTTCAAACTCCTTGGGCTCAAGCCATCTGCCTGCCTTGGCCTCCCAAAGTGTTAGGATTACAGGTATGAGCCACTATCCCTGGCCACCCTTGTTAAAAAATAAAGAATTCCAAGATGGTGATGGCAGATTATTAAACCACAGTGGGGACTCTTCTGTGTCCCTGTGGGACTGTCCAGGTTGCAAGCCCATGAAGCCGGCCCTGGCTGCTGGGTTCTTCGGGTGCTGGACCTCCCGTGGCATGTGGCAAGGAGTTGTCATGGGTTATCACGACATATGATGATCACCTACGGGAGACCCAAAGACCACTCAGTCCTTTTTCCAACGAATGGCTGTGTATGTCACACAAGCAACAAACAGAACCGCAAGAGCTCCTGTGACAATGCTGAGCCTGATCACTGTGCCTTGCAGAGCAGATGCCCTGTGTACCTCCCTCCTGTTAAGAAACCAGAGGGTTTTTAATTGCCTGATTATTAAGAGGCTGTTCTGGCAGCTCCTGGTTCCCCGGGAAGTTTCCCATCTAGCCGCCAGTGAGTATTCATTATGGAAATGAAGTGCACATTGAACCCAAGAAAACACTCACTCTAGAGAAATCTCAGAGGGCAAGTCGTTGAAAGCCAATTTACTAAATGACCTCTTCGCCAAATGACCCATTTGCCTAATGACCACTTTGCCAAAGGATCAATTTGCTGAAAGCCAATTCGCTGAAAATCTGTTTGTGGGATGTCCTGCTTATCAGTAACTGACAGTCAGACGCAGCTTATCCCAGGCTCCCAGTGGGATATGGGATAGGGGAGGGGCTACAAAATAGTTGTAGCAAAACTCCAAAACTTGAAAAGAAGAAAAATCCTCCATTATTTGGCGAATTGGTCATTCATTTAATTAGTTTTCTACAAAAGGGACTGCTTTCTGTATGTTCACAAGGAGATCATGGGCAGTGACTTACAAGAAGAGAAAGGATGTATATCACCCCTGCCCTCCCCTCTTTTCTTTTTTTTTAAGGCAGGAATCAGGGTGCCATAGTACAATCACAGCTCACTGCAGCCTCCAACTCTTGGGTTCCAGCGATCCTCCCGCCTCAGCCTCCCCAGTAGCTGGGACTACAGGCATGTGACACTACATCCAGCTAATTTATTGTGGAGACAGGGTCTCAGTATGTTGCCCAGGCTGGTCTCAAGTTCCTGGCCCCAAGTGATCCTCCTACCTCGTCCTCCCAAAATCCCAAGTATGAGCCACTGTGCCCAGCCCATTACTCCTTTTTGCATGTAATTGCTTTAAACGCTCGTTAGATCACTGGACAATATCCAAGTCTCTCCTGGCGAAAGGAAAGATAGCCAGTGTTTGTAAACAACCCACAAAAGAAGGCAACAGCAAATTCTGAGATGATTTTATTCTTCCTTTGTATTACCCAGACCGAAGGGGTTTGAAGTCTTGAGAATTTGCAGTCTCGTTTCAGACTCTCCCGTCTCCTTTTTTCAGCATCGAGTGAACAGGGTTTTGCTCCTCCCCTATGAAGAGTTTTTTGTGCTATTGAAGCAGGGCTGATTTCCGTATCTGGAAGGGGCATCTTGGGGGCAGAGTGTACACAGTGATTTCCTTAGGACCGGAAGGATTACAGCCCGACTTTCTCTATAGAGCACCTTCCCTTTGCCTAAAAGGCACTATGTCAAATGTTACCAGCAGGTCGAGGGATTCCCTACCTCCCGTGCTATCTGTTTGGAGCTGTTGGCATCATGTTCCTGGGGCTCCGAAGCTGCTGGGAAACAGGAGTGTTCTGCTTGAATTCCCTCCTCCCCACCATGAGACCCCTTTTTGATTCTTTTCTATCTCAGGACAGAGCAGACTCTGCTGGCAGTTTTCTGGCAGCTGCTTTTGTGTCTCACCTGGCTGCTGGTCATAAGAGTTCACGAGCATTTCCTGGGTGACTGCCAGGGAGCCGTTGTGGGTTTGGGGGTGACTCCCAGGAGCTTACACACGAAGGGGTAGATGTGGATGCTGTTAAAAGTCTCGGCCAGGCCATTCCTCTTGAAATCTGGCCCGAAATCTCTGAATATGGTCTTCATATCCATGAGGACATTATCAAAGCCATGGCTGCCTTTGTTGAAACACATTATAATTCTCTGAAAAATAATAAAAATAAAAAAGCCATTTTAGATTCCAATCCGCTGAAAGAAAACTGTCCGTTAGTTAATGTCATGCTTGTTGGATCCATGAAGTCTTTGAGAATTTAAACTACAAGGACACTGCTCTCTGTGGTGGTGGAGAGAATACCAAGGATTTAAAGGTCTTTAAGAAAGAGAATGTAGAAAGCGTACCCATTGGAAACAGCGAGATGATGATAATCGTACTGACAGTAATAATAAGCTCAAATATATAGAGCTTACTATGTATCATGAATTGTCCTGAATGCTTCATAAATATACGTTCCCTCCTTTACCCTCATGGCAGCCCAGTAAAGGCGCCATTCCCCATTTTACAGCTGGGGAAACTGAGTTACAGAGATTGTCTGCACTGAGTCAACAGGAGCAAATGCTAGATCAGGTAACGGAACCCAAGCAATCTGGTTCCAGAGCCAAATAGATGTATTTTTTATGGTATAAATACACATACATACATTTTTAGGGGAAGGGTGGGGGTAGGATGGGATGAGGATTCTGGGTAATTGCTTGGTAAATGCCAAATACCTTTCTTGTCTGTCCCTCTTTTCAAATGATAAAGTAATGTCAATTGCAACACTTTTTTTTTTTTTTTTGAGACAAGGTCTAGCTGGAGTACAGTGATGCAGTCACAGCCCACTGCAGCCTCAAATTCCTGGGCTCAAGCAATCCATCCACATCAGCTTCCCAAGTAATTGGGACAACAGGCCCACACTACCATGCCAAGCTAATTATTTTAATTTTTGTAGAGATGGCAGGTGGTGGTGAGGGGTGGGCGGTTTTGCTATGTTGCCCAGGCTGGTCTCAAACACTTGACCTCAAGTGAACCTCCTGCCTCAACCCCACAAAGCTCTGAAATTATAGGCATGAGCCACTGTGGCTGGCTGCAATACTATTTATTTATATTTTAGACCAACAGATATTCTAGCATATAAGAAATGTGATGTTCTCTGTACATTGAAGAGTTGGTCTAATATTTGGCCTGGTGGATACAGAAATTGCCTGTCTGCTCCGCTCTGGTTGAAGAAACCAGTCCAACTGTCTCTGAGGCTATGGAGCAGTCCATCAAGAATGAAAGCCCTCGGCCAGGCACGTTGGCTCACACCTGTAATACCAGCGCTTTGGGAGGCCGAGGCAGGTGGATCACATGAAGTCACGAGTTCAACACCAGCATGGCCAACATGGTGAAACCCTGTCTCTACAGAAAATAGAAAAATTAGCTGGGCCTGGTGATGCATGCCTGTAATCCCAACTACTCAGGAGGCTGAGGCAGGAGAATCACTTAAACCTGGGAGGCAGAGGTTGCGGTGGGGAGCTGAGATCACACCACTGCATTCCAGCCTGGGAGACAGAGCGAGACTCTCTCAAAAAAAAAAAAAAAAAAAAGAATGAATGTCCTCATGATGGCCTCAAGCACTTTGGTCCCTGAAGAGAGTCAAGGAAGGCCCACTTTACTCTGCACTGCAAAGCAGGCAGGTGGACATGATGAGAAGTGGATTCAGTGAGAGGCATTGACCCAAAGGATTTTTCTGCCTAATGGTCGGTTCAGCAGAAGATTAAACTGAGCACAGCATCCTGTTCCCTCAAACTATCTGGTTGGTCAGTGGGGAATGTTCTTGTCTCGTTAAATGTCCTCATGCTACTGTCAAGATATCCTGTTACAAAACATCATAAACCAGGTTTACAAATAGGCCAGGTGACTGTGGAATTTCTCCCTGGCAAGGCCTTAGCTATGGGCGCGCGATTGGTGTGCAGTAATCACAGTGTTCCGGGCCACTTGAGGGATAAAATATACCTAAGGTGATAAACTGTTGTATTTTAATGTGAATATTTCCACCAACACTAAACAGTAACCCCAAGAGTTTTCTCATACCTGTTACACCCTGGAATTGCAACAAGCTAACATGAAGCAAGTTGCAAACATAATTATCACATTTGGCTCCTATTCACAGCAAGGGTTCTTCAAGCTCTACCTGGGGCAGTCTTCCCTCACATGAGGTTTATAGCATCATTTATGTAATTATTTATTTATTTTTTGAGATGGAGTTTTGCTCTGTCGCCCAGGCTGGAGTGCAATGGTACGATCTTGGCTCACTGCAACCTCCGTCCCCCCGGGGTTCAAGCGATTCTCCTGCCTCAGCCTCCTGAGTAGCTGGGATTATAGGCACCCGCTACCACGCCTGGCTAATTTTTGTATTTTTAGTAGAGACGGCGTTTCACCATGTTGACCGGGCTGGTCTCAAACTCCTGACCTCAGGTGATCCACCCCCCTCAGCCTCCCAAAGTGTTGGGATTACTGGCATGAGCCATGGTGCCCGGCTATAGCATCATTTCAACTTTGTTTCTGGCATGAATTGTTAGTTGGTAGTTAACAAAAAATAGACCACCTCATTTATGTCTCACAGTTAGCATTGGTTTTTGTGTTTTCTTTAGGCTTGTCTTTTAATTGTTTTTAAAATTGTGAAACAGGGTCTTGTTCTGTTGCTGACGCCAGAGTGCAGTGATACAATCTTGGCTCACTGCAGCCTCAACCACCTGGGCTCAAGCAATCCTCCCACTTTAGCCTCCTGAGTAGCTGGGACTACAAACACGAGCCACCACTGCTGGCTAATTTTTAATTTTTTTTTTTTTTTGAAATGGAGTTTCGCTCTGTCGCCCAGCAGGTTGGAGTGCAGAGGGGTAATCTCGGCTCACTGCAACCTCCACCTCTCAGGTTCAAGCGACTCTCCTGCCTCAGCCTCGGCACCCACCACCATGCCTGGCTAATTTTTAAAAAATATTTTTAGTAGCGACAGGGTTTCACCATGTTGGCCAGGCTGGTCTTGAACTCCTGACCTCAAGTGATCCACCTACCTCGGCCTCCCAAAGTGCTGGGATTACAGGCGTGAGCCACCATGCCAAGCCTAATTTTTAAATTTTTTGTAGAGACCAGGTTTTGCCATATTGTCTAGGCTGGTCTTGAAATCCTGGGCTCAAGTGATCCTCCTGCTTTGGCCTCTCAAAGTGCTGGGATTACAGGCATGGCCCTTATGCCTGGCCCTTAAAGCTGCTTTTTAATAACAGCCTTACTGAAAGATAATTCACATACCATACAAGTTACCCATTTGAAGTGTACAATTTGGCTGGGCATGGTGGCTCACACTTGTAATCCCAGCACTTTGGGAGGCTGAGGTGGGAGGATCGCTTGAACCCAAGAGTTTGAGATGAGCCCGAGCAACATGGCAAAACCCTGTCTCAACCAAAATTACAAAAAATTAGCTGGGCATGGTGGGTGTGTCTGTAGTCCCAGCTACTCAGGAGGCTGAAGTGGGAGGATGGTTTGAGCCCGGGAGGTGGAGGGTGCAGTGAGTTGAGACTGCACCACTGCCCTCCATCCTCGGCAACAGAGCCAGACCCTGTCTCTAAATAAATAAATAAAGTGTATAATTCAGTGGTTTTTAATATATTCACAGAGTTGTGCAGCCATCACCACCATCAGTTTTAGAAATTTTAATTACCCCAGAAGAGACCCTGTAGCCATTAGCAGTCACCCCTTATTTCCCCCTGACTATCCACACCCCTGGCTCCTGGCAACCATTAATCTACTTTGTTTCTTTGGATTTTCATATTCTGGGCATATATATGTGTGTGTGTGTGTGTGTGTGTGTGTGTGTGTGTGTGTATATATATATATATAATAGAATCATCTACTATTTGTCTGGCTTCTTTCACTTAGCCTAATGGTTTCAAAGTGTATCCAGGTTGTAGCATGAATCAGCCCGTCATTCCACATTTTGGCTGATTAATGTTCCATCACACGGGTAGACTCTACTGGTTTGCCCATTCATCTGTTGTTGATAGGCATTTGTGTTGTTGCCACCTTTTGACAATTATGAATAATTTTGCTACGAGCATCTGTGTGTGTCTTTGTATGAACAGGCTTGCATATTTTTTGATATGGGCAAATGAGAACTAGTGGCGGGAGGCCTTTGTGGTGAATTTTTTGGTGATCTTTGTGTACTCTGTATAATGATCAGCCACGCAGGCTTGGGGGCAGCACTTAACCTTACATTTCTTTCTTTTTCTTAAGATAGGGTTTCTCTCTCTGCCACCCAGGCCAGAGCGCAGTTGATGCAGGGCAGGGCAGGGGAGCCCCCAAGTGGAGCATAGTGTATCCAGAACTGGTGGGTTCTTGGTCTCACTGACTTCAAGAATGAAGCCACGGACCCTCGCGGTGAGCGTCACAGCTCTTAAGGCTGCGTGTCTGGAGTTGTTTGTTCCTCCCAGTGGGTTCATAGTCTCACTGGCTTCAGGAGTGAAGCTGCAGACCTTCAAGGTGAGTGTTACAGCTCATAAAGGCAGTGTGGACCCAAAGAGTCAGCAGCAGCAAGATTTATTGCAAAGAGCAAAAGAACAAAGCTTCCACAGTGTGGAAAGGGACCCCAGCGGGTTACCACTGCTGGCTGGGGCAACTTGCTTTTATTCTCTTATCTGGCCCCACCCACATCCTGCTGATTGGTCCATTTTACAGAGAGCTGATTGGTCTGTTTTACAGAGAGCTGATTAGTCCGTTTTGACAGGGTGCTGATTGGTGCATTTACAATCCCTGAGATAGACACAAAAGTTCTCCAAGTCCCTACTAGGTTAGCTAGATAGAGAGTGTCCATTGGTGCATTCACAAACCCTGAGCTAGACACAGGGTGCTGATTGGTGTGTTTACAAACCTTGAGCTAGATACAGAGTGCCGATTGGTGTATTTACAATCCCTCAGCTAGACATAAAGGTTCTTCAAGTCCCCACCAGACTCAGGAGCCCAGCTGGCTTCACCAAGTGGATCCTGCACTGGGGCCACAGGTGGAGCTACCTGCCAGTCCCGCGTCCAGCGCCGGCACTGCTCAGCCCTTGGGTGGTTGATGGGACTGGGCGCTGTGGAGCAGGGGGTGGTGCTCACTGGGGAGGCTCGGGCCATGCAGGATCCCGCGGCCGGTAGCGGGGAGGCTCAGGCATGGTGGGCTGCAAGTCCCAAGCCCTGCCCTGCGGAGAGGCAGCTAAGGCCCGGTGAGAAATCCAGCACAGCAGCTGCTGGCCCAGGTGCTAAGCCCCTCACTGCCCAGGGCCGGCGGGGCTGGCTGGCCGCTCCGAGTGCGGGGCCTGCCGAGCCCATGCCCACCCGGCACTCGCGCTGGCCCGCAAGTGCGGTGCCCAGCCCCTGTTCCCTCCTGCGCCTCTCCCTCTACACCTCCCCGCAAGCTGAGGGAGATGCCTCCAGCCTCGGCCATCCCAGGAAGGGGCTCCCACAGTACAGTGGTGGGCTGAAGGGCTCCTCAAGTGCTGCCAAACTGGGAGCCCAGGCAGAGGAGGCACCAAGAGTGAGCTCCAGGGCTGCCAGAACGCTGTCACCTCTCAATAGCACATGAGGGTTCTTGCCTTTGCTCAGGAAAGAATTCAAGGGCAAGCTGGAGGTATAGAAGAAGACAGCTTTATTGAAGAGGCAGCGTTACAGCCCTGTGACTGCTCCTGTAGGGCAGGGCTACCCTGGAGGCAGAGAGTAGCGGTAGAGAGCTTGCAATCACATTTATACCCACTTTTAATTGCATGCAGATTAAAGGGCAGTCTATGCAGGAATTTCTAGAAAATTGGTAGTAACTTTTGAGTCATTGGGTCATTGTCATGGAAAGGGGCAGGAACTCCTGGGTGTTGCCATGGCAATAGTAAACTCACATGGCACACTGGTGGGCATGTCTGATGGAAAGCTGCTTCTGCCCCAGCCCTGTTTTAGCTAGTCCTCAATTTGGTCTGCTGTCCAAGCCCTGCCTGTGGAGTCAAGTCCTGCCTCCTATCTCACAGTGGCGTGATCATGGCTCACTGCAGCCTCAACACCCCCGGGCTCAAGCAATTCTCCCACCTCAGCCTCCTGAGTTGCTGGGACCACAGGCACGTGCCATTACGCCCAGCTACAGTTTTTTGCATTTTTTGTAGAGATGGTGTTTCACTGTGTTGCCTAGGCTGGTCTCAAACTCCTGGGCTCAAGCAATCTATCTACCTTAGCCTTCTAAAGTGCTGGGATTACAGGTGTGAGCCGCTGCACCCAGCCCAAGCTTACATTTTTAATCTCAAGTCACTTCTCTAGGTTTTGATTTCTTCTTTAAAATGTTGGAACTAAGAGCATCTATTTTATAGGGTTGTTGGGAAGGCAAAATGAAAGAACGGCTATTCAATGTTTAGTGAAGCGCTATGCACAATTTTGAATAATGAAGTTGCTGTTTATTTTTATTGTTTATTTATTTTTTAGAGACTGGGTCTTGCTCTGTTGCTCAAGCTGGAGTGCAGTGGTGCAATCACAGCTTACTGCAGCCTTGACCTCCTGGGCTCAAGAAATCCTGCCACCTCAGCCTCCTGAGTAGCTGGGACTGCAGGCATGCATTGCCATGTCTGGCTATTTATTTATTTGTTTGTTTTTTGTAGAGATGGGGTCTCCCTATGTTGCCCGGGCTGGTCTTGAACTCCTGGCCTTAAGCAGTCCTCCTGTCTTGGCCTCCCAAAGCACTGAGATTACAGGTGTGAACCACCATGGCCAGCCTTATTTTTATTTTTAAATCAGCCTTGTCCAGTTGAATTGGTCATTAATCTTGTATAATGGTAATTTGGGGCAGCATTGGTTGGGCGGGGGGTGGGGAACATTTAGGACCCTGTGGGCTACAACTCGTAGTGTGTGCACTTATTTTATTTTGTTTTATTATATTATGTTATATTTTTTTGAGACAGGGTCTCACTCTGTTGCCCAGACTGGAGTGCAGTAGCATGATCTTGGCTCACTGCAACCTCTGCCTCCCAGGTTCAAGCTATTCTCCTGCCTCAGCCTCCAGAGTAGCTGGAACTACAGATGCACGCCACCACGCCCGGCTAAGTTTTGTATTTTTAGTACAGATGGGGTTTCACCATGTTGGCCAGGCTGGTCTCAAACTCCTGACCTCAGGTGATATACCTGCCTCAGCCTCCCAAAGTGCTGGGATTATAGGCGTGAGCCACTGTGCCTGGCTGTGCACTCATGTTTGATTTTTGCAGAACCACCCTTCCCTAATGGTTGTCTCCTAGATCCAAGGTGACTTTATTCATTTTAGAATGAACTTATCCCATTGATACTGTAACTAGAGTTGGCATACATCACGATTGGCAGAACCCGGTCATGTTTAGCGAGATGGAAGTGTTCTGGAAACTCCTCCTTCTTGTAGATGTGGAGGTGAGGGTGCGCATTCTTCAGTGCCTGGTAAAGGGCTTCTTCTTGCCCCAGTTTGGGTAGGGGCAGCCCAAAGCCACCATAGCCCACAATATCAAACTTGACCCAGTCCCTGAACTTGATGTAGTTGGACAAGGGATCTTGTTGACATTGGGTCTCTTCTTCACGGTCATCATCCCATGGTCTCATGTGATGATGACCTGAGGTGCTCTGCAGGCTGTGCTTCTCAGTGGCTCCCACCAGATACCAGATGGTCCTGTCGAGTTGCTGAATCATCAACTTCCTATTCTCTGCCTCTGGCTTGAATCGATGTCCTACGTTATCTGGCTGTCTGTAGTACAGAGTCACAAAGTCAAAGTCTTCCTTGGTGAAGCAGTTCATGACGGTATCGATGTTCTCCCTCTGCTCTGTCTCGTTGTTATTTTGGTGAGTGTAGGACTCCACCAGGGACCGCTTGACAGCCTCACCCTCGTATTTAGCACCTCCCCTGGAATAGTGGGATGATGCTGCTTTCTTCCCCTTCACGTACAATAAGAAAATTCCATCAGGGCCATTTCTCATACCTTTCTCACAATCAGCAAAGCTCGAGTTGTCTACATCTGTGCCCCAGTCCAAAGACATAGAAAATATGTGGTCTTTGGAGTCAGACAGGGTGGAGTTAGATTCTGGGATTCCCCAGGATCTCATAGCATCTACAACACTGTTAGTTACAAGATGTACTATTATTTTATGGGCTACTAAGCAGAAAAATGCCGCCAACGAGACTGTGACATTCCAGTGATTGTAAGGTGTATTACAACTTCAGAGATGGCAAAATGAAAAATAATTCCTTAGAATAGAGGGAGACGGTAATTTCTGAGTTGTTGGTGGTGAATCTGTGCATGTGTGTTTTTTATATATATACACATATATATACATACATATACATGTATATATATGTGTATATATAGACATACCTATATACATATACATATATATATGTGTATATATAGTGGTGCAGTGGTACAATCATAGCTCATTGCACCCTTGAACTCCTGGGCTTAAGCGATCCTCCTACCTCAGCCTCTTGAGTAGCTGGGGCCACAGGCATGTACCACCATACCTATATATATATATTTTTTTGAGACACGGTGTCACTCTCTCACCTAGGCTGGAGTGCAGTGGCACGATCTCAGCTCACTGCAACTTCTGACTCCTGGGTTCAAGCAATTCTTTTGCCTCAGCCTCCCAAGTAGCTGGGATTATAGACACGTGCCACTATGCTCAGCTAAGTTTTGCATTTTTAATTGAGATAGAGTTTTGTCGTGATGGCCAGGCTGGTTTCGAACCCCTGGGCTGAAGTGATCCACCTGCCTTGACCTCCCAAAGTGCTGGGATTACATGTGTGAGCCACCGCGCCTAGCCCTAATTTTTTTTTTTTTTTTTTTTTTTTTAGTCTTTGTAGAGATGAGGTCTCGCTAATTTGCCCAGGCTTGTCCTGAACTCCTGGGTTTAAGTGATTCTCCTGCCTCAGCCTCTCAAACTGCTGGGATTACACGCAAGAGACACTGCACCCGGCTGGTTGTGAGTTTTTAAATTTTCCAGTGTCTCAGTGTTTCTACCTGTAGAATGCCAAAAAGTAGATGGCATCTTTGCGAGGATTAAGTCGACTAGCTTTTTTTTTTTTTTTTTTTGAGAGAGAATTTCTTTCTTGTCACCCAGGCTGGAGTGCAATGGCGTGATCTTGGCTCACTGCAACCTCTGCCTCCTGGATTCAAGTGATTCTCCTGCCTCAGCCTCCCAAGTAGCTGGGATTACAAAGCCAGCTAGCTTTAAGATACAGTGTGGGGCATCACATTTTGGCACGGAGCAGGCACTCTTTCCTTTGCCCCCAGGTGGGACTAAGCCACCACAAGCCTTCCCTGGTGTGTGCAGTGGGTGATGAATGCTTGCCTGCTCAGCACCCACTACATGCTGGGCTGGGTCACATTACTCTGACTCCCCCTTGAGCTTCAGTCCGTGCCTGGTTCAAGATGTATTCACTCAACTCGAGGATCCAGAGGTGGGATGTGGCTCTGGCCTGGCCAGAGGACAGAGGATGCTGCATGCCATGGCTACAGCAACTGGTTCAGCTTTGGGCTCATGTCCTAGTCAGAGCCAATGAGATGTAATCTTCGGATATCTGCTGGGCTGTTGGGAAGGGGACAGGCTGCCCTGCTCATCCCCATTCCTGATGCTGAGGGATCTGAGAAAATCACTTGTAAAATTCGGGGGTGTTTGGAAGAAGGGGAGACCGATGTCTCCTTCTCTCTACAGACATCTGATCAGCTACAGAGCTTGACTGACCTACCCAGAGGCATAATGATATGGTGGTTAAAAGTGTGCTCTGGGCCGAGATCTTGCCACCGAACTCCAGCCTGGGTGACAGAGTGAGACTCCGTATAAAAAAAAAAAAAAGTGTGCTCTGGGCTGGGCGCGGAGGCTTATGACTGTAATCCCAGCACTTTGGGAGGCTGAGGCAGGAAGATCGCTTGAAGTCAGGAGTTTGGGATCAGACCCTATCTCTAGAAAAATGCTTTTTAAAAATTAGCTGCGTTGGTGGTGAATGCCTGTAGTCTCAGCTACTCGGGAGGCTGAGGCAGGAAGATTGCTGGAGCCCGGGAGTTCAAGGCTGCAGTGAGCTATGATCAGGCCACTGCACTCCAGTTTGAGGGACAGAGAGAGACCCCATCTCCCTAAAGAACAAAAAAGTGTGCTCTGGTGCCGCACTGCCTGGTTAGATCCTTTCTCCACCACTTAGATGCATGTTATATAAATGCTGTCCTCAGTTTCCTCATCTGTAACTTGGGGATGATAATGTTGCCCCATGAAGTGGTTGTGGGGACTAAATGCATGTGGGCACATTGGTACGTATTCAACAAGCTTGATTTTTCCTGGAGAGGGAGAAAGAGCATACAGTGAAGTGGCACGGTCAGGTGCATTGGGGCAAGGATTATTTCCTCCGGCTTCTGCCTCCTGGGAGGTACTAAGGATGGATGTGAAATGTGTCTGCAGAACCCAGAGTTGGGGACTGCAGAGGAAAATTGAGATCAGGGACCCCAGCCTGGCAGAAATGGGTGCAGCATGGGGCATTGTGTTCCTTCCATCAGAGGCATGGGGTGTGTTGCAGAGAGTCATGAGATATGGCTGAATCTTGCAAGGGAGCCGCGGTCCTAGGGTTGCTGCTTGAGACAAAGACCACTGTCAGTGCAACCTGGTGACCTTCACCCTTCTGTGTCAGGCTGCAGACAGCAAGAGATGGCAGCAGATTACACCCAACAGGAAAAGGGCCATTGCTATCCCACAGGTTGCCATAAGAGGAGATGACATCTCTCCCTCTCCTCCTCCAGCAGTGTCAGCTGGGGAAGAGGTGGGTGGGTATGCACAAAAGAGTAGACCACAGACCATGCTCCTTCTCCTCCAGTCTGCTGGGTCCCCAAGAGAGTCTGCAGCCCTTGGCCAGGGACCGGCTGACACAGGAGAACAAAAGATCTCAGGCTGGGATAACATGGTGGTGCAGTTCATCCTCTGGAGCTCCCTGTGAGATCAGACTGGAGCCAGTCTCCAGCTGAGACCACATCTCACTTAGCTCCTTCCCTGCCATATCTTGTTTTCCTTACTCCTATCTCCTGAGAGTCCTGAATAAATTACATGCACTCAATCCCTGCCTCAGGCTCTGTTTTTAGGGAACTTGACCTAAGACAGATATCTTAGTACTAGATACTTTGCAAGGCCTCAGAAGCTCTGCTATCCACAGGCAGGTGAGATATTACCTTCCCTACCACCTGGCAGTCATAGTCAATGATGCGATTCAGCTTTGTGGAAGTGCTTCTCTAAAGAACTTCCCCCAATTTAAGATGATCTTAATTTGCTTACTTCTTTACTGCCCATTTAGCTGCTTTAAAATGTGAACTCCAAATCAGGGGCCATGTCTGGTTGGTTACCCATTTCCTGGGACCTAGAACGGGCCTAGCTCAGAGCAGTTGCTCACTATTGATGGAATGCATGTTGAAAGAATGCGTGAATCTCATCTCCTTTTGTGGGTGAAAAGCTCATCCTATTCTCACTCCTGATTAACTTTCTTTCTTTCTTTTTTTTTTTTTTTCAAAATGGAGCCATGATCTGTCACCCAGGCTGGAGTACAATGGTGCGATCTCGGCTCGATGCAACCTCTGCCTTTTGGATTAAAGCAATTCTCCTGCCTCAGCCTCCCGGGTAGCTGGGATTACAGGTGCACACCACCACGACCAGCTAATTTTTTGTATTTTTAATACAGACAGGGTTTCACCATGTTGGCCAGGCTGGTCTCGAACTCCTGACCTCGTGATCTGCCCGCTTTGGCCTCCCAAAGTCCTGGGATTACAGGCATGAGCCACCGTAACCAGCCACTCTTGATTAACTTAATGGAAATATTTACAGAGATTCTTTCTCTTCTGGGTTCTAGCGTCTTATCTGTAACCTCTGCAGGTAATACATTTTCCTTCCTGATAATAGCATTTCTTTGGTTGCTTTCACTTGCAAATCCTCTAATACTGATTTATTCCATTTCTGATTGGCATTAGTCATAATTCTCAATTTTTAGTGACAGCACTTCTGTTAACTTACATATAAATCGACTTTGCCTTGAAATGTGACTTTGACTAGAAGGATGAAACTTCTAACATGCTGTAGAACATAGTTTGACTGGCTAATTTATTATTTAGAAGAAGCTAATATTGCCATTATGAGGGACTTAGGTGGTTCTGAAGAACCAGTTGTATTTCTGATGTTTGCAATGTTAAATCACAGATATTGCCAATGTGAAATAGTTTCCGTATGCTGTGTTCTCAATACACACCTTTTCCAAAGATATCCCAAGCTGTAGTCTTAGGAAACTGTGATTTTTCTTATTTGGTCTCATAGGAATTTGGGGAGCTATGCGGGATCTCCATAAAATGAGCTCCAGAAAGACACATGTGTGCACATACACACACACACACACACACACACACTCTCACACATGTACCACACCACAATTGACTGTTTATGTGGGACCCATGATTATCAGAAGTGCTATTTTCAACAAACACTTCTGAGAAATAATCTGAACACTTAATTGGATGCAAAAGAGTGGGTATTTACTATTCTACCCTTTAATTAGCATAATCAGTGTTTCCAGCAGCAAAAGCAATTGGAAAAGCGCTAGTTTTATTAGGTTCATTATTCTCCCTTAGCGTAGTGTGGCATCAGCATGGCTATTATTCTTAAATTGCCTCCTTAAAACAAGGGCTGGTGCTTCTTACAGGCAATTCCTAACTGTTGGGTTTTGCAGAGAGTCCAAAACTCTTTAGAACCTATAATTCAAGGAAAGGCTCCACTTTGGTTTTGCATTTTGTCTGGTCTCTTTGGCTGACAGAATTTATGTCACAAGGTACACATGTTTGGGGGAGGCTCATGGACAGCCCATCGCGCTTGTGCTTTGGTAGGAAGTACGTGCCGTTAAGGGGAAGGAGTTAGTTACTGATTCTAGGGAACAATTGGGTAGAAAGAGATGTTTGAAATTCAGAACTCAAGCTTCGCTCTAAGTGTTTCCTTGCTTTGCTGTGCTCCAGGGGAGTCACTGAGCAGAAGGAAGCGAGTTGCCTGAGATTCCTCAAAGCCAGCAGCCCTTTTGGAGGTTACATTGTTATTCTCAGAGCCTTTATGATGCATAATAAAGACCTAGCTTGGACCAACATTAGGATGAGTTATCTTGCTATTAACAATCTTTTAGGTAGAAGTTGCTGGTCCCATCTTGCTCACAATCCTCCAAAGTTTGAAAGTGATTTTCCAGGAGACTTGGCTTGCACTGAGAGCTGCCCTCCCACCCTCTCTCCAAATTTCCTCTTGGGGGTAGCCTAACAAGGTGCTGTCACAGACCCTTGCCTGCCACGATGACCCCACCCAGACCATCCCTCTGCTGGTTCACTCTTTGATACTCTCTGGAGCTCTCTGGGGAGGGGTGAGACCTGCCCTCTCGTTTGTATGGTTTGCCCAGGTCTTACAGTCATGGCTGGCTGCCTCTCTCTGAGAACTGGGACTCCTGAACTTGGTGAAATACCTCAGCCATCGATCATGTTGAATTATCGGGGACACTCATTTAAAATCGGAGCCTGTTCCAGATAGACTCTCTCTCTTTCTGCCCTGACCGTGAGAGAAGCCTTGCTGGACGGTGGAGGCGCTCGTGGGCTGTAAGCAAGGGATGCAAAGGCTGCCGGGAATCCCTTCTTTCCAGCGTCATCTGCCAAGGGACATCAGTCCCTGGGTATCTTGATGGGTTCTAGCAGCATTACTGTCATTGAAGGAAAAATTTTAGCCATATTAAAGGTGAATGCAGCAATCTCCACATAGGCTGCCTGGAAGGGACGCAGGACAAGGGTAGGTTTTCTTGTGATGGACAGGAGGCAGGCGGCCCTCCCACAGCCCTGTCTGGCTATGCAGATGTGTCCCCATAAGGCACTGGGGGCCAGCTGGAGTGCTGTGCCGAGGCGGGCTGACCCGGGCCGTGGGTTCGCTCTGATTGCAGCGGTTTCCCGCCAGCTCCTTGCAGAGCTGGCAGATGGCCCAGCCCCACAGCAGGAGCTGTGAATGGCAGAACGAGATACAACAATTTGATATCCACTTGCCAGACGAGCCGGGTGTCGTCAGTCGCCTGGCTCTGTGCCCAACCTCTTTTTGCATAAACACTTATGAATTCAGCCAAGAGGAAAAGCACTCTGATTATGAATTGAGCAGAAGGAAACAAAATTCTGCAGATAAACACCAATGAGACAAAAAAACACGAACAAGAAAAATGACAGAAAAGGAGAACCTTCCCAGAAGCCTCCTGCCAGTGAACGGCCACCACAGCAAGAGCATGGAGAGGCCCTGGGTTTTGAACTGTGAGATAAGGAAGATGATGAAAACCTCCCTAGCAGCCAGGCAAGCACAAGATTCCTGTGAAATCCAGGTCTAAGTGTTTTGACCACCGAAGTAATATTATGTCATAGGTGAGAGCTGTGAGTTGCTGAACCCAAAGTGAGTTCAAATCCGAGTTCTGCCTCCTGCAACCTGTGTGACTTTGAGAAGTTCCAGCACCACTTTGTGCCTCAGTTTTGTCATCTGTTAAACGGGCATAATCACAGCTCCTGCCT
Organism: Homo sapiens; assembly: GCF_000001405.40. Classification (NCBI taxonomy): domain Eukaryota; kingdom Metazoa; phylum Chordata; class Mammalia; order Primates; family Hominidae; genus Homo; species Homo sapiens. The sequence continues at coordinate 67,827,175 of NC_000011.10, forward strand.
CAGAGTTGTTGTAAATTAATACATGTAAAGCACTGAAATCAGCCTGGTATACAGTAGGTATTATGAACGTTATTTTCTTGGAAGGACAGAACTTCTTTTCATGGTTTAAGCCTGAAAACCTAAAAAATGTGAGAGAAGAGGAAAGAATCTAGAGTGTCACCATGAGGGGGAAAAGTCAACTTGAAGCAGGACAGGGTCATTGACAATTTCCTGTGATTCTACAGCTGCCTTGTACACTATGGTAGCTCCTATCCACTTGTTTAGATTTTGTGATTTAGAAATGAATTAAGGCCGGGCATGGTGACACACCTGTAATCCCAGCATTTTGGGAGGCCAAGTTGGGCAGATCACCTGAGGTCAGGCGTTCAAGATCAGCCTGGCCAACATGGTGAAATCTCGTCTCTACAAAAATACAAAAATTAGCCGGGCATGATGGCGGGTTCCTGTAATCCTGGCTACTCAGGAGGCTGAGGCAGGAGAATTGCTTGAACCCCGGAGATGGAGGTTGCAGTGAGACGAGATTGCACCACTGCACTCCAGCCTGGAGGATAGAGTGAGACTCTGTCTGAAAAAAAAAAAAAATAGTTAAGAGAAAATTGAAAATTCAGTTCTTCATTCTCACCAGCCACATTTCAAGGGCTCAACAGCCCATGTGGGTGGCTAGCAGCTCCCATGTTGGACAGTGCAGAGTAGAGCAAGCCCGCCATTGCAGAATGTTTGATTGGACCATGACTGAATAGTCTATTGCAGTGACCCCCAATTTTTTTTTTAGCACCAAAGACCAGTTTCCATGTATTTGTGGGGGGAAGTTTCAGTATGATTCAAGTGTGTTACATTTACTGTGTACTTTATTTCTATTGTTATGAACATTATAATATATAATGAAATCCTTATACAACTCACCATAATGTAGAATCAGTGGGAGCCCTGAGCTTGTTTTCCTGCAACTAGATAATCCCATCTCCGGGTGGTGGGAGACGGTGACAGATCATCAGGCATTAGATTCTCATAAGGAGCACACAACCTAGATCCCTTCCACATGCAGTTTACAATAGGGTTGGTGCTCCTATCAGAATCTAATGCCACTGCTGATCTGATAGGAGACAGAGCTCAGCCAGGGGGATCAGCTGTAAATACAGATGAAGCTTCACTCATTAGCTCACTGCTCACCTCCTTCTGTGCAGCCCAGTTCCTAACAGGCCACAGACCACTACTGGTCTGTGGTCTGGGGGTTGGGAACCTCTGGTCTATTGGATAACACTAGCTTTGAGGGTACTGATCAGCCAAAGAAGCACTGAGATGATTTGTCCTCCATTAATAAGAATGATGGACTTTTTTTTTTTTTTTTTTGAGACAGAGTTTTGCTCTTGTTGCCCAGGCTGGAGTGCAGTGGCACCATCTCGGCTCACTGCAACCTCTGCCTCCCAGGTTCAAGAGATTCTCATGCCTCAGCCTCTCAAGTAGTTGGGATTACAGGTGCCTGCCACCATGCCTGGCTAATTTTTGTATTTTTAGTAGAGTCGGGGTTTTGCCATGTTGACCAGGCTGCTCTTGAATTCCTGACCTCAAGTGATCCACCTGGCTCGGTCTCCCGAAGTGCTGGGATTACAGGCGTGAGACACCGTGCCTGGCCAGATGCACTTTTTTTGAGCATTTAGTTCCAAGCACCTTCCCTGCATTTTCTCAGTTAATCCTCCCAGTGACTCTTTGAAGCAGGGACTATGACAATCGTCATTTCACAGATGGAGCAACTGAGGCACAGAAAGGAGGTCAATGGCCATGGTCACCCAGCTGAGGAAGGATGGAGCTGGCTGAGATCCTGTTCTGGGGATCTAACTCTGCAGCCTGCATTCTGGGCTGCTGTTTTCTCCCATGTTGCTATCTGATGAGCACAGCATGGGCTCAGAGTACAGACAGGAGGAACCAGCTAATAAGGAGAGGTCTGGGGTGAAGGCTGGTGCCTTGGGGAAGAAGAGAGAGGTCCCATTCTAAAGGGATGGCATTGGAAGTTCATAGTGATAAAGCAAAGCCAACAGGTTTTGGGGCTGGGAGTTAAACACACAGCTCTGGTTTCTGCCTTTTCACAGTGGTGATGAATGGGCACTGAGACCCTCTCGAGCTAAAGTTGTCATCACTGCTCTTCATAGTCTGAAGGTGCATGAAATGGTCAACTTTCTTCCAAAGGGCTTTTATGCCTAAGTCTGTGGTTAGTGTATAAACAGATATTTACTGAAGTCCTGCTGGGTACAGACACTGTGGCCAGCCCTGAGGCTACAGTCTAGATGAAGCCAGTCTCTGTCCTCATGGAGACCTGTCTATTGATAAGAAAAGAGAAAGCTCACTGAGCATTGACCCTGTGCCCACTGCTTTTGATGCATCTCTCATTTAATCCTTCTATCAAATCTGTGAAATAAACACATCACCATCATCCCTATTTCACATTTAGGGAAACATATGCTTAGAGAGGGTAAGTAACTTGGTCAAAGTCACACAGCTTCGAACTCTCATCCCACAGGTGCAGGAATGGGAGGCAGCAGCTGGGGAAGCCAGGGTCTCTGGCAGTCCTTGTCTCTGGGCGGTGATCCAGAGAGAGAGAGAACACGATTGTCTCAGCACTGGGTCTTCTTCTGAGTCGTCTTGAAGGAGCAATTCCAGAGCATCTCGGTGTTAAACATCATGTTGTGAATGACTCAGTGATCTCTGACCCAGAGAACTTGGGGATAAAGGAGGGGAGGTATGGAGAAGCTCTTCGAATGGATGTTACCGGGGTGTCAGTGTTCCTTGAGGCCACAGGCTATTTGTCACCAAATTGAAGGGGTGGCCTGCCCCTCCACACCTGTGGGTATTTCTAGTCGGGTGGGATGAGAGATGGAGAAAAGAAATAAGACACAGAGACAAAGTACAGGGAAACAACAGTGGGTCCAGGGGACCGGCACTCAGCAGACCAGGACTTGCACGGGCACTGGCCTCTGAGTTCCCTCAGTTTTTATTGATTATGATTTTCATTATTTCAGCAAAAAGGAATGTAATAGGAGAGCAGGGTGATAATAAGGAGAAGGTCAATAAAAAACATGTGAGCAAAAGAATCTGTATCATACTTAAGTTCAAGGGAAGGTACTATGACTGGACTTGCACGTAGGCCAGATTTATGTTTCTCTCCACCCAAACATCGCAGTGGAGTAAAGAATAACGAGGCAGCATTGCTGCAACATGTCTCACCTCCCGCCACAGGGCAGCTTTTCTCCTAGCTCAGACTTGAACAAATGTACAATCGGGTTTACACCGAGACATTCAATTCCCAGGGGCAAGCAGGAGACAGTGGCCTTCCTCCATCTCAACTGCAAGAGGCTTTCCTCTTTTACTAATCCGCCTCAGCACAGACCCTTTACAGGTGTCAGGCTGGGGGACAGTCAGGTCTTTCTCATCCCACGAGGCCATATCTCAGACTATCACATGGGGGGAAACCTTGGAAAATACCCTTCTTTCAAGGGCAGGGCTCCCTGTGGCTTTCCACGGTGCATTGTGCCCCTGGTTTATTGTGACTAGAGAATGGCAATGACTTTTACGAAGTATACTGCTTGTAAACATTTGGTTAACAAGGCACGTCCTGCACAGCCCTAGATCCCTTAAACCTTGATTTTATACAACACATGTTTTTGTGAACTCCAAGTTGGGTCAAAGTGGTTGGGGCAAAGTGGCTGGGGCAAAGCTACAAATGAACAACATCTCAGCAAAGCAATTGTTAGAGTACAGGTCTTTTTCAAAATGGATTCTCTTATGTCTTCCCTTTCTACATAGACACAGTGACAGTCTGATCTCTCTTTCTTTTCCCTACACAAATAAAGAGCCCAGTGCCTTTTCTCATTGCTCAAGAGATTGAAGGGGTAGGAAGAAAAGATGTTAAGTTATAAACATGTTTCAGTTTTGGTACCACTTGAGCCAATTTACGTTTTGAAGAGGAAAGAGTCTTGCCTACAAAGTCAGCCCCTGGGTTTTCCTTCTGCTTATGGAATCCAGGCAATGGGCAAAGAGAAAAAGAAAACTATGGAATCAACCAGATGCAGTGGCTCATGCTTGTAATCTTGGCACTTTGGGAGGTTGAGGCAGGTGGACTTCTTGAGTCCAGGAGTTCAAGACCAGCCTGGCCCACATAGTGAGACCCCGTTTCTACAAAAAATACAAAAAGTTGCTGAGCATGGTGGCATGCACCTGTAGTCCCAGTTACTTGGGAGGCTGAGGTGGGAGAACTACTTCAGCCCAGGAGGTTGAGGCTGCAGTGAGCCATGATTGTGCCACTATACTCCAGCCTGGGTGACAGAGTGAGGTCCTGTCTCAAAAGAAAACAAAAAAGATAAGAAAAAGAAAACTAGGGCATCTGGACAGAATAAGTTTATATATATAATAAAGAACTGAGATAGAACTGGGTTGACTGAATAATTATTTGAATTGCTTTTGAGTGAATTTTTCCTATTGGAGTCTACCTTTGTTTTTGTGTGTGTGTGCGTTTTTTGTTTTTTGGTTTTTTTTTGGTTTAGTTTTGTCTTTGTTTTTTTTTCAGACTGGGCCTTGCTCTGTTGCCCAGGCTGCTGGAGTGCAGTGGCATGATCTCAGCTCACTGCAACCTCTGCCTCCTGGGTTCCAGCAATTCTTCTGCCTCAGCCTCCCCAGAAGCTGGGACTACAGGGCATGTACCACCAAGCCCAGCTAATTTTTGTATTTTTAGTAGAGATGGGGTTTCACCATGTTGGCCAGGCCTGCTCTTGAACTCCTAGGCTCAAGTGATCCACCTGCCTCAGCCTCCCAAATTGCTGGGATTACAGGTGTGAGCCCCTGCGCCCAGCTAGAGTCTACTATTCTTTGAATTCACTGCAGTGCAAAGATGGGACATGTGGAACTCCAGGTGTATATGGGTTATGTAGAGATGCTAGGGTATGATTAAGGAAGGAAAGATATGAGAAGCCTGCAGAGCATGCTTTCCCAGACTGTATGGGCCCTGGGAAAGGAGAAGTGGACAGAAAGGGAACACTGGGTACTCTGGAAGAGAAGATTCATCCAAGTCATCAGGGAAGTTACTAATGCAAGGGAAAAAATTTAGAGACAGGGCCAAACACGCTTCTTCCAAGTCCTTTCTGTCCGCTCAGTCACCTCTATGCTTATTTTTCTTCTTTCCTCTAAGTAGTGTCATGCGTTTTCTTCCTATTCCTAGTCACTCCTAGTCAACTAACTCCTCTCTTTACCATCTTTTCATCAGAACTTGAAACCTCCTCTCCTTCATGTATTAGTGATCATGTTTCTCCATATTACTGCTAGAAACAAGAATTGAAACCTGGAAAAGCTGCATTTGAGAACCAGATCTGCCTCTGCTAGCTATTTGAGAAGTTATTTTGTTCCATTCTTTTTGTTGTTGTCGAAACAGGGTGTCACTCTGTCGCCCAGGCTGGAGTGCAGTGGTTCAATCTTGGCTCACTGCAGCCTCAATCTCCTGGGCTCAATCAATCCTTCCACATCAGCCTCCTGAGTAGCTGAGACTACAGGTGTGTGCCACCACAGCTGGCTAATTTTTAATGCTTTTTTTTTGTTTACTTATTTTTTTTTTTGTAGAGATGGGGTCTTGCTATGTTGTGTAGGCTGGTCTCAAACTCATGGGCTCAAGCGATCCTCCTGCCTTGGCCTCTCAGATGAAATGGAAAAAGTTCCGTTGTCCCCCTCGAAGGGCATGCGATGCGGGTGTGGTTCATTTATTCAGTGCCCCACTGTTCAAACCTCTAGGGGAGCATGCAGACAGGCAGGGAGCCCCACGGCAGTGTCCAGGGGTGAATGTTTATAGTTGAAGCCCCAGTGGGCATGTGTTACAGGGTGCTCTTTTAGTTTAGCCGTCTGTAGGTAGCTTGTGTTAGTCAGCTCAATTAGACCCCCGCCTTATTGCAAGGACAGAAGGCTCTCTTTGTCCCGGGGTTCTTGCCTTGGTATACCGGACGTGGTGCGATCTCAGCTCACTGCAAGCTCCGCCTCCTGGGTTGACGCCATTCTCCTGCCTCAGCCTCCCAAGTAGCTGGGACTACAGGCACCCACCACCACGCCTGGCTAATTTTTTTGTATTTTTAGTAGAGATAGGGTTTCACTGTGTTAGCCAGTATGGTCTGGATCTCCTGACCTCGTGATCTGCTCGCCTCAGCCTCCCAAAGTGCTGGGATTACTGGCGTGAGAGTGTAAGGTTTTATTGAGTGGAAGTATCTCTCAGCAGATGGGGGAGCCAGAAGGGAGATGGTTTACCCCTGGAGTCGGGTGAGTGGCCTGACTCTTCTCTGACTGTCCCAGCCAAACTCTGCGTTGTTCTGCCAGTCAGTGGCCTGCGGTGTGTCGGTGCCCATTGGTGCGTTCCTCTTGACGTCCAGCACCCTTGTGTTCCTCCGCTGATGTGCTCCTCTCGAAATCCAGCCGCCTATGTGTCTGCCTGCTAGGGTCTCAGGGTTTTTATAGGCATAGAATGGGGGTGTGGCAGCCAGGGTGGTCTTGGGAAATGCAACATTTGGGCAGGAAAACAAAAATGCCTGTCCTCACCTAGGTCCGTGGGCACAGGCCCTGGAGTGGAGCCCTAGCCAGGGACCACACCCTCCTCTACCCATTGCTTCCTTTCCTCACTTCCATATCATTTAAAGGGACCACATTCTTCCCTTCTGAGCACTTCCCTTCTGTATCACAAAGTGTTGGGATTATAGGCATGAGCCACTGGTCCCAGCCAATTCCGTTCTTTTAATGCAAACTAGAAAATAGGTGTTCAGAAAGGCCTGCCCTATCCACCTCAGGGAGTTGCTATGAAGATCAAATTAGATCATGTGCAACAGAAGTTTAGAAAAGATTCCAAAAGCACTGTGCAACGAGAATGTATTTTTAAACTCCACTGAGTGGACTTAAAACTATGATTTTTTTCCTTCTTTCTTTTTTTGGGTTGAGACAGAGTTTCACTCTTGTTGCCTAGGCTGGAGCGCAATGATGCCATCTTGGCTTACTGCAACCTCTGCCTCCCAGGTTCAAGTGATTCTCTGTCTCAGCCACCCAAGTAGCTGGGATTACAGGCGCTCACCACCATGCCTGGCTAATTTCTTTCTTTCTTTTGTTTTTGTCTTTTTAGTAGAGATGGGGTTTCATGGTGTTGGCCAGGCTGGTCTCGAACTCCTGACCTTAGGTGACCCACCCACATTGGCCTCCCACAGTGCTGGGATTAAGGCTTGAGCCACCGCACCCAACCTGTGTTTCTTTTTTAAGCAAGAAAACAAATGCCTTTCCCCAGCACTCACTAAACAAATCCCTCTTTTTTTTCCATAGGATTCTTATCCTTCTTGCCCCACTGCAAACAATCTATTTTCTTTTGGCCCTTCCGTCCATCTGTGAAAGGGTCAGGCTTTCTAGCTAACCCTTAATCAAATATTTTTGATGACCACAGTGAAGACAGTACTTATTATTTTTTTTGAGACGGAGTTTCGCTCTTGTTGCCCAGGCTGGAGTACAATGGCACAATCTCGGCTCACTGCAACCTCTGCCTCCAGGGTTCAAGTGATTCTCTTGCCTCAGCCTCCCAAGTAGCTGGGATTACAGGTGCACAACACCACGCCCAGCTAATTTTTGTATTTTTAGTAGAGATGGGGTTTCTCCATGTTGGTCAGGCTGGTCTCGAACTCCTGACCTCAGGTGATCTACCCACCTCAGCCTCCCAAAGTGCTGGAATTACAGAGGTGAGCCACCCTGACTGGCCAAGACAGTGCTTATTAATGCCTGAGATGCATTCAGGAGCACATGACCTGGCTGTGACTGTTCTAACAAAGTTCCCCAAATGGGTGGCTCAGGACAACAGAAAGTCATTCTCTCCAGTTCCAGAAGCTTGATGTCTGAAACGGCAGGGCCGTGCTCCCTCTGAAGGCTCTAGGGATGAGTCCTTCCTTGCCTCTTCTGGCTTCTGGTTGTTGCTGGCAATCCTTGGCTTGTGGCCACATCATTCCATTCTCTTCCTTCATTCTCATGTGACCTTCTCCCCTGTGTGTCTCTGTCTCCTCTCCCCATCAGGAATGCCATTATTACTCGATTTAAGGTCCACGCTATTCCAATATGACCTCTTTGTAATTAGATCTGCAGTGACCCTATTTTCTTTTTTTTGAGATGGAGTCTTGCTCTGTTGCCCAGGCTGGAGTTCAGTGACACAGTCTCAGCTCGCTGCAACTCTGCCTCCTGGGTTCAAGTGATTCTTCAGCCTCAGCCTCCGAAGTAGCTGGGATTACATGTGCACGCCCCCATGCCTAGCTAATTTTTGTGTTTTTAGTAGAGACAGCGTTTTGTCATGCTTGCCAGGCTGGTCTCGAACTCCTGACCTCAAGTGATCCTCCTGCCTCAGCCTCCCAAAGTGCTAAGATTACAAGCATGAGCCACCGTGCCCTGCCCCTATTTTCTAATAAGGTCACATTCTGGGATTCCTGGTGAATGTGAATTTTTGGAGGACAGTATTCAGTCTAGCAAAAGGCAGAACATCCTCATTTTCTTCCCTACCTCAGAAATAAAGAAGTTAACTTCAACCCTCTGAGAGAGGCTTCCTGAGCTTCCAACCAAATATTACTCTCAGAAGAGCACTAAGGGTTGTGCACAGCACGTGGCCAGCCCGTTCTCAGAGTCTGTCAAGTTTAAGGTGAACGCTAATCCTGAATGAGTTTTAAAATGTATTTGGCATATCCTCGTCATTGTAAAATGTTCTCACATCATGATGGCTGGGGCTTCCCTCTCAGGTGTAATCTGCGAAGTCAGACGTGACACAGCCTGGGTGAGGTGGGCCAAGCTGGGAACTGGGTTAGGAGAGAAGCTGGGGAATGATCTCCAAGGTCTCAGATCCCAAATTGGCTTTAGCCTGATTCACCCAGAGGGATCTCATAAAAAATGCACATTCCGGGGCCCACCCCAGACCTAATGAATCAGAATTACCTGGGAAGGAGCCTGGGGAGCTCTGTTTTCAGAAGCAGCCCAGCCAAATCCTACGGTCAGACAGGGCTAGGAAACCGAGCTCAGTCTAGCGCGGTAGTTCCCAAACTCGTTTGTGCTTCAAAAAATACAGATGCTGATGTCCAGGCATGGTGGCTCATGCCTATAATACCAGCAGTTTGGCAGGCTGAGGCGGCAGTATCGCTTGAGCCCAGGAGTTTGAGACCTGCCTGGAGAACATAGGGAGATAATGTCTCTACAAAAAATTTAAAAATTAACCAGGCGTTGTGGTGCCCACCTGTGATCCCAGCTACCGTGGAGGTTGAAGTGGGAGGGTTTCTTGAGCCCAGGAGTTGGAGGCTGTCGTGAGCTATGATTGTGCCACTGTACTCCAGCCTGGGTAACAGAGCGAGGACCTGTCTCAAAAACAAAACAAAAAACGGATGCCATTTCCCATTCCAGAGGTTGAGGTTTAATTGTTCTTGGGTGTGGCCTGGGTTTTGGAAGATTTAAAAAAATCCCAGGTGACCCTAAAGTGTAGATGAGTTTGGAAACCACACATCGAAGGCACACTTGAATGGGGGAGCAGTGAGGTGGCATGGGCTAGCCGGCCAGAACCCAGGGGTGGGGCAGTAGGAACCAGCATTGCAGAGGCCATGAAGGCTGGGAAGCATAGTGTGTGGGGCCCATAAAAATGCTTCGGCATGAATGCTTTAGACCTAAGACAATTGGCTCCCAAATGTGTAAACTGCAAGGCTGAACTGAATGCATGTTTAATGCTTTACAACATTGTCAAGTGATCAGCTGCAACTCCATTCTGAGGGCATGATGCCTGAGATATGCCTGTAATGGGGATTGATTTTAATGAATTTAATATGGTGTGGAGTGGGGCCTTCAAAATAAAGATGTCAGTTCTAAGTTGGTTGCAGAGGTATGGGCAAAGGTCTTAAAACCCCATGGTGAGCAGATGGCCAATCCTGAACACCCCAATCTTAAAACAGGGCTTTTTTTCCAAGAGAATTTTTGAAAATATCTCCTATTTCGAGGGGAGGAACGCTGGCAGGAGAGAGCCAGAGTTAAGCCCACCTGAGAGGGGGTTGGCAGGCAGGGGTCTGCCTGGTCCTTACTGAAGCTTGATACTCAGGGTGAGCTTCCTAAACCAATGCAGATTTGCTGGCCCACTGAGCCTCCCAGATGAGAACCTGCATTTCAACAAGGTCCTTGGTGCAGCAAAGTTTGACATATACTGGGCTAGAACACCCAGGGGACACAAAGGTTCTCTGAAACGTAAGGAAAATAGGCAGGGTGTGGTGGCTCATGCCTGTAATCCTTGTATTTTGGGATGCCAAGGCGGGCGGATCACCTGAGGTCAGGAGTTTGAGACCAGCCTAGATCAACATGGTGAAACACCATCTGTACAAAAAATACAAAAAGTACCTGGGTGCGGCCGGGCACAGTGGCTCATGCCTGTAATGCCAGCACTTTGGGCACCCGAGGTGGGTGGATCACGAGGTCAAGAGTTCGAGACCAGCCTGGCCAACCCTGTCTCTACTAAAAATACAAAAATTAACTTGTGTAGCTGTGCGTGCCTTTAATCCCAGCTACTCAGGAGGCTGAGGCAGGGGATTTGCTTGAACCTGGGAGGTGGAGGTTGCAGTGAGCCAAGATTATGCCATTGCACTCCAGCTTGGGCAGCAGAGTGAGACTCTGTCTCAAAAAACAAAAACTTGCAGAGTGAATTTAGGAAACCATGAAGTCCACAGTTTGATCCAATGCCTTCCTTTTTCTCTTTCTCAAATATTTTGAGCCAGGTACTATCCTAGATTGTCTTGTGATATTTACAATCTAGGAGAAGGCAGGAGAGAGAACTAAGAACAGAGAGCGTGTTCTGAGATGTCTGCTGTGTTTGCAGGTACCTTCCCTCAATTTCCCTACTCACTGGCCATGCTGGAAAACAGGTCTTGGTGCCATATTTGTACCGTGGTACTCCCCTCCCTATACTCAATTGGTTGGCCAGAAGCCCAATTGTCATTCTCTCTCTCTCCCTCTCCCTCTCTTCCCTCCCTCCCTCCCTCCCTCTCCAAGATATCCAGTAACTGACTGATCAGCTGGTGGTGGGCTCTGCTGGCTGCCATGATGGGCCACCAGCAAAAAGGGAAAATTGGTTGTGAGTGAGAGAAGCAGAGATAAGAAAGTCCACAGGGCTGGTAAGAAAGACCATGGGCTTCCGGGTGCGGTGGTTCACGCCTGTAATCCCAGCACTTTGAGAGGCTAGGATGGTCGGATCACGAGGTCAGGAGATCGAGACCATCCTGGCTCACACAGTGAAACCCCATCTCTACTAAAAATACAAAAATTAGCTGGGTGTGGTGGTGGGTGTCTGTAGCCTCAGCTAATTGGGAGGCTGAGGCAGGAGAATGGCGTGAACCCCAACAGGTGGAGCTTACAGTGAGCTGAGATTGCACCACTGCACTCCAGCCTGGGCGACAGAGTGAGACTGCATCTCACAAAAAAAAAAAAAAAAGAGACCATGGGCTTCTGAGAGCAAGAAAGAGGAATTTTGGTTTCTGTAACTGCAGTTTCCATTCTCTCATGGCCTCTCATTTGTTTCTTGTGCCCATGAGTTTGCCTGTTAGAGACAAGGTGTTCTCCTTGTCCTCAAGCTCATGCAAATGGGCTTCTGTTGCTTACAATCTTTGTTCCCAGATATGGATGGTTACTGATGCTCTACTAAATGCTGAAAAAAAGTAGAGTGGAAGCACAGAAAAGCAAGCTTCTCTGAGGGGGTGACGTTAGAGCCCAGTTGGGAGGCAGGAGTAAATGTGCACCATGATTTTTTAGGATTAAAACCAAGTATCTCACTGCTTGGGCACATGTAGATAGAGGTGATTTAACAGTAAACTGTCCCAGTTGTACCCATTGTTAGTTATCTCACCACAGGGATTATGTAGCCCTGAGTTTGCTTAGTGCTTATTTATTTTAGGTTGTTGTTTATCCAAACCTCCTAAATGATACGTGTTTGGAACAAGTAACAGCATTGTTCCTTGATGTTGTGGACCAACCACTATTTTATTACTCAAGACTGGGTAATTTATAAAGAAAAAAGAGGTTTAATGGGCTCACAGTTCCATGTGGCTGAAGAAGTCTCAAAATCATGGTGGAAGGAAAAAGGCACGTCTTACATGGTGGCAGACAAGAGTGATGAGAGCTATTTTGGTCATTGTTCACTGGCCATAGAATTTACTTCTATATTTTGAAATAAGATGAGAACCAGGCACACAAGATGGTTACAGGTCCGTCTTTTGTTTTTGATGATGATGATGATGATGATGATGATGATGATGAAATGGCTGACATGGCTGATGACTTGCTTTCTCTCATCATCTCAGACCTAGATTTTTGGCTGGACTATTGGCTTGGGATAGATGAAAATCATTCCTTGTATCCCCTTATCTTAAAGTCAAGACTGAACCAGCCTCCAGACTCAAGCCTTCATGGGAGTTCAGATACCATGAGGAATGGGTGTCCCTGCAATATTGTCATGGCTGTCAAAAGTGTTATTGGAGCTGGGCAAGTGGGCGGTCTCCTGCCATTCCATCCTGCTTAGATTTCCCATTCAACACCAATCTTATTTCCTTTTTTTTTTTTTGACAGAGTCTCGCTCTGTCTTCTAGGCTGGAGTGCAGTAGTGGGATCTCGGCTCACTACAGTCTCCACCTCCCAGATTTAAGTGATTCTTGTGCCTCAGCCTCCCAAGTAGCTGGGATTGCAGGTGCACACCATCAAGCCTGGCTAATTTTTTTTTTTTTTTTTGCATTTTTAGTAGAGACAGTGTTTCGCCACGTTGGCCAGGCTGGTCTTGAACTCCTGACCTCAAGTGATCCACCTACCTCGGCCTCCCAAAGTGCTGGGATTACAGGTGTGAGTCACTGTACCTGGCCACATTTCCTCTTATACCATAAGTCATTGCCTGCAGATGTGTTTTCTCCATTAGTTTGCAAAAGCTTCCTGAGAGTAGGTCTGTGCCTCATTTATTCTGGAATCTCCCTGGCACAAAGCACAGGGCTTTATCTTCAGTAGGCATCCAGCAAATGTTTAATTTCATTCAACAGCTCCTCTTACCACTGCCCCCACCTTATTTGCAGGTGGCTAAGTACAATCGGAACAAGTAGGTATCATAAGATTTAGTCCAGAGTCAATTTGAGAAGAAATTACTTTAGTGATATGAAAAGAACCATGCTATTTAGTCAGAATACTTCTGAGAGTATCCCGTGTCCAAGCATTTGCTGAATTTCTACTAATTTTCAGGTGGAACAGTATGGTTGCAGAGAGTCCATTTGGACATAGATACACTTTCATGCATTCATGTCTTTAACAATAATTTGTGGCCCTACTGTGTTTGTTCACTAACTCCTTTGAACCTACCACGTAAGCTATATCTTTATTTTCCTTGTAAGTTGGAAGGTCCAATGCTTCATTAAGCTCACATGCCTGAAACTAATGAAGAAAATATCTCGTTAACCAGCTAGTATAAAAGTAGCCACCAAATCAAGTCAATCACTTGCCTTAAATCAGCCCAGTACTCCCATCTTGAGCGGAGAAGCCCATTCTGAATCACAGTCAAGACATTGATGGAAAAACAGCTCCCTCTGGGGATCAAAACCACGCTCACTCCAAATCCTCCTCCCCAGAGTTCTACTCATTGCTCACCCACTGAACCCAGAACAACCAGAAGTGTTTGAAGTGAGGACGGATAGCTCCGTGTACCAATCGGAATTTAAAACTGTATCAATTCCTGCTATAGAAATGAGGCTTCTCCCCAGGACCAGCATTCCACGAAGGCAGCCCTTCTCTAGATGGAGAAAACAGAACCTGAAGGCACCCGTTTCCCTAAACTGCTCTCGCTCATGTGTAAGTACAAATGAAAAATGCTGAGGCTGCTTCTGTTGGCATTGCTTTTTAATTACGGCCATCAATAAATCATTTTATCCTTGAACAAGACTTGAGAATGACCCGAAGGCAGAGGCACAATTCCTTAGGAATTAGGCCAACAGAGAATGGGCTCTCTCTCTTCCCACCTCTTCTCTTACTCTGCTGTCAGAAACAGAAACGTTCTCTGTGAGTAGCTGGGAGTAGACGGCCACACTTGAGTTCCATCTGGGGGTTCTGTTAACACAGTTTTACCCCAGCCTGCCTTGATGGCCACTGCCACACAAGCTGCATCTGTTCTTTCTTCTGCGCCTTTTATTATTTCGTTGTTTTTCCTCTTTCTAATGTAGTGAGCTGAATTGTGGCTTTGCACAAGATATATCCAGATCCTTGTGCCTAGAATCTGTGGAGGTGGCATTATTTGGAAAAAGGGTCTTTGCAGATGTAATTAAGGATCTTGAGATTATCCTGGAGGATTTTAGGTAGGCTGTACATCTGAAGACAAGTGTCCTTATAAGAGGACACTTTTGTCCAGGCACAGTGGCTCATGCCTGTAATCCCAGCACTTTGGGAGGCCGAGGCGGGTGGATCACCTCAGGTCAGGAGTTCGAGACCAGCCTGACCAACATGGAGAAACCCCATCTCTACTAAAAATACAAAATTAGCCGGGCATGGTGGCACATGCCTGCAATCCCAGCTACTGGGGAGGCTGAGGCAAGAGAGTTGCTTGAACCCAAGAGGAGGAAGTGGCAGTGAGCTGAGATCATGTCATTGCACTCCAGCCTGGGCAACAAGAGTGAAACTCCGTCTCAAAAAAAAAAAAAAAAAAGGACACTCCTTTTCATGCGCATCCGTGTGAAGAGACCACAAAACAGGCTTTGTGTGAGCAATAAAGCTGTTTATTTCACCTGGGTGCAGGTGGGCTGAGTCCAAAAAGAGTCAGCGAAGGGAGATAGGGGTGGGGCCGTTTTATCAGATTTGGGTAGGTAAAGGAAAAAGGGGTGTTGTCTGGCAGGCAGGAGTGGGGGTCACAAGGTGCTCAGTAGGGGAGCTTTTGAGCCAGGATGAGCAAGGAGAAGGAATTTCACAAGATAATGTCATCAGTTAAGGCAGGAACAGGCCATTTTCATTTCTTTTGTGGTGGAATGTCATCAGTTAAGGCAGAAATCGGCCATCTGGATGTGTACATGCAGGTCACAGGGGATATGATGGCTTAGCTTGGGCTCAGAGGCCTGACGTTCCTGTCTTCGTACATTAATAAGAAAAATAAAATGAAATAGTGGTAAAGTGTTGGGATGGTGAAAAATTTCTGGGGGTGGTATGGAGAGATAATGGGCGATGTTTCTCAGGGCTGCTTTGATTAGGGGCAGCGTGGGAACCTCGAGTGGGAGAGATGAAGCTGAAGGAAGATTTTGTGGTAAGGGGTGATATTGTGGGGTTGTTATTTAGAATTATTGGTGATGGCCTGGATACAGTTTTGTATGAATTGAAAAACTAAACGGAATAAGAGAAGGAGAAAAACAGGTATTAAAGGACGAAGAATTGGGAGGACCTAGGACCTCTAATTAGAGAGTGCCTAAGGAGGTTCAGCATAGCCTTGCCAGCAAAGATTATTTATTTAAGAGTTAAGAGTGGTGGTTTGGGGATAGCACCAGGAGATATCACCTGTGATGGCTTGGAGAAACAGTGTAAACCACCAGTGTAAACAAGAGCAGGGCATATATGAGTAGTTGAGAACGGTGAATAGGAGTATGACTAGACAGAAGATAGTAGGGATGACAAGTTTTTTGGGGCACAGTCCAAGTTGGTCTTGTGTCTGGAATGAGACTTGGGCCTAATAAAAAGGAGCGTCTATACAGGAGATCCAATGGGTATCGGGGGACCTGCCCCGATAATCACGTAGTTTCTTTTCTATTTTCCTAAGTGTCAACTGGCTTGAGAAATAAAAGGACAGAGTACAAAAAAGAGAAATTTTAAAGCTGGGCATCCGGGGGAGACATCACATATTGGTAGGATCCGTGATGCCCCACAAGCCACAAAAACCAGCAAGTTTTTATTAGGGAGTTTCAAAAGGGGAGGGAGTATACGAATAGGTGTGGGTGACAGACATCAAGTACTTAACAAGGTAATAGAATATCACAAGGCAAGTGGAGACAGGGCAAGATCATAGGACCACAGGACCGAAGTGAAGTTAAAATTGTTGATGAAGTTTTGGCACCATTGTCATTGATAACATCTTATCAGGAGACAGGGTTTTGAGATCAACCGGTCTGACCAAAGTTTATTAGGCGGGAATTTCCTCTTCCTAATAAGCCTGGGAGCACTATGGGAGACTGGAGTTTATTTCACCTCTGCAATCTCGACCATAAGAGACAGGTACGCCCGGCGGGGAGCCAGTTCAGAGACCTACCCCTAGGTGTGCATTCTCTTTCTCAGGGACGTTCCATGCTGAGAAAAGGAATTCAGCGATATTTCTCCCATTTGCTTTTGAAAGAAGAGAAATATGGCTGTTCTGCCCGGCTCACCGGCGGTCAGAGTTTAAGGTTATCTCTCTTATTCCCTGAACAATTGCTGTTATCCTGTTCTTTTTTCAGGGTGCCCACATTTCATATTGCTCAAACACACATGCTGTACAATTTGTGTAGTTAATACAATTATTACAGGGTCCTGAGATGATATAAATTCTTCTCGGCTGACAGGATTAAGAGATTAAAGCAAAGACAAGCATAGGAAATCACAAGGATATTGATTGGGGAAGTGATAAGTGTCCATGGAATCTTTACAATTTATGTTTAGAGACTGCAGTAAAGGCAGGCATAAGAAATTACAAAAGTATTAATTTGGGGAACTAATAAATGTCCATAAAATCTTCACAATCCACGTTCTTCTGCCATGGCTTCAGCCGGTCCCTCCGTTTGGGGTCCCTGACTTCCCGCAACAAATGGGCTGTACCTTGTAGCATTCCGAAGACAGGCCTGAATTCTGAGAAGGGAAAGTGGTAAAAGTATTGTCCAGTCCTTTTTAAGTTGGTGGCTGAGCTTGGTAAGGTGTGTTTTAAAAGACCATTAGTCTGTTCTACCTTTCCTGAAGACTAAGGACTGTAAGAAATATAAAGGTTTCACTGAATACTAAGAGCCTGAAAAAATGCTTGGCTGACTTGATTAATAAAGGCCGGTCTGCTATGGGACTGTATAGACGTGGGAAAGCCAAACTGAGGAATTACGTCTGACAGAAGGGAAGAAATGACCGTGGTGGCCTTCTTAGACCCTGTGGGAAAGGCCTCTACCTATCCAGTGAAAGTGTCTACCTAGACCAAGAGTTATTTTAGTTTCCTGACTCGGGGCACGTTGAGTAAAGCTAATTTGCCAGTCCTGGGTGGGGGCAAATCCCTGAGCTTGATGTGTAGGGAAGGGAGGGGGCCTGAAGAATCCCTGAGGAGTAGTAGAATAGCAGATGGAACACTGAGAAGTTATTTCCTTGAGGATAGATTTCCACGATGGAAAGGAAATGAGAGGTTCTAAGAGGCAGGCTAGTGGCTTGTACTATAGCATAGCCTGCTTTTGCTGGTGTGTGGCAATTAGGCCTGGTGGAACTGCCATCAATAAACTAAGTGTGGTCAGGGTGAGAAACTGGGAAGAAGGAAATGTGGGGACATGGGGTGAATGTCAGGTGGATCAGAGAGATGCAGTCATGAGGGTCAGGTGTGGTATCAGGAATAATGTGGGAGGCTGGATTGAAGTCCGGGCCAGGAACAATGGTAATTGTGGGAGACTCAACAAAGAGTACAGCAGAAGGAGCCGGGGAGCAGAATGTATATGTGGCAGGTGTGAGGAAGAAAATACATTTTGGAAATTATGAGAGCTGTAGAGAGTGAGTTGAGCATAGTTTGTGATTTTAAGGGCCTTTAAAGTATTAGGATGGCAGCAGCTGCTGCACAGAGACATAACAGCCAACCTAAAACAATAAGGTCAAGTTGTTTGGACAAAAAGGCTACAGGATGCCATCCTGGTCCTTGTGTAAGAATTTCAACTGCACAGCGCTGCACTTCAGCTGTGTGTAATGAAAAGGGTTGGGATGAGTCACGGAGAGCTAGTGTAGCAGGACGAGTTGCAGACAAAACTCCTCAGACACCAGATTAAAGAAGGAAGAGGTTTTTTTATTCAGCCAGGAGCGTTGGCAGACTGGTGTCTTAAGAGCCGAGCTCCCGGAAAAAGAAATTCCTAGCCCTTTTAAGGGCTTACAACTCTAAAGGGTCTACGTGAAAAAGTCATAATAGATCAAGTAAGCCTGAGGAACGTGACTGGGGGCTACAAACATCAGCTAACAGAACAAAAAGTTTTTACAGTGCTTTCTCATACAATGTCTGGGATTTACAGATAACACAGGTAGTTTTGGTCAGGGGTTAATATTATTGTTGTTTTAACCACCGGGGCCAGGTGGTGGCGCCAAGGTCGTCTAGCTATTTATTTTACTTCTGTTTTTTCCAACTTTTTGCTTTCTCCCTTTTTTGCTGTCTTACAAACTAGGGAAAAGGGGAGGTTGGGGAGAAACTGGGAAGGACAACAGGAGAAGTGGTGGTCTCATACCATATTTCCCCCCTTTGAGCATTTTCACTTTTTAGTGGGAGTTCTCACTCTCATCTTTACTTTTTGAGTCTATTTGTGAGATAGAGCGATAGTGATTTATATAACACACGTGTGCTGAAGTTTTCTGATGAACCAAAGTAGCTACAAAACCTTTGATCATTTGAAAAAGCAAGGGTAATACACAGGGGAGCAGCAAGCAAGTTCCTATCACTAGCAATACACCTACAATGAGGGTTTTAAATCCTCTTATAGCTGGAAACCATTTTTCAAATAAAGACTCAGGATTAAACTCGTGCCAAACCTGTACAGGCACATGTGCCACCTTTGTCATGTCCCTGACTATGTTTTTAACCACCTGTCCTTGATCATTTATTTGTAGGCAGCAATTGGTTAAGTTAAATTTTCTACAAACTCCTCCTTCAGCTACTAGCAAGTAGTCTAAGGCCAGTCTATTCTGATAGATAGCATTCCTCATTTGGGTTTCTTGCCAAGCTAAAACAGTCAAAGCTCTGCCAGTTTCATTAGAAATTATTTCTAAGATGACCTGCAACCGTATGATCCAATTGAGCATGTAGATGGGTTCGGTATCCCCATGAGCCATCTTGTGCCCATGTGGCAGGCCCATAATACTGAATGATCCTTTCACGGGGCCACTCATTATCTTTCCAGTTTCCTATAACTATGCCTTTCTTTTCTCGGGAGGCGTAGACAGAGAAACCTAGCAGCTCACCCATTTTTATGGGTAATAAGAAAAAGGATGGCTTAATAGTGCCAATAACACAACTGTCTGCCCATTTATTAGGTAACCGAAAGTAGGCTCTGTGCCTACATATCTAGTATAGTCCAGAGGGAACTGTCCAGTCCTGATGAGATTCTGGATGAGCCTAAGCAGTTTTTAATTTAGAAAATTTACTAAATGGATTCTTTTCAGTGTGGTTTAGGTCCTACTAAGTAATTGTCTTTGTTGTGCTGTTATACAACTTCTGTCCTATACAATTAGGCTTTCCTACAGGGATGATAAAGTCTTTCCCTTCTCTAGCTATACAGTATTGTCTAATAATTGAGGTTTTTAGGACCTAGAAGTTGCTAGCTTCGGCCTTCTAAACTGGAATTATATCAGGAGCTGGATCAGTAGGCACCAACTCTCGGGCTTCCCAAGGCCATCTGTCTCCGATAGTGGTTCCTCCGCGTACATAACAAGAAGTAACATTAAGTAAGAAAATTACATTTTCTGCTAATTGGAGAAACAAATTTTTTGTCTTTTTCAGAAGTTCTGGTGCTGGCAGATTCAGCTCCTCATAAAAGGTTTGAAATACTGGTTTGGGAGAGCACTTGTGGACCTCCCCTCTAATTAAAATGACAACTTGAGGGTTTAACCCTGTCCTATTGATCCCCAGGGTTACACGTTCTCCCTTTTTCCAATGGGGATCTAGGGGATTGGTAATTATTAGTTCTAGTGGGTTACAGTGACCGGCAGCACAGGAGGGGTTGGCTTCCCCCTTCTGAAGATAAACCGGGTCCTTTTTGTTCTTTTTTAAAGTAGCCTAAATAACACATGGCCAATAGGCACAATTTTTACAAACCCCTGACTCATGACAAACATTTATTTCTACTCTTTAGCTCCTTTCTCAGTTAAGAGAACCACATCCTATTTCTAGCTTTTTACTATTAATGGCTGCACAAGCATCAAATCTTAAAGTTATTTGCTTGGGGATTTCTTTTTCTTCTGTTCTAGTTATTATTTTACTTGTATCACCTAGGAAAAGGCCAGTTCTTATTCTTATTTCAAAAACGGTGGTGCAGGGGGCTCAGATGGGTTATAACACACATCAGGTCGGTCATTTCTCGGGCTACATACCTTGTACTGAGTGGCATTATACAAACAAGTTTCTCTTATTGTTTCCATACATTCATAATAACTATAGAACAGAAAGATTGTTTTAATTTGCTGTCCTGCTTCGGTGACCTGATGAATACACTGGGAACAGTCCCCAGTTTGAGTAAGGTCAGTTGAAGCCCTTACTGTATAAGTCCAAAATTTAAGAAAAATGAATCTCATGATGAGCTTCCTCAGGCTTCGGCCGTGCTTGGACTAGTCAGCTTCCGGGTGACTGGAGCAGGGCTTGTCATCTTCTTCAGGGTCACTCTGCAAGGGTTATCTGGGCTTGGTCTTGCCTCCCAGGTTTCAGGCGCTGCAGGTTTTATATGGCTGTGTTGGATCCAGGCTGGGATTCCTTCCACCTTCACAGCGGTGGGAGTGCTCAGGACGACAATCTGGGGTCCTTTCCACCGTGGACACAAACAGGCAACTTTCCAGTCCTTGATCCACACTCGATCATCTGGGGAGAATGGGTGAACTGGGGAGAATAAGCTAACAGGGCATCTCTCATTTACCCAGGCTGAGATTTTTTGTGTAACTTTTCCTAAGGCCTGTAGCTGTCGCTGTAACTCAATTTCACCTAACTCTCAGGGAGTGCCTGGAAGTCCCCGCAATATAGGAGGGGGCCTACGATATAATATTTCATAAGGGAAATATCCTGTTCTTTTAGAAGCGGTACATCTAATTTTAAATAATACCATAGGGAGAGCCTGTAGCCATTTTAATCCTGTTTCCTGACATACTTTCCCTAAACTATTTTTGATAGTTTGATGCATTCGCTCCACCTTTCCGGAACTCTGAGGCCACTAGGCAGCATGCAGTTTCCATGTGATCCCTAATATCTTTGCCGCCTTCTGTACTAAGTCAGCCACAAATGCTGGCCTGTTATCTGAGCCGATCCCTAAGGACAGTTCAAATCTAGGAATAAGATCTCGAAGAAGCACACGGGTTACTTCACGAACTTTCTCAGTTCGTGTTGGATAAGCCTCCACCTACCCAGAGTAGGTACGCCCAAGAACTAGTAAATACTTGTTACCTCTACACTTTGACATCTCTGTGAAGTCCACCTGGAGATCTTCAAAGGGGGCTGCTCCATAAGCTTGTATGCCGGGTGGAATAGCTGGACCTTGCCTCGCTTTATGCTGTCGGCAGGTAACACACCACTGCGTCACCGTTTTGGCAAGAGCTGACAAATGCGAGATGTAGAAATACCAGCCTAACAACTTTTCAAGTGATTCCTGGCCTAGATGGGTGGCTTCTTGCACAGCCAGTACAACTGCAGCTCCTAGCAGCTGTGGCACAGCTACTCTCCCATCCGGTAACCGAATTCATCCTTCCTCCATCACTTGTCCTCTCTCTGCCTGGAGAAAGTCCTTTTCTTCTTTAGAATAAGTAGGTACAAGATCAGGTACTTGAGGGAGCATGGGGGCTGTGACTGATGCCCGGAAGGGGGCAGATGCTGCTTTTCGAGCCTCTAAGTCAGCGCGGGAATTCCCTAAACCCACCAAGGTGGAAGCTCGCTGGTATCCTCTGCAACGCATAACTGCCACCTTGTGGGGTCTCCATATGGCTTTTAATAATTGCAAGATTTCTTGTTGATATTTTATGTCTTTTCCCCCAGAGTTCAATAGGCCCTTTTCTTTATATAATGCTCCACGCACTTGAAGGGTTGAAAAGGCTTAATGAGAGTCAGTGTAAATGTTGACATTCTTAGCTTCATTGAGTTCTAAGGCCCGAATTAAAGCAATGAGTTCAGCTTTCTGAGCTGAAGTGCCCTGGGGAAACGATCTGGCTTCAGCAACAGTGTCTAGAGTTACCACCGCATATCTTGCACATCTCTCTCCTTGTGGGTTGATGAAGCTGCTCCCAGCCACGTATAGTTCCCAGTCTACTGATGCCTAAGGCTGGTCCTGGAGGTTAGGTCTGCTAGAGTCAACTGAGTCCAACACTTCTACACAGTCATGCTCGACAGGGCTCTCTGATACTGGGAGCAAGGTAGCGGGGTTCAGGGTGTTACAAACTTCAATGGTTATATGGGGATTTTCACAGAGCAAACTTTAGTACTTAGTGAGTCTAGCATTCATTAGCCAATGATGTCCTTTAGTATTCATTAAAGTCACCACAGCATGGGAGGCCTTTATGTTCAGGTTTTGTCCAAGAGTCAGCTTATCTGCTTCTTGTACTAGCAGGGCAGTTGCTGCCAAGGCCCTCAAACATGGGGGCCATCCTTTAGAAACCCCGTCTAGTTGTTTAGAGAGGTAGGCCACCGGCCTCGGCCAGGGCCCCACAGTTTGGGTTAAAACTCCAACTGCCATCTTTTCTCTCTCTGACACATACAATGGAAAAGGCTTTGTTAGATCGGGTAGCTTCAGGGCTGGGGCTGACATAAGTTTTTCCTTTAACTCATGAAAGGCTTGCTGTTGCTGGGATCCCCATTCAAAACGTTCCCGCCCCACCCCTTTGTGACCTCATACAAAGGCTTGGCTTATACTGCAAAGTTTGGGATCTACAGTCTGCAAAACCCCACAGCCCATAGGAATTCTCTCACCTGCCTTCTGGTCTTAGGCTCCAGTAGATTTCAAATGACCTGCTTTCTTTCTGATCCTAGGCTGCTCTCCCCCTTTCGGATAGTAAATCCTAAGTAATGTACCTGCTGTCAGCAGATCTAAGCTTTTTTCTTGGACATCTTATACCCACAGTCCTCCAGATGCCGGAGTAGGGCATCTGTTTCTTTGGTGCACCCGACTGCCGTGGGGTGTCCCAGCAAAAGATCATCAACGTACTGGAGCAAAATGCAGTCTAGGTCTCTGGTGGGAAACCTCTGGAGGTCTCGAGGCAATGCCTCCCCAAAGATGGTGGGGGAGTTCTTGAACCCTTGGGGAAGCCCGGTCCAAGTGTACTGAGTAGTGACACCTGACTCCGGATCTTCCCAGATCCGGAAGTCAAACAGAGAAAGGCAAACAGCTTCTGTCTCTCAGGGGCTAATCTGATGCTAAAGAAAGCATCTTTCAGGTCCAAGCAGGTGAAGCAGCTGTCCTCAGCTGGCAGCAACCCCAGCAATGTGTACGGGTTAGGTACTGCTGGATGTAAAGTCACTGCAGCCTGATTAACCAAGCGCAAATCCTGTACCGGCCAGTAGTCCTTGATCTTAGGCTTGGGAACAGGCAAGAGGGGAGTGTTCCATGAAGACTGACAAGAAACTCTAATTCCAAAACTTCTTAGGTGCTTGAGATGGACCTGGATACCTTCAAGAGCTTCTCTGGGGACCGGATCCTGTTTTTGCCTAACTGGCTGGGCCCTAGGCTTAACTTCTATAAGTACGGGGGCTTGGTTGACTGCAAACCCTGGAGGGTTGTCTTCCACCCACACTCTTGGCCACCGCTTAGCCAGAGCCGGTCTTATCTCTTGGCCCCACTCAGTTAAGAAAAGTCTCCATTCTTCCTCTCGGGGGACCGTAAGGGTCATAATGACTCCTGTTCTGGGTGACTTTAGCAGCAAAGAGCCATGCTCTGTAAAAGAGATAGTGGCTCTCAGTTTGCTAAGCAAGTCCCTTCCCAACAAGCGCAAGGGACAGTCAGGTGTGTACAAACACTGATGAATCACTTTATGTCCTCCTACAGCACAAGTCCGAGGCAAGCAGAAAGCTTGCTTTGCTGAAACTCCCATGGCTCTGATGATGTTAATAATCTTTTTGGATAAGGGGGCGACCGGGGTGGTTACTACCGAATGTCCAGCACCGCTATCTACAAGAAAATCAATGTCTTTACCCCAAACTGTCATCCTGACCATAGGCTCTTTGGGGGTCCTTGAGCCCAGTCCCCCTCAGTCCAATAACCCTTCTGCCAGGTTGAGCAGGGCCCCTTCATCCTTGTCTGGGGCCTCCTGCTCTGAGTCACCTGGTTTTCTTTTTAGCTGAGGGCATTTGTTTTTCCAATGTCCTATTTCTTTACAATAAGCACACTGATTACGCTGCAAGCTCTGACAGCCAGGCTGAGTTTCCTTCCCGGGGCCCCCTTTCCCTTGCCTCTTTGGGGGGACCCCTCTGATTGCTGCCGCTAACAGGTCGGTGTTTCGCTGGGCCTGACGTTCATTGTCTCTGTGGTTTTCCTTACGGCTTACTGCATCCCTGTTTACAAACGCCTGGTTAGCTATTTGTAATAACTCTGATGTGTTCATCCCTGCAAACTCAGCCTGTTGCTGCAGTTTTCTTCTAATGTCTTCTGCACTTTGAGTAACTAAAGCCGTGTTAATCATGCGTTGATTTTCAGGGCTATCGGGATCAAAGGGAGTATACATACCATAGGCCTTACACAGTCTCTCCTACAATTGTGCTGGACTTTCTTCTTTTCTCTGAATGACCTCAGAGACTTTGTTAACATTTGTGGCCTTCTGGGCTCCCCTCTTTAATCCTTCCAAGAGAGCTTCCCAGTCTCTGTTTAGCCTTTGCATATCCTCTCTTTCATGTGGGTCCCACTGGGGGTCAGTTCTTGGTAACTGGGTCCTTACATACTCTTGGGGGTTTTGGTAATCAGCTGGTGCATGTTCCTCTAGCCACTCAGTTGCTGCTTGGAGCACTCTCCCCCTTTCATCCGTGTTAAAGAGGAACATGAGTAACTGGTGGCAATCAGCCCAGGTGGGGTTATGGGTCTGGATAATAGTTTGGAGCAAATCAATCAGAGCTTGTGGCTTTTCGGTACAGGACGGGGTATTGTTTTTCCAGTTGAGAAGGTGGGCAGAGGTGAAGGGCTGGTACCCAAAACACGCCTCCCCACTACGTGACCATCCTCATCTATCCCAGTCTACCGCTGCTCTCTCAGGGGCATTTGTGTCCCCGTTTTGGGTCTTAAACGAGCTGCCAAGGGAGGGGTTTCTCCCGAGTCCTCACCTCCTCTCTTGTCTACTCTGGGTGGCTTAGGAATATGTTTGTCTTGTGGAGGCGCAAGCACTGTGGACTCAAAAGTGGGGAGCCTGCCTCCCTGGTAAAGAGAGGGCACCACTGGGATCACTGGTGCCATCTCCTGCAATGGATCTTCTGATGTTGGGTCGAACAGAACTTCAGGAGTTGATTTCCCTTGGCGGGTGGAGCGGGATTCTTCCTTGGCTATCTGTCCCTTTGCTACTAGCACTGCTGCTGCCTGCCCTCTTAGCCACTGTGGGGGGTTTAGCATCAGCTGTAACCAAGTGTCTATGTATGGAAACTGGTCTGAGTGTCCTGACTTACCAGTTACCTTGTGCCATACCTTAGAAACAAGGGACCTGTCCAGGCTTCCTTCTGATGGCCACCCTACTTCTAATGTTAGCCAATCTATTTCATACAAAGTTCTAAGTTCCCCAAAGTCTCCATTACATCCTTTCTTAAAATTTTTCAACATAGTTCCCAGCGGAGTGGGCTTACTTTGTATCTGACCCATGTTTCCTCGAGACAAAACACCAAGCTCACACCACACGCACACCACAGAACAAAGAATGGGTAAAAAGGGCACACACACACTTTTTCAGTTTTCACCAAACCAGAATCAAAACCAAAATCAGAGTATCCAGAAATCCAAGCCAGGTCAAACTAAAACCAAAGTATCAAGCAATTCAAGTCAAGTCAAAAACAAGAACCAAAGTGCCAGTACAGGCACGCCATGGGTGATCAGGCCACGCTTCCACTCAAATGGAGTGGGCAAGTTCCAAAGACCAGTCTTACCAAGTTTCAAATGTCCGGACTCCAAGTGCCTCTTCCTTCCCTGTGTTCAGCCACTGTGTTGATCCTCCATGGGGGCCTACAACACACTGCTCTGAGGAGGCATTCCTCCGGGGCAATTGCCTACCCGGGAGAGCTCTCAGGATCCGCGTCGCTCAAGCTGGCCAGAGTCCCCTGCAGGGATGCTCCACAGGGCAGGCCTAAGCCACCTAACGGGCTGCCTCGACATTCTGTCAATTACCTCGCTTCCCGGTCAGGGAACCAAGACTAGGATGGGGGCAGTCTTTAAAGCTGTCTTCAAGGAACAGAAAGAGGAGTGAGGAAAGGATTTAGGATCTATGGGGTCAGCTAGGTTTCCTTTTGTGAGTTTATATAATGGTTTTGTTAGGATGGCAAAACCAGATATCTAAAGATGAAAGTATCCAACCATGCCCAGGAAGGAAAGGAGTTGTTGTTTTGTAGAAGGGGTTGGGGTTTGAGAGATTAGTCACACACGATCGGCAGGGAGAGCACGTGTGTTTTTATGAGAATTATGCGGAGATAGGTAACAGATAAGGAAGAAATTTGGGCTTGACTGAAGTAATGGGGGCTGTCTGTGAAGCTTTGCAGCAGTACAGCCCAGGTAATTTGCTGAGCCTGATGGGTGTCAGGGTCAGTCCAAGTGAAAGCGAAGAGTGGCTGGGATGAAGGGTGTAAAGGAATAGTAAAGAAAGCATGTTTGAGATCCAGAACAGAATAATGGGTTGTGGAGGGAGGAATTGAGGATATGAGAGTATATGTGTTTGGCACCTTGGGGTGGATAGGCAAAACAATTTGATTGATAAGTCATAGATCCTGAACTAACTTGTAAGGCTTGTCTGGTTTTAGGACAGGTAAGATGGGGGAATTGTAAGGAGAGTTTATAGGCTTTAAAAGGCCATGCTGTAGCAGGTGAGTGGTAACAGGCTTTAATCCTTTCAAAGCATGCTGTGGGATGAGATATTGGCATTGAGCGGGGTAAGGATGATTAGGTTTTACTGAGATGGTAAGGGGTGCATGATAGGTCGCCAAGGAGGGAGTAGAGGTATCTTCTACTTCTGGGTTAAGGTGGGTGGCAATGAGATGTATCTGTAGTCCGGGAATAGTCAGGGAAGCAGATAATTTAGTTGAAGTGTCTCGGCCTAATAAGGGAACTGGGCAGGTGGGGATAACTAAAAAGGAGTGCTTAAAAGAGTATTGTCTAAGTTGGCACCAGAGTTGGGGAGCTTTAAGAGGTTTAGAAGACTGGCTGTCAATACCCACAACAGTTATGGAGGCAAGGGAAAGAGGCCCTTGAAAAGAAGGTAATGTGGAGTGGGTAGCCTCTGTATTGATTAAGAAGGGGATGGACTTACACTCCACTGTGAGAGTAACCTAGAGCGTCTGTGATGGTCCTGTAGGCTTCCGAGGCGATCGATTGGGCAGTGTCGGTCTGCAGCTGCTAAGCCAAGAAGATCTGGGAAGGAGTCAGTCAGAGAGCCTTGGGCTGGAGTTCCAGGGGCTCTGGGAGTGGCTGCCAGGTGAGCTGAACAGTCCGATTTCTAGTGGGGTCCCGCACAGATGGGACATGGCTTAGGAGGAATCCCGGGCTGCAGGCATTCCTTGGCCTGGTGGTCAGATTTCTGGCACTTGTAGCAAGCTCCTGGGAGAGGCGATTCTGGAGGAACGCCTGGCCACTGCGCTTTAGGCGTTTGGAAGCTCTTGTGTGCTGGAGATGTGGCTGGGGTTTGTCTCACAGTGGAGGCAAGGAATTGCAACTGAGAAATATGTTGCTACTTGGCTGCCTGTACTCTATTATTGTACACCTTGAAGGCGAGGTTAATTAAGTCCTGTTATGGGGTTTGAGGGCCGGAATTTAATTTTTGGAATTTTATTTAATGTCGGGAGCAGATTGGGTAATAAAATGTATATTGAGAATAAGACGGCCTTTTGACCTTTTAGGGTCTAGGGCTGTAAAGCGTCTCAGGGTTGCTGCCAAACGAGCCATGAACTGGGGCGGATTTTTATATTTGATGCAAAAGAGCCTAAACCTTATCTGATTTGGGATAAAGAAAAAGGAGCATTAACCTTGACTATGCCTTTAGCTCCAGCCACCTTTTTAAGAGTAAATTGCTGGGCAGGTTGGGGAGGGCTAGTCATGGAATGAAACTGTAAGCCAGACCCAGTGTAAGGAGAGGAGGTGATAAAAGGATTATAGGGTGGAGGAGCAGAGGCTGAGGAAGAATTGGGACCTAGCTCAGCCTGGCAAGAAGGGGAGAGGTCAGATGGGTCTGTAGAAAAGGAAGATTAGAAAGACTCAGAGACACTTGGGGTTGGGACTGAGGGGAGAGGTGGGAGGGAAAGAAAGAAGATTTGGGATGAGTTGCTTTGGGAACAGAGACTAGGGAGGGACCGATGTGTAAAAGAATGCCTGGACGTGAGGCGCCTCAGACCATTTGCCCATTTATGACAAGAATTATCTAGATCTTGTAGGATGGAAAAATTGAAAGTGCCATTTTCTGGCTATTTGGAACCACTGTTGAGTTTGTATTGGGGTCAAGCGGCATTGTAGAAGAAAATAAGGCATTTAGGTTTTAGGTCAGGTGTGAGTTGAAGAGGTTTTAGGTTTTGAAGAACACAGGCTAATGGAGAAGAAAGGGGAATGGAGAGTGGAAGCTTGCCCATAGTGAAGGAGGCAAGCCTAGAGAAAAGAGAGAGTAGAGACACAAAGAGAAGGGGTGGGGTGGTCTTGCCTTCCAGAAAAGCAGGAAATGGGTTGGGGCACAGAAATAAAGGGTTGGGGTGCAGAGATAGGAGGTCAGGTTGTGGAAATAAGGGATCAGGGCACAGAGATAAGAGGGCGGGGCATGGAAATAAGGGATCGGGGTGCAGAGATAAGAGGGTGGGTTTCCTGTGCCTCCCCCAGAAAAGCAGGACTTGCTGCTAAGGGTGAAGGACCAAGGCAGGTGTCCCTGCGTGGTATGACACCTCTGAAACCTGGGTGAATAATCAGAGAGGCGTCCCTGCAATGATTAAACACCAAGGGAAGGCTGCCTTCCCTAGTCCGCGACCGGCACCGGAGTTTTGGGTCCACAGATAAAACGTGTCTCCTTGGTCTCTACCGGAAAATGAAAGGAATTGAAATTAAGAGAAGGGAGAAATTGAAGTGTGGTGCCAAGATTGAAAGGAGAAAGAGGTTGAAGGATAGTGAGGGAAGTTGGAGAAGAGAGTAAAAAGAAGCTGCTTCCCAGATTTGAAATTGGTGAGATGTTTCTTGGGCTGGTCAGTCTGAGGACCTGAGGTCGTAGGTGGATCTTTCTCACAGAGCAAAGAGCAGGAGGACAGGGGATTGATCTCCCAAGGGAGGTCCCCCAATCCGAGTCACAGCACCAAATTTCACATGCATCCATGTGAAGAGACCACCAAACAGGCTTTGTGTGAGCAATAAAGCTGTTTATTTCACCTGGGTTCAGGTGGGCTGAGTCCAAAAAGAGAGTCAGTGAAGGGAGATGGGGTGGGGCCATTTTATAGGATTTGGGTAGGTAAAGGAAAAAGGGGGGTTGTTCTCTGGCAGGCAGGAGTGGGGGTCACAAGGTGCTCAGTAGGGGAGCTTTTGAGCCAGGATGAGCAAGGAGAAGGAATTTCACAAGATAATGTCATCAGTTAAGGCAGGAACCGGCCATCTGGATGTGTACATGAAGGTCACAGGGGATATGATGGCTTAGCTTGGGCTCAGAGGCCTGACACTCTTCCTCCACAGGAGGAGACCCAGACAGAAGAGGAGGAGGCAAGGTGATCACAGAGGCAGAGATTGGATCATGCAGCCACAAGTTGAGGAATTCTAGTAGCCTCTATAAGCTGGAAGATGCAAGGAATGGATTCTCCCCTAGAACCTCTGAAAGGAGCATGCTCCTGCTAACCTTTGATTGATTTTGGACTTCTGGCCTCCAGACAATTTTTTTTTTTTTTTTTTTTTTTAGACAGAGGCTTGCTTTGTTGCCCAGTCTGGAGTGCAGTGGCATGATCTCGGTTCACTGCAACCTCCACCTCCTGGGCTCAAGCCATTCTCTTGCTTCAGCCTCCCAAGAAGTGGGGACTACAGGTGCCTGCCACCATGCATGGCTAATTTTTGCATTTTTAGTAGAGACGAGGTTTTGCCATATTGGCCAGGCTGGTCTCGAATTCCTGACCTCAAGTCATCCACCCACCTCGGCCTCCCAAAGTGCTGAGATTATTTAGGTGTGAGCCACAGCACCCAGCCCAGACATTGTTTGAAGCCACCCATTTCATGGTTCTTTGCTGCAGTGGTTGTGGAATATGAATGCACTCATGCTGTTGGTTAGACTTTGCTGACCTTGTGTCTGTTATTCCCTGGCAGTTCTACAAGGCCTGGAGCTGATACGAAAAACCTCCCTTCTTTCCCAAATGGTCCCCAGCTTCCCCGTTCACTGAAGACCCTGCAGTCAGGAACAGTCAGGACTTTGCACCCAGTTGTTGTGCGTGTTTGGCCGACCCTTCCTCTTGTGTGATTCGTGGACCCTTAGCATTGCATTACCAGGGAGCTTTTGGAATTGAAGACTCTCAGGGCTCACCCGGAAGGACCTCCTGGGCCAGAATCTGCATTTTAACAAGATGCCCAGGTGATTTGCATACACGTCCAGATCTGAGAAGCGCTAGTAGGAGAGGCTTTAAGGTGGTAATTAGATCTTTTCTCCACCTGCAAGAATCTTAGTTTCTTCATGTTAAATCTATTAACTGTGGCAATGTCATGGGTGTTATAAAACAAAACAAAATCCTTACATCAAGAATGCACCCTGGTGTGTTATGGATATGGGTGAAATGAAATGTCTGGAATTTGCTTTAAAATGTCCTAAAATAGCAAGAAGGAAAAGAAAAGTGGGAACTGGAATGAGATTGGAGAAATGTTGACAAGTTCTTCCAGTGGGATGATGGATGCATGGGGGTTCATGGTATAATTCTCTCCCTGCTTTTTGTGTATATGGGAAATTTCCATAATGAAACGTTAGAGGTTGGGCACGGTGGCTCATGCCTGTAATCTCAGCATTTTGGGAGGCTGAGGTGGGTAGACTGCTTGAACCTAGGAGTTCAAGACCATCCTGGACAACATGGTGAAACCCCATCTCTACTAAAAATGCAAAAATTAGGCATGGTGACAACATGCCTGTAGTCATGTTGAGGCACAAGGTTGAGACATGAGAATCACTTGAACCCAGGAGGCGGAGGTTGCAGTGAGCCAAGATCGCACCATTTCACTCCAGCCTGGGTGACAGAGTGAGACTTGGTCTCAAAAAAAATTTTAATTTTCTATTTTTTTTGAGATGGGGTCTTGCCCTTTTGCCCAGGCTGGAGGGTAGTGGTGTGATCTTGGCTCACTGCAAGCTCCACCTCCCGAGGTCACTCCATTCTTCTGCCTCAGCCTCCAGAGTAGCTGGGACTATAGGCACCCAGCACCATGTCCGGCTAATTGTTTGTATTTTTAGTAGAGATGGGGTTTCACCGTGTTAGCCAGGATGGTCTCCATCTCCTCACCTCGTGATCTGCCCACCTTGGCCTCCCAAAGTGCTGGGATTACAGGAATGAGCCATCTTGCCCGGCCTTAATTTTGTTTAATTTTTTTCTTTTTTGAGACAGGATCTGTAGCCCAGGCTGGAGTGCAGTGGTGCGATCCCTGCTCACTGCAGCCTCTACCTCCTGGGTTCAAGCGATCCTCCCACCTCAGCCTCCCGAGTAGCTGAGACCACAGGCATGTATCACCACACCTGGCTAATTTTTTCCCTTTTTCTAGAGGCAAGGTCTTGCTGTTTTGCCCAGGCTGGTCTTGAACTCCTGAGTTCAAGCAATTTTCCCATCTCAGCCTGGGAGTAATCCCAAAGTGCTGGGATTACAGGTGCGAGTCACTCTACCCAGCCTCAACTGTT
This sequence comes from Homo sapiens, assembly GCF_000001405.40. Lineage (NCBI taxonomy): Eukaryota > Metazoa > Chordata > Mammalia > Primates > Hominidae > Homo > Homo sapiens. The sequence goes on from NC_000011.10 coordinate 67,859,155, forward strand.
TTTCATGACTCCACTTTTTCTCCCCTCTTGAAAATGAGTAGTCTTTGAGGGAATGTCTTTTTTGTCTCAATCTCTGGTTTCTTTGCTCAGTGCACCTGTGTTTGGGGTTTTGTTGCTCTCCAGGCCTTTTTCAGCAGTGTTGACCCTGGAGAGCAGGATGGGAGCTGATGGCTCCTCAGCATCTTTTAACTCAGTTTAAAGATGACTATCAACAACATCTAGTCAGCATCTGTTGCTCTCAGCAGCTGGGACTTCATTTCTTTTCTCTTTCTCCACCTCTCTAACCTCTTTAAGACTCTGTCTTTGTCATGGGTACAGCATCACCTGTGTGGCCCTTAGGCTCTCTTACTTACATGTGATCTGCGTATTATGTCTTTACTTCAGGGTTTCTCAACCAGGGGGTGATTTTGCCCCCCAGAGAACATGTGGCCATGTCTGGAGACAATTTTGGTTGTTGCAGCTGGAGGAGGTGGTGCTACTGGCAGCTAATGGGTAGAGGCCAGTGATGCTGCTAAACATCCTACAATTCCGCGGACAACTCCCACTAAGACAAAATAATGATCCAGCCCCAAAGGTCAATAGTGCTGAAAGTGAGAGACCCTGATTCCATCTTAGAGATCATCCAAGCACACTTGGCCAAATTGTTTTTGCTACTGTCCCATGAAGAAAAGGCAGACTCATGACTGATGGCAACATCGATGGGAATTTTGTTTACCTCTTCTTTGTGGACCTTGGGATACGATGACTTACCATTTGTGCAAGTTGTGCATTGCATACCTCCAGGGGGCGCCACCCACATATTTATGAAAATGCCACCCCAGAAATTGCACAGTACATAGTCTACATGGCAATAAGCAGTTGCTCTGGTTTTGGGGTTGCCCTGAGGTGCTCTGGAACTGGGAGGAACTTTATTTCTGGCCATTAGAGGCCCTGAGCATGACATTGAGTACCCTTTCAAGAAAGGAGAAATGTTGAACAGAGAGGACCTCATTTTTATAACTCTTGACCATCATCTAGTTACGGAGCATCCACTTTTCACCCCTGGGCCATATCCATTTGACGGATGAAAAATCATCAAATTATAATATCATGGCTTATACTTTTGATAGCTTCTGCCTGGAACATGGCGGTAACAACTTCTCATTTTCAATTGATTCACTGGGGGGAGAAAATATACACGGCTGCCCTAAGACTTTCTATTACATACCATTTGTTTGACGGAATTTCTTTAGTTTCTGTAGCATAACTTATTCTAACTGGTCCTCAATCACTTTGCAATAAAACCTGAGATTGTGAAGATGTTCATTGTCATTACCAGTGACGGAGCAGTAAGTACAGAGTTCTGGAGAGGGAAGGAACCGAGAGATTTAAACTAGCAGAATGAGCCGCTCACCCTCAGAGTTGCTTTTAATCTTGGCGAGAACTGAGGGGAATTTTGACAGGGTTCAGGGGGACTGCGGGGAGTGGGGCTGGGAAGTGGCTATTTGCACGTGTGGTCAGCAAATCCAGTGAGGGGGTCCATGTACTGTGGGCAGCCCCGCAGATGGAGTTGGGATTGCCCTAGACTGAGTACTGGGTCATCAGTACTCAAGACATCGAGGCCCAGGCTGGTGCAGGAGATACATTGCACTGCTTCAGCCTTTCTTCTATCGCTCCTCTCCAATGACAGTCCCCGATTTTCCACCGAGGAGTCACTAGTTCCCCACGACATGTGTGCGACTGGCCATTCCCCACCTTGATCTGGAGCTGGGGCATGTGGTCCCAGCCTGGATGTCAGTATCCTTCCACCACCCTGGCCACAGTGATTGGGTCTGAGAAGCAGATTAGCCAAAGGAGAAACAGTCTTGGAAATTTCATGTTCATGCTTAAGAAAGTAAAATGGAAAGCGGGGGGAGGGTCAGGGGTCATTCTGATGATATAGTTTTAGGACCTGGATGTAGCCACACCTGTAGCTGTCAACTCTGTGCCATAATACTGCTTTTTTTTTTTTTTCCTTCAAATTTAAATACTTTCTAAAGGCAAGGTCTTGCTATGTTGCTTAGGCTGGTTTTGAAAAGTCCCTTTTGGGGGGATGCTTTCACTGCTTCACTTCCTTTCTATGACAGCTCAGGGAATCAGAAGACAAGGGAGATGATTTTTTTTTTTTTTTTTTTTTTTTTGAGACAGGGCTTGCTCTGTTGCCCAGGCTGGAGTGCAGTGGTGCAATCACAGCTCGCCACAGCCTTGATCTTCTGGACTCAAGCGACCCTCCTGCTTCAGCCTCCTGAGTAGCTGGGACTGTAGGTGGGTACCAACATGCCCAGCTAATTAAATTTTTTTTTTTTTTTAGAAGTGAGATCTCACTATGTCACCCAGGCTGGCCTCAAACTCCTGGGCTCAAGTGATCGCCCTGCCTTAGCTTCCCAAACATACAGGTGTGAGCCCCCACACCAGTCAACGCTGTGGTTTTATGCACCTGGTGTCCCCCTATGCCCTGAGCAATGATCCTCCTGCTTCAACCTCCCAAAGTGCTGGGATAACAGATGTGAAGCAGCATGTGTGGCCCACATAGTATTGTTATGGGTTAAATTGAGTTCTCCTCAAAACATGTTGAAATCCTAAATTCTAACAGCTCAGAATGTGACCTTATTTAGAAATAGAGTTATTGCAGGCCAGGCGTGGTGGCTCATGCCTGCAATCCCAGCACTTTGGGAGGCCAAGGCGGGCGGATCACCTGAGGTCAGGAGTTTGAGACCAGCCTGACCAACATGGAGAAACCCCTTCTCTACTAAAAATTCAAAATTACCTGGGTGTGGTGGCACATACCTGTAATTCCAGCTACTCGGGAGGCTGAGGCAGGAGAATTGCTTGAACTCAGGAGACGGAGGTTGCATTGAGCTGAGATCGCGCTATTGCACTCCAGCCTGGGCAACAAGAGTGAAACTCCGTCTCAAAAAAAAGAAAGAAAGACAGAAAGAAAGAAAAGAAAGAAATAGGGTTATTGCAGATGCTATTGATTAGGATGAAGTCATCCTGGAGTAAGGAGGGCCTAAGTCAATGACTGGTGTCCTTATAAAAGAGGAGAGGACACGCCGAGTCACAGAGACACAGGGAAGAAGGCCATGGATTGGACGGAAGATTGGACTGATGCGTATGCAAACCAAGAAACACTGAAGACTGCCAGGAGACCACAGGAAGCTACGAAGAGGCAAGGCAGGACTCCCCGACAAGTGCAGGAGGGAGCGTGGCCCTGCTGGCACCTCCGTTTCAGACTGCTGGCTACCAGAGCCACAAGACAATCAATTTCTCTGGTTTCAAGTCACCCAGCTTTTGGTACTTGGTTGTGGCAGCCCTAGGGAATGAATATAAGCACTTTCTCTTTTTTTTTTTCTTTTTTTGAGATGGAGTCTCGCTCTGTTACCCAGGCTGGAGTGCAGTGGCGAGATCTCAGCTCACTGCAGGCTCCACCTCTTGGGTTCACGCCATTCTCCTGCCTCAGCCTCCTGAGTAGCTGGGACTACAGGCGCCCGCCACCACGCCCAGCTAATTTTTTGTATTTTTAATAGAGACAAGATTTCACCGTGTTAGCCAGGATGGTCTCCATCTCCTGACCTCATGATCCGCCTGCCTCAGCCTCCCAAAGTGCTGGGATTACAGGCATGAGCCACGACACCCGGCCGAATATAAGTACTTTTAAATTAACTTTCCTCTTCTCTCCATCTTCTTCTAAATCATCATTTTTGCCTAAGCAACAGCTAGGGTCTAATACAGATGTGATGACTCACTTCAAAGTGGGGGAAGCCCCCATGTGCACCCAAAGCTCCTGCTGCCTTGGCCATGGCTTCAGATACTGGACCATCATTGTGGAGGCTTGCTGGAGATCTGAGCCAGGACACCATTCTCTGTTGCCTTTAAACAAAGGCTGGTGCTCGCCCAGGCATGTAAGCTCCACCGAGGATCTATTTGGAGGACAGAATTCTGAGATGACCCCTTAGGTTCTTGCCCTGGATAAATGCCAGGTGTAATCTCCTCTCCCCTGGAGTGTAGGCAGGACCCGTGGCTTGCTTCTAATCTATATCTATGGAAAAGTTGAAGGGATTTTGCAGATGTAACTAAGCCCCTAATCCATTCACTTTGAGTTAATCAAAAGGGAGATTATTCAGGGTGGGCCTGACATCTTCAGGTGAGATCTTCAATGAAGGTCTGGAAGAGAGAGACTCCTTCCTCCTGGTTTTTGTTTTTTGTTTGTTTGTTTGTTTTTGACATGGAGTCTCACTCTGTTGCCCAGGCTGGAGTGCAGTGGCACGATCTCGGCTTACTGCAACCTCTGCCTCCTGGGTTCAAGTGATTCTACTGCCTCAGCCTCCCAAGTAGCTGGGATTACAGGTGTGCGCCATCATGCCCGGCTAAGTTATGTAGAGACGGGGTTTCACCATATTGGCCAGGCTGGTCTCGAACTCCTGACATCAGGTGATCCCCTGCCTCGGCCTCCGAAAGTGCTGGGATTACAGGCGTGAGCCACCATGCCTGGCTGGTTTTGAAGAAGCCAGCCACATGAGTTTCACAGTTGCATGGAAATAAATTCTGCCAACAACCATGTGAGGTTGGGAGAAGACCCCAAGCCTCATATGACACACTAATTCCAGCCGGCACCTTGATCACAACCTTGTAAGAACCTGAGCAGAGGACCCAGCTAAAGCTGCACCCCCAGACTCATGACCCACAGGAAAGGAGAGGTAATAGATGGATGTTTTAAGCTGCTAAATTTGTGTTGATTTGTTATGCAGCTTAGAAAATGAATACATCATTCCATTTTTAAAAAATCATAAGCTAATCACACCATTCGATTTCTTTCTTTTTTTTTTTTTTTTTTGAGACAGAGTCTACCCTATCACCCAGGCTGGAGTGCAATGGTGCAATCTTGGCTCACTGTAACCTCTGCCTCCCAGGTTCAAGTGATTCCCTTGCCTCAGCCCCCCAAGTAGCTGGGACTACAGGCAAGCACAACCACACCCAGCTAATTTTTATATTTTTAGTAGAGATGGAGTTTCACCATTTTGGCCAGGCTGGTCTCGAACTCCTGACCTCAAGTGACCTGCCTGCCTCAGCCTCCCAAAGTGCTGGGGTTACTGACATGAGCCACCGCACCCGGCCTGACACACCATTCAACTTTAAGGAACTTCCAGGTGCTGTGGTCACGCCCCTCTTGTGTGGCATGCAGGTGGGGAGAGATGGGTTGGAAGATGACTGGATGGGGGCATGGAGCTAGGTGGGAAGAGGAAAAGTGTCTTGAAGGAAGTAAGTCCCTTCAGATAAGGGAGGGAGAAGCTTGATCAATATGCAGACTTTCACAGTCCTTCAGTCCTGGGGATATTGGTGGAGAGACAGGTCTTGCCTTACATTTGAGAGTTACCATCCCAGGCAGAGGCCCTACTTCCACCTTCTTGCAGGTGGGGCTGGCGAGCAAATACTTAGAGGAGAAACGAACACCCTTTGTAAGAATGTGAAAAGTTTCTGGAGTGGAGAGATGATGAAGCAGGATATTTGGAGTCAACAGCCAAGGTTTTTATTTTATTTTTTATTTTTTATTATACTTTAAGTTTTAGGGTACATGTTCACAACGTGCAGGTTTGTTACATATGTATACATGTGCCATGTTGGTGTGCTGTACCCATTAACTCGTCATTTAACATTAGGTATATCTCTTAATGCTATTCCTCCCCCCTCCCCCAACCCCACAACAGACCCCAGTGTATGATGTTCCCCTTCCTGTGTCCATGTGTTCTCATTGTTTAATTCCTACCTATGAGTGAGAACATGCGGTGTTTGGTTTTTTGTTCTTGCAATAGTTTACTGAGAATGATGGTTTCCAGCTTCATCCATGTCCCTACAAAGGACGTAAACTCATCATTTTTTATGGTTGCATAGTATTCCATGGTGTATATGTGCCACATTTTCTTAATCCAGCCTATCGTTGTTGGACATTTGGCTTGGTTCCAAGCCTTTGCTATTGTGAATAGTGCCATTATAAACATACGTGTACATGTGTCTTTATAGCAGCATGATTTATAATCCTTTGGGTATATAGCCAGTAATGGGATGGCTGGGTCAAATGGTATTTCTAGTTCTAGATCCCTGAGGAATTGCCACACTGAATTCCACAATGGTTGAACTAGTTTACAGTCCCACCAACAGTGTAAAAATGTTCCTATTTCTCCACATCCTCTCCAGCACCTGTTTTTTCCTGATTTGTTAATGATCGCCATTCTAACTGGTGTGAGATGGTATCTCATTGTTGTTTTGACTTGCATTTCTCTGGCCAGGGATGATGAGCATTTTTTTCACGTGTCTCTTGGCTGCATAAATGTCTTCTTTTTAGAAGTGTCTGTTCATATCCTTTGCCCACTTTTTGATGGGATTGTTTGGTTTTTTCTTGTAAATTTATTGGAGCTCATTGTAGATTCTTGATATTAGCCCTTTGGCAGATGAGTAGATTGCAAAAATTTTCTCCCATTCTGTAGGTTGTCTGTTCACTCTGATGGTAGTTTCTTTTGCTGTGCAGAAGCTCTTGAGTTTAATTAGATCCCATTTGTTAATTTTGGCTTTTCTTGCCATTGCTTTTGGTGTTTTAGACTTGAAGTCCTTGCCCATGCCTATGTCCTGAATGGTATTGCTGAGGTTTTCTTCTAGGGTTTTTATGGTTTTAGGTCTAACATTTAAGTCTTTAATCCATCTTGGATTAATTTTTGTATAAGGTGTAAGGAAGGGATCCAGTTTCAGCTTTCTACATACGGCTAGCCAGTTTTCCCAGCACCATTTATTAAATATGGAATCCTTTCCCCATTGCTTGTTTTTCTCAGGTTTGTCAAAGATCAGATGGTTGTAGATATGTGGCATTATTTCTGAGGGCTCTGTTCTGTTCCATTGGTCTATATCTCTGTTATTGTACCAGTACCATGATATTTTGATTACTGTAGCCTTGCAGTATAGTTTGAAGTCAGGTAGCGTGATGCCGCTAGCTTTGTTCTTTTGGCTTAGGACTGACTTGGAAATGTGGGCTCTTTTTTGGTTCCATATGAACTTTAAAGCAGTTTTTTCCAATTCTGTGAAGAAAGTCATTTGTAACTTGATGGGGATGGCATTGAATCTATAAATTACCTTGGGCAGTATGGCCATTTTCACGATATTGATTCTTCCTACCCATGAGCATGGAATGTTCTTCCATTTGTTTGTATCCTCTTTTATTTCATTGAGCAGTGGTTTATAGTTCTCCTTGAAGAGGTCCTTCACATCCCTTGTAAGTTGGATTCCTAGGTATTTTATTCTCTTTGAAGCAATTGTGAATGGGAGTTCACTCATGATTTGCCTCTCTGTCTGTATTGGTGTATAAGAATGCTTGTGATTTTTGCACATTGATTTTGTATCCTGAGACTTTGCTGAAGTTGCCTATCAGCTTAAGGAGATTTTGGGCTGAGACAATGGGGTTTTCTAGATATACAATCATGTCATCTGCAAACAGAGACAATTTGACTTCCTCTTTTCTTAATTGAATACCCTTTATTTCCTTCTCCTGCCTGATTGCCCTGGCCAGAACTTCCAACACTATGTTGAATAGGAGTGGTGAGAGAGGGCATCCCTGTCTTGTGCCAGTTTTCAAAGGGAATGCTTCCAGTTTTTGCCCATTCAGTATGATATTGGCTGTGGGTTTGTCATACATAGCTCTTATTATTTTGAGATACGTCCCATCAATACTTAATTTATTGAGAGATTTTAACATGAAGGTTGTTGAATTTTGTCACAGGCCTTTTCTGCATCTAATGAGATAATCGTATGGTTTTTGTCATTGGTTCTGTTTATATGCTGGATTATGTTTACTGATTTGAATATGTTGAACCAATCTTGCATTCCAGGGAGGAAGCCCACTTGATCATGGTGGATAAGTTTTTGATGTGCTGCTGGATTCAGTTTGCCAGTATTTTATAGAGGATTTTTGCATCGATGTTCATCAAGGATATTTGTCTAAAATTCTATTTTTTGGTTGTGTCTCTGCCGGGCTTTGGTATCAAGATGATGCTGGCCTCATAAAATGAGTTAGGTAGGATTCCCTCTTTTTCTATTATTTGGAATAGTTTCAGAAGGAATGGTACCAGCTCCTCCTTGTACCTCTGGTAGAATTCGGCTGTGAATCCGTCTGGTCCTGGACTTTTTTTGGTTGGTAAGCTATTAATTATTGCCTCAATTTCAGAGCCTGTTATTGGTCTATTCAGAGATTCAACGTCTTCCTGGTTTAGCCTTGGGAGGGTGTACGTGTCGAGGAATTTATCCATTTCTTCTAGATTTTCTAGTTTATTTGCATAGAGGTGTTTATACTATTCTCTGATGGTAGTTTGTATTTTTCTGGGTTTGGTGGTGATATCCCCTTTATCAATTTTTATTGTGTCTATTTGATTCTTCTCTCTTTTCTTCTTTATTAGTCTTGCTAGTGGTCTATCAATTTTGTTGATCTTTTCAAAAAACCAGCTCCTGGATTCATGGATTTTTTGAAGGGATTTTTGTGTCTCTATTTCCTTCAGTTCTGCTCTGATCTTAGTTATTTCTTGCCTTCTGCTAGCTTTTGAATGTGTTTGCTCTTTGCTTCTCTAGTTCTTTTAATTGTGATGTTAGGGTATCAAATTTAGATCTTTCCTGTTTTCTCTTGTGGGCATTTAGTGCTATAAATTTCCCTCTACACACTGCTTTGAATGTGTCCGAGAGATTCTGGTATGTTGTGTGTTTGTTCTCGTTGGTTTCAAAGAACACCTTTATTTCTGCCTTCATTTCATTATGTACCTGTAGGGGTGGGTTGCCCCTCCACACCTGTGGGTGTTTCTCGTAAGGTGGAACGAGAGACTTAGGAAAGAAAAAGACACAGAGACAAAGTATAGAGAAAGAAATAAGGGGACCCGGGGAACCAGCGTTCAGCATATGGAGGATCCCGCCAGCCTCTGAGTTCCCTTAGTATTTATTGATCATCTGTGGGTGTTTCTCGAAGAGGGGGATGTGTCAGGGTCACAAGACAATTGTGGGGAGAGGGTCAGCAGACAAACACGTGAACAAAGGTCTTTGCATCATAGACAATGTAAAGGATTAAGTGCTGTGCTTTTAGATATGCATACACATAAACATCTCAATGCTTTACAAAGCAGTATTGCTGCCCGCAGGTCCCACCTCCAGCCCTAAGGCGGTTTTTCCCTATCTCAGTAGATGGAGCATACAATCGGGTTTTATACCGAGACATTCCATTGCCCAGGGACGGGCAGGAGACAGATGCCTTCCTCTTGTCTCAACTGCAAGAGGCATGCCTTCCTCTTATACTAATCCTCCTCAGCACAGACCCTTTACGGGTGTCGGGCTGGGGGACGGTCAGGTCTTTCCCTTCCCACGAGGCCATATTTCAGACTATCACATGGGGAGAAACCTTGGACAATACCTGGCTTTCCTAGGCAGAGGTCCCTGCGGCCTTCCGCAGTTTTTGTGTCCCTGGGTACTTGAGATTAGGGAGTGGTGATGACTCTTAACGAGCATGCTGCCTTCAAGCATCTGTTTAACAAAGCACATCTTGCACCGCCCTTAATCCATTTAACTCTGAGTTGACACAGCACATGTTTCAGAGAGCACGGGGTTGGGGGTAAGGTCACAGAATCTCAAGGCAGAAGAATTTTTCTTAGTACATAACAAAATGGAGTCTCCTATGTCTACTTCTTTCTACACAGACACAGTGACAATCTGATCTCTCTTGCTTTTCCCCACATGTACCCAGTAGTCATTCAGGAGCAGGTTGTTCAGTTTTCATGTAGTTGAGTAAAGTTTTGAGTGAGTTTCTTAATCCTGAGTTCTAGTTTGATTGCACTGTGGTCTGAGAGACAGTTTGTTATAATTTCTGTTGTTTTACATTTGCTGAAGAGTGCTTCACTTCCAAATATGTGGTCAATTTTGGAATAAGTGTGTTGTGGTGCTGAGAAGAATGTATATTCTGTTGATTTGGGGTGGAGAGTTCTGTAGATGTCTATTAGGTCCGCTTGGTGCAGAGCTGAGTTCAATTGCTGAATATCCTTGTTAACTTTCTGTCTTGTTGATCTGTCTAATGTTGACAGTGGGGTGTTAAAGTCTCCCATTATTATTGTGTGGGAGTCTAAGTCTCTTTGTAGGTCTCTAAGGACTTGCTTTTTGAATCTGGGTGCTCCTGTATTGGGTGCATATATATTTAGTATAGTTAGATCTTCTTGTTGAATTGATCCCTTTACCATTATGTAATGGCCTTCTTTGTCTCTTTTGATCTTTGTTGGTTTAAAGTCTGTTTTATCAGAGACTAGGATTGCAACACCTGCCTTTTTTTTTGTTTTCCATTTGCTTGGTAGATCTTCCTCCATCCCTTTATTTTGAGCCTATGTGTGTCTCTGCACATGAGGTGGGTTTCCTGAATACAGCACACTGATGGGTCTTGACTCTTTATCCAATTTGCCAGTCTGTCTTTTAATCAGAGAATTTAGCCCATTGACATTTAAGGTTCATATAGTTATGTGTGAATTTGATCCTGTCATTATGTTAGCTGGTTATTTTGCACATTAGTTGATGCAGTTTCTTCCTAGCCTTTATGGTCTTTACAATTTGGCATGTTCTTGCAGTGGCTGGTACTGATTGTTCCTTTCCATGTTTAGTGCTTCCTTCAGGAGCTCTTGTAGGGCACGCCTGGTGGTGACAAAATCTCTCAGCATTTGCTTGTCTGTAAAGTATTTTATTTCTCCTTCACTTATGAAGCTTAGTTTGGCTGGATTTGAAATTCTGAGTTGACAATTTTTTTCTTTAAGAATGTTGAATATTGGCCCCCACTCTCTTCTGGCTTGTAGAGTTTCTGCCAAGAGATCAGCTGTTAGTCTGATGGGCTTCCCTTTGTGGGTAACCTGAACTTTCTCTCTGGCTGCCCTTAACATTTTTTCCTTCATTTTAACTTTGGTGAATCTGACAATTATGTGTCTTGGAGTTGCTCTTCTTGAGGAGTATCTTTGTGGTGTTCTCTGTATTTCCTGAATTTGAATGTTGGCCTGCCTTGCTAGATTGGGGAAGTTCTCCTGCATAATATCCTGCAGAGTGTTTTCCAACTTGGTTCCATTCTCTCTGTCACTTTGAGGTACACCAATTAGACATAGATTTGGTCTTTTCACATAGTCCCATATTTCTTGGAGGCTTTGTTCATTTCTTTTTATTCCTTTTTCTCTAAACTTCTCTTCTTGCTTCATTTCATTGATTTCATCTTCCATCACTGATACCCTTTCTTCCAGTTGATCGAATCGGCTACTGAGGCTTGTGCATTTGTCACGTAGTTCTCGTGCCTTGGTTTTCAGCTCCATCAGGTCCTTTAAGGACTTCTCTGCATTGGTTATTCTAGTTAGCCATTCGTCTAATTTTTTTTCAAGGTTTTAACTTCTTTGCCATGGGTTCGAACTTCCTCCTTTAGCTCAGAGTAATTTAATCGTCTGAAGCCTTCTTCTCTCAACTCGTCAAAGTCATTTTCTGTCCAGCTTTGTTCCATTGCTGGTGAGGAGCTGCATTCCTTTGGAGGAGAGGCACTCTGATTTTTAGAGTTTCTAGTTTTTCTGCTCTGTTTTTTTCCCCATCTTTCTGGTTTTATCTACCTTTGGTCTTTGATAATGGTGACGTACAGATGGGGTTTTAGTGTGGATGCCTTTTCTGTTTGTTAGTTTTCCTTCTAAGAATCAGGACCCTCAGCTGCAGGTCTGTTGGAGTTTGCCTGGGTGTCAGCAGTGGAGGCTGCAGAACAGTGGATATTGGTGAGCAGCAAATGTTGCTGCCTGATTGTTCCTCTGGAAGTTTTGTCTCAGAGGAGTACCCGGCCATGTGAGGTGTCAGTCTGCCCCTACGGGGGGGTGCCTCCAGTTAGGCAACTCTGGGATCAGGGACCCACTTGAGGAGGCAGTCTGTCCATTCTCAGATCTCCAGCTGCATGCTGGGAGAACCACTACTCTCTTCAAAGCTGTCAGACAGGGATATTTAAGTCTGCAGAGGATTCTGCTGCCTTTTGTTTGCCAATGCCCTGCCCCCAGAGGTGGAGTCTACAGAGGCAGGCAGGCCTCCTTGAGCTGTGGTGGGCTCCACCCAGTTGGAGCTTCCCAGCTGCTTTGTTTACCTACTGAAGCCTAGGCAATGGCGGACGCCCCTCCCCCAGTCTTGCTGCCACCTTGCAGTTTGATCTCAGACTGCTGTGCTAGCAATGAGTGAGGCTCCATGGGTTTAGGACCCTCCAAGGCAGGCGCAGGATATAATCTCCTGGTGTGCCGTTTGCTAAGACCATTGGAAAAGTGCAGTATTAGGGTGGGAGTGACCCGATTTTCCAGGTGACATCTGTCACCCATTTCTTTAACTAGGGAAGGGAATTCTCTGACCCCTTGCACTTCCCTGGTGAGGCAATGCCTCGCCCTGCTTGGGCTCATGCTCAGTGCACTGCACCAAGTGTCCTGCACCCACTTTCTGACATTCCCCAGTGAGATGAACCCAGTACCTCAGTTGGAAATGCAGAAATCACCTGTCTTCTGCATCGCTCATGCCAGGAGTTGTAGACTGGAGCTGTTCCTATTCGGCCATCTTGGCTCCACCCCCACTATTATGATTCTTACACAGAGTCCTTTGCTTTCCAGCAGCCTCCTCTTCCTCCTTTTTAGGTTGGAATCCCTCTATTTTAGTGGCCACTGGGATTCTGATATGACCAGGTCTTTGTCTCAGAGACCTCACACATGCTCTTCCCTCTGCCTGGAACACTTTTCCTTGCTCTGGTCCCCTGAGATCTCTTTCAGCTCAACTGCCCCATGCTCAGAGACCCCCTTTCTCCCTCTCTAGTTTGAAGCCAGTTTACCCCTGTAGTCTGTGCCTGGAAAACTCCTTTTCCTCCTTGATGCCTCCTGAATTGTCACAGGATGTATGTGCCTGTTTGGGTGTCTGGTGTCTGTCTCCCCAACTGGACTGCATGCTCCTGGTGAGCTGGAGGGACTGGACTAGCACAGGCCAAGGCCCTGGGGCTGGATGGAGCAGGGCAGAAGGCACAGGCAAAAGGCCTTTGTGATCCAGAAGGAAGTGAAGGAGAGGGAGAGAGATGAGAGAGGCTGGCAGAAGATGGGCCAGGGGCCAGGCTGTGTGGAATCTTTTGGGCCACAGAAAGACATTTGAATTCTTATGTAAGAGAACCAGGACACCATTGGAAGGTATGAGTCACCTCATCTAACTGAGCTCTGTAAATGTCAATGTTTTATTATTTTTATACAATTATTTAAAAGTGATTTTAGTTATTTACCTTTTTATTTTTATTACTTTTATTTTTTTTGAGACAAAATCTTGCTCTGTTGCCCAAACTGGAGTGCAATGTCATGATCTCAGCTCACTTCAACTTCCACCTCCTGGGTTCAAGTGATTCTCCTGTATCAGACTCCCGAGTAGCTGTCATTGTAGGCATCTGCCACCACGCCCAGCTTATTTTTGTATTTTTAGGATAGATGATGTTTCACCATGTTGGCCAAGCTGGTCTTGAACTCCTGACCTCAGGTGATCCACCTGCCTCAGCCACCCAAAGTGCTGGGATTACAGGGGTGAGTCACCATGCTTGGCCTTATTTACTTTTTTAAAAAAGATCAGGCCAGTCACGGTAGCTCATGTCTCCAATCTCAGCACTTTGAGAGGGTGAGGTGGGATGATCACTTGAGGCCAGGAGTTCAAAACCAGCCCAGGCAACATAGTGAGACACCCCCTGCCCCAATTTCTAAGAAAATGAGAAAATTAGGCATGGTAGCTTGTCTGTATCCCCAGCTACTGGCGAGCCTGAGCTAGGCAGGACTGCTTGACACCAGGAGTTTGAGGCTCCACTGAGCTGTGATTATGCCACTGAGCTACAGCCTGGGCAACAGAGTGAGACCCCGGAGCCACCTCAGCCTCCCTAGAGCTGAAAGAGTTTTTGCTTCTTATCACAGGGAATGACAGACGCTGGGGCTTTGATGGGTATCGGGTGAAACAGGCAGAGTGACGCTTACCTGGCATGGCAGTGAAGTGGAACGGGGAGGTCATTGTGACAAGGGGCGGCATGAGGTACTTGGCCTTGACGCCCTCCCCGGCCAGATGGTCCATGTTGGGGGTGTCCACATCCTGATCCTAGTCCCAGCGGAAGCCCTGGAAGGAGATCAGCAGCAGTTGTGAGTGCTCTTCTTCCCTGGGAGGGGGTGGCCGCCCAGCAGGACAGGCGATGGCAGCAGCAGCTGGAGGGCACCGAACCATGTCATCCCACGAGCACCTGTCATGCACTCCTCACAGAGTTCATGGGCTTCGCCCTCTTTAGTCCGTTGTTGAACAAAGTCCACATTAATAATGCAGCCCAGCTCTGTTGTGGGATAAACAACCTGGAGTGTAGCAAGGTGCTACATATTTGCAGGACAGTATGAAAGCGTTCTGGAGATGGATGGAGGACATGGCCGTACAACATGGTGGATGCACTTAACACCATTGAATTTTTCCTTTGAAAATGGCTAAAATAATAGATTTTGTATGTATTTTACCACAATAAAAAATCAAACTGGCCGGGCATGGTGGCTTACACCTGTAATCCCAGCACTTTGGGAGGCCAAGGCGGGTAGATCATTTGAGGTCAGGAGTTCAAGACCAGCCTGGCCAACATGGAGAAACCCCACCTCTACTAAAAATGCAAAAATTAGCCAGGCGTGGCGGTACATGTCTGTAATCCCAGCTACTCGGGAGGCTGAGGCAGGAGAATTGCTTGAACCCGGGAGGCGGAGGTTGCAGTGAGCCGAGATTGTGCCACTGCATTCCAACCTGGACGATGGAAAGAGACTGCATCTCCAAAAAAAAAAAAAAAAAATCAAACCACATGAAATATTTTGGACACTTATACTAATTCCAACATTTTGAAGATCTGGGGAGAACAAACTAGATTGGTGCTTTCCTTGGCTTAGTATGTTCTGTTTTTATAGGGAGAGCAAATTATTGTTCACCAGCACTATTAAAATAGCTACAACAGGATGGGCATGGGGGCTCACACCTGTAATCCCAGCACTTTGGGAAGCTGAGGTGGGAGGATCGCTTGAGCCCAGGAGTTCAAGATGCCAGCCTGGGCAACATGGTGAGACCCTGTCACTACCAAAAATACAACAACAACAACAAAAATAGCTAGCTGTGGTTGCGTGCATCTGTAGTCCCAGCTACTTGAGAGGCTGAGGTGGGAGGATCACTTGTGCCCAGGAGGTTGAGGCTGCAGTAAGCCACGATTATGCCACTGTACTCAGCCTGGGTGACAGAGTGAGACCCTGTATGGAAAAAAAAATAAAAAGCTGCAGTGGACTCAGTGATCATGAGGCCAGGCACTGTATACATATACATCATCTAATTTTTTCTCTTGTTTAAAATTATTCTTTCCTCTAATCCCCATGTTGATCGACATTTTTTTTAATCCTAGGAATTAGTTGAAAATTTTGCATAAGAATTAAAAATTGCCTGGCCTGATGGCTTACACCTGTTATCCCAGCACTTTGGGAGGCTGAGATGAGAGAATCACTTGAAGCCAGGAATTTGGGCCAGTCTGGGCAATATAGCGAGAATGCAACTCTAAAAAAATTTAAAAAGCTGGGTGTGGTAGGGTTCACCTGTAGTCCCAGCTACTTGGAAGACTAGGTGGGAGGATTGCTTGAGCCCAGGCGGTAAAGGCAGCAGTGAGCTATGATTTTGCCATTGCACTGCAGCCTGGGTGATGGAGTGAAACTCTATCTCTAAAATAAATGAATAAAATTGTGGTATAATATATGCAACATTTACCATTTTGTGTATCTGAAAGTGTACAATTCAGTGATATTTTGTACATTTATCATGTTGTGCAATTATCACCACTACCTAGTTTCAGGGCTTTTTCAACACCTCAATTGGAAGCCTCATATCCATTCAGCAGTCACTCTGCATACCCCCTCCTGCAGCCCTTGGAAACCTCTCATCTACTTTCTATCTCTGTCAATTGGCTTAGTCTGAACATTGCATATAAATGGAATTCTACAATATATGACCTTTCATGTCTGCTTCTTTCACTCAGCATGTTTTTAACATTCATCCATATCACAACATGGATAAGTTTTATTTTCTTTTTAGACCCTATCTAAAAAGAAAAAAAAAATTGTAAAACAAAAACAAAAAAAATATATAGGATGGAGATCAGATGAGTCCTGCAAAGTTTATAATATTTACTGTCTAGCACTTTACATAGAAGCTTGCCTACCTCTGAATGATATGCAGGTACAGAGATGACATATATCTTGGCACTTATAGAAAGACCTATAAATTGTATAAAGACATCATCATTGGATTTCCAGTAACAAGAAGCGGCAAGACATGACGGTGTGTCCAGGTGTTCAGGTGAAGTTTAGGGAAGGTCTTGTCTTGACGAGGTCGGATGTGAGACCCAGATGAGATAATCTCATTTCCCCTGCTGAAATTGCCTGAGAATTTCATTCCAGTTATTTGCGTAGGTTGATTCTTTCGGTGGGGGTGGGGTGGGTGAGGAGGCGAAGTGTCAGGTGAGTTCTATTTTGTATTTGCACAACTTGGCTTTCTTTTCACTTAGCGTGTTTTGCTGTCTGAGGAATTTCGTAGAATTTTGTGATGAGTATGCAGCATAGTGGTTTGAATCCTGCAAGGCCGAGGGCCATATCTCAGCTCTGCAACTCGTTATCTATGATGCCTTGGGGCAGGTCCCATAACTCTCCAAGCCTCTGTTATGTATTCCATAGGGTTGTGAGGTTCAGATGAAATAATGCATTCTGGCAGGAATGGTTACTGCTCATGGGATTTCCATCTGCTCCCCGTATTCCCCAGACCCCCTGTAGTTAGATGGATCCATGCCAGGGTCCAATGCTCTATAAGTGGAAGTCACTGACATCACCTCTAGTCTACAGCTTTTGAGGGCTTGGGAATAACTATCTCATTCTCTCATCTCCTGGTGCAGTAACTATGGGAGAATCCTTGCATTAAGATGGTAGAATTTCCATCATTCTAGGTCTTTGAGTGGCCATATGGAGCACACCATACCCAGCCAACCCATTGTGGACATGGAATGTAAGAAATCAACCTTGGTTGCTAAGCTGCTGAGACTCTGGGGTTAATTTGTTACTGCAGCATAACCTAGTCCATCCTGATGCATGCAGCATGCAAACCACTTATGTTGACCCTTAGTCATGGTAAGTGCTCCACAGATGTTGGTTACTTTTGGTAGGGAGATAGATTGCCTCTGAAAGTTGTGTTAGCTGATCTCATGATGCCAATGTTGCTATTTAGTAATTGGATAAATTGGACTTGGCTCTCCTTCCAGCATGTGGGAGAGAAAGATGACTGAGAGACAATAAGGCACTATTATCTTCAGTTTCTGTCCTTGGATACCCTTGGTGGCAATGAACAATGCATGCCCCTCTGAGAAAACTGGACCTAAAGGAGAATGGGAGGTGATACCAGAATTGGGAAAGTCCAAGGCCCCAGGCATTTCCTGGTCTGGAGACAACTTTGAGTCCTTGGTGGGAAGATTCTCCAAGGGAACATAAATGCTTCTACTATCTAGTTTGTCTCTTTGAGAATTAAAACTTTTTTTTTTCATTCCAGTAGTTTTTGGGGTACAGTTTGGCTCTTTGAGAATTGCATAATTATTAATTTTAGGGGTCATCTGTACACATCTGTATATTCCTGAAACATGGTAGAAACAGCCAGCAGTCAGGCGACAATCTACCATGACCACTAAAATATCCCCAAAGTGAAACACTAGATGTGATCCACTAGGTTTAGTGGAGGTGGCTGGCTTGACAGTTGATTATATTTATTATTGTCACTGTGGTGATTATGGCCACCACATGATGCGTGTTGGTCTTTTGGTGAGTTGCAATTTGGAAGGAATAAATCCATTTTTTTTTTTTTTTTTGAGTCTTGCTCTGTCACCCAGGCTGCAGTGCAGTGGTGCCATCTCAGCGTGCTGTAAACTCTGCCTCCCAGGTTCAAGTGCTTCTCCTGCCTCTATGGCCAGGCTGGTCTTGAACTCCTGACCTCAGGTGATCCACCTGCCTCAGCCTCCCAAAGTGCTGGGATTACAGGCGTGAGCCACCATGCCCGGCCCCATTATCCATTTAACCAATATCTATTTAGCACTTTGGGTGTGGTGGAGGATGAACTGCAGGGGAGAGAGGAAGCCTCCTCTTGCCACTATGTTTTCAAGTTGTCCTAATACTCCACCATGACATGCAGGCTTGTGGGTCCCAGAGCTCCAGAAGCATCTCCTGACCACAACATCCTGACCCAGATTCTACTGAAAAATACGTGAGTCTAGCAGAGCCATCTCTGACACTTCCCTTCTTTTGAGCGGCTGATCTGTCAGCCATGGGGAGCCCTTATGAAAGTGCAGTGTGTTTCGTGAAACTTGAGGTTGATCAAAGAATACCATTAAACTTTGTTAAGAAATCTACATATTGATGACATAGGCAGTGGGGTGGAGGTGGGGAAATTCCCAAATACATTTTAGGAATTATCTCAGAAGGAGGTAATAGTCAGAACTCTTTGTTGCCAGTGACAGAAACTCATCTTACTAGTGTGGAGTGGAAAAGGGATTATGTTTTTCTCTGCACTCCCCAACCCCAACCCCAAGCAGATCCTGAAAGAGGGACAGGATTGCAAGTGGATTATTTAGGAGATGATTCCAGGGAACACCAATAGGGGAGTGAGGAATTGATTCATGGAAAGGCAGGAGGCCACACAGGGGGCTTCAATGAGCAGCTTACCACTCCAGGCAACTAGGATTTGACCCCACTGGGGACCTCTGGGAGGTGATGTGGAATATATTTCAAAGTTGTTCCATCCAGGGGGCAAAGATATTGAAGCATTTATAGCCTGGCTCCCATCCGTCACTGGCTGAGGACTGGTCCCAGGGCATCAACTCTCTGGCTTTTCTTTTTTCTTTCTTTTTTTTTTTTTTTGAGACACAGTCTTGCTCTGTCACCCAGGCTGGACTGCAATGGCATGATCTCGGCTCACTGCAACATCTGCCTCCCACGTTCAAATGATTCTCTTGCCTCGGCTTCCTGAGTAGCTGGGATTACAGGCACCTGCCACCATGCCCCGCTAAATTTTTATTTTTTGTAGAGAAGGGGTTTTGCCATGTTGGTCAGGCTGCTCTCGAACTCCTGACCTCGTGATCCACCTGCCTCAGCCTCCCAGTGTTGGGATTACAGGAGTGAGCCACTGCGCCCGGCTTCTGTGGCTTTTCTGACATACTCCATGCCTGACTTTGAGAAAGCCCTCATGTGAAAGTCTTGGTAGTATGCAGTAGCAAGCATGTACTAGAATGATAAAAACCAAGGGGCTTACCACAAGATCTCTCTCTCTGTCTCTGTCTCTAGCTTTGTCTGCATCCTGGCTTAATTTCTTCTTACTCAAGCCTTTTCTCCATAAGGCGAGAAACGTGGCCACAAAAGCTTCTGTATTTCTCACTACACACAATTCCTGTCATCACAGAGAATGATTAACTAGGTCTAGTTCCAGTTTGGAAAAATATTCAAGGGAAGAATTCTGATTGGCCAATTTAGGCCAGATGCTCATCCCTGGACCAATCAACTGAGGCCAGAGGGGTGGAGTCATTTGAGAACATGGCAGCCCCCATGGGAGCCACATGACTGGAGTAGGAAGTGTGAGTCTCTACAGAGGGGAGGGCTGCTAGGCTGAAAAGGCAATAGATGTCTGCAGTGAAAGGAATAGATCAGGAGATACATTCTGTTAAACCTGTTAATTATTTGAAAAAAAGAGAAACTTTCAATATACAGTCACAGTATACGTGAGCCGGTGGCTCACGCCTGTAATCCCAGCAATTTGAGAGGCTGAGGTGGGCAGATCAGAGGTCAGGAGTTCGAGACCAACCTGACCAACATGGTGAAACCCCGTCTTGTGCGCCTGTAATCACAGCTACTCAGGAGGCTGAGGCAGGAGAATCGCTTGAACCAGGGAGGTGGAGTTTGCAGTGAGCTGAGATCATGCCACTGCCCTCCAGCCTGGGCAACAGAGTGAGACTCCTTCTCAAAAAAAAAAAAAGTTACATTGTGGTTCCCCCAGCATGATTTATCAGAAAGGAAAAACTTACAATATGTGTATTTCCTATGCACAGGCTACTGCTATGAATTCAAATTCTTAAATTCCAAAGATTAATTAAAATGTTTCTCAAGACACATAAACTGTTAGAATCTGCTTATAATGAGGCTGAAGTTGAGTAAGAAGAGAACTGGCATTTAGGACACTACTTTTCTTCTGTCGAGTACTGTCAAGTTTTGGTTCTGCCTGGAAGTAGATGCACCTCAAGGGAGGGTTGCATGTAAAGGTGTGTGCGTGCGTGCGTGTGTGTGTGTGTGTGTGGTAGTTTCCAAAAATGGGTACAACTTTCTGCAAATGCTCGTGCAGTATAATTGAACCAATCTTTCCTTTAAGAGGTAGAGTTTATACTCCTCTACATGAATCTGGGCTGCCTATGACTTGCTTTGTCCAGTGAAATGCTGCCAAAGTGATGGTGACCAACTTCTAGCCGTGAAAGGAAAATAAACCTTGGGGCCCCAAGATCACTAAGCTAGGCTGGGCTCGGTGGCTCACGCCTGTAATCCCAGCACTTTGGGAAGCTGATGCAGGCAGATCACCTGAGGTTAGGAGTTCAAGACCAGCCTGGCCAACATGACAAAACCCCGTCTCTACTAAAAAATATGAAAATTAGCCAGGCGTGGTGGCAGGCGCCTGTAATCCCAGCTACTTGGGAGGCTGAGGCAGGGAAATTGCTTGAACCCTGGAGTTGGAGGTTGCAGTGAGCCGAGATCGCACCACTGCACTCCAGCCTGGGCAACAGAGCGAGACTCTGTCCCCCCACCCAAAAAAAAGTTACTAAGCTAAAGAGAAAAGTCAAGCTGGGAACTGTTTAGGGGAAACCTGCCTCCCATTCTATTCAGTCACCCCTTTGCTCACTGAGATAAATGTATATCTGATTGCCTCATTTGGAGAGGCTAATCAGGAACTCAAAAGAATGCAACCATTTGTCTCTTTACCTATGACCTGGAAGCCCCTTCCCCTTGTCTCACCTTCACCTGGAGTTGTCCCGCCTTTCCAGACTGAACCAATGTACAACTTACACATATTGATTGATGTCTCATGTCTCTCTAAAATGTATCAAACCAAGCTGTGTCCCTACCACCTTAAGCACATGTTGTCAGGACCTCCTGAGGCTGTGTCACAGGCATGCGTCCTCAACCTTGGCAAAACAAACTTTCTGAATTAACTGAGACCTCAGATTTTTGGGGTGCAAATAGTCTTAGGCCTTGAGAGCCCTCTCGTAGTTTCCATATTTTTGCCCTCATGCATGCTGGCACCAAGAAAACCTTGGCTATCCTGCTTAAAGGGCCATTTGGAGAGGGGCTCTGGAGGGCGAGGGGCCACATGGAGGAAAACAAGGTTCCCCGGCTGACAACCAGCACCAACTGCCAGGCACATGCATGAGGTCGTCCTGGATGTTCTGCCCAGCTGGCCCTCCAGCTGCAGGTAGCCACACAAATGAGCCCAGGTTAAACCAGCCAGGAAGTCCCCACGCAACTCACAGGGTCATGAGCAATAATGGCTTGTGGTGGTTTAAAGTTTCTAATTTTAGGTGCAATAGGTAACTGAAACAGCCCACAAGGGTGTGAGCCTGTGGAGGGTGCATTTCCCACCTGCTGAAGCTTCTCAATTCCCAGGATCCAATCCAGATAAGACTCTTGTTCTCAGTGTCCTTGATGGAAACGGCAATGAACTTTTTGCAGATTGGACCATCTCGGAAATCCCAAAGATCGGAAACTATTTTTTTTCTCAGAATCGTCCACACAGCATTGAGCCTTAGGAATTTCTAAGAAGGATCTGGGATGAAAAACAATCTTTTGAAAAGGTATTTGTGTAGCTTCACTTCAGCAAGATTCATGGTGGGTGTTAGACAAAGTGCTGGTGTTAAGCCAAACCATGTTTTTCAAAGACTCATCTGGCCTCAAGGTTGGCAGGATCAGAGTGGCCTCCCAGGATCTATCACATCCTCAGAAGAGTTGGTTCAACTGGCATGTACCCAGATCTCTTTGAGCTAGTATGACACTCCCTTGAGTCAAAGGCTGCCACATCACATCTCCTTTAAGTCCCCCTAAGTACGACCCCAGAAGTATTGACAAAATAGTGCTATTCCTGAAGATTTCAGGAGGACATAAATGAAGAGACTGAACTGCAAGGTACAAAAACTTCCATCTTTGCTAAAGACCCTCATCCAGGCTGGGCACGGTGACTCACGCCTGTAATCCCAGCAATTTGGGAGGCCGAGGTGGACGGATCACCTGAGGTCGGGAGTTCAAGACCAGCCTGACCAACATGGAGAAACCCCATCTCTACAAAAAATACACAATTAGCTGGGCGTGGTGGCACATGCCTGTAATCCCAGCTACTAGGGAGGCTGAGGCAGGAGAATCTCTTGAACCTGGGAGGCGTAGGTTGCGGTGAGCTGAGATCGTGCTATTGCACTCCTGCCTGGGCAACAAGAGTAAAACTCCATCTCAAAAACAAACAAAAAGTCCTTATCCGATAGTCATGCCACTCTATCTGGCCATGTAATTTCTCCTCCTGGCTTTCTGTAGCAACAGCCTTCTGAGGAACCTCACTCTGCCGTTCAAAACCCCTTCAACTTGTACCCTTCATCAGCAAAGTACTTAGCTCAACAGGTATGCCTCTGGGGGAACTCATCCACATGCCATTTAAGGATATTTCCAGCAACATCATCTTCACTACCCCAGGATGGCATTTTAGAGTGGATGACGTGCCTGCTGGATTTGTTGTACTCGAGCGAGTTAGAGAAAACGCTACACTTTGAGACGAATTAAGAGTCTGTTTATTTAGCCAGCGGCTAAGAAATGGCTAACGTTTAAAGTTCTCTCGACCTCGAAGTAGAGGCTAGATTTTCTTTTATACTTTGGTTTAGAAAGGGGAGGGGGTCTAGTTAAAACAATTTTACAGAAGTAGGCAAAAAAGTTAAAAGGATAAATTGTTAAGGAAAGTAAACAGTTCTAGGTCTAGGGGCTTTAAGACTATTACAAGGTGATAGACGCGGGGCTTTGGGCGTTATCAATTGGACGAATTCCTGGGAACTGCGGATATTGCTCGCCACAGTTTCTTATCAGTTAATTGCATTCTTCGATGTGCTGGGAGTCAGCTTGCACAAGTTAAGTCCTTGAGGAAGGGGCTGCCAGTGAAAGAGCCAAGATGGAGTATGTCTGGCTCTCGTAGCTAAGGGAGAGTCAATTCAGGTGGAAACAAGGCTAGGTGATTAAAAGAAAGGGAGAGTCTAAAAACAGGGTTAGTAAAAACAAGGTTGGGCATTACATTCCTCATTGTGTTTTTGGGGAATCAAATCGTTGATTCTTTAGTTATAACAAGGGGTTTATATTGAGTTTTAAGATACATAAGTTTGACAGAAGCTATGTGTTGTTTTACAAAATTAATAAACTAATTTAATATACAAGGTCCAAAAATTAGACTTAATACTAGGATGGGGAGGGGGTCTGGCTAACTTAGTAATTAGAATAGTTAGCTCTGGGTTCTAGTTGAACATGCTTTGATACTAGGGGATGTTATTTTCTTGTTCTTGTTGGCGCTTATCTAGATTTTCTTGCACTTTCTGGAGTGTATCTTTTATGACTAAGAATGGTGGAGGAACAGTTAAATCAACTTTGTCAGGGTGTTTCTGGAACATAGGGTTACTTAGATCAGTTAAAGGCCTGATTGGCTTGGGTGGGCTTTATGAGACTAGGGTTTTTTTGGATAGTGAACATAGACTTAACATTAAATCCTGGGATATAGAATCTTAATCTTCATGACATGCCATGATACTATTGAGTTGAATTAAGGTCATGGACAGCTATAGTAAGAGGATTACAATTTTTCTAGTACATAATTTAGGATGAGAAGCACGACTTATGGAAA
This sequence comes from Homo sapiens, assembly GCF_000001405.40. Taxonomy (NCBI): domain Eukaryota; kingdom Metazoa; phylum Chordata; class Mammalia; order Primates; family Hominidae; genus Homo; species Homo sapiens. The sequence continues at coordinate 67,883,215 of NC_000011.10, forward strand.
GAGTTGAAGATCTGGTTGATCTTTTAGAGTAGGTGGCTAAAGTTACACGTGTCTAATCAGGGCAGAAAAACTGATAAGTATCTTGACAGCTAGCATCAGGGTGATTTCTAGGACAGAGGTAAAAGTCAATATTTTGGAGTCTTTTTTCTGCACTTTTGGAGCTTCTACACTTAGTTTGGCTCTTGGAGTGTCTGAATCTTGCTGCAAGGTTGACACTTCCTGCTCCTGGGACTGGCAGATTGTGTTGTTTTTCGTGGGTATGGACTGGCTTTGGGAATAGTACAAATAAATCAACTGCAAAGGAGACTTCCTTGGAGGTACTGGCCTTCTAAGTGGTGTTTGCAAATACACGTCCTGTTGTGAAAGAGGTGAGGAGAAAGGAGTAGGAAGGTACAGAGGACGTAACTGGCAAAAACAAATAAGTGAGGTAGTAAAAAGAATGTATCTAATGGCTTCACCTGACTTAGGCGCAGTTTTAAGGGGCCTGACTTAGGCCTGGGGACTTATGTTTTTAGTTGGGCTCTGTTGGCCTTTTTGATGCGGGAGTGATGAATCTAGGCAGGAATGCCATCTACTTTCAGAGCAGCTGGCGTCGTGAGGATGACGGTGTGAGGTCTTTTCTAAGCAGGAGTGAGTCTTTCTTTTTGGAACTTTTTAACAAACGCTAGGTCTCCTGGCTGGAATGAATGGCAGGACTTTTTCTGGTCAGGAACTGGATTGGGATGGGCTCCTCGAACAAGTGGCAGGATGATCTCTTGTACCAGTTGGAGAGACTATAGGTACTGTAATAAATTAGTTTGTGATATTTCTGCTAATTTGGCATCCCTTAGCTTAGGCAAGATAGGCAGCGCCTTCTTATACATGATTTCAAAGGGTGAGAACTTAGCCTGGTAAGGGGTGCACCTTACTTTAAGTAGGGCTAAAGGAAGGAGACTTACTTAATTTACACCGGTTTTTAAGATTAATTTTGTAGGAGTGTTTTTTAGGGTGTGGTTCACGCTTTCTACTTGCCTGGAACTCTGGGGCTGATAGAGCTCCAGGCAATAGAGGCACAATGGAGCTTCTATTGAACGTTTAACGCCTTACTGACTGACTGAGCTATAGGCGAGGTGAAGGCTGCTCTATTATCAGACTTTATGGCAGCAGGCAGCCTATATTGAGGGATGATTTCATTGCGTAAAAACTTAACTACTGTGTTGGTGGTTTCGTTTTCGGTAGCAAATGCCTTAGTCTATCTGGAGAAGGTGTCTACTAGTACTAGAAGGTATTTGTACTTAGCCTGGTGTGGTTTGACTTCTGTAAAGTCAATTTCTTACTTTTTTCTCGGCGAGTTTTTTCAGAGACAGTGGCCTGGGCTGGGTTTAGGACTTTGTTTGGCATTTACTTGGGTGCAGGTTGTGCACTGGAGAGCGGCTTAATCTGATAGGCTTTGAAGACGGGGGATCTTAAAATGGCTCCGGAGGAGCTGAGGTAGCTTTGCTCTTTTTAAGTGGGTGGTAGACTGCAGGTGACTGATTAAAGTTTCTTTAAGAGTTCAGGATATGAAGATTCTAGAGTCAGGAAGAATCTACTAACTTTCCTGATTTTTATTGGCTCTGAGATCTGAAGCCAGTTTTTTTGTTGTTGTTGTTGTTGAGTATACGGGATTGTCAGGCAGATCTGGCTGAGGAAAGGAGACTGTGGGCAGCAAGTTTAGAGGCGTGACTGAAAGTTGCGCTGCGACCTGAGCTGCTGAATCAGCTTTCTAGTTACTATGGGCAAAGCCGTGTTTTCTTTTTGATGTCCTTTGCAGTGGATCACAGCTATCTGCTGAGGTGAGTAGCCTGCTTTCCTGGTAGATGGCTTTATGTACATGCACAGTAGCAAAGGCGTACTTGCTGTCACTGTAAATGTTAATACGTTTATTCTACTTTATCGGAGAGCCTGAGTGAGGGCGATCAATTCAGCCTTTTGTGCTGAGGTGTTCGCTGGTAAAGCTTGAGCTTACAACACATCTGTCTCCGTGGTAACAGCTGCACTGGCTTTTAATACTTCCTGCTTGAGGAAGCTGCTCCTGTCTGTGAACACGGCGGCATCTGCCTTTTCCAGGGGCACATCTTGAAGATCAGATGGGCCAGTTTCGATAGTTTCTAACAGTTCTTGACAGTCATGAGCAGGAATAGTGCAGTCTGGGTCAGGATGTAGCGAAGCTGGATTGAAACACTTTGTGGGAGAGAAAGTCAAACCAGGCTGATCTAACAGTAAACTTCGAAACTGCAAGATGCGAGCATTTGACATCTATTTGCCAGAAGCACTTCGTAGTAAGGTCTTTACAGCATGAGGAGCTGTAAGGGTTAAATTTTGGCTTAGAGTTAACTTATCATCTTCTTGGACTAGGCTTGCTGTAGCCTCTATGGCTCGCAGACAACTTGGCCATCTAGAGGCCACAGGATCTAGCCTCTTAGATAAATAGGCCACTGGGCATCTTTAGGGTCTTAGAGCCTGAGTCAGCACCTCTTTAGCAACTCCTTGGCTTTTATGGAGATATTAGGGAGGGCTAAAGCAGGGGCTTCAGTTAATGCTAAATTAATGGGCTATTTCATTCTGCACTTCTTGGATAGCCGCCACTAAGATTTTTGTTTGTCTTTTGAATGATTTATCAGCGGCCTTTTCAGCTGCCTGTGTTGTTTTTGTTTTTTAACCTTTTGATGGTCAAAAGCTTTTTGGACTATTTCTAAAAGCTGACTGATATTTATTCTAGCAAATCTTTCTAGTTTTTGGAGTTTCTTTTTAATATCCGGGGCTGTCTGAGCCACAAATGCTAAATTAAGAGCACGGCTATTTTCGGGAGCTGCCGGGTCAAAAGGGGTGTAAATCCGATAAGCCTCCTGGAGGCGCTCTAAAAACGTTCTTGGTGACTTATCGGGCCTTTGGACAACGTCGGTCGTCTTAGACAAGTTTATGGGTTTCTGAGCGGCTCTTTTAATACTTGCGAGGAGATACCGGTGAAAATCGTCTAAAGCTCTCTTTCTACTTGAGGAATTTGGGTCCCAGTTAGGCCGGGTAGAGGGAAAGACCTCCTCAAGGAGGTTTCTAGCTTCTTCTTCCGGTCTATTGGCTGATGTGAGGAAGTACTTTTTGGCTTCTTTTTGGATACGTTCTTTCTTTTCAGAGGTGAAAAGGGTTAAAAGGAGCTGTTGGCAATCATCTTAGGTGGGCGGGTGAGTCCAGAGTACAGACTCTGTCAGAGAGGTCAAAGCCTGGGGCTTTTCAGAGAAGGGAGGATTATGGGTTTTCTAATTACATAAGTCAGAAGTAGAAAAAGGGACACAAACTAAGAAGGGTGCTGAGCGCTCGTCACCTGGAGGGACTTGTGCCTCTCTCAGTGGTAGTAGAGGGGCTACTTCTTCCTGCCACGGTCATGATTGAGAGGCAACGGGTGGCGAGTCTACAGGGGACGTCGTCGAGCAGACATGGGATAACTTTAAGGGAGAAGGTTGGTTGTAAGGCGGTGGGACTGGGTGAGGGAGACTCTCCTCTTCTTCAGAGGGAGGCAGTACAGGGGGAGCTGAACTGGCTGAGGGTCGAGGCGAAAACTCGGTCTGGCTTAGGAGGACCTTGGAGGTAGAATTATGAATGGCTCATGAACGGAGCCATGGAGAGTGGATCCTGACTAAACTTAGCTATTGATCAATGTAGAGAAACTGATCAGGGTGGCTAGGAGTTTCAGTAACAACCTGCCACACAGCTTGAACAGTTGTGAGGTTCAATGACCCTTCAGGGGGCCACTTGACTTTAAACTTTGGCCATTTTATTTTGCAGAGTGTCTGGAGCTTACCTTTTTTAAGGCGGACTTTATAATCCTCTGAACTGAGAGAAAAATTCTGCAGCATACATTGGAGAGGGCTTTAACTTTACAAGGCTGGGAGGAAGTGTTTCTTATTTTTTTTTTTAAGGCAATTTAATAAGATTTGAGCATAGATATTAAACTTAGCATGGACAGAGAAACTTATTTCTTGGGGGACTGGCATAGTGAAAGAACAGAATCAATATGACTAGAAAGAGCAGAAAAACTTAAAACAGCTAATACTACTTGCTACATTGCTGTAGCTTTAAGATTGAGGGAGGAGGACTAGAGCCAGCCTGAGATCTTCTGGGTCAGTTTGATCTAGGCGTTCTTCTTCTTCTTCTAGATCTGCGCTTTAAATACTTTTGGTGTCTTTATGACTTAAAGGCAAATAGCTTAAACTTAGCTTTTTCTTTTAAGGGTTTAAGGAGTGAGAACAGAGCCAAGTCCTGGAGACGGTGAACTTGCTGTCGCACCAGAAAACGAGATGTGCAGGATAGGGGGCAGGGACAAGGCGGAAAAGGACTACTCGGATCATTTTTAAGATGGGAGAGTAGCCACAGAGGAGCAGAGTAAGAATCTAAACGAGGTAAAGCAGTACGGGCGTACATTTCTTTACACGGTGTTCTACTGAAGGGCACAGGAAAAGTTACAGAATGACAAGAGAGGTGAGCAAGGAAATCTACAGGGTGGCTGTTTTGAATTCACTACTGGTTTAGTTTAGAGGACGTCTAATCACTTGTACGTGGAATATGATGATCTAAATACTTACAACTTTCATGGTGCTAGAAATCTTAATTAGGGAAATGTTTTTCACACTTGTTCTTGTAACAACACTTGATTTGCTTCTGGCAGAAAAGACAGGACTGTGGTGACCAGCCTAAATGATTGATGAGAAATTTAACCTCCTGTGACAAAAAATCAGCACTAAGGACTTTGAAGAAGTTTTTACTTAGACGTCTTGGGCAATATCAACGTCTTAACATGCAAAACTTTGACAACTACTAACAAGACAATAGACACTGAACAGAACAATCAACATAAAACAAACAATTGACTTTAGGGCATGTAAACAGTTATGACAGTTTCTTCCTTTTTTTTTTTTTTTTCAGACAGACAAGGGGAGGGGCTCCTGTGATGGGATCAGTCAGATGCCTGCCTGGCCGCTCCCCCTGAGGGGACTTGGGCTCCTCTTAACATTGGCAGGCTGGTATAAACTTCCGGCTCAGATCAAGCTATGCCTGATGCTGCCTTAAGCCTTATGAGGTCGCCACGGAACCGCAGGTGAGGGTCTACTTGAACTCCGTAGCTTTAGCCGTGGAGCTACAAACTGGAGGACAAGCGCAAGCCCTTGTCCTCACTCATTCATTATTCACACAGAGTATATAACAGTTTTTTTTTTTTTCTTTCTTGGAGATTCTTCAAGAAACTTGAACAAGAGAAAGATGAGAGATAGAAAGAGAGAGAGAGTGACCGGTCTGCCAGAAACCAGGACTCAGTCCTCCAGCATCCTGGGATGTGGACTGAGTCAAGGGAGGGCCGCTGTCAGAGCCACTTCCCTCCTAGAAAGAGACACAGAGGTGCCTAACAGAAAACCAGGGCTCTACCTTCTAGCGTCCTAGAGAAACAGGCAGAGTCAAAAGAGGGACACCCTCATCAGGGCCGCTTCCCTCTTACTAGAACTGAAGTCAAATCTGACCTACCTGACCTCAGGGTCAGAAGTCGAGGACTCAGATGTGGAATTTTTATGGACACCCACACGGTAGTCGATCCGCTCTCCTCTGAAAGACGGTCACCTTTCGGGGACCTAAAAATTTTTTTTCAGGTGGCACCCCCCCTACAAGCCGGCCGGCCTTCTGGGGGAGCCCAGAGCGAGCCCGGCTCTTGCCTGGTGGCGTTTCTTGCTGGGGCCTCCGAATGTTGTACTTGAGCGAGTTAGAGAAAATGTCACACTTTGACATGAATTAAGAGTCTGTTTATTTAGCTGACGGCCAAGAAATGGCTAACTCTTAAAGTTCTCTTGGCCCCGAAGAAAGGGCTAGATTTTCTTTTATACTTCAGTTTAGACAGGGGAAACGGGTCTAGTTAAAAGAATTTTACAGAAGTAAAGTAGGCAAAAAAGTTAAAAGGATAAATTGTTACAGGAAAGTAAACAGTTCTAGGTGTAAGGGCTTTAAGACTATTACAAAGTGATAGACGTGGGGCTTTAGGCATTATCAATCGGACAAATTCCTAGGAACTGCGGATATTGCTCGCCACAGTATCTTATGAGTTAATTGCATTCTTAGATGTGCTAAGAGTCAGCTTGCACAAGTTAAGTCCTTGAGGAAGGGGCTGTCAGTGAAAAGGCCAAGATAAAATCTATCTAGCTCTCTTAGCTAAAAGAAAGTCAATTCAGGTAGAAACAAGGCTAAGTGATTAAAAGAAAAGGAAAGTCTAAGAACAAAGTTAATAAAAACAAGGTTAGGCATTACAGATGGGGTCATCCTTATATTCAGCACAGCGTTTGTCCTGAAACTTCAATGGAGTGCTCCTAGTTTGATAACTTGGACCATGCCAAATAAATTGAATTTCTCTTTCTTAACAACAGATGTTTGAATACAGCCCCGTGACCCTTTCTGCTCCTTCCTGCCTTCCTCCTCTCCTCTTCCTTCCCTTCCTTTTCAAGAGCAGGGTTTGCAAACTTTTTCTTGAAAGCATCAGATAGTAAATATTTTCGAATTCGTGGGCCATACAGTCTCTTATAGTAGTTGCTCAACTCTGCCACCCATAGCATGAAAGCAGCTGATATAGTTGAATATGAGTCCCCACCCAAAACTCATGTTGCAATCCCCAGTGTTAGAGGTGGGGTCTGGTGGGAAGAGATTGGATCATGGGGGTGGATTTCTCATGAATGATTTAGCCTCATCCCTTTGGTCCTGTCCTTGCAATAGTGAGTGAGTTCTTGCAAGATCTGGTTGTTTACGAGTGTGTAGCACCTCCCTCCTTACTCTCTTGCTCCCACTTCACCTTCTGCCATCATTGTAAGTAAGTTTCCTGAGGCCTCCACAGAAGCTCAGCAGATGTCAGTGTCATGCTCCCTGTATAGCCTACAAAACTGTGAGCCAATTAAAGCTCTTTATATATTGCCCAGTCTCAGGTATTTCTTTATAGCATGAGAGAACAGCCAAATCCAGCAGCCATAGACAATATGTAGCAAATGGACATGACTGTGTTTCAATAAAACTTTATTGACAAACACATGCACAAGCAGGTCAGATTTGGCCCATGGGCATTAGTGTCCCAACCTCTGCTCTGGAGTATTCTCTTCAGCAACCTCTGCCTCCTGGGTTCAAGCAATTCTCCTGCCTCAGCCTCCCAAGTAGCTGGGATTACAGGCACCTGCCACCACACCTGGTTAATTTTTGTATTTTTTAATAGAAATAGGGTTTCACCTTGTTGGCCAGGCTGGTCTCAAACTCCTGACATCAGGTGATCCAACCACCTCAGCCTCCCAAAATGCTGGGATTACAGCTGCCCACCACCACACCTGGCTAATTTTTGTATTTTTAGTAGAGATGTGATTTCACTATGTTGCCTAGGCTGGTCTCGAACTCCTGATCTCAAGTGATCCACCTGCCTCGGCCTCCCAAAGTGCTGGGATTACAGGTGTGAGCCACTGCAGCTGGCCTCTAGATTTTTTTTTTTTTGATCGTTGCTTATTTGGTTTGACTTTCATTTTTTCCCCCATTGTGGTAGTCATTTTCTGAACGCCTGTTAGTTTGTCCATCTCTCTCCTCTGTAGTCCCTAGAGTCAGATGAACTCCTCTGCAGGTGCAATGGTGTAACACACTCTAGTGCTGAATTTTGAGCAGGAGAAAGAGAGCAAGAGTGACCAGTACCCTTGGAAACTCTGGCCTCCTGAGAATTTGGTGTCTTCCCTGCAAAGGTTGCAAACCTGTTAACCCACAGGCCGGAGAGAGAGAGAAGTCAGAATCACGATCTGTTAAGCTTGAGTTTAATATTTGATGCACAGAGATCACTGAGTTTTTTGATAAGAATTAGAGGGGGAAGAAATAGCCAGAGAACAATTTCTATCTCCAGGTGAGGATTCAGGAGATAATTCTGCGAAAAGAACTTCCTGAGAACTAAGATGGGGAAAATCACTGGTATTAGAAGAGTGAAAAGGTCAGTAATTAAGGCTACAACTGTGCTCTTAGAGGCAAAAGAAGAAAATGAGACTGCCAGGCATGAATAATGAGAAATCTTTGATGGAATTAGCCATGCAGAACAGATATTAAATGCATCCTCATTCTTCTCATAGTCAAAAGTATTTGCCTAAGCTGGATGGGAAAAAGAGAATCCCATTTCACTAAGTATAAAAGAGGGGATTTTAGAGAAGGTCTCAGAAGAAAGAGATGTGGCGGTTTGGTGAAACTCACCAGAGGCTGAACCCTCTCCAGCATAACACACGGATTGGGAGGAGTGGGGTGGCATTAGGCCAGGTGCGTAGCCCAGTGCTGCTCTCTCTGGACTTGTTTGCTAGCTGAACTCATCCATTTGCATAATTTTCAGTGCCATTTCTCAGCTGATGAGTCCTGAACTTTTGTCTTGAGGTTAGACTTCTCCTTCAAACAGCAGTCTTAAACACTCAACTTCTTTCTTGTTTTTTCCACTTGTCAACTCATGAACACCTCAACCTTGTTAAATCCAAAGCCAAACTCATGGCTTGGAGTGGTAGGTGATGGCTGTAATCCCAGTGCTATGGGAGGCTGAGGTGGGAGGATTACTTGAGGTCAGGAGTTTGAAGCCAGCCTGGAAAACACAGTGAGACTCCCTATCTACAAAAAAAAAAAAAAAAAAAAAAAAAAAAGCTAGGCATGGTGAAGTGCATCTGTAGGATCTGTAGTCCTGTTACATGGCAGGCTGAGGCAGGAGGATCACTTGAGCCCAGGAGTTTGAGGCTGCAAAGAGCTATGATTGCACCAATGCACTCCAGCCTGGGTGACAGAGCCAAAGTCCCTGTCTTAAAAAAAAAACAAAAGCAAAACTCTTTTTCCTCCTCCTTCTCCATGGGCTCTGTCCGTGCCATCTCTGTTCTGTAAATGGCACCACCCCCTGCTGAGCTGCTCAAGGTGGTCATAACTCATGTGTTGTGCTAACTCTGCTTTTGCCCTCTTCTCCAGTCAGAAGTCCTGTGATTCTAAACTTTATCCAACTTGTCCACTCTCTCTATCTTCACTGTCATTATCTTTGCCTAGGACACCGCTATCCCAGCTGGGCTACAGCAGCAGCCTCCTAACTGGTCTTAACTGGTCCTCTGCACCTGCTCTCCATGCTCAGCAATCCATTTCCTACCTAGCAGCTTCAGTGATCTTAAGGTGTCCATTGAGTCTCATCCCTGCCTTTCCTGCCCATGGCACATAGAATAAAATCGAGACCCCGAGTCTTCTGCCTGTTCCTGCCACCTCTCCAGCTCTCTCCTATCTCCTCCCCTTGGCCTACTCTATTTCAGCCACTCTGGCCTCCTTCTGTTTTCTTTGACTTTCAAACCTTTCTCCACAACAGGGCCTTTGCACTTGCTGCTTCAGCCTGGAATGATTTTCCTCTGCACCTCCCCAAATTAGACCATCCTTTAGGTCTCAGCTAAAATGGTGCTTCCAGACAGCTCTTTCCTGACCCCTTTATAAAGTGGACTTCCCTGCTCTTCTCCACCTTAACCTCATTATTTCTTGTTGCGGGAAGTCAGGGACCCCAAATGGAGGGACTGGCTGAAGCCATGGCAGAGGAACATAAATTGTGAAGATTTCATGGATATTTATCAGTTCCCAAATAATACTTTTATACTTTCTTATGCCTGTCTTTATTTTAATCTCTTAATCCTGTTATATTCATAAGCTGAGGATGTACATCACCTCAGGACCACTGTGATAATTGTGTTAACTGTACAAATTGATTGTAAAACATGTGTGTTTCAACAATATGAAATCAGTGCACCTTGAAAAAGAAGAGAATAACAGCAATTTTTAGGGAACAAGGGAAAACAACCATAAAGTCTGACTTACTGCAGGGTTGGGCAAAAGGAGCCATATGTTTCTTGCACGGAGTCTATAAATGGACGTGCAAGTAGGACAGATATTACTAAATTCTTTTCCTAGCAAGGAATATTAATATTAATACCCTGGGAAAGGAACGCATTCCTGGGGGGAGGTCTATAAATGGCCGCTCTGGGAATGTCTGTCTTATGCAGTTGAGATAAGGACTGAGATATGCCCTGGTCTCCTGCAGTACCCAAAGGCTTACTAGGGCGAAAAACTCTGCCCTGGTAAATTTGTGGTCATACTGGTTCTCTGCTCTCGAACCCTGTTTTCTGTTGTTTAAGATGTTTATTAAGACAATACGTGCACCACTGAACATAGACCCTTATCAGTGGTTCTGCTTTTGCCCTTTGCTTTGTGATCTTTGCTGGACCTTTATCAGTAGTTCTGCTTTTGCCCTTTGTCCTGTTCCCTCAGAAGCATGTGATCTTTCTTAGACCCTTAGTAGTAGTTCTGCTTTTTGCCCTTTGAAGCATGTGATCTTTGTACCTACTCCCTGTTCTTACAGCCCCTCCCATTTTGAAACCCTTAATAAAAACTTGCTGGTCTGAGACTCAGCAGGCAGCACAGACTTACTGATATGTACTGTCACCTCCAGCGGCCCAGCTGTAAAATTCCTCTCTTTGTAGTGTCTCTCTTTATTTCTCAGCTGGCTGACACTTATGGAAAATGGAAAGAACCTATGTTGAAATATTGGGGGCAGGTTCCATCAATAGTTCTTACATGGATTTACTTATTTTTTGTCTCCCTCCATACCCTAGAAACTCCTGGAGGGCAGAGCTGTGTCTGCCATCTTCATCATTGCATTACCACCACCAAGCACAGTGCCTGGCACAAAAGAGTTGCTCAATAAATAAATCAGGATGAATGGATAAATACATGGATAGGCACTTTGAGCTACAGATGAGTTTAAATACTTTGTGTTTTTCTTAGTCAAACATGTGCAATTAAGCATGTGATAAATGATATGATGACCACACCTGTGTGTTGCCTGATGTTCTTTGCAATCACTAAATGAAGTCAATTGTGCCTGTTTTGACAGTTCTGTTTTCAACCTAATGATCTGTTTCTTTTAACTTCTGGCTGTTGGCTTTGTTTGGGTTTGTTAGCCTGACAAAGTGGCAGACATTAGTATTTGCTCTTTTGTTTAAATGTCATGAACTTTAAAAATGCCTTTGCTTTTGGTAAGAAACCCTAGTTAGGACAGTCTAGCAGTCAGGATGATTTGGGTTCTGGTGCAGTAACAACAATCCCCAAATCTCAGTGGATTCATATAGTGAGGTATTTGTTTGTTTGTTTGTTTTTTCAGACAGGGTCTCACTCTGTCACCCAGACTAGAGTGCAATGGTGCAACCTCAGCTCACTGCAACCTCTGCCTCCCAGACTCAAGCGATTCTCCTGCCTCCTGAGTAGCTGGGATTACAGGCCTGTGCCACTACTGTCTCACTAATTTTTGTACTTTAGTAGAGACAGGATATCACCATGTTAGCCAGGCTGATCTTGAACTCCTGACCTGAAATGATCCACCCGCCTTGGCCTCCCAAAGTGCTGGGATGACAGGCATGAGCCACCATGCCTGGCCACAGTGAGGCTTATTCTTGGTCACGTTGCATGTCTGGGCTGTGTTAGGGCATTGTGGGGTGGTCTGTTCATTGTGTTCACTCAGGGATCCAGGCTGACAAAAGCCCCATCTCTGAATGTGTCCTTGATCACCACTTCAGGGGAAAGGGAATGTGGTGGATCACACAGCCTTTTAACACTTCCACCTGGAGGTGACTCAAGTTGCTCTTGCTCATGGTTCATTGGACAAAGCAGATCACAGAGACATGGGCAACTTCTCTGTGCCTGGAAGGGGAATCAAAATATGAATAGCTACATTGATTTTCCTTAGCTTTTACACAGAAGGCCTCATTTAAACACAGTTACTTATTTGTGTTTTGAAGCCAATTGTTGTCCATCAAACTTCACAGAAGATATGTGCACTTCCAAGTTATTATTAAGCACAATTTTTTTTTTTTTTTTTTGAGGCAGAGTCTCACTCTCTTGCCCAGGCTGGAGTGCAGTGGCATGATCATGGATCACTGCAACTTATGCCTCCTGGGTTCAAGTGATTTTCGTGCCTCAGCCTCCCAAAATGCTGTGACTACAGACACCCACCACTGCGCCTGGCTAAGTTTTGTATTTTTAATAGAGATAGGGTTTCACCATGTTGGCCTGGCTGGTCTGGAACTCCTGACCTCAGGTGACCCACCTGCCTCGGCCTCCCAAAGTGCTGAGATGATAGGCGGGAGCTGCCACACCCATCCTTGAGTATGATTTTTGATTGGGAAGGTCAGAGTTAGGGTTTTAGTCTGAGGACAGTATGATGTGAAGGTGAAAAGCAGAGCTTGGCTGTGAGTTTGCTGGGATGCCTGTGCTGCTTCTACAGTTCTTTGGCTGTGTGATCGTCACCTTTGGCAAGTTCCTTTACGTTTCTATGTGTTGGTTTCCTCATCAATAAAATGGAAAAACTAGTGCTTGCTTCGGCTGCACATATACTAAAATTAGAATGATACAGAGAAGATTAGCATGGCCCCTGCACAAGGATGACACGCAAATTCGTGAAGCGTTCCATATTTTTAGTCAGTGTGGTGATTCCTCAGGGATCTAGAACTGGAAATACCATTTGACCCAGCCATCCCATTACTGGATATATACCCAAAGGACTCTAAATCATGCTGCTATAAAGACACATGCACGCGTATGTTTATTGCGGCATTATTCACAATAGCAAAGACTTGGAACCAACCCAAATGTCCAACAATGATAGACTGGATTAAGAAAATGTGGCACATATACACCATGGAATACTATGCAGCCATAAAAAATGATGAGTTCATGTCCTTTGTAGGGACATGGATGAAATTGGAAATCATCATTCTCAGTAAACTATCGCAAGAACAAAAAACCAAACACCGCATATTCTCACTCATAGGTGGGAATTGAACAATGAGATCACATGGACACAGGAAGGGGAATATCACACTCTGGGGACTGTTGTGGGGTGGGGGTAGCGGGGAGGGAGAACATCGGGAGATATACCTAATGCTAGATGACGAGTTAGTAGGTGCAGCGCACCAGCATGGCACATGTATACATATGTAACTAACCTGCACAATGTGCACATGTACCCTAAAACTTAAAGTATAATAAAAAAAAAGAAAGAAAGAATAAAAATAAATAAATAAAAAAATAAAATGGAAAAACTAATCATAATCATAATATCTATTGGTGTTGGGATAGCCCAGTGGTTGACACATAAGGACTCAAAAATATATATATATTTTTTGAAACAGAGTCTTGCTCTGTTGCCAGGCTGGAGTGCAGTGGTGCAATCTCAGCTCACTGCAAACTCTGCCTCCTGGGTTCAAGCGATTCTCCTGCCTCAGCCTCCTGAGTAGCTGGGATTACAGATGCCTGCCACCACTCCCAGCTAATTTTTGTATTTTTAGTAGAGATGGGGTTTCACCATGTTGTCCAGGATGCTCTCGATCTCTTGACCTCATGATCCGCCCACCTCAGCCTCCCAAAGTGTTGGGATTACAGGCATGAACCACAGTGCCCGGCTCAAAAATACTATTATTAATTTTGGGGGGTAGTTACTATATTTTGTGAAAATCAGAGTTCAGTACCTTGTAACACTGGGTTGGGATCTATCCCTGAAGGAACAGGCTTCTAAAGAGGAAGGCATGGAGAGAGGGGCAAATTTTCAGTGGATGTTGTAATGACTTTAGGTATATGGACCTGGGGCTGAGTTCTAGCTGGGGCCACCAGGTGGCAAGGTGGACTTTGCTAAATTCTGTCACTTTCCTGGGCCTCAGACTCACTTGTTACAAATGGGGTTAAAGCATCCCTCTTTCAGGGCTAAGATAAAGATGATTAAGTAAGAGGGAATGAAAGTAACTTCCATCAACGGTCAAAAGTATTCATTTAATTTTTCTTTTTTTTTTTTGAGATGGAGTCTTTCTCTGTTGCCCAGATTGGAGTGCAGTGGCATGGTCCCGGGTCACTGCAACCTCCACCTCCTGGGTTCAAGTGATTCTTCTGCCTCAGACTCCTGAGTAGCTGGGACTTCAGGTGCATGTCACCACGCCTGGTTAATTTTTATATTTTTAGTAGAGACGGGGTTTCACCATGTTGGCCAGGATGGTCTCCATCTCTTGACCTTGTGATCCACCCACCTTAGCCTCCCAAAGTGTTGGGATTACAGGCATGAGCCATCACATCCGGCCCATTTAACTTCTATATTACTTTCCTGTTGGTGGATTTACCAGTGCAAAATGAGCAGCTTAAAACTCCACCCAGTTATTATCTGTTTTCATGAGCCAAGGGTCTGGGCAGGGTTTAACTGGGTCTTCTATTCAGGGTCACAATATGGCAACCAGAGTGTCAGTTGGAGCTGGGGTCTCATCGGATGCTCAGAGTCTTCTTCCAAGCTTATTCAGTCTGTGAACTGAATTCAATTACTTACAATTGTTGAATGAAGGTCCTCAACTCCTAGAGCTGCCACCTCCAAAGACAGCTCACAGCATGGCCATTTGTGTCTCCTTGGAGGCTAAGGGTTCAATCTCTGAAACTTCACCTTTAAAAGATTCACCTGATTAGGTCTGGCCCACCTGAGATCATCCTGCTTTGGATGAACTCAAAGTCAGCTGAGCAAATGTGCTTAACAAAGCAAGTGTGACCATAATCACATTTGCAAAATTCCTTCCTCTTGGCCAAATCACAAGCTCTGCACACACTCAAGAAGAGGAGATGATACAGGGAGCAGATATAAGGGAGTGGGTCTCTTAGGGGCTGTCCTAGAACTCTGCCCATTACAACTTCCTTTCTCGAGGAATAGCAGGCCTGGGGAGAGATGATCACAGATGAGCGCAGCCCACAGGTGGTGAGTGCCTGGTGCTGGGTTAGGATGCAGGAGGCTGTGAAGCAAGTATGAAAAGCCTTCTCTGGGCTGGGTGCAGTGGCTCACGCCTGTAATCGCAGCACTTTGGGAGGCCGAGGTGGGTGGATCACGAGGTCAAGAGATCGAGACTATCCTGGCCAACCAACATGGTGAAACCCCGTCTCTACTAAAAATAAAAAATTAGCTGGGCATGGTGGTGCATGTCTCTAACAACCAAGCTCCCCAAGTGAGCAATTCCTGTCCTTTTTAAGAGCTCACAACTCTAAGGGTGTCCACATGAGAGGGTCTTGATCTATTGACCAAGCAGGGAGTACGTGACTGGGGGCTGCATTCAGCAAACCCCATCTCTACTAAAAATACCAAAATTCAGCAAAGTTTCAGGATACAAAATCAATGTGCAAAAATCACAAGCATTCTTATACACCAATAACAGACAAACAGCCAAATCATGAGTGAACTCCCATTCGCAATTGCTTCAAAGAGAATAAAATACTGAGGAATCTAACTTACAAGGGACATGAAGGACCTCTTCAAGGAGAACTACAAACAACCGCTCAAAGAAATAAAAGAGGATACAAACAAATGGAAGAATATTCCATGCTCATGGCTAGGAGGAATCAATATCATGAAAATGGACATACTGCCCAAGGTAATTTATAGATTCAATGCCATCCCCAACAAGTTACCAATGACTTTCTTCACAGAATTGGAAAAAACTACTTTACAGTTCATATGGAACCAAAAAAGAGCCCACATTTCCAAGTCAATCCTAAGCCAAAAGAACAAAGCTAGAGGCATCACACTACCTGACTTCAAACTACAAGGCTACAGTAACCAAAACAGCATGGTACTGGTACAAAAACAGAGATACAGACTAATGGAACAGAACAGAGCCCTCAGAAATAATGCCACACATCTACAACTATCTGATCTTTGACAAACCTGACAAAAACAAGAAATGGGGAAAAGATTCCCTATTTAATAAATGGTGCTGGGAAAACTGGCTAGCCATATGGAGAAAGCTGAAATTGGATCCCTTCCTTACACCTTATACAAAAATTAATTCAAGATGGATTAAAGACTTAAATGTTAGACCTAAAACCATAAAAACCCTAGAAGAAAACCTCAGCAATGCCATTCAGGACATAGGCATGGGCAAGGACTTCATGTCTAAAACACCAAAAGCAATGGCAACAAAAGCCAAAGTTGAAAAATGGGATCTAATTAAACTAAAGAGCTTCTGCACAGCAAAAGAAACTACCATCAGAGTGAACAGGTAACCTACAGAATGGGAGAAAATTTTTGCAATCTAGTCATCTGACAAAGGGACCTATGACTTTCTTATAACCAAGAGAATATGGCAGAGGTGATGGGATGTAGTGATTATGTTAGATAGGGTGTTAAGTTGTCTTGCTAGGAGGCTGTCTGTCTTGCTGGCTTTGAGGATGTGAGCTGCCATGTCATGAGTGGCCAGATGGAGAGGCCCATGTGGCAAGAAGCTGAGGGCAGCAAGAAACTGGGGCGCTGAGTCCAGCAGCCTGCAAGGAACTGAATGCTGCCAACAACCAGATGAGCCTGGAAGCAGACCAATCACCAGTCAAGCCTCCAGATGAGAACTGAGCACTGGCTGACACTATGGCTGCAGCCTTGCACTGAACCCAGCTGAGTCACGCCTGGATTCCTGACCCACAGAAACCATGCAGTGATAACTGTCTGCTGTCTCAAGCCACAAAGTTTGCAGTAATATTGTTGCACAGCAATAGATAACTAATATAAAAACTGTCCTATATCATGTACATTACTGAGCGAAATGTAGAACCTGGATTTGAGCTCTGATTTCAGAGGTGTGGTCTCAGTCTCCCCAGGGAGACCTGTCCTGGGAGACAGTTATGCCAGGCTGTGATGCTGTGATGATTGTTCTCTTCCTACCCAGAAGCTTTCAATAGGCATGTCAAGCATGTGACCCCAGCTATATACCAAATGTATTTCTGACAAATGCCAGGACATCTTGAGCTTTCTTGTTTTACTGAGAGCTCCATAAAGGAAGGACTATCTTTGTCTTTTTTTTTTTTTTAAGAGTCTCACTGTCACCCAAGCTGGAGTGCAATGGTGCGATCTCGGCTCACTGCAGTCTCTGCCTCCTGGGCTCAAGGGATTCTCCAGCCTCAGCCTCCTGAGTAGCTGGGATCAAAGGTGTACATCACCACACCCAGCTAATTTCATATTTTTGGTAGAGATGGGGTTTCGTCATGTTGGCCAGACAGATCTTGAACTCCTGGCCTCAAGTGATTCACTTACCTCGGCATCCCAAAGTGCTGGGATTACAGGCATGAGCCACTGCACCAGGCCTGTCTTATTTATGTTATGTCTATGTGAAACAGCCCAATGGTCAGCACACAAAGGGGTCCAAATGTGAAAGGAAAGAGCAAACACAGGGGAAACATAGGGGTGTTCAGAAATAGTTCCCAGGTTACTGCCTGTTTCAATATGTACAGTCCTCGGCCCCACCCACAAGATTCTGACTTGGCAGGTGAGAGTTGGAGATGGGGGAGCTACCTGGTTACGAGGGATCCCAGTTCATTTTGAGGCAGCTGGTTGTTAGACTGCATTGTAAAAATTACCCCCCAAAGATTGGAAAGGATAATTTATGTATTTTTAATAGAGATAGGGTTTCACCATGTTGGCCAGGCAGATCTCCTACTCTCAGCCTCAGGTGATCCACCCGCTTTGGCCTCCCAAAGTGCTGGGATTACAGGCATGAGCCATTGCTCCTAGCAGTATTTTTTTAATGAGGCAAAATTCACATAACACGTAAGTCCCTGTATGAAACCATACACTTCAGTATCATTAAATACATTCACAATGTTAAGCAATCATCATCTCTGTCTAGTTCCAAAACATTTTCATTAACACCCCCCGCCCCCCCAAAAAATAACCCTGTATCCAATCAAGCACTCTCCATCCCCCCCCCCTTTCCCCCAGTTCCTGGCAACCACTTACCTGCTTTCTGCCTCTACAGATTTGCCTATTCTGGACCTTTCACATAAATGGAATCATGTAATATATATAATAACCAAAAGGTAGCAACAACCAAGCTGACCATTTGGCTGATGAATGAATAAACAAAATGTGCTGTATCCATACAGTGGAAGTATTGGTGCCTACTGCATGTGGATGGACCTTGGAAACAACATGCTGAGTGAGAGAGAGCCTTGGTATCGTCTCATCTCCCCAGGAGATTCCAAGGTGCAGCCAAGGTTGAGACCCACTGACAAGCAATGGATATGGTTGGGTGCAGATGAAATAAGGCAGCCAGGGGCAGGAGGGATGTCTCATTGAAGATGACTGTTTGTGGATGCCTAGCAGGGGTGGAGATGAGGGATGATAACAGCAACCCCAATCTCAACACAGCGTGACCGATTTTATCTTCAGCCGGCTGATACGCCTCATGGGATTTGGACACAGGACATCTCTGCCTCCCAGGTTCAAGCAAACTCCTGCCTCAGCCTCCTAAGTAGCTGGGATTACAGGCATGTACCACCACACCTAGCTAATTTTTGTATTTTTAGTAGAAACGAGGCCTCATCATGTTGCCCAGGTTGGTCTCAAACTTCTGGCCTCACATGATCCACCCACCTCAGCCTCCCAAAGTACTGGTATTGCAGGCATGAACCACAGTGGCAGCCTCCAAATTCTATTTGAAGTTTGACTTTCCACCTCCAGAAAATCCAAACCTTTGCCCTAGTCACAGTGGGACACCCCGGAGTTAATTTGAGAGAAATGTGCTTTTAAAAACAACTCCAGGCCAGGCGCAGTGGCTCACGCCTATAATCTTAGCACTTTGGGAGGCCGAGGCAGACGGATCACGAGGTCAGGAGATCAAGACCATCCTGGCTAACACGGTGAAACCCCGTCTCTACTAAAAATACAAAAAATTAGCCAGGTGTGGTGGCACATGCCTGTAAGCCCAGCTACTCGGGAGGCTGAGGCAGGAGAATCGCGTGAACCAGGGAGTCAGAGGTTGCAGTGAGTTGAGATCGCACCACTGCACTCCAGCCTGGTGACAGAGAGAGATTCTGTCTCAAAATAAATAAATAAATACATAAAACCCTCCGATATGAACACCAAACTAGAATCACTGCATTGACTTCCCTCCACCAATCAGGAGGGGTGATGGTGATGGTGCATGAGTGCCTATTTGCATTGAGTCTTAATGGAAAATAAGATTGTGTCACTCAAAGGAAAAACAAATCACAGCCCAGACTGGAGCTGTGGATGAATAACATGGCTGAGTGTTGGTACAGGCTTTCCACAGCAATATTAAAACTGAAAAAATCAGCAATGAAGCTCCCAGCCACATTTCTGCCAAATGATTTGGGGGAAAACAACAGAGGCACTCCTCAACTTTTCCTTCGCTGCACAAAGTGGGTTTGGCTGGAAATGCCAAATGTGCTTGTTGCTGGGATCTTTCAAATGAAAGCAAGCTGGGAGTCAATCTCCTGCAGCCGCAGGCCAGAAATGGGTTGAGACCAAACTATTATAGTCACACTGGTGCACATGTAAACAGATTTAACTCCCTCCCAGCAATCCAGATTAATTTAATATGCTTTCTTAATGGCATTCTGCATTGCTCATTAAAGCAAATGAACCTCCATCCCTCTGTGATAAATTAGGTCAAAAAACACTCATATATTTAGGGCATAGGGAAGGAGGAGTTGTTGGCTGTTAAAAAAAAAAAAAAGTCCTGCAAATGGCCTTTCAAAGTCTAGACATCTTCATCATCAACACAAACATTCCTCTTCACAAAAGGACCTCAAGTAACCTTAGGCTGGAGGGCCCACCTGCGTATGTTTTTCTTCTCATTCTTTCTTACCTTCCCTCCAGCCCACACAACTCACATTCAGTGGCCAAGTCACGTGGGTTTTACCTCCTAAATCTTTCTCAGATCCTTCACTGCTCAGCCACTCTCCTGACACCACCATAAACCAAGCCACCATCACCTCCAGCTGTTTGACTGCAAATGCCTCCAGACTGGCCTCTGCTTTTCCCTGGTCCTGTGACAATCTGCACTCCTCACAGGGACCAAAGCAATCACTTCAGAAGGTGCATCCAAACAGATCACTCAAATTTCAATGGCTCCCTCTGCTGTGTGGGTTAACAATGATAAAAGCTCGGCCGGGCGCGGGGGCTCACGCCTGTAATCCCAGCACTTTGGGAGGCCGAGGAGGTCGGATCACGACGTTAGGAGATCCAGACCATTCTCCCTAACACGGTGAAACCCCGTCTCTACTAAAAATACAAAAAAATTAGCCGCGCGTGGTGGCGGGCGCCGGTAGTCCCAGCTACTCCGGAGGCTAAGGCAGGAGAATGGCGTGAACCCGGGAGGTGGAGCTTGCAGTGAGCCCAGATCGCGCCACTGCACTCCGGCCTGGGCGACAGAATGAGATTCCATCTCGAAAAAAAAAAAAAAAACAATGATAAAAGGTCACCTTTTCTGAGCACACACTATCTCAGTCCATCCCTACATCAGCCCTTTATTTCACCAGTGGGGAAGCTGGGACAGAGAGTAGTTACGTGGGATGCTCAAGGTGGGATCACTCGTGTGAAGTTTCCACACCCTAACGTGAGACCCTTCATGACCTAGCCCCTCTCTTTCTCCAGCCTCATTTCCTGATTCTCTCGCTTGCCCTGCAGGCTTCAGCCACACAAACTTCTTGAAAGTCCCTTAAATCTGGCTGAGCGCAGTGGCTCGCTCCTGTAATCCCAGCACTTTGGGAAGCTGAGGCGGGTGGATCACCTGAGATCAGGAGTTCGAGACCAGCCTGGTCAACATGGTGGAACCCCATCTCTACTAAATATCCCAAAATTAGCACGTGTGGTGGACGGCACCTGTAATCCTAGCTACTTCGGGAGACTGAGGCAGGAAAATCGCTTGAACTCGGGAGGCAGAGGTTGCAGTGAGCCAGGATCGCACCACTCCACCCAAGCCTGGGCGTCAAGAGTGAAAGTCCGTCTCAAAAAAAACAGTCCCTTAAATCTGCTCTATGCCTATCAACCTCAGGGACTTCACTATACTGTTCCTCACCCTGAAATGCTGTTCCTCATTTCTCCACATAGTGAACTCATCCCACCCCTAGGCCTCTCCTTAAGTGTCATCTCTTCAAGGAAGATTTTACTTTTTTAATATAACTATTAAAATATAATTCGGTACCATATCATTTGCCCATTTAAAGTAAACAAATCAATGGTTTCAGTGCATTCACAGAGCTCGGCAACCACCACCATGATCAATTTTAAAACATTTTCATCACCCCAAAAGAAACCCTGTATCCATGAGCAGGTACCTGCCATTTCCTCCTCCCACTAAGCCCTGACAATCTACTTTTTTTGAGATAGAGTCTGTGTCACAGGCTGGAGTGCAGTGGCACAATCTCGGCTCACTGCAACCTCTGCCTCCTGGGTTAAAGCAATTCTCCTGCCTCCCGAGTAGCTGGGATTACAAGGATATGCCACCACGCCCATCTAATTTTGTATTTTTAGTAGAGACAGGGTTTCTGTCTTCATAGATTTGCGTGTTCTGGACATTTTATATAAATGAAATCTTATAATATGTGACCTTTTGTGACTGGTTTCTTCCACTTGGCATAATATTCTCATGGTTCATCCGTGTTGTAGCACGTGTTAGTACTTCATTCCTTTTGATGACTGAATAATATTCCATTGCATAGTCAAACCATGTTCTATTTCTCCACTCATCAGTAGACAAGCATTTGTGTTGTTTTCACTTTGGCGCTATTATGAATAATGCTGCTATGAACATTTGTGTACAAGTTTCTGCACGGACATATATTTTCATTTCTTTCATAAACTGGAGTGGAAGTGGTGGGTCATAGAACTCTGTGTTTAAGCTTTTGAAGAAGTGCCAGACTGTGTAAGAAAGAAAGCCTTTCTTCACCCTGTGAGACTGAGCTCCCTCTCTCCATTTATACGTTCTCTTTATGCCCTTTGCTTCTCTTTCAGAGCAATTCACGTTGACCTGGGTCACCCTCAACTTAAGGCTCATAACTCCCCTAGATCCTCAGGGTCCACACTAAATGTGATGAAATATGATGGAAGCCACATACTTACTTTTGCATTTTGTAGTAACCACATTTTAAAAAGTAAAACAAAAGAAGTGAAGGTAATTGGAATAATATCACAGATTTAAACAAATCTATCCAAAATACCAGGTCTACAAGTATAAAATATTTTAACATTAACAAAATACTTTGCTTTCTTTTTATATTAAGTCTTCACAATCTAATGTGTATTTGACACTTCTCGCACATCTCAGAATGATGGCAGCACCCCATATGGGGGGCCCTCCCATGATGTCAATGATGGGCCCTCCTCCTCCTGGGATGATGCCAGTGGGACCTGCTCCTGGAATGAGGCCGCCCATGGGAGGCCACGTGCCCATGATGCCTGGGTGCCCAATGATGAGACCTCCTGCCATCTCATGATGGTGCCCAGTCAGCCCAGAATGACTCGACCAGACAGATAAGGATAGGGGGGAGGCCTCACTGCATCAGTGTTGTTTTGTTGTTGTTATTGTTGTGTTTTCTTTGTTTGTAATGTTTTTGTTTTGTTTTTGAGACACAGTCTTCCTCTGCCACCCAGGCTGGAGGGCAGTGGCATGATCTCAGCTCACTGAAACCTCCACCTCCCGGGTTCAAGCGATTCCCCTGCCTCAGCCTCCTGAGTAGCTGGGACTACAGGCGTGCGCACCATGCCCGACTAATTTTTTTTATTTTAGTAGAGACAGGGTTTCACCATGTTGGCCAGGATGGTCTCAATCTCCTGACCTCGTGACCCGCCCGCCTCAGCCTCCCAAAGTGCTGGGATTACAGGTGTGAGCCACTGCGCCCGGCCTATATGAGTTTTATATTTACCTGTTCCCTTCACCAGGAGATCATGCTGCTGTGATGCCGGGTTTTCTTAACAGCATAAGGAAGACTTGCCCCTTGCCCTATCAAAGAGAATAGTTTTGGAGGGCCGAAGTGGGACCAAAAAAGATGCAGTTTTCATTTCTATTGGGAAATGTGAAAAAAAAATTGTCAACTCTTTTAGTTAAAAACAACAACAACAAAAAAGGAAACGAGATGTGGGGCCGCCGCACGCAATATCGTGCATTAAAAGGATGTTCTACTCTGGAGGAAAATATCTTTGCTGATGCCAGACCAACCTAACACAAAGAACTTTTGGTTTTTTAATGTGACTGTGTTTTATTTTACACTGTGTAATTCACTTTAGAAGGGCAAAGTACCTGTCTGGGGAAGACTATTTAATTTCCTGCATTTATTTAGAATATTGGCTAATATTATTCTGAAGGGAAATATCTCTAACAAGTGAGTGCCCCCCACATAGACACAGCTCATGAGCTCACGGGGCAAAGAAATTGAACAGCAGCCTCCTAATAGCTAGCCTTCTTTGTGGTATGGAAATAATTATCAGCATGTAAAAGACTATATATATATTCAACAATTCTGACCCCCTGCAAAATTCAAATCTACAATTGATTTGCTTCCTGGGCTCCTGAAAACAACTTTGTCAAAACTGTTCAGAAATAAAATCAGCCAATCGTTGCCCCTTGGGGATGCAGGACAAAGCAAATCAGCCATGACCAATGTGGAGTCGGCCGTACACAATTACATGCAGACCTGCAGGACATCGAGTCCCTGCTATGGTCCCTCCCCAGTCAGACCCCCATTGCCTGGGCTGCAGCCAGAAGCATTCAGGCACAAGTGCATTCAACAAATACTTATTTAATTGTATTGGTGGTTAGAGGGCTGTTGTTGATTAAGGTACATTAATGGATCCATGTCTCCCTGTATCCAAGACTCTGCCATTTGTCTCTGCAGTTCCTCCCACTGAAGAATCGGAGTATATTTCTCCAGCCCCTAATGTTGGGTTTAGTCATGTGTCTAGCTTTGGCCACTGGAATATTAATCTGTATGACCAAAAACATGGAAAGTATGCATTCATTTGTGCTCACTCACTCCTGCTATCACCCTGAGAACAAGCCCAGGCCAGCCTGCTGCTTCCAGCAGAAGATAAGAGACACCAAGAGCAAAGTAGAGCTTCCCAGACATGCTCATGCTAGATTAACCAACCTCAGCTGACCCATAGATCCATGAAAATAAATGACTGTTGTATTAAGCCACTGAGATTTGGAGTGACTTGTTATGCAGCATTTTGTGACAATAAGTAACTGATACAAGGGTCACCATCCTTTATCTCTGTAGATTTTAACCAATTTTTAATAGCTAGATGGAGATCTTCTAGTTGCCTTTATTTATAATGAATAAGACTGTAGAGCTAGTTTGGCCTGACACTACCAGTTACCTACCCAGAAATTCAGAAATACTTTCTTCTCCAACCCACCCCAACCAACCATTACCATTTTTTTTTTTTTGAAACGGAGTCTTACTCTTTGCCTAGGCTAGAGTACAAGTGGCACAGTCAGAGCTCACTGTACCCTCAAAATCCTGGGCTCCCCTGATCTTCCCCTTCAAACTCCTACGTAGCTAAGACTACAGACATGTGCCACCATGTCTGGCTAATTTTTTTATTCTTTGCAGAGACAGGGTCTCACTATATTGCCCAAGTTGGTTTCAAACTCCTGGCCTCAAGCAGTCCTCCTGCCTCATCCTCCCAAAGTGCTAGGATTATAGGCATGAGCCACCACACCCAGCCTCTTCTTCTTTTTAAATAGAAACCCTATTTTATTCTGACAGCGGGTTGCTTACTTTTTTTTTTTTTTTTGAAAAAATTGGCCCAGCCCCAGGGAATAAATTGTGACTGGTCTAAACAGGGTTGGCAAACTATAGACCAAGGGCCAAATCTGGCCCTCTGACTGTTTGTATAAATTAAGTTTTACTGGAATAAAACCAGGTCCATTCATTTATGCCTTGTCTACATATGCTTTAGACTACGATGGCACCACTGTGTCACTGCAACAGAGGTTATCTAGACCAAAAGCCTAAAATATTACCGTTTGCTTCTTTATGGAAAAAGTTTGCCATTCCCTAGTCTAAGGTTTAGATTCTGAGCGTATCATTTTATCCTAACCCCACTTACCAGTGACTGGCTCAAAACAAGTATGTGATTCCATTCTGACTGTTCTACTGAGGGAAATCCCCCTTCTTCTCATGCAGAGCTGATGAGGGTAAGTTGTATTAATAGGACATATGCTCAGGTTTTCTGAAAAATACTTTTATCTAGAAATGCATAGGAATATGCTGGTGCCTGAATGTACCATCTGGGGGCCTGGAGATTGACTCACCTGCCTCCAGAGCTAGCGCTCACACTTACTACTGAGAGGCCTGAGGAAACACCTGCCTACCCACCACCAGAACCTGCACACGTCACCTGGAGAACTAGAGATCAGCCTGCCACACACACCACCCAGGAGCCCAGTGGCACACCTGCCCACCTGGCCCAGTGCTGCCACTGCCAGCAACCAAAGAAGCCACCTGGAGGCCCAGGGATTGGCCCATGCAGACAGGCTATCATCAGTGCCCACATACACTGCCCATGGTCCCTAGTATTGACACACCTGGTCTACCACCACTACCACTGATGCTGAAGGACAAGACTTCCAGGCATCCCCATCCTCAGCAAAGCCTCACCACAGCCTCCAATAACAACTGCAGTCTGGCTGGGCGCGGTGGCTCACACCTGTAATCCCAGCACTTTGAGAGCCTGAGGCAGGTAGATCACGAGGTCAGGAGTTCAAGACCAGCCTGGCCAACGTGGTGAAACCCCGTCTCTACTAAAAATACAAAAATTAGCTGGGTGTGGTGGCACGTGCCTGTGGTCCCAGCTACTCAGGAGGCTGAGGCAGGAGAATCGCTTGAACCTGGGAGGCAGAGGTTGCAGTGAGCTTAGATTGTGTCACTGCACTCCAGCCTGGTGACAGAGCTAGACTCCATCTCAACCACAAACACACAAACAAAAAAACCTGCAGTCTAAGCCACTGAATAACTCACAGACACCACTCATGCCAATTACAGCTGAAGAAATCATATGCAGACTATACCACTGTACCCACCCAGAATCAAAGCCAAAGTGTGATATCCAATGAACACTGTAGATACAGCTATAAGAAAAGGTCTTTCCCATATAAAAGCCAACCCAGAAGATTGGAAGAAGTGACTGCTATGTCAGAGGCACAGATAGTCACATAAGGACGCAAGAAATATGAAAAAGGAAACATAACATCTCCGAAGAAGCACAATAATTCTCCAGCCACAGATTCGAAAGAAAAGAAAATCTATGAAATGCCTGAAAAAAATTCAGAATAATAATATTAAAGAAACTCAGGGAGATATAAGAGAGCACAGATAATGAATACAAAAAAATCAGGAAAATAATTAATGATCTGAATGAGAAATTCAACAGGGATAGACAGCATAACAAAGAACCAAACACAAATCCTGGAAGAGATGAAATCATTGAAAGAAATACAAAAGATAATTGACAGCTTTAACAATAGACTAGATCAAGCAAAACAAAGAATTTCTGAACCTGAAGACTAGTCTTTTAAAATAATCCAGTCAGACAAAAAGAAAGAAAAAAGAATGAAGCAAGGCTATGTGACATATGGGACACATATGTGACCAAAAACTGAAATTCTGGGAGTTCTGGATGGAGATGAGATGGGTAAAGGCATAGAAAACCTATTTAATAAAATAATAACTGAAAACTTCCTGAAAGCTTCCAAATGCAGGAAGCTCAAAGATTACCAAATAAATACAACTCAAAAAGGTCTTCTCCAAGGCACATTATGGTAAAATTGTCAAAAGACAAAGAGAAAATGCTAAAAACAGCAAGAGAAAAGCATCAAGTCACTTATAAGAGAATCTTCATCAGGCTAACAGGGGATTTCTCAGCAGAAACCTTTCAGTCTAGGAGAAAAGGGGATGTATACTACAAGTTAAAAAAAAAAAAAAAGTAAGGCAAAAATGCTATACCCAGCAAAGCTATCCTTCACAAATGAAGAAGACTGGCACAGTGGCTCACATCTGCAATTCCAGAGACTCAGAAGGCTGAGGCAGGAGGATCATTTGAACCCAGGAGTTCAAGGCTGCAGTGAGCTATGATCATGCCACTGTACTCCAGCCTGGGTGACAGAGTGAGACTCCATTGCTTAAAAAAGAGAAAAAATATTTCCCAGATAAACAAAACACTGTTTGTGTCTTGTTTGTTGTGGTCCTACAAAAAATGCTTAAGGGAGTCCTACACTGGGAAGAAAAAGAACAATATCTACCATCATTAAAATACATGAAAGTATAAAACTCATGGTAGCGCAGACACACAAAGGAGAAAGGATTCAAACGTCACCATTAAAGAAAACCACCAAACTGCAACAATAAATAATGAGAGAAAAAAGGAACAAAGGTGTATTAGTCTGTTTTCACACTGCTGATAAAGACATACCTGACTGAGACTGGGCAATTTACAAAAGAAAGAGGTTTAATGGACTTACATTTCCACGTAGCTGAGGAAGCCTCACAATCACGTTGGAAGGCAAGAAAAAGCAAGTCATGTCTCACCTGGATGGCAGCAGGCAAAGAGAGAGCTTCTGCAGGGAAACTACCCTTTTTAAAACCATCAGACCTTGTGAGACGTATTCACTTTCACAAGAACAACATGGGAAAGACCTACCCCCATGACTCAATTACTTCCCACCAGGTCCCTCCCACAACATGTGGGAATTCAAGATGAGATTTGGGTGGGAACACAACCAAAGCATATCATTCTGCCCCTGGCCCTTGCCAAATCTCATTTCAAAACAAATTATGCCTTCCCAACAGTCCCCCAAAGTCTTAACTAAGTTCAGCATTAACTCAAAAGTCCACAGTCCAAAGTCTCACATGAGACAAGGCAAATCCCTTCCGCCTATGAGCATGTAAAATCAAAAACAAGTTAGTTACTTCCTAGATACAATGGGGGTATAGGCATTGGGTAAACACAGTCATTCCAAATGGGAAAAATTGCCAAAACAAAGGGGCTACAGGCCCCATGCAAGCCCAAAATCCAGTGGGGCAGTCAAATCTCAAAGCTCCAAAATGATCTCCTTTAACTCCATGTCTCACATGCAGGTCATTCTGATGTAAGAGGTGGGCTCCCATGGCCTTGGGTGAAAAAAGGCCACAGCTCCACTCCTGTGGCTTTGTAGGGTATAAACCCCCTCCTGGCTCCTTTCATGGGTTGGCATTGAGTGTCTGCAGCTTTCCCAGGCACACAGTGCAAGCTGTCAGTGAATCCACCATTCTGGGGTCTGGAGGATGGTGGCCCTCTGCTCACAGCTCCACTAGGTGGTGCTGCAGTAGGAACTCTATGTGGGGGCTCCGACCCCACATTTCCCTTCTGCAATGCCCTAGTAGAGGTTCTCCATGAGTGCCCTGCCCCTGCAGCAAACTCCTGCCTGGACAACTAGGCATTTCCATACATCTTCTGAAGTCTAGGCAGCAGTTCCCAAACCTCGATTTTTTACTTCTGTGCACCCATAGACTCAACACTATGTGGAAGCTGCTAAGGTTTGGGGCTTGCACCCTCTGAAGCCACAGCCCACGTTGTACCTTGGCTCCTTTTAGCTGCAGCTGGAGTGGCTAAGACACAGGCGCCCGAGGCTGCTCACAGCAGGGGGGCTCTGGGTCCAGTCCACAAAACCATCTTTCTTCCTAGCCCTCTGGGCCTTTGATGGGAGGGGCTGCCATGAAGCTCTGTGACATGCCCTGGAGACATTTTCCCCATTGTCTTGGAGATTCACATTTGACTCCTCGTTACTTAAACAAACTTCTGCAGCCAGATCGAATTTTTCTTGAGAAAATGGGATTTTCTTTTCTATTGCATTGTCAGGCTGCAAATCTTCCAAACTTTTATGCTCTGCTTCCCTTATAAAACTGAGGGCCTTTAACAGCACCCAAGTCATCTCTTGAATGCTTTGCTGCTTAGAAATTTCTTCTACCAGATACCCTAAATCATCTCTCTCAAGTCCAAAATTCCACAAATCTCTACAGCAGGGGCAAAATGCCACCAGTCTCTTTGCTAAAACATAACAGGAGTCACTTTTGTGCCAGTTCCCGGCAAGTTCCTCATTTCCATCTGAGACCACCTCAGCCTAGACTTTATTGTCCACATAACCATCAGCATTTTGGGCAAGTCTCTAGGAAATCTCTTCCAAAGTTTCCCACATTTTCCTGTCTCCTTCTGAGCCCTCCAACCTCTGCCTGTTTCCCAGTTCCAAAGTCACTTCCACATATTCAGGTATCTTTTAGGAACACCCCACTTCTGGTACAAATTTACTGTATTAGTCCATTCTCACACAGCTGATAAGGACACATACAAGACTGGGAAATTTACAAAAGAAAGAGGTTTAATGGACTTACAGTTCTACGTTGCTGGGGAGGCTCCAAAATCATTGCGGAAGTCAAGGAGAGACAAGTCACATCTTATAGGGATGGCAGCAGGCAAATAGAGCTTGAGCAGGGAAACTCCTCCTTTCAAAACCATCAGATCTCATGAGACTTACTCACTATCAAAAGAATAGCATGGAAAATACCTGCCCCCATGATTCAACTACTTCCCACTGGGTCCCTCCCACAACACATGGGAATTCAAGATGAGATCTGAGTGGGGACACAGGCAAATCAAATCAAAAGGATATACAAAATAACCAGAAAACAATGAACAAAATGACAGGAATAAGTCCTCACCTATCAATAATAACTTTGAATATGTGTTAAATTACCTACCTAAAAGATAGAGACAGGCTTAATGGATAAAAAATGACCCAACAATGTCTACAAGAAACTCACTTCACTTGTAAAGACACACACAGACTGAAAGTGAAGGGACTGAAAAAGATATGCCACGCAAACAGAAATCAAAAGTAATCAGGAGTAGCTAAACTTGCATCAGATAAAACAGACTTTAAGTCAAAAACTGTAAAAAGGACAAAGAAGGTCATTATATCGTAATAAAGGGATAAATTCAGCAACAAAATATAACAATTCTAAATATGCATGCAACCAACACAAGTGCATCCAGACACACATAGCAAATATTATTAAATCTACAGGGAGAGATAGAGTCCAATACAATGATAGTTGAGAACTTCAATATCCTACTGTCAGCATTGGACAGTTCATCTAGACATAAAATCAACAAAGAAACATTAGATTTAAGCTGCACTTTAGACCAAATGGACCTAACAGATATTTTCAGAATATTTCATCCAGCAGCAGCAGAAAACACAATCATCTCATCAACACATGGAACATTCTCCAGGATAGACCATATGTTAGGACACAAAACTAGGCTCAACAAAATTTTAAACATTAAAATCATATCAAGTATCTTCTCAGACCACAATGGAATAAAACTTGAAATCAATAACAAGAAGAAATTTGGAAACTGTACAAATACATGGACATTAAATGTGCTATTGAATGATCATTGGGTCAATGAAGCAATTAAGATGGAGATCAAAAAAATTTTTTAAACAGAAAATGGAAACACATCATGCAAAACCTATGGGATACAGCAAAAGCAGTACTAGGAGGAAGGTTTATAGCAATAAATGCCTACACCAAAAACGTAGAAAGATCTCAAATAAACAACCTAATGATACACCTCAAGGAACTCAAAAAGCAAGAACAAACCAAACACACAATTAATAGAAAGAAAAAAAAAAACAGCAGAACCAAATGCAACAGAGACAAAAAAGAAATGCAAAGAATCAACAAGATAAAAGTTGTTTTTTTTGAAAAGTTAAACAAAATTGATAAACCACTAGTGAGGCTAACAAAAAAAAGAAAGAAAGAAAGAAAGGAGACCCAAATAAATACAATCAGAAATGAAAAAGGAGACATTACAACTGTTACCAAAGAAATAAAAAGGATGATTAAAGGCTATTATGAACAACCATATCCTAACAAATTGGAAAACTTAGAGGAAAGGGATAAATTCCCAGACATACACAGCCTACCAAGATTGAACTAGGAAGAAACAGAAAACCTGAACTGACCCAAAATGAATAGCAGGTTTGAATCAGTAACAAAAAGTCTCCCCAAAGAGAAAAGCCCTAGACTAGGCTTTTATGCTGATTTCTACCCAGTTTATAAAGAAAAACAAACACCAATTCTTCTCAAACTATTCCCAAAAATTGAAGAGGAGGGAATTCTTCCTAACTCATTGTATAAGGCCAGCATTACCCTGATATCCAATCAAGACAAGGACACAACAGAAAGAGAAAACTACAGGCCAATATTCCTAATGAATACAGATGGAAAAATTCTCAGCATAATACTACCAAGCCAAATCTAATGATGAATGAAAAAGATAATATACCATGATCAAGTGGGATTTATCCCAGGAATGCAAAGATGGCTCAACATACACAAAATCAATGCATGTGATACATCACATCAACAAGATGAGAGGCAAAAACTATCTGATCATCTCAGCAGATGCAGAAAAATCACTCGATAAAACTTACCATTCCTTCATGATGAAAACTCTCAACAAATTAGGCATAGAAGGAACACTTCAACATAAGAAAAGGCATATATGACTAATCTACAGCTAACAACCTACTCACTGGGAAAAATTGAAAAGCTTTTCCTCTAAGAACTGGAAGAAGACAAGGATGCCCACTTTCACCACTCTTATTCAACACAGCATGGGACATCCAAGCCAGAGTGATCAGACAAGATAAAGAAATAAAAGGCATCCAAACTAGACAAGAGGGAGTCAAATTGTCTCACTTTGCAGATGACATAATCTTATACTTGTAAACAGAAAAACCTAAAGACTCCACCAAAAAACTCTTTAAATGGATAAGTTAGGCTGGGCATGGTAGCTCATGCCTGTTATCCCAGCACTTTGGGAGGCCAAGGTGGGCGGATCACCTGAGGTTGGGAGTTTGAGACCAGCCTGGCCAACATGGTGAAATCCTGTCTCTATTAAAAATACAATTAACAGGCATGGTGGTAGGTGCCTGTAATCCCAGCTACTTGGGAGGCTGAAGCAGGAGAATCGCTTGAAACCCAGAGGCGGAGGTTGCAGTGAGCCAAGATTGCATCACTGCACTCCAGCCTGGGCAACAGAGCGAGACTCTGTCTCAAAAAATAAAAAATAAAAAAATTTTAAAAAAACAGATGTATAATTCAGTAAAGCTTCAGGACACAAAGTCAACATACAAAAATCAGTGATGTTTCTATATACCAGTAACAAACTAACTAAAAAAGAAACCAAGGAAGAAATTCTATTTACAATAGCTACAAAAATAAAATACCTAGGAATAAACTTAACCAAGGATGGGGAAAAAAAAAAAACCTCTACAATGAAAACCACAAAACACTGATAAAATAAATTGAGAAGACACAAACAAATGGAAAAGCA
Source organism: Homo sapiens (assembly GCF_000001405.40). Lineage (NCBI taxonomy): Eukaryota > Metazoa > Chordata > Mammalia > Primates > Hominidae > Homo > Homo sapiens. Next base: position 67,915,514 of record NC_000011.10, read on the forward strand.
TCTTATGCTCGTGGGTTGGAATTACTAATACTGTTAAAATGACCATACTACCCAAAGCAATCTAGAGATTCAGTATAATCCCTATCAATTATATTCTTCACAGAAACAGGAAGAAAAAAACAACCCTGAAATTCATATGGAACCACAGAAGACCCCAAATAGCCAAAGCAATACTGAGCAAAAAGAACAAAGCTAAAAGCCTCACACTTCCTGATTTAAAAGTATACTGGAAAGCAGCTGGGCGTGGTGGCTCACGCCTGTAATCCCAGCTCTTGGGGAGGCCAACGCGGGTGGATCATGAGGTCAGGAGATCGAGACCATCCTGGCTAACACGGTGAAACCCCGTCTCTATTAAAAAAAAAAAAAAAAAAAAAAATTAGCCGAGGCTGAGGCAGGAGAATGGCGTGAACCAGGGAGGCGGAGCTTGCAATGAGCCGAGATTGCATCACTGCACTCCAGCCTGAGTGACAAGGCAAGACTCTGTCTCAAAAAAAAAAAAAAAAAAAAATATACACACACACACACACACACACACACACACACACACACACACACACACACATACTGCAAAGCTATAGTAACCAAAACAGCGTGTATTGGTATTAAAACAGACACAAAAACAAAGGAAACAGACTAAAGAACCCAGAAATGAATCCACATATTTACAGCTGGTTTTCAAGAAAGGTGTCAAGAACATACATTGAATAAAAGACACCCTCTTCATTAAATGGTGCCAGGAAAACTAGATATCCAAACACAGAAGAATAAAACTAGACCCTTATCTCTCATCACTTACAAAAATAAACTCAAAATCGATTAAAGACTTAAATGTAACAGCCACTATAAAACTACTAGAAGTAAACACAGGAGAAACGCTTCAGAACAAAGATTGTATGGCTAACACTAAAAAAGTACAAGCAACAAAAACAGACAAATGGGATTATATTAAATACCTTCTGCATATCAAAGAAAACAATCAACAGAGTGAAAAGACAACACCCCTCCCTTACACCATATACAAAAATTAACTCAAGACGGCCTACAGACTTAAATGTAAAACCCATAACTATAAAAACCCTGGAAGACAACCTAGGCAATACCATCCGGTACATAGTGATTGGCTAAGAGTTCATGGTGAAGATGCCAAACGCATTTGCCACAAAAGCAAAAATTGACAAATGGGATCTAATTAAATGAAAGAGCTTCTGCACAGCAAAAGAAACTATCAAAAAATAAACAGACATTTCTCAAAAGAGGATATACAAATCACCAAGTTTATGAAAAAATATTCAACATCACTAATCATCACGGAAATGCAAATCAAAACCACAGTGAGATATCATCTCACACTTGTTAGAATGGCTATTATTAAAAAGACAAAGCACAACAAATGCTGGCAAGCATGTGAAGAGAAGAAAATTATCGTATATTGTTGGTGGGAATGTAAATTAGTACAGCCATTATGAAAAAAAGTACAGAGATTTCTCAAAAAACTAAGAACAGATCTACCATATGATCCAGCAATCCCACTCCTGGGTATATATCCAAAAAAAAGGATATCAGTCTATCAACGGGATATCTGTACCCCCATATATACTGCAGCACTATTTACAATAGCCAAGATATGGAATCAATCTAAGTGTCAATCAATGGATGAATGGATAAAGAAAATGGGAATATACGCACAATAGAATAGTATTCAGCCATAAAGAAGAATGAAATCCTGTCATTTTCAGCTAAATGGATGGAATTAAAGGTCATAAAGTTAGGTGAACTAGGCCATGCACAGAAAGAAAACTATTGCATGTTCTCACTTATATGAGCAGTTTATGCTCCTGGAAATCAAAGTGGGGGCCATGTTTCAGGTCAGCAGGGTCAGGGATAGAGACCGCAGTTATGGACTTGTGTGCCCTGGAGCTATATAAAATTGATATCATGGAGATAAAGAGTAGAATGATAGTTACCAGAGGCCGGGAATAGGAGGGGTTTGAAAAGAAGTTGATTAATGGGTATAAAAATATATAATAGAAGGAATAAGATCTAGTGTTCATTATCACAGAAAGTGACTACAACAATTTGTTGTATGTATATATTTTTTAAATTTCAATAGTTTTTAGGGAACAGGTGGTATTTTGTTACATGGATAAGATCCTTAGTGGTGATCTCTGAAATTTTGGCGTACCCATCACCAAAGCAGTTTACCCAATGTATAGTCTTTTATCTCTCACCCCCTCCCACCTTCCCCCTGAGCCCCCAAAGTCCACTGTTTCATTCTTGTGCCTTCGCATCATCATAGCTTAGCTCCCACTTACGAGTGAGAACATGCAATGTTTGGTTTTCCATTCCTGAGTTACTTCATTTAGAATAATGGTCTCCAACTCCATCCAGGTTCCTATGAATGCCATTATTTCATTCCTTTATAAGGCTAAGTAGTATTCTATGGTATATATACATATATATATATACACACATATATATACACATATATATATATATATACACACACACATATATATATACACATTTTCTTTATCCACTAATTGTTGATGGGCATTTGGGCTGATTCTATAGTTTTGCAACTGTGAATTTTGCTGCTGTAAACGTGTGCAAAAGTATCTTTTTCATATAATGACTTCTTTTCCTCTGGGTAGATACCTTGCAGTGGGATTGCTGGATCAAATGGTAGATCTACTTTTAGTTCTTTAAGGAATCTCCATACTGCTTTCCATAGTGGTGGTACTAGCTTACATTCCCACCATCAGTGTAAAAGCTTTCTTTCACCACGTCCGTGCCAACATCAATTTTTGCTTTTTTTGTTTTTGTTTTTGTTTTGGTTTTGAGATGGAGTCTCGCTCTGTCACCCAGGCTGGAGTACAGTGGTGCGATATCAGCTCACTGCAACCTCTGCCTCCCGGGTTCAAGCAATTCTCCTGCCTCAGTCTCCTGAGTAGCTGGGATTACAGGCAACTGCCACCATGCCTGGCTAATTTTTGTATTTTCAGTAGAGACTCGGTTTCACCATGTTGGTCAGGCTGGTCTCAAACTCCTGACCTCCTGATCCACCCACCTCAGCCTCCCAAAGTGCTGGGACTACAGGCGTGAGCCACCGCACCTGGCCCTATTTTTGTTTATTTTACACGTGGTATTGCATTGTGATTTTGATTTGCATTTCCCTGGTAATTAGTGATGTTGAGCACTTTTTCATGTGTTTGTTGGCCATTTGTATATCTTCTTTTGAGAATTGTCTATTCATGTCCTTGGCACGCTTTTTGATGGGATTATTTTTTTCTTGCTGATTAGAGTTCCCTGTAGATTCTGGACATTAGTCCTTTGTCAGATGCAGTTTGTGAAAATTTTCTCCCACTCTGTGGGTGATCTGCTTACTCTGCTGATTATTTCCTATGCTGTGCAGGAGGCTTTTAGTTTAATTAAGTCCCATCTATTTATCTTTGTTTCTATTGCATTTGCTTTTGGGTTCTTGGTCATGAACTGTTTGCCTAAGCAAACGTGTAGAAGCGTTTTCCAATGTTATCTTCTAGAATGTTTATGGTTTCAGACCTTAGATTTAAGTCTTTGATCCATCTTATGTTGATTTCTGTATAAGGTGAGAGATGAGGATCCAGTTTTATTCTTTTACATGTGGCTTGCCAATTATCCCAGCACTATTTGTTGTATAGGGTGTACTTTCCCTACTTTGTTTTTGTTTACTTTGTTGAAGATCAGTTGGGTGTTAAGTATTTGGCTTTATTTCTAGCTTCTCTACTCGGTCCCATTGGTCATGTGCCTATTTTTATACCAGCACCATGCTGTTTTGGTGACTATAGCCTTGTAATATAGTTTGAAGTTGGGTAATGTGATGCCTCTAGATTGGTTCTTTTTGCTTAGTTTTGCTTTGGCTGTGCAGACTCTTTTTTAGATCCAATTGAATTTTGGCATTTTTTTTTCCAGTTCTATAAAGAATGATGATGGTATATTGATAGGAATTGCATTGAATTTGTAGACTGCTTTTGGCAGTATGGTCGTTTTCACAATATTGAGTCTACCCATCCATGAGCATGGAATGTGTTTCCATTTCTTTGTGTCATCTATGATTTCTTTCAACAGTGTTTTGTAGTTTTCCTTGTAGGGGTCTTTCACCTCCTTGGTTAGGTATATTCCTAAGTATATTATTTTTACAGCTATTATAAAAGGGTTTGATTTGATTCTCAGCCTGGTAGATGTTGGTGTATAGCACTGCTACTGATTTGTGTACATAGATTTTGTATCCTGATAAATGGATTTATTGTATATTTCTAAATAGCAATAAGATTTGAAATATTCCCAACACAAAGAAATGATCAATGTTTGAGGTGATTAATATCCTAAAGACCCTGATTTGATCATTACACATTGCATGCATGTGCCAGAATCTCACATGGACCCCACAAATGTGTACAATTATTCTCTATCAAAAACATTTTTTTAAGAAACATGCAGGAATACACTGTACCTCTTCCTTGCTGTCTCTGGATATTGTCACATGAGGACTTGACATGCGGATTGTGGCAGCCTCTGTGACCAAGAGCAGAAGACAATAGCAGCATAGAAACCTCAAATGAAAAACCTAACATCTCAAGCTACTAATTTAGCCAACCTTGGCATCAGCTATCTCCGGTCTTAGTACATGAGGTGATAAGCCCCACTGTTCAAGTTGGGTGGCCATCAATTGCTGCACAATAGAAGTTAATGAGGCTTCTTCCTCCTGGAACCCCTACTAGACCCTGACATACCCATTCAGTCACAGGCAGAAAGGGAAGCAGAGGGTAAGGAGACCTGGCTGGCTGTGCCAGATGCAGATCTTACCTGTCCTGCTTAGAACATTCAAAGCTCAATTGGTTAAACAAAAAAAGGAAAAAGACAGTAAGGAGTATAACACTCCCCAGATGCAACTTAATCTAACACTCTATACTTTAAATTTTCTAAACATACATAGAAATCAGACCACTACTTCTGCAGAACATTTTACTGGTAAAAAGAACAGCCCACATGAGGGAAAACTGATTTGGTGGAAAGACAACAAAAACAAAACATGGGAAATAGGTAAGGTGATAACATGGGGGAGAGGTTTTGCTCGTGTTTCACCAGGAGAAAATCAGCTTCCTGTTTGGATACCCACTAGACGTTTGAAGTTCTACAATGAACCCATCAGAGATGCAAATGAAAGTGCCTCCGCAGAGACAGAAAACCCACAATCGAGCATCATCGACCCGCAGGGTGAACAAAATGGTGATATCAGAAGAACAGATAAAGTTACCATCCACCAAGAAAACAGCACATGTGGAGAGCCAGGGAGAAGAATAGAAAGAAAAAGAGACAGAGATCAGAGACAGACACAGAAAGTGAGATTGGGGAGAGAGATAGTGTAAAAGAGAGAGAGAGAGAGACCATAAGAGAAGGGAGACAAAGAGATAAAAGGTGCGAGTCAGTAGGTGAGGAGAAAGACTGAAAACTATGAGAAACAGCAACTAAGACACAAAGGAGGTGGGAGACTGCCCGGGTGCCGCAGCACCCACACCGTCCTCTTGCCCCCTGTCACTTGGGTTAAAACCACCGGAAATTCCACTATTGCAAATTTTATATTAATCCTTGTATGTCTGACTTTTCTATTGTTAGTCTACAGGTGTATCCAGCAGCTCCAGAGAGACAGCGACCAGGGAGAAGGGGCCATGATGATGGTGGTGGTTTTGTCAAAACGAAAAGGGGGATATGTAGGGGAAAGAAAGAGAGATCAGACTGTTACTGTGTCTACATAGAAAGGGAAGACATAAGAGACTCCATTTTGAAAAAGATCTGTACTTTAAGCAATTGCTTTGCTGAGATGTTGTTAATCTGTAGCTTTGCCCCAGCCACTTTGCCCCAACCACTTTGACCCAACCTGGAGCTGAAAAAACATGTGTCGTATGAAATCAAGGTTTAAGGGATGTAGGGCTGTGCAGGACGTGCCTTGTTAACAAGATGTTTCCAAGCAGTATACTTGGTAAAAGTCATCGCCATTCTCTAGTCTCAATAAACCAGGGGCACAATGCACTATGGAAAGCCGCAAGGAGCCCTGCCCTTGAAAGCTGGGTATTGTCCAAGGTTTCTCCCCATGTGATAGTCTGAAAAGTGGCCTCGTGGGATGAGAAAGACCTGACGGTCCCCCAGCCCGACACCCATAAAGGGTCTGTGCTGAGATGGGCTAGTCAAAGCGGAAAGCCTCTTGCAGTTGAGATAGAGGAAGGCCACTGTCTCCTGCCTGCCCCTGGGAACTGAATGTCTCGGTATAAAACCCGATTGTACATTTGTTCAATTCTGAGATGGGGGAAAAACCGCCCTATGGTGGGAGGTGAGACATGTTTGCAGCAATGCTGCCTTGTTATTCTTTACTCCACTGAGATGTTTGGGTGGAGAGAAACATCAATCTGGCTTACGCGCACGTCCAGTCATAGTACCTTCCCTTGAACTTCATTATGACATAGATTCTATTGCTCACATGTTTGTTGCTGACCTTCTCCTTATTATCACCCTGCCCTCCTACTACATTCCTTTTTGCTGAAATAATGAAGATAATAATCAATAAAAACTGAGGGAAATCAGAGACTGGTGCCAGTGCAGGTCCTTGGTATGCTGAGCGCCGGTCCCCTGGGCTCACTGTTGTTTCTCTATACTTTGTGTCTTATTTCTTTTTTGTCTCTCATCCCACCTGACTAGAAATACCCACAGGTGTGGAGGGGCAGGCCACCCCTTCATTATGAGATTACAGGCAAGAATAACCCCACCTGGCCACCTAACTCACTCTTGAGAGGCCAGAAGTGATGCTGGAATTTTCTTCCTCTGTGGTTTAAAAAGGGAAAATTAGGGAGAACACAAGGCATGAGCGATGCAGCAATGGATATGTCTATATGGAGCTTCTGTCTGCATCCAGTAGAAAATGCATTTCTAGGCATCAGGTTTAAGAGCGAAAACCTGGAGTCTTGTCTGTTAGCATTCTCCTTCCCCACAAACCAGAGAGGGAATACATTTTGCTCCAGCACATCCGGATGTAGGAAATGTCACATTCCTATTTCTGTAACTTCACTTAAATCTGCTCTGAGTCCCTGGATGCCTGGCAGGTGGAGAATTCAATCTTGTCGTTACCAGCATTGCTTTCCCTTCTCCATGGGCTTATGTAAGAATTCTGGGCTTACACACTGTTGGAAAGCCAGGTAGGAACTACTTCCCCCGAACTCTCCATTCTTCCAGCTGCTCATGATCCATCAGCCTTTTTTGGGCCATCTGCTATAACAAGACCCTCCTCACAGCATCATTCCACTGACCCACAGGCTCAGCCCCAGGGACCCTCACTGTAACAGGTCTCCACTATGCATAGGAACTCACAAAAACCTTCTCTTCATCTTGGCTTCCTCTGATATCCAGCCACTCCCCTCTTCTCACCTTAAACACAGATGGCAGCTCCTTCCCATCATTCCAACCCTTGGGGATTGTCCAGCCAAATTCTCTTCAGACACCAAAGCTTCACCCACCCTCTTCATGGAGATGATGCAAGGGCATCTGAGATCTTTGGAAGCCCAATTCTGGCCTCTCTTTGGGGTGGGCTGAGAGTGGGAACTAGACTCTCTTTTCCAAGTGCCATGTTTATCTTGTTCATCATTATATTATCTCCAATGCCTGGCACATAGTAGGCACTACAGACTGACACATAGTAGGTGCTATTAGTGTCTGTATAATGGGACTCTTGAGGTCGAAGCTATTAGCAGAAACCTACCAAGCAAAAGGATGGAAAACCGACCACCAAAAAAAAAAAAAAAAAAAAAAAAAAATGAAAACAATCATGGCTTTGAGCTCTAAACACACAAGGCACCAGCCCAAGTTTGGGCAATTTTAATACAACAGCCATTTTGCCTCCAAACAAACTGGCACTGGAAACCTCCGTCTGCCTCTTAAAGAGAACCAGTTTCTCTTTCTCTAAGTGGGCAGCATTTCTCCCCGGTGACAGTACCCAGCCCACTGCCACCAGCAAAGGACTGCAGCCAGGAGCCAAGAGCTTGATAGTTTAAAGAATATATTTTATAGGGAAAAACAAAGTAACATCCACATAAATCTGGAAGTACCACCACTTTCCAGAGGCCGAATCCCATTTGTGGAGTCTCTTGCGTGTCAAGCACCTTGCAGTCACCTCAACTACATACTTTTGGGATTCGTTGCAGAGACGAGTGAAGGTTATCTGCAAAACAAAGGAACTAGGGCTCAGAATTCCCCGAGCAATCCATGACAGAGGAGGTGAGTAGAAAAGGGAAGGGTGAAGTCAAAGAGAGAATTCAGTGAATTGGCCAACACCAAGCAAGGATCATGGGACCCTCTCCATGGCTCCACGTCTCAAATGAAGTCAATAAAACCCATCAATGCTTGGTGTAAGTGTTGTATGCTCCCGGAAATGAAAGCAGGGGCCACATTTCAGGTCAGCAGGGTCGGGGGTAGAGGCAAAGGTCATGGACTTGTGGGCCCTGGAGGATGGGATGATTCTGAGACATTGAATCCCTACACTGATCTCAGTAGAAATCTCAGGTAGGGCTTCAACATTCGTGGCCCAAGGACTCTGTGTGCCTGAGAGCAAAAGCCTTGGTGCATGTCCCGGCTCCATCAATCCCAACTGGGGCTTTGAACAAGTTACTTATTTTTTTAACTAACGTTATTTTAATTGACAAATCATAATTGTACACATTTATGTGATGTTTTGATATGTGTATACAATGTGGGATGATTAGATCAAACTAATTAACATGTCCATCCACTAATTTACTGACAATTTTTATGATGAGACATTTGAAATGTAGTCTCTTAGTTATTTTGAAAGATACATTATTATTGACTATAGTCACGCTGCTGTGCTATAGATTTCAAAACACATAATCCAGCAACCCAACTTCTGGGTATAGACAAAAAAAAATCGAAATCAATATGTCGAAGGGATCCCTACATTCCTATGTTCACTGCAGCACTATTCACAATACCCAAGATATAGAATCAACCTAAGTGTCCATCAGTGGATGAAAGGATAAAGAAAATGTACTATATACACACAACGGAATACTATTAACTCTTAAAAAAGAAAGAAATCCTGTCATTTTCAACAACATAGATGAACTTGAAAGACATTGTGTTAAGTGAAATAAGCCAGGCACAGAAAGACAGATACTGCATGATTTTATTATATGTGGAATCTAAAGAAGTTGAACTCACAGAAATAGAGAGTAGGACAGTGGTTATCAGGGGCTGGGGTGGAGGAAAGGTAGGGGATAGGAGACACTGCTCAAAGGGTACAAAGTTTCCAATACGAAGAATAAGTTTTGAACAAGCTAAACTCCTCTGAAAGCTCAGTTCCTCATCTGTAGAGCGGGGACACATCATTAACCTTCTAAGGATGTTGCTGTGAGAGTAAGAGATGATGTTCAGCACAATACCTAATGCACAGTCAGGTCTTCTTAAGCTTGAACCTGCATCGCCATGACCTCTACATCACAGGACAGAAAGGCTCACAGCCAGTGTCTCAGTTCCCAGTGAAAAGTGGATCCCAGACCAGGCTGAATAGCAGGATCCCTAGGGGATACTCCACCCTACTGAGTCAGAATCACCGGAGGTAGAGCCTGGGTATGTATGTATGTGCGCGTGTGTGTGTATGTATGTATGCATGTATGTATGTATGTATGCATGTATGTATGTATAAGAGACAGGGTCTTGCTCTGTAGTCCAGGCTAGAGTGCAGTGTCACAATCATAGCTCACTGCAGCCTCAAATTACTCCTGGCCTCAAGCCATCCTCCCATCTCAGCCTTCAGAGTAGCTGAGACTAAAGGCGCATGCCACCAGCCCAGATACTTTTTTTTTCCTTCTTTTTGGAGAGAGTCTCACTCTGTTGCCCAGGCTGGAGTGCAATGGTGTAATCTTGGCTCACTGCAACATCTGTTCTCGGGTTCAAGTAATTCTCATGCCTCAGCCTCCGGAGTAGCTAGGATTACAGGCATGCACCACCACACCAGGCTAATTTTGCTCTTTCATTGTTGTTTCTTGATTGTTTTTCACAAATAGGACTTCTTATTTGCTACTGTTTTAAGCCTGAACTTTAAACAGATTCTTGGACTGGTGGTTCATATCCATCAGCTCATTCAACTTTAGCATGTGTCTCGTCCCTAGTGGGTTTTCCAGAACTACTACCATCACCACGAAGCTCCATGCCTTTCAAACCCAGGGTTCTCCAGCATTTTTATTTTTCTAATGAAGACATCATGGAGAGGATAAATTGGCAAGCCTTTTCTACATCTTTTCCAATGTTGTCTGGAATCAATTTATTAACCACTTCTTTCAAGTCATTTGTCTGCACCTCTCAGGTCATGATTTCCATCATCTTCTTCTGGATTTGGCAGACTGTTGGTGCTAAGCATAAGAGGTCTTCAGTATCAGATTGTTGTGTTTTTTAGTAAAACCAACACAAAACATAAGAAAGAAGTAACCATCGGTAGTCTTGACATCAACATGAGCTTCGATCATTGTTGAACATTTTTCAACCTTGGAACATATTTTGTCACAGGTAAGACCCATGCCATAGAAGTTAGTCAGGCAATTTTTGCCCTGAACATCTTCAGTAATCAGCTTGAATTTTCTAAATGCAACTTCATCATTCTGCAAATCTGCAAGACTCATTTCAAACACAAGACCCTTGAGACCATCAGATGCAATTTGGGTTCCTTGGGTCCTGGTGACCAAGTCTTTCCAATATTTCTTATATTGAACATAGCAGGTGCTTTCACATCATACTGATCTTTCTTAGAGAATGGACCAATTACTTTCTTCTTAACTCCCTTTTTGCCACCTTTCATAAGGCACTTGTTCTTAACAACCGCCATGGTGCTGCTCAGAGTACCAAAAGGCTAAATTTTATATTTTTGGTAGAGAAGGGGTTTCACCATGTTGGCCAAGCTGGTCTTGAACTGATATCAGGTGATCTGCCCGCCTCAGCCTCCCAAAGTGCTGGGATTACAGGTGTGAGCCACTGCACCCAGCTGATATTTATTTTTTATTTTTTTGTAGAGACAGGGTCTTGCCATGTTGCCAAGGCTGGCCTGGAACTCCTGGCCTCAAGCAATCCTCCCACCGCAGCCTCCCAAAGCACTGGGATTTCAGGTGTGAGCCACCGTGCCCAGCCTGGAATCTATTTTTAAAGCCAATCAAGTGTTGAATAAAATTGCAACTTGGGCTGTTTTTTCTTCGCATTTTTTACATTTCAATGGTTTTTAATATATTCAGAGATATACGCAAACATTACCAGTCAATTTTAGAACATTTCATGACCTCAAAAAGAAACCTCATACCCTTTAGCTAACACCCCCTATCCTCTCATGCCCCTAGCAGCCCTAAGCAACCACTAATCGACTTCCTATTTCTATAGATTTCCATCTGAATGAAATCATGTAGAATGTGATCTTTCATCTGTTTTGAAGGTTCATCCACGCTGTAGCGTATGTACTTTCCTTCCTTTTGTGATCAAATAATATTCCACCATGTGGGTAGACAACAACCGGTGTATCTCTTCATCTGGTGATGGGCATTTGGATTAATTCCCTCTGTGGGTTATTAGGAGTGATGCTATTGTAATTATTCATGCACAAATTTTTGTGTGGACCTGTGCTTTCATTTTTGAATATGAAAATATGGCACATCTCCAAGGAAGACATACAAGTGGCCAATAAGCACATGAAAAGATGCTCAATGAAATTCATCATCAGGGAAACAGAAATCAAAACCACAATGTGATACCACTTCATAGCCATAAGGATGGCTAGAATTGAAGATACAGAAAATTGGCCTGGTGTGGTGGCTAATGCCTGTAATCCCAGCACTTTGGGAGACCGAGGCAGGTGGATCACCTGAGGCCAGGAGTTTGAGACCAGCCTGGCCAACATGGTGGAACCCTGTCTCTACTAAAAAATACAAAAATTAGCCAAGCATGTGGCAGGTGACTATAATACCAGCTACTCTGGAGGCTGAGGCAGGAGAGTAACTTGAATCTGGGAGGCAGAGGTTGCAGTGAGCTGAGATTGTGCCACTGCACTCCTGCCTGGGTGACAGAACAAGACTTTGTCTCAAAAAAAAAAAATACAGAAAATAACAAGTGTTGGTGAGGATGCAGAGAAACTGGAACTTTCATACACTGCTGGTAGGAATTAGAATGCTTTAGCCACTGTGAGAAACAGTTTAACAACTTCCCAAACAATTCTACATAGAGCCCAACATGGGCTCTTTTAATCTATGGAAAATGAACTATGGGTACTTGGCAAGAACAAAGAGGGAGAGAGGAAGAAATGGTGCCATGAGGGCACATTGATTGGTCTCTAGTACACATGGCTCCTACTGCAAATGGTCTCTAAATGACTTCATCAGTTGCTCATAAAAAAAATCACCCTCTGCTCCAATCGTGGAGGAAGAAGTATGGATTGGACCTGGTGAGCCACGGTAAGACTGACTGCTAAACTTTATGAATGATGAGGGGATTTGCACGTATAATCTTGACTGTACTAGATTTTTTATTTTATCCACTGTCTTTGAAAACCTAACTCTTGACTAAGAACTGACTTTCCTGTACTTGCTTTTGACTCTAAGTAAATTTCCAATTCCTCATAGTCCAAAGATGATGTTTTGAGAAATCTCTCAAAGGAAAAATGCTAATACAGGAAGAGTTATGCGGCAAATTTTGCAGAATTTACACAAACTGTACTTGTAGGTACGAAGCACAAAACATTTTCATGAGTAAAGAAAAAAGTGCTGTTCATTCTAGTAGAGGCTGCAGGATGAAGCCGATCAAGGTGCTTGCCCAGCCAGACCTTGGGCTCTTACCAAATTTGTGTTAGAGTCAACTCTGATGGAGTCTGTATCTCAGTCATCTTTTTTTTGACATGGAATCTCGCTCTGTCTCCCAGGCTGGAATGCAGCGGGGTGATCTCAGCTCTCTGCAACATCTGCCTCCTGGGTTCAAGCGATTCCCCTGCCTCAGCTTCCCAAGTAGCTGGGGCTACATGTGCGTGCCACCATGCCTGGCTAATTTTTGTATTTTTAGTAGAGACGTTTCATCATGTTGGCCAGGCTGTGCTCTAACTCCTGACCTCAAGTGATCCACCTGCCTTGGCCTCCCAAAGTGCTGGGATTACAGGCATGAGCCACCATGCTCGACCTCAGTCATCTTTTATCCTCCACACCTGGCAAGTTCTAGACCCACTGCGGTTCCATACAAGTTTTTTGAATAAATAGGAGACAGATAGAAAGTGGGAACTCTGGAAGTAGAGAAGATTCCAGAAATTGTGCATATTTCCCAGAGACTGGCCAAATTCCTCAGTCCTGCCAGAGTTTCTCTATCTCAACTCAAACCTTACGTGTGGGCCCAGACACAGTGGCTCACACCTGTAATCCCAACACTTTAGGAGGCTGAGGTGGGCAGATCACTAGAGGCCAGGAGTTTGATACCAGCCTGGCCAACATGGTGAAACCTTGTCTCTACTAAAAATACAAAAATTAGCCAGGCATGGTGGTGTGCACCTGTAGTCCCAGCTACTCACGGGGCTGAGGCACAGCATTGCTTGAACCCAGGAGGTGGAGTTTGCAGTAAGTCACGATTATGGCACTGTACTCTAGCCTGGGCAATAAAGCAAGACTGTCTCAAAAGAAAAAAATACCCTTATATGTGGGCCTTGTTACAGAATTAATGTTTATATGGACAATATGTACATGGGTGTATGTTAAGAGCATGAGTCATCCACAAGATTTTAGCAAAGTCCATTTAGAAAGCTCAATGCTTTGGGCTTCCACTTGCCTTGCTGCCTGTGTCCTCAGAAGGAGGCTTCATCCTTCCATGTAACCAGCAAATCCTTTATGCAGAGATGTACACAACACACTCCTATCCTTGGCTATAACACCTTGAAAGGTTCCTCTTGGTGGCCCCTGGTGCTCATTTCAGAGTAGTTCAAATTAAGGTGATCAGCTTTCATGCCAATCACTCTACAAATCACTCCTATTATGACCAATTTTTCTAAATGCTTTATTGAATTATTACTTAAAGAAATGTGCACGTAGAAGAGGTCAACACTACTTTTCTTACAAACTGAACATACTGGCCAGGCTCAGTGGCTCATGCCTGCCATCCCAGCACTTTGGGAGGCCGAGGTGAGCAGATTGCTTGAGCCCAGGAGCTCGAGACCAGCCTGGGCAACATAGTGAGACCCCCCACTCTACAAAAAATAAATAAATACAAAAATTAGGCAACAGTGATGGCACATGCCTGTAGTTCCAGCTACTCAGGAGGGCTGAGGTGGGAGGGCTGCTTGAGCCCAGTAGGCAGAGGCTGCTGTGAGCCATGACGGTGCCACTGTGCTCCAGCCTGGGTGACAGAGTAAGATCCTGCCAAAAAAAAAAAAACAAAAAACTGAACATCTCCATATTACCGACACCCAATTCAAGAAACAGAACATTACAGCCCCTTCCAGGATATTCCTGGGGTCTCTTCCATCTCTACTAACCCCTGACTACAAACAGCCTCCACCTATTTCACCTGACATTGTACTTTATGAAAGCAGCAGTTCTCAGATGGGGCTATTTTGCCTCCTGGGGACATTAGGCAATATCTGGAGACACTGGGGGTTGTCTCTACTTGGGGGGAGTTGTGTTACTGCATCCAGTGAGTCCAGGGATCCAGGGATGTCGCTCAACATCCTAAAATGCATAGGGAACCCCCACACATACAACAGAGAAATTGCTGAGCCGAAATGTCAGCAGCGTCACAGCTGACACCCTGACATACACACAATCACACAGTATCTGCTCTTTCGTGCTCAGGATTTCTGTCATTCTAATCATTTCATAGGAAACAGAAATGTCATTTGGAGGTAGGTAGAGTCCAAAACAAAGAAGATTCAGAGTTTTGTTTTTAATCAGCCTGGTGCCTTTAGAGCTAGGATTTAGTTTCCATTCTTTCTGTCTCATTTTCAAGTGATTTTTCTTCAACTGGCATCTGCTGGGCTCAAGACCCGGAGATCCCCACAAAGCTGAGATTCACATGGGAATTTTGTATACACCCACACAGCTATACACTGCCATTTACATGCAGACATCCACCCACAGATACACACATCCGGAGACCAAGACAGAAAGCAAACTCCACCATAAAAGCACGGTTCCCCGAACAGGAGAAACGCACCATTCACTCAAGGGAGGTACCTATTTGTTTAATTCAGCCTGTGATAGGCTGTTGCCAAGCCCAGCTCTGAAAGTCTTCCCCTCTAGGAAAAGAGATGGATTTTTTCTTTACTCAAGAATATAGATCTAAAAAAAACAAACACTTCTGCATCTCAAAGCAGGCTCTACCTCCTGAGCTACACATATTGATCAGCATTTTATTGTCAATTTTCTTTTATTTGAACTGGATAAAAATATAACCTAATTGTGTTCTTACTGACAGTTTGGAATCAGTCACACTAAATCCAATTCTCTGGGTTCTCATGGTTAAGGTGTTTAATTTGGGGGACAACAAAGCAAAAGCATTGGTCATGTTTTAATATAATTAGTACAGGATATATCTAAGGGGTTCAAGTATCACTGTAGCAAGAAGCTCATTCTGCAGTAAAAGGGGGATTCTGCCACTAGGATTGAGTGAGGGTGATTCATGGCTGCACCGTTTCATCAATGTCTCTTCAAGAGTCCATGGAATGTGGAATGGGAAAGACTGAAATAGTCCAAGTCTTGGCTAAGCTTCTATTAAGGGGTGTTAGGAGCTGATAAAATAACCTGGTCTTTATAGACATCCCACACTGTAGTTCTGTAAGCTACAGATTCTCAGATTTTTCTATTTTATAAACCAGTAAAAATATTTTATTAATTTGAGAACCAACATAAGGTTGCTACTTTATTTTCTTTTTGGTAAGAAGGAACTTTTTTAAACTACCAGTTTCACACACACACACACACACACACACACACACACACACACACATACACACAGAAATTCCACCATGATTGGTCAGAATAGGTGAGGTTTTGCTGCAATAACAAACAACTCCTAAATCTTGGTAACTTCAAACATCAGTAGTTGTTTTTCTCACTCATGCTACATCTGCAGGGAGGTGTGGGGTGCTCTGTTTTCCATCAAACTTGCCCTAAGACTAAGGCTAATGGGGGCTGCATTACCTCGAGTATCACCAAGCAGGGAACAGCGGGACAAGAATGCTAGAGAGCCTTGTACTAAGAATTAAATGCTCCAGGCTAGAAGTCTCACACTGCACCTCTGCCCCCAGCCTCTTGGCCAGTACTAGCAACATCCCCTTCCCCACCACAGGGCAATGCATGAAGACAGGAGAATTTGATACATTACAAATTTCTACCCCATGGCATTTCATAAAAGAGAAAAAAATGCAAATACAAAAATGTTTTAATAGAATAGAATATATACATTTTTGGAATAAAGAACAATCCTCCAAAAAGGACAGCTGGTGGTCTTTCACCAATGGGCACATTTCTGTGACATTTTCTCTGTTTTTCCATTTTATCCTTGACCTATGAACATTTTATACAGATGGTCCAAAGAACACCATGTGGGGACCACTGCTCTAATCAGGTGATGAAAACGGCCCCAAGAACAGAGCACAGTCTCTTTAGCAAAGACCCAGCAGGGCCAGGGTGACCATGTTCTCACCATCAACGTGCAGACATCCACCTGCAGCATCCTCACATCCCAACATCAAACAGTGGCTCTTTATAGCTTGATTCTAATGCCCTTTGATCTTCATAATCATTGTAAAGTTCTCTGGCCCCAAGATCTAACATCGCCACTCTAGCTACATCCTGCAACTGTTCATCTCTCCTGCCTCCTCATCCCTCTAAACTTCTCTTCACAACCTCATGTTTCCTTCTTGCTTTACCTTCCTGCTCAGCCTGGACCTTACAGTCACCTTCTTCTTGTAATGTGCTCCTGAACTCGTTCTTCCCTGCCTTCAACCACACCCACCTGGAAAATCTCCATACCCCATTGATGACTTGCCTCGCAACTGCCCAAGGGCTGCTGAATGATACTGGAAAGAATCACAACATGGATCTGGTAGTTCCACTAAATAATCTCACCATCCAACTCTAGGATAGACTTCACTTCTGTTCAGCAATATTTTTAAGCATCACAAATAAATTCCAAACCATATTTGCTAGAACAACTGACTTTAAACCTCTTACATATCTCAAAGCCCCCCAAACCCATCCCTAGGGATTTCAGAGCCCAGAGTTGAGTTCTCTCAACTCACTTCCATCTCACCCCTAGATCACTGTACCTTGACCCTCTTCCTCTGCCTTTCCCATGTTATAAGGAGAAGCATCCTTCTCCTTTCCCAAGCTACCTTCTCCACTTGTGCCTCATTTGAGACCTCCCTTTATCACCCGTTCCCTTGGAACTCCCATGACTCACCACCTTCACTTGTCATTTCACTCATAAATATTTTGCACCATGTATGTGCCAGGCGTTTAACATAGAATCATGCTTAAGTCTCTACATGCTAACAAGAAAAACCTTGATTATCCCTGCTATGCCCTCAAGTCATTACCTTCCCCGCTCCTTTCCTGTGTTCCCAAACTTTGTTGATCTTCATCAATCCCTCTGATGCAGATGGCTCCGAAGTTTGCACCCTATTAGGTTGGTGCAAAAGTAATTGCGGATTTTGCCATTAAAAGTAATGGCAAAAATAGCAATTATTTTTGTACCAGCCTAGTAAATTTTCTCCTTCTACCAAACTTTGTCCCTGAGCCATCTCATCACCTATAACTACCTCCTCCATGCAGTTGATTCCCAGATCTCTATTATTCTACTGAAAGTCCGTTCCCCAACTTTCTCGGCTAGGATAACAGAAGCCCAATTAGAATTCATGATACCAGTTTCCCACCACCACCACCACCACCACCACCACCACCACCACCACCACCACCGTCGCCCTGCCATTGTTAGCAAAACCATCTCTTGAGTGGAGCTCAAAGATTTGTAATCTCCCACTCCCCAGAAAGATAACTTCAGACTCAGCCTAGAAGTAAAGTTCCTCCAGATATGGCCTCAACTACCCTCCAACCCATGTCCCCAGTGCATTCCTTTGATGCCCCCTTCAGTGGAGTTAAAATGGAGTGAGTGTTTTTCTTTTCACATACTCCTGGTGTTCTTCCATGAATACAATTTTCACCTCTTGAATATTTTCAATAATTCTCCATGCTACACACAGTGAAATTCAAGCTCCCCATCAGGACCCCAGTCTTCCCAAATGCTCTTTGCACTTTTCTGTCTCCATGCTTTCCCTTGGGTCATCCTCTTCTCTAATATAACCTTGTGTATTACTCTAGGTTCTCCAGAGAAAGAGCAGAGAGATAGAGGTAGAGCTATACACATAGAGAGAGACAGATTGATTAGTTGTAAGGGATGGCTCACATGGTTATGGAGGATAAGGAGTCCTGGAGTCTGCAGCCAGCAAGCTGGGGACCCAGGACAGCCAATGATATAGTTCCAACTCGAGTCCACATCTAAAGTCAGGAGAAGATTGATGTCCCAGCTCAAATATAATCAGGTAAAAAGAGCAAATTCTCTGTGACTTTACCTTTTTGTTTTGTTCAGGCCTTCAGTGGATTGGATGAGGCTCACCCACATTGGGGAGGACAATCTGCTTTATTCAGTCTACCAATTAAATGTTATCCTCATCCAGAATACCTCAGAGACACACCCAGAATAATGTGTAGCCAAATATTTGGGCACCCCACAGCCCAGTCAAATTGATACATAACACTAACTATCAGGTCTTGCTTCTACTCTCTCCCCATTACTGCATGGCCAAATCCTTCCCTTATTTCAAGGCTTAGTTCAAATGTTACCTCTTAACTAAGCCTTCCCTGCTAACCCCAAATATTAATAGAATTGGTGTCTCCCTTCTCTGATGTCTCAAAATACGTTGTGTGTTTCTCTTTTACTGTATTTATTACAAACTCCCTTATAAATCAAGACAGTGATTCCCAGACAAATTATCAAAAGAGTATAAAAGAAGTCTTCTTTGAGTGTGAAATATCTCATGGAATATAGCACATGGCCTCTTCATGAAGAATCTACTGGGAGAGAAGAAGACAAGCTGGAAGAGACCAGGGAAAGGGGGTTAGTACAAAGCACAATGAGGCTGGGCTCATACAGTGGCTCACACCTGTAATCCCAGCACTTTGGGAGGCCAAGCCCAATGGATCATGAGGTCAGGAGGTCGAGACCATCCTGGCTAACACGGTGAAACCCCGTCCCTACAAAAAATACAAAAATGTTAGCTAGGCATAGAGGCGGGCACCTGTAGTCCCAGCTACTCAAGAGGCTGAGGAAGGAGAATGGTGTGAACCCGTGAGGCAGAGCTTGCAGTGAGCCGAGATCGCACCACTGCACTCAAGCCTGGGTGACAGTGCAAGACTCCATCTCAAAAAAAAAAAAAAAAAAAGAAAGCACAATGAAATGTCAGTGGATGGGTGCCTATAATTTCTAAGGGAAATAGAATATAATCCAAGAATTTTATAGCCAGCTAAATTATTGCCCAATCAAAATAGGCAAAAGACATGATCACATGTTGAAGAACTTAAAGAACACAGTATTTCTGAGCTCTTTTAAAAAAAGTCTTCATAATAAAATTTAGTCAGCCAAGAAATTAAAAAATAAGCAACTCGTGAATTGAATGACCATGACAAAAGGCTAATTATGAGAGGTGAATCCATTTAAAAATAGGACTATTATTGCAGAACAGAAAGAGAAGGTGGTCAACCTTAACAACATAAAACAACCTAGAAATAACTAGTTTCCAGAGGTAAAGGGAGGGACTGTAGGAAGTAGAAGTGCTGATGCCCTTTATTAAGTCAATTAATCAGGTCTAAAATTGAAATGTGGTTTTAAATATATAACTTCTTGTTTATTTTCCTCCCTAACTACCTGAGGATCAACCACCATGATGAACGACACAGTAACTATCTGGACCAGGAAGTTCATGACCAATCGACCACTCCAGGGGAAACACATGGTCACCAATGTCCTTCACCCCGGAAAGGCAACAAAATGTACAAGACCACAATAGGTGTCATCTTCATATTAATCGTTGGACTCAGAACCCATGTTGGTGGTGGTTAAACAATGAGCTTTGGCATGCTATCTGTTTCTTTGAATTATGCAAAGAAAAATGAACTCAAACATAGACTTGCAAGACACAGATGGCATGAGAAGAAGATGACCTCAAGAAAACAGCAAAAGGAATGCAAGTGCAGAATGAAGTCCAGAGACTGCAAAGGCCAATGTCAGTGCTGGCAAAAAGCAAAAGGAGTAAAGATTTTGTAATGACTTTATATGCAGTGACTGTACAAATTTTTCCTGAGATGATCAGTCAACTGTAAAGACTTCTACATATATATAAAACATCTTAATATTTTTCATCATCTTGATTTCTTAGATGTTCTAGAAACTGATTTTTAGTGAGGAAAAACTACATTTATCTGAGTTGACCAGTTCCTTCAGTTTCACTTCTATTTCTTTTTCTTCTGATAAATTTACACAGCATTCAATTTGCTATTTCTTGTTTTTAAAATCTCATTTTGTGTGATCAGAAGTGTCTGTTCATGTCTCTAGCCATCTTTGTGCATAGCAAGGAATGCTGTTCACTTAATATTAGGTGGTTTATTTCTTGGGGTCATGAGATTTGGGGTGATTTCTCTCCCTTTTTGTACTTTTCTGTATTCATTAATTTTTTTGAGACAATGTCACCAATGTCCTTCATATTAATATTTGGGCTCAGAACCCATTTTGGTGGTGGTTAAACAATTGTCACCCACACTGCAGTGCAGTGGTACGATCTCAGCTCACCAAACCTCTGCCTCCCAGGCTTAAGCGATTCTCCTGCCTCAGCTTCCCCTGTAGCTGGCATTACGGGCGTGCACCACTACCGCCTGGCTAATTTTTATATTTTTAGTAGAGGTGGGGTTTCACCTTGTTGGCCAGGCTGGTCTTGAACTCCTGACCTCAAATGATCCACCCGCCTTGGCCTCCCAAAGTGCTAGGATTACAGGCATGAGCCACCGTGCCCAGCCTTTTCTGTATTAAATTTTTAAAAACGCAACATTTAAAATAATCGTCATTCTTTTTGAATCTACTTTGTATTATAGGTATCCAAATACTCACCTATTCTCTCTTACGTGATGACAAACTTGTTGAAATGTCATTTCATTTTGTGGCTCCAGCCCCAGGGATTCTGACTCTGATTCTAAAGGGTCTGCATGCAGAGTGAGCAAGCCACCTGGATGATTCTCTTGCAGGTGTTTTAAGGGCAGGAGTTTGAGACACCCTGATGCAAAAGAACGAATCCTCAAGGAAGTTGGCTGTACATGTATTTTCCTTCCTAGCACAGGAAACGACAGAAAGATTATCCAATCAGTACCACTCATAACACCTGATTATATATGTATGAGGAATTCAGAAATGGTTTGATCAAGGCCGAAGACCTAAAAAGAGGCTCTTCTCTTGGACACCAAGTCCCCATCTCATGTGTGGTTGAATTAGTAGAAACTGAGGATGATGCTTCTTCCTCCAGCATTGGTATCCCATGGTTTTTGTTCAGTAGATGAAGTATCTCCATCCCCCAATATCCCCAAGCTCTATCCCAGTTTCCTCACATACACTTTTTTTTTTTTTTGAGACAGAGTTACGCTCTGTCACCCAGGCTGGAGTACAGTGCAGTGGTGCAACCTCAGCTCACTGCAACCTCCACCTCCCAGGTTCAAGTGATTCTCCTGCCTCAGCCTCCTGAGTAGCTGCGACTATAGGCACCCACCACCATGCTTGGCTAATTTTTGTATTTTTAATAGAGACAGGGTTTCACCATGTTTGTCAGGATGGTCTTGATCTCTTGACCTCATGATCCACCTACCTTGGTTTCCCAAAGTGCTGGGATTACAGGTGTGAGCCACCACGCCTAGCCTGAGACTTTCAAGTAAAGCCACAATGGACCACAGAGCTTAGACATCAGGGCTAACATGGAATCTCTGTCATTAAATCTTGAGATCTTATTATCTTTGCTCAAAGAAAAAAATAATCACAATTGACATTTTGAGGAGAAGACATCTGAATGTAAACTTGATCTTAGAGGATATTAAGGAATTACTGGTAATTTGATTAGGAATGATAATGATCATATAAAAAATGCCCTCATGTTTTTAGAGGGAAAGTAAATTACGTAGGGGTGAATATCAGGATGCAATTACATAACTACTGTAAACTATTTTTTAAATACTTCAGAAAAACAAATGGAGTAAATATTGCAAACGTTAATAGTTTTTAAACCTATGTGATGGGCATATGATAGCTCATTAAACTAGTCTCTCTACTTTTATGTATATTGAAAATTTTTCATAATAATAACAAAAAAAAAAACCTTGGCCAGGCACAGCAGCTCATGCCTGTAATTCCGGCATTTTGGGAGGCCGAGGTGGATGGAGGACTGCTTGAGCCCAGGAGTTTGAGACCAGCCTAGGCAACATGGTGAATCCTCATCTCTACAAAAAATAGACAAATTAGTCAGGCACGGTGGTGTGCACCTGCAGTCCCAGCTACTCAGGAGGCTGAGGTGGGAGGATCACCTGAGCCCAGAAGGTCAAGGCTGCAGTGAGCCAAGATCATGCCACTGCACTCCAGTCTGGGCGACAGACCCTGTCTCAAACAAACAAACAAGCAAATCAAAACCCTCTTGGTCCCATTTCCCAAAAAAATGATTTTTTCGAGATCTTACCATCTCCTGGCTTGGTGCAGAGTACAGGAAATCAAGACAAAGTACAGCACACAAGGATTAAGGAGGGAGGGAAGTGTGGGGGAGGCTGACACTGTGGACTCTCCCAGCTCAGTTGACCCATGCACCTTGCTTCATGGAAGAAAGGAATGGAAGATGAATCGTGCCTTTCACACACAGTGACCTTCCTCACTAGTAAATGTGCCTCCAGAAGTGTCCAAGAACTCAGCGCCACAGCCAGGCTGGCTGCATGAGAATCACCTGCGAGCTTTTGCAAACATAGGCCCCTACTGGGTCCAAAGGTATTCATCTCTTGGAGAGGAGGAGAGAGGCAGAACAAGGAAAAGGATGGGAAGAAACCAGCCTTGTGCACAGGAGGATGCTGGGATTCCTCCTGCACGTTTAGCGCAATGCAGCCTATTTTACAAGGTCACAGAAGCTCAGAGAGGTAAACCTGCCCAGGTTCTCATAGTTTGTAACTGGCAAAACCTGCCCAAATCTCTGTCTCTAGAGATATTTCCACTTGCTTCAACTCTGGAGCTGTCTAAGTTGTAAAGACAACAGATTCCACTCATCACTCACTTTTGTTTGCAGATATTGCCTAAGGTCCCTTGTGAATATTTAGGTTAGGGCTGTTTTTTTGAGTTTTTTGTTTGTTTGTTTCTTTTTTTTTTTTTACAAAGCAATCTTGTGGAAAGAACCCAAAGTGGCTCCCCCATTTAAGACCCTGTAAACAGGGAGACGAGAGTCTGGAGTCATGGTCTGGTTTCCAAACCTTCCTTAGATTTCCCTGTGTGTAAAATCCAACAACAATCTTTGACAAATTGCCTCCCCTAGGGGAGAGATGGAGGAAGTGTTAACTTTGCTTTTTTTTTTTTTTTTTTTTTTTTCTGTTTTCAGACAGAGCCTCGCTCTGTCGCCCAGGCTGGAGTGCAGTGGTGCCATCTCGGCTCACTGCAACCTCTGCCTCCTGAGCTCAAATGATTCTTGTGCCTCAGCCTCCTGAGTAGCTGGGACTACAGGCAGATGCCACCACACCTGGCTAATTTTTGTATTTTTAGTAGAGATGGGGTTTCACATATTGGCCAGGCTGGTATCGAACTCCTGGCCTCAAGTGATCCACCCCCCTCAGCCTCTCAAAGTGCTAGGATTACAGTCATGAGCCACCATGCCCAGCCACTTTGATATTTTTTTTTAATAGACAGCTTCGAGGTCCAGTATGATTTCACAGATTAGGAAACATCACAGGCAAAGAAGAATACTTTGCATTCAAATAGCAGAATGTTTTCATTTTCAAAGAGCTCTCACCTGCCATCTAATCTTGTCTTCCTAGCAGTCCTGGGAGAGAAGCAGATGTGGTTTCCAATCCCACTTTCCAGAAGAGGAGACTGAGGCAGAGGCTTTGCAGATACACAGAGGACATGTGAGGACAGGTGAAGGTCATGAACATTGTCAGCCCCCTCCCCCAACTGGACATTCCCAGATCTGGTGGACTTCCAGCCAGAGGAGACAGAAGGACTGGATCATTTAACTCTGCCATGGGTGCCAGGACCCAATTTTTCCCTGGCTAACTCGGTCACCTCCTGTCTGGGATCTCCAACTACTACACATCCCACAAGTCTCAGCTAAAACAGCAATTCAACGGGGAACTTTTTTCTGAGGCTCCAGGATTGGGCCAGGCCCTCCTCATGGCTCTCTGCCCTTCCCCTACTGCAGAACTTAGCACCTGTATGTCACTATTGGTTCAAACATGTGCCTTTCGTATGCTCTCCACGTTATCTGCAGCATCTGCCAAGAATAATAATGAATGGTAAAACCTAATCTCTATTGAGTGTCGATGATGCACTTTTAACGTGACATCTTATTTAACCCTCACTATATCTGCAAGAGTAGAAGCTATTAATAGCCAATTTTCAGATAAGAAAATCAAAGCACAGTTTCTATAACTTACCCAAGCAGCTAGCTAGGAGGCAGCTCAATTTGAGCTCAGGGAATCAGATTCCAGAAACCATGTTCTCAATTACTACAGCAGATACCTCCCCAGAATCTAGTAGGTGGTTAATGAGTCTTTGTGGAATAAATGAACAGAAGGACAAGCAGTGGATGGATACATAGGTGGGTGGGTGGATAGATGGGTGGATGGAAAGATAGGTGGGTGGGCAGGTGGATGAATGAATGGGTGGTTGAGTTGGTGAAGGGATGGCTGAGTGGGTGGAGAAATGGATGAGTGGTTGAGGGGGTGGAGGGATAGATAAATGGGTGGACGGGTGGGTGGATAGATGGGTAGATGAGTGAATGGGTGGATAGATGCATGGATGAGTGGATGGATAGATGGGTTGGTGGGTGGGTAGGTGGATGATAGCTGGGTGCATAAGAGAGTGCATTGGATGTATAGATGGGTGGGTGGGCGGGTGGATAGGTGGGTAGGTGGGTGGATGGATGTATGCATGTCTGGATGGATGGATGGATGGATGGATGGATGGATGGAAGGAATGATGGATGGATGGACGGACAGATGAACAGATGGACTTGAGCATTTATTCAGGGTCCTCTAAAGAATTGAGTGATTTCCTAGGGTGTGTCATCACCTGCATGTGGGTGGGCAAGGGGGCTTGCCTCTGTAATACTCATGATTATGGGTAGTGCTCAGCCTTAGTCACCACTCTCAGAACACTTTATTGACTAGGAAAGTCAAAACTGGCATTGGCAACTAATGCAAATTACAGCTATAACTAACAGAAGATGTTGAGTGATGACAGCTGGGCAACCAATAATCAATAACTTGGCTGTGTCATGTTGCTGCCATGCTGGACAGGTAGAGCCATGGGTTCCCTAATCCCTCCATCACATTGAGGATGCTTATCAAGACTTCCCCAACCATGGGGACAAGGATCTTATCAAATACTTGCAGTTCACCCCAAAAGGCTCACCCTCTTCGTTCCACCTGCACATGACCTTCAGCTCAAAGACATTTCCAGTCATCCAGGTCAGCCCTTCTTCCAGCCTTTGAATTAACCCTGATGACTGCCTGCCCATTAGGTATCTCACCTTTCATCACACAGCCTTTTCCAAGGCTTTCCTTCAGTCCAGCCCTCACTAAACGCTGAAACTCTTGTTGACAAAATCCAGAACAAGCTGGCTGGGGGATACAGGTGGGAAGCAGGCTGTAGTAATGGGAAAAATTCTAAGCAATCTCGAACACAGAAAAGAAACTGAACAGGTAAGAGAGAGGCAGTCAAGAGAAGAAGTGTGAATTTTGCATAACTGAAGCTGAAGAAGATCAGGGGGCATGGCAGACCACAAGATAAATATGATATAGACTCCTTTTTAAAAAAGTATAAACACCCACCCTTTCCTACTGACAACTGTGCTTCAAATATTGCTAAGGTCTTTACTAAAGGCGACTCAGAAAAACAGGGTATTTTATGCAATACAGTAAGAAGGCCCATAGGCAAGCATGTTCCTGACACCACCTTCTAGGATAACCCCTGGGATTCTGGTTACGCCTGTCCTAAAGTTGCCTCTCACTCCTGCTGTTGGAGAACTACCATGAGAGAAGAACCATAGTGAAGTGGTTAAGAGTGTGCACCCAGTGACCAGCCAGATGGCTTCAAACCATCACCATCTAATACTGAGCAAGTTACATAATGTTCCTGAGCCTCAACTTTCTCATCTGTAAAATGGGTATGTCGTCATTCATTAATCAAATTCTAGGTAAGCATATACTAAACACCAGAGACACAAATGAGAATCAGGAACAGGCATGGCCCTGGTCCTCACGGTGACCACAGTCTTGAAGGGGAAGGATGACATGCACAGAAATAGGAAGCCGTAGCTGAGCTCATGACACCTGGTGTCATGAAAGCAGACAAGAGGGGGTTGCTGTGACTGAGTCAGTGTGGCCAGGCGTCCCTGAGGATGTAGTGACTCCACTGTCAGATGAGACTATGACCAGGTGAACAGGTAAGGAGAGGGAAAATCTTTCCAGGCAGAAAGAGCAGGATGTGCAAAGGCCCCGTGGCAGGAAAAGAGCAAAGGAAGTGCAAGAGCCTGAAAGAGGCCAGGGAGAACAAGTGAACATGTGGATAATCACAGCACCCACCTCATACAGGAGTTGCAAGAAATTGAGACACTGTCTGTAACAGATTCAGCAATGACTAAATAGAAACTATCTCCTAAAAGCACAGGATGAAGCTCCTTGGTGGTATTTCCCATGTGAGGCTGCCATGGACTCAGAGGCCAAGTTCAACCTGCCTGTAGACAACCTCCAAGCCAGCTGGACACACATACACCCTCAGGCTCAGGATACCCAGGACAGAGTCCTGGATGCTTGAAGTCATGATAAGTATCCAGAATGACACAGAATTCCAGCCAGGCATGGTGGCTTACACCTGTAATCCCAGCACTTTGGGAGGCCGAGGTGGATCACCTGAGGTCAGGAGTTTGAGACCAGCCTGGCCAACATGGTGAAACTCCCTCTCTACTAAAAATACAAAAAAATTAGCCGGGTATGGTTGTGGGTACCTGTAGTCCCAGCTACTCAGGAGGCTGAGGCAGGAGAATCGCTTGAACCTGGGAGGCAGAGACTGCAGTGAACCGAGATTGCACCACTGCACTCCAGCCTGGGCAGCAAAAGTGAAACTCCGTCTCAAAAAAGAAAGAAAGAAAAAAAGAATGACACAGAATTTGCTAAAGGGGGAGAAAAGGCTTTCTTCCAAAGCTGGGCCTGGTTTCTACAGAGAGTCTTTCAGATGAAAATTAAGCAGCTCTTTGCAAGCAGCTCTTTGCAAGCACCTCAGAGGAGAACCCCTCACCCTGATGAATCAGGCACACAGGCGGATCCAAGACAATTGGCTGCGCGCATGTGAACAAGCCTATGGTGGAAATGCAGTGCTTTGTTTGGGGTGGTTTAATCACCAGGAGGGAGAAGCTTCTAAAGCAGCATTCAGAGGTGGCTGTTGCCTGGGTTTTCTGGAAGGGGGAGGCGGTGAGGATGAGGGCTTCCATTTCATCTGCAGGCCCCTTGCAGAAGGAGCTGGGGAAAGCTTTGCAGCCATCTGCACACTGTTTGCCATCTTGTCTGGCTGGGCAGCCGAGCTCCAGATGGGGGCGGATGGGATAGCTCTTGCCACCGTATTTGGAGAGAGATGGCAGGGAAGTCAGCCCCCGTGAAGAAGACAGGAGCACACAGGTGCTAGGCAGTGCTGCCTAGGCCCCTGGGCTGAAGTGTCCAACCCCACAGCCTCTAGGTGTCACTAAAGCAGCCCGAGAGGATCTTCTCTGTCCATCTCCATCCTGGCACCTACAGACACTTGGAGAGAGTCCTTCACATGGGAACTCACAAATGCACACTGATAACCCCCACATGGAACTGTCATATGTAGCAAGTGAAAAGACAGGATGCCAGTTAAACTTGAATTTCAGATAAACAACATATCATTTTTTAGGGTAAGCAGGTCCCAAATATTGCATGGGATATATTTGCACCAAAAAAAAAAATGGTTAATGAGAAATTCAGGTTTAATTGGACTTCCTGCATTTTACCTGGCGAGCCTAACCTTGCATAAACACAACCCCAAGCTTGAAACTCACAGAGAAGCCACGGCCATGATCACACACGTGCACAAACCCATATGCCTTACAGAGTCAAGGGCTGTGATGAATGTCCCCACCCTTGCACACTTCCCTGTCCTCTGTCTGGGCTCAGAGTAAACAGAGGGTCACCTGGCATCCACGTCTAAGCTGGGCTTGGAGGTGTCCTAATGAAGCAGGATGCTGACCTGCACTTCCCCAGCTCAGTCGGGGCTGCAGCCAGGCCTAGCTTCCAGTCTCGGGCCTAGAACACACAGCACAGCCCCAGACCTTGGCAAGAAGGCTTGATCTCAAGGGCCACTGGTCCAGGACCTATTAGAAGCCCCACTTCTTTCCTGTGTTTCTGCTGCCATTGCCCCAGTCTCTGACCCTGACACTCAATCACTCTATAAACACAGCAGGTACTAGGGGTGGCTCTGGGCTCTGCACTAAAGACAATGCCCCTGGTAAAGCCACAGTCTAGCAATGACAGTCAACCACGTATCAGCAACGGCCCTGCCCCACACGTGCTGACTGCGCACAAGGCCGGCGCTGTGAACGTGCTCTCAACAGTGATCTCACTGAACCCTCATGGCAGCTCTAGGATGCAGACAGTAGCATCACATTATCCCCATTTTACTTTTGAGGAAACTGAGGCCTGAAGAAGGCAAATGCAGGCCTCGAGATTTGCAGTAACATTGCCAGGACTGTTTGAGAAAGCAAACTTCTCCAGAGTGAGGCAGTCTGCCAGAGCTCAGAAGCCAGAGTCCCTGTTAGCAGGGGCTGGGGGGACTGTGGGGTGGGGGCAGACAAGCAGGTAGGGGCTGGACACCCCAGGACACCAGGGTGCAGACTGGTGTGAGTAAAAGAAAGAGAGGCGGTCGTGCCATCATCTGCAGAAGATGATGTCTACAGAGGACAGTACCATGTGAGCCCTTGGGGAGCCGGATGACTGGATGGAATTTTGCACAGGATGCAAATTAAGCACAGATCCCCCTCTGACCTAGACAGCCCACCTCCAGGAACATCTCACAGAAATGCACGCACAGAGCACCAAGTGATGTGTGCGAGGAAATTCATCAGAACACCGTCTGTGATTGGGAAAGGGCGGAAACCATCCAAAGACGTATCGGTGCAGGGCTGGTTAAACGAAGCGTGGTGCATCCACACGTCAGAATAACTGCTGGGAGAAGAAGGTGGTACCCAGGTTCCAACGTGAGACAATGTCAAAGACATGCTGCCTGAAAAGCAGGCTTTCCAAAGAATAAATATAGCATTATTCCATTTTTTTTTAAAGGTTACAATAAACACTTATGTGCAAATACATGTGCTTGCGTGCAGAGAGGGAAAAGGTGTGGACAGGAACAGAAAACCAAACTCTGCGTGGTCTCACTCATAAGTGGGAGTTGAACAATGAGAACACATGGACACAGGGAGGGGAATATCACACACCAGGGCCCATCGGGGGTGGGGGACAAGGGGAGGGAGAGTGTTAGGACAAATACCTAATGCATGCGGGGCTTAAAACCTAGATGACGGGTTGATAGGTGCAGTAAACCTCTATGGCACATGTATACCTATGTAACAAACCTGCACGTTCAGCACATGTATCTCAGAACATAGAATAAAAAATAAAAAGAAACCAAAGAAAAAGGTGTGGAGAGGTATACCCCAACCCTTCCCAGTGTTACCTCTGAGAAGCAAGATCAAGAAAATCAAATCAAGAGGAAGTTTTATGTTTTGTTTTCTCTATAAATTTTTTATTTTTTTTTATTTTTTTTATTTTTTTTGGAAACATAGTCTCGCTTTATTGCACAGGCTGGAGTCCAGGGACACATTCTCAGCTCACTGCAACCTCCTCCTCACTGCAACCTCCTCCTCAGTGCAACCTCCTCCTCACTGCAACCTGCTCCTTCTGGGTTCAAGTGATTCTCTTGGCTCAGCCTCCCAAATAACTAGGATTGCAGGCACGCACCACCAAGCCTGGCTAACTTTTGTATTTTTTGTAGAGACAGGGTTTCACTATTTTGGCCACCTGGTCTCGAAATCCTGGCCTGCCTACCTTGGCCTCCAAAAGTGCTGGGATTACAGGTGTGAGCCACCACACCTGGCCTGCATTGCTTGAATTCTCAGACCACATGGACCCTCTCATCTGGCCCAATTGCAAGAGTCCAAGGCAGGAAAGGCAGAAGGCAGGGGCTTACCCCTCCATCAGGACAACATAGAACAGAGTCAAAAAAGAAAAACATGAATGGATCAGTCAAGAGGGCTGTGCATGTGCCCTCCCAGGCACCTACACCTTGCAACTTAAGCCGACAGGCTTTCAAGCCACAGAGTCTTCCTCCCCAGAGACTAGCAAGGACACAAGCCCTGGCCAGGCCCCTCCAGGAGGATGGTCTGAGGGACAAGGTGGGGAGCAGAGTCAGGGGTGGCGGGAGGAAAGGGGGACACGAAGCCAAGGAAACCAGGGCAACCCATGCTTCCTGAAGGCCACCAGGACAGGGCGCTACACAGAGCCCCTGTGTACCTGTTTCTACAACAGCCTGAACACAAGGAAAAGGAAAACAAGGAAAATACACAAAGCCCCGCCTCACCTGGAGCAGGTTAAATAAAGGTGTGTGACTTTGTCTTCATGTCCTTTGGAATTGGAAATCCAAGCTTCCTCTCCTGTGCCTTTAAGGCCCTGGCTGCTGCCCCACAGCCCCCTCTCTTCCCTCCTCCTCCTGTCCTCTTTTTTTTTTTTTTTTTTTGAGATGGAATATGGCTCTGTTGCCCAGGCTGGAGTACAGTGGCACAATCTCAGCTCACTGCAACCACCACCTTCCGGGTTCAAGCAATTCTCGTGGCTCAGCTTCCCGAGTAGCTGGGATTATAAGTGTCACCACGTCTGGCTAATTATTGTATTTTTTGTAGAGACAGGTTTTCACCATGTTGGCCAGTCTGGTCTCAAACTCCTGGCCTCAGGTGATCCGCCCACCTCGGCCTCCCAAAGTGCTGGGATTACAGGTGTGAGCCACCATGCCCGGCCCTCTTGTTCTAACTGTGCCATCTCTTTGCAGTCTCCCCCGAGCAGCTTTTCCTGGGCCTGCCCTTCCACCCTCCAGATCTGCACTCTCAAACCACCCCCCAATGCCCCCTGGCCCTGGCTCCTGCCCCGGGGCTCTGATCCTCAGCTGGTGAGGTCTAGAGGGTCACAGGGAGCCAGACTCCCTAGAGAAGCTAAGGCAGGAGCCCCGTGCTTAGGCAGGAGCTAAGCTAAGGCGGGAGCCCTGTGGGTAACCTGCCCCCTTCCAGCTGGGGCTGAATAGAAGGGGGAAAAGCTGCCCCCCAGAATACAGGGCTCTCAGAGGCCCTGGGGATCTGTGCTGGCAGTCAGGAGGACTGTCACCTCAGCGCACTTGCCTGCAAGGAGGGCTGTGCAGGAAGCTGCATGTTGCTCAGAGAACAAAAAAAGGAAATTAAATGCACCATCTGGTTATTAGGATGAGCTTTTGAGGCAGACACTGAAATATGCATGCCTAGACATTATAAAACTTGGGGGAAATGTTAATTTCAATAACGCCAGTTCTTGTACTCGCCGAAACTATTCTTTTATCTCTCTTCCTAGTAATCTGGGGGCTCCATCCCTCAGAGTGGCAGCGCCAAGACAGCTGGCCTCACTGGGTTTTGTAAGCTGTGCAAGGTGAGATCCCAAGCCCTTGCCTGGAGACCCATCTTAGGAAAATGTTAGAACAGGGCAACAAGTTGCCATTTCCTCCCTCCTTTCTCTTCCCCATACAAAAATCAGAAAGCACGCTAGCCCAGACTTGTGTACATTTCAAGGGTGGCTGGACTCATGGCCGCCTGGGACGTCAGGGTGGTACAAAGTCCTCTTAACCTAAGACTGTCGGGGTACAAGGATCAGCAAATTTTTTTTCCTTTTTCTTGAGGGCCAGATGGTAAATAGCTCAGCTTTGCAGGCCATAGGTCTCTGTCCCAACTATTCAACTCTCCATTGTAGCAGGAAAGCAGCCACAAGACAATATGCACTGAAATGGGTGTGGCTGTGTTCCAATAAAACTTTATTTGTATGAACAGGCAGGGGGCTGGTTCTGGCCTGTGGGCTACAGCCTGCCTCCTCTGCTACAGCGTGATCTCCAAGGACCCATCCATCTCGTAGACCAGCAGCTGGCACACAGGAGCTGCTCAGATACTTGAAGGAGGAATGGAGAAGGCAAGCAGCCCCCAGTGCGCAGACGTGAGGGTCTCCCAGCAGCACCATCCTTTGCCATCTCATGCGGAGGGACAAAGCCAGAGCAGGTCTCTCCACCAAGGCTGGGTTCTCCTCCAAGGAAATGTGATAACAGGACAGAAAGCATCGTGGGAGGATAGGGGCTTTGGAGTCCCACAAACCACAGTTTGCAAGACCAGGAGCAACCTGCACTTCCCTGCACACACCCTGGGTGGGTGCTGGAGCATCTAGACTTAGAGTGAATCTTTTGTCCCTCCTCCCCCAACTGGCCTCCATTACACTTCCAGCAACAATGTGGTGTATGTACATGATGGAATACTATTCAGCCTTCAAAAAGAAGGAAATGCTGCCATTTGAGACAACATAGATGAGCCTGGAGGATATTATGTTAAGTGACATAAGCCAAGCACAGAACGACATATACCACATGATCTCACTTATATGTGGAATCTAAAAAAGTTAAACTCAGCCAGGCATGGTGGCTCATGCCTGTAATCCCAGCATTTTGGGAGGCTGAGGCTGGCAGATTGCTTGAGCCCAGGAGTTCGAGACCAGCCTGTATAACATAGCAAGACCCCAACTCTACAAAAAAATACAAAAATTAGTGGAGCGTGGTGGTGCATGCCTGTACTTCCAGATACTCAGGAGTCCGAGTTGGGAGGATTGATTGAGCTTGGGAGGTCAAGGCTGCGGTAAGCCAAGATCACAACCCTGCACTACAGCCTGGGCAATAGAATGAGATTGTCTCAAAAAAAAAGAAAGAAGAAGAAAAGAAAAAAGTTGAATTCACAGAAGCAGAGTAGAATGATGGTTGCCAGGGTGGGGAAGTGGGCAGATGCCAAAGGACACA
The DNA here is from genome assembly GCF_000001405.40 of Homo sapiens. Taxonomy (NCBI): domain Eukaryota; kingdom Metazoa; phylum Chordata; class Mammalia; order Primates; family Hominidae; genus Homo; species Homo sapiens. Next base: position 67,949,027 of record NC_000011.10, read on the forward strand.
GAATGTCATTTTTAGAGAAGAAGAATAAGTTCAGGATATCCATGGGACAACATGGTACCTATAGTTAATAACGACATATCATACACTTGGAAATCACTAAGAGAGCAGATTTTTAAATGTTCTCACCACAAAAAAATAAGTCTGGGAGGTGATATGTTATTTAGCTTGATTTAGCCATTTCATAATGTATACATACTTCAATCACATCATGTTGTATACCCTCTTGTACGTAATTTTTGTCAATTCAACAACTCCAAAAAACAAGACATTCTCTTTACAAAAATAATTATTAAAAATAAAATTCAGAATTCTATTTTATTTATTTATTTATTTTTGAAACAGAGTCTCGCTCTGTCACCCAGGCCGGCTGAAGTGCAGTGGTGCGATCTCGGCTGACTGCAACCTCTGTCTCCCAGGTTCAAACGATTCTCCTGCCTCAGTCTCCCAAGTAGCTGGGATTACAGGTGTGTGCAATCACACCTGGCTAATTTCTGTATTTTTGGTAGAGACAGTTTTGCCATGTTGGCCAGGCTGGTCTCGAACTCCTGACCTTAGGTGATCCACCAGCCTCGGCCTCCCAAAGTGCTGGGATTACAGGTGTGAGCCACTGCACCTGGACAGAATATAAAAGATTCTTTAATTCAACTAAAACATTAAAACATAGATTATTTCTATAAGTGGTAATTGTTCTAACATGTTTTGGTCAAAATAGTCTCCTTACCCATCCACAATTAAATGGTTAATTGACATTTGATTGGATATTGATAAAGTTTTCAAATCATGATTGACTTTTCCAATGTACAGTAAAATGTGCGTGAAAATATTTCATAAAAATTAATATTTAAAAATGGTCAGGCACGGTGGCTTATGCCTATAATCCCGCACTTTGGAGGCCAAGGTGGGCCGATCACTTGAGGTCAGGAGTTTGAGACCAGCCTGGCCAAACCTCATCTCTACTAAAAGTACAAAAATTAGTCAGGTATGGTGGCATGTACCTGCATTCCCAGCTACTTGGGAGGCTGAGGCAGGAGAATCCCTTGAACCTGGGAGGTGGGTTCCCCAGGCTTAGAGCAAAACCCCCATCTTGTCTGTCTCCACTCTCATCCCAGGCAATCACAGTCATTTCCACAGCCTCAACCACTGTCTACCTGGGATGCCTCCCAAGCCTGAGTCTCCAGCCCAAACCTGCCTTCCTAGCCCCAGACCCATCAGTCCTGGCACACATTGCCCCCTGGGTCCCAAGCAACCTCAGCCAGTGAGTCCAACGTCAACTTCCTGTCCTTGCCTGACACTGCCAGCCCTGAGATCAGACTTGACCATTCACCTCCAGTACCTGATAGGTCCATCAGTGCTTTGGAACATATCTCACAAACATTCCCCAAACCAGGCACCAGACTCCACACATCAACACCGTCATGTGAGTCACCAGCATCCCTGGCAGGGACCCCTGTCCCAGCCTCCAACTCATCTCCTTCCTGTCCCTTGAGTTCTGTGTCACATTCCAGAGGCCACAAGAAGAAAAATGACCACCTTAATGAAATTAAAAGAATTGAGAAGACATTTCCCTATGGTCCAAAGTCTTTCCAACTGAGAAACACATATCAAGATCCAGCCTGCCAGCCCTGCGGTTAAATGTTCCTGAAATAATTAAAGCCCAGGGTGACACAGCCCCCACTCCACAAGTACTCCCAGCACAATAAGACTTGCTTCTCTGCAGGGGCTTGAAATGTCCAGTGTGTACCTTGCCCCTCTCTGTCATAGCTAACAGGAATGTGCTCCGTGTCTTCTTCCTGCTCAAAGGACTGTCCACCAACCTGCGCAGGCAGCACTTTCGGCCGGGAGGGACGAGAGGACTTCCCACCATTTCCCACTTACGCACTGCATTCCTCAGGAGCCTGCCTCACAAATTACAAGAGCGCCACAGCAGACACACCACATTCCAGCGGGTGGCCATGTCTTCATGTCAGCTTGAAAGATCATCACCAGGGAAATATCTATATCTCAGCAGAGAGAGCTTCAGCCTGTGTAGTCCAGCTGTGCTCAAATGGAAATCCAGAAACCCAGATGTTGGTCCAAACACCCTGTCTTGGAGAGCCGGCTCTGCAGGTCCCCAGCGTGGGAGTGAACTGGGTGGGCCACCTGCCCTGCCTGCCCACATCCCTGCCTCCTGGAATCCTGGACCCTGAGAACCAGAGGGATGTGGTGGGGAACAGGCAAGTCTTGTGCAGAAAGCCAAGATGCCACCCAAATCCACTCTGCAGTCTAGGTGGGTGATATTCTGGTCTGCACCGTACCAGCGCATGAGGGGATGGAGGATGGAGTCTAGACAAGCCAAATGTAAAAAGATATTGCCCAAGTATTTTGTGCTTTGTCTGTGTTACAATGCTATGCCCAGCCCAGCGTGGTGGCTCACACCTGTGATCTCAGCACATTGGGAGGCCGAGGCAGGCGGATCACCTTAGGTCAGGAGTTTGAGACCAGCCTGGCCAATGTGGTGAAACCCCATCTCTACTAAAAATACAAAAATTAGCCAGGTGTGGTGGTGGGCACCTGTAATCCCACCTACTCGGGAGGCTGAGGCAGGAGAATCACTTGAGCCCAGGAGGTGGAGGTTGCAGTGAGCAGAGATCATGCCACTGCACTCCAGCCTGGGCAACAGAGTAAGACTCTGTCTTAAAAAAAATAAAATAAATAAATTCTATGCCCAGCATTTTCCATGTACTGTCTTATTATCTCAGTAAATCCCATATAACCTTCCTATGAAAGTGTATCTCATTTATCTCCATTTTATAGATGAGAAAACTGAGGCCCCTGGAGTAGTATTAATTTTCCAAGACCGCATTGCTCATAAAGGGTACAGCAGGGACCCAAGCTTGACACTCTCACCCTCAAACATTTCCACAAGTGTAGACCAATGGCTGTCAACTGGGGTGGTTTTGCTCAAGTACTACTCCCTTGCTCCATGATATTTGAAACCGTCTGGAGACATCTAGGGTAGCCATAGCTGGGAGGGTAGAATGGTACCTAGAGGATGGAGGCCACAGATGCTACTAACCATCCTACAATACACAGGACGGCCCCACGACCAGCACCACGAATGGTCTAACCCCAAGTGTTGTGACTGTGCCAAAGCTGAGAAACCCAGGTTTCTCCTCAGCAAGAAGGAAAATCCCTGCAACACGGATGCACCTCTACAGGAGCCCCAGGCTGACAATAACCTTCCTCATCTGGTTTCAACCCTGGATGCTTTCACCTGGTGCGTCCATCAGGGATTTCAGGGACTCCAATGAGTTATTACCCTTGAATGCTTGGTTCCGCCTGACAACCCTGAAATCTCTGCTGAGGTGCCTGGTCTTGAGGAAGGCTCAGCAAGTGGTTGAGGGTGATAACCAAATACCTAGGAGAGACTTTTCTCTCCCTCCAGGAAGAGCTGTTGGTCAGACACACCCTGGGATCATTCACAAGCGGTCAATAAAGGCTTGGGGAGGGCCAGGTTTTCTAGGCCTTCTCAATGGGGTGGGTGTTTATGGATACACAAGAAGCCTGAGAAACTTCTGATATTGGCAGGAAATCAATGCCCCCCACCCTCCACCCCCCCACCTCCCCACCATAAACACATGCCCTGCAGCAGGACTTGGCACTCAGGGGCTCCTGGGGTCCCGATTTACCTGCTAAAACATCCTCTAGCCACCACCGAATAAAGCAACCCCTTGCCACCCAACCGCGAGATCTCAGCCTGGGAGCCACTCCAAGGGACATCCAGTCACATTAAAACCTCAGCCATCCAGAGCACCAGGCCTGGTGATGAGAAAGAACATTTTATCCTTAAAAGCATCTGAATGCCCATGCTGCTTCTTGCAAAGTCCAAAATAATCTGCTATTAAAGAACGAGGATGGTTTTTACCAAGCTAATGGTCTACGCAGACAAAATCTCATAAAAGGGCACTCTGTTCTTCTTGATCCACTCAGACATGGCCTGTGAGTGAAGAAATGGACTCTCCTCCTCAAATAAATCACTGCTGATTCTCACACCAGCCTGACACTGCCTCATGGGTTCTTCAAAGAGAGTATTCCCATAGAAACTAAAAGGGAAGAGGAATGGGTCTGGCGGGCATTGTGGGCAGCAGTGGGCTTTGGGCCAAATTTTAAGTTTGAAAATCAAGATTCCCTCTTTTCAAGGGGCCACCAGACTGAGCAGATACAGACACCGTGAAAAGAGGGTGCCATGTTCAGATTCAGGAAACAAGGATGGTTTCTGTTCAGTTCCTCCATCATCCTTCAGGTCATGCGATTCCCATTTCCCTCCGTGGACCAAACAATTCAGTGGGGTTTCTGCCTTTTAAATATTTCATTATCAACATATCATCATTTTAGCCTCCAGAAAGCATTTTAACATGGAGATTCTGGCTTAAGACTCTTGTGGGTCTGTCTGTCTCTCTCTCTTTTCCTTGAAACGGTCTCACTTTGTCAACTAGGCTGGAGTGCAGTGGCATGATCACAGCTCACTGCAGCCGGACCTTCCAGACTCTAGCAATCCTCCCACCTCAGCCTCCCAAGTACTTGGGACTACAGGCACACACCACCATAACTGGCTTTTTTTTTTTTTGGTAGATATGAGGCTTCACCATGTTGCCCAGCTGGTCTTAAACTCCTGGGCTCAAGCAATCCTCCCCTTTCAGCCTCTCAAAGTGCTGGGATTATTGGCTTGAGCCACCACGCCCAGCCAAGAACCTTGTCTCTTGTGATGCACCCCAGAACAAAACATCACTGCAAAAACACACCAAGGCATGAGTTTTAGTCCTAAGTCCCATTTATCCACCATACACTATGTGCCAGGCACAACGCTAAGTGCTTCTATGGACGAGCTTCCCTTAATCTCAGCAGTAACAACCCCAGGCAACGAGGCCTGTTGACAGATCCATTTGCCACTGAAGACAGTAAGGCTCAGAGAGGGTAAGTGGCTTGTGCCATGTCAGCCAGCTAAGGAGGGGCAGAACCAGGATGCAAACCCCAGCCGCCTGGCTCCAGACTCAGGTTCCCAAGGTCCCACTACACTTGGTCACTCCACTGCATTCTGGTATCCTGGTCTTTGGCAGAGTCCACGTAAAAGAAGGAGGTAGAGGGAGTGAGAGGGACTTCATGCAATAAAGTTTCCCGGCGTTACACTGCCATCGTAATTGTGTCCCCGACCAGGACCTCTCCCTTCTCATCCTTTCCGTGATCGGCCCTGGAAAACCTTCCAGAGAACTGTCCTCCTTCTCCCAGGATCTCAGAGAAAATTCGCCTGAGTTCAGTGTCCAGGTGACCCAAGCTCTGAATGCGGTAACGTGCACGGGGAGATAAGGATGTCACCATGAGCAAGCCTCCCAGACGGCATCCAGGAGCAACCCCAAGACTGGGCAGGGGGGCTCTGATGCCGCCCACGGCGAGGAGGGCTGCCCGTGCTGCCTAAATGGGTTCCGAATGAAGGCCGCCCTCTCGCCCATGTGGGGCTCATTAACCACGAATCCAATTATTAAGACAAGCTCAGCTGAGCAAATGGTCAAACATAAAAACATGTGGAAAGAACAAAGAGGTCAACCCCATTATCCATCAAAAACCATCAAGGTGGCGGCCCTCACTGAGGGGTACAGCTCTCCAGTGGGCCCTCATCTGCCCTCCAAACCCATGTGCCTCCTCAGTGGAAGGCCAGCAAAGCCACACAGGAAGAGTTGGTGTAGGAAAGCAGAAAGTGAACTCCAGGAGGCCAGGCTGGCCACGGAGCCCCATCCCACACACACAGGCCCGGTAACTCAGGGGCTCACGTGTGCAGGACACCGGGAGCTCACAGGGACAGCGTCCCGGGGGATGCAAGGAACTTTCCCTCTCTGTCCCTCTCTGTAGGGATGGAAAGAGGAGAGCGATTTCTGGGATGTAAGCCATCTGCCTCCTCTCAACTCTCGCTGCCCAACCAGAAAGGGAAGAAAAACAGGAAGATGCGGGGCAGGTGAGGAGCTGGGTGAGCACCGCCAGCCCGCAGCCCAGCAGAGCAGGGCTTGGCCAAGCCTGGCGCCAGGGACTTCCCCCCTACCCCCGCCACAAGCCCCTCGCCAGGTGAGAGGCACTGACAGAGTCCCAGACAGATGCCCCAGACAGGACGCTCAGCGCAACCCCCGCCCCTTCCCCTGCTAGGGGCCCCCAGGACGCGGGGCTCCCCCTCCCCTTTTGGCTAGCCGCAGAGTCCAGCGGGTCTCTAGTCCAGGGACGTCGTGGGAGAATCAGGAAGTCGAAGCCACACAGCCGAGAAGGGGCAGCTGGCGTCTCGGAGGCCGTCGCGAGCTGTCACTCCGCGCCCGCCGGAGTTGTCGCTCAGTTACCAACTTCAACCCGGGGCCGGCCACGGAGCCTCCCGCCGCCCCTACCCCGCGTCCCCGGCACCCCCGGCACCCCCGGACCCCCGCGCCCGCGTCACTTACTCCTCTGCCGTCGCCACCTGTCTGGGTGCCGGTCTCCTTCCTGCCTGGCCGCGGTGCGTCCTCCCCGTCATCGGGCTGTGCGCTTCCCTCCTCCAGCAACAGCCGCAGCCTCTTCTCTTCGGGAGTGACGTCGTCCTCCTCTCTCCTGGGCCGGCCATCCCTGCCTCGGGGCTTGCCAGTGGCTTTGGAGCTGCCGGAAGGGCTGGCCATGGCTCCGGGGGCTCTGCCTGCACCTGGGGAAGAGGAAGGACCCGGCGCGAGCGGCCTGTCGGCGGAGCTGGGGCGTCTGAGCGCGGGCTCGGTGGGTCCGCGCGGCGCGGAGCTAGGCATCGGGGCGGGCGTGGGCTCCTCCGCGGGCCGCTCGTTGCTCTCTGGCGCCCTCTGCTGGCCGCTCGCGCCCACCGCGGACACGCCGGGCCCTGGCCTGCGCTGAGCTCGCCTGCCCTGGCCCAAGCAGTCGCTGTCCCCTGCCTGCGGCCATGCCCGCTCTGGCCAGGCCCTGCACCTCCTCCCCGCCCCAACCAGGTTGCACCCCGATGGTCTCCCTGCCCAAGGAGGAGAGAAGGGACGCCCCGAGAGGGTGGACATCAGCCACAGCCACCTTGTCTTTGCTCTTACCCTGTGTCTTGCATGATTTGGAGGTGGTGGGAAAACCGAGGCTGCTCAAAATTCGTGGAGAATTCCGCCTGCAGGATGACATGAATGCACCTTCGCGTTGCCTACCAACAGATCTTTTTTGAGCATCTCTGTGGACCAGGCGTGGTGATGGGGGAGGGGATATTGTGGTGAACATGACAGGCATGGCCTTCACACAGTAGGGCTCAGCCCTGGGTGAGAAGGCATTGAGAATGGACATTGTCAATTGGGCAAAAGGAGGCCAAGAAGAAGTGCTGGGGGCATGGGAACTGAAAAAGACAGGAGGCTCAGCATGTCTTGGCGCTGGGAGATTGACAGCAACAGCGGCTGTTCCAAAGGAAGCAACAGCTGAGAGACGTCTCAGAGAGTTGTTCTCAGCCCAGTGGAGGTTGTTCAGGCAGAGGGAACAGCGTGTGCAAAAGCCCAGAGGCTGGGAAAGAAGCAGAAAGAGGACTGTGGGGCTGGAGCGTGGTGGGCAAGAGGAGAAAGGTGTGGTGGGCAGACAGATTGCCTGGGACCCAGCCGTGCAGGGGCAGAGGAGATAGGGGATCCTTGCAGGCCCCTAGCCGGGGCTGAGGCACAGAGACAATGCAGGTGGGCAAAGGGAGGAGACGTGGAGAAATATTCTGGAGGCACGCCCTGATGAATGAGCCCAGGATGCACTCTTAGTGTCAGTGTGGAGCTCCTTCCTTGGCTGTGTGATGAGCTGAACTCGGGGGTATTTTCTGGACATTGAGGTGCTACACCAAGAGTCCAGGACAGGCTGAGCACCAGCAGCTCCTGGCCCACCTCAAAAGCAGGAGAGACAGGGGAGACTGGGGATGCTGGGGTGGAAGGGGAAGCCAGGAAGGCAGGAGAGGCCAGGGAAGCAGAGGAGGCCAGGGAGGCAGTGGAGGCAGGAGAGGCTGGGGAGGCTGTGTCCTTTCCATGATTCTGCCCAGGATCCTAGGCCCCTGAACTCCCTGAGCTTCTCCACCCCAAGCACTGGAACCATGTTGCACAATGGTCTCTCCACTAAGCTCCTGATGGCGGACCCTACCCTGCTGTGCTCCCTATTTCAACCCTAACAGCTCTCACAGTGGGCAGCACATAGTAGGTGCTCAGGAAACACTGGTGGGAGAGCACATGGGTCTGCTCAGCACCTTCCTCTCTCCTCCAGCTCTCCCCTGTCATGAAATAATTCTGATAACGACACATGGGCTTTGGACTCTCTTCTATTACTTTCAATATGCTAATCCATCTATACCTCACAGCAGCCCTGGGGGTGGGTGCTATTAGGATGCCCATTTTACAGAGGAGGAGACTGAGGTATAAAGAGGGTAAGTGACATAGGCACACTACAGGGGCCGGGGCCAAGTGATTGCAGCACTCAATCCCCAAAGGCAAGGTGGACGCAGTTACCATAAAAGACAGCAGAGTCAAAGCTGCAACCAGAACAGCCTGACTCACAGAGACCTATGGTGCCAGCTGATCGTGGCATTCCTAGAAGTGAAATAGGTAAGAAGCCTGCCACATTTTTACTTGATCTGTGTTTGCAGAAGAGTTCTAGGTCAGGTGAGTAGAAGTCTAATCTGAATCATAACAACAGAGTCACAGTCCCCAGTCAATTCCCAGACATAAGCCAGTTCACAGACCCGGAGTCCCTTGTCTGAATGGGAAGCCAGGTCCCCTCCAGAAAGGACTCTGCTCCACTGCCAAAAATTTATACTGTCAATTTTTCTCCCAGCCTGCCCCCAAAGGAATACACAGCCTTTTACCAGGATGACTGAACAGGGGAAAAGGAACTAATGAGATCTGTGCAGGATCACTGGACACAGGCTCTGAACTGGCACTAGGGCGAGACTAGGGTCTACCAGTCAGAATAGGCATTTTGGAGGTCAGGTGAATGTTGGTGCAAGTTCATGTCATGGTAAATCCATTGGGTCCCCAAATCCATCCTCTGGTTATATACAAAGTGGCCTTGCTGAGATTCAAATTCAGGGCATCCAACAGAGAGGCTGTGCTCTTACTCATGAAACATTCTGACACTAGTAACCAATTTAAAAATGCAAACACCTTCTGGGGCTAGCCAGAGTCCTCCAAACAGTCATGTAAATTGGTTCTGTCAAGGATTTCCTCCTACCACCTGCTGAGAGCCAGTTGCAAGGAGAGACTAGGGAAGGGCATTGGGTAACTTTGTTGCTAAAACTCTTTTGGATAAAGACTTTTGGGAAAAGAAGCAAATAGAGTTCAGCAGAAGAGGTAAGAAAGTAAGTTTATGTTTGGCCAGGCACGGTGGCTCACACCTGTAATCCCAGGACTTTGGGAGGCCGAGGTGGGCAGATCACGAGGTCAAGAGATCGGACCATCCTGGTCAACATGGTGAAGCCCCATATCTGCTAAAAATTCAAAAATTAGCTGGCCATGATGGCACATGCCTGTAGTCCCAGCTACTCGGGAGCCTGAGGCAAGAGAATCACTTGAACCCAGGAGGCAGAGGTTGCAGTGGACCGAGATCATGCCAGTGCATTCCAACCCGGCGACAGAACAAGACTCCATCTCATAAAACAAACCAAAACAAACAAACAAACAAAAAAGCAAGCTTATTTTTAAGCCTGAACAAATGTAGTGGTTTAGGGGTTCTGCAAATACGGCCCCAATCAGGCTACAAGATGTTGTGGCAGCAACACTTACACCCAGTCACTCCTGGCTGGCTGAGCCACTTTTCAAAACACCCTTGCACAGCTGTGCAGAGCGGCTGGCTCCACTGGCAGCCGGCAGAGACATAACTCACACTGTCACCACTCCCCTCAAACCCTTTTAGTAAGCACTTTTTTTTTTTGAGACGGAGTCTTGCTCTGTCATCAAGGCTGGAGTGCAGTGGCGCAATCTCGGCTCACTGCAAGCTCTGCCTCCCAGGTTCATGCCGTTCTCCTGCCTCAGCCTCCCAAGTAGCTGGGACTACAGGCACCCGCCACCATGCCAGGCTAATTTTTTGTATTTTTAGTAGAGACGGGGTTTCACCGTGTTAGCCATGATGGCCTCAATTTCCTGACCTCGTGATCCACCCGCCTCGGCCTCCCAAAGTGCTGGGATTACAGGCTTGAGCCACCGCCCCCGGCCTGGTAAGCACTTTTAATCAATGCAACAGGAATAAACATTTGCTGCAGAGCGGCAATGTGCAGGGAGGAACATTGTTCCACTCAGGCTCAGAAAGCAAAACCTCCTGGCTGTTTGCATCTATGCAAGAGCTCGCAGGAAAAACCATCTGTGTGGCTGCCAGCCTCACACACTACCCCCAAGGGGTGAGTTTCTCTTTCCATGTTAATCTATGCCCTGATGTGCCATCTGTCAACCACCACACCATTCTCAGTTGACATTTCAAAGCATCTTTGCCCTGTGAATGGTCACCAGCCCTGCCCTGCAAGCCCCCAGGTGACATTGAACTTAAATGAGAGAGAAAACAGGTTTCGGGGTGGATTTCAGTTCAGCATCTTGGAGTCTCTGTGTGGACATGAAATCTGTCTCCCCAGCCGTGGGCTGCATCCTTGTTTGTCATCTGGTTGGTTGTTGGGGACTTGGAAACTCGTGGGCACCTTTGCAATTTGTCAAGAAGCTGCACGGCCCTTCCAACAAAAGCAAGCAATAGGAACAGAAGCCCAAGTCTTCAGATCAAGGTGCGACTTAAAGCTGCCTCAGTGTAAAAGGAAACAGGAGTCAGAGGGATGCCTAAGGCAGAGTCTAGTCCCCAGGGCAGCTATAAGGCAAAGAGAAAGAGAGAGAGATAGACAGAGACAGAGACAGAGACAGAAAGACAGAGAGAGATGGGAGGAGACATGAGGCACCCAGGCCTCTGCATCAAAATCCCTACAAGAGGGGCTTCCTAAAAATGCAGGAGGCTGAGGTGGGCGCACACAGAAGTTCAAGACTAGCCTGAGCAACATAGAAAGACCCTGTCTTTACAAAAAAATACAAAAATCAGCCAGGTGTGGTGGTGCATGCCTGTGGTCCCAGCTACCTAGGAGGCTGAGGTGGGAGGATGGCTTGAGCCCAGGAGGTAGAGGCTGCAATGAACCGAGATAGCACCACTGCACTCCAGCCTGGGCAATAGAGTGAGACTTCATCTCAAAAAAATTTTAAAAATTTTTAAAAAAGGATCACTATGGCTACTTGAATGGATGATAAGAAGGTAAGAGCAGAAGCAAGGAGACCAGCAGTGAGATTCTGCAGGCGGGAGTCCACAGTGGCTCAGACCAGGCTGGCGCTGAAGACCCTCTGGATTCTGTATATATTTTGATGATGAAGCAACTCACTGACTCTTGAAGAGTGGGCTCTAGGAGACTGTATTTTTAACAAGCTCTCAGAGGATTCTAATGCAGGCTGAAGTTGAAGAACTCCTGATTTAGGTGAAGCTTCTGTTTCATCCTAGGGGAAGTACCTACTGAATTTTCTCCAAGCCACCTCAAAAGAGGTGCTAGACAAGATGTGCTCCAATGTCTGAACATGTGTGCACAGCTCTAGAGCCGACCTCAGGACACCGAGTCAAAGGTTAGGAGTACAACAGTGAACAACCAACATCCTCTTTTCAATGAGCTTTGCATTTAATGAGAGAAATAAAAAGCAAAAAAAGAAATCATTTTCAACTCACAATGGTAGGAGTTATGGTGACAGTATGCCTGGGGCAATGGGAGCACAAAGAAGGGGCACCCAATCGGCCAGGTGCAGTTGTTCATGCCTGTAATCCCAGCACTTTGGGAGGCCAAGGTGGGTGGATCACTTGAGGTCAGGAGTTCGAAAACAGCCTGGCCAACATGGTGAAATCCTGTCTTTACTAAAAATACAAAAAAATTAGCCGGGTGTGGTGGTGGGCACCTGTAATTCCAGATACTCAGAAGGCTGAGGTGGGAGAATTGCTTGAACCCGGGAGGCAGAGATTGCAGTGAGCCAAGATCGTGCCACTGCACTCCAGGCTGGATGGCCAGAGCGAGACTCCATCAAAAAAAAAAAAAGCCAGGAGATGGTTGGGCATGCAATTTCTATCAGGTGGTCGGAAGTCCTTCTCCACCACAGGACTCCTCAGTTGAAGACTAGAAAATGGTAGGAATTAGCCAGGTTGATAGGAGAGGTGGGGAAGATCATTCCCAGCAGAGGGAAGAGCATGTGCAAAAATCGAGACGTGAGAGGGTGAGAAGCTGAGAGATGTTCATATAATTGTAAAAAGTGACTAATATAGAGGTAAGTTGGAGCCAAATCTTAAAGGCTCTTTGTCAGGTTTATCCTGTAGACAAAAGGAGACAGTAGATGTTTTTAGGCAGGGGAGTAATGATCCACTTTGTGCTATAAAAAGAGCAGTCTGGCTGGAGGAGAGTGGGAGGTGAGTAGACCAGGTAGGAGGTTGCAATACACCAAGTGAGACAAGATGGTTGGCTGGACCAAGGCTGTGGCAGTGAGGATGGAGAGGAGACAGTAGACTAACTTGACTGAGAAAGAGGGAGGAATGAAGGATGAGGCCCAGGTGTTTTGGAAGCTGGGTGGATGGTGGTGTGAATCTGACGGGGTGAGCCCAGGCAGAAGAGGAAATCAGGAGAGGAAAGGTAAGATGAGGTCAATGCAAGACAGACAGCCAAGTGGAGATAACAACTGGGCAGTTGGATTCATCAGCCTGGAGTTATACAGAGAGCTCTGGAATGGAAATAAAGAGGAAAGGACTTTGGGAATAGGTGAATCCTCCCAGAATAATGTGTAGAGAAAGGAGAATAGAACACAGGGGACAGAAAAAGGGAAGAGATTTGTTATTAAAACCAACCATCCATCAGATATCTTCCGATACAACACTTGTTGGAGGTTTCCTCAGTGTGAGTTATTCAGGACCAGAGCTAAAGACCATATTCCCAATAAAATCACTGCTGGGAAGGTCTTCATGAAAACATTTAATGCTGCTTTTAAAACAACAACAACAACAAAAAGGCTTTAGCTACTGCACAGACCCTGGAGCAATTTTTCGGCAAGAGTCTATCAAACACGAATCTGATCTGACTCAAGGAGGTGTCATATCAAGTGTAAAAATCCAATTCCAATGTCCATAAGAGCCTTTCTGCCAGGTACAAGACCCTAATCCAGTTGAGTGATTTTCTATTGATTAATAGGCTGGGAATACGCAGGTTGTTGGTTTTTGAGATTTCCCTCCCTGTGCCTTCATGCCAGCTGTGAAAGAGTCAAAAGGCTCCTAACTGTCAAAATAAAAATGACACTTGGTCACAGAGGAAACAGGGTATAGGTCAATCACATTGATGACTTTTTAACTATGAGAAGCCATTAATGTTACTGAATAAGCAAATCTGTTTGCATAACCAGATTTTTATAGGCTACTGGGAATAAAGGTTTTCCTAAGTGGGTGATTTGTACAACGATAGCCTTTGGGTCTCTGATGGAACAGCTCTGATGAGGAAATGTTCCTTTAATTATGCGGAAGGCCAATTACCACATTATAGCCACATTGTTTTGCAGATTGCATATAATTTCACCATTTCCATAGCTTCAGCACTATAATTCTGGAGAAAATTCAGGCACCAAGAAGACACTTGAGGCACATTATGCTGGAGACAAAGATGTTTTAACAAATTCAATTTAAGCTTCAACATTAAAGTTATTTTGTTGAATAAAACATAATGCAATAATGAGCTTGTGTATGTCAACTCTATAGTGGAGGTAATAATAGCTAGAGAGAGCATGTCCCATCTCCTCTTTTTAATGCTCATTCGAGTAATACATAATTCTATAGAGAGAACCTTTCTCTAATATGTGCTTCATCTCAGGTTAAGCGTGTTTTGTGCAACTGTGCTTCATGAAAAAAAAAAAGGTAAGGGATCTAATTTGGGAGCCATTCACAAAAGTGCTACCACTTGATGCTATTTTATACTCTGAGATTTCTTATTCCCAGTGCCTACCAGGAATGGACTTTCTGGAGAAGCTCAGATTAATCACTCCTTATGAGAGGTGACAGTGTGCTGGCAGCCCTCACAGCCCTCGCTCACTCTCAGTGCCTCCTCTGCCTGGGCTCCCACTTTGGTGGCACTGGAGGAGCCCTTCAGCCCATGGCTGCATGGTGGGAGCCCCTTTCTGGGCTGGCCAAGGTCGGAGCTGGCTCCCTCAGCTTGCAGGGAGGTGTGGAGGGAGAGGCATGAGCTAAAACGGGGGCTGACCCCAGCACTTGCCTGCCGGCTGGAGTTCTGGGTGGGGGTGGGCTTGGTGGCCCCGCACTAGGAGCTGCCGGATGGCCCTGCCAGCCCCGGGCAGTGAGGAGCTTAGCAACTGGGCCAGCAGCTGCTGTGCTCGGCTTCTCGCTGGGCCTTAGCTGCCTCCATGTGGGGCAGGGCTTGGGACCTGCAGCCTGCCATTCCTGAGCCTCCCCCCTCCATGGGCTCCTGTGCGGCCCGAGCCTCCCCGACGAGCACCGCCCCCTGCTCCACGGCGCCCAGTCCCATCGACCACCCAAGGGCTGAGGAGTGTGGGTGCACAGAGAGGAACTGGCAGGCAGCTCCACCTGCAGCTCCTGTGCAGAATCCACTGGGTGAAGCCAGCTGGGCTCCTGAGTCTGTTGGGGACTTGGAGAAAATTTATGTCTAGCTAAGGGATTGTAAATACACCAATCTGCACTCTGTATCTAGCTCAAGGTTTGTAAACACACCAATCAGCACCCTGTGTCTAGCTCAGGGTTTGTGAATGCACCAATCGACACTCTGTATCTAGCTACTATGGTGGGGACTTGGAGAACCTTTGTGTGGACACTCTGTATCTAGCTAATCTAGTGGGGACGTGGGGAGCCTTTGTGTGGGGAGCTCAGGGATTGTAAAGACACGAATCAGTGCCCTGTCCAAACAGACCACTCAGGCTCTCTGTAAAATGGACCAATCAGCAGGATGTGGATGGGGCCAGGTAAGAGAACAAAAGCAGGCTGCCCGAGCCAGCAGTGGCAACCGGCTGGGGTCCCCTTCCACACTGTGGAAGCTTTGTTCTTTTGATCTTTGCAATAAATCTTGTTGCTGCTCACTGTTTGGGTCCACACTGCCTTTATGAGCTGTAACACTCACCGAGAAGGTCTGCAGCTTCACTTCTGAAGCCAGCAAGACCATAAACCCACCGGGAGAAGTGAACAACTCCAGACATGCAGCCTTAAGAGCTGTAACACTCACCGTGAAGGTCTGCAGCTTCACTCCTGAGCCAGCGAGACCACGAACCCCACCAGAAGGAAGAAGCTTCGAACATATCTGAACATCAGAAGGAACAAACTCCAGACACGCCACCTTTAAGAACTGTAACACTCACCAGGAGGGTCTGCGGCTCCATTCTTGAAGTCAGTGAGACCAAGAACCCACCAATTCCAGACACGTTTATAGACTTGGCACTGGGAGGTCTGCATGGAGCAAGTGAAGAAATCAGCAGAGTGAAGATAGAGGGAGAACAACATGATGGGGGAAAGGCAAAGTTACTGCCATGTTGGTTTCAATTCTGCCACTCATGAGTGAGACCCATGACCTCCTCTCTCTAGGACTCTGTTGTTCTTATCTGTAGAGTGGAGGAATAGAAGGGCCTTTTAAAGTATTAACATTTCCTGACCTATCTGTAAAACGCTTTCATTCAAACTGATGGGAATCTTGACTACTTTGCCAAGAGGACATAACAATCATCAAGCTGAATGCACCAAACAACATTGCCTGAAACTATCTAAGCAAAAACTGAGAAAGTTGCACAGGACAGACATACCTCCTATAAGAGGAAGAACTCTTTAGCACATGCTTAGTGTGTCAAAGACAATGCTGTGTTCACACCATTCCTCTTCCTGGACATGCAGAAAGACTACATTTCCCAGCCTTACTTGCAGTTAGTTTGGAACCATGTGACTGCATTTCCACCAATAGGAATGTAAGAAATCCCTTCAGGCCAAGGTTATCAAAGGCAAGTGTGAGCTATGTTCCCTCTCTTCCTATCCATATGGCTACAAGTGAAAAACTCTGAGATGGCAGAATTAAAAGATGGAAACCTCCAGAATCTCTGAATCACTGTTGGACAACGGCCCCCAAGGAGAACCCCTGCCCTGCACCAGACTATGCTATGGGTGCTAACCCACTGAGAGTTCAGGGTTTATTCATCTCAGCAGCAGTCTATTGTTAACACTGACTAACATCCTAAGGTTTGAGAGATCTAGCATATTGTTAATTGAAGCTAGATTTCAATTGCACTGAGAAACTTATCTATTTAAAAATAAAAACTCTCCTAAAAAAAACAAATAATCCACATTCCTTTTAACAACATGTGGCAAATTTGCAAAAAAAACCAAAAAAAAAGCAAAAAAACAAACAAACAAAAAAAACCAACTGGCCACATATTAGGCCATAAAGAAGTCTCAACAAAATCCACTATACGATTGACATTGTCCAGACCACATTTTCCTGACCATAATGCAACAAAATTAGAAGTCAACAGCAAGAAGATAGCTAAACACAAGCATGCATTAGGAAAATTAAAAATATCCTTTCATGAGTTAAATGAAAAATCTCAATAGAAATTACTAAACATTTACAACCGAACGAAAACACAACTTTTCATATATATATATATATATATATATATATATATATATATATATATATATGTATGTATGTATGTATTTTTTTTTTGTGAGTCTTCCAACTTTGTTCCTCTTTTACAAGTTTATTTGAGAAATTCCGGGTCTCCTGCAATTCCTCATACAGTTTTATGCTGTTTGTCATTTCTGTGGCTGGGATGAACTTATCGTAGTTCTCATAGACCAGGGTTTGCATGTCGCTGTCTAGAGCCCGGATCTGCTGCACCATGTCCGTCTCACTGTCCATCAGCTGGGCCAGAGGGGACTCTCTAGGCAGCTTGTCTAGGTAAACTTCCGGGTCAAAGTGTGCCCCGTTCAGATCAGTGGGGTCCAGGGGGTCGGGCCCTGCAGGGAGTCCCACCGCTTCCCCTTCTGAGAGGCCGTTGTAAAGCTTTAGCATCCTGTGCGCCTTCCGCCGACGCTCCGTGAGCCTCCACATCGGGGCCTTCTGGGGAGTCCCCAGGTCCACACCCCAGGCTAGGCCCAGTGACAGCTGCTGCCGCCATAGCTCCAACTGCAGCCCACGGGCGTAACTTTTTATATTTTTAAGTTGGATATATGGAGCTACTTGGCTTTTGCTTTCATCACATCGTTGAGGAAAGAGGTGGTTGCTTATGGTATCCCTGTTTTTACTGCAACCTGTAATGGATGAGAGCCTCCCTGTTGCAGAGAGCAAAACACTGAACTGAATTGTGCTATAACACAGCCCTGTGTTGGGGGATTGGGAGTGATCATGCAAACGCTTGCAAATTTGCACAGTGACAGAGACAATCGTTTGGGCAGCTGTTCACTACATGAAAAGGCAATTGACCAAAAGTCAGTTACTGAGCTATCTCAATACTTTCATTTTATTTTAACTTTTGGCAACAGGGTGCAATTAAAGGAGAGAAAGAAAACAAAGTGATAAGTGTAAGATAATGTACACACATGTGTAAAAGAAAATGACAAGACAGGGTGACTCTTTGTCTCTTGGTTAGCTCCTTGGGCTCTATGTCTCCTTCCTCAGAGAACCTCGTTTTCCTTTGTCCAGATTTGTTAGGGTGGATAATCCAGGCACCTGCTCCCCCATGATGGAAGCCAAAGACGTCCCTGGAGCCGCCTCCCGCTGCACCCTTTGCTGCACTGCCCACATGGACACAACTCAGCCGATTAGACTTCCTCTCAGAACTTTAGTCTTGAGCAAAGGGATTAAAGGGTGAAGTGACTGAAGGTATGCCCTTCCAAAGTAGTACGTGAGCTAATGGCTAAAGTTTGTCAAGCCCATCCAAGCACATTTTTTCGTAATTTTTATTTATTTATTTTTTTAAGACAGAGTCTTGCTCTGTTGCCCAGGCTGGAGTGCAGTGGTGTGATCTCGGTTTACTGCAACCTCTGTCTCCCAGCTTCAAAGGAGTCTCCTGCCTCAGCCTCCCCAGTAGCTGGGATTACAGGCATACGCCACCATGCCTGGCTAATTTTTTTTTTTTTTTTTTTTTAGTAGAGACAGGGTTTCACCATGTTGGCCAGGCTGGTCTCGAACTCCTGACCTTGTGATTCACCTGCCTCAGCCTCCCAAAGGGATGGGATTACATACATGAGCCACCGCGCCCAGCTTCCAAAAGTTTTAAGCAGAGCTCAGAGGTCTTAACCACAGGCACATTGGAGGAGCATTTTTGAAACGCTTTCCAGCTTCCTCAATAGGAATGGAAGCCAAACTCCGAACTGATGACTCCTTTGAGGAAGTCGAGAGCTGTAAGGAAAGCCAGGAACAGGGGCAAGGGAGAGATGCATCCCAAATGATCCTGTGCCAATTCTTTCTGGAATCCTTGATGTGATCTCAGCTGCCCTTTCTATACATGACACAGTGATTGTGGCACCCACTGGTCTAGCTGTGGTCTACAAGGAACCCCCAAAGGGAAGGGCACAGTGAGCAGGGGCATCGGCCTCAGTGACGAGGATTTGAGAGGGCAGGTTGGATGCAGGGAGAGGACTGGCCAAATGCCATGTGTCTGGACTTAGACTGCCTGGTTCAAATTGGACGTCACCCTTTTTGACTTCGTGATCTGGTACAAGCTACATGAAAATCCGTTGCACCTTTTCTAGTCTGTAAAATCATCATGAAATGTGCACTAATAACGTGGAGACTATGCAGATGAAAAGAAACAAGCTGCATAGAGCACAGAGCTCAGAGCCTGTCCTTTAGGAAGCCCTCAGTAAGGGTTCATGATGCCATGGTGTCTGTCATCATCCTCTTTATCCTCATCATCACCTTCATAATCTCTTTGTTGTTCTTAGGGAATAGTTTAGAGGGACTGATTCCCTGCTATCATGGGTGAGATGTCTATGAAAAGGACAACCAGTGGGGGAGGAAAGCAAAATTTTGAATAAGATTTCTGAGACCCCCAGCACAACCAAGAGCAGAAACTCCACAGTCTGCTGAGCGCAGAGTTTGCATATTGGTCTCCTCCCATCTGCCCAGCGCATTCTCCTGTTTGTTCTGAGGAGGAGGAAACAAACAAGGCTCCCAACCGTCCCTCAGCACTCACTTGAAGGGGTGGCCTGCCCCTCCACACCTGTGAGTATTTCTAGTCGGGTGGGACGAGAGACTGAGAAAAGAAATAAGACACAGAGACAAAGCATGGAGAAAAAACAGTGGGCCTAGGGGACCGGCGCTCAGCATACCAAGGATCTGAACCGGCACAGGCCTCCAAGTTCCCTCAGTTTTTATTGATTATTATTTTTATTATTTTAGCAAAAAGGAATGTAGTAGGAGGGCAGGGTGATAATAAGGAGAAGGTCAGCAACAAACATGTGAGCAATAGAATCTATGTCATAAGGAAGTTCAAGGGAAGGTACTATGACTGGACGTGTCTCTAAGCCAGATTGATGTTTCTCTCCACCCAAACATCTCAGTGGAGTAAAGAATAACAAGGCAGCATTGCTGCAAACATGTCTCGCCTCCCATCATAGGGCGGTTTTTCCCCCATCTCAGAATTGAACAAATGTACAATCGGGTTTTATACCGAGACATTCAGTTCCCAGGGGCAGGCAGGAGACAGCGGCCTTCCTCTCTCTCAACTGCAAGAGGCTTTCCTCTTTGACTAATCCACCTCAGCACAGACCCTTTACGGGGGTCAGGCTCGTGGACGGTCAGGTCTTTCTCCTCCCACGAGGCCACTTTTCAGACTATCACATGGGGAGAAACCTTGGACAATACGGCGCTTTCAAGGGCAGAGCTACCTGTGGCTTTCCACAGTGTATTGTGCCC
This sequence comes from Homo sapiens, assembly GCF_000001405.40. Classification (NCBI taxonomy): domain Eukaryota; kingdom Metazoa; phylum Chordata; class Mammalia; order Primates; family Hominidae; genus Homo; species Homo sapiens. The sequence continues at coordinate 67,968,969 of NC_000011.10, forward strand.
CTGGTTTATTGAGACTAGAGAATGGCGATGACTTTTACCAAGTATACTGCTTGCAAACATCTTGTTAACAAGGCACGTCCTGCACAGCCCTAGATCCCTTAAACCTTGATTTCATACAACACATGCTTTTGTGAAATTCAGGTTGGGTCAAAATGGTTTGTTCAAAGTGACTGGGGCAAAGCTACAGATTAACAACATCTCAGCAAAGAAATTGTTGAAAGTACAGGCCTTTTTCAAAATGGAGTCTCTTATGTCTTTCCTTTCTACATAGACACAGTAACAGTCTGATCGCTCTTTCTTTTGCCTACACTCACTGAACTGCCCTTCCCCTCTGCTGGGCCATGACCACGGAGAACAGGTCCACTGTCCTCCCTGTGTGGTGCACCATGGAGGCTCAGACTCCGTCCTCAAGGCTGGCAAGATGACAGGGTAAGACATGAGCCTCCTGATACAGGTGATGTCTCTGGAGCCCACAGGACTGCAACCTCACACTGCAGGGCTGGAGGCACAGACTGACTATTTACTATTCTGTGGCCTGGGGGCTCAAGGCACAGAGCTCCTCATTAGCCAAAGTCACCCAAGTTCCCCAACCACTAAGGATTTCCTCATAATAATGCAAGAAGAAGAGAAAAGTGAGTGTCCATAGAAGCTTTGGGGCTCTTCCTCTAATCAGGAGAAAGCTGGTGTGTATTCTTCACTTCTTTCTTTTCTTTTTAAACATCCAACTGCTTTAATTTTCATCTTTTATTATGGGAAAATATACCACGTATAAATATGAAAAATTATAAATATATATTAGTTCATATAGAATGGCCAGTATAAACATTTACAGTTTCCACTCTTTTTCAGTTTACAGTTTCATGACATTAAGTACGTTCACATTGTTTAGCAACCATCACCGTCATCGTCTCCGGAACAGTTTTATCTTTCAAAATGGAAATTGCACCCATTCACCAAGCTCTCCACTCCTCTCTCTTGCCCACCCCTGGGGGCCCCCTTTCTAGTTTGCAACTCTATGATTTTAACTACTCTAGACACTTGATAGATAAGTGGAATCAAACCGTGTTTAATTTTCTTGTTTTGGAGACAGAGTCTTTCTCTGTCACCCAGGCTGGAGTGCAGTGGCGTGATCTCGGCTCACTGCAACCTCCACATCGTGGGTTCAAGCGATTCTTCTGTCTCAGTCTCCAGAGTAGCTGGGATTACAGGCGTGCACCACCACGCCCAGCTAATTGTTGTATTTTAAATAGAGACCATATTGGCCAGGCTGGTGTTGAACTCCTGACCTGAAGTGATCCGCCTGGCTCAGCCTCCCAAAGTGCTGGGGTTACAGGTGCAAGTCACTGAGCCTGGGCGTGTTTATCCTTTTGGGATTCATTTATTTCACTGAGGATAATGTTTGCAAGGTTCATCCATGTTGCGGCCTGCCTCAGAAGTGCCTCTCTGTTTTTTTGTTTGTTTGTTTGTTTTTTGTTTGTTCGTTTGACTTTGTTTTGTTTTGTTTTATGTTTCCATGGAGTCTCACTCTGTCGCACAGGCTGGAGTGCAGTGGCACAATCTGGGCTCACTGCAACCTCCGCTTCCCGGGTTCCAGCGATTCTTGTGCCTCAGCCTCCCGAGTAGTTGGGACTATAGGTACAACGCCACCATGCTTGTCTCATTTTTTGCATTTTCAGTAGAGACGGGGTTTCACCAAGATGGCCAGGCTGGTCTTGAATTCCTGACCTCAGGTGATCCGCCCACCTCGGTCTTCCAAGACGCTGCGATTACAGGCGTGAGCCACCGCACCGGCCAGAAGTGCCTGCATTTTTAAGGCTGAATAGTCCTCCATTGTATGAAGGAACTGCAGTGTGCTTTTTCATTCATCTGTCCACGAACCCTTGGGTTGCTTCCACATTTTGGCTGTTGTGAATAATGCTGCTATGAATATGGGTGTACACAAATCTGTCTTCCACTCCTGGCTTCTAATTCTTTTTGGTAGGTACCCACAAATGCAACTGCGGGAACATCTGATCATTCTGTTTCTAATTTTTCCAGTAGACGCCATACTATTTTCCCTGTTCCTTCACGGTTTTACATTCCCTCCAATCATATTCGAGCATTCCTACTTCCCTCTAGTCTCACCAATGCTTGTTTTTTTTTTATCATATCCATCCTAATGTGTGGTATCACATTCTTGGTTTGATTTGTGCTTCCCTATGATGAGTGACTTTGAATATCATTTTAGATGCTTATTGGCCATTGCTATATCTTCTTTAGGAACACGTCTACTCGAGTCTTCTGACCATTGTTGATGGGATGCTTTGGGTTTCTTGTTGTTTAGTTCTAGCTGTTCTTTATATATGATGGATATCAGCCTCTTTTCAGATATATGCTTTGCAAATATTTTTCCTAATCCATGGGTTATCTTTTCACTCAGTTCACAGTGTTTTTTGCTGCACAAAAGTGTCTGTCATTTAGATGTAATCCAAGGAATCTAATTTTCTTTTGTTGCCTATGCTTTTGGTGTCATATCCCAGAGAACATTGCCCAATCTGATGTCATGAAAGCATGGCCAATGTTTTCTTTTAGGCGTATGATACTTTTAGCACTTGGGGTGAGGTCTTTGATCCAGTTTGTGTTAATTTTTGCACCTGGTGTGACATAGGGTCCACCTTCATTCTTCTGCATGTGGAAATCAAGTTTCTCCAACACCATTTCTTGAAAAGGCTTCTTTTCCACCAATGAGCTTTCTTAGCACTCATGTGAAAAATCATTTGAACATATAGATGAGAAGTTATTTCTGGGCTCCAAAACAAACAAACAACAACAGACAAAAGATAAGGATACAGCATGGGCCAGGCGCTGTCGCTCACGCCTGTAATCCCAGACCTCTGGGAGGCCGAGGTGGGCGGATCACCTGAGGTCAGGAGTTGAAGACCAGCCTGACCGACAGGGAGAAACCCCCGTCTCTACTAGAAATACAACATTAGCTGGGCGTGCTGGCGCATGCCTGTAATCCCAGCTACTCGGGAGGTGGAGGCAGGAGAATCGCTTGAACCCAGGAGGCAGAGGTTGCGGTGAGCCAACATTGCACCATGACACTACAGCCTGGGCAACAAGAGCGAAACTCCATCTCAAAACAAAAACAAAAAACCAGCATGATTTCAAGAGCAGAAAGAGAAGAGCTTAAAAACCAGCATAATGAGAAAGTTAGGAAGTTTCTTACCAAAGCATCTGGAAATATGCAAGCAATTCTTGTGAAGTAAAATTTTCATACTGTGCTATGAAACACTGGAACTCACTTATTCCATCTTTCTGTATTTTGGGACCCAATTATCCACTTGTCTTCATTCCCTATCGCACCCCTTTTCTTCCTAGCGTCTGCTGATCACCTTTATACTTTCCACCTTCCTGAGATTCCTTTTGTGTGTAGGTGTGTGATGGAGTCTCTTTCTGTTACCCAGGTTGGAGTACACAGGCACAATCAGGGCTCACTGCAAGCTCCACCTCCCAAGTTCAAGCGCTTCTTGGGCCTCAGCCCTCTGAGTAGCTGAGACTACAGGCACGCGTCACCACGCCCGGCTCATTGTTTGTGTTTTCCGTAGAGACAGGGTTTCACCATGTTGGCCAAGCTGATCTCGAACTCCTGGACTCAAGTGATCCGTGCGACTCGGCCTCCTAGAGTGCTGGGATTACAGGCCTGAGCCACAACACCTGGCCAAGGTTTCCTTTTTTCTTCTTACATAGAAGTGAGGACATGAAATATTTGTCATTCTGTGCCTGGCTTCTTTCATTTAATATACAGACCTGCAATCTCATCCATTTTGTCTGCAGCGGAGAGGAGTTTCTTCCTTTTTCGGCTGAATAATACTTCACTGGGTGTGTATACCACAGTTTCTTCATTGAAACAAATTTCTGAAGAGCAAATATTTTTAAAATGTCTCAGAATGTGAAACCTCAGGGATACTGTGTCCATTTTATTCTTTTCTATTTCCTATCTTATGTATATGCAAGTGTATAACAAAGCAGCAATCAATGTGTGTATAAATCTACAACTTCAACAAATGTAAAATGTAAATGCTAAGTGGTGGCTGGGCGCAGTCGCTCATGCCTGTAATCCCAGCACTTTGGGAGGCGGAAGCGGGCGGATCACCTGAGGTCGGGAGTTCAAGACCAGCCTGACCAAAATGGAGAAACACTGTCTCTATTAACAATATAAAAAAAAAAAAAAATTAGCCAGGCATGGTAGCGCATGCCTGTAATCCCAGGTACTTGGAAGGCTGAGACAGGAGAATTGCTCGAATACGGGAGGCAGAGGCTGCAGTGAGCCGAGACCGTGCCATTGAACTCCAGCCTGGGCAACAAGAGTGAAAATCTGACTCAAAAAATAAGGAAAAGAAAGAAATAGAAAATGCGAAATGGTAAGAAACAACAACATAATAAACATTTGTATGGTGTTGATGGACAATGCATTTGAAGATAATATTTGAAGAAATCATATTACAATTAATTTCTGTTCTTACTCATTGGAGCTTGATGCCTCTAAAAACTTCGTCATTGGAACCACCTCTGGTGCTTTAAAAGAAAAAAAAAAAAATCCACATACTCACACAGGTGCAAGGAAATCAGAATCTCAGGTATTGAGACCCAGGCCTCATCATTTGTAAGCTCCCCAGGTGATTTGACTCAAAGCCAAGATTGAGGAATGGCGACATGGATCTCTACACAGAACCTGCCTAAATAGATTCTCTAGAAGCAGTTTATAAAGATATTCCACGTGGACTGTGGAAGAGGATATGAATTTGATGTACAGCATGTCCTCACTTAACATCTTTGAAAGTCTCTTGGAAACTTCACCTTTAAGCAAAATTATGTATAGTGAAACCACTTATTTTTCATCAACAGTATAACTACACATCTTTGAACAACTGATGGTGTTGGAGGACCTCCTGTACATTGTTTCCATAAAGTCAGTTTTCAGGGAATTCCAAAAGGAAGTGAGGACTTCGTGTATATAAAAAGATGGTTGTGATTCCACCTGGATGACAGGGTTATTGCTCAGAAACTAAAAGAGGCCACCTAGGTATAGAGGATTCTGTCATGAGGTTTCTGCTAAACAAAGGGTCCCAGAATCCTCACCCATTCCAGTGAAAGGCATAGCGAAGAAAGCAATATTCACAAAGGAAATGTGGAAAGGAATAAAAGCCATCAAGCCACAGAAAGAATGTGACTAAGGGGCAGGATTTGCAGATGTAGAGATTTAATGTGGTTGCCCTTTCTCACCCACACAAGAGAAAGGATGGAACAAATCATGAGATTCGACTGTTGTGCTGTGCAGCCTCCACAGGGCACTTTGTATGTTCCTGTTTCTCAGGCTGTAGATGAAAAGGTTCAGCATGGGGGTGACCACAGCATACATCACTGATGCCACCACACCATTCCTGGGGGGTTGTGACACAGCTGAAGTCAGGTACATGCCAATGCCTGTTCCATAAAATCAGCAAACAACGGCTAGGTGAGAGCCACAGGTGGAGAAGGCTTTATACTTCCCATCTGACGATGAAATCCTTAGAATGGAGGGGATGATTTTATAGTAAGACCATAGGATCCCTGAAATGGGAAGAAAACCAAACATAGTACTATCGAAATATATGAATATGCTATTGATGACGCTGTCAGAACAGGCAAGTTTGAGAAGTTGAGAGGGGTCACAGACAAAATTAGAGATTTCCAAATTCTAGACGATGGTGAATTGTAACACAATCCAACTGTGCAGCTGGGAATCCAACAGGCTAAGGAAAAAGGACACCAAAACGAAGACACAGAGGTGAGGATTCACGATGACTGGGTAGTGCAGAGGGCGACAGATGGCTACAAAGCAGTCATAGGCCATCACAGTCAGGAGCATGCCTTCTATACATGCAAAAAGGACCAAGAAAGACATCTGCGTCAGACAGCCCGCATGAGACGTGACTCTGCTATGCGACTGCATGTCCACAATCATCTTGGGAACCGTGGCGGAGGTGAAACCGATGTCAGCCCAGCACAGGTTGGAGAGGAAGAAGTACCTGGGGGTGTGGAGGGGGGAGTCAGAGCAGACAGCCAGGATGCTGAGCAGGTTCCTCAGCACCGTGACCAGATACATGGACAGGGACAGGGACAGCAAAGCGAGGATAGGCTGCAGTTCTGGGTCCTCTGAGAGTCCCAGGAGGAGGAATTCTCAGACACCTGTGAGATTCCGTGGCTCTGTGTGTCTTGGACACCTTGAGAAGGAAAGAGGATTGGAAAAATAGCAGATAAAAACCAGCCCTTAATGCTGGATGCAAGCAATTCACAAGGAACATCTTCACACTTGCGGACCATACACCGCCAGCAATGTTTCTCAGTTGTGACAATTCCAAAAAATCTCAGAATTATTACGTGATTTACTTTTTTGCTATACAAGGCTTTCTGTACATACTACTTTAGAGAAAATCCACTGAAGAATATCAGAGACCAAAACGTTATATATAACAAATCCGTGATCTCAGTAAAATACGGCCTACTCTTTTCAGAAAAAATACAATGCAATGACAATGTCCTTTCTCTTGAAGAAAAAGATCTCAGTCTAATTGAAAGAAATTAAGAAGCCGTGAAATGCACTCTACTTTATTCTGACCCCGTGCTACAACTTCCATTGATGTAGAATATGTAAAAGGACGACACAAGAGCTAGGACCCCATTATCTGAAAACGACATCGAACCTTATAGTTCTCAATCGAAAGATTTTCACATGCCTGTTACTTTTCATATTTATTATCATCCTTCGGTTTTCTGACATCACTTCTTCATAAAAGTACATGCACGCTCAAAGATGGGAGCTGTGTTTCCAAATGAATTGAATCTATAACTCTTGGCCCAGCACCATGGCTCACACCTGTAATCCCAGCACTTTGGGTAGCCGAGGCTGATGGATCACCTGAGGTCAGGAGTTCCAGACCAGCCTGGCCAACGTGGTGAAACCCCGTCTCCAGTGAAAATAAAAAAACATTAGCCGGGTGTGGTGGCGGGTAACCCTAGCTACTCGGGAGGCTGAAGCAGGAGAATCCCTTAGAACCTGGAAGGCAGAGATTGGAAACCCTGTGATAGGATTTTTGACAGCCTAGGGAGATATTGCACCTGACAGCAGAGTCGGCGTACACCCTGTGATATTATTTGTAATATCCTAGAAAGATATTTCTCCTAATATCACAGTGGCTGTACACCCTGTGATCTTAATTGTAATATCCTACAGAGATATTACTCCCAATAATACAGTGGGTGTACACCCTGTGATATTATTCATAATATATTACAGAGATACGACTCCTGATATCACAGTGAGTGTACACCATGTTTGTACACCCTGTGATCTTATTTGTAACAACTTAGAAAAATATTACAGCTAATATCAAAATGGGTGTGCACCCTGCGATGTTATTTGTTTTCTACTAGGTAGATATTACTCCTAATATCACAGTGAGTGTACACCATGTGTGTGCAGACTGTGAAATTATTCATAATACTCTAGGAAGATATTATTCCTCATATCACAGTGGGTGTACACCGTGAGTGATTTTTTTTCTAATATCCAGCGGGGGAGAGGATGATATTGCTTCCAATATCACGGAAGGTGTACACCCCGTTGTGATATTGTTCCTAATATCCAGGGAAGGAGAGGATGACATTATTCCCAATATCACTGGGGGTGTACCACCTCCCTCCGGGATATTGTTCTTATTGTCAGTAGGTGGAGAGAATGATGTTACTCCCAATATCACAGGGGGTGTACACCACCCCTGTCTGTAAACACCCCCTGTGATATTGTACCAAATGGCCTGTGAAAGAGTCAATATTACTCCCATTATCGCAGGGGTGTTCAGACCTGATGATATTGTTTTCTAACATCCAGGGAAGGAGAGTATGCTATTATTCCCAATATAGCAGGGGTTGTACACCTTTTTGTGTTATTGGGCCCAATATCCAGGAAAATAGAAGATGATAGTACTCCCAATATTGAAATAATTGTACAGCACCCTTGTGATATTCTTCCTAATATCCAGAAAGGAAAAGAATGATATTACTCCCAACAGCGTAGGAAATGTATACCCGCTCTGTGATATCTTTCCCCATATCCAGGTGGGGAGAGGATCATATTACTTCCAATATCGCAGGGTGTGTACACCCCCTCTGTGATCTCGTTGCTAACATCCAGGTTTGGGGAGGATGACATGACTCCCAATATCTCAGGGGGAGTTCACCCCCCATGACCTTGTTTGTCATTTCCTTGGTGGAGAGGATGATATTACTCCCAATATCGCAGGGGGTGTACACACCCCTGTGAAAATCTTCCTTATATCCAGAGGGAGAGAGGATGATATTACTCCCAGTACCGCAGGGTGTTTCCACAGCCCTGTGATACTCTTCCTAATATCCACAGGGAGAGAGGATGATATGACTCCCAATATCGCAGGGGGTGTACACCCCTCCTGTCCTATTGTTCTGAATACCCTGGGAGGGAGAAGATAAGGTGACATTGAATATCACAGGGAATGTACACCCTCCCCCTCTGATACCCTTCCTAGTATCCAGGGGAAGAGAGGATAATTGTACTCCCAATATCGCAGAGGCAGTACACCCCACCTGTGGTATTGTTCCCAACATGCAAGGGGAGAGAGGATGATACTACTCCCAATATCGCAGGGGTGTTCACATCCCCAGTGACATTTTTCCTAATATCTAGGGGAGAGACAATTACATGACAGCAAATGTCGCAGGGTCTGTACATCCCTTCTTGATATTGTTCCTAATATCCAGGGGGGAAGAGGATGATATCGAATATGAAAGGGGGTATACAACCCCCACCCCTAAGATACTGTTCTCAATATTCTTGAGGGGAGACGATGATATGACTCCAAATATCGCAAGGGTTGTTCACACCCCCCTGTGATACTCTTTCTAATATCCAGGAGGGGGAGAAAATAACATGACTTCTAATATTGCAGGTGGTGTAAACCCCACCTGAAATATGGCACCGAATATCCAAAGAGAGAGAGGATGGTATTCATACCAATATCGAAGTGTGTGTACACGCCCCTTGTGACATGGTTTTTAATATCCAGGGGGTGGGAGGATATTAGTCCCAAAGTCCCAGAAGGTGTACACTACCCCTGTGATATTGTCCCTAACTTCCAGAGGGAAGAGGATGAGATCACTCCCGATATCTCAGAAGTTGTACATCCCCTGTGATACTGTTCGTCATATCCAGGGAGGCACAAGATGACATACCATTGAATTTCACGACAGGCGTACACGCACACTGTGATATTGTTCCTAATATCCAAGAAGGCAGAGGATGGCATTACTCCCAATAAAGCAGTGGGTGTACACTACCCCTGTGTTATTGCCTCTAATATCCGGGGCCGGGGGAGGGGGGGAGAGGATAACATTCCCTCAAATGTAGCAGGTGGTTTGACGCCCCTCGTGGTGTTGTTTTACATATCCATCGCGGAAGACAATAATACTATTTTGATAGTCCGATTCATCCCCTCCACCTTTCCGGAACTCTGAGGCCGGGAGGCAGCAGGCAATTTCCGTGTGATCCCCAATTCCTTTGCCGTCTTCTGTAGCAAGTCAGCCACAAACGCAGGCCCGTTATCTGAGCCGATCCGGAAGGGCAGTCCCAATCTACGAATCAGATCTCGAAGAAGCACACGGGTTACTTCACGAGCTTTCTCAGTTGTGTTGGATAAGCCTCCACCCACCCAGAGTAGGTACGGCCAAGAACTAGTAAATACTTGTTACCTCCACACTTTGGCATCTCTGTGAAGTCTACCTGGAGATCTTCTAAGGGGGCTGCTCCATAAGCTTGTATGCCGGGTGGAACGGCTGGACCTTGCCTCGCTTTATGCTGTCGGCAGGTAACACACCGCTGCCTCACCGTTTTGGCAAGGGCTGAGAAACGCGAGATGTAGAAATACCGGCCTAACAACTTTTCCAGTGACTCCTGACCTCGATAGGTGGTTTCTTGCACAGCCAGTACAACTGCAGCTCCTAGCAGCTGTGGCGCAGCTACTCTCCATCCTTCCTCCATCACTTGTCCTTCCCTCTACCTGGACAAAGTCCTTTTCTTCTTTAGAATAAGCAGGTCCAAGATCAGGTGCTTGAGGGAGCAGAGGAGCTGTGACTGATGCCTGGAAACGGGCAGATGCTGCTTTTCCAGCCTATGAGTCAGCGCGGGAATTCCCCAAGCCCACCAAGGTGGAAGCTCGCTGGTGTCCCCTGCAATGCATAACTGCCACCTTGTGGGGTTTCCATACTACTTCTAATACATAGAAGATTTCTGGTTGATATTTTCTGTCTTTTACCCCAGAGTTTAATAGGCCCTTTTCTTTCTATCACGCTCCATGCATGTGAAGGGTTCAAAAGACATACCGAGAATCAGTGTAAATGTTGACAGTCTCACCCTCACTGAGCTCTAAGGCCCAAATGAAAGCAATGAGTTCAGCTTTCTGGGCTGAAGTGGCCTGGGGCAACGATCTGGCTTCAACAACAGTGTCCAGGGTTATCACTGCATACCCTGCACCTCTCTCTCCTTGGGGGTTGAAGAAGCTGCTCCCATCCACGTATAGTTCCCAGTCTACTGATGCCCAAGGCTGGTCCCAGAAGTCAGGTCTGCTAGAGTCAACTGAGTCCAACACTTCTACACAATCATGCTCGACGGGGCTCTCTGATAGCGGGAGCAAGGTGGCAGGGTGTTACAAACTTCAATGGTTACACGGGGATTTTCACAGAGCAAACTTTGGTACTTGGTGAGTCTGGCATTCATTAGCCAATGATGTCCTTTAATATTCATTAAAGTCACCACAGCATGGGGGGCCTTTCTGTTCAGGTTCTGCCCAAGAGTCAGCTTCTTTGCTTCTTGTACTAGCAGGGCAGTTGCTGCCAAGGCCCTCCAACACAGGGGCCATCCTTTAGAGACCCCATCTAGTTGTTTAGAGAGGTAGGCCACCGGCCTCGGCCAAGGCCCCACAGTTTGGGTTCAAAGTCCGGCTGCCATCTTTTCTCTCTCTCTGACACATAGGATGTAAAAGACTTTGTCAGATCAGGTAGCCCCAGGGCTGGGGCTGACATAAGTTTCTCCTTTAACTCACGAAAGGCTTGCTGTTGTTGGGATCCCCATTCAAAAATTTCCCATCCCCGCCCCCTTTGTGACCTTATACAAAGTCTTGGCTAATACTGCAAAGTTTGGGATCCGCAGTCTACAAAACCCCACAGCTCCTAAGAATTCTCTCACCTGCCTTCTGCTCTTAGGCTCTGCTAGATTGCAAATGACCGGCTTTCTTTCTGATCCCGGGCTGCGTTCCCCCTGTCGGATACTAAATCCCAAGGAACATACCTGCTGTCAGCAGATCTGAGCTTTTTTCTTGGACACCTTACACCCACAGTCCTCCAGGTGTCGGCGTAGGGCAATCTGTTCCCTTGGTGCACCCGACTGCCATGAGGTGTCCCAGCAAAAGCTCATCAACCTACTGGAGCAATGCGCAGCCTAGGTCTCTGGTGGGAAACTTCTGGAGGTCTCAAGCCAACGCCTCCCCAAAGATGGTGGGGGAGTTCTTGAACCCTTGGGGAAGCCCGGTCCAAGTGTACTGAGTAGTGACACCTGACTCCGGATCTTCCCACTGAAAGGCAAACAGCTTCTGCCTCTCAGGGGCTAATCTGATAGAAAAGAAAGCGTCTCTCAGGTCCAAGCAGGTGAACCAGCTGTCCTCAGCTGGCAGCAACCCCAACAACATGGACGGGCTAGGTACTGTTGGATGTAAAGTCAGGGTAGCTTGACTAAACAAGCGCAAATCCTGTCCCAGCCTGTAATCCTTGGTCCATGGCTTGGGAACAGGCAGGAGGGGAGTGTTCTGTGGAGACTGACAAGGAACTATCATACCAAAAGTTCTTAGGTGCTTAAGATGGACCTGGATACCTTGAAGAGCTTCTCTGGGGACCAGGTCCTGTTTTTGCCTAAGTGGCTGGGCCCCAGTCTTAACTAGCCAACCCTGGAGGGTTGTCTTCTGCCCGTACTCTTGGCCTCTGCTTAGCCAGAGCTGGTCTTCTCTCTTGGCCCGGTTCAGTTCACAAAAGTCTCCATTCCTCCTCTCGGGGGACCATAAGGTCATAATGACTCCCGTGGCGGGTAACTTTAGCAGCAAAGAGCTGTGTTCTGTCAAAGAGAGAGCAGCTCTCAGCTTGCTAAGCAAGTCCCTTCCCAACAAGGGCAAGGGACAGTCAGGCATGTACAAAAACTGATGAATCACTTGATGTCCTCCTACAGTGCAAGTCCCAGGCAAGCAGAAAGCTTGCTTTGCTGAAACCCCCATGGCTCCGGTGATGTCAAGGGTCTTTCTGGATAACGGGCGACCGGAGCGGTTACTAGCGAATGTTCAGCACCGCTATCCACAAGAAAGTCAATGTCTCTACCCCCGACTCTCATTCTAACCAGAGGCTCTTTGGAGACACTTGAGCCTGGTCTCCCTCAGTCCAATAATCCTTTTGCCAGGTTGAGCCGGGCCCCTTCCTCCTTGTCCGGGGCCTCCTGCTCTGAGTCACCTTGTTTTCTTTTGAGCTCAGGGCATTTGTTCTTCCAATGTCTTATTTCTTTACAATAAGCACTCTGGTTACGCTGCAAACTCTGACAGCCAAGCTGAGTTTCTTTCCCAGGGCTCCCCTTCCCTTGCTTCTTTGGGGGGACAGCTCTGATTGCTGCAGCTAACAAACAGGTCGGCGTTTTGCCGGGCCTGATCTCCATTCTCTTTGCGCTTTCCCTCGTGGCTTACTGTATCCCTGTTTACAAACACCTGCTTAGCTATTTCTCATCAATGTGATGTATTCCTCCCTGCAAGCCCAGCCTGCTTCTGCAGTTTTCTTCTAACGTCTTCCGCACTTTGACGGACTAAAGCCATTTGAATCATGCGCTGATTTTCAGGGTTATCGGGATCAAGGGGAGTATACATACCATAGGCCTCACACAGTCTCTGGTAGAATTGTGCTGGACTTTCTTCTTTTCCCTGAATGACTTCAGAGACCTTATTAATATTTGTGGCCTTCTGAGCTCCCCTCTTGAATCCTTCCAAGAGAGCTTCCCTGTCTCGGTTTAGCCTTTGCATATCCTCTCTTTCATGTGGGTCCAACTGGGGGTGGGTTCCTGGTAACTAGGTCCTTCCATACTCTTGGGGGTTTTGATAATCAGCTGGTGCATGTTCCTCTAGCCACTTAGTTGCTGCGTGGAGCCCTCTCCGCCTTTCGCCTTTCACCTCTCTTAAAGAGGAACATGAGCAACCGGTGGCGATCAGCCCAGGTGGGGTTGTGGGTCTGGATAACAGTTTGGAGCAAATCTATTAGGGCTTGCGGCTTTTCGCTCTAGGACGGGGTATTGTTTTCCCAGTTGAGAAGGTCGGCAGAGGTGAAGGGCTTTTACACAAAAACACGCCTCTCCACCACGTGACCATCCTCCTCTCTCCCAGTATACCGCTGCTCTCTCAGGGGCATTTGGATCCCCGTTTTGGGTCGTAAACGAGCTGCCAAGGGAGGGGTGGAATGGCGCAATGTTACTTACCGCAATTAATAATATCAATTATTAATTGATACTGATAATTATCAATATTAATAACTGATCATATAATTCTTAAAATCAATACCTATAATAATGATAATTCATATTAAAGAGCTATACTCACAATAACAACAAATGATGAATGTTAATGATTAATGACGCCTGGTCTTAGTGATATTGATCTTATTCATTAGAAAACTGTCATATTAACTCCTAATAATTAACATTAATTTTAATAATCTGAACACTTTTTTAGCAATGATTTCTTAATATTAATATTAGTAATACATATTCATGTTAATAATAAATGAGGAAGAATTAATACGAATATTATCCCTAATACCTCAGTGGGTGTACACCCACCTGTGATATTGTTCCTAATGTCCAGGGAGGGAGAGAGCATGATATGACTTTCAATATCGCAGTAGGAGTACACCCACCCGGTGATATTTATCCGAATATCATCTCCAGGGGGTGGCGTATGACGTTACTCCCAAGATAGCAGTGGGTGTGCATCCACCCGGTGATATTCCTCCTAATATTCCCGGAAGAAGAGAATGCTATTACTCCCAGTATCTCAGGAAGTGTACACCCCTTCTGTGACATTGTTCCTAATATCCGGAGGGGAGAGGGTGATATTACTCGCAATATCGCAGGCTGTGTACACCCACCCTCTGATATTGTTCCTAGCAGCCAGGAAGTGAGAGGACGATATGACTCCCCATACAGCAGGAGGCGTACACCCATCCTGGGATATTATTCCTAATATCCACGGAGAGGAGAGGCTGATATGACTCCCAGTATCGCAGGGGGTGTACATCCTGTCTGTGATATTGTTCTTAATATTCAAAGGTGGAGAGGTTGATATTACTCCCAATATCACAGAAAGTGTACAAACCCGTGTACTATTGTTGCTATTATCCAGAAGAAGAGAAGATGATATCACCCCCCCATCGCAGGAGGTGCACACCCACTCTGTGATATTTTTTCCAATGTGCAGGGCAGGGGAGGATAATACTCTTCTTCATAGCACACGGTGTGTACAGCCCCGCTGTAATATGGTCCTTAATATTCCAAGCGGAGAGGATGATCTTACTCCCAATACTGCAGAAAGTGTACACGACCCCAGTGATATGGTGCCCATGATCCAGGACAGAAGAGGATGATGTTACTTTCAATATCGCACAGGGTGGACACGCCCCCAGTGATATTGTTCCTAATTTCAACGTGGGAGAGGATGATACTACACGGAATGCCCCTGGGGTAAAAACACTCCTGTGATATTGTTCTTAATATCAAGGGGAAAGAGGATGCTATTACTCCAAAGAGCGCAGAGGATGTGCACCCGTCTGTGACATAGTTAGTAATTTCCAGAGGCGGAGAAGATATTACTGACAATAACGTGAACACACTGTGTGACCACCGTGGATCGTCATATCCGGGGGGGAGAGGGGGGTGATATGACTCCCCGCATCGCGGGGGGCGCCCGCCCCCCTGCGATGTGGATCGTCATATCCAGGCGGGGAGGGGGGGGTGATGTGACTCCCCGCATCGCGGGGGGCGCCCGCCCCGCTGCGAAGTGAATCGTCATATCCAGAGGGGGGTGATATGACTCCCCGCATCACGGGGGCCTCACCCCCTTGCGATGGGGGTCCTAAGAGCCAGCGGGGGATAGGGGCTGGCTCTTACTCCCCGTACCCCGGGTGGGGGGCCTCACCCCCCTGCGATGGGTCTCCTAAGAGCCGGGGGAGAGAGTGGCTGGCTCTTACTCCCCGTATCCCAGGAGGTGTGTACAACCCCTGCGATATTGGGAGTAATATCATCCTCTCCCCCTGAATATAAGAAACAATATCACAGGAGGATGTACACCCCCTGCGATATTGGAAGTAACATCATTTTCTCCCCCTCCGGATATTCGGAACAGTATCACAGTGGGTGTGTACAGCTCCTGCGACATTGCCGCTAGTATCTTCCTCTCCCTCCCAGGATAGAAGGAAGAATGTTACAAGGGGGTGTACACCCCCTGCGATATTGGCTATAATATCTTCCTCTCCCCCGCTGCCTTTTAGGAGCAATGTCACACAAGGGGTGTACACCCGCGGCTATATTGGGAGTGATATCATCCTCTCCGTCCCTGGATATTAGGAACAATATCCCTAGGGAGTGTACACATCCTGCAATATTCAGACTAATATCATCCTCTCGCCGCCTGGATATTAGGATCAATATCACAAGGGTGGTGTGCACCCCCGGCGAAATTGGAAGAAATATCATCATCTCCACCTTTGGATGTTAGGGACAGTATCTCGGGGGAGGTCTCCGCCCCCTGCGATATTGGGAGTCATATCATCCGCTCCCACCCAGGATATTAGGAACAAGATGACCGAAGGGATGTACGCCCACTGCGCTATTTTCAATAATGTCATCCTCTACCCCCTGGCTATTAGGAGTCACATCATAGAGGGGTGTACACTTTCTGCGATATTGGGAGTAATATCCTCCCCCCACGGATATCGGGAACAGTTCTATTGATTATTAATATTACAAATATAATAACAATTAATAGTAATCATCAATATTAATAATTACTGTAGAGACAGTAAAACAGTACGGATGAAAAATATTAACGGTTACTATTTAT
The DNA here is from genome assembly GCF_000001405.40 of Homo sapiens. Taxonomy (NCBI): domain Eukaryota; kingdom Metazoa; phylum Chordata; class Mammalia; order Primates; family Hominidae; genus Homo; species Homo sapiens. Next base: position 67,985,213 of record NC_000011.10, read on the forward strand.
AATTAATAGCAATTTCAGTATTAATAATAAAATAATGATATCACTAATTAATGTTACTTCAATCATAAGTGATGTTGGTAATAAAACAATAATTAATATTAAGATTAATAACTAATATTAAAAGTGACATTAATATTAATAATTAATTTTAATCATGCATAATCATATCTCAAAAATAATCATTAATGATTAATAACGTTATACTGTTAATTAATATTACCATTGATAATTATTAATAAGACTGATGTTTAATAATTCAGAATATTATTACTGCTAATACCGCAGGGGGTGTACATCTACTTGTGATAATGTTCCTAATATCCAGGGATGGAGAGCATGATATTAGTTTTCATATCACAGTAGGTGTACACTCACCCTGTGACACCGATCCTAATACCCAGCTTGTAGAGTATGACATGACTGCCAACATAGCAATCAATGTACAGCCACCCGGTGATATTGCTCCTAATATTCACGGAAGAAGCGTATGATATTACTCCCAATATCGCAGGGAGTGTACACCTCTTCTGTGATATTGTTCCTAGTATCCCGAGGGGGAGAGGGTGATAATAATTCCAGCAACGCAGGCTGTGTTCACCCAGCCTGTGAAATTGTTATTAATATCCTGAAAGGGAGAGGATGATATTACTCCCCATAATAGAGCAGGAGGTGTACACCCACCCTGTGATATTCTTCCTAATATTCAGAGGCCGAGAGGTTGATATTACTCCCAATATCGCAGGAAGTATACACCCCTGTGTGAGATGGTCCTTCATAATATTCCAAGGCGGAGGGGGTGATATGACTACATATATGGCAGAAAGTGAACACCCCCCAGGGATATTGTTCCCATGATCCTGGAGGGAAGAGGATGATATTACTTTCAATATCACAGAAGGTGGACACGCCCCCACTGATATTGTTTCTAATTGCAACGTGGGACAGGAGGATATGACACGCGATATCCGAGGGAGTGGAAACACCCCTGTGATACTCTTCTTAATATTCATGGAGGAAGAGGATGATATTACTCCCAATACAGAAAGGTGTACACCCTCTGTACACTGAGGGTATACACCCATCTGTGAAACAGTTCATAATCTCCAGAGGGGGAGATGGTGTTGCTCAAAATAAGGTAAACAGGCTGTGAGTCCACCGCGGATCCTAAAACCCAGGGGGGGAAGAGGGGCTAGCTCTTACTCCCCGCATCGCAGGGGGTGCCTCACCCCCCTGTGATGGGGGTCCTAAGAGCCAGGGGGGGAGAGGGGCTGTTCCCTACGTTGGGGCACTGAGGTCCCTGTTTTCTTGTAAGCTGCCATTGGGGACCACTCTCGGCTTCCAGGGGCCCCCTTGTAGGTGGCACCATGGCCACTTGCCCTACTCCAAGCCTGCAGAAGAGCGCCTCTCTGCCATGTCCCTTTCTTTTAAAAGACTTGCCTGACTGGTTCAGGTCCATTAGGTAGCGTCCCATTTGATTAGCTCAAAAGTACTGTAGCCCATCACATTCACTCACAGGAGGGCATTAGCGGGGTGTGGACACCAGGGAGTGAGAATCTCTCAGGCCAGTTTAGCATTCAGTTGGTTAGCCAGGTTCAGTGGCTCACGCCTGTAATCCCAGCACTTTGGGAGGCCAAGGCGGGCAGATCACCTGAGGCCAGGAGTTCGAGACCAGCCTGGCCAACATGGTGAAACCCAGTCTCTACTAAAAATACAAAAATTAGCCAGGCGTGGTGGTAGGCGCCTGTAATCTCAGCTACTTGGAAGCCTGAGGCAGGAGAATCGCTTGAACCTGGGAGGTGGAGGTTGCAGTGAGCCGAGATTGTGCCTTTGCACTCCAGCCTAGGCGATACAGCGAGTCTCAAAAATAAATAAATGCGAAGGCTGCTGAGCACAGTGGCTCATGCTTTATAATCCTGGCACTTTGGGAGGCCGAGGCAGGAAGACTGCTTGAGGCCAGGAGTTTCAGCCTAGCATGGACAACACAGTGCCACTCTATCTCTAAGTAAAATAAAATAAAATAAAATAAAATAAAATAAAATAAAATAAAATAAAATAAAATAAAATAGTAAAATAAGAATTCAGTTGGTTAAAAGAAACTCACTAGGTCCAGCCCACAATCAAGGGATGGAAATTACACAAAGTTGTGAAGAGTCAAGGGTGGGAGATCGCTGGCAGCCCTTATAGATGCTGCCTATCTCACATACCTGTTGGACAGCTTCTCTCTCCTAGCTGGGGGTATTTGGAGCGGGTGTCGAATCCTGCTCTTTTTTATGTCTGTTGCCTTTTCTCGCGGTGATGTGTTTCCTGTGTGTTCTGTAATTTTGGATCGTGAGCTGAGCTTCAGAGGGGCTTTAGTGGTCCCAGGGTACCACTAAGCCAAGGCAACTTTTATTTTTGAGACAGAGTTTCCCTCTTGTTGCCCAGGCTGGAGTGCAGTGGCGCAGTCTCAGCTCACTGCAACCTCTGCCTCCCAGGTTCAAGCTATTCTCCTGCCTCAGCCTCCAGAGTAGCTGGGATTACAGGCACACGAGGCTTGGCTAATTTTTTGTATTTTTAGTGGAGACGGGGTTTCACCATGTTGGCCAGGCTGGTCTCGAACTCCTGACCTCAGGTGATTCACCTGCCTCAGCCTCCTGAAGTGCTGGGATTACAGGCGTGAGCCACCACTCCCGGCCCAAAGCAACTTTTTAGTGTTAATTTCTCAACTCTGGCATTCCTAGACCACACAGGTGGCATGACTTTATTGTAGGAGTTCCACATTTACATAAGAGAGGCCTGAAAACGCAACGATCTCATGGGAAACTTGTTCACCACCTAAAGCTCAAAATTTCTCACCTCTCTCTGTTCCCCTGGGTGGAAATGTTTCTGTCCCTTTCTCTAAAGGTGTTGCATTTCTGTGGCCCCAACTTCATCATGCTTGACTGTAACCCTAACCCCCTGCCTTGTAAGGGATACCAACGCTCAACCCAGCCCTGCCCTCAGGCAGTTGCAGCACCAGCTCCTCTGTCCCCACCTTGGTTCTCACTCTCCTCTTCACTTCTGGCCTTAGGGGACTTAACTTATTTTCTGAAGAACTCAGCTATATATTTATTTTATTTTATTTATATATTTTTTGAGATGGAGTTTCACTCTTTTGCCCAGGCTAGAGTGTAATGGCGTGATCTTGGCTCACTGCAACTTCTGCCTTCCGGGTTTAAGCGATTCTCCTGCTTCAGCCTCCTAAGTAGCTGAGATTACAAGCGCCTGCCACCACTCCTGGCTGATTTTTGTATTTTTAGTAGAGATGGGGTTTCACCATTGGCCAGGCTGGTCTTGAACTCCTGGCCTCAGGTGATCCGCCTGCCTCAGCCTCCCAAAGTGCTGGAATTACAGGCGTGAGCCACCACGCCCGGCCTCAGCTCTATAGTTAAAAGGACATTTGTTTCTTACCCAGCATTTCTAGGTGTTTTGAAGAGGGAGACTTCTCAGGTTATCTAACCTGCTACTGAGAACTTAAAGATAGGGAAAATCTTGGACTGGAGATTCTTGGAATCACATAATTGAAAAATCCCAGCTGGGCGTGATGGCTCACGTCTATAATCCCAGCACTTTGGGATGCCGAGGCAGGTGGATCACCTGAGGTCAGGAGTTTGAGACCAGGTTGGCCAACATGGTGAAACTTCGTCTCTACTAAAAATACAAAAAAAAAATTGCCTGGCTTGGTGGTGGGCGCCTGTAATCCCCGCTACTCGGGAAGCTGAGGTAGGAGAATCGCTGGAACCCAGGAGATGGAGGTTGCAGTGAGCTGAGATCATGCCATTGCACTCCAGCCTGGGCAACAAGAGTGAAACTCCGTTGCAAAAAAAAAAAAAAAAAGAAAAGAAAAGAAAAGAGAAAGAAAAAGAAAAATCCCCACAGTGCAGATCGACAAAATCACAGAGTTGCTTTGGGAGCGAGGGTGGCAATCAGACACGGAGGCCATGACACAACCTGCTTATCCACTCAGGGGTCCAGAACCTCCACCCAGTCACCTTATCCGGGGGTGATGGAGACAGGGGAGGTGCCACCTACGCCAGTGTCATCTCTTACAATGAGCTCTTCTCCTGCTCGAAAAGAGCCAGCCTGCTGAGCTTGCTGCCAGGGCCCGTCGCACTGCCTGCGCTGTGTTGCCCGTCGCACAGCCTGTGATATGTGTTTCCCATCATGTGTGCATGTGTGTTGTCATGTAGTGTCTGTCACAGGTGTTACCCGTCACGTGTGTTTGCATGTTGCATGTGTGTGGCCTATCAGGTGTAAATATGTGTTGTCTGGCACATGTCAGCATCTGGGCATTCTCCGTGTGCCAGGAGCAGCCAGGTGGCCTGTGAAGCCTTCTCATGGGAAATGCCCAGATAGGAAGAGCACAGCCAGGAGCCAAGCCCCTGAGTGGCCACTCCATGTGCCTGGATCACCTTCAAGTCTGCTCAACATCACAGCCTCTGTTCCTTGGCACCATGGACATTGGAATTGACTCGGAACTGGGAAGAGCTGTAGGCCCACTATCCAGGCACCTGCTCCCCGTTTGCCCAGCATCCCAGGGGCCCACACCCTTCCAAATATCACCTTGCCCTCCATTCAGAGGTGAATCATCTGAGCGTCAGGTTGCCCAACTCCGACTGGTTTTGCTGGAGCCTGCCTAGAGGATGTCGCCAGCCACCTCCAGAGAACACTCAGTCTACAGATGCCGAGGGGGAACTGGAAGCACACAGTGCTGGCCTTCACCCAGGTTATGGTGGCACCTCGGGACCGCTTCTGAGTCTGCTTGTCACTGAAGGTCGGCGTGAGGCAGGCAGCGTTCCCTCCCAGATTTAGAAAATGTCAAGTCTCCCGCCGCACCCTTTTGTGTTTCTTACAGGGCCTGGTGCGCTTGCTGCCGCCACACTAAGGGCTCCAACATGTTCCCTCACACACTCAACAGAGAAGGAACCTGTGGCTCAGATGGCAGACTCCCTGTCCAAGGCCACAGAGTCTGGCCCCAGGGACCACTAGAGGCTTCAAGAACCAAACTCACATGAGGGCAGAGAGGAGAGATGGGGCCAGTTTAGGGCTGGGAGAATCCATAGAGCGATGCTGAGGCAGGCATGGAGCCTGGAGGTACGGACGAGGGTCTCGCCAAAGTCAGGGGTAAAGAGGCTGTGGGGAGTGAGGAATGGTGTGGGCCAGCCCCGGGCCTGCTGGGGTGCAGCTGGGGGCTCCATGGCCCTCCCACGGCCCCCACTTGTCCTCACCCAACCGTTCAGAGCTCTTCATGGCGGGGGTGTCCTCTCCTCTGGCCACAAGAGGAGCGGGTGGAGGAACGGCACCTTCAGGCCTTGTAGGGGGTCTGCCCCTCCACCAGCCTGTTTCTCGTGGGCATCGCAGCTGAGGCTGTAGCCGGGAAAGGGTAGTCACCGAGCGTACCTGGCCTCCAACCACCACTTCCAAGGCCCCTACTGGGCACAGGGTGACCCCACCGTGGCTCGGAAGTGGACCCTGTCCGACGCGGGGGTGGTCGCTGGAGGGCGGAGGATGCCTACACAGGCCTCTGGAGGGTGTGTCTCGGGAGTCTGTCTCGCCCTCTGGACCCATGGGGGACCAGCAACGCCGTCACACCCTCCTCTGTCTCTGCCAGCCGCTCCGCCGCTCCCTTCTCCTGGCTGGGGCTGGCAAAGGCAGGCAGGTATGGGGGGGCGGGGCCTCAGGAGGGAGGAAGGGCTGGTGGGCGGGGCCTACGGACACCTCGCCCCGCCCCCAGTAGGGCGCGGCACTCCCCACACCACGCGGTCCCCCTAGGTCAGGGCCTGTCACCACTGCGCCCAGAGGCCGGGCCAGCCGTGCGTGCATCCCAGGGCATCCGTGCATCCGTCCCCCGCGGCCTGGGACTCCCCAGTCAGGACAGTACAAAATCTCTTTATTGCTCATTTTCTGTAAAAAATCGTGGCTCTCGGCGGACCCTGGGGATAGGAGGTGCAAAGTGCGCTCACACGCGGCCCGGGTCCGCGGCCGAGAGCTGTGGGGATCTGGAGCGGGCCGGGTCGCAAGAAGACCCTGACCGTGCTCCGGCGCTGGGGCGCGTGCTAAGGGCCCGCGGGGTTTCAGCTGTATTTTCGAACCCCTGTGCTTGGCCGAGGGGTTCCCAAGGCTCCACTCCGCCTTGGAGGGGGCTGCGGAAGCCCGGAGGTGACCTGGGCTCTGGGAGGGGCGTCCCCAACGTGGGGGAGGGGAGACAGGGGCCTTTGAAGACAGCGCGGGACTCGGAGGGGGTCCCCCCGACCTCAGACGTGGTAAACTGAGGCCGGCGAGGAGGGAGGCTGAGTCCGGGGACCAGGCGGCCCCTCACTGCTCCTCCGGCCCGTCTCCCCCCTGCGCCTGTTCGTACGGGCAGGGCCGGCGGCCGAGTCCAGCGGGCTCGGGGCCAGGCCTGGGCCCTGCGGGCGGCGCCTCCTCCTCCGCGCCGTCCCCATGCTCGCCCTCCGCGTCGCTCTCGTCCGAGTTGTCCTCCTCCAAGTAGCGGTAACCGCGCACCTTGTGCTGGGGCCGCGGGATGCGGGGCTGGCGCGGGGCCACGCCCCGGCGCAGCTTCTGCTCCATCCGCAGGTAGGAGACCGCGGCCGCCACCAGCGTCACCAGCAGCACCGCCAGCTTAGCCTGGGCGTAAGGAGAGGGATGCCAGGGACCCGCGGCCGCCTCGCCCCGCACCTTCCCCGCCTATGCCCCTCGCTGAGATAGGCCCTTCCCTCCTCCGGGAGCCTCCCGGGCCACGCGGCCCTCAACTTCTCCAGCCCCTCCACCCATGCTTCCTGGACCGCCTCCTGCAGGCGAGGCTCACATCCAGCACTGTCCCTTACAGTCGCCACGCCCCTGGCGACCTCAGTGTCCCACACTGTAAGGGGACAATGCAAATCCCTTTGCCTCATAGGGTGCATGCGCCAGTGTTGATAAAGTGCTGGCCACAGGCCCTGCCTTCCCAGGGCTCACAACACTGTGTCCCTGACACACCCGTGGGCTGTAGTGATGCTTTTCATGGGGTTTTGACTATAACCCGCAGTCAGGAATGATTTCACACCATAGCCCAGTACATACACACATATCTGTATGCATACTTCCTGCTCTTTTCTTTTTTCCAGACACGGTCGCTCCGTTTCCCCACCGCGCCCCCTCCCTCCCTTCCCCCACCCACTGCTGGAGCGCAGTGGCACGCTCACTTCAGCCTCAATCTTCCAGGCTCAAGCCATCCTCCCACTTCAGTCTCCCAAGTAGCTGGAACTACAGGCACACGCCACTACGCCCAGCTATTTTTTAAATTTTTTGTAGAGACAGGGTCTCCTATGTTGCCCAGGCTGGTCTTGAACTCCTGGCCTCAAGCAATCCTCCTGCCTCAGCCTCCCAAAGTGTTGGGATTACAGGCGTGAGCCACCATGCCCAGCCCACTCACTGCTTTTCTTTTTTTTTTTTCCTTTTTTTTTTTTTTGGAAGACAGAGTCTCGCTCTGTCCTCCAGGCTGAAGTGCGGTGGCGCGATCTTGGCTCACTGCAACCTCCATCTCCCAGGTTCAAGCCATTCTTGTGCCTCAGCCTCCAGAGTAGCTGGGATCACAGGGACGTGCCACCATGCCCAGCTAATTTTTGTGTTTTTAGTAGAGACAGAGTTTCACAGCCTGTTACCCAGGCTGGTCTCGAACTCCAGATCTCAGAACCCCCACCTCAGCGTCTCAAAATGCTGGGATTACAGGCGTGAGCCACTACTGCCAGCCCACTCCCTGCTATTTTTAGTTCTATTTTTATTTTTATTTTGAGACGGAGTTTCGCTCTTGTTGCTTAGGCTGGATGGAGTGCCAACGCCCCGTCTCGGCTAACTGCAACCTCCGCCTCCCAGTTCAAGTGATTCTCCTGCCTCAGCCTCCTGAGTAGCTGTGATTACAGGCACCTGCCACCACGCCCGGCTAATTTTTGTATTTTTAGTAGAGACGAGGTTTCACCATGTCGGTCAGGCTGGTCTCAAACTCCCTACCTCAGGCAATCCACTCGCCTCGGCCTCCCAAAGTGCTGGGATTACAGGCGTGAGCCACCGCGCCCGGCCTTTAGTTCTATTTTTAAAAAATGTTTAGCAACTGGGACTTGCTAGACCGAGCCACCATTTTTTGTGAGCAGAGCATGAGGAGCCTGCTCCCCTTCAGGCCATGAAGAGAGACAGACCCAACATCTGGAGAACAAGGTACCAAACAGCCCACAGGATGGCTGTGATGCACCCACAAATCCCCTCAGAGATGGGCAAACTGAGACTGGCTGGAGGTGGGCCAGTAAGTGGGGTGCTGAGTTGGGGGCCACCCAGTGGGCTGCAGGAATGGGGCCTTGGCCCAGAGACTGGCTTGGGAAGGGGTGGCATTTAGGAAGCTGTGAAGCCAGGGCAGGGGCTAAGGAAGTACCTGTCATTGGGCATGGGGCCCCCAACCCTGCCCAGTCTCACCTTCATGTGCAGGCTCGAGCCCAGGTACACGGTGAAGATGGCCACAGCCTGCCACCAGTGGTAGATGGTGAAGATGAAGTCCTGTCTCTCCTTGTCTTCGTACAAGATTCCCAGGAGTGCTGCAGGCAGGCAGTACAGGGCAGGCAGGGGAGAGGTGTCACCTGGGGCCTGGGGCTACCGAGCTACCATCTACGAACTTTACTAAGCCCTGTATGGGTCCCAGCCCCGGACCAGAGAGCGCCTAGAAAGTGCTGTGAGGCGGTCCTGGCCTGCCCCCTGGTGGAGACCCTGGTCACCACACTGCTCACACGCTAAGCAGAAGTAGGAGCAGGTGCCTCGGGCTGTGTGGATGCAGGTGTTCCCGCTCCGCACCACATGCGTGGCCTCAAAAGAAGAAAGCTCTGTGCTTAGTCATGTCCTGTCCCCAACCCAGGTGTGCAGTGCCAAGCTTGCAGGCGCTGTTTCTCCTCCTCAGCCAGGACTAGAGAGATCGAACTGTTTGCAGCTGCCAACTCTGCAAATCAAACCTGAAGCTAAGCATGGAGAGGGGGGATTCCTTTCCAGTGAGTCCTCCCAGGGTGGGCAACAAGAGTAATGGATTGGGAGTCAGAAGATGCACGCTCGTTCTCAGGGCTGTAATGTTGGCTCTGTGGGTGATTTGGGTACTTAACTCCCCAGAGCTGCTTTTCCCAATGGTGAGATGAGCTTATGCCTATTGTGTGCTGTGTTCTGAAGTTCTAAAGTGAGAAAGTGGGCATGGCACCTGCCAAATCATAGGGGCCACTATTAACACCTTCACCAGGCACTCAGGATATGAACACTCCTGTTTTGGGGCCCTGCAGGGTGACTTTACCCCCACAGTGCTGCTATGAAGAGACAAGGACCCCCCGGGGTTCACCGGAGGAGATGGGATATGGAGCTGGGCAGAGGGGATGCCAGGACCAGACAGGGCACAACATGGGTTCAAGATACCCAGGCTGGACTCTGCCCAGAATTGGCTATCCTTGGGCAAAACGGCCAAGAGACTGTGGTGCAGTATGAGGCTCCAGCCCCTGCTACAGACAGAGACACAGAGCCAGCCTCCGCCCTGCCAGCAGCAGGCATGACCTCGGCTACTCCACACCCCCAAGGATGACGTTCAAAACTGTTCACAGCTTCGGCCCATCAGAACAGACACTGACATGGATGCCCGGCAGGACTGCCCATGTGTGCTAGCTGTGTTTCACTGCGTGTGCCCATCTGTGGTCAGGGAGCATCCTGGAGCTGAACATGGGCCCACCCGCTGCCTTCTGCAAACAGGGCCCTGTTCCCCAGCAGCCCAGACCTGGGGCCTGGACTCTGGTACTGAGCAGACTGGGTTGGGGCTGCAGGCCTGCTCCTCTCTATACAAAGGCCCATGTCTGTATCTATGCCATGGGTGTACAACAGGCCACTTGCTCCTACCACATGCTCCGTGAAGCAGAGACCAAAACATCTGCTCCAAGTGTCATGAAAACTATGCCAGGGTAAGCCCTGTCCCCTGGTATGAAAAGGGAGAATCCCTGATGTGTTTTTCACACTGTCCCTAAGGGGTGTCCACAGAGCCCCACACCTGCCCCATGTAGCCACGAGACTTCACACTGACCCTCCAGTGTTGATGGGGCCCTGTGCCCGCTCTGGGGTATTAACAGAATGTCCATGGCATGGAACCCCCATACCTGTCTCCAGGGTGTCCACACCCTACCCATCTGTCCCCAGTGTGTCCATAAGACTTCCCTTCCACCCCCGGAGTGTCCACAGGAAGCCCCACCTGCCTCTGCCATGTCCACAGGACCCTATGTGACCATGGGACCCCATATCTGTCCCTGGGATGTCTATGTCTCGCCAACCACCCACAGATAGCCATAAAGCCCCCTGCCCCGCCCCCCCCCCCCCAGTGCCCACAGCTATACTCACTGCTGAGTCCAGTCTTGTTCAGGGCACTGCCCACACCCCAAAGGGCAGCTGCCACATAGAGGATCCAGCTGTGTTGCAGGACCCGAGGCACAGGGGCCCAGAAAAAGAGGATGAAGGTGAGCAGCAGGTGCACCCCTGCTCCGGCCACCAGGGGCACCGGGCGTGGCAGCCACAGGCCCAGCAGGCCCAGGAGTGAGGCGGCTGAGGCGCCCAGGCTGTAAGCCACGAGGAGGTAAGCCAGCCGCTCCAGCCCCACCGAGCACACGCCATAGCCCTGCGGGGGGACAAGGGGTGAGTGTTGAAGTCTGGAACAGCCCAGACCACAGTCTCAGCCCTCCCCGCATCGCGGGGGTGCCTCACCCCCCTGCGATGGGGGTCCTAAGAGCCAGGGGGGAAGAGGGTCTGGCTCTTACTCCCCGCATCGTGGGGGGTGCCTCACCCCCCTGCGATGGGGGTCCTAAGAGTCGGGGGGAAAAGAGGGGTTGGCTCTTACTCCCCGCATCGCGGGGGGGTGCCTTACCCCCCTGCGATGGGGGTCCTAAGAGCCAGGGTGGGGAGAGGGGCCCCCCGCGATACGGGGAGTAAGAGCCAGGTGGGGAGAAGGGCTGGCTCTTACTCCCCACAAGAGGTGTTCCTTAGGCCACACCCTGCCCTCCCTGGACTGCCTGACCTCGCTCCAAGGCTCAGGGGAAGGTTCTGAGGGCAGGTGTGAAAATGCTTGGAATGTCCCTAGACACCGTGGGCTGTACCCCACAAGGAACTAAACACTCTGTGGGTGCTATCCCATTTCGATTCAGAGAAGTTAAAATAACTTGCCCAAGGTAAAGGGGGGACGGGGGTAAGAGAGGGAAGAGAAAGCAGGAGGGGGATATTTGGGATATACATGTACACACTTACATATGTAATTAAAAATTATTCTTTGTTTACTTGAATTCAAATTTACCTGGCTATCTTGTCTTTTGTCGGGCAATCCTTTGCAGGCTGTACTTACCAAGGCGATACCAGTGCAGGCAAAGAGCACCTCGAAGCCGCTGTAGATAAAGAAAGGCACGAGGTGGCGCAGGCGGTAGTCACGCACGTGCTTGAAGGGCAGCTGGAAGATGTTGCCCCAGCCCACGCTGCGCAGATCGATCTCCTCCGTGGGCCGGTAAGCGGCTCCGCACAAACCCAGCACCTGCGAACCCATTACTTGAAGGGGCGGCCAGCCAGGCCCAGGCCTGGCCTCCAGGCTTCAGCCCCGCCCTTCAGATGCACCACGTGCCTGGGCCTTGCCCCAGCTCGGCCCCGCCTCCCAAACCAGGGCCCCGCCCCTGAGACACTCCCACAGACCCAGGTCTTGCCTTATCCCAGCTCAAGGCCCCGCCTCTCAGCACAAAGCCACGCCACCACACTCCGAAAGACGGTGGTCTTGCCTCCCAGCCCAAGGCCCCATCCCCTCTCTCTCACATACACACACTTCACAACTCACATTCAGACAAATCCATAGACTTCAACCTTCCTTCTCAGCCCCGCGCCAGACCTCAGCCCCGCCTTCCAGGCTAGTCCCCGCCCCTCGGACACACCCACAGACTTCGGCCCCGCGTCCCAGCACTAGGCCCCGCCTGACACAGCCACGGACTGGGCCTTGCCTCCCAGCTCCATCGCCAGGCTGCAGCATGCCAACGCCTTAGTTCTGCCGTCCAGTATCACTTCCAGTTTGAGCCACACCTTCCAGCCCTCACCCTTGGTCCTGTCCCCAACCCCCTCACAGGTCTCAGTCAGTCTTCTAAGATCTTGTCTCCAGCTCGAAACTGTGGACCAAGCCTGTTCCCTCCTTCCCCTGGCCTCTGGATGCCCACGCCTGCCTCGGACCACAGGCCTCAGCCCCGCCTCCGAGCCTCATGCCCGCTCTGCAGCACTCGGCCCTAGCTCCCCAACTCAGATCGCGCTCCCAGGCCTACGGCCTGCCCCGAGGCCACAACCCGACCCAGGCCATGCCATCCGATCCAGACCCTTTCTCGCAGACTCGGTCCCCAGAACCACACTCTGCTTCACTGACTGTCCTGCCCCCATCCCGGGCCGCACCAGCAGCATGGCCAGGAAGGCCACTGCCATGAGCACGCTCTCCACCACAATGAGGTTTCCGCTCCGCGGGAGCGTCCGCAGAACCGTCTTGTTGAAGCCGCTGAGGATCCCGTGGCTGTTGGTGCCTGGGAAGGGTGGGGGTGAGGGCACCGTGAGCAGAGAGTAGGGCACACAGTCAATCCAGCCACCAGGGTGGAGCCACGCAGGCCGCGGAGGAGCGGTGGAGGGCGGGAGAGTGAGAGCAAGGGCAGAGTTCCTTCAGAGAGCAGTTTGGAGGTTTGGACCACTGGGGCTGGGTTTGGACCACTGGGGCTGGGTGTTCCCCGGGAAAGGGGCATCTTTCCCCTGCTTCCCACCCTATTTCCCCAAGGCTCAGTGGACCTCACATTTCCATGCACACCCCCTGCACTGATTGAGCTCTGACTGTTTGCCTGGCCCCAAGAAAGATCCCACTGGCAGCCTCAGCCCAGATGGTGCCTTCTCCAGGCAGTCTTCCCCGCCCACCCACTCTCCTGGCTGGGTCAGATGTCCTAACTACTTACTCCTACAGGGCCCTGTGTCTTGCCCACCAGAGCCGTGGGGCACTGGGCTGCCAGCCCTGAATCCTGTGAGTGAGGGCCCAGTGTCTGCTGGGGAAGTAAGCAGGCTTTGTGGACTCCTCCCCAACCCCCAACAAGGACTAACCGCAGCTCTGCACATTGTACAGCGTGTGGTTCAGGTCATACAGGTAGTGGTTCAGGAAATAAATCATGGGCAGCTGGGCGCAGGCGAAGCTCAGCTGCAGAAACAAGGGCAGTTGGGACCAGACTCAGGCACAGAGCCAGGCAAGGGACACAGGCATGGTCTGGGGAGGGGTCCAGGCACAGCCTTGGGGGAACAGGGGCCTTCCCAGTTCTGGGAGTAGTGTGGTTACAGGGCCGCCCAATGAGGAAGACCTCCTCCTGGCCAGCATTGTGGAAAAGGGCAGATGAGATCTCTATCTCTATGGATGAGCAAGCTGGGGTGGGCTCAAGAAAGGAAGATGGGCAGCCTGGGCAACATAGTAAGATCCTATCTCTACAAAAAATAAAAAATTAGCTGGGTGTGGTAGCACACGCATATGATGCCAGCTACTCAGAAGGCTGAGGTAGGAGGATCACTTGAGCCCAGCAGTTCAAGGTTGCAGTGAGCTGTGACTGCACTACTGCACTCCAGCCTGGGCAACAGTGCAAGACCCTGCCCCCAACCCCCACCAAAAAAAAAAGAAAGAAAGAAAAAGAAATGAAGGTGGGGCAGATACAGTGGTGTGCGCATGTAGTCCCAGCTACTTGGGAGGCCAAGGTGGGAGGATCACTGGAGCCCAGGAGTTCAAAGCCATCTGGGCAACATAGTGAGACCAGGCCTCTTAAAAATAACAATAATAAAAGAAAGAAAGTGGGACTAGAGGGTTGAGACTGTGGATGGGCTCCAATGCGTGGGTCTGCCCCTGCCACCCAACAATGGCCCACGTGGCACTCACATGGAAGAAGCTGTAGAAGATGGCTTGGAAGACCAGGAGATAGGGCGCGTGGGAGCCCCGCGGAGGCCGCTGCTTCATCCCCTGCCCATCCTGCTCCTTGTAGTGGGAGTACTCATGGTACTTCTGCGCCATCCTGGACCACAAAGGAGAGAAGGCTCTCCCCAGCCCGACCTGTGCCACTCCTGTGTGTCCTGCACCCAGAGCTAGGAGCAGACCAGCCCCGGTGTGGGGAAACTGAGGCCCAGAGGGCGGAAGGGGCTTCCTGTGGTCCCCCAGCCAAAGTTGGCAATAAAGTGGAGGCTTGGCCAGGTCTCCAGCCTCCTGCCCTGCTGCCCACCAGGCTCACCTGGTGATGTAGTTGCCCATGGAAGCCCAAAGAGGCACGATGGCCATGCCCAGGGCCACAGCCGAGGGCACAAGCGTGTAGTAGCGCTCCCAGTAGTTGGTGGAGACAAAGAGGGCGTAGATGCCCACAGCGAGGAACATCATCCACTTCGTTCCAAAAAACCTGCGGACAGTGGGAGAGATGCTGGCACCACAGGCCTGCTGGACCACTGTGGCCTGAAGCCAAACGGGGCCACAACCGCAGGTCCCAGCTCACAGGGCTTTGTGAGGTAGAGAGAGTCGAGGGCACTGAGATGGAATATCAGATACACAGACTTGCTGAGTGGCCTCAGGCAAGCTACTGTGCCTCAGTTTTCCCAGCTGTAATATGGGCACGGAGCCCAAACCACAGGCCTCTCATCACCACTGTGAGGATGGAGAGTGACCCATGGGTGTAACCAGCCCTCATGCGTGTTCTGGGCTCTCTGATTCTCCCATTCCCCCTTCTCCTCCCAAGCTCATGCACTGTGTCTGTAGGGCCCAGGGGCTTGACTCAGGCTGGGAGAAGAGAAAGGAAGAGGCCCCACTGCTGGGAGCAGCAGAGCCAGAGTCCCGGCACCCCTGCCTCCAGTCCATTGCTTTTATGAACCATGGTGGTCAGTCAGGAAGTTTCCACCTCTCTGGGTCTGGGAAAAGGTCACACAGTGACAATAGAAGGGGCTTGGTGAGTGACAGGATGAGGGCTCAACCACCCATGGAGGCTGATCAGGCCAAAAACCACTACTGGTATCTTCAAGTTTTCTGTATTTATGCTCCTTAAGTAAAAATGCCAGTAAAAATGTGCATTCACTGCTGGTGAGGATGTGGTTTGAAAGTGGCACATATAGGCCAGGCACAGTGGCTCACATCTGTAATTCCAGCACTTTAGGAGGTGGAGGTGGGCAGATCACCTGAGGTCAGAAGTTTGAGACCAGCCTGGCCAACATGGTGAAACCCCACCTCTACTAAAAATACAAAAATTAGCCGGGTGTGGTGGTGCACACCTGTAATCCCATCTACTTGGGAGGCTGAGGCAGGAGAATCGCTTGAACCCAGGAGGTGGAGGTTGCCGTGAGCTGAGATCGCGTCACCGCACTCCAGCCTGGGCAACAGCAAGATTGCTCAAAAAAAAAGTGGCACATATAGCCAGTGGTCACACACACTGGCATAACCCTTTGGGAAAGCAGCCTGGTAGTTTTGGCAGGGGGTGAACATGTGGATTTGAGTCCCTCTACTGGGGTTCAAGCCTTCAGTCTGCCAGTTACTGCCTGTGGGACCTGGGCAAGTTGTTTAACACCATGGTTTCTTCATGTCTAAGACTGGAGCAGCTTCCTCAAATTATTGGGAATGAAATTGCGCTTATAAAGTGCCCAGCACGGCCGGGCGTGGTGGCTCGTGCCTGTAATCCCAGCACTTTAGGAGGTGGAGGTGGGCAGATCACCTGAGGTCAGAAGTTTGAGACCAGCCTGGCCAACATGGTGAAACCCCGTCTTTACTAAAAATACAAAAAATTAGCTGAGCGTGGTGGCGGGCGCCTGTAATCCCAGCTACTCAGGAGGCTGAGGCAGGAAAATCGCTTGAACCTGGGAGGCAGAGGTTGGAGTGAGCCGAGATTGTGCCATTGCACTCCAGCCTGGTGATAGAGTGAGACTCCATTTCAAAAAAAAAGTAAAAATAAAAATAAATAAATAAAATAGAGTGTCGGGCAGACAGGAGACAAGAGTTCACTGCTATTAGTAGAAGTGATAGGTTTCAAAAGCCATAAAGCCTTTTGTATGGCTTGGACCTAGTAAAGACATTGTTGAAAATGTATCCTAGGAAAAATAATTGTTTAAAAAATTGGGGGAGTGCTGGATGTGGTGGCTCACACCTGTAATCCCAACACTTTGTGGGGCTGGGGCGGGTGAATTTGAGACTGGCCTGAGCAACATAGCAACTCCCCATCGCTACAAATACTTTAAAAATCAGCCAGATGTGATGGCGTGCGCCTGTAGGCCCAGCTACTCGGGAGGCTGAGGTGGGAGGATTGCTTGAGCCCAGTGTGTGGGGGTTGAGGAGGCAGTGAGCTGTGTTCGTGCCACTGCACTCTAACCTGGGTGACAGAGTGAGACTCTGTCTCAAATAATAATAATAATAAAATAAATAAACACATAATTTAAAAAAAAAAAACAAGGAAACAGATGTAAGCACAGAAGGAACTGCAGTGTCCAATTCCAAGCCACTGTTCAGTGCCACCGTATCTGCAGAAGATGCTACCATTGCAAAGTCGTAACTGTGAAGGCTGTAGAGTAGGCTAAGATATGCTCAGTGAAAAGAAGGAAGCAAGCTCTGGGCACTGTGGCTCATGCCTGTAATCCCAGCACTTTGGGAGGCCAAGGCAGGAGAATCACTTGAGGTCAGGAGTTTAAGACCAGCCTGGTCAACATAGTGAAACCCCATCTCTACTAAAAGTACAAAAATTAACCGGGTGGCAGGCGCCTGTAATCCCAGCTACTCAGGGTGCTGAAGTAGGAGAATCGCTTGAGCCTGGGAGGCAGAGGTTGCAGTGAGCCGAGATCACACCACTGCACTGCAGTCTAGGTGACAGAGCAAGTATCTGTCTCAAAAAAAAAAAAGTAAGCAAGCAAAAGCAAACATAGCCCGCTTGCATACACACACACACACACACACACACACACACACACACGGGCACGTCCACACACGTGCTCTGGGGACAAGGATGTGAATGTAATCCATGCATGCTGGTGGGACAGCATGGGTAGCCGATTTCCTGGAGGGCTTAGATGGGGTTTCTTTTTTATGATTTCAGTTATTCTAATCCTGCCTGTGCAACGGGAGATGTTTTAAATTTTCAAATTTTTGTTTAAATGGAGTTTTCTCTTGTTGTTTTGTTTGTTTGTTTGTTTTAAAGATGAGGGAGCTCAAATTCACCTAATTTGTCCACTGGTCTCCAGGTCCCATCAGGGAGGGCACTGTGGACCGGTGATGGGGAGGCTGAACCACATACCTCCAGGGCTCAGATCTGGGGGAGAGCTCTGGGGCACCTGCCCAGCCATGCCTGTCTGTGAGAAACACCCCCTCAGCACCAGTCACAGCGACTGGGCCAGGCATGGGTGCCTGGACTTTGCTGACCGATCAGAAACCCCTAACTCTACAGCCCCAACCCTGAAGGCCACAGTGGCTCTGGGAGGCCTCCAAGGAGGCCACGAGGAGGGTGCCACGTGAGGCCCAGGCAAGCTGGGAGGGAGCTCAGCCCGTGTGAATCTGTTGCTGGAAACCAAATGTGCCCTGAGGCAAAGTTCCTGTTTCCTTCCCCAAATCCGAGTTTCACCCCCTTCACTCTCAGGCTTCCGGGTAGAAAAAAACCTCTCCCTTGTTCCCTCGCCCCACAAACACCCCGGCAGATGGACACCTCCTGGCCCGCCGGCCTCTGTACCCCTCCGAAATGGGAGTACCGCAGCATCCCACAGGAGCAGCCGCGCCCACCTGATGAGCACAGGTGTGTAGAGCAGGGCGGCGATGGGAGTCACGTTGATGCCCATCAGCATTTTGCTGTCGATGTCGGGCAGCCCCATGTTGCCATACTTCACCTCGCGGTAGGTCTCGTCGTAGTGCAGGATCAGCTGCATCTGCAGGAGGCCTGGGGACAGGACAGAGAGCGGCGTGCAGGGAGCAGCCTAGCTTTGGGCGCCACCGAGCAGAAGACGGCATGCAGGCCTCGCAGGGAGCTCCAATCACCGAAGGCATTCCCGCTGACAGCGCCCCTCAGGACAGCGGGGTTCCCGGGCTGCGCCACGCCTTCTGCCAGCCCGCGGCCACTTGGCCAGCTAAGCCCAGACCCCCACCCGCCTTGCTCCGCCGGCCTCCAATTCTGACGGTGGCAGGTCTGTCCGGGAGCCCGGACCCCCGTCCCCCACCCACACCGAGGCTCTGGCTGGGACCCGGGGACGCTGCGCTACTTGACCCCCCAACCCCACCCCCGCCGCGGGGGGCCGTGGCTGCAGCTGCGAGGGCAGCGGAGGGGAAGTGAGAGCGGGCGGGAGGCGGCGGCCCGCGGTTTCTGTTTCCCGGGCCGGGCTGGGAGCGGGCGGGGCGGCCCCGGGTCCCCGAGCGGCACCTACCCAGGTAGACGCCGTAGGTGAGCATGCCCCCGGCGCTGGCAGCCAGCACGTTCTTGAGCACGCCCAGGCGCTTGCGGCGGTAGTAGCGGCGCTCCTCCTCCTCCTCGTTGTAGTTGGGGTACGCGCCCACCAGCTCGTCCAGCTGCGAGCCACGCACGCCGCTCGCACCCGCGATCGCGCCCCGAACCCGTGTCCCCCGGTGCCCGCCGCCCCCCGGCCCGCCCCGCCCCCGCCGGGGGGACCCTGGCCCACAGGGGACGCCCGCGCCTCGCACTCCGGGTCCCCGCTCACCGGGGCCTCGGGCCCGTCCGGGACCCCGAGCAGGTCCTCGTCGCCCTGCGGCCCCGCAGCCCCCGCCATCGGGTAGAGCGGCGGCTCCGCCTCCATGGCCCGAACTACTGCGGACTCGCGGCGGTCGCCCCGGAGTCCCTGCGACCGCCCGGCCACTTCCTCCCGGCGGCCGGGACCTGCCCCCGCCCCGCCCTGTCCCGCCCTGCGGGCCGCCTCCTCCAGGACACGTGTGTGTGTATGTGTGTGTGCGCGCGCGCGCGCGCGTGTGTGCAGGGGCCTGCCTGTGTGTGCCCTCTGGGGTGTGAGTTCGAATCCCCACTCAGCCACCTCCTGGCCCTGTGACTTTAGGAATTAACTCCATTTCTTTGTGCCTCGGTTTCCTCCGTTTCCTCGACGGTAAAACAGAAATACATGGCACTACCCCCGGGGCCATGGCGGAACTATTGAGTTAATGCAAAGCCTTGGAAAAGTGCCAGGGTTGCCTGGCTCCCTTAAGCTCCCCTCAGGGTTGCCTGGGTCGTCCCCAGCCCCACCTCCAAGCCTGCTGTTACAGCTCATCAAAGAGCACTGCAGGGACAGTAGCGTCACCACCTGGACCCCACCTCCCACCACCGGACGCTACAGCCAGAGCCCACCTCCCATGTCCCCATCCTGCTCCAGTTTGGGCTGTGCAAATGGGAGCTTGAGTGGGTCCTGGGAGGTGGAGATTGTGATCCCCACTGAACTACATGGGGGACCCTGCCACAACCATGTAGTGGGGCCCAGAGCCACCTGCCCCCATCCTGCTGGGCACTGGATCCCGGGCTGCAGCGGGAGCCTGTGGTGGGGCCGACACTCCAAAGCACTGGCTACCACCGACCTGGCTGGAGCCACGGGGCCACTTTTGAAAATATCCAGATTCTCTCCCCTGGGTTCCTTCTGGTTTGAATGCTCTTCCTGCTGCGCCTCCCAGGTGGCTTCCTTCCCACTCAGCTCTCAGAACAAGAGACCATCCCTGCAGAGAATGCAGTCCCTTCACTTCCCTTCTGGTTTTCCATGCCCTCCCTGTGCACCCCCCTCCACCCACTGCTCTTTAGGTACATCCTCTCCCAAATGCAGAGGATGGCATTGGGCACCTACTGAGTGATCAATACTTGTGACTGGATGGGTGCATGAGTGACTGGATGACAAACACCTCCCACCCCGCAAGGATTGCTGGGAAGGTGGGGGGAGGCGTGAATCTGCAGTGGCTTCAGGCTTCCAGGAGGTAGAACTTTCTCCAGGTGACGATGCCCAAGTGCAGATGTGGGGAACAGACAGGTGGATTCATGCAGGTGGGTGGCTGGAAGTGGGAGACAGGAAAGGAGCCGAAGAGAGGGCAGGGCCCGAGGCGCAGGGGCAGGGAGGAGGTGGGAGAGTATGGCTATGGCGGGGGCCGTTCTCAGATGGCAGACACCAGCATCATTACACAGTATGATGAGAAAGTGCAATTCTCCTGACTCAGCCTTGTGAGTAGCTGGAATTACAGGCGTGTGCCCCTACACCCAGCTGATTTTTGTATTTTTAGTAGAGATGGGGTTTCACCATATTGGCCCAGGCTGGTCTCGAACTCCTGACCTCAAGTGATGTACCCGCCTTAGCCCCCAAAGTGCTGGGAGTGGGCCCCCCGAGCTTCTCAATTTCCCTGAGGGACCCCAAACTTCTGGGGCCTGGTGCAATCTCTTCCTCCCCTTGTTCCTCTGGGCCTGGGGGTTGTGGCGGTTGCTATGGTTGCCCATCCTGGGCTCTTCCATCACCTGTGCTGTACCACCAATTCCCTGCACTCAATGTCTCCTACTCAAAACACCTGGAGAGGGTCGGGCGCTGTGGCTCACGCCTGCAATCCCAGCACTTTGGCTGGCCAAGGAGGATCACTTGAGCTCAGGAGTTCAAGACCAGCCTCAACAAAGTGAGACAAACCCCCCCCCCCAACCCATCTCTACAAAAAATACAAAAACTAGCCTGGTGTGATGGTGGACACCTGTAGCCCCAGCTACTCAGGAGGCTGAGGTGGGAGAATTGCTTGAGCCCAGGAGGATGAGGCTGCAGTGAGCTGAGATTGTGCCACTGCATTCCAGCGTGGGTGACAGAGTGAGACCTCTCAAACAAACAAACAAACAAAAAACAAAAAAAACAAAAAACAGCCCTGGAGGCACTAAACCCTGACTGATACACCTCCTCTCTCCAGAAAGGATTTTTTTTTTTAGGTGGTTTATGGAGCTGCTCTTGGGGAGCCTGGAGACTATCTAAGAGGCTGATAGGGTGGCCCAGATAAACACACCAGGGTGACCTGCGGGACAGAGATCTGAGCAGGGCCAGCACCTCCACCAACCCATCCAGGTTGCAACAGTGCACAGTCACATCCCCAGGAAGGGGTGGCCAGATCCCCCCGTGCTCACTGTTTGCCAATGCTTTTCTCTATAATAAGCCTTTACTTTCAGTTCTCATTATGAAAATAATCGATGTTCCTTGCAGAAAAGCAAGCAGAAGAGAATAAATATTGCTCTCAACTGGAACTCCCTGAAACAACCTCTTGGAATATTGTTGCCCCGCATTGCACTGACACAGGAGCGTGCTGGGCAGCCCACGTGATTCCCTTCACACCACTTCCCTGGCATGGATGTGATTCCACAATATTTTAAACATTAAAGCCAATGGGGATGATGATCACTGAGTCTGGCTCACAGGATGGTGGGAGGTCCCCAGGTTGGGGTGTGCCAAAGGCTCTGCCCAGTGCCTGGCACAGCAAATGCCCAGGTGGCTGCTGCTTTCCACTGAGACTTGAGGCTCCTGAGAGTTGGTGGCAAAGGGCTCACCCAGAGCTGAAGACTCCAGCCCATTCCTGTGCGAGGGCTCCAGGCACCTTGGAAGCACCGTGGGCCGGGGAGCCAGGCCAGGCTGGTTGTGGATCCCCATGAGTCCTTGTCACTGTGTGGCCCAGCTGGAAAGCATGGTCAATAATGTCTGGGAATTGTGAAAATTGTGTGAAGTGTCTGCACACAGTAGGTGCTCAGTAAAGGTTTGTTGAGTGCGTAAATGAACAAGTGACCCGCATTCACCGTTGCCCGTGAGTTCTGACTGTGTCCTGGGCCCTGGGCCCCTACAGCCTCTAACTTTGCCTCTTCAAGGAGCCAGGGTGGGTCCAGCCTTCAAGACTGCCAGGGAGGGGGTGGGAGGCAGGGCCAGGGCCTCAGGGCCAAGGCCTGGGGCAGCCACTTCCTCAGGAGGGCAAGGAGAGGGGCAGGAGGACATTCACATGCTCTGAGCGCCTACTGAGAACCAGGTGCCCTGTCGGTGCCTTCAGGTCGGCTCTCGTTTCACCCTCGCAGTAGCCATGTGAGGCAGGCAGAGTCAGCCCCCATTTTACAGCTGGGGAAACTGAGGCCCAGTGAGGGGACGTTTCTTTTCAAGGTCACTCGTGGGCAGATGAGGCAGTGAGATGCTCTTGGGCAGGTCTGAGGCCCTGTGAGCCAGGCTCAGGGGCGTGTTTCTGAGAAGTGAGGGAATGAATGAATGAATTATGAATGGATGAATGATTCCACCTGATGCCATGCTCATGCCCTGCCCACACTCCTGTCCTAGAGTCTGGAAGGTAGCTCTCAGACCCTTCCAGAGGGGGCCGGGCACTTGGAATGGTCACAGTTCCGGGCCCACGTGCATGGAATAACTTGTTTCAGCCTCACAATCACTTATGTCCCATTTTACAGATGGGAAGGCAGAGGCACGGGGGGTTAAGACACTAACCTAGGTCACACAGGTAAGTGACAGGACCAGGATTTGAGCCCAGACCTCACACTTAACGCCCTCCATGCCAGGTGCTGAGATCCATGCCTGCCGAACCCTCTCATTCACCCACAGATGCCCCCGGGACTGTAGTCAGCCCCATTCTCACATGGGAACACTGAGGCCCAAAGAGGCGAAGCGTCAGCCCAGCAAGGAGGAGGCAGGGCAGGCGGGGCCGCAGCTGTCTGGCCCGGAGCCCTGAGCAACCCCTCCACCCACTCCCCCTGGCTGGCCTGGGCCTTGGCAGACCTCACCCCAGAGCTGGCTCCAAAAGTGAGTCCTCCTGGTGCCCTACCCAGAGGGCTCCCCATTTACCCTGGGCTCCTCAACAAAGATGGGACTCCCAGGCCCTACTGAGCCTCTGGAGCTTTGAGGAGTAGTGAGGGGCACCCAACCCAGAGTGGGGAGGGCCCAGCCCTCCTGGGAGGTGTGTGGCCTCCCTTGGGGGGAGCCTCACTCCCAGGGAAGGCTAGGAGTTCTGTCCCGGGAGGACAGGCCTCTTCGGGGGCCTCCTCCCAGGTTGCTCCTGCATTCATGACAAGTTCGGCCCCTGTGAGTTGGGGGAAATTCTTCAACAGCTCCCTGGCCAGGGAGGGGACCCTCGGGATCCTGAAACACCCCTCCCACCTGCCAGTACCCGCCAAGATGGGTCCCTGATTTGCTGTGTGGCCTTAGACCAGTGGCTGCCCTCTCTGGGCCTCACTCCCAGCTGAGACCTACAGGCTCAGCCCCTGCCCAGCCCTGCCTGGCACCCGCTCAATCTGGCTGAGCTCCAGAGAATGGCAGGGCTGGGCTGTCACATGCTGAGCCACGTGACTGGCAGTGGCTGGGGGCTCCATCCCACACAGAGGACAGGGGCTCTGCAGTCCTTCACCCCCACCCTAACTATCTAATCACGGGCCACCGGTGTGGGCATGGTCCAGAAGACCTCACCGCCCTCCCAGGTAGGCAGGGAGCTGGCGGGTGGGGGGGGCCATGATGAGCACCTCCCAGGTGCCACGTTGGCCCAGAGGCCCCGGGGCCGGGAGCTACGGAGGCCCAGGGCACCAGGGAGATGGTAGCAGCGGCAGGCCCAGGAAGGGGCATAGAGGAGGCTCTTCCTCCACACCTGTCACCCTGTCCCCTGCCTGTCCACACCCACAGCAGCTTGCACATCATCCCCACAGCACGCTGGCTCTGACAGGTGTATCCGGGGCGGGCTGGGGGCAGGCAGGGACAGGCTTAGGCACAGCTGCCTGTGCCGAACTTGAGGAAGATCGGGACTACAGGAACCACCAAGGCGACACGTGGCATCATGACCACGGTCCTAAGCAGAGAGGCAGGCACTCCTCCTGGGAGGCAGAGGGGACATCCGAAACGGGTGCAGCCCCAGCTCTGGAGCAAGAAGCTCTGCCACACACACGCCCCATGTTCACATCCCACCCCCTCTCTGCCCCCACTTCCTCGTTTGTAAAATGTTAGATCTGCAGAAAGACAGGCTCTATGAATGGGGCGGCCCATGGGGTGGTGTGGAGGAACACGGAAGCACAGGGCGCTGGGAGAGGAGCAGGCATGAGGTATGGTCCCTAAGATGGTATTTCTAGACTCCAGCCACCTTTGGGTCTGACCTCTTTGTTTTGCAGAAGGGGAAACTGAGTCTTGGGTAGGGTGTAGCAAGACAAGCCACAGACAAAACACCTCAGACACTGGATTAAAGAAGGAAGAGGTTTATTCAGCTGGGAGCATCAGCAGACTTGCGTCAAGAGCCGAGCTCCCTGAAAAAGACATTCTTGGCCTTTTTAAAGGCTTACAACTTTAAGGGGTCCACGTGAAAGGGTCGTGATAAATCGAGCAAGCTCGGGGAACGTGACCGGGGGCTGCATGCGTCAGCTAACAGAACAGAAAGTTTTGCAGTGCTTTCTCATACAATGTCTGGAATTTACAGATAACACAAGTAGTTTAGGTCAGGGGTTGATATTATTATCACTTTTTTTTAACTACCAGGGCCAGGTGGTGGCGCCAAGGTCTTCTGGCTATTTCTCTTACTTCTGTTTTTTTCTAACTTTTTGCCTTCTCTCTTTCCTCCTGTCTTGTAAACCAGGCAAGGTGGTAGGAGGAGGGCAGCAGGAGTAGTAGTGGTCTTATTCCTTAGGGGAGGCATTGAGGGAAGGCTGGGAGTGGGGGGTCGAGACTTCCTTGCTATTCTGGGCCATAACATTCCACATAATATTATAATAGAATATAATTAATACAATAATAGTTCCCCACCCCACACCGGGATTCCCAGGGCCCACTGCCCCACTCCTCCTCCTCAGGCTGGCCCTCAGCTCAGTGCTCAGCCCTGCTGCACAGCCTCTCCTCCTCCTCCTCAGGCTGCCCCTCAGCTCGGAGCTCAGCCCTGCTGTGTGGCTCTAGCCTGGCGCCCTCTGGGCGTTGACTTCTTCTCTGTGGTCTGGGAGGAGATGTCGAGGCCCCCGAGGGAGGCGGTGGTGAAATCTTGGCTTGCAGCCTCCAGCCCGCCCAGAGCCAGAGTCAGGCACGAGGCTAGGGCAACTCCGCCCCACCCCTCCCCCGGGGACTGGCCCTGCGTTGGACATTTCTTAACAGCAGGGCCACCAGGCAGAGCGGGACAGCCAGGAGGAAGGGCAGCTTGGCAGAGCCTCAGGTAGAGTATCCCGGGGAGGCTGGGGCTGTAGTGGGCCAGCAGTCGGGCCAGAGTCCAGCTCAGCAACTCCGGGTTACAGGCAGCCCAGGCGGGCCTAGCCACCGGCAGCTGCACTCAGAGGCCACTGTGTCCTGGCTGAGCTCATCTGCCTGCCTGCTGGGGGAGAAAGCGGAAGGAGGAGAGGCAGATCTGGGGAGTGGCAGCGAGGTCCCGGGCACCCCCCTGGCCAGCAGGCACCCTTCCGTTGTCCGAGCTGGGTTGCCACCGCCTCCTTTTCCTGGGATTCCCGGACACCCTCCAAGGGAACCAAGGGAACAGCTCTGGGTCCAGCTGCCCCAGGAAGGACTGTGCGCCCCTTCCCCACAGGGGTCAAGTATCCCTTCCAGCAACAGCCGTTTCCTGGGCACCAGCCTGCATGCCCAGTGCTGATGCAGGGATGTGGCCATGAATGACTCTGGGAAAGAATCATTCTTAGCAATGGACTTTGTCAGGGTCCAAGAAAGGAGTGGCCAGCCAGCCCCGCCCCGCCTGCAGGAGGCACTTCTCATCCCGGGAACTGTGCCCCATCAGGGAGCCGAGGCTGTTCAGCCTCTTTGTGACCCGGGGCTGGGTTGGCCCGAGCCACCAATGAGGGGATACGCTGGTCCCTGGCTCCCCAAGGGAGGGGCTGCTGAGCTTTGGGAGGCCTCATGAAAATCCAGCTTAAGGCCATCAAAAGACAAAATGACAACACATTTAGTTATAGATCAAATTGGCTTCTATTCATGATTCGTGAATCCGGACAGCCTCCATTCTACAAAATGGAGTGAGAGCTCCCACCAGGCAGTGGCAGAGCAGGGGGTTCATAAGGCAGAAAGGAGGAAACAGAAAAATAGGAAACACCAAACCGCCTAATACCGGATCGCTGCAGACTGCTTTTTTCTAAGCGGACTGCTTTTTTCTAAGGGGTAAGGCAGAGGGGACCTGATGATGCCGGCTCAGGTGGACTGGAATCTCCTGCTTCCCGGAGAAACTGGTCTGTGGTTTTGGGCTCTGTCTGCTTCCTTAAAGCTTCGGTTTGATGATGTGGCATTTGGCATGAGTGCCTCCATTTTGGTTTGGTCTGGTCTGTTGGGGCCTAGTACAGGAGCTCAGTTCAAAATCACAGCCTCTCATCATGTTTGTTTAATGAAGCTACACTGCAGGAGATCAGAATCGGAGACCCTGCGGTATTGGGCCTGTGGGTCCCCTGAAGTTGGCCTAGTGATCCCCGCCTTCTGGCTGCCCTGATGGGGGTCCCCCAGGCCCTCTACCCACCATGTTCAGTCCCTCTGTCACCACATCCCTGTCCTCAGTTGGGTCTCAGGGTGATGTCCTTGTCTCCCCAACACCCACCTTGGATCAAGGCCCCTTCAGGCCCCTGCCCCAGGGGTCTCCTCCCTGAGCCCTCCTCTGGTACATCCGTCCTCCATGGATACTGAGCACTTCCCGGGGTCCCAGTGCTTGAATTCTCCCGACAGTGGTATGGGTGCCACAGGCAGTGCCCAATTTTACAGATGGGAAACGTGAATACAAAGAGGTCAAGCAACCTGCCCAAGGTCTCCCCACTCACACATGTGGTTGCTGCAGTTTAAACCCAGGTCATTGGGCCCCCAGACCATGCCATGCTGGGAGGATGCTCTTAGAAGGCCCATGGTGTAGATGAGGAAACTGAGGCAGGAAGAATGAGAGAACGGGCAGAGCCTCCGTTTCCCTGGAATCCAACCCACTTGATAGGCCAGGGTGTGAACGAGCAGGGAGTCCCTGCCCAGGGACGGTCCCTGCTGTGAGGTTGGGGGCAGCGGCTCGGCCAGCCATTCACTCCCTGTGATATGTCAGCCCCGTTCCTCCCCACTCTGTTCCCGGAGCCTGTGGGCACCCACAGCGAGCACCCAGGCTGGCATAGTGCCCAGCACATGGGCACCTGAGTATTGTTTTTAGAGGCCCGTGGCCTTGAGAGGAAGTGGCTGGTCCTGCCCTGGCCCCCAGGCCAGAGGAAACAGCCGCTATCTTCATCACCAAATGATGTGGCAACTCCCCCCCACCCCAGAAGCTGCAGGTCTGGGCCAAATGCACCTCAACCTGTGATGGGGGGCCACGCCCCAGAGACCCTTGGGCCCATCAGCCCCTGGACCTCAGTGGCTCAGCCGCAGGAGGCAAGAGGCAGTCTCAGACCCCACAACCTAAGCAGTGTGGGGAGTGGCAGCAATAGTGAGGAGGGAGGCCGAGGAAATGGAATCCAAACAGCAAGAGACCTCCCCTCACCGGTCACCCCTCCCACAGCTGGCCTACCGGAGTCCACCCAGCCTTGGGTCTGCCGTCC
The DNA here is from genome assembly GCF_000001405.40 of Homo sapiens. NCBI lineage: Eukaryota > Metazoa > Chordata > Mammalia > Primates > Hominidae > Homo > Homo sapiens. Next base: position 68,012,734 of record NC_000011.10, read on the forward strand.
AGGCCCCAGCCCAGTGTCCCTTCCCCCAAGGACTTGGCTGCCCATCCCCAGGGGACTGTGAGGGAGGTGGGAGCTGAGGTGGATAGCCTTCTGCTCTTCTGGATTTGGGTTTTCCAATGTGAGGAGCTGGGTGGTATCAGGCAAGCTCTGGCCCTCTCTGAGCCTCAGCCTCCATCTCCTTCAGTGGGGTGAATAGTGGTCCCTCAGTGGGCGGCCGTGGTGGTGAAATGAGCGAGGGCAGGCATGGGGATCACACTCCTTACAACCTCACACTGTGGGATGAGTGCCGCGGGGGTGGGCTTGGGGGACCCCAGCCCAGTGCCTGATTCAGGAGTTCCCTATTCTGTGTGTCCACAATGGCTGCCCAGCACCCTCGGGAGATAACAGGCCCAGGATCCCCCCAATCTCAGGCAGAAGGCGGCCTTGGCTTCTCCGCTTGCCAGGGTCCTGCCCTGGGCACTCCCTGGGGGCCTCAGTCCAGAGTGAGTGACCCGTAGGGGCAATGCCAGGGCTGGTTGCCCTGTGGGAGAGATGTGTCCTGTGGCCCTGGTGAGTTGGTTTCAGCGTTGCTAGGAGGGTTGCTGGAATGTTCCCTGCAGAACTCCATCCCCCACAGAGCTCCCGGCCCACAGTCCACCATTCACGTTACGTGCCTTGCATTTTTGTGGTTTCTGCAGAGATTCTTACAAAGGGTGAGAGAGGCACAGGCGTGGTTTGCCTTTGACCACTGGCAGAAGTCTGAAGGTGAGAGTAGAATGGAGAAGGACCCAGGAGAGTGCGGAGTTGAGGGAGATAAATATTTGCAGGCTACTTAGCAAAACACCCAGAGCTGACCTTTGTCGAGTACTTTCTGTGGGCACAACAGCAAATGTTTTATGCAGCGTGATGTCATTTAATCCTCACAATGACACCAGGTGCCATTAGCATCCCCATTTCACAGATGAGGAAACCGAGGCAGAGAAGGTGAGTGATTTGCCCAAGGTCCCACAACCAGTAAGAGGCAGAGCCCGGAGACAGGCCTGATGGTGGCTCGAGAGGCTCGTTCTTGGCTCCTGGGTCTCAGTCCTGCTCCCGTGACGAGCCATCCCCTATGGGGACCATGGTGCCTGTCCTGTGTGCGGGCCACTGCCCAGCTTCTCCCAATCAGAGCAGGAAGATGGTGGGTTCAGCCTGGCCCCACAATCACTCCAGCTGAGGGCTGGCCTGGGGCTCCTGACCAGGCTCTCAGTAGCACACTGGTCCAGCAGGGCCATCCTGCAGACCGGAGCAGGTCCCGCCCTCAAGGTGGCCACTTAACAATCACCCACAGCCTTGCGCTCACCGATGCTGGGCCCTGGGCTCAGAACCGACTGTGTGGTCTCATCATTAGCTGGCAGGTGCCATCATTACACCGGTAACATGAGAGGCTTCAAGCACTAGGTCTCAAATAAGTAGGCACAGAGGGGCCTGCCTCCCAGTCTAATGAGGGGGAAATAAGGGAGATGTGGACAGGGTTGGGAGGTGGGTAGAGTGTAACCAGACATTTATCACATGGCACAACTCAGAACGCTGGGGAGCAGAGTCAAGGGGCCACTGTGACAGTGGATGAGGGCATAATCTGGGTGGGCTGCCTGGAGGAAGCATCAGCCAAGCTGAGATCTGGAGGAAAGGGACTCGGAGAGGGAAGGAGGAAAGGGTCACCACGGGTCCTTGGCACCAGGCCGAGGAACGAGTGCGTCAGAGTGCTCCTCCGATGAACTTCAAGTAAACAGGCAGGGCTCGGGGGAATGTCTAGGCCCCTACCCTGCCTGCCAGCTCTGGCTGGCACCAGCACGGAGGCAGGAACGCCCTCTCCCCCGCCCTGATCCTCTCCCCCACAGCTGTTTCTGCCTCCCAGCACCACAGCCCCGGCAGGGTGGGCAGCAGGGCCTCCAGGAGGCCCGAGGTGTTCTCCCCCTCTTCCTGAGGAAGCTGAGGCACAGGGAGAAGAGGCTATTGCCCACTGGCCTGGCCTCCCTGGGCAGTGCCCCCAGGCTGGGGACAGAGGAAGACGGAGAATTCTGTGTCTGGAGTGCTCCAAGGTGGTGGCCATGGTGGCAGTGAGTCACCCCCTCTACTCATCAAGCTCCTGCTTACACCATTCAGACTGGCAGGGGTGAGGCTGCCCCGCCTCCAGGAGGGGCATCAGGGCAGGGCAGAGGCCATGGCTTGGGGTTAATTTCTGTGCGGCAGGAAGAAGCATGGCGCTCTGCCTGCCTGCTCACCCTCGGGGGCTGTGGTGGAGCAGCTGTCCCCAAGCCCACACCCAGTCCTGCAGCCGCCTCCAGGTCCATGGCAGAGGGGAGTGGTGCGAGGGTCTTCATGTGTGTCTGGGAGTGCTCACTGTTGGGTGAAAGGGGTTGCAGGCAGCCTCAGTCCCTGTGGGGTCATCTGAGTGGGTCCCTGTGTGTGTATAAGGTAGAGGTGTCTGCAAGCCCCTGTGGGTGCAGGCAGGTCAGGGGTGCCCAGACCCTGGGGCGGCTGGGTGGTGCCCATGAAGGAGGGGCAGCCCTGGCCACCCAGTTCATGCCACCCCATCTGGCAGGATGGACCCCCTTGGGGACACGCTGCGGCGACTGCGGGAGGCCTTCCACGCGGGGCGCACGCGGCCAGCTGAGTTCCGGGCTGCGCAGCTCCAAGGCCTGGGCCGCTTCCTGCAAGAAAACAAGCAGCTTCTGCACGACGCACTGGCCCAGGACCTGCACAAGGTGGGCTGGGGTTGGGGGTATGAGAGGGTGCACTGGGGCAGGGGGGCATGGAGGGCAGCTGGGACAGCAGGGGATGAAGACACCTGCGCCCTCCATGAAGCGGGGCTAAAAGCAGCTCCTCCCCTAGGCCAGAGCCACCCTTGCACATTCATCCAGTCACTTATTTCTGTATTCATGCAGCAACTATTTGCTGAGCACCTACTATGTGCCAGGTACTGTTCTAGGCTCTGGGGATATAGCAGAGAATAAAACACAGTTCCCATGCCTACGAAGATGACCTTCTATCGGAGACAATAAAACAGCAAATAAATAATTGCACAGCAAGGCCGGGCATGGTGGCTCACACCTGTAGTCCCAGCACTTTGGGAGGCCGAGGTGGGCGGATCGCTTGAGGCCAGGAGTTCAAGACCATCCTGGCCAACATGGCGAAACCCCGTCTCTACTAACAATACAAAAATTAGCTGGATGTGGTGGTGGGCACCTGTAATCCCAGCTACTCAGGAGGCTGAGGCATGAGAATCGCTTGAACCTGGGAGGTGGAGGTTGCAGTGAGCCAAGGTCACACCACTGCACTCCAGCTTGGGCAACACAGTGAGACTCCATCTCAAAAATAATAATAAAGATAATAATTACACAGCATATTGGGTTGAAATATGTGCCCTGGAGACACACCCAGGGTGAAGGGGAGAGAGGGGGCCAGGATCAGGGTGCTGTTGTATATGTGGGGGTCAGGGAAGGTTTCTCTGAGAAGGGGGCTTTAGAGCAGAGACGTGAAGATGGAGGGGAGGCTCCCCATGGATGCTGGGGAGATGGCAGCGGGCACAGCACGTGCAAAGGCCCTGAGGCAGGAGGTGCTGGGTGTTTCTGCTTGAGGAGCAGCAAGGAGGCCAGCATAGCTGTCGGGGGTGGGAGAGGAAGAAACAGCAAAGATGAGGTCTGGGGTATGGGCCACACTATGTAGGGCCTCGGAGGCCGTGAGGCCTTGGCCTTCTCTCTGGGTACAGCAGGCATCATGGCCTCTGTCTAGACCCTGAAGGCTTGGGGCCTCAGCCCCTCCCAATCCCAGTGGCAGCCAAGGCAGAACCCCAAGAAACACACTTCCCCCAACCCCTCACCCATCAGGGCCCATGCACCTGCCTGCCCCTGCCTCAGGACACCTGCCCCTGCCTCAGGACACCACCTGCCCCTGCCTCAGCACATCTGCCCCAGGGGCTGCCCCCGGCTCCTATTCTCTGGACAAAATATCTCCTCCCTTTGCCTTGAAGGCTGTAGTGTTCAGACCTTCCCCCAGCCCATTGGGCTCCCTGGGGACTGACTCCCCCGCCACCACTGAGCTTCTGCCACCGGCCGCCTGCCGGCCTTCATGAGACTTGACCTGACGTCTGTCTGGTCCCTTTTCTCCCTTCGGCTCTGATTCCACCTCCTGCCTTCCCATCCCAGCTGCAGGAGCGGGGCCCTACAAAGGCAGCAGTAGCCCAGAACATTCAACCTGGTCCCTCCCTCTGGACCTGGTCACCCCCCTGTCCCCACCCTCAGCAGGCAGCATCTGCCCAGCGTCACGTGCACCCTCTCAGTTAACCCTTTGGTGAATCTGGTTGGGCAACCACACCCAGTGGCCCCCAGAAGAGGCTCAGAGAGAGTGTGTTCTTGCCCAAGGGCATGCAGCCAGGAAGAGCAGAGCCAGAGTTTGAACCTGGCTCAAAATAGCCCAGTCTCCCAAAGTCAGGTCCCAGGTGACCTAGGAGGTGTGGCGGGCAGGCCACCAGGCTCATGGGGCCAGAGCACAGGCTGTGGGAAAGTCCGTGTGGAAGGCACCTTCCCCCAGCCTCAGTGGCTAGGAGGTGCCAGTGGGCGTGGCGTCTTCCTCCCTCTTGGGGCTCAGCTGTAGCCCTGGCCTTGCCCCTGGTTCGCTGAGTGACCTCAGGCAGGGCATCTCCTTCTCTGGGCTTCGCTGGTCCTCTGGCCCATCCAGCACCCCACTGGCCCGTCCCCCTCTGCCCTGACCCGGGAGAGCCTGCACCCCATAACCTCAGGCGCTGCCTCAGCCAGGGAGCCAGCCTGGCCCCAGTGTCCCTGACCTGTTCTCCAGCGGCCTGCAGCCTGCTGCCTGGCTGGTCTCTCCTCCCTTGGGGCGCAGAGGGCAGGGAGCACTGGCTAGCCGAGAGCAGGACAATGTCCCTATTGATTCGGGTCTCCTCACTCCTGCTTAGAAGCCTGACAGTGGCCCTGGCCCCTGGGCTGTGGGAACTGACAGCATTTACCTAGGGGTGGCTGTGCCTGTGTCTCCTGTGGACCAATCTCCACCCTGCTCTTTGGGAGACTGAGGTGGGAGGATTGTTTGAGGCCAGGAGTTCAAGACCTACCTAGGCAACACAGCAAGGCACTCTGCAAAAAATCAAAACAAACTTTTTTTGAAATTAAAAAAAAACAAAACCCTAAGTCAGATCCCATCCCTGCTCTTCTCAGGAGTCCTTGCCTGGCTGCCTGGCCCCCTCACCTTGCCCACTCTGCTTCTTGCTAAACAGGAGCAGAGCAAGCGCACAGCCACCTCGGGGCCTTTGCAGCCGCCAGGGCCTCTGCCCAAAGTATGCCGCCTCCCAGTACCCACGACTTGCTTGTTCCTTGACTTCAGGTCACTGCTCCAATGTGACCGCCGCCTGGAGACCTGCACTGACCGCTTTGTAAAAACAGCACACACACACATGCTCATGTGGATGTATACATGTGCACACCTGTGCACGCCCACAGCCACACGCTCCAGCAGTCTCCACCCCCACCCTGCTCCATGATTTCCCTAGCACAGCCACGTCCTAATGGAGCCGTCAGCGTTCTCACTTTCACATGGAACGACTGCCCCCTGCAAGGTCGGCCTCAGGGCCGGTCCCTCTGTTTGGCACAGAGACAGCACCTCACACAGGAAGCACGCACTGAACATGGAGTGAGTGAGTGAACGAATGAATGAAAATGAATGAATGAGTTGTGGAAGCAGGCCCTGCCTGGAGGAGGCTGTGCCCTCCTGCCAACTCTGGGAATCCTGGCCCACCCTGACCCCACCCACTTCCTGCAGTCAGCCTTCGAGTCGGAGGTGTCTGAGGTTGCCATCAGCCAGGGCGAGGTCACCCTGGCCCTCAGGAACCTCCGGGCCTGGATGAAGGACGAGCGTGTGCCCAAGAACCTGGTGAGCCGGCCGGGCTGAGGCGGGCAGGGGGCTCAGGGGATATTTGCTCCCACAGGGTGGCCCCTCTGGGTGGGAGCTGGCTGCTGAGGGGCCGGGGTGCTGAGCACTTAATTTCATCCCCGGCTCCCGGCCCAGGCCACGCAGCTGGACTCCGCCTTCATCCGGAAGGAGCCCTTTGGCCTGGTCCTCATCATTGCGCCCTGGAACTATCCGCTGAACCTGACGCTGGTGCCCCTCGTGGGAGCCCTCGCTGCAGGTGAGAGCTGGGCCTGCCCCTTCCGGTCACCCTTCTCCGCTCGAGGCCTCAGGGCCACCCATGGATCCCAGGAGGACATGGGAGAACTGGCCCAGGTGGCAAAGAGGACTGTCTGGTCCACCGTCCCCGGGCTGTGTGGCCCTGGGCCCGTCATGTTACCTCTCTGAACCAGGTTCTGCATCTGAAAGTGGGTGAGGCTGATGCCTGCCCTGCAGGTGTGTGGAGACCAGGAGCTGGCTACGCCTCCTCCAGCTCTCTCCCTGCACTGCCCTGCAGGGAACTGTGTGGTGCTGAAGCCATCGGAGATTAGCAAGAACGTCGAGAAGATCCTGGCCGAGGTGCTGCCCCAATACGTGGACCAGGTGAGCAGGGCTGCCGGGCAGGTAGAGCGGGAACAGGCAAGGCTCAAGGGCTGGGCAGCCCCTGGCATGGAAGGGCCTGTCAGTCAGACCCGAGTCCCCACCTCAATCCTGCCTCTTCTGAGTTGTGTAAACTTGACCAAGTCACCGCCCCTGTCAGCCTCAGTTTCCCTCTGAGGAGCAGCGAGGGCAGCCTGTTGCCCAGGGGTTCCGTGTCTGCCTCCACCTGGCCCTGGCATCAGCCCCTCCAGCGCCAGCTGGACTCCAAGCTGGGCCTGCCAATGCCAGCCAACCTTGGGGAGCTCCCTTCTCCCCACTTTGCCTCCACCCAACCCTCCTAGAGCCCTGGCTGGGTCAGGCCAGGCGGGGTGGAGGCAGGGCAGGGTCCAGGCAGGGCGGGCTGCTCCCTTGTGTTCTCGGAGCTGGGGTCCCAGAAGGAGCCTCACCCATCCCGCCTTGCAGAGCTGCTTTGCTGTGGTGCTGGGCGGGCCCCAGGAGACGGGGCAGCTGCTAGAGCACAGGTTCGACTACATCTTCTTCACAGGTGAGGCCGGGACGAGGGTCGGGACAGGCTGGGGTCGGGGAGGACAGCTGCTCAGGGGTCCTGTCCCTAACTCTGGGAGTCCACAGGGAGACTGAATTCTCCTCTCTCTCTCTCTCTGGACCAGGCTGGGAGCAGTCCTGGACCCCCAGGACCCCTTAGGAAGGGATGGAGTCCCATGTCCAGGGCCAGCCCACTGTGCCAACCACAGCGTCAGGAACCATAGCCTCTGCCCCCACTGTCCCCAGACCCTCATACGTGACCCTGCTGCCCCCCAGGCTCTTAGACACCACCCTACTGGTGCCCACAGCCCTCTCTGCAGGCAGATGAGGGACTGGGCCTCAGTGTCCTGCCCAGGGTCACCCTGCTGGCCAGGATGGGGACAGGCTGGAATGTGCACACAAGCCCTTGGAGAAATCCACGCCAGAGGTCACTTTTTTTTTCTTTTTTTTTGAGACAGAGTCTTGCTCTGTCACCCAGGCAGTGGCACAATCTTGGCACAATCTTGGCTCACTGCAACCTCTGCGCCTCCTGGGTTCAAGTGATGCTCATGCCTCAGCTTCCCAAGTAGCTGGGGTGACAGGCATGTACCACCACGCCCGGCTAATTTTTTGTATTTTTAGTAAAGACAGGGTCTCACTCTGTTGCTCAGGCTGGTCTCGAACTCTTGGCCTCAACCAGTCCTCCTGCCTTGGTCTCCTAAAGTGCAGGGATCACAGGCATGAGCCACCACACCCGGCTTCGAGTTTTTGAGCTAGGGAGGGGCAGAGGGAGCGAGAGGAAGACAGTGGTGCTGGCAGGCGAGTCTGCGCCTTACAGGTCGAGGCAGTCGTGGGGAAGGGCCTGGCAGGATTGACCTGGCCGCCTCCCAGCAAAGGCAAAGGAGCCCTGGAAGGAACCACAGAGCCCAGGAAGCACTGTGCCAGGATGGGGCAGGGGTGAGAGTAGAGAAGGCACAGTGGCTCCTGCCGGCTTTAATCCTTGACCACAAGGGGGAGAAATGCCAGGGCCATCCCCACAGACGCAGCAGCGTGGTCCCCGAGTCAGGTCTGGAGAGGAGGCCTTGAGGCCCAGACAGGGCTAGGGCAGAGAAGGCTGTGTGCATGCGGAGACTGCTGGGCCCCTGGAGGCCAGCACAGAGGAGAGGTGAGGCCAAGCCAGGCAGGACATGGGGACGCCTGCATCAGCCTGGGACAGTCCACCTCAAGGGTCAGAAAAAAAGGGCTGGGCAGGTGGCAGAACTTCCAGGTTTAGGTTTAGAGAAGAGAGACCTGAATGCCGTAGACAGAGCTGGACTCCATCCTTGGGTGATAAGGGATCCCCGAAGTTTCCAAAGGAGATGGGTGGGGAGGGGTTCCATGCAGCATTTTGCAAAGAGTCCCCTGCAGGGTCAGCCAGGGTCACAAGCAGAGGCGGGAGGAGCCAAGGGGTTTGGCTCAGCAGGGGGACCCTGGGGGCCGATAGCAGCCGTGCACCATTCCCTCCTGAGACTCTGTGCTTAGGGGCTGGTCCTGATGAAGGATGAGCAGGGCCCTGGGCTGCAGGGTGGCAGTGAGGAACAAGGAAAGGCCAGGCGAGGGCTGCTGCCCGCTGACTCCACCACCTCTCCAGGGAGGAGCGGGGCCGTGGGCTGGGCCATCCCGCCTGGTCCAGGTCACTGAACGGCCACTCTGGTTTCCTTCCATGCCCAGGGAGCCCTCGTGTGGGCAAGATTGTTATGACTGCTGCCGCCAAGCACCTGACACCTGTCACCCTGGAGCTGGGGGGCAAGAACCCTTGCTACGTGGACGACAACTGCGACCCCCAGACCGTGGCCAACCGCGTGGCCTGGTTCCGCTACTTCAACGCCGGCCAGACCTGCGTGGCCCCCGACTACGTCCTATGCAGCCCTGAGATGCAGGAGAGGCTGCTGCCTGCCCTGCAGAGCACCATCACCCGTTTCTATGGCGACGACCCCCAGAGCTCCCCAAACCTGGGCCGCATCATCAACCAGAAACAGTTCCAGCGGCTGCGGGCATTGCTGGGCTGCGGCCGTGTGGCCATTGGGGGCCAGAGCGATGAGAGCGATCGCTACATCGGTGAGTCCTGCTGCCCCTACCACAGCCCACCTGGGCCAAGACCCCTCCTCACTGGAGGGCCCAAGGCTGGGCCACAACTCTGGACCCGCGCCTGAAACCTGGCCCCACTGCCAGAGCCCGGCCTTGAGCCACAGCTCCAGTGCCATGATTCCGTCTCTGTGCTTCTAAGTCTGTGGCCCTATGAGGCCAAACTCTGGTCCCTCACCTTGGATTCGCTGAGCTCAGATCCCAGGGCTCCAGGGCTCAGCGTGCTAAGATGAACTCCCATCCCACCACTGGCTATCCTGAAAGGCTGTAACCTCAGATTCTCCGAGCCCACAATCCCCAGGTTCTAAACTCCGAGAGTCCCGTCCTGAGCCCCCAGTCTCCTGGGCCGTACGGCTCAGCAGCTCATGGGACACTGCGGCGCCAACATTCTGGGACGCTGTTGCCTCATGAACTCCAAGGGTTCTAAGATCCCATCACCCCTGACTGTGAGACCAAGGTCGGGGGATTCTCTGTGTCCCACAGGCCCTGAGCAGGCTGGGGAAGCTCTAGAGTCCCTTCTGGGGGGCTGTGGGGAGACTTTCTTCCCTAAACACTCCAAAGCCTGAAGCCTTGGGAAGTCAGACCTTGGGATCCTGGCCTAGAGCCCTGGCCTGTGGCCCTGTCCCCACCTCTACCCCCACCCTGGGGGCGGTCCTGACTGTGGCCCCAGGGCTGAGCTGTCTCTGGTGCCTGCAGCCCCCACGGTGCTGGTGGATGTGCAGGAGATGGAGCCTGTGATGCAGGAGGAGATCTTCGGGCCCATCCTGCCCATCGTGAACGTGCAGAGCTTGGACGAGGCCATCGAGTTCATCAACCGGCGGGAGAAGCCCCTGGCCCTGTACGCCTTCTCCAACAGCAGCCAGGTGGGGGTGCGGCCGGGCTGGGCAGGGTCAGGAGCCCGCAGTGGGCAGCACAAGTGGTGGCAGCAGGGGGGGCACCAAAATCCAGTGGCTTCAGGACTTTGGGATGGTGGACCTCTTGGCTCTGTCTCTGCCCACTCTCCTGGAAGCAGCTGAGCCTCACCCACCCCAACCCTGTCCCCAGTCTGGGCCCCACTCTCCTAGGCCTTCAGTGGGCAGCTTCCTGGGGTATGGGCCTTCTCTAGGGTCCAGTGTTTCCTCTAGGTCAGCCCCTGCCTTTGTCCTTCTTACACATCGGGGCCTGGTGGCCACATGACCCCTCAAGCCTGGCTCTGAAGGCACAGGCAACGTGTCGGGGATGACCCAAAGGTGCAGGTCCAAGAATGAGCCCTGATCCCCTACCCCTGCTTAAGCTGCAGAGGCAGCCTGGGAGGCCCAAGGCCAGAGTCCTCAGATTAAAAAACACCAAGAGGTACCAGCAGTCCCTACCCACCCCGCCCCCTTCCCCGGCCCTCAGCCAGTTCCTCGATTCCCTCCACTTGAACTTTTTTTTTTTTTTTTTTGAGACAGAGTCTCACTCTGTCACCCAGGCTGGAGTGCAGTAGCACAGTCTTGGCTCACTGCAACCTCTGCCTCCCGGGTTCAAGCGATTCTCCTGCCTCAACCTCCTGTGTAGCTGGGATTACAGGCGTGTGCCACTATGCCCGGCTAATTCTTTGTATTTTTAGTAGAGATGGGGTTTTGCCACATTGGTCAGGCTAGTCTTGAACTGCTGACCTCAGGTGATCCACCTGCCTCGGCCTCCCAAAGTGCTGGGATTACAGGGATGAGCCACCGTGCCCGGCCACTTGAACTTTTTTTAAATAAACTTTGTATTGGGAAATACTTTTAGATTTACAGAAAAGTTGCCAAAATGGTACAGAGAGTTCCCATGTACCCCACACCTAATTTCCCCCATTTAATGGTGCTTAGATGGGTCAAAACTAAAAAAGTGATGGCAGGGCTGGGCGCGGTGGCTCACACCTGTAATCTCAGCACTTTGGGAGGCCAAGGTGGGAGGATTGCTTGAGCTCATGAGTTTGAGACCAGCGCTGGCAATATAGCAAAACCCCGTCTCTATGAAACATTTTTTTAAGATTAGTTGCGCATAGTGGCGCACACCTGTAATGCCAGCTGCTCGGGAGGCTGAGGTGGAAGGATCTCCTGACCCATAAAAAAAAAAAAAAAGTGACAGCAGTGCTTTACTATTAACTACACTCTAGACTTTATTTGGATTTTGCTGTTTTTCCACTGACATCCTCTTTCGGCCCCAGGATCCAAGCCAGGGTCCCACCTTGCATTAATAACCCTCTCAGCTTAAGGAGTGCTGGACAGGTCTCCTGTAGAACATCCCCAGCCTCAGGTCATCTGGTGTATTTCTCATGATTAAAGAAAGGTTACTGGTTTTAGGAGAGAATCCCACAGAGGTGAGCCTGCCTCTCACACCACATCTGGGGCACCTGAGATGCACACGTGGCTAGTGAGTGGAACCTTCACTACCGGGTCAGGACGGTATCTGCCAGGGTTTCCCTGGGAAGCTACTATTGTTTGTTTCTTTATTATTTGGAAGCAAGTCTCTAAGCCTACCCCACCCTCACCAGGTGGAGGTAATTAAGCTGTATGCTGCTCTATCATATTGTTAGTTATTATCTAGTTATTTTATACATTCTTTTCTTATTCCATTTGTGGTTTGGTGGAATTTTGTTGTATTGCCATTTGATACCTTTCTCTTCCTCCTTTGTATGATTGTTTTATAGGGCCTGTGAGTTTTGTACTTTTGTGTGTATTATGGCAAATACCAACTTGTTTTTATGTTAAGACTCCTTTGAGCATTTCTTGCAGGACTGATCTAGTAGTGATAAATTCCCCCAGCCTTTGCTTGTCTGGGAAAGGCTTTATTTCTTCATCTACGAAGCATAGTCTTAGCTGGATACCGTATTCTTGGCTAACAGCAGTATCTACATCTATTTCCTGGAATTCTGTAAGAAAGATTCATCTCTTGAATTGTTTATTTAGGTCACTACGGACTCAGGTATATTTATTTGACTCCAGGGGCTGTAATCCAAGGTCGTGTGGTTTGTCTGAGGCTCGGGCTCAGAAGCCCATGTAAGATGTCCCAGCCTCTTGGGTTGTGACCACCTCCTTCCCCTCTGGTGCTACAAGCAGCTCCAGGCTCATCTTGTATCTCCCCTGCTCCAACTCCAGAAGCAGCCATTCCTTCAAGGAGCCCTGCTTCATCTGGATACTTTCACCTTTAGAAAACTCTACAGAGGTTTTTTGACAGTGGAGTCATCTGGCTTCAAACTTTTCTGACCACCCAGAACTGATCCCAGGACACACAGTCACACCTAAGACACAAGTCATGCACAAGGTGGCTTGCCCGTACTACCTGGGACGCCCTCTGCTGCCTTCTGCTCCATCTCCTCCATCTGCTGCCACTGCCATTGTGGGTAATGCTGGTCTCATGCCATGAAGTGACGTCTGAATCCACTGGGGGCAGTCCGCTTTCCCCACATCAGACAAGCCCTGACCCAGCTGTGATCAGAGGTTCACGGTGATTGCAACTAAATATACTGAAGTTTTTGTGCAGCAACTATTTAGTGTCTACCAATCTTTTTTTCCTTTCAGTCTTCAAATAAGTCTACAGATTGAGGAAGAAGGTCCTTCTCAAGGACCTTCAAGCAAGGGCCAAGCTTCTGTTTCTAAAGTGCAAATCTGACCACATCATTATGTTTTCATGTCCCTGTGTTCACACCACACAGCTCTTCAGCCTCCACTCTGTCTGCAGTGCCCTCTTTGCCTGAACAACTTCTGTCCCTCCCAGTCCCTCCACTCAGCAGGCACATGACACCCCTCTCCTGGGATGCCTCCCTACTGTCCAGTACTGCCCTGCTGCCACTACACCCTCCATGTCCCCAAGCAACACTAGGTTTCCTGCCCCTACCCCCAGCCCTAAGAGTCTGTGCCATCAGCATGGACCACACATGAGCAGATGTCCAGGAAACATGTCCCAAGTTGGAAGCTTCATGAGGAGCTGCTACACAACCCCCTGCCCCACCTGTACCATCACAGGCCCTTCAGCTGACATGGTGGCCTCAGACCCTTTCTGAGGCAAGATCAGTGTCACAGAGTCCAGCATGGAACAGGCTCTGGGTCCTGAGGATCCTGATGGGGCTCAAGGCAGCCTCACGCACATCCTGTTCTCTCCCAGGTGGTCAAGCGGGTGCTGACCCAGACCAGCAGCGGGGGCTTCTGTGGGAACGACGGCTTCATGCACATGACCCTGGCCAGCCTGCCTTTTGGAGGAGTGGGTAGGTGCCTGCTACCCTGCCCTTCTGTTACCATTTGGTCAAATTGCAATAGTGTTACCTGCATACATTTCTGCCAAAGCACCCCAGCCCCACCTCAATGTAGAGGGACAGGCAAGGAGGCCTCACCCCAGAACCCGCATCCTGCTCCCCACCCCAGAGGGTCTGAGTCCAATCTGGGCAACACAGTAAGACCCCATCTCAAAAAAAAGTCTGTGGTGGAACCTTCTAGACCATCTCTGCACAGACACACAATTTAGTGAATTTTTAAAAATACCACACAACTATGATCACACTGCCCACTGCGATGCTATTTGCTCTTCTCCCCAACAGCATGACCTGGTGTCTGCCCCTCAGCAGCAATGCCGCCGGTGTCCTTTACTCCAGGGCAGCTGCTCCTCTAACCCCATCCCCCCTCCAGCTCTCAGTACAACACCTCCCCACCCTGAGAGGCCCGGATGAGTGCCAATCCTCCACCCCCCAGAGCAGCCCCGATGCCACTGCAGAGTCCTGGCCTCTGAGTCAGGAAGCCTCAGAGATGGTCCTAGCAACACGCTGAAGGCCCTGTGGCCCAGGTGACATCTCCCCTTTCTGAGCCCACTTCCTCCTCAGAGAACAGTAGGCCCCGAGCAGGTGACAGGCAGTCCCGCCACCTGTCCACACTCAGCACCACAGTGAACGATGGCAGGGCCAGGCAAGCTGCCTCAGGTGGGTCCATGCCCTTCCTGGAGGGCAGCCAGGGGCACAACAGTGCCTGTGCTGCTGTCCTGGCTCGGCTCGAGTTTGGGCGGCTGCCCCCGACCCCACCTAGCTGCCTCCCCAGCCCCAGCCCCAGCCTCCTCAACCCGCCTCCCTGCCCTGGAGGAGAGTCGGGGCTGTCTGTGGGCACATCTGACCCTGCTGCTCCCTCAAGAAAGCCTCCCCCAGCTCCCAGGCCCCCGAGCTGACCCTTCTTGGTGGCCGTGGCCCCACCCCGGCTTCCCCACCTGCTGCTCCCACAGCCTGAGCTCTGCCCAGGTCCCTAACACACCGCATGGCACCCACCTCTAAGGCTCCCCAAGCCTGGGTCCCTCTTGCCCCCACCCACTCTCTTCGTCTTATTAACTGCATATCCTTGGAGCTCACTCACTGCAGGAAGCCCCCCAGCCAACCCCACTCCACCCAGGCTGTGCTCTGAACGCCCTGGCCTGGGGCCTCGTCTGCCTCCCAACCTAGACGCTGAGGAGAGTTCACTGCACATAGCACCTACTGGGTCCAGGGGTCTCAACATCCCCTCAATCCCCACCACAACCTTAGGAGGGAGGTACCCTTGTCACCCCACGACAGAGGAGACTGAGGCACAGTCCAAGGTGACATGGATTGTTTGCAGCAGGGCCAGAGTTTAACCCCCGGCAGTCTGACTCTGGAATCCATGCCCTTGACCACCACCCGCCTATCTTGCCCTGGCATCTGGCATCCCCAGGGCTTACTGAGCTGGTGCCAAGCTCGGGGCCAAGCCCTTTACACACAGTGCCTCATGATCAGCCCACTGGACAGATGGGGAAACTGAGGCTCAGAGGGGAGAAGTAGCCCGCCTAGGCCCCACTGTCTGTGACTAGGAGACCCCCAGCGCCTGACCACCTGTGTTCTGTGCCACTGTACAGGTGCCAGTGGGATGGGCCGGTACCATGGCAAGTTCTCCTTCGACACCTTCTCCCACCATCGCGCCTGCCTCCTGCGCAGCCCGGGGATGGAGAAGCTCAACGCCCTCCGCTACCCGCCGCAATCGCCGCGCCGCCTGAGGATGCTGCTGGTGGCCATGGAGGCCCAAGGCTGCAGCTGCACACTGCTCTGAGCCCTTCCCCAGGCCCAGGCTGTAGACCACCATGACAGCTGTCGCCTGCGGCTGGTGGAGACGGGGCCTGGGCTCCCGGGCCCGAGGAGGAAAAGGATTGCCAAGGCTCCAGGGCACCCCTCAAAGCAGCGCCTGCCTCCTCCCTCCTGGGTCTTCCCTCTCCCTGCCTCAGCCTCCTCCCTCAGCCGCTCCCAACCATGAGAGCCGAGGTGGGAGGCATGGGAAACAGTGCAGTGACTCACCCCCTGCCCCCGCACCAACCACCCATATTCAGGAGAAGAGGACAGACACGGCACCTCTGAGTCACCCCTCTCCTGTGGAGCGGGCGTCCGAGGGGCCCTGGCATCTGACTCAGGCCACACCATGGAATCACTGCATCCAAGGCCATTCCTGCCCTCTCTGAGTCTCAGTTTTTCCATTTGTTCAGTGGAGAGAATTAACCATTGATACCTCCTGGCTGGGTGAGGCGGCTCACACCTGTAATCCCAGCACTTTGGGAGGCCGAGGCAGGCGGATCACCTGAAATCAGGAGTTCAAGATCAGCCTGGCTAACATGGCGAAACCCCGTCTCTACTAAAAATACAAAAATTAGCCTGGCGTGGTGGCGCATGCCTGTAATCCCAGCTACTCAGGAGGCTAAGGCAGGAGAATCGCTTGAACCCGGGAGGTGGAGGTTGCCGTGAGCTGAGATTGCGTCACTGAACTCCGGCCTGGGTGACAGAAGGAGGCTCTGCCTTAAAAAAAAAAAAAAAAAAAACCTCCTGGGACTGTTGCAAGGATGAAATGAAGGATTGAGGGATTGAGGGATTGCTGAGCTGGAGCTCCAGGTGTCCTATCTTTCTCAGTGGGGTGGCACGGAGCGGGGCCGCCTCCCTCTTCTCTCCAGGCAGGTGGGGCTGTGGTTATGCGATAGGGTCTCCCTTCCCTCCAGCCCATGCCAGAGGAGCTTGTAACTCTTTATCCTCATGGTGCCCACTACGAGTCATACTCTTCCCCATGCTGCTCATCCTCCTGGGCCCCATCCACTCAGCCAAAGCAGAATGCAGGGTTTCCTGCCTGACAACCCTTCTCACCTCCCAAGTCCCACTTTTGAACAAGCTGATGATTCTGAAACTGGCCCAATTTCCTAACAAGCCGGATGCTTGAGAAACCTACATTTGGACAATGAGAGGCTGCTCCTGCGGCCTGCGGGCCACCTCCTCTTCCTTGGCTCCTGCTTTCTTTTTAGACTATATCAACCTACAACTTTAGTCGGGAAGAGGGACAGGGGTGGACCTGAGTTTCGTCTCCTGTCTCTCTGGCTGATGTCACCTGAATAAAGCCTTCTTCCCTGGCAATACTTACATCTCAGTGATTTGCTTTCTGTGCATCTAGCAACAGGACTCTGGACCAAGGCCCTGGCGTTGGGTAACAATTCTGTAATGCTGCAGGACTTCCCCAATCCACGCAGGAATCCCCGCAGGCATCCACGCAGGAATCACCTGATGAAGGGCCAGGGTCAGGTGTGGGCCACCATCCCAAGACCTCCCTTCTCTCTAGGGCCAGCCCCTCTCCTCTGAGCACCTGCTGACCAGCCCAAAGCCCTCTCCACTCCTCAGCTTGAACTCCCCCAGGGTCTCCCTGTGGCCCACAGGTCCTTTGGAGGCTCGGGCATCTGCATGCAAATCCCAAACCACTGTCCCCTTTGCACACACTGAGCCTGCCCTTGTCCTCGTCCTGGTCTACCATGCGTGTCCTCCCTCTGCACGGGCATGGGACATGCCCTCTGCCTCCTTCCTGTCCTGGCCTGCCCAACTCCTACCTACCCTCAGCGCAGATCCTCCCAACACACACATGCAGGCAGCCTCGGGGCCTCTGCGGGTCCCTCTACCACAGCATTCCCGGGGAAAGGCCCGGCGTGGTGGCTCACGCCTGTAATCCCAGCACTTTGGCAGGCCGAGGCAGGAGGATCGCCTGAGTCCAGGAGTTCCAGACCAGCCTGGGCAACATGGCGAGACCCCGTCTCTACAAAAAATACAAAAATTAGCCGAGCCTGGTGGTGGCAGGCGACTGTGGTTCCAGCTGCTCGGGAGGCTGAGAAGTGAGGATCACCCGAGCCTGGGAGGTCGAGGCTGCAGTGAGCCGAGATCGCACCACTGCATTCCAGCCTGAGCCACAGAGCCAGATTGTCTCAAAAAAAGAAAAAAAAAAAAAAAAAAAAAAAAATTCGCTGGTAGGAAACATAGGCTGGTTGAGTACGGGAGTCATACAGATCAGGTGGATCAGGCGGCCGCACACCGCAGCTCTACGGCCCGGGAACGTTACTAAATACTCCCATGCCTCAGCTTCCCGCCTTAACGTGGTAACACGTTACTGTAGTTTCTCCACGCAGAGCTGCTGTGAGGATTAAAAGAGGCCGCGTGAGTTGAGCATCTCGTCGCCATTACCGTCATCACACGCCCCCCACCCAACCCGGCGGGCCCACCCTCTGCACCCACGGCGAAAGCACTCTTTCTAAACCACGCCCCGGATGTCCCGCCTCCAGCGGCTCGGAGGTCTTCACTTATTGGCCTCCCCAAACCAACATGGCGGCCCCCTACAAACTTCAAGCGCCGGTCTCTCCTAGCCAATCAAAAGAAAGATATTTCTGAATCCCGCCTCTTTCAGCAGCCTTGCTGGCCAATCAGACCACACCATGAAGCATCAATACAGAAAAGGGGGAACCCGCTGGCCCAATGGCAGCGTCCTACAGTGTAGCCTCCGCCTCCCGATTGACTGGCCTGCTTGGCAAGGCAAGTAGCGGCGGCGCTTCAAGGTGGGTGTTCACGTTTTGGCCGTGAAAGTCGGGCTTGGGCAGCGTGGCGTCGGGGGCGAGTGTGGTGTCCCCGTTGGCGCCGCCAGCTCTGCGCCTGGGCTTCCCCTCGGCTCACTCAGGATCCGCGGCCTCCGTGTCCTTCAGGTGCAGCGGGGAGCCGGCTCTCAGGGCGCATGCGCCGCCCGCTCTGCGCCACCGGCCTAGTTAGGGTCGGAGATCACTGGGAAGGTGGGGAAGGTGCTGGGTTGGGTCCCTGGAACTGCAGTCAGTGATCCAAAGGAGTGGGCCTGTTAGGGGGTTCACAGGTCGTGGGATGAGCTCTTATGAGCGCCGGCTAAGTGCCGGGCTCTGGGGTGCCCTTGGCATGTACGGGCTCCCCTAATTCCCAAGACCAACCGCCCCCAACCCACTTCATAGGTGAGAAGACGGAGGTCAGGTCACATCATCTGCCCAAGGTCACGCGGCAGGCTGGGGGACAGTTCCAGGAGGGCCTTGAAGCTGGGGAAAGGAATGTGGTACCGAGGACTGTTCAGGCCTTGAAGAGTTTCCAGCAGGGCAGGGCTGGGTTCCGATCCTCGGCCCACCTCCTTATCGTGTGACTTCCGACAAGTCACTTTTTTATCTTTTTTTTGAGACAAGGTCTCACTCTGTCGCCCAGGTTGGAGGGCAGTGGTGCAGTCTGGGCTCACTGCAACTTCTGCCTCCTGGGTTCAAGCGATTCTCCTACCTCAACCTCCCGAGTAGCTGGGATTATAAGTGCCCACCACCACACCTGGCTAATTTCTGTATTTTTTGGTAGGGACGGGGTTCCACCATGTTAGCCAGGCTGGTCTCAAACTCCTGACCTCAGGTGATCCACCTGCCTCAGCCTCCCAAAGTGCTGGGATTACAGGCGTGAGCCACCACACCCAGCCCTAGCGAGTCACTCAACAAACTGAGTCCCAGCGCCTTATTTGTGCCTCCCTCGTGGAGTCCTTGTAAGGATAGGATGGCAGCGCTTTCCACCCCTGGGCACGGTTCCTGGGGGAGGAGAGCTAACAAAGTTCGCTCTCAGTGCATGCTGGCGGGGGCTGGTAATGTTGTTTTTGGTTAGATTTGGGGAGGATGAAGGGAGGAGCAGAAAGGTGGGAAACAGGATCTCTGGGAGGGAGAAAGGAAGGATGGATTTAAAAGGTTTCTTAGGTGAGGCAGAACTTGGGGTCCACAGAAACTGAATTGTAGCTCAGCCAAGCTGAATCAGATGGAAAGCTGGGAGGCGCTGGGAACAGGAAAGCCATCTGTGCCTCTGACAGCAATGGGGTGCGAGTAGAGGGCAAAGTGACACATGTCAGTGGAGACTTGGGATCCTTGCGGTGCCAGTCTCAGAAGAGGATGGTTCTTGGGCACACCCCACCCTCCATCCCTTTTTATGCCACCAGATGCGCTGCCTGACCACGCCTATGCTGCTGCGGGCCCTGGCCCAGGCTGCACGTGCAGGTAGGACCAAAGAAGCCTTTGCTGGGGGTAGGGGAGTCCAGTCTCCTGGTATGACGTCACGCCCTTCTTTTTGCAGGACCTCCTGGTGGCCGGAGCCTCCACAGCAGTGCAGTGGCAGCCACCTACAGTGAGTACCTGGGTGGCCTCTAGCCTCAGGTGTTCCTGACTGGTCCTGCTGGAGTAGGGGAAGAGACCTGAGTTCCAGTCCTGGCTTTGTCAGGGGCGTTCTTCTCTGAGCCTGTTTCCACTTTTAAAATGATTATGGTGATGGAGACTGACTCTGATTCACAGGGGCAGGGTCCATCATTGCCGAGGTTAGCATGTGTGATCTCAGAGCTCCCTGGGTGTGATGGGGAGGGGGTTGCCAGGTGTGAGCCATGGGTACCTGTGCCTATTGCCAGTCCCTGGTGAAGGCAAAGGCTCAAGCCCCCCACCTACCCCCCTTGATTCCTCTTTCAAGCCCTGTTGGGCAGGGAAGTGCGTCTGGGCTCCAATGGCCACCCAAGCACAGGGAGAGGTAGGCACGGACGGGCTCAGGCCAGAGGCGGCCTCCAGGGTCCTTGCTGAGGCTGGGGAGAGGTGTGGTGAGTGTACAGCCCCTTTGTAGCCCAGCAGTTGCACCTGGAAGTGAGGGCCAGGCTGCTCTCCCTGAGGCTCCAGGGAGACAGTGTGTGAGGCCTCTTGCCATGGCCTCCCTGCCCGCCTCTCTGCAGAGTATGTGAACATGCAGGATCCCGAGATGGACATGAAGTCAGTGACTGACCGGGCAGCCCGCACCCTGCTGTGGACTGAGCTCTTCCGAGGTGCGTCCTGGGCATGAGGGGACAGGGAAGGTGCCGGGTGGGCACGGATGCATGGGGGAGGAGGGTGCCCCTGCCCACCACACCCGTGCTGCCCACAGGCCTGGGCATGACCCTGAGCTACCTGTTCCGGGAACCGGCCACCATCAACTACCCGTTCGAGAAGGGCCCGCTGAGCCCTCGCTTCCGTGGGGAGCATGCGCTGCGCCGGTACCCATCCGGGGAGGAGCGTTGCATTGCCTGCAAGCTCTGCGAGGCCATCTGCCCCGCCCAGGTGAGCCCCTGCCCCAACCGGCCACCACGCCAGCCCCTGCCACTGGGAGAGGGAGGCCAGGCAGCCCTAGGCCCAAACCCTAGCCCCTGCTTGATGTGCGTCCCCAGGAAGTCCCTTTCCCCCTCTGAGCCACTTCCCTCGTGAATGGGAATGATGAGGGCTTGTTACCAGAGCACAGAGTCAGTGAGTTGGCAGAGTGAAGCTTCCAGCCCTGGGCAGGCGCCTGACACACAGAGGTTCCCCCTTGGGGTCTGGCCAAGGGTGTGACCCCTGGGCCTCTGAGCCATGGGGTGACACCTGAGGCCATCCACGCCTCCCTGGATGTAGCCACCGTTTCCGGAGTCCTGCTTGTGTGCCTGTTGCAGCTTCCCTTCCCCAGTGGCTGCTCCCCTGAGGCCCGGCTTTCCGTTCTCTTAGTGGGTCTCGTGCTTACCCGTGGGGGCCAGGCCTGCCAGCACGGGAACAATATGACTCGGTCAGAGCTCTGGTCAGACCCCTGTGTGTGCCTGGCAGGAGCCCCGGCAGCCGCCGCCGCTACTTTCTGTGTGCACAGCAACCCCTCCCAGTGTTCTGTGACTCGGGTGGCTCCTGTCCAGATCCTAGTTTGTCCTCTGGAGCACTCCCAGGTCCTCCAGGCCATGAGCTGCGGCCCTGATGTCTCTACTCCAGCCACGGACTGAGAGTGCATAGGAGTGTCCCCAAACAGCAGTCACGATGGTCACAACCTTGGCTTCCAGACAGTGAGTGCTGTCCACAGACAGACCCGGTGCTGTGCCATGTGTGTGACTCACAGCCTCTCCTGTAATCTCCACAACCCCTCGAGGAGGTCGAGGTTATTGTCTCCATCTTTATAAGCACTAAAGGATGAGCCTGCCAGCCACAGGTCCCACTGTGAGTTGTGGACACTACATTTCTGGGATGGGGGCATATGAGAGTCCTTGCCAAGCACATTTGAAGGTTTTCCCAGCCAGCCCCTCCCCCAGCGGGCTACCCAGGAACTGAGAGTTAGGACGTGCCCTTGAGTTTGGGCTGTGCCCCCACTTGCTGTGTAGCTTTGGGGAGCCCCTCAACCTCTCGGAACCTTGTTTTTCTCATCCATCAAATGGAGAGAAGTAGATTTAAGGCACAGGATTGCACCCAACAGTGTAGGCATTCTTGGCGATGTTGCAGGTTCGGCTCCAGACCATCGGGGTAAACTGAGTCACACAGCTGTTTTGGTTTTCCAGTGCATTTAAAAGTTAGATTTAGACCGGGCACAGTGGCTCATGCCTGTAATTCCAGCACTTTGAGAAGCCGAGGTGGGCGGATCACTTGAGGTCAAGAGTTCGAGACCAGCCTGGCCAACATAGTGAAACCCCGTCTCTACTAAAAATAACAAAACTTAGCCGGGCACGTTGGCAGGTCCCTGTAATCTCAGCTACTTGCTAGGCTGAGGCACGATAATCACTTGAACCGGGAGGTGGGGGTTGCAGTGAGCCAAAATTGAAAAAAAAAAAAAAAATTAGGGCCGGTTGCGGTGGCTCACGCCTGTAATCCCAGCACTTTGGGAGGCCAAGGTGGGCGGATCACAAGGTCAGGAATTCAAGACCAGCCTGGCCAACATGTTGAAACCCCGTCTCTAGTAAAAATACAAAAATTAGCCGGGTGTGGGGTTGCACACCTGTAGTCCCAGCTACTCAAGAGGCTGAGGCAGGAGAATTGCTTGAACCTGGGAGGCGGAGGTTGCAGTGAACTATGATTGCACCACCATACTCCATCCTGGGCCACAGAGCAAGACTTCGTCTCAAAAAAAAAAAAAGGATTTACACTGTACTGTAGGCTGCGAAGTGTCTAAAACACAATGTATATACCTTAATTAAAAATACTTTAGGGGCCAGGCACAGTGGCTCACACCTGTAGTCCAAGTGCTTTGGGAGGTCAAGGTGAGGGGATTACTTGAGCCCAGGAGTTTGAGACCAGCCTGGGCAACATGGCAAAACCCCGACTCTACAACAACAACAAAAAATACAAAAAATTAGCCCCTGTAGGCCCAGTTACTTGGGAGGTTGAGGTGGGAGGATCGCTTGAGCCTGGGAGGTTGAGGCTGCAGTGAGCTATGAGCTGCACCACTGTACTCCAGCCTGGGTGACAGGGCAAGACTCTGTCTCAAAAAACAAAAACAACAACAAAAACTTTATTCCTAAAAAGTGCTGACCCAGAGATAAGAAGCAAGCACATGGTTGGTAAAATGACATCAGTGAGCTTGCTTTATGCAGGGTTGCCCCAAACCTTCAATTTGTAAAACTCAAAATATCTGGAAAGCTTGGTGAGGCGAGGCGGGACTGTAACTCAGCACTCACCGCAGGGTGAGACCCTTAGGGCAGCGGGTGCTACACTGAACAAAGCGGTGAACAGCCCCCTCGTGAGAGGGGGTTCTTGGCAGATGACGCCAGCAGCTGACAAACAGGCAAGGCAGGCCGGGCACGGTGGCTCACGCTTGTAATCCCAGCACTTTGGGAGTCCAAGGTAAGCGGATCACAAGGTCAAGAGATCGAGACCATCCTGGTCTACATGGTGAAACCCCATCTCTACTAAAAAATACAAAAATTAGCTGGGCGTGGTGATGCACACTTGTAGTCCCAGCTACTCAGGGGGCTGAGGCAGGAGAATCACTTGAACCGGGAAGGCCGAGGTTGCAGTGAGCCGAGATTGTGCTGCTGCACTCCAGCCTGGCGACAGAGCGAGACTCTATCTCAAAAAAAAAAAAAAAAAAAAAAAAACCAGCAAGGCAGGGACGCCAGCAGGGCACGTGCTGAGGAGACAGGCGCGAGCACCAGAGGTGCAGGGCGGCCTCTTAGCCGGAGTCCAGGAGGCCTTTGAGGGGAGAGGGCTTCTGGCAGACCCCAGGGGTGGGGATGAGCAGTGACAGGGGCCCTGGGGGCTGGGATGTGACAGGGCAGCGTGGCAGTGTCTGGTGGCCCCTCCCGCAGGCCATCACCATCGAGGCTGAGCCAAGAGCTGATGGCAGCCGCCGGACCACCCGCTATGACATCGACATGACCAAGTGCATCTACTGCGGCTTCTGCCAGGAGGCCTGTCCCGTGGATGCCATCGTCGAGGCACGTGAGGCCCCCGGGTGGGAGGGGGCCTGAGGCTCCTCAGCAGGGCCTAACCACCGTCCCTGCACCTCAACCTGCAGGGCCCCAACTTTGAGTTCTCCACGGAGACCCATGAGGAGCTGCTGTACAACAAGGAGAAGTTGCTCAACAACGGGGACAAGTGGGAGGCCGAGATCGCCGCCAACATCCAGGCTGACTACTTGTATCGGTGACGCCCCACCGGCCCGCAGCCCCTGCTGCCCAATAAAACCACTCCGACCCCACGGCCTCTTGTCTTGACTCTGGTGGTCCAGGGTGGGGCCGTTCCCGGCCTGCCTGAGGCCTGTGGTGCCTCCAACTGGACTAGGTCGCCACCTAGTCTTTATGCTCTCTGGAGTCCTGCTGCCCCAGCCCTGCCTTCCTGTAGACTCCAGGGCCCCACCAGGCTCTCATGGCTAGACCACAGGCCGCAGCATCCCTGTCACCCTGCCTCTTCCTGGGCGTCTTCCCCAAGGCCCAGCGATGCCAGAGGTCACCACAGACCTGCCGTTCCCACTCTCCCGGGTGTCCTGGCTGGGGCCTGGGCCTCCTGTCTCCCAAGAGCCATCCACTTGTAAGACGCTTAGGACTTGGAGCCTCCCAAGACCTCAGGCTGAAGAACAGCAAGTGGCAGAAACTCAGGCCGGGGCATCCTTGCTGGGGGTAGGAGGAAGCCTGCTTGGGGTGACAGTCACACGAGGGTGACACAGGCCCTGCTGGCCCTGAGCTGGCCTGCGTCCAGCCACATCCTCTTTCCTGTGTTCCCTACGCCAGGGTGCTGGCCCGGCCACTGCTCACCACTTCCTGCTTTGCTGGCCCAGCGACACGGTGGGGTTTCCCTAGGGCCACACACAAGCCCCTTGCCCATATAATGGCCAAAAGCAGCCCCCCTGAACTTGTGCTAAGTACTGTGGAAGGATTTCACTTCATTTGCAGTGAGGAAACCAGCTCCGAGAGGTGAAAGGGCTTGCTCAGGGCCATGCAGGGCACATCCCATAATAAAACTCAGTTCAGAGACCTTGACCCCCCCCATCTACCATCATTTCCAAAAGTGCTTTTTACAAAGCACTACTTTGTAAAAAGCTACTTCTTCGAAAGAACAAGTTTCCTGGCCCAGTGAGTGTTGGAAATGCTCCAGCTGCTGTGTGCCTGCTGGCAGGTACTGCATGGTAGACATTCAAGGCTCTGAGAAGGCCTGCAGCAAAAACACCAGCCTCTCCCAGCCCATTCCCAGGGAGCTTTTCTCAGGTCTAACACCTGGGCCTCCTTCCTAGACCAGGCATTGCCATCTAATGCCAAAGTGGCCAGGCTCCCGCTTGGGCCCCACAGCCTGTGGCACTGGGGTGAGAAGTAACTGCAGGAGGCGAGGGGAAGCCTGGAGCCCGGGAAGTGTCCACAGGTCTGGCCCGCAGCTCATCTTGGCCACTGATGAAAACAGGTGTTCTTTCCAAAAACAAGGCAGGCGCAGGACTCCTGAAGCACCGCCGGTTTAGCTTTTCCCAGACGTAACCGCCGTCAGAGCGTGGCATGGAGCCTGTAGCTGTGCACTGAATACTTCTATTCCAAGCGGGTCAGTCTTTCCAGCTCACCGCTGGGTTCTTTCCCTTACCGTGGTCTCCCAGGCACTTACTGCTGAGACCCCACTCAGGCTGTCTGGTTGTATCAGGCCCCGACCCTGTCAGAACAGGCCTATGGCGCCCAACCACAAGTCCCCCAATTTTCTGAGGAACCACAGCTGAGCTTGGCTGTGACTCAGTTTCCAGGCCCGGCTCTGGGGCTCCACTTGTCCACCCCTGCCGCAGCCCCACAGGCCTGTGCTCGCTGTGTGGGGCTTAGGGATCACCAGAGCTGAAGGGCCCCTGGCCTCCAGTGGGAATGCCCCAGGCCTGTCCAAAGTGCAGGCAGCTGGACGGTCGTGAGTCCCAGCTTCCAGGCACTAGGACCTGATGACGCCCATGGTGCTGACCTGGAGCAAGGTCACAGTGACACCCCCCTCTACCCCCCGCGGCTGCAGCTGCAGGTGGAGCTGACAGCTGGCCTCTGGCCCCAGGGTATCTCCCAGGGCCTGCTGGGTGCGGGGCGCTGGGCAGAACAAGGCAGCATGGCCTGGCCCTGTGTCCTGCTGCCAGTGAAGCAGGCCCAGAGTGGGGCAGCCACCCACCCAAGGGCCAGAGCGGGGCCTCTCCAGGGTGGTCAAGAGCAGGAAGGTGTAAGCACCGGCGGGTTTCACTGCCGCCCAAGGGAGGGGTCCCGGAGGTGGGGGAGCATCCTGGGGACCCCAAGCCCATGAGCCTGCGAATGTTGGGGTCCCATCAGCCAGAGGCGCACAAGCCTCGAAGTGAGAGGAGAGCAGGGTCTCATCTCCTATCCTGAGCTGGGCCTGAGCGGAGCTGCCCCTGCATCGGGGCCAGCATAGACGCGCGCGGTTGGCAGTGGTCTGTTATCCGCTCCTTTCTCCAGGCCTCCTCTCCGGGATTAAGCGCCTCAGGACCCGTCCGCCAGGCCACAGCCTGGGCTCAACCTCTCCCAGACTTCCTGGACTCCAGTGGAGCCTTGGGCCGGGGGCGGGGCGTCCCTGGCCCCTCCCCGTCGTCCCGCCTGCCCGGAAAGGAGTGAGCGGCGCCTAGTCCCGGGCTGGCGGGAGTGCAGTTCTGAGTCCCGCCCGGCGTGCGCGGAGCGGGGCAGCCAGCAGCGGAGGCGCGGCGCGCAGCACACCCGGGGTGAGTGCCCCTGCCGGGGTCTGCGGAGCCCCAGAATTTCCTGCCCACCCTCTTCCCCCTGCCCCGGGGAGGAGATCCTGGCGCCCCACCCAGTTGGCTCCGTGAATGCAGCTCAGCCCGCCACCCCGCAGGGTGTCAGGCCTTGCGGGGGGCCACGGAGGATCCCCAAGGGAGGAGGAGAAGGATGGGGTGTTTACCAACACAGCCCAGCGTTCCCGGGCCTGGTGTGCGCGGAGCTTTCCCCGCTGCTGCTTCCTTGGAGGGAGGGACCCATTCTACAGATGGGGAAGCTGAGACCACACAACTAGGAAGTGTCAGAGCTGGAGACCAGCTGGGTCATTTGACTCCAGAGCCCACCCCATTTGGAATGGAGGGGGCGCCAGACCCTCTCCTACTGCCTTCCCATCATCTGGAGGGGAGGGCAGAGGTGCAGAGAGACCTGCTGGGTTCCTGGAGGGGCCAGGAAAGGGGCACAGGGTGAGGAGTGGGCTGGAGCCTGGACCCCAGGGCCGCAGGATGGAGGCGTATTCATTTACACCATAAAAGTGGCTGGGTGACCCTGGCTAGAGCGGGGACCAAGGGGGACAGGGGTAGGGGGTGAGCCAGTGGAGCCTCACATGCCAGGCACGGGGGCTGATCACGTCCCCACACCTTTCCCCCCGCCCATTACAGGTTGTTCCCCCACCCCCTGGGAAGTGCTGGAAGGAGCCCGGCCCTCGAGCCCTCGGCATAGTGGCTGTGGGAGCCCTGATGGCCCTGAGCCAGGGGTGACCCCTCCCCAGATCCCCAGAGCTGATTCCCCACACCTCCTTATTTGGCCAGCACAGCCCCAAAGGGAGCCAGGTCAGACACAACCCTCCTCTGAGCTCACCCTTTGTGCTGGGCACATAACATTGGACTTTACCTCTCCAAGTGTCAGTGGAGTCCTGTATGAAACAAAAGCACCGTACCCCCTCCCCAAGGGTTTCTCCCCCCAGGGATTAGTGTGAGGTCGTGTGGATGAAGGGATTCAGTTGAGGCTCTGGTTATTTTTGTCACCTCCCTAGATCCTGTCTCTGTCAGGGGTGCCACGTCCCATTCACCCAAAGAGGAAGTAGAGGCACAGAGAGGGTGAGAGACTTGCCCAAGGTCACACACCCAATCTCAGCCTGGGCTCCAAGTCCCTCTGCCCTGTGGCCGGGCCTGGTCCTTAGGGATGGAACCCAGCCCCGCTGCCCCCTGCCCTGCCCACCTGCAGCCTTGGGCCATCTGCTCAGTGTTCCCTCGTTCCCTCCTTCTCTCCTTTCCCAGGCTGGGGCTGGGGCTGCGTTTCCCTGTTTAGAGTTAAGTAAACCAGACCCAGGGGAGGAAGTGACTGGCTGGGCAGGCGGGGCCCTGACCAGGCCTGTCCCCTCCCCCTAATTTTCGAGCTAAGCAACTGATTCCCACAGAGGGGCCCTGGGCCCTGAGAGCAGTGGCTTTGGAGCTGGAGGGGCCCCAGCATCCAGGGCGGGTTGGAGGTGGCCTGGCACCTGCCCCCACCCCACATCGGCCTTGAGCAAGGCCCCGGGCCCTTCCCCGCCATTCTGTAGTTTCACTTTTGTTGGTTTCAACACCTGGAAGGCTGCGGCTGCTGCCGGGCGGCCCGGGCCTCAGGGGACAGCCCCCCCACAGCAGTGCTCCCTGGCTAGCCCCAGGGTACCCGGTGGAGATGCCCGCTCCTACCACTCAGCACATGCAGCTCCACAGGGAGCAGCGAGGGCTCCAGCCACCCCCGGGGCAGCCCTGGGCCTAAGTGCCTGGGCCAGTGGGGTCCTGTCTAGGGTGACGGCAGCCCGAGAGGAGGGAGGCCAGAGTGAAGGTGGGGGTGGAGCCGGTGTCACTGGGAGACGCTGGAGGTAGGGGCGGGGGTCCCCATGGGCAGAGCAAGCCAGGAGAGAGCTTGAGGTCGGCCTGAGGGTGGGCTTCGGGGTCTCCCAGTCCCACTGCTTACTTTCTGCGTGACCTCAGCACCGCATCAAGCCTGCCCAGGCCTCAGTTTCCACCTCTGTCAGATGGGGGTGGTAACAGCAGCTTCCAGGATTCAGTGAGTGAAGGTGCACAGGTGCCCGTGGTTGGGAACTGTCTGTGGTCTGCCCCTGACTGGCCCCCATCCGTGTCCACCCACAGGACCATGGGCTCCATGTTCCGGAGCGAGGAGGTGGCCCTGGTCCAGCTCTTTCTGCCCACAGCGGCTGCCTACACCTGCGTGAGTCGGCTGGGCGAGCTGGGCCTCGTGGAGTTCAGAGACGTGAGTTGGGTGGGCAGGCGTGGGAAGGGGGCTACTGCCAAGGTTAGCCCGGAGGCCGGTCCAGGATGGGGACTGCCCCCCCTCCGCCATAGGGCCCTGGCCCCATTTGAACCCCAGCGGCCCCTGCCATGGGCACTGCTCATGGGAAGCCCGCAGCTGAGGCCCCTGAGCTGGCTCCTCCCCATACCCTCCTGGGGCATGGGGTCTGGTCTGTGCTCTGATCTGCGTCTTGTGGCTCCCAGGGCACTCCACACCTTTCTGGAGGAGGCAGCTAAGGCCTGGGGAGAGTCAGGCCTGGGCTCTAGGGTGAGGAGCTCCCTGACCCCCTTCCCGGGACACTCACCCCTCCGTGTGGCACCCACAGCTCAACGCCTCGGTGAGCGCCTTCCAGAGACGCTTTGTGGTTGATGTTCGGCGCTGTGAGGAGCTGGAGAAGACCTTCAGTGAGTTGGTCCCAGGCCTACATTCCAGGCAGGCTTCCTGGAGGAGGCATGGGCCAAGTTTGATCTGAAAGGAAGAGTCTGGGTTTGCCAGGTGGAAGGCAGAGAAGGGAGGTATATGCAGGGCCCTGCAGGGCCAAGACAGAGCAGCTGGGATCTGTGAAGTGTGCTTGCGAAGGTGGCTGCCTTGTGTGGGCTGAGCAGAGGGCCTAGGGCAGGGCTGGCTGGGGAGGCCTCGAATACAGCATAAGAGCCCAGGACTTCGTCCTGTGGGCGCCAGGAAGCCACAGGGGTTTCTAAGCAGGGAAGAGGCACAGACAGCTTTCTCCTCTACAGCTGGGCTGGGGTGGGTGGGGCCCAGGATCTAGGGTAGGGTACCCCTAAGGAGCAGGCAAAAGGGACCCCTGCCCTGGGCAACCCCTCTCAGGAGGAGCCTGTGGGGGCACCAAGGCAGGGGCATGGGGCAGGCAGGGTTTTGTGTTTGCTGGTGCAGTTTACAGCTTTTCAATGATCAGGCAGACACAGGACTCACGCCAGCTCCGGTCCCAAGCCCTGCAGCGCAAGGGCCGGCCTGTGGGGAGACCTCAGGCCCTCTTCTGAGTGGTGGCCAAGGGACTGGGGAGGGAGAGTGAGCCCAGACCTGAGCTCAGGGAGGGGAGCACAGCTTCTGGATGAAAGTTTGGCCGGGATTTTCTGGCCACCTCCACCTGGTGAATCCAGCAGCTGGTGGCCGATGGAGTTTGGGGCAGCAGGTGGGGCCCTCAACTGTTGAGACAACCTCAACTGCACCCCACTCCCGTTCCTCTGCGCCCAGCCTTCCTGCAGGAGGAGGTGCGGCGGGCTGGGCTGGTCCTGCCCCCGCCAAAGGGGAGGCTGCCGGCACCCCCACCCCGGGACCTGCTGCGCATCCAGGAGGAGACGGAGCGCCTGGCCCAGGAGCTGCGGGATGTGCGGGGCAACCAGCAGGCCCTGCGGGCCCAGCTGCACCAGCTGCAGCTCCACGCCGCCGTGCTACGCCAGGGCCATGAACCTCAGGTCAGCTCCCACCCAGGCAGGAGACTGGGGGGCTGGGGAGGGGCTGTCCAGCCTAGGGCTCATGGTGCTTCTGGGTTCCTAGCTGGCAGCCGCCCACACAGATGGGGCCTCAGAGAGGACGCCCCTGCTCCAGGCCCCCGGGGGGCCGCACCAGGACCTGAGGGTCAAGTGAGTGAGGGATGACCTCATGCCCTTTCTGGCCAGCCCAGAACCCCTGGCCAGTCGCTGGGCTGGGCCAGGCTGAGCTCCGACTCCTTGTCCAGTGCTCTCCCCAGGCTGGCCCCGCCTCCTCCTTCAGGCCCGGAACTTCCCACAGTCCCAAGCCCTAGCCCTAGGGGGTTCTCCTCTTCTGGTCCTGCCCGGGAGGCCTCCTGCCTTCCCCTGTGGGCAGGGCCAGTGTGCCCAATTGCCCGATTGCCCGTGCTGGGCAGGGTCCTGCCCGGGGGGCCTGGTGGGGGAGGCAGGGCAGGAGGTTGGAGCAGCCCTGCCCAGCCCCGTGGCCGCCAGCTTTGTGGCAGGTGCCGTGGAGCCCCACAAGGCCCCTGCCCTAGAGCGCCTGCTCTGGAGGGCCTGCCGCGGCTTCCTCATTGCCAGCTTCAGGGAGCTGGAGCAGCCGCTGGAGCACCCCGTGACGGTGAGCAGCTGGCGCTGGGCTGGGGGGTCCTGGGCAGAGCGGGACCCCAGAGTCAGCTGAGCCTGCTCTGCAGGGCGAGCCAGCCACGTGGATGACCTTCCTCATCTCCTACTGGGGTGAGCAGATCGGACAGAAGATCCGCAAGATCACGGACTGGTGAGTCACTGGGAACACCCGCCCCACCGCCCTGCTCCCCAGGCCCCTGCTGTCACCTCCCAGCCCGCCCTATCGTGACTCCTCCCCATGAGCTCCCTTCAGACTCAGAGTCTCGTAGCTGTGTCCTTCTGGCCCCTCACGCAGCGCATCCTCCCTCCAGCTTCCACTGCCACGTCTTCCCGTTTCTGCAGCAGGAGGAGGCCCGCCTCGGGGCCCTGCAGCAGCTGCAACAGCAGAGCCAGGAGCTGCAGGAGGTGGGTGCCCCCGGCCTTCCGGAGGCGGGTGTAGGAGGTGGGTGCCCCCGGCCTCCCGGAGGTGGGTGCAGGAGGTGGGTGCCCTGGCCTGGCCTCCAGGAGGTGGGTGCAGGAGGTGGGTGCCCTGGCCTGGCCTCCAGGAGGTGGGTGCAGGAGGTGGGTGCCCCCGGCCCAGCCACCCCACCTGCCTGCCCAGCCCCCGCTGACTGCCCACTCTGGCGCAGGTCCTCGGGGAGACAGAGCGGTTCCTGAGCCAGGTGCTAGGCCGGGTGCTGCAGCTGCTGCCGCCAGGGCAGGTGCAGGTCCACAAGATGAAGGCCGTGTACCTGGCCCTGAACCAGTGCAGCGTGAGCACCACGCACAAGTGCCTCATTGCCGAGGCCTGGTGCTCTGTGCGAGACCTGCCCGCCCTGCAGGAGGCCCTGCGGGACAGCTCGGTGAGCAGCCTGAGGCCTCGCCCCCTCTCCGCCCGCCCCTCCTACCAGGCCGGGGCGTTTCTGCCTCACTTCCAGCCTCTGGCTCCCTGCACCTGGGCTTTGCCTAGGGGCTCCTTCTCCTCCCAGCCTCCTCCATGGCCCACCGCTTCCAGGGAGTCTGCCCTGATGGCCCTGGCCCAGCAAGCCCTACCCTGACTTTCCTAAGTCCCTGGAGGCTGCACAGGATAGTTTTAAAGTCAGAAGCCTCATTCCAATCCAGGCCCCCCTGTGACCTTAGGCCTGCTCATGGTCTGTGGAACCGGTGTGATGCCCCTGCCTCCGGGGGTCACCCGCCGCGCACAGCAGGTGCTTGCGGGTGAGGCTGGGCTCCTTCTCCTGGGCCGTCCCTAGGAGGCAGCATGCTTGCCTTTCCCAAGCAATTGCCAATCCATGTGGTGTCTTTGGGCCCCCACCAGGGCAGAGCAGGGCTGATCATCTCACGTCAGAGAGAGGGGAAGGGGCTGCCCAGTGAGCCCCCACAGGGCTCTACATC
Source organism: Homo sapiens (assembly GCF_000001405.40). Classification (NCBI taxonomy): domain Eukaryota; kingdom Metazoa; phylum Chordata; class Mammalia; order Primates; family Hominidae; genus Homo; species Homo sapiens. The sequence goes on from NC_000011.10 coordinate 68,044,877, forward strand.
TCCAGCTGGGCCTGGCTGGAGATCCCAGGGTCCCTGAAGGCCCCCGCCACCGTTCTGGTCTGTCTCTGCCCTGGCACCCAGATGGAGGAGGGAGTGAGTGCCGTGGCTCACCGCATCCCCTGCCGGGACATGCCCCCCACACTCATCCGCACCAACCGCTTCACGGCCAGCTTCCAGGGCATCGTGGATGCCTACGGCGTGGGCCGCTACCAGGAGGTCAACCCCGGTGAGAGCCACGGCATCCTTACCCGTGTCCTGGGAGGCTCAGCTGCCCCACTGGGTGGGTGTGAGCCTGAGGGGGAGGTATCTCCATCCTGGGCCTGGCCTGCCCTCCTGGGATGAGGGGCACACATCCCATCACTCTCAAGGGGCTGTTGGGCTCTGCAGCCAGTGTGAGGCTTTATGTCGGCCCCCAGCCAACTCCCCCTTGTTGAGTTTACAAGGGAGCCGGCACGGGCTTGTGCAAAGAACAGAGGCTGTGCGGTGGGCATGGCCCAGGTTGGAAGCCCATCTCGCCTACTTTGAGACATTTCTTAGCTTCTCTGAGCCTCAGCTGCCTCACCTGCAAAATGGAAATAATAGCGCAAACCTCAGAGGAATGTTGGGAAGCTTAGTGACTGTTGGAGACTGCAAGCTGGAGCCAGGGGCAGCCTTTGGTGTGGTTGCTTTGGTTGCACAGCTTTTTTTTTTTTTTTGAGATAGAGTCTTGCTCAGTTGCCCAGGCTGGAGTGCAATGGCATGATCTCGGCTCACTGAAACCTCCGCCTCCCAGGTTCAAGCGATTCTCCTGCCTCAGCCTCCCAAGTAGCTGGGATTACAGGCACGCACCACCACGCCTGGCTAATTTCATATTTTTAGTAGAGATGGGGTTTCACCATGTTGGTCAGGCTGGTCTTGAACCCCCGACCTCACGTGATCCACCCACACAGGCCGTTGGGGGCCCAAGCACCCTGACTCTTGCCCACTGGATGAGGCAGGGCCCCTCCCTGTCCTGTGACCAAGTCCCCTCCCGACATGGGCTCCACCACATCACACCCATGCTATGGGCCGGGCCCCCACTCAGTGTCACTGGGGGCACTGGGGGGTTTGCTGCTTCTGCAGGGCCAGTGTCCTGGGGCTGGATCTGGGCCCCAACAGGATTCCCCTGCACGTGGGCAGAGGCTGGTGCAGCTAGAGCATCACCTGGAGGCCCGTGGCAGATAGAATGCTGCCAGCTCAAAGCACCAGCCGTCGGGGCAGCGTGTTTGCCAGGGAAGCTGTAACAAAGTGCCACCGGCTACTGGCTTAAGGGGCAGACACGGTCCCACAGTCCTGGAGGCTGGAAGTCCAAGACCAAGGTGTCAGCAGGGGCCGGGGGCACTGGCTGATGCCTGTGATCTCAGCACTTTGGGAGGCTGTGGTGGGAGGAGGATCTCTGGAGTCCAGGAGTTCGAGACCAGCCTGGGCAACATAGCAAGCCCTTGTATCTTAAAAAAATAAAAGATGATGAGGTGTTGTCAGCAGGAGTGGCTCCTTCTGAGGCTGTCCAGGAAGATCTGTTCCCGGCCTCTCTCCTGGGCTTGGAGCGGCCGTCCTCATCTTCACACACTGTTCTCCTTCTATGTGGGTCCAAATGTTCCTTTTCATAAGGACATCGGGCACACTGGATTGGGGCCCACTGTAATGGCCTTATCTTAACCCAGTGACCTCTGTAAGGACCCTGTCTCCAAAGAAGGTCACATCTGGAGTTCCTGGGGGTTGCGACTCCAGTGTATCTTTTTTGGGGTCACAACACAGCCCCTGACAGTGTGTATGTTGGGGTCCTCCTGCCTCCCATGAGGACTTGTTCCCATTTTACTGATGGGAAGTCGAGACTTCAGAGCTGAAGTGACCAGCTCGGCCTCCCGGAACTTGCCATGTGCCAGCTGGGGCTGCCTGTGGCTCCCTGTCCTCTCTGGCTTCTGTGTGGAGCTCTGGGAACAGCAACAGCTGAAGCTGCTAACTTCCTGTGGCTCCAGCAGCTGGCCCGTGCTGCCCGTGGAGAACTTATGAAGTGGTCTGGTGTTACCTGCATTTTACAGATGGGGAAATGGAGGCTCAGAGAGGTGAAGTGGCTGGGCCAAGGTCACACAGCTCCTAAGTGGTGGGTTCTTTTTTTTTTTTTTTTTTTCGGAGACAGAATCTTCGCTCTGTCGCGCAGGCTGGAGTGCAGTGGCGCGAGCTCGGCTCACTGCAACCTCCGCCTCCCGGGTTCAAATGATTCTCCTGCCTCAGCCTCCTGAGTAGCTGGGATTACAGGCACCTGCCACCATGCCCAGCTAATTTTTCTGTTTTTAGTACAGGCAGGGTTTCACCGTGTGGGCCAGGCTGGTCTCGAACTCCTGACCTCGGGTGATGCCCCCCCCCCCCCCCGTCTCGGCCTCCCAGAGTGCTGGGATTACAGGCATGAGCCACTGTGCCTGGCTGCTAAGTGATGGGTTCTTGACTGCAGGCCAGCAGGGCCTCCGTGGCGTCTTGGGCCGGGAGGCAGATGCTGGTGTGTTCGGGGGTTCCCAGCTCACCCACCTCTGCCCACAGCTCCCTACACCATCATCACCTTCCCCTTCCTGTTTGCTGTGATGTTCGGGGATGTGGGCCACGGGCTGCTCATGTTCCTGTTCGCCCTGGCCATGGTCCTTGCGGAGAACCGACCGGCTGTGAAGGCCGCGCAGAACGAGGTGAGGGGCGGGGCTGGGGTCCTGATGAGGGTAGCAGGGCCAGGCAGCCCCTCACCACACCACTGCCCCCCCAGATCTGGCAGACTTTCTTCAGGGGCCGCTACCTGCTCCTGCTTATGGGCCTGTTCTCCATCTACACCGGCTTCATCTACAACGAGTGCTTCAGTCGCGCCACCAGCATCTTCCCCTCGGGCTGGAGTGTGGCCGCCATGGCCAACCAGTCTGGCTGGAGGTGAGGCCCGGGCCCCAGCCCGGCTGGGGGCCCCGCAGCACCCGCAGCCCTGACCGCCCTCCCCTGCGTTGCCGCAGTGATGCATTCCTGGCCCAGCACACGATGCTTACCCTGGATCCCAACGTCACCGGTGTCTTCCTGGGACCCTACCCCTTTGGCATCGATCCTGTGAGTCCTGGGATGGAGTGTCCGTGGGTGGTGAAGGCAGCTGGGAGTGGGGGCTGGGGCTCCCCTCGGTTCAGCCGTCCTGCAGCGCTGTCGCTGAGCACTCCTGTGTGCCAGGCCCTTTCCTCAGCACAAGAGGCAGACAAGCCTCCTGCCCTGCGGAGCCTGCATCACAGTCCCCTGAGTGTGCGGAGGCAAAGCGAGACCAGCCAGGAACCAGTCTCCTGAGTGTGCAGAGGCAAAGCGAGACTGGACAGGAACCAGCCTGCAGCTTGCACTGTGCCAAGCACTGTTCCCAACCCTCTGTGGAAGTGATTTTCTTTTTTCTTTTTTTTATTTTTGGATATAGAGTCTCATTCTGTTGCCCAGGCTGGAGTGCAGTGGTGTGATCTTGGCTCACTGCAACCTCCATCTCCCGGGTTCAAGCGATTCCCCTGCTTCAGCCTCCTGAGTAGCTGGGATTACAGGCGCCCGCCACCATGCCTGGCTAATTTCTGTATTTTTAGTAGAGACAGGGTTTCACCATGTTGGCTAGGCTGGTCTCGAACTCCTGACCTCATGTGATCCACCTGCTTCAGCCTCTCGAAGTGCTGGGATTACAGGCGTGAGTCACCGCGCCCAGCCTGATTTTCTATTTGAACCTCGTAACAACCCCGTGGGCCTCACATTAGTAGTGTCCTCACCTAAAGAAGAGACTGAGGCACAGAGGTCATGCCCAAGGTCACCCAGGCTGGCACCGTGGCAGCTGGCCCATCTGCGCTCTGTTGCCCCTCGGTGGGTGGGTGATGGATGAGGCTGCAGGCTCCGAGGGGGAAAACAGGGTGGTGAGAGAGTGACTCGGGCCGGGGACTTCCTGGCAGTGATGGCGAGGGAGCCCCTGAGTCCAGCCCACCCCTGCTGCCACCCTAGATTTGGAGCCTGGCTGCCAACCACTTGAGCTTCCTCAACTCCTTCAAGATGAAGATGTCCGTCATCCTGGGCGTCGTGCACATGGCCTTTGGGGTGGTCCTCGGAGTCTTCAACCACGTGTGAGGGCCAAGGCTGCCCGGGGGACGGGAGGCTGGCAGGCCAGAGTGGGCCCCAGTGAGCACACCTCCCTCTTGCCCGCCAGGCACTTTGGCCAGAGGCACCGGCTGCTGCTGGAGACGCTGCCGGAGCTCACCTTCCTGCTGGGACTCTTCGGTTACCTCGTGTTCCTAGTCATCTACAAGTGGCTGTGTGTCTGGGCTGCCAGGGCCGCCTCGGCCCCCAGCATCCTCATCCACTTCATCAACATGTTCCTCTTCTCCCACAGCCCCAGCAACAGGCTGCTCTACCCCCGGCAGGTGGGCTGCGGCTGGTGGGGGCCGGGCTCACACGGCCTCATGGGGACCCCGCGGTCACAGGGCCACTGGGAGCTGCAAGATCCTCGTCCGAGAAACGGGGATGCAGGCCCCGGGCCGTGCAGACAGGGCCGTCAGAGGTGATGGTGTGCATCTTTAGCAGGTGGCACAACTGGCACTGGGAACCGGGGGTCCCTTCCCTCAGGAGTCCTTATGGAGGCAGACCCTCACCCAGTGAGGGCACGGAGCCCCCGGGGGCCCTGGAGGGAGGAGCGACCGCAGGCTCTCTGGGCCCCGTGACTGCTGTGACTCAGGTTCCTTTGCAGGTGTGCACAGCAGGGACGCCCTGACTCTCGCCCTCTCCCTGGCAGGAGGTGGTCCAGGCCACGCTGGTGGTCCTGGCCTTGGCCATGGTGCCCATCCTGCTGCTTGGCACACCCCTGCACCTGCTGCACCGCCACCGCCGCCGCCTGCGGAGGAGGCCCGCTGACCGACAGGTGGGACCGGGGCCTAAGGTGTGGGGGGCTGCTTGCGGGGAGAGGCCACTGTCCGGTGTGTCCCTGACTCCTCGCTTCCTGACAGACTCCTGAGTGGCCAGGAGCAGGCCTGGCGGGTGGTGGGGGACCTCCTGGGGCTGGAGTGCTGCCAACACTGCCTGCTCATGCCCCAGGAGGAAAACAAGGCCGGGTTGCTGGACCTGCCTGACGCATCTGTGAATGGCTGGAGCTCCGATGAGGAAAAGGCAGGGGGCCTGGATGATGAAGAGGAGGCCGAGGTGGGTGCAGTGCCTTCCTGGGGGTGGGACGGCTGAGGCCCTGCCGGCCCTCACTGCACCCGCCCCGCAGCTCGTCCCCTCCGAGGTGCTCATGCACCAGGCCATCCACACCATCGAGTTCTGCCTGGGCTGCGTCTCCAACACCGCCTCCTACCTGCGCCTGTGGGCCCTGAGCCTGGCCCACGCCCGTGAGTGACCTGGCCACCGACGGCTGGCCCCAGCTCCTGGCTTCTCACATACCGCTGCTGGCTGGGCGGGTTGCTTCTCTCTGGGCCTCAGTTTCCCCTCTGTAAAGTGGGACTGTCCAAGGAGGTCCCTCGCTGGCCCCCCGTGCAGGGAGGGCTTCAGGCTGCGGCAGGTAGGTAGGGGGCTGGCAGGCACCCACTTGCCGTTGGCCCCCACTGTCTCCTTTGCTTGCAGAGCTGTCCGAGGTTCTGTGGGCCATGGTGATGCGCATAGGCCTGGGCCTGGGCCGGGAGGTGGGCGTGGCGGCTGTGGTGCTGGTCCCCATCTTTGCCGCCTTTGCCGTGATGACCGTGGCTATCCTGCTGGTGATGGAGGGACTCTCAGCCTTCCTGCACGCCCTGCGGCTGCACTGGTGAGCGACCACCCACTGGCCTGGGCTGCTCAAGGCGTGAGTTCCCCTCACCAACCCCTCTGCTTCTCACCCCCAGGGTGGAATTCCAGAACAAGTTCTACTCAGGCACGGGCTACAAGCTGAGTCCCTTCACCTTCGCTGCCACAGATGACTAGGGCCCACTGCAGGTCCTGCCAGACCTCCTTCCTGACCTCTGAGGCAGGAGAGGAATAAAGACGGTCCGCCCTGGCAGTGATGTCTCGTCTCTCTTCCCTCCTTTTTAGCTGAGGCAGGTGGCAGGGTAGAAGGCATGGTGTAGGATCTGGGACCTCAAAAGTCAAGGCCTGGACCTGAGCAGATCTGCAATAATGTCAGACTCTTGGGGTGAAAAGGGGCAGAAAAGGGCCAAGGAGAGATGTTTCCAGCACATTCTAACTTGGAGTGAGCAAATGTCTTCCCAGGCCGGGTCAGGGGAGTGAGCTCCCCATCCTTGGAGGTGTGCACCTGGCTGTGAGCGGGTGTCTGGGTTACTCTCTGTTGGGAGTGGTGCCAATATCCATGCCCTGGTGCCGGGCCTCAGGGGTCTGGAAGTACAGAGCAGTGTGGGGCACCTGAGCCCCGGCCAGTGCTCCATGCAGGGCCATGGTGTCACACGCCCAAGGCCACACACCTGCCAGGAAGGGTAGAGGCTGTCCCCAGCAGCAGACATTACCCAGGACCCCGGGGTTCAGAACAGGGGCTGAGCCTGACTCCAGGCCCAGCCTCCCCTCACCTGAGACTACAGTCTTCCTGATCCCTCCCAGGTGGTCCTTCCTGCGTTGCTGGCAGAATGGGGGTGGCTTTCTGCAGTTCCCTCTGGCCTGGGTCCCACCCCCACTGGGAGGCAGAGGAAGTGCTTCCCAGAAGCCAACAAGCTGCAAAGTGGTTCTTCCCACAGCTGTGGCTGAGGCCAGCTGCTGGGAGGAGCCTGTCCATTGGCTCCTGGACTGCTTTGCTCAGGACCTCTGGATGCCAGGGGTCGTATCAGGGGCTCTAAGGTAATTCCACATGCCCAGCAGATTCAGCTTAGAGAAACGGTGCTCACAGTGCTGGGGTAGGAGCAGAGAAGGCTAAATGAAGGACTCCGGAGAGCTGCAGGTGGATCTGGACCAAATCCAGAACCCAACGCCTTACTCCCTCCTGGGGAGAGAGCTGGGCAGAGACTTGGGGCGGGCAGTGAGGTGGGGATAGGTGAGCAGCACTCGTGGTGAGTGGCCCCAGTGTGATTTAGGAGGGGTGCAGTGTGGGATCCCAGGGACATGACCAGTCAGCCCCGCCCTGGCTTTGACATGGGGGTGCCTGGCAGTGGTGGCTAGAGAAGTCCAGTTTGCCAAGAGAATGGCACATAAGGCACTGGGGTGGGCACCTCTGGGGCATGGACATAGGGAGACATAGGGATGGGGTGGGTCACCTGCGTGGAGGACTGGGCACTGAACAGCACAGGCCCGAGCCCATCCTTGTCCACGTGAGCTTATGGCCTGATGTAGAGACCACCAGGGGCTCCAGGAAAGTTAAGCTGCATGGAGAGAAACGATGGGCCAGGGCCGGGCCCAGGGTGGTTTAGGGAATGGCAGTGTCCTGGGTAGAATAGGAAGGCCTGAGACTGTGACTGAGCTGACAGTGGGGCAAAGTGAAGGAGCCCAGTATTGGAAGATCGGCTCCACATGTATCTCTGCGAGGAGACTGCAAGCGAGCTCGTGTGGACCAGGCAGAGGCGAGGGCTGAGTGAGGCCAGCAGTGGCCTGGGCACAGGAAGACGGTGAGTGAGAAGCCACTGGAGCTCCTGTGCAGGAGCGCAACACCTTTACTGCTTCATTCAGTTTGGCTTCACCTGCTTAAAACTGTAACTCTCTAGAAGGCTGAACAGCAAAAGCCTCCCTCCTGCCCAGCCGCTCAGCATCCCCAGGCACCAGCACTGCTCCCAGTCTCCAACGTCCTCCAGGGCTCTTCGCTTCTGGGCTAGAAGCAGGGAAACCAGAGTGTGCTGGGGAAGAAGAGGAGGAGGTGGAGGAGGGCTGATGATGGGGCCACATGCTGCTGGGATGCCAGCTGAGAGCAGCGGAGCACTGCTAAGCTAAGGGGCTGAGTGGGTGCAGATGGAGCCCTCCGTGGGCTCCTTCAGGTACCAGGAGCCCTGCCTGAGATTCAGGACACATCCAAGGGTGACAGCTTGAGGTTGGGTTTTTATTTTTTTATTTGTATAGTACAATCTCTGTGGTAGCAGAAATATATGCACAAAAAACAATTCAAATAAGAGTTCAGAGTAAAAAAAAGTCAGCTAAGACTGTATCCCGCAGGACATTTCATATATATGGATTTCACAGCTACACTCGATCCACGCCCCACACCACATACAGGCTGCTGTCTCCCACAAGAATGATGATGTCAGGGGCATCAGGAAAGGTAAGGGCCGGGAAACCGGGCCCTTGGAGAACCCTGCCCAGGGGAGGCCCAGCCTACTCACAGGATCCGACACTCCAGGCAGAGCAGAGGGCAGGAGAGGCCCAAAGAGCTAGGTCAAGCAGCTGGCTCCCCTGGGAGGGGAGCCGGGAGACAGGGAGGTCCTCACACTGCCCCCGTGGCCACGCATGGCTGTCTGCACACTCCATCAGGAGGAAGGGCAGGGGAGAAGTCACATGCAGTACAGTGAAACTCATCAGTGTCACACACGCCCAGCAGGAGGGGAGAGCTCTGCTCCACACGCTGGCGGCCTTGGCTGCTCCAGAGCAATCCGCTGCTCCAGCTTCAGCCATGGGACCAAGAGGGTAAAGGAGCAGCTTCTGGAGGCCCCAGGCAGAGGCCACCTTGCAGCAGTGACTGGCGACTTTGCAGTACATCTCTGCTCACTTGCTGTCCCTTGGGAGTGAGCACCGTCTATAACACATCGCCATCTACAAAAGCCTGGTCACAGTGTTCACCAGCACATTCATGAAAATTTAAATCAACATTAACCAAAGTACCTGCAAGTAACACTGCTTACTCTTGCTGTTTGCCTCATCTGACTGGAAACCTTAGCCCCCAAATATGAAATGCCTTCTCTAGATTAAAAGGATTCAGAGATGTTGCACTATTGCACTATATTTCTGCTTCCCGATCTCGTTTCTGAGTCCTAGTGAAATCGTAAACAAGAGATGAAATAAACGTCGCTCCATTTTAATACCGTCTTTAGTATCATACACATGTGTTCAGTAGTGAGCCACCCAAAGCCTCCTGCCACAGGAGCAGTAGTCGAAGCACAGAGGGGACCCCGCTCTGCTGCCTCCCCATGCAGTCCAGTGATGAGGTGGATGGAGTCCTCCCCACAGTCACACCCCAAGCTTCCTCTTCTGGTGGAAATAGGCATCAAACCTTGCTTGGGCGTAGTCCTAGGAGACAGCAAAGAGAAGGCCTCAGCAAGGAATCCTGCTGGCCTGAACCCTGCCCATGTGTCCCCCAATCCCCACCCCAGGCAAGAGCTGAGGGCACGGACCCATGAGACCAAAAGCACAGGACTGGCCTGTGCAGCAGGGCTGCTCGGGGGCCTCGCTGCTCTACAGGTGCAGGCTCCTCAAGCTCCCAGCCCACCCCACACACCTTCATTCTCAGGAGGCCTGGTTTATAGGCATGGGCCAGCCCAGCCCTGCCTCTCAGGATGAACGTCTCATCCACATGCTTAGCACTGCTACCATTCATCACCTTGCTAACCCTGGGTGCTGTGGGCACTGACTGACCGACATAACACACCTTTTAGAGCAAAAGACCCCTGGGACACAGGCGAGTCTAGAACAGAAGGGGAGAAGAGGATGCCCATCGCCTATTTCCCGGGATCTCCTGCAGCATGACTTTTAAGAAGGACACTGAGAGGCAAGGGAGAAAACCCGGCTTGGTGTTCTGTTTCTGCCACTATTTTTCTGGGATTGTGTTGTGTGAGGACAACACAATCTCAAAGACCCACTCCTAATCTAAAAGTCTGCAATTCTAGAAGCCAGGAAGATTACAATTAACTTTTTTGAAAAATTAACTGAGCTGTAATTTCTACTCTACAAGCATGAGCCCATTTTAAGTGTCCAGTTGAGGGCCTTCACAGATGCATCCAGCCAGTTCTCCACCACCGCAGTCAGGAGACCTGTGTTTCCAGCATCCCTACAAGCTCCCATGGGCCTCTTGCAGTTGGCCACAGGCAGCCACCGACTCAATATCTGTCACTATGGACTGGACTTTTCTTTCCTAGAGTAGCACATAAATGCCACTATACAATATGCAGCCTCGTGTCTGGCTTCTCACTCAGCGTGCTGTCTCTGAGTGGCCTGTGCTGTCATGCACTGGTGCCACCTTCCTTTTGCACTGCCGAGTGTTCTCAGTACACGGATCTGGCACTGTCGTATCCACACACCTGCTGACTGGCATTTAGGCTGCTTCCAGTTTGGGACGATTATAAATGAAGGTGCAGACCGGGCGAGGTGGCTCACACCTGTAATCCCAACACTTTGGAAGGCCAAGGCAGACGGATCACTTGAGGTCAGGAGTTTGAGACCAGACTGGTCAACACGGCGAAACCCCCTCTACTAAAAATAAAAAATTAGCTGGGTGCGGTGGCGGGCGCCTGTAATCCCAGCTACTCAAGAGGCTGAGGCAGGAGAATTGCTTGAACCCGGGAGGCGGAGGTTGCAGTGAGCCAAGATCGGGCCACTGTACTCCTCCTGCCTGGGCAACAGAGTGAGACTCTGTCTCAAAAACAGACAAACAAATGAAGCTGCTATGAGTGTTTGAGTGCAAGTCTTGGTGTGGAATTTGTTTTCATTTGTTCTGGAAAAATTCCCCAGGAGGGCTGCTGGGTGGTCTAACCCATCTTCACACTGGCTGTCGCGACTGCATTCCCAGCAGCAGCGCATGCGCATTCCCATTGCTCCATGTGCTCGCCATTTGGGACCGTCAGTTCTTTCAAGTTTTAGCCATCACTGTGGGTGTGTAGGGTATCGCAATGAGGCTTTGATTCACATTTCTTTAATGACTAATTATACAAAACACATGAAAAGATTCTTACTGGCCATGTGTTTCTCTTAAGTGTCCAAATCTTCCATCCATTTATAAAGCAGGCTGAGGCCGGGCGCGGTGGCTCATGCCTGTAATCCTAGCACTTTGGGAGGCCAAGGCGGGTGGATCACCTGAGGTCAGGAGTTCGAGACCAGCCTGACCAACACAAAGAAACCCCGTCTCTACTTAAAAAAAAAAAAAAATTAGCCAGGCATGGTGGTGGGCTCCTGTAATCCCAGCTACTTGGGAGGCTGAGGCAGGAGAGTCGTTTGAACCCAGAAGGCAGAGGTTGTGGTGAGCCGAGATCGCACCATTGAACTCCAGCCTGCGCAACAAGAGCGAAACTCCATCTCAAAATAATAATAATGAAGCAGGCTGTTTGGTTTCTGGCTGAGTTATGAGTTCTTTATATATCCTAAATATGAGTCCTTTATTAAATATACATTTGTAGTATTTCCTCCCAGTCTGTGGCTTGCCTTTTCATTTTCTCCATGATATCGTTCAGAGTTACTCATTTTGATAAAGTCCAACTGTGATGACATATATGTGTGTTTTTGTCCAGGGTCCCTGGCTCATAACTCCCATAGCCCTTACTACAGTAAACAGAATCTCTCTCTCTGACCTTCTGCCGTCCTTTCACCTGCCCAAAGCTAGACTCTAATCTGACTGTGGGTCATAAGACTCTTATTCCAGAGGGGGTCCTGCACCATACCCTGGGATAAGGAATGCTGTACAGAGAAGCCCGAAGAACCTGGTCAGGTCTTGCTAGGTTTAGATCACACCTTTTTTGTCCAATCACATTTCAACACGGTTGTCCACATTTCAATCATGCCTATCCAATGACATCTCCATAAAATGCCCAAGAGGACAGGGTTTGGGGAGTTTCTAGAGAACTGAATGTGGAGGCTGACAGGAAGGTGAACAAGAATGAGTTCCCCAACCCACCCACAGGGACAGAAGCTCCTGTGCTGGGAATCCTTTCAGACCTCACCCCACCTATTTATCTCTTCACCCTTAAAATACCCTTTGTTAGCTAGGCATGGTGGCGGAATGTCTGTAGTCCCAGCTACTTGGAAGGTTGAGACAAGAGGATCGCTTGAGCCCAGAAGTTGGAGACCAGCCTGGGCAACACAGTGAGACCCTGTCTTAAAAAAAAAAAAGTAATACACTGGTAAACTTACGTGTTTCCCTGAGTTCTGTGAGCTGCTCTAGCAAATTAATTGAACCCGAGGGGAACGTGGGAACTCCAATATATGGCTAGTTGGTCAGAAATTCCAGAGGCCTGGACTTGCAACTGGTGTTGGAAGTGGGGGGCAGTCTTAAGGTCTCAACCCTCAACCTGTGGGGTCTGACTCTGTCCCCACGTAGACAGTGTCGTAATGGAATTGGAGGGCACCCATCTGGTGTCCACTCCAGAACTGATTACTTGTTTGTTGGCGGGGAGAACCACCCCTGACGTGGTCACTTTAGTCTTCTGTGGTGATGATTGTTGCTGATGAAAGGAATGGGAAAAAGCACTTTGGTTTTTATGTGTTTCCTGCTCACAGCAACTTACTCTATTTTTTCCTCTTTTATGGCTAGTGCTTTATGTAACCCAAGAAATCTGTGCTTAGGTCAGTAAGCTTTTCTTTTTTTCTTTTTTGAGACGGAGTCTCATTCTGTCGCCCAGGCCAGAGTGCAGTGGCATGATCTCGGCTCAATGCAAGCTCCACCTCCCGAGTTCACACCATTCTCCTGCCTCAGCCTCTCCAGTAGCTGGGACTACAGGCACCTGCCACCAGGCCCGGCTAATTTTTTGTATTTTTAGTAGAGACAAGGTTTCACCGTGTTAGCCAGGATGGTCTCAATCTCCTGACCTCGTGATCCACCAGCCTCGGCCTCCCAAAGTGCTGGGATTACAGGCGTGAGCCACCGCGACCAGTCTAGGTCACTAAGCTTTTCTCTTGTGTTTTCTCATAGAAACTTAATAGTTTTAGCCTTCACATTTAGGTCTATTATCTGTTTCAAGTTGACTGTTGTTTATGGCACAGAATCAGGTTCAGTTTTTTCTCCACATGACTCTTCAAATGTTCTTGCATCATTTTTTGAAAATACAATCCTTTCCCTCTTAAATTACCTTGGCCTTTCTGTTGAGTACCAGGTGATTATATACACATGGATCAATTTCTGGACACTGTATTCTGTTCCATCTGATTTGTTTTTTGTTTTGTTTTGTTTTTGAGATGGGGTCTTGCTCTGTTGCCCAGGCTGGAGTGCAGTGGTGTGATCACAGCTCCCCTGACTTCCCAGGCTAAAGTGATCTTCCCAGCTCAGCCTCCCGCGCAGCTGGGACTACAGGCATGTGCTACAGACACCCAGCTAATTGTTTCGTATTTTTTGTAGAGATGAGTCTTGCTATGCTGCCCAGGCTGGTTTCCAACTCCTGGGCTCTAGCGATTCTCCTGCCTCAGCCTCCCAAAGTGCTGGATGACTGGCTTGAGCCACCACACCTGGATGATTTACATTACTTATGCCACCACCACACTGCCTTGACTTCTGTGCTTCAGAGAAGTCTTATAACCAGGTAGTAGAAGTCTTCTTTGTTCTTTTACAAAATTATTTTGGTTATTCCAGACTCTTTGCATTTTCATATAAATTTCAGGATCAGCATGTCAATTTCTACACAGAAGCCTGTGGGGGTTTTGATTAGGCCTGTGGGGAATGTACAGGTCAGTGTGGGGAGAATGAGCATCTTTACCTTAAGGCTTCCATCCATCAAGGTGGTATCTTCTCCATTTATTTCACTTCTTTATTTTTTACACTCTTTCATAGTTTCCAATGTACATATCTTACACTATTAAACATTTTTCCATGTACAGTTGTTTCTACCATGTAGAAATCCAACTGATTTTTGTATACTGACCTTGTATCTTGTGACTTTGATAAACTCATTCATTAGGTTAAGCAACTTTTCTGTTGATTCCTTTATTATTTTAAAAGCACACAATCATGTCACCTAAAGAATAAAGGCAGTGTTTCTTCTTCCTTCCCAGTGCACCTATATTTCCTTTCTTTGTCTTGCCTCACTGCACCAGCTAGGAGCTTCAGTACAACACAGAAGACATGCAGTGAGAACAGGCGTCCTTGCATGTTCTGTACTTGGGGTGGGGGTCAAAGGGGACATTTTCCCTGTTACCACTAGTGATAATGTTGGCTGTGGGTTTTCCTTTTTTTTTATTGAGACAGAGTTTTGCTCTTGTTGCCCAGGCTGGAGTGCAGTGGCGTGATCTCGGCTCACTGCAACCTCCACCTCCTGGGTTCAAGCGATTCTCCTGCCTCAGTTTCCTGAGTAGCTGGGATTACAGGCATGTGCCACCACCCCTGGCTAATTCTGTATTTTAGTAGAGACGGGGTTTCTCCGTGTTAGTCAGGCTGGTCTCGAACTCCCGACCTCAGGTGATCCACCTGCCCTGGCCTCCCAAAGTGTTGGGATTACAGGCATGAGCCACCGCGCCTGGCTGGCTGAGGGTTTTTCATACATGCCTTTATCTGGCTGAGGAAGATCCCCTCTAGTCCTAGTTTGCTGAGATTTTTTTTTATCACATTGGATCTTGTCAAATGCTTTTTCCTGTGGTCCCTGAGATAATCATACGGTTTTTCACCTTCATTCTGTTAATATGAAGAATTATATGAACTGATTTTTTCAAATATAAACCAGCCTTGCATTCCAGGGATAAATGCCACTTGACCATAATATATTATCCTTTTACATATGTTAGTGGATTTAATTTTTGCCAATGTTTTGATAGGGATTTTGTGTAATGTTTCTTCTTATGGAATATAAACATTTAAGCTACAAAGCCGTAAGTTTCTAGATACTGCTTTATGTATATCCCACAAATACTGACATGCTATGTTTTCATTATAATTCAGTTTAAAATATTTTCTCATTTTCTTTTTAATTTCTTTGACCCAGGGTTTATTTAGAAGTGTACTGTTTAATTTCCAAATAATTGAGAATTTTCTAGCTATCTTTTGTTGTTGATTTCCACTTAAATTTCACTGAGAACATATCCAGTATTATTTCAATCCCTTTGAATTTATCAAGACCTGTCTGATGGGCCAGCATATGGTCTATCTTGAGGAATATTCCATATTCATTTGAAAAGAATGTGCACCCTGCAGTTGCTGGGGGGTTTAATGAACATGCATGAGGCCAGGCTGGCAGGGAGAGTTGTAAGGCCCTATCCCTCCTTCTGCGTGTGTTCCTCCTTTGTTCTAACCACAGAAGAGGAGTGGTGAGATCTCCCATGTTTTTTGTTTTGTTTTGTTTTTGTTTCTGAGATAGAGTTTCACTCTTTTTTTTTTGAGACCCAGAGTCTCGCTCTGTCGCCCAGGCTGGAGTGCAGTGGCGTGATCTCGGCTCACTGCAAGCTCCGCCTCCTGGGTTCATGCCATTCTCCTGCCTCAGCCTCCCGAGTTAGCTGGGACTACAGGCACCCACCAACAGGCCCAGCTAATTTTTTTTTTTGTATTTTTAGTAGAGACGGGGTTTCACCGTGTTTGCCAGGATGGTCTCGATCTCCTGACCTCGTGATCCGCCCGCCTCGGCCTCCCAAAGTTCTGGGATTACAGGCATGGGCCACCGCACCCGGCCAGAGTTTCATTCTTATTGTCCAGGCTGGAGTGCAATGGCGCCATCTCGGCTCACTGCAAACTCTGCCTCCCAGGTTCAAGCGATTCTCCTGCCTCAGCCTCCCTAAGTACCTGGGATTACAGGCATGTGCCACCATGCCCAGCTAATTTTTGTATTTTTAGTAGAGATAGAGTTTCACCATATTGGTTAGGCTGGTCTCAAACTCCTGACCTCAAGTGATCCAACCACCTCGGCCTCCCAAAGTGCTGGGATTACAGGCGTGAGCCACTGCAACCGGCCGAGATCACCAACTTTAATCGTGAATCTGCCATTTTCTTCTTTCACTTTTGTCAGTTTTAATATCATGTCTTTTGAAGCAAGACAAGGGTTTTTAATGTCCTCTGGATGTACTGATGCCTTTATTATCACAAAATGCCCTTCTTTATCTCTAGTAATATTCCTTGTTACGAAGTGTGCTTTGTCGTACAGTATCATTTGACCATGACTCAAATCTGCTTTAAAAATCCAATGTCCCCTTCTTTTACCTAATATCATCCTTGCATTACCAAACCTTCTGCCTAGAAGTAGAAATCATTGTAGTATAAGACTGAGGAGGTCAAAATGAACTAGTCCCATCCCTGTCCCAAAGGAAGGCAGCTCACCAGACTGTGGACATTTGTGTTATCCCCCACCCCAAGACAACTCACCAACATTCATTCACTATGGAACAACAGAAAGGTTTGTCTGAAGGTTAAAAATACTTTCTATTTCTATGTCAGTGACAGTTTTTTTTTTTTTTTTTTTTTTTTTTTTTGAGACAGAATCTTGTTCTGTCACCCAGGCTGGAGTGCAGTGGCATGATTTCAGCTCACTGCAACCTCCACCTCCTGGGTTCAAGCGGTTCTCCTGCCTCAGCCTCTTGAGTAGCTGGGATTACAGGCGCCCGCCACCATGCATGCTAATTTTGGTATTTTTAGTAGAGATGGGGTTTCCCCACGTTGGCCAGGATGGTCTCGAACTCCTGACCTCAGGTGATCTGCCCACCTCAGCCTCCCGAAGTGCTGGGATTACAGGCGTGAGCCACCGTACCCGGCTGACAATTCTTAAGGTTAAAATTAAATGACAGCCTAGCTTGGTTACAAACATGCCTATGAAAAACAGGAGGTCTAATTCAATAATTACCAGCTTCCAACCCAAAGTCGGGCACTACAGGCTGGAGAATGAAGTGGTAACCGATAAATAAAACCTTCCACAGCACAGGCAGGAGCCACCCACTCTTCTTCACTTACTGTCCCGTGTCAGAAGGGACTGAGGTCAGAGCTGGACTTCGAGGGTGCAGATGCCTACATTCCCCATCAGGATTGCAGGCACTTCTCTGAAGCAGGGGAGGCAAGGTCAGCTGGCCTGGAAGTGAGGGCAACCTCCAAAGGCAACCACAGCATCAGTGACAGCGGCTTCTCCCCCGGCTTCCTGGGCTGAGCCACACTGTCCTGATGCCACCAGGTCACCACATTCGGGTACTTGGGGAGACAGAGAACCCTCTGTAAGGAACAGTCATTTGCTGCCAACATTCACAAATACTATAGCATTTTTACCTGGGAGTAGGAAGAAAAAAAAAAACAAAAACGCTGCTAAAACATACCATGTACCCAAATTCAATAGATGAAATCTTGGCTTGTACAATGGACCACAGTCCCCAGAGGAAATGAGATGCAAGGGCAAACCTGGAATGATAAAAGCAAGAAACATATAAGAGACATACAGTATCAGTTACAGGACTGATGAAATGATTTCATGCCAGATGGACATTTTAACTTGTGTGGATGCAAACCTAGTTAGTGTTGGCAAATCATGGGTCTATATTCCACGGGACTAACTAAGAACAATGGGAATACCACTCCCACACCCTTCCCTCATCTGCTAGTGACAGGTGCACTGGTGAGTGTGAACACACACAGCTGGCCTGGCCATGGCACACGTAAATGCCACTTGGCCATAATATATTCACAAGGTGAATATATTCACATTCACAGGGTGCAGGTGAAGGCCTGGGTGGCCATGCTGGCAGAAAAGAAAGCAAGCTTGCTACAAGGGAGGGTGCACACCATAGCAACCAAGAGGCAGCCCTTTGCTGGAGGCGGGATGAAGCTCTCACTCCTTGAGCAAGAGAATTCTCAAATCCCATCCTTGTCCCATCCCCTCCTGTCACACAGAAGTGAAAAGAGCAGATCAGAGAGCGTGAGCCACGTCACCATCTCTAAGCTGTACCAAGCCCCCAAGTCACTGTGAATCCAAGTTCCTCCTCAAACAATACCCTGAGGGCTCATCCACATGAAGATAAAGCTCAAATTTAGGAGTGCCTGCTCTAGTATCCTCCAACCCTACTCTCTGTTCATCCTGTGGTCCCCGGCCCACAAGAGTCCCGTGTGCTACCCTTTCTGTCTGGGTTCTCCTCCATCTGTTTTTTTCTATTTCCACCAGTTCAAGAAACAGAAAGAGATGATGTATGCTGCGGTGAAGCCCAGCAGGTAGGCAGGTGTGACATCACACTTAGTGTTGGGGGTGAGCACTCTGGAGGCCACGAGGAGATGACTGTGCTAAGTGCGTGGAAAGATGAGGGGCCACAGTGACTTAAACAGCCATTCTACCAAAAAATGTCACAGGAGACCCCAAATAATAGGAACAACCCACAGGCCTCTTGACTAAAGAGATGGACAAATAGTGGTCTAGACCTTTGCACAATCTGGAAGTTTCAGGGCCCTGCTTTGAAAACTGTTGAGAAAACAGTTAAAAGCAAGACTTAAAACCGATAAACATAAGTTTAATCATTTTCTAGGAGAAACTTAAGAGTTAAAACACAGCATATGGTGGCCGCCACTCCAGAAGCATCAGTGACAAGTTTGCAGGGACAGATGCAGTAGCCCACATCTGTAATCCTAGCACTTTGGGGGGCCAAGGCAGGAGAACCACTTGAGCCCAGGAGTTCATGACCAGCCTGGGCAACAGAGCAAGACCTCGTGTCTACAAAAAAATACAAAAATTAGCCAGGCATGGTGGTACGTGCCTGTAGTCCCAGTTACTTGGGAGGCTGAGGCAAGAGGCTTGCTAAGAGTTAGAGGCTGCAGTGAGCCATGATCGCATAGCTGCACTCCAGCTTGGGTGACAGATCAAGACTCCATCTCAAAAAAAAAAAAAATTCTATAGGCTCTGGGTGGCAGCAGCCCTGTATGGCTGGGTTGTTGTGTCTGGATGACAGTTCAGAATGCCACAAAGTGTCCTGACCCTTCTTGGACATGGGAACTCTTCTTGTGATATGGTTTGGCTCTGTCTCCCCACCCAAATCTCATCTTTAATTGTAATCCCCATGTGTGGAGGGAGGGACCTGGCAGGAGGTGATTAGATCATGGGGGTAGTTTCCCCCATGCTGTCCTCACAATAGTGAGGGAGTTCTCACAAGATCTGATGGTTTTACAAGTATTTGGTAGTCCTACCTTCTTCTCTATCTCTCTGCCCCTCTCTCTCCTGGCGCCATGTAAGATGTGCCTTGCTTCCCCTTTGCCTTCTGCTATGATTGTTAAGTTTCCTGAGGCCTCCCTGGCCATGCAGAACTGTGAGTCAATTAAAACTCCTTTCTTTATAAATTACCCAGTCTCAGGTAATATCTTTGTAGCCATGTGAGAACAGACTAATATACTTTGCCTGCTGTATGCTCAGATCTGAAAGCTCTGCATAGTCTCGGCCACAATGGAGAAGTAGCAGATTCTATTTTTGACAAAGTGCAAGTCCTAAAGATGTACGATTAAAAAGAAGCTCCTAGGCCAGGCGCAGTGGCTCACATCTGTAATCCCAGCATGGGAAGGCCGAGCTGGGTGGATCACTGGAGGTCAGGAGTTCAAGACTAGCCTGGCCAACATGGCAAAAACCCATCTCTACTAAAAAATACAAAAATTAGCTGGACATGGTGGCAGGCACCTGTAATCCCAGCTACTTGGGAAGCTGAGACAGGAGAATTGCTTGAACCCGGGAGGCGGAGGTTGCAGTGAGCCGAGATTGCGCCACTGCACTCCAGCCTGGGTGACAGAGCAAGACTCTGTCTCAAAAAAAAAAAAAGAAGAAGAAGCTCTAAAATACTCCTAATTGCAAGTCAGCATCTCCCAAATATAGTCTATAAAGAGGAAAGCTATCTTTACAAATCAAAAAAGGAAAAATGTTACCTATTAACTTCAAGCAACATTTCTTCTTTTATAATGGATTTTTCTTCAGTACTGAGGTTTTCAAAGTCATTTTGGAATGCAGGCAAGTAACTGGAAATAAAATGGAGCTTAAAAAAAAGTAATTGTGTTAGGATCAATGATGGTTAAAATAGACAATGTCAATAGCTGTCACTAAGCATATGCATCTACTGTGACACACTGGGAGACACACACTCAACATGATGTTCAGCATCTCCGACATCCTGGGGCTGGCACCAGTGAGCCAACCTTTGCTAGGTTTTCAGCCGCTCTCTCTCCCCAGGATTTCTAGTGGAGATACAGTGTCTAGGCTCTTCAGCATACTTTTTCCATTTAGAGTAGCACTTAAAACATAAACTGGAGACCACTATTTTGGAGGCAGGCTTGGTGCACCCTCCCAATCCTACTCAGCTTCAGCACCGCTACCAAGGTTTCAGTGCTGGGCTGAGGAATGGGAGAGAAAGATCTCAGGAGGAAATTCCCATGAGAACTGATTCTCCACACAATCACCAGCCTCCTCCCATCATTCAGGACAGGAAAGGGAACTGTTAACACCAAAGATATTTCCTCCCACTACTAAACCCTGGTGCCCGAAAGATTACTTCTCTCTCCATAGTGTGAAATGAATAGAAAAAGGTCAGTGATCACCAAAAAGATGGCCAGAAAGCAGAATCAAGGCTGGGCTTTTCAAAAAAATACTACAAGGAACTACAAAGGATGACAAAGCTCTTCTCTGAATACAAGTATCTCTGGCACAGAGATTTTTAATAAGCTGGACTAAAAGGTCAAGTTTGTGTCTACATTTAACAGGAACAAAATAACATTTTTTAACATAAACCAAATTTTAAAAGGTTATCTTTAAAAATGAAGATGTAGGCCAGGCATGGTGGCTCACAACTGTAATCCCAGCAGTTTGGGAGGCTGAGGCAGGAGGATCACTTGAGCCCAGGAGTTTGAGACCAGCCTGGGCAACTTGGTGAAATCCCATCTCTACAAAAAATACAAACAATTAGCTGGGCGTGGTGGCATGCGTCTGTGGTCCCAGCTACTTGGGGGGCTGAGGCGAGAGGATCACCTGAGCACAGAAGGTCAAGGGTACAGTGAGCCATGATCGCACTACTGCACTCCAGCCTGGGAAACAGAGTGAGACCCTGCCTCAAAAAATAAAAAAGAAGATGTAATTCTAACTGCATGAAATTGACATGTAATTTTCCTATCAAGTATACAAAAACTCATCTCCTACCTGTTGTTTCTTGGTGGGATACTTCCGGATGTTTGCTCTGAAAAAAGGGTATTTTTCATAGCTATAATCATACATCCACTCACAGAAGTGATTTCCAATGTCGAATCCCCTGAAATAAGACATAAGACAGTGCACACAATGAGGCAAACCGTATGCCTGGAGGCTCCCTGACTGCAGAAGAAAGAAAGGCTGAGTTCCGAGCACGCCACTCCTGTTGCCATCTGGACTTGCTGAGGGAGCAGGACTGTAGCTGCTTTAATGACAGAGAGAGACAACAGGTGGTTGATCAGCATCACAGCTGACTAAAGCTATACAGGTGCACCTGAACCACTACTCCAGAACATTGTGTCTCCTAGACCAGGATTTATGAGAAGAAAATGACCTCTGAAGCCAAAAGAAAATGCCAAAGTCTGGACTGAATGGCATGGCTGTCCCCAACTAGCGCTGTCTGCTAGGAACAAAGAAGGCTGTGCTGCTTCACCACAACCATCACCGGCCACTGGACGAGAAGCCACTGATTCCAGGTGAAGCAGCTTGCAACTCAGAGCGGCATTTTGACTTATTTTCTCTAATAACTGTTAATTAAGCATATCGTAATGATAAATCAATATTGAGATGGAAACACTGGACTGTAACACAGTACCTGTAATTGTAACTGCTGTATTCGAAATCAATGAGCATCAGTTTCTGTTTTTCAGAATTCTCTCGGCCTTCCAGCAACAAGATATTACCTGCAAAAGGTTTGGATAACATGGTTTATGTTTTACAATAGAAGGCTCAAGTCCTTGAACAGCAGAGCCGAGAGAATGGATTTGATCCCTTAGGGAATCCTAACTGAATGTGGCTTTTGGTCTGTGGACATCACCAGGGCCTAGACAGAGCGTAGAAGTGCTCACGGGAGGCATAACCCTATGCAGGGTGGCTCCTGACCCACCTGGCCATGAGAACCCCTGCTCACAGCCCTAGTCCTCGCCAGACCCCCAGGATCACTGTGGAACAAAGCCTGGCCTCTTGCTCTGCTGTCAGGACAGTACTTCCCAAATGTTCTGCATGGTGGCATGCAGGAGCTCGTGCTAGCCAAACACCACCCTCAGCAGCCCTGGGACTTGGTTTGCTGTCTGCAGGCCAGCTGGCTGCAGCACTCCAGCTGGGAAGCTGTGGGAGTGCCCTCCTGGTAAGAAAGGCAAGGGAGAGCTCAGCTGCCACAGGGGATCCCCTGCTTTGTTCTTGCCTGCTTTTCCTTCCCAAGGAGACCACAGGCAGCATTCCTACAAGACTATTTGCTTTAGTATTGGATTCTGGGTCAGGAGTTGGTCAGCCATCAGCCTGGCTCTGCAGGCCTGCGTTCCTGAGATCCCCACACTCGACATGATGTTCAGCATCTCCGACATCCTGCTGCTGGCACCAGTGAGCCAACCTTCGCTAGGTTTTCAGCAGCTCTCTCTCCTTAGGATTTCTAGTGGAGGTATAGTGTCTAGGCTCTTCAGCATACTTTTTCCATTTAGAGTAGCAATTACAATGTAAACTGGAGACCAGAAAACGTGTATTGGCTCACACTTGTAATCACAGCACTTTGGGAGGTGGAGGTGGGAGGATCACTTAAGTCCAGGAGTTTAAGACCAGCCTGGGCAACACAGAGAAACTCCATCTCCACAAATAATTAGCCAGGTGTAGTGGTGTGCGCCTGTGATCCCAACTACTCAGGAGGCTAAGGCAGGAGGATCACTTAAGCCCAACAGGCTAAGGTTACGTGGAGCCTAGACTGCACTACTGCACACCAGCCTGGGTGACACAGTAACAGTCTCAAAAAAAAGGCAAATTGGAGGCAGACGCCCAAAGTAGCACAACAAAATTAATGTACAACTGTTACCTCTTCGATCCTTCCTACACTTTGCCATCATCAACACAGCCGATCTCCTCCAGTCCCCTCTCTCTAGTGATGTCTGTGCCATTTATCACCCCCTCACCACCAGAAGGGCAAGGGTAATACACAAAGCTGTAGCTGTAATGTCTACACCCTCCTTGAGTTAGCCAGCGATGAGCAGCTAATTAGTAAAAGGTAATTTGGCTCAAATGAATGGCTTATGGATGACGAGTCTTCATGAGAAACTGTTCTCAGGATTAAAAGCAAACTGCTGAGCCTGGCAAACAAGGGCTCAAGGTGGGACCTGAACTACTGTGACTAGGGGAGGCAAGGTCAAGGCAGAGAGAGGCCATGTCAGCAGCACCAGTGGGAGCTGCATAGTGGGGGGCCTCTGATGAGACTGTTCAATGTGCAATTGCATGGGATGAAGTTTTGTTACAGTAAGGAACATATCACTGTCATGTTTTCAAAGCAGAGAAGCCCGAAATAATTAATAGCACAGTGCACTGATACTAGGAGAGGAGGTGTTAGGATTACACGTGTTGCGATAAGCAACACTACGCTGTGTGGTGCAGAAGGGGGAAGGGCCCGGGACTCAATGGGGTAGGCAGTGGATCTTGTTCTTTTATTGCTTTTTCAGGTTAAAAAAAAATCATACATGTTTACTGTAAGGAGTTAAACACTGAAAAAGTAATATGTGACTTAGAAAGTTTAAGTTCTTCATCCCAGTTCCCAAGTTTAGTGAATATTCTTTCGGATTTCTTCCATGTAATTTTTTTTTTTTTTTTAACAGGATCTTGCTCTGTCATCCAGGCTACAGTACAGTGGTGCGATCACAGCATACTATAGCCTTGAACTCCTAGGCTCAAGCCATCCTCCTGCCTCAGCTTACCAAGTAGCTGGGACTACAGGTGCACACTACTATACCTGGCTAATGTTTTTATTTTTTGTAGAGATGGGGTCTTGCTATGTTGCCCAGGCTGGTCTAGAACTCCTGGGCTCAAGCAATCCTCCCACCTTGGCCTCCCAAAGTGCTGGGATTACAGACATGAGACATTGTGACTGGCCTCATACTCTATAAAAATAATACAAAACCTCATTGTCTGGTTGTATCATACTTTAATGTACCTAATACTCTTGATGCTACCTTACATTTTTCAGACACACTGCCAGTAATTTTCTAAGTATGCACACAAACCTCATCTGTAACAGAACATAGCAATTCTTACCTTCTTGACAGTCATTATGACAAAATACAACTGGAGATGGAGTAGATTCAAGCAATGATCTGAAAAGAAAGGTTTCACTGTTACCCATCACGCTTCTCAGTCAGCTGCACACAGTCTTGCTTTCTCCACATGGCCAGCACCAAATTCGTGCTCCAAAGCAACACACAGTTTCAGAGTAGTATCTGTGATGTGAATTCTGACAACTGCGTCATTACGTGGCAACAACTCCACAGGCCCTCTGCACTCAGCTCTTCCCCCGGAGGACCTCTGCATGTGCCGCTCCCTCCTGGAGCCCCTTTCTCTGCTGGTCTCGGCTTGTATAGCACCCCCTTAGACAGCCCTTCTCTTACCAGTGACCCAAGCAGGTCCTCCTATGCAGACTAAGGGCCTACTTTGATCTGTTTCTGTCACAGCACTTATCACAATTTGACATTATTTTATTTGTTTACTTGTTTTCCCTCAGCAGCGATCATCAAGCCTAGCAGAGGAGGCACAAACCTGAGTAATTAAAGGTGTAAATACTTGTGGCTGGGTGTGGTGGCTCGCGCCTGTAATCCTAGCACTTTGGGAGGCCGAGGTGGGCCGATCACGAGGTCAAGAGATCAAGACCACTCTGGCCAACATGGTGTAACCCCATCTCCACAAAAATACAAAAATTAGCTGGGTGTGGGGGCGCATGCCTGTAGTTCCAGCTACTCGGGAGGCTGAGGCAGGAGAATCACTTGAACCCAGGAGGGTGAAGCTGCAGTGAGTCAAGATCGCGCCACTGCACTCCAGCCTGGCAACAAAGCGAGACTCCGTCTTATAAAAAAAAAAAAAAAAGGTGTAAATACTTGTTAGTGTACAGATGTGAGTGGCCTGCGCCAAGCATCACTCTGAGGACAATGACGGCCTTGCTTCAGAGATCAGTATGAAGACTCTGTTTCTCGCAAAAGCCAAGGTTGAACTGTAAGGAAGAAGGATCTTCCTCACACTCCCCAGCCTGCCCTTACTCCCTTCTCCCCACCAGAGAAAATCCACCCCACCAGACACTCTACTGCCCTGGCCACCAAGCCACTCCTTTGACATTTTCCTTCTCAATGGAACCTTCACAAACTGACCAGAGGCCACGTGTGGGCTTCTAGTCCATAGAGTCCATAATCTCTAGTCCTCTAGAGAACCATAATTCCAGATGACAAAACTTATGGTTTAAATTCATCCTGTAAAACCAATGTAAAATGCCAGACATAAGGCAAGCTCAATCAATGTTTACTGACAACAGTTTTAGTGACTAAGAATATTTAAAGTCAGGAAATAGAAGGAAAACTCACCTCAGGTTTTCCAGTTCCAAGGGCAGATTGTAACTGAGCAATTTGTGGAGCTTTTTAATTCTGGATTCCTCAGTAAATTTAATTCTCAGCACTTCCTTTAGATACCTATTAAAAAATTTTCAAAAAAGAACAGAACAAAGAATCACCGATCAATTCACCAAGGCTTGCTGTTCTTGGGGCTTTGGTTAAACATTCAATCCCAGCGCAGTCACAATGCCAGTGGGACCCCTCTGACTGCCATGACTGAGGGGAAGAGGAGTGGCCTTGGGGGTTCGTGGCATTCTAGGAAGGTGACTTTCTTCTGTCCCTTCACCCGTTCAATAGCATTTTTGCATAAGCCTTCTTTCCTGGTTTAGGAATTGACTTTTACACACAAGAAAGACTTACTTATGAGACAAGTATCACCAGCTGACACCCTGCACTTCAGTGAACTAGGAAGACCTCTGACTACTGTGGCAAACAAATGCTCACTTATGGTACTTCTGGGAGCCACCACTGTAAAACTATGTTAGGACCAAGTGATTTGACCACTTACTTTTCCATTGTGCCAAAAAGCCATTTTGGTTCCTTATTGAATGGCATTTTCATACCATGAAATGTAGCCATTTTCTCGGCGATTTCTGCAGAAATATCTGGCAAACTTAATTCTTCAGTATCTAATCGCCGGCTCTGAAAAAGAAAAGGGAGTTAAAAACTGACATTTACCAAGTAAACTAAAAAGAGTGAGATCACACAGTCTTAGGAACGAGAAGTGTTTTTGTAGTGCATTTAAGTCTCACCCAATGCCCCAAATTCCCTTAAGAATGGACACTGTGTCCCTACAGACAGTGACCCAGCAATTGCTATGGCATTTCTACAGTGAGGAGCCGGCCACCTCCAAAGATCTATTTCATTTTGAACCCTTTTTAACTATGAGAACTCCTTCCTTAAATTTTATTGAACTACTACACTATCATCTATTATTCTGGCCTCTAAAACCACACTGAATGTCTATTCACTACCCAATGCTGAAGTCCATGTCTTCAGCAGTTTATCACATGGCCCCACTTCCAGCTCCTCCATCAGCTGGGACATTCTACTCTGATGTGTTGCAGGTGAGATGTGGGGTCCAGAATAGGTCCTAACCAGGAGATGCGTCACAGAGACAGGGGGGCCGTCTCCAGCTGCTCCCAGTGGTGGTGTCAGCACCTGGCCTGGCACAGAGCAGGTGTCCAGGGCAAAGTTGGGCAAAGAAACAGTGTCTAGAGGACTTCCTCCTGGCCTCTGCATCCTGCACTTCCCCTAAATCAGCCCGAGGCCATGCTTGTTTGGCTGCCCTTTTACAGGAGGCCCATGGGAGCTCACAATCAACTGAGACCTCCAGAGCTTCCTCATGCAACCTGCCACCCTGCAGAAATCTAAAGAGAGGTTTCTGTGAAAATGCAAAGAAGTACAGCACAGGGGTAAGAGTGAATGCTCCCAACTCAGGGAAACCTCAGTTGAAATTGTGGCTTTAATTCTCATTTCAAAGCTACATGGCCATCCAAGTTACCTCATACATCTGTGTGTTCCCATTTCTATCAAATGGGAATCAGGACATGAATTCTCTCACAGAGTTGCCAGGAGAGCTGGAGGAGAGAATGCAGATGAGGTCTCTGGGACAGCACCTAGCCCAGGGTGCAGCTCAGCAAGTGGCAGATGTCTGCTACTGAGAGCTAAGAGCTCACTGTAAGCATTGGACTCAACCTTCTATTCAACTCCCTCCAGAAAGCACTGTCACCACAGCACTGTCAACAAATTACCATGCTGCAATAAGAACAGGGCCTCCACTTCCAGCAGCAGGACACACAGGACTTATTAAGGTAGCTCACTCAGCTTTCAAAACTGCCATTAATTTGGCAACAAGGAAAATCTGAAGCTAACATGCTCAGATATGAACAAATCTCAGTATTCCAAATTCCTTCCCCAGTAGAGAAAGAGAAACAGACTACCTACTATCCCTAGTGGCCCGGCTATTCTCACATGCCCTTTGAAAGATGGCTACAGGAATCATGAAACTAAATCACCTGATCCCAAGCAGTGAAGAGTAAACCTAAGCCAGGCGTGGTGGCTCATGCCTGTAATCCCAGCACTTTGGGAGGCCAAGGCGGGAGGACTGCTTGAGCCCAGGAGTTTGAGACCAGCCTGGGCAACACAGGGAGACCCCGTCTCTACAAAAAAATAAACAAAATTAGTCAAACATGGTGGCACGTGCCTGTAGTCCCAGCTACTCGGGAGGCTGAGGTGAGAGGATCACTTGAGCCTGGGAGGTTGAAGCTGCAGTGAGCTGAGATCAGGCCACTTATACTTCACTATACTGGGCAATAGAGTGAGACCCTATCTTAAAAAAAAAAAAAAAAAAAAGCAAATCTAGAAATAACATACGGTATTAGGTTGAATCAAATGAAACTGCCATTCTTGTTGGTCAAAAACAGTCAAACACCGGCGGCGTCATATGGTTCAAACCTAGTATATAACAGAATTTTAAAAAAATCTTCACTATGGCTGGGTGCAGTGGTTCACACCTGTAATCCTGGTGACTTAGGAGGCTGAGACAGGAGAAGAGCTTGAAGCCAGGAGAGTTCAAGACCAGCCAGGGTAACACAGCAAGACCCATCTCTACAAAAAAAAATTTTTAATAAGCTGGGTGTGCTGGTGTGCACCTGTACTCCCAGCTACCTGAAAGGCTAAGGCAGAAAGATCACTTGAGTCCAGGAGTTCGAGGCTGCAGTGAGCTATGATCATGCTATTGCACTCCAGCCTGGGCAAGAGAGTGAGACTCCCATCTCAAAAAATTTAATATATAATAAACAATACATACAAGAGCATAGATAGAACTTAAGAACTAGAACAAAATCAGTTCCACAGATACTATAATCTATGTGTCCTGATGCCTGCCCTTTTTGTCCCCAAGATATTTTTATTATTCTGAATTGTGTTAACACAATTCCCTTACCTTTTCCAAAAAGAGAACTTTTACTACATGTGCACATATTCTTAAACAATTTTTAAAATTTATCAGGCTTTATAGAATGGTATGATACTACTTACAGTCTCCTGCAGTTTGATCATTCAACATTATGTTTGTAAGATTCACCTATATTGCCACTTATAACCATATGAGGTTCTATTATTTACAAAATTCTTTCAAAAACTTATCATCTCGGCCGGGCGCGGTGGTTCACACCTGTAATCCCAGCACTTTGGGAGGCCAAGGCGGGTGGATCACCTGAGGTCGGGAGTTCGAGACCAGCCTAGCCAACATGGAGAAACCCTGTCTCTACTAAAACATAGCCAGGTGCCAGGGAGCAAACTAAAGGAAAAAGCCAGCGCAGTGAAGGCACCATCCACTCATCTAAACACATCCTCAGCACTGGCAGCTAGCACAACACTAGCACAGACGGACAGTGCCACTGTCAACTAGAAGAGGATACCTCTTCTGGGGAGACAGAGCACAACTAGCCTCTCTGTTTCTGGGCTGTGGGATTAGACAAAGAAACCCCTGCCCCTGGTCCCCAGCCAGACGCAGCAGAGCACCCCTCTGCCAGGCATCCTAGTGCTGGGCTCCATCTGCACAGATGTACAGGGCAGCCCTGGACATGCCCAGGCCTCTCATGGATAAGATATCTCATGCAGCAGGGCAGGAAAAGCTAGCAGCTTATGATTCTAGTCCTCAAGGAACTTACGCTCAATGAAAATGGGGAATATCTGATCTATCTAGGAAGAGAGTGCAGGCTGACAAAGACGAGCATTGCCAATCAAAGAAGTATTGCCAGGGCTCAGAGCCACACTTCAACACTTAGGGTTCATGAGAACCTCTGGGCATGAAGCATTGTGCAGGGCATGGAGTCAGGGGTGGGTGGGTAGAGGAACAGGACCTATGCTTTAGATATGTACATGTAACTCTAAGACATGGTATACTGGTAAATGTTACAGCAACATTAAAACTGCCTTGGGACAATAAGAAAGGGAAAATAATCCTGACTGCTTAGAAATAAGACTGCAAGGTCTTGGAGCAAGGCCTTGAAATCTAAGAATTTGACCAGCATATGGGGACAGGAAGATGGGAGGTAGGGAGACTCAGTAGGAATGCACAAAACAAACCAAGGAAGGGTGATGGGAAAGAACAGGCATGGCCCCCACAGGGCTACAGTCAGAGACTGAGCAGGGCCAAGGTGTTCTAGCAGCAAGTTCTATAAAGCAGGGCCCTAGAAGTTGAGAGGAACACGGTGAAAAGGGCAAAGTCTCAGGGTACACAGCCTCAGGGGACAATAAAATGGTAAGTTTCATATATATTTCAAATTTGGATGAATACACCTTTACAGAAAAGAAAGAGGTTCGGATGTAAGTACAAAATAAATGTTGCTTTTCATGATTTCTGATACAGTTTAATGACATAGGTGAGGTTAACAGTGAAAACACAGCATTGCAGGTTCTTGCAGCAATGAGACAAAGAAGCCATCTTCTGTCTGTGGCATATGTCAACTAAGCGTTTATGAACAAATCTTACCGGGATGAACTGCTCCAGTCGGCCTTGGGGAAAGATGCCATAGAGTTTTGGCCCAAGTGACCTCTCTGCGAGAATGGCAAACATAACGCTCTCCAGAACCATGGCCTCAGCCCCCTAAAACAGATGGCAACAAATCAGGTGTTTACTGAGTGTTTGCTAAGCGCCAGGCATCAGAAGCACTCTCACAGGAGTGTTTCATCTGATCCTCATGAGTATTCTTTCACGTGGGCACTACTGTTATCATCATCCCCATTTTAAATATGAAGAAACAGAGGTTCCAAAGTCACACATCGTGTCATTTGCAGGATTCATGCTTGCAAGCACTATGCTATATTGATAAGATTTAAAATATGAGTTTAATTTAGGTCACTAGATCCAAAAATAGAAAAATATCCATCAGTGCTTTTATTGCTTCTATTTATTTCGCAACCTATATAGGAGTCTCACCCTTGGTATCTCACCAAAGGCCACAACACCATCCATTCTGGTAAGGGTTGATTTGCTTTTGGTTGAGTGTGTCTAGTTAAAGCAAAGGATCCAAAGGACCTTCTGCCTACTAAATTGGGCTCATGGGTCCAACAAGCTTGAAAATTACTGATTTAGGTCCAGGGTCTACGGCTTTCTAGTCCAAAGAGCACCCTAGCATGGAGCATCCTAGATTGCTATTTTCAGTTGGCACACCCGACCTTTTCCTGTTATTGAATGTTTGTTGTCTTGCTGAAATCTCTATGATGCTGTCTGTTCTATCTTCGTCCTAATAATTAACGTGGGATCTATCATCATTTTGCCTTCAAAATCCATGCTTTGATCTCAAAGCAAATTCAGTCCTTGGTCTTTCCCCCTTAAACAGCACATTACAGCATAATGGTTTCCATCTGTTGGAGTGAAGGAGTCACGCTTACCCAGAGGTCCACCTGAATCTCTTAAAGAGCTTTTACAGGCCAGGCGGTGGCTCATGCCTGTAATCCCAACACTTTGGGAGGCTGAGGTGGGAGGATCACTTGAGGCCAGGAGTTAGAGACCAGCCTGGGCAACATAGTGAGATGCCCCACCACCACCGAAGTCTCTTTTTAAAAAAAAGAGCTTTTGCAAAGAGATTCCTAGGTCTTACTCCAAGTATTAAAAGAGAGGCACCAGCAGGGCTGTTTTGAAAAAGCTTTCAGATGATTCTAATTCACCCCCTGTGAAGCAATGTGCTGTGGAGGAACATGATCCCAGAGAAACCTCTAAAACACATTCACGTTACCAAAAACTGAGAAACCAAGAGGACAAACTTATTAGGAAATGATACAGTACTATAGTAAGAAGAAAACAAAAAAGAAAAGCTACTTCCAAAGGATATCAGACCACATTAAAGCAAAAAGTATTTTGGTCACTTTTACATTTTGTGGGGGTAAATGGATTTGCCGGTAATCCCCCCACAATTATCGTCTACAACCATCATTCGTATAATCCTCACAATTATGGCCTGTGATCTTGTGAGGCTCAATCTTTCCTAATTTGTGGTTTTGTGTATATGACAATAAACTGATAACATCTATCTATCAAGCTAATGAATTTTAGGGTGGGATTTGATATCAGACAGGTTTTATTTCTTAAAACCTTAGAGAATGAAAACAAAGATCTAGTATCTCTATTTAGTTGTCAAAAGGTTTCCAAGAACTTTTTAGTCCTATGGTAGTGTTGTCCAGAGATGCAGTCCCCATCTTACTCCAAGCCCAACATCACAGAAAGTATCCGGGGCATTTAAGCAAGGGTCTGCAAAGCCTCCTCCAAGTCTCTGCTTAGACATTATGCTCCCCTGCTCCCCAGGGGGCAGCACGGTCCTGGTGCTCTGAAGACTGTGGTCCCCACCACCACCCTCATGCTGTGTAAAACACAAAAGTAAACAGGGGCTGGGCATGGCAGGACAAGGGGGTGCTGGACTCGGAAGTTCAGCATTTTGCACATCATGTCCACTGGGAAGGATTCTCGGAGGTGACTTTATTTACGTGTGGCATCGTCAACACATGTCACCAGCACTAGCCAGAATCCTCTCCAGAGCTGAGTCAACCCAGAAAGGACATAGAGAAGAGGGAAAGAGATGTAAGAACTTTCCAATTCTCTTTAGCACTGCCCTAAACATTGTAAACAAAAACACACTTATTCTTACGTAATACTGTAGTTCAATATTTATTCACAGTAGGAAGAAAGGGGGAGATGGTGTATGGAGAGAAGGATTTGGAGAGGAAGAAAATGAGGCCGGGTGCGGTGGCTCACGCCTGTAATCCCAGCATTTCGGGAGGCTGAGGAGGGCAGATCACCTGAGGTCAGGAGTTTGAGACCAGCGTGGCCAACAGGGTGAAACCCTGTCTCTACCAAAAAAGTATAAAAACTATCTGGGCATGGTGGCGGGCACCTGTAATCCCAGCTACTCAGGAGGCTGAGGCAGGAGAATCGCCTGAACATGGGAGGCAGAGGTTGCAGTGAGCCGAGATCACACCACTGCACTCCAGCCTGGGTGACAGAGCAAGACTCTGTCTCAAAAGAAAAGAAAATGAAAGAGAACACCCAGGCACAAGCAAGAAAAATGACAGGTTAAGGACAGCAGAGAATCCTAGAATAAGTGTACCAACTACTGGTGGTCTTCTTGTCATCACTATGTCTCCAGGCACCTTCCTGATTGCTCCTGAAAGTGAGCATGGTAAAAAGGGGGCTGGACAGACATGGCTGGGTTCTCTCCTGTACCACGCACTGGTTTAGCCACAGCTGGTGACAGTGGAGGGAAAATTGGTCCTACTTTTTCAGATATCTCAACTTGGAACAATTTACTTGGGCTTCAGAAATAAAGACTCATTAATACATTTGCCTAAAACACACTTACTCAATGTCTACTATGTCCTGGCACTGTGCTAAGCGCCAGGGAACCAACAAAGAACAAGATACATAAGGCCCCTGCCCACAACGGGGCTTACATGACAGAGAAGGAGGGATGGGGAGAGAGAGAGAAATGGACAGTAAGCAAGTACACGCAGCTATGGACTGGGCTCACTGCCATGAGGGAAACAAGGGTGACTGGTGTGGTGGTGTGGGTATTTCTAAGGAGGCCACACTGAACTGACCTGAGATCTGAGGTGTGAAAAGCCACAGCAGCCCCATGGGAGCACAGGGCCATGAGGAAGGAACAAGTGTGACGCCTTCAAGGAACTGAGAGGCCTGTCTCACTGGAACAGGACAATCAAGGAAAAGGAAGAGCAGAGCATGAGATTGCCGGGTGGACTGGGGCTTACAGATACCAATTCACAAGTCCTCAACATGTTGTTGATGTTTACAGCTCACAAACTGGGTTCGATCCCCTGGGGACAGAAGAGGAGGAACCAGCACAGGCCTTAAAATGCCCTTTCTTATGTGACTGTCACCACAGTAAGAAAGCTTTCTACAGGGCACCCTCGCATACACCCCCAAAACAAACACTATCCCCACAGCAATACTCACTCTCACAACTGGGCAACACTTATTAATATTTTCTACTCTATTTCATTTTAAAAAGCAATCAACATGCTAACATTTCATGCCCCACTAGAGGTTCACAAGCCACAACTTGAAAAACTGGTTTAAGTTCAGGCAGCAAAAAGAGGGGCCAGGGCAGAAGGCAAGGTGAGGCAGGCGCCACTGCCAGGAAGGAGAGTGGTATTCCCTAATGGTGCTGCTAAGTGGCCATTAGATTTGGCAATATGGAACCTGTTGGTGACAAAAAAAAGAACAGCTTCAGAGTGATGGGTGGACAGATGTCAGATTGGAGCATGTGAAGAGTGAACAGAAACGGGAGAGAGAAGTGGTTGAGAATGGAACAAGGGGTTTAAACTGACTTTTCACTTTATCTATGAAGTTTCATTTATTTAAAACCCAGGAAGAAGAGTATTGATGTTATGAACTTCTTGAGAAGACATAACAGCATTTCTGTGGTATTTCAGCCAAAAATGCATAACCTCAATTGTGAGAAAACACTAGACAAGCTGAAATTGAGGAGACATTTCCAAAATAACGGATCAGTACTCTTCACAAGTATAAAGATTACAAATAACAAAAGAATTGTTACAGGCTGAAAAAGACTAAAGAGAAATAGCCAATGCAATCTTGAGATCTAGCTAAATCTCGAGACAGAACAAAAGAAAATATGCATAGGAAAACTTCTGAAATTCAATTCAGGTCATAGTTCAGTTATTATTTTTTTTTTGGAGATATTATTATTATTATTTTTTTTTTGGAGATGGATAGCCCAGGCTGGAGTGCAGTGGCAAGATCTCGGCTCACTGAAGCCTCCGCCTCCTGGGTTCATGCGATTCTCCTGCCTCAGCCTCCCGAGTAGCTAGGACTATAGGCATTCACTACCAAGCCCAGCTTATTTTTGTATTTTTAGTAAAAACAGGGTTTCACCCTGTTGGCCAAGCTGGTCTCAAACTTGTGACCCCAAGTGATCAGCTCACCTCAGCCTCCCAAAGTGCTGGGATTACAGACGTTTAGTTATCACTATTGCATCAACGTTAATGTCCTGGTTTTGACCATTGCACTGTGGTTATGTGAGATGTTCGCATTAGGGAAGCTGGGTGAGGGGTGCATGGGAAATCTCTGTACTATTTTTTTTTTCTTTTGAGTCGGAGTTTCGCACTGTCGCCCAGGCTGGAGTGCACTGGCACGATCTCGGCTCACTGCAAGCTCTGCCTCCTAGGTTCACGCCATTCTCCTGCCTCAGCCTCCCAAGTAGCTAGGACTACAGGCGCCCGCCACCACGCCTGGCTAATTTTTTTTGTATTTTTAGTAGAGACGGGGTTTCACCATGTTAGCCAGGATGGTCTCGATCTCCTGACCTCGTGATCCACCCACCTTGGCCTCCCAAAGTGCTAGGATTACGGCGTGAGCCACCATGCCCGGCCTCTCTGTACTATTCTTGAAATTTTTTCTGTAAGTCTAAAATTGGTATGAAATAAAAGGTTAAAAATAAATTCATATAAAATTCACATAAAAAAGACTGAAATCGGCCGGGCGATTTCATGGCGAGTTTGAGGGGCATGTGAGACATCCGAGGAGAGACTGCTAGCCAATGGCATTAGTTCCAAGTCGAGGTCAGGGCTGGAGGAAGAATGTAGCGGCCCTTTGGCCTATAGATCAGGTGACCGAGGGAGACAGGACAACATGAGAAGAGGGCCTATGGTCAAATCATGGGGCGCCCTAGCATGTAGACAGCCAGATCTGTACTTTGTGTCTCTGTGTCATGGCTGCCCTCAGGAGAGGAAACATTTCAAAAGGGTGGGGGTCATGTCAAATGCTACTGAGAAGTCAAAATAAAATGAGAACTGAAAAGTACTTTGGATTTAGCATCACGCAGGTCCTGGTGATCCACCATTTTCAGCTAACAGGATGTCCAAAGGCCTCTGCACAAAGGGCTTGGAATGGTTCACAACAGATTGTCAATCACTTCCCACCCAAGGACTTCCCAGTCACTGTCACTCCAGAGAGCACAAGTTCTAGATCCTCTAGCAGGGCACCCAGAGCAAGACACATGTAAAACAAGCCGCTGAAAAGTGTGGAAAAAATATCATCACTTTCATTCCTTTTTTATCTCAACCGTTTTAATGTCTATTTCTTGATTTTTTTCTTTTTTTTTTGCATTTGGTGGGGACGACTCCTGTCGCCCAGGCTGGAGTGCAGTGGCACAATCTCGGTCTACTGCAACCTCCGCCTCCCAGGTTCAAGTAATTCTCCTGCCTCAGCCTCCCAAGTAGCTGGAATTACAGGTGCCCACCACTATGCCTGGCTAATTTTTCTATTTTCAGTAGAGACGGGGTTTCACCTTGTTGGCCAGGCTGGTCTCAAACTCCTGACCTCATGATCCACCTGCCTCAGCCTCCCAAAATGCTGGGATTACAGGTGTGAGCCACCGCATTCAGCCTATTTCTTGACCATTTTAATAATCAATATACAATTGGTAAAAGTGATGTGGCGATGTGTGTATCTACATCTTAGACCCACGTATGTTGGGCATGTGTGCACATGCACCCTTCTCTGTGAGCCTGCACATAATGGCAGAGATGCTCAAAAGGTGCTTACGCTGGGGCATGCAGACCAACACCCCAGACCCCTGCCTCTGAGGCTCCATCGGTCAGTGCTCTTGGCCTCAAGCCATCTGCACATGTGTGTTTCAGAGAGTGGGGTCACATTCTCTAAGTCTAGGAAGAAGCTTTTCCAACTTGGGTATCATCCATAGGAAAAAACATTGCTGTTAGCCCATGGAAAATGGGTGGCCACCAAAACCACTGGGCAGTGACCCGCTTCCTGATGGGAAGTGTGGGAACGACCAGAAAGGGGGTGAGAGAGGCATCACAGCAGCGGCAGCCAGGGCCTCCTCATCAGGTACCACACACGAATGCTCCCCTGGCTGCCATCTGCCAACATCCGAATGCTGTTTCGATTGCCATAAAGACACCAAACTTCCACAGTCTACACTCTCAGGAGGAATGAGGAATACCCACCGCTCACTCAGTCTCCGTAAGGTGGCTTCTGATAGATATACCAAGAGCCCCTCCTCGTAGAAAGATAGATCAGGATTTTCCAAGGGTAGATAAGAGGCACTGCCAAGCCCTGGAGTAGCGAAGGGTGGCTAACACTAGTTCACATCTCACACAGATGCAGAAAGACTGAATTACTTACTTGAAATTCATTTTCTTTCTGAGCTTGTTCGGATCCCTCTTTATTACAGGACCTCTATGAATGAGAAAAAGGAAACACTTCTGGTGAGATGGGGAACACTAAACAGACACTAACTTTGCAACCACCAGAACAGTCAGGGTTTACAAAACATCACAGGTCTTTAAGGAAGGTTTCTCAGCCCACCGATGTGACGGGCAGCATCTAATGCACCAGCAGCCTCCAGCACTAGTACCAACACCTTAGAAAGTGCTTCATTGCTTTACGAGAAAAGGGATGTGCCGGTGAGACCCGATAGCTGCACGTCTCACAGCCGCCCCATGTACCTTTCACAATTTCATTGTTAGAGGAAAGTCAATAGAGTGCACTCTTCCAATCAGGCCTTCTAAAGACAAGCGGTCAGGCTGAGTCTCTCACCAATTTAGCTACGTGGTTCTCTCAAGTCAACCTGCAAGAACAGGGAGTGTAAACATGCCTGTGGACAGCTGTGGTCAGCACAGAACTTGGACAGAGAAGAAAGCGCTGTGCAGGCAGGAAACCTGGCACAAAATCTGTGCAGACATGCCCTGCCGACTCGCCACTTTCCCAGAGTAACCCCTCTAGTTCAGCCGGTCACCAGCTCAAGCTGAACTGTTCCTCTACCATAAAGAGGACTGTGTGTATTTAATAAAGTCTCTAAAATTATTTCATATATTAATATATTAAGAAATACTTATATCACTTTCCTCAATGAAATTGCAAATTTATGATAACCAGGATTCTAGCAATAACAACACACTAGATCATTAACTACCATAAACAACCCTTGGGCTACATTCTTTCTCATGGTACAGATCATATATTTTAAGAGCAACCCCCCACCCCAAATGCTTTAAAATCCTTCGTACTATCTTTAATAAGGGAATGGGGAAAAGTAAAGTCAGAAACTTGTGTCACGTCAAACTTTTATACTCAAATACTGCCTCTAAAAATGTTACTTGTTAAATTAAACTAAGTCTGCTTAAGCCAGACACAAAAGGAATCCCAGAAAGGAAACCTCTTTAAAAAAATTTAAGGTAACAGATTCTTGAACACCCCATGAAAAACATACCTTTCCATTCCACAGCTTTATCAAAAATACCTGTACCAAGGGTGGAAAGTGTGGACAGGAAAAAAAATGCCACGTTAAGCAACACCAGCTACTCTAGCACCAATCAAAAACCTAGTGATTTAAAGCAACCACTCATCCATCACACACTGAAATAACATTACAGACGTTTTAATGCATGTTTTGTATAAACAGTACATGTAATATAAAAGTAAACAAAATAAGTATCCATGTTCATAAATCTATTTGCAAAAGGCTCTTAACGTTTGCACTGATACATATTCAATACTATATTTAGCATACAGTTAAGTACATTTGGTACAAAGTACAGAAAGTACAAATGGGGATTTATGATATTTTCATTTGTGTAATCTGCAGTTCTCTGATGAAAAGATGTTACAGGTTAAATCCCGTTACAATGAAAGCTATAAAAATCAAAATACTACAAAAATGCTTTCAGATCTTTGCAGATGGTTTGATGTGCGATGTGGTAGGCGCTGGAAAGCTTCCCTTCACCCTAATTCCAAACACTCTCGTGGCCGCATCGTTCCTTAGACTCTGCTTTGCGGGTCGCCTCTTCCAAGCAGTCTGTAAATTCCTAATGAATAGGGACTGCGTCTTTTATTGATGTTAGTCTTCTCCCAGAGCACCAAGCAAATCTCGATGCCCACTACACTTTTTAGGCTGCATGAATAAATGAACACTCCGGAGTGGTATAGCACGAGGCAAGTGAGCCCAACGAGCTGCCTGGTGCCACGCAGCCAACCAGTGATAGCAAATTCCCATCCAGGGTCTTGGTAACAAGGAAGCTGGCTGTGGGGTTAATTAGAAATGCCCCTTCAAAAGTCCTTGTGTTTTTTTCTCCAAAGAAACTTAAGAACAAAAAAGTTCTATAATCTGATATATTACATATTAATACTTTGCAGTATAAGCTTTAAGACAAATAAGTTAGATACTCTTCTGAAATTGTTGTAACGGGATTTGACCTGTACACAATTCTAAATGACTATGGTTATTCCTATGCTGTTGTTACTCTAACTGTATCTTCTTAGGGAGATACAGTTAATGGGTTATTTAGCCTTCAGAAGTCCCTTTCCCTTATCTAATGGCGCTCGCAAAAGCAAGTTACTTCATCCAAAGTTAAAAATTGGCTGAGGCCCCAAAGTCTTTCCTTTTTTTAAACATATTGGCACTATAAGTGGTAGTAAATCCATGATAATCTCCCCTGCCCACTCCCTCACTCCACCCCCAGATGAATTCATCACTTATACCATAAGAGCACCATTATGAAGGCAAGATGGACTTCTGCAATATCCAGCCCTCTGTTCTGTTTCCTCAGTACAGAATGTTCAGGCTCCCTAAGTCCTGTAAATAAGAAGTGTAAGACGAGGAAATCTCAAACCAAGTGTATATTCATGGAAAGGTAAGAGAATAACTTTTTCGTCCAGGAAGACAGGAAGTTAAATATATTTTGGGGCCGGCGGGGGTGGCCCATGCCTGTAATCCCAGCACTTTGGGAGGCTGAGGCAGGTGGATCATCTCAGGTCAGGAGCTTGAGATCAGCCTGGCCAACATGGTGAAACTCCAACTCTACTAAAAATACAAAAAAATTAGCCGGGCATAGTGGCGCATGCCTGTAATCCCAGCTACTCAGGAGGCTGAGGCAGGAGAATCGCTTGAATCCGGGAAGAAGAGGTTGTAGTGAGCCAAGATCACGCCACTGCACTCCAGCCTGGGTGACAAGAGCAAAACTCTGACTCAAAAAAAAAAAAAAATACATATATACGTATATATACACATATATATACGTATATGTGTATATACATGTGTATATATATACACATATACGTATATATATGTGTATATATATATACACATATATACGTATATGTGTATATATATACACACATATACGTATATATGTGTATATATATATACACATATATATACGTATATATATGTGTGTATATATATATAGGAATCCGTGGGATTTTACTTCAGTGACATAAATTCATTTGAAGTAGATATTAAAATACATTGTATAAATATTTAGTATGACATCCAACTTTTCTCTAACAAGTTAATAAAAATTATCCTCTATAAGTTATAAAACAAAACTAAGCTTTTTACATTTATTAGAAATTTGAACACTGGTTATTTAATATTAAGTAATTATTAAATTTTTTTAATGTGAACATTACTGTGGTCATTTTTAAAAAATCATCTTATATAGATACAGACTGAAATATTTACAGAATAATATAACATCTGGAATTTGCTTCAAAATAACCCTGGTGGAGTAAATGAGGGAAAAGATGGAAGAAGACTGGCTGTGAGGGGAAGATGAGGAATGGACACTGGGGTTCATTATACTCTTCTACTTTAGGGTATATCTGAAATTCCCCATAATAAAAACTTTTAAAAAATAAACATTGAAATTTCAAGACCTAAGAAATCAGAATGTCTCAATTATGCCTAAGACACCCAACTCCATAAATACACTGAAAACCACTGAATTCTACACTTAAAAGGCACACAATAATGAAAAATATATTGCCACTGGCTTCCTCCCACCTTCTTTCTTTCCTTCCTATTTTGGGCTTAGTTTTCAAGAGAATCTTAAGTTAGAGTCATATATTCATTAGCCTGTGATGTAGGAAACAAATGAGGCTACAGTGACAGCATTAATAAAGGAGGCATACTTACTATTTTAAAGTTAGCTTTTAAGAGGTGAAACTTTAAAAAAAAAATTTGGAGACTGGGTCTCGCTCTGTCTCTCAGGTTGGAGTGCAGTGGCAGGAATAGGGCTCACTGCAGCCTCAACCTCCCCAGGTCGAGCAATCCTCCTGTATTAGCCTCCCAAGTAGCAGGACCACAGGCATGTGCCACCATACCTAGCCTTTTTTTTTTTCTTGTAGAGACAAGATCTCACTATGTTACCCAGGCTGCTCTTGAATTCCTGAGCTCAAGTGATCCTCCTGCCACAGTCTCCCAAAGGGCTGAGATTACAGGCATGAGCCACCATGACCAGCCTGAAAAAGATTTTTTGATTGGCCAAGAACTTTTAAATTTAAAAACTAAATTCCTGAAAGTCTGAATTATATTAGCTATGGAGTAAAATGAGAAAATAGAGGACTTTCATTTTTACTTTATTTCTATACTTTAAAAAGTGCTTAAAAGCGTGTATTATTTTTATAATAAATACATTTGATACAAGGTTTCAAATGTTACTTTTCTAACAAAATTGCAATTTAAGGCTTTGGGGTTTTTTTGTTTGTTTTGTTTTTTGTTTTTGAGACAGCGTCTCACTCTGTCACCCAGGCTAGAGTGCAGTGGTGCAATCTCAGCTCACTGCAACCTCCACCTCCTGGGTTCAAGCGATTCTCCCACCTCAGCCTCCGGAATAGTTGGGATTACAGGTGTGTGCCACCACGCCCGGCTATTTAGGCTTTGTATTTTAAATGAGACTATGAAAAGCAGTAAATATTCATATTACAGAGCACAGGTTTTCAAAATGTTCTACTTCATGCTTTAAAAATAAAATGGGCCAGGCACGGTGGCTCACGCCTGTAATCCCAACACTTTGGGAGGCCGAGGCAGGCGGATCACGAGGTCAAGAGATCGACACCATCCTTGCCAACATGGTGAAACCCCTTCTCTACTAAAAATACAAAAATTAGCTGGGTGTGGTGATGTGCGCCTGTAAGTCTCAGCTACTCGGGAAGCTGAGGCAGGAGAATCACTTGAACCCAGGAGGCCGAGGTTGCAGTGAGCCAAGATCGCGCCACTGCACCCCAGCCTGGCGACAGCGAGACTCTGTCTCATAAAATAAAAATACAATAAAAAAAATCAATAAGTGGTAAGACAACTCCAGGACCAAGGAGGAAGAGATGTCCCTTTATTGTATTTTGTGTTATATGATTTTAGGATTCAAAAACCTACTTTAAGTTACCTAATGTTCCACAATATAGCAGGTATATTTCTTTTAACCTATTTAAGCCATCAGACAGAATAAACTTATTTGGCCAGTACTTAATGAAAGACTTCTCTAATACTGAGGGAAGTAGGTTTATGACTAAATGAATAAAGCCCCATTTGGGAGATGAAAACAAAGCAGCACCTCAGTTTTCCCTAGAGTCTGTGTATAGTAAGAATGGGTGAAAGCGGCATAAAGAAAGTGTCATTAAGTCACATATAGTTATCATTTAAATGTCATTTGGCTGGGCGTGGTGGCTCACGCCTGTAATCCCAACACTTTGGGAGGCCAAGATGGGCGGATCACGAGGTCAGGGGATTGAGACCATCCTGGCTGACACAGTGAAACACCGTCTCTACTAAAAATACAAAAAATTGCCTGGCGCGGTGGCGGGCGCCTGTTGTCCCAGCTACTCGGGAGGCTGAGGCAGGAGAATGGCGTGAACCCGGGAGGCGGAGCTTGCAGTGAGCAGAGATCGTGCCACTTCACTCCAGCCTGGGCGACAGAGCGAGACTCCGTCTCAAAAAAAAAAAATGTCATTTAAAACATCTTTAACACCCAAAACATTTATCTTCAAAGTATCTTTAAACGTCCAATACTACATGAGCTGCTGTGAGACAGATTTTAAAAAGTGATGAATCAGCTACAAAGAATAGCATGTCATCAATAGCAAAATAAATTGGAAATGCTATTTAAGAAACGAAATCATTATCAATTATGGATAATATAATATGAGCCAGGCATGGTGGCTCACATTGGTAACCTTAGCACTTTGGGAGGTTGAGGGGGGCGGATCATTTGAGGTCAGGAGTTCAAAACCATCCTGGCCAACATGGTGAAACCCAATCTCTACTAAAAATACAAAAAAATTAGCCGGGTCTGGTGGCAAGTGCCTGTAATCTCAGCTACTTGGAAGGCTGAGGCGGGAGAATCGCTTGAACCTGGGAGGCAGAGATTGTAGTGAGCCAAGATCACACCACTGCACTCCAGCCTGGGCAATAGAGTGAGACTTCATCTCACACACACACACAAAAAAATCATAATATAGAATAGAAATAGGTACTATGTTAAATATAATGGTGGCTGCTGAACTAAAATGATATATAAATAAGAGTACAGGTTTTTTATAGAAAAAAAATTGTGCCATCCATTTTTTAATAGAAAAAAAGAAAAATACACACAAAAAAAGAAAATTAAGAAACATGGATGACATTCTCTTCTTCCTACCACCCCTTCCTCACCAAAAAATAACTAAATGGATCATTCAGCTTACTGTCTCTTTTAAAGGCTTTACATAAAACGGTAGATTGATTGTGACCTTTTAAAAATGCTTTGAGACCTATAAATAAATAAGTAAGAATAATCCTGTCTGGGTGCAGTGGCTCACGCCTGTAATCCCAGCACGTTGGGAGGCCGAGGTGGGTGGATCACCTGAGGTTGGGAATTTGAGACCAGCCTGACCAACATGGTGAAACCCTGTCTCTACTTAAAATACAAAAATTAGTCAGGTATAGTGGCACATGCCTGTAATCCCAGCTACTCAGGGGACTGAGGCATAAGAATCGCTTGA
Source organism: Homo sapiens (assembly GCF_000001405.40). Taxonomy (NCBI): domain Eukaryota; kingdom Metazoa; phylum Chordata; class Mammalia; order Primates; family Hominidae; genus Homo; species Homo sapiens. The sequence continues at coordinate 68,088,034 of NC_000011.10, forward strand.
ACCTGAGAGGCAGAGGTTGCCGCGAGCTAAGATCACGCCATTGCACTCTAGCTTGGGCGACAGTGGGAGGCTGTCTCAAAAAAAAAAAAAAAAAAAAAAAAAAAATTCCTACTGTTAGCTAGACTCAGTTTCCTCAGTTTCTAGGATATGTAAATTTTGGTCTCGGAAAATAATCCATCTTTCTACTAATCTGGTATTATCTTCCTGAGCTGAGTACTGAAACAACTCCCAGGTCATCGTATTCACCCTGAGAATAGGAGGATATGGTGCATCATTCGGATTCAATTCAGTAGCTGTGATGCCCATTTGGTCTTGGAGTGGCATGAACTTCTTTACTGTGTAGCCTGTGGCTTCGGAGACCCTTAATACCCACCCTGGTTATCTCACCACACTCAACCCTCTAGGAGAGAAATAATTTTTAATACAGGGGTGGCATCTGTTATAATCCCTGGCCTGCCAAGTCCCTGTTGATGATGAAGCTATGTTCCATCTCAGGAGAGGTGGGGCAGGAAAAAGCATGAGAACCATGACTCTATAGAATGTGTTCAATTCTATAGAATTGAAAGAGTTATGTGACTCTTTCAATTAACATTTTGCAGTATATTTTCTTGGCAATATGTTTTCTTCTCAGAGTTATCATGGACCCTAACCTTACTTCTTCCTGATTTCTATGAAAAAAAATGAAATCATCCCGTATTTCTTGCTTTTATGGTTTCTTACAGCATTCTTTCTCGAACTCCTGACCTCAGTGATCCAACTCGCCTCAGCCTCCCAAAGTGCTGGGATTACAGGTGTGAGCCACTATGCCCGGCCACTTTTAGCACTTTCTGAAAACATTTTACAGAACACATTAAAATGTGAGATCTCAATGCAATGATTTAAAGTATAGCTTATGTGATTATTTAATAAGCACATATGAATTACAAGAATTTAAACAGATAAGTGATTTCTAACATTTTATGGTAGTCTCTAGAGTGTCTTCAATTATCCCAAGGACCAGCCTAAAACACCTTGATCTTTTTGGACATTAATAATTTCAAAATTGGATGACTTGATGAATATCCGTAGGAAACTAGAACTTCTAAAACACTTTAGGCAACACAAGCCAGCAGAAAGACAGGTGAGTGGAAGCCCAGGTTTTAAAAAGGCCTATTTCAGGACCTTCTCAAAATCTATGTCTGATCTAGGGCAACCTGCTGACCCAACACTCCTCAGACTTCCAAGACTAAATAAAATACCCTCCCTCTAAGTATCCCAAAGGTTGACTTGCAAGCAACACTTTTACGGGAAGTGTGCCTTCACTACATCAAGTCAGCACTGCAGAGCTCCCTAAGGTCTCAGGTACCCAGCTAAGACATATGAAAGTATACTGACTGGTAAGGACAAAGAAGAAGGTTTGTTTCTAATTCTGACCAAAATATCAAAATATATATGGTGTCTCCTTAATGCTGGAAGTGATATGAAGGAAGAACTTGATTACTTCAATTAAGTTATCAAGTTGAGGCCCATAAATTTCTAAAATTCCTAAATGTTTGTCATTTTCTACTGAGGAAACAGAAGAAAGGAATCTGATTTGCTTTGGACAAAAAAAATAAGTGATATATTTATTACACAACATTCTGAAATCTTAATCACTGTACCTCTTTAAGCACAGCACAAACTGTAGCTGGTGCTACTTAACAAGCATTACAACTTTCTTTTTTAAAAGCAATTCTTGAATCCAAGAACTAAAAGAAAGAAATTAAAGCTGTAGAGAATGCTCCAACTTCAGAGGTCTCATACTATACCGTGAATCGTGTCTGTCACCTGGAAACCAGAGTGCTCCAGGCACGATCGCATGGACAAGCCTGCAGCAGAGAACACATGCACATACAGCTAAAGTGGTACATTACCCCCAACGCCCTTCACTCCACCCAACATAAAGACATTCCTTCCCAAAGAGGGGTGGGCTGCGGTCAAACCATCGTTCCATGGACCAGAAATCCGCATTGGCTTCATGCTATAAATCCCAAACATTTAATACCAGCAAGACAAAGACACTCTGAATATGTAAAAATTAGACATAGTAGTCTGTGGTTTATTTGGTTATCAAAAGAAGGCACCAAAGCAGGTATGGAAGGACTATTGGTAGTAATTTGGCAACTATCTTGGGAGAGTATCAGCTAAAGAAATATTAGGTTAGACCAAATGGGAACGCACAACACTAGAAAAATGTTTTACTTCTGAGAAGGAAGTTTTGACTGCCTTAGGAACACAGAATTAAACCATACTCAAAAGTATAAGGGAATTTTTTTAAAGCAGAGTGAACAGAACAACTTAAATTCCTAATGATCCTAACACAATGAGGAAAACAGTGGCAATTCATAGAATTCAGTTACCAGGGACATGACTCCTTCAAGGAGTACCAGCAATGCTGGTCTTTGCATGGTGTGACCTTAGTAACATAAAGAAATAGGTTTTAGCAGCTGATTTCTCAGTAGCTGGTAGTTTAATATTAACTATTTATGAGTTATTCCATATTTTATTGTGGCTTAATTTTTAATTAAACTGGGGCTAAGAGAAAATAGGGAGGAAGACATTTGTTTTCTAGATTTAAAAAGGACAGTGTCTCAAATTTGACTCTTTTAAGTTGCTAATACATATCTGCGTTGTGCCTTGATGCCTTTATTATGGTTAGTACTCAAACAAGCACTAATATTAGCCTTCTATTACTCAAAAAACAAACAAAAACAATTTTCCAGACAACATTCAAGAGAGATCTTTGATGTGTATTATAAACGTTCATGCCTGTGAGACCGCTCATAACGGTGAGGCCAAATCTCTCCACTCATGCACAGAAGGAAGTGGCTTAACACAGAGTCACTGTTCTGACAGAGGAAGGGACAAAGCAATCCTCTGAGACTTCCGCCAACTGGCACAGGTTACATTGAATGAACAATACGTACTGACATTTGTGTCTTCCACAATTCATGATAAATAAGCAAACTGGTTATTTGTAATCAGCCAAACTTGCTTCTCTGAAAAGGCTGCTACTGGACGTTGCAGAGCTCATGTTCCTTCCCAGTATCAGAAAGGAAAAAAATCAAGTTACATTTATAGCTAATTTTATACATTTACGCTCTCTTCTAGCAATTCTATCTCTTTCCACAATGCAAAGGCTGAACTATTACTTCTCAAAACTTCTATTAAATTATCCTCCTTTAGTTCAGGGTAGTTTTACAGTTGAGTTTGGTTTTCATAATCTATGTAGCTAATGAAAATAATCTCATTTCCATTAAAATTAAAGACAGTCTATGTAAAACAGACGCTAAATTATACTCACATGCATTAAGATCAGACCAATATTTTTATGTTTAATAATTTCCTACAAATAATATTGTATAGTTGTGTGTGTCTTATCTTGTTCATATTTTCAAAAGGACCCATTCTTGACCTTGCCAAACACAGGAATTTTCATAAGCACCCTAAAACTAACACAAATACTAAACAAAAACTCCAGGATACAGTCAGGAAGTTTGTTTCCGTCTCATCTTAGATAGAAATAGGGGCTAGAAGAGACAGATGTTTGTGGGACAGAAGCTGTGGAGCTGAACCCAATCAGAAAGTTTTACCTTGGCTTTCTGGCACTTAACCCTTAGAGAACTGTACCAAAGAGCAGTCATTTCAGTGTCACTATGGAAATAAAGGAAATCAGACATCTTATAATGCCAAGATGAAGAAAAATGAGAAAGTTGAGAATCATCTAGTTATTTTAAACCAAGTCACCTGTAAATCATTTGCTGATCAAAGAACGTGTAAAATGTTACCACCTCTGATTCTCACAGAGGTAAAATGTTCAAAAGCTAAAAACAAGGAAGAGAAATGGAAAGAAGGGACATACTAAACTAAATCTGTCATATAATTAAGGAAAAATGCAAAATACTCTGAAAAAATACATAGACCTATTATTTGTGCAGTAGACTTCAATTAACATTTTTCAAAGAAGGAGTGAATTCTAACCCATCTTAAAGGACATTATAGCTGCATTTATAAAGTTGGCTTGGGAGATACCAGTTATATTGTATAAGTACACATACATGTATAGGATATGTGTATGCTTTCCCATAAGGTAGAGCAAAAAGAAGGAAAGCAGAAGACTTGAGTCATACTATATTTAATTCTCTCTTTAACCATGATGTGATTTATTATTGGGGGCTCTGTATTTGCTCAGCCACATCTCTCAATTAATGCAAATCTTGACAATTTTTTATCAATCCTGACAATTTATCATAAATTCTGGCTTTTTTTGTTGTGATAGGAACAAAACCCTCATTGTAGACCATAAATATCTCCTTCCATTATAGGCCAGATTCATTCTAAAGAGCTGGCTATACATTAGCAATTTCATCACAGCTAGATCACAGCAAAAATAAATAATAGAAACTTTAAAGCTGATTTGAAAATATTTGGAAAGGAATTTAAAATCCTCGGCACAGTGTGTGGCAGCTCAGCTTCTAAAGCACACAGCAGCTGTTGCCTGGCTCGCATCTTAGAAGCTTCTAAGCCTGTTCTCTACTTTGCTTCTTTTGTACCATAGCCATCTTTTGGAGTTCTTGATTTTGGTTCCCCTCCTCATGTTGTCACAGTACTCCCAATGACCAACAGTCTCCAATGGCCATTAATATCTGAAACTCTTAACTGGCAACAAGTATGACTGCTAAACTCTGCAGAGCTAGGAAACCAAATATACTTAACTCTGAGACTCTAGGCTTCATGGTTTCCTAAGTTTAAACTACAACCAAAAAAGTGTGTTTGAACTAAGGACTCGACCAACTGAATAATTATATTGAAAATATAGATTCCCACCTAAGAAGCAAAGAAATAGTTTTTTTCTAACAAAAATCAGTTTGTTGTCTATGTCAACTGTCAGATTGTTAGAGGTATGCTTATTATCCGTATAGAAAACTACTAATTTCCCATCCAGTTTTTTTTGGGTTTTTTTTTTTTTTTTTTGAGACGGGGTCTCTCTCTGTCCCCCAGGCTGCAGTGCAGTGGCATGATCTTGGCTCACTGCAATCTCCACCTCCTGGGCTTAAGAGATCTTCTCACCTCAGCCTCCAAAGTTGCTGGGACCACAGGCACATGCCACCACGCCCAGCTATTTTTTTATAGAGATAGGGTTTGGCCATGTTGCCCAGGCTGGTTTCAAACTCCTGGACTCAAGCAATCCACCTGCCTTGGCCTCCCAAAGTGTTGGAATTACAGGAGTGAGCCACCATGACCAGCCCTAATTTCCCTTTCTATCCAAGGTGCTTTCAAGTATGGTTTCTACCTTACATCAGTAGATATAGCTTCAGGAATGGAAACTCATTTAACATTTGCCTAATAAAAATATAACTGAGAAGCTAAATGTAGGGTACCTCCTCCCCCCAAATTGGAATTATATGTAAAACATACTCCATTCTATTAGTTTGGTAAGAGCTAATTACATTTTAAGTGGCTTAAATTATTCTTTTTATTTTTCTTAGTTACTTAATAGTCTTTTTTCTTAGAAATAAATCGGGACATAGAATTCTGTTCAAACAAATTTTATTTCCAGACATTTCTACTGTATTTAACTACTGTCAGGTACTACTTCCAGACTGCTAAAATTTCAAAATGGAAGAAAGACTAACAATTGACAATGAATCTTTATTAGAGGAAGGCTAATTGCCAAGTAGTAGGCTATGCTGCAGCTGGCTTTTACTAAGTGACTCATATAATAAACCAGAACATTCTAGAGTTGGGCTGTCCAATACAGTGGCCACGAGCTACATGTGACTATTTTAATTTAAATTAATTAAAATTAAAAACAATTTAAAACTCAGTTCAACAGCCACACTTGCCACATTCCACATATTCGTTAGTGACATGTGGCTGATGACGAGTGTATCAGACAGCACAGATGCAGAACCCTCCATTACTCCCATCACTATAGCACTGTTCTAGAGCACAGGATTAAACTCCCAGGTTAGTCTAGCCCACAGAGGAGCACCTTGTAACACATTTAAAATGCTTCTTAAGTTAGAAATGAAAGCCTCATAAATCAGATTTAAACAATAGTTTTAAATCACATGTAATTTCAGCATCTACTTATTATTGTAAAAGTGTTGTATAAATGCAAAACACAAAAAACAGCAGAAATGGGACTTAATCGTTGCAGAACGTAAACAGTCCTCAAAGAAAAAATGACTATCAAGACATAGCAGGCCAAGTGCAGTGGTTCATGCCTGTAATCCTAGCATTTTGAGAGGACTAGACGGGTGCATCACTTAAGGCCAGGAGTTTGAGACCATCCTGGGAAACATGGTGAAACCCTGCCTCTACAAAAAATACAAAATTAGCTGGGCGTGGTGGCTCACTCCTGTAGTCCCAGCTACTCAGGAGGCTGAGGTGGGAGGATCACCTGAGCCCAGGAGGTCGAGGCTGCAGTGAGCCATGGTTGTGCCACTACACTACAGCCTGGGTGGCAAAGTGAGATCCTGTCTCAAAAAATAAAGGCACACCAGTAAAAGTGCCAAAATAATGATGAAAGATTTCAAAAACTATACTTTGAAACTGCAACCTGATTAAATTTAAAACCCAAGCTGCATGGTGAACACAAGAATCTTTTCTGCTTGTGTATTAACAGCAAGGGGTCTGTGTTTTCAGCTGGCATCAACTGTTGTCCTAGCTGGATGCCAGCTATCTGCACCTAATGACAAAGTGACCTCAGATATCCTCAGCAAGTGCACACGTGTGTGGAATAGCTACGTACCTTCAAACATACTAACTTGTTCCCAGCATTTTTAGATCTTAACCATTTCCACAGCTTGACAGAGTCAAGGAAAAGCTATCCAATTAAAGGGTTTCTTCACATTATGACAATTTTTTTAATGAATTAACATCTAGACTGCCAATTTGAACTTTAATATTTCTAAACATATAATCAAATATCATATGGATATGATCTACTTTTTAGATTGAGCTGAAATAGGCCGGTCTTTTAAAAAATTTAGTTTGAAAACTACTCTGCTCTATTTCATTAAGATAAAAATGGGCCCTTCCAAAGAAGATTAAAATGGATATCAGGGCCAGGCGCGGTGGCTCATGCCTGTAATCCCAGTACTTTGTGAGGCCAAGGCGGGCAGGTCACAAGGTCAGGAGATCGAAACCATCCTGGCTAACATGGTGAAACCTCATCTCTACTAAAAATACAAAAATTAGCCAGGCGTGGTGGCGGACACCTGTAGTCCCAGCTACTTGAAAGGCTGAGGCAGGAGAATGGCGTGAACCCAGGAGGCGCAGCTTGCAGTGAGCTGAGATTGCACCACTGCACTCCAGCCTGGGCAACAGAGCAAGACTCCATCTCAAAAAAAAAAAAAAAAAAAAAAAAAAAGCCAGGCACGGTGGCTCACACCTATAATCCCAGCACTTTGGAGGCCAAGGTGGACGGATCACGAGGTCAGGAGATCGAGACCATCCTGGCTAACACGGTGAAACCCCGTCTCTACTAAAAATACAAAAAGTGAGCCAGGCGTGGTGGCAGGCACCTGTAGTCCCAGCTACTCAGGAGGCTGAGGCAGGAGAATGGCGTGAACCCGGGAGGCAGAGTTTGCAGTAAGCCGAGATTGCACCACTGCACACCAGCCTGGGTGACAGAGCAAGACTCCGTCGCAAAAAAAAAAAAAAAAAAAAAAAAAACAACAGGTATCAAAATCCTACCACAGGCCAGGCGTGGTGGCTCACACCTGTAATCCCAGCACCGCGAGAGGGTGAGGCGGGCAGATCACCTGAGGTCACAAGTTTGAGACCAGCCTGGCCAACATGGTGAAACCCTGTCTCTACTAAAAATACAAAAATTAGGCGGGTGTAGTGGCACACCCATAATCCCAGCTACTCGGAAAGCTGAGGCAGGAGAATGGCTTGAACCCGGGAGGCAGAGGCTGCAGTGAGCCGAGATCGTGCCACTGCATTCCAGCCTGAGCTACACAGCCAGACTCCATCTCAGGAAAAAAAAAAAAAATTCTACCACAGAAATACCTCAACCTGGCCGGGTGCGGTGGCTCATGCCTGTAATCCCAGCACTTTGGGGGACCACGGCGGGTGGATCACTTGAGGTCAGGAGTTTGAGACCAGCCTGACCAACATGGTGAAACCCCGTCTCTACTAAAAAAGTACAAAATTAGCCAGGCGTGGTGGCATGCATAACGTCAGCTACTTGGGAGGCTTAGGCAGGAGAATCACTTGAACCCGGGAGGCAGAGGTTGCAGTGAGCTGAGATCACGCCATTGCACTCCAGCCTGGGCAACAAGAGTGAAACTCCATCTCAAAAATATATATATCAACCTAATATTTCTACCGTGCTCAATGAAATAGTAAATTCATGACATTAATAATAATAATAATAAACCCAGACAAGTTGGGATATCCTATAACTGGATAATTCAATAGGTACTTTAAGAATTAGATTATCTAATATAAAACTTTAGAAAGATTATGACTGTAACAAACAACTCAAAGTTTTAAAGAAATCTCAGAGAAACAGTTATTAAATTCAGCTTCGTTGAGATCATACTTTGTTAACTGGGACTATCCTCTAAAATCTTTTGGATAATGTTATAAAAACAATACCTTCTCCACATTAGAACTTTATAATCTAAATCTGAGCTGAAAATTTTAATCAATATGTAGAACCAAGAATCATCAAGCACTATTGAAGATTTAACCAACATTGTACCTTCTCTGGATGTAAAACTGGGAATACTTGCACTAGTTTACTAATAAATAATAACTAAAAAAAACACGAATTAACTTAGAATGCAAACCAAGCTGTGCAGCCCAATTAAAGTAAAAGTAAAAGCAATATACTCAAATATCTTTAGTAACACCATTAAAGTATTTAAAATCTCTTTCCAAGGTATCTCAGCAAAGAGGATTTAAAATGTTAACAGGATCCCCCCCTCCCAAAGTAGCCTACCAACTCACCATCTGCAAAATCGCTCCATACAGCCGCAGGAGCACTTTCCGAGGCTCATCACCAAGGGTGGCTGTGGTGTCAGGTAGGGAGCACTGGAACAGCATGTTGCTAAGGCCGCCTCTGTCAGAAATAAGAGGACAGTAAGTATCTTTATTGCAGGTGAGCTAAATCACTCTTCTTGGATAAATATGGATGAAAAGTCAGGGTTACACAAGAACTGTTCTCATCTTATCTCGATTTATTCTCTCAATTTAACTCCATGAGTCACATTAAAAACAGACAAATTCCCTTTCTGTTTTTCTGCAGTAGAGGTGGGGAAGCGTTTTTGAAATTGCCCGTGTGGGCCGGGCACGGTGGCTCACGCCTGTAATCCCAGCACTTTGGGAGGCCGAGGCGGGTGGATCACAAGGTCAAGGAATCTAGACCATCCTGGCTAACACGGTGAAACCCCGTCTCTACTAAAAAAATACAAAAAATTAGCCAGGCGTGGTGGCAGGTGCCTGTAGTCCCAGCAACTCAGGAGGCTGAGGCAGGAGAATGGCATGAACCCGGGAGGCGAAGCTTGCAGTGAGCCGAGATGGCACCACTGCACTCCAGCCTGGGCGACAGAGCAAGACTCCGTCTCAAAAAAAAAAAAAAAAAAATCTTGAGGCAATATTTAAACCTTCTTCTCTAGGGCTTTCCATTTGATATGTATTAATAGTTCCAAGATCTTCTACGCTAGTGTTACTAAAAATCTGTCAACTGATTTTGACTAGGAGCTTGTTCAAAAAACTCCCAACATTAACTGGTTACCACGGCCTTCAGATGAAACAGGAGACCTCAATACTCTAATCACACACCAAGTAAGTAGCTAAGCAAGGAATCAAACCCAGGCATATGGCTCGAGTCCCTGCTTGTAACTAACCATGAAGAGTTGTCAAAGAGATAGGAGGCAAAGCTGGAGAGCACCATGTGCCACATTAAAGACATTACAGGAGGTCGGGCGCAGTGGCTCATGCCTGTAATCCCAGCACTTTGGGAGGCCAAGGCAGGTGGATCACCTGAGGTCAAGAGTTTGACACCAGCCTGGCCAACATGGTGAAAGCCTGTCTCTACTAAAAATATAAATTAGCCGGGTGTGGTGGCACACACCTTGTAATACCAGCTACTTGAGAGGCTGAGGCAGAAGAATCGCTTGAACCCAGGAGGCAGAGGTTGCAGTGAGCCGTTATCGCGCCACTGTACTCCAGCCTGGGCGACAGAGTGAGACTCCTATCTCAAAAAAAAAAAAAAAAAAAAAGAAAAAGAAAAGATAAAAGAAAAATGTCATAGGAGCTGCGTGAGCTGCAAAATCACCTTCCATCAGGACTACTCTCTATAAACCTCTATGACACAAACATCTCCATGTCCTATTACTGCTATAACAAATTACTACAAATTTAGTGGCTTAAAACTGAAAACAGATTCTGATCGAGCTCATTAATTTTTAAAAATAAGGGTAACTAGGTGGAAATGGGGAGTTGGTTTAAGTTTAATGGGTACAGAGTTTCAGTTTGGGAAGACGACAACATTCTGGAGACGGATGGTGGTGATGGCAGCACAACAATGAATGTACTTAATGCCACTAAACTATATATTTTTAAATTGTTAAAATTGTATTTTTAATGCTGCTTATTTTACCACAATTTTACTTGATTTTATTTATTTATTTATTTTTTTCAGAGAGGGTTTTGCTCTGTCATCCAGGCTAGAGTACAGTGGCACAATCTCGGCTCACTGCAACCTCCACCACCCAGGTTCAAGCGATTCTCCTGCCTCAGCCCCCCAAGTAGCTGGGATTACAGGTGTATGCCAGCATGCTTAGCTAATTTTTGTATTTTTGGTAGAAACGGAGTTTTGCCAGGCTGCTCTGGAACTCCTGACCTCAGGTGATCCACCCATCTCGGCCTCCCAAAGTGCTAGAATTACAGGCACACCATGCCTGACCTTATTTTACCACAGTTTTAATAAAAAAGTATGAAGTACTGATATATACTACAACATGAAACTTAAAAACATTATGCTAAGTGAAAGAAGACAGTCACAAAAGACCACATGTTATATGATTCCATTCATATGAACTGTCCAGAACAAGGAAATCTATAAAGTCCATTAGTGGTTGCCAGGAGCTGGGGTGGGAAGGGGTACTTAGGGGTAGGGGATGATAGCTAAAAGTTTCTTTTTGAAAGATGAAAATGTTCTAAAACTGACTGTGGTAACAGCTGCAAGTATCTGTGATTACACTAAAAGCCACTGGACTGTACAATTTAAATGGGTGAATTGTATGGTTTGTGAACTATATCTCATTTTCTTACCAAATAAAAAATTTGAATGTGCTTCTAGCACAAACAATTTTTTCCCAGATTTAAGTAAGACATATTTAAGAGGTTTTTTCAAAGGTTACTTAAAATGAAAAACCATCATGAGTCTCTAGGAACAAGACAGCAAGAGTCAGGATCTATTTTCCCAGAAGGTTGTCTACCTTAGTTAAAAAGAACAAAAATAAAAGGGAACCCAAAGTTCTTGTTTTCCCAAAGCAAGCTGTGAAGCAGGCCGACAGCGTGTAGATCAAAGGAACCAAAAGCAGCCTTAACCTTTCTGTTAAACTTGGCGTGGCGCCTCAACTGTGTGGCTTATCAGAATCCCCCTGCCGCGTCTGGTCACAGCCAACATGGGTTTCTGGCTACCAAGCAACAGAACGGGCATTAAAACAGAGTTAAAAGCCCTAGTTTTTCTTCCGGTCACATACTCTGGAAATCTCAGTCAAATGCAAAGGCAAACAGATGAAGTACTGTTCTAAATTGTGTAACCTGATTCAAAGTTTACCCCCGTACTGCTAAAGAAGGAAGGCAGACTAGCTTGGCCAGAAACAAGCTCACAACCTGGAAACCCTTCAACTGCTTTTTATTACCTGTAGCCTCTATTGTTCAATAGGTTTTAGTGAATAAATTGTCAATTATTTTTTAGTGACAGTCAAAATAAATGAAGCAAGGTGACTGGCACCAATAACCCAAACTGTGAGAAATTTACCTAGAAAAAAAGCCAACTACCAATGAGTCAAATAATAATATGACCAGGAACAATAAAATGTGGTAGGAAGAAATGCCAGAAATGGTAGCAAAAATGTAACAGTTCAATTTATCATATAATTTGTCAAAAATATCCTCCCAAGTAAAACCCCAGGAGCTCTCAAGGATTTGCAAGAAGTTTTGAAACCACAAACTTTATCACCTGGCATAATAGCTTTATAAGTCATAATTAGATATGAGAGGCATGGGCTGGATGTGGCGGCTCACGCCTGTAATCCTAGCACTTTGGGAGGCTGAGGCGGGCAGATCACTTGAGGTCAGGAGTTCAAGACCAGCCTGGCCAACATGGTGAAACCCTGTCTCTACTAAAAATACAAAAATTAGCCGGGCATGGTGGCACGTGCCTGTAATCCCAGCTACTCAGGAGGCTGAGGCAGGAGAACTACTTGAACCCGAGAGGCAGAGATTGCAGTGAGCCGAGATTGTGCCATTGCACTCCAGCCTGGGGGACAAGAACGAAACATCATCTCCAATAAATAAATACATAAATAAATAAATAAATAAATAAATAAATACAAGAGCGAAACATCATCTCCAATAAATAAATAAATAAATTTAAATATATATATGCACACACACACACATATATATGAGAGGCACAAGATACTCAAGCAAAATCTCAAATACAGTGACAATAACACACTTATTCCACACTCAACACAATGACAGGAAGGAAACAGAAAAAAGCAGGAAGTACCTGCTGGCAGGAATTCTCACCCCTGCCCTCCAGACCCAGTGGTGCACGCATCACTAACTGTCAACCCATGATTCCTTAAAACAGAATACTAAGGGAATAACAAGCAGTATAAAGAGGTTCTTTTTTTTTTTTTTTTTTTTTTTTTTTTGAGACGGAGTCTCACTCTGTCACCCAGGCTGGAGTGCAACAGCGCGATCTCGGCTCACTGCAAGCTCCACCTCCCAGGTTCACACCATTCTCCTGCCTCAGCCTCCCAAGTAGCTGGGACTACAGGCGCCCACCACCACACCGGGCTAATTTTTTTGTATTTTTAGTAGAGACGGGGTTTCACCGTGTTAGCCAGGATGGTCTCGATCTCCTGACCTCATGATCTACCTGTCTCAGCCCCCCAAAGTGCTGGGATTACAGGCGTGAGCCACCACGCTGGTCCAAAGAGGTTATTTTACATAAATTGTTGAGCAAAAATGAAATGAATCATTTCAGCTTCTCTTGATAGCCAGAAAAACAAGGCAAGAGAAAGAAATAAAAGGCATCCAAATTGGAAATGAAGTTAAATTATCCCTGTTTGCAGACAACATGATCTTACATATAGAAAACCCTAAAGACCCCACCAAAAAACTATGAGAACTAATAAGTTCAGTAAGATTGCAGGATACAAAATCAACATACAAAAATCAGTAGCAGTATTATTTCTAAACGGGAGGCTCAGGTGGGAAGATCACTTGAGCCCAGGAGGTCAAGGCTGGAGTGAGCTGTGATCACGCCACTGCATGCCAGCTAATAGCAAATTATCTGGAATGGAAATCAAGAAAACAATCCTGTTTACAATAGCTAACAAAAAAAAAAAGAAAAGAAAAAGAAAGAAATTTAACCAAGGAGGTGAAAGAGCTCTGCAATGAAAACTTTAAAATATTGATCAGAGAAACTGAAGACACAAATAAATGGAACAATATCCCATGTTCATGTATTAGAAGAATTAATATTGTTAAAATGTCCATACTGGCCAAGCGCGTGGCTGACGCCTGTAATCCCAACACTTTGGGAGGCTGAGGTGGGCTGATCACCTGAGGCCAGGAGTTCAAGACCAGCCTCGCCAACATGATAAAATCCTGCCTCTACTAAAAATACAAAAATTAGCTGGGCATGGTGGTGGGCGCCTGTAATCCCAGCTACTCGGGAGGCTGAGGCAGGAGAATCTCTTGAACTCAGGAGGCGGAGGTGGCAGTGAGCCAAGATCACGCCACTGCACTCCAGCCTGGGTGACAGAGCAAGACTCTGTCTCAAAAAAAAAAAAAGAAAAAAAAAAGTCCATACTACCCAAAGCAATCTATACATTCAATGCAATCCCTATCAAAATACCAATGACATTCTTCATAGAAATAGGAAAACCAATCCTAAAATTTATATGAAATCACAAAAGACCCCAGTAGCCAAAGCAATCTGGAGCAAAAAGAACAAAGCTAGAGGAATCACACTACCTAACTTCAACATATACTACAAAGTCATAGTAACCAAAACAGCATGGTGTTGGCATAAAAACAGACAGAGACCAATATAACAGAATAAAAGCCCACAAATTAATCCACACTTACAGCTACCTGATTTTCAACAAGTGTCAAGAACACAATAGGGAAAAAGACAGTCTCTTCAATAAACAGTGTTGGGAAAACTGGATATCGCACGCACAAGAATGAAATTAGATCCTTATCTCACACCATATACAAAAATAAACTCCAAAATGGATCGAAAACTTAAAGTAAGACCTGAAACTATGAAACTGCCATAAGAAAACATAGGGAAAAAGCTTCATGACCTTGGTCTGAGCCAGGAATTTTTTTTAAAAGACCTCAAAAGCACAGGCAACACAAACAAAAATAAACAAATAGGATTATAGCAGACTAAAAAGCTTCTGCACAGCAAAGGAAACAAGAGTGAAGAAACAACCTACAGAATGGAAGAATCTATTTGCAAACTATACATCAGTTAAGGGGATAATATAGAAAATATACAAGGAACTCACAGCAAAGAAAGGAAAGGAAACCAATTAAAAAATGGACACCAGCTACTCAAGAGGCTGAGGCAAGAGGATCACTAGAGCCCAGGAAGTCAAGGCTGCACTGTACTTTAGCCTGGGTGACAGAGCAAGACCCTGTTTAAAAAAAAAAAAATATATTTGCCCTAAATGGTGGCGTGTGCCTATATTCCCAGCTTGGGAGGCTGACATAGGAGGATTGTTTGAGCCTAAGAGTTTGAGGCTGAAGTAAGCTATGAATGCACCACTGTACTCCAGCCTGGATGACAGAGCAAGATTCCATCCCTCAATAACAAAAACAAGGCAAAAGACCCAACAGACATTTATCAAAAGATGACAAATAAATGGCCAGAAAGCCACATGTGGTAGGTAGCACGTGCCTGCAGTCCCAACTACTCGGGAGGTTGAGATGGGAGGATCACTTGAGCCTGGGAGGTTGAGGCTGCAAATGAGCTGTGATTGTGCTACTGCACTCCAGCCTGGGTGACGGAGCAAGACCCTGTCTCAGTAAATTTAAAAAAAATAAAATAAATGGCCAACAGGTATATGAAAAAATGCTGACCACCACTAGTCATTATTAGACTGTCTATTTTCAATGATAAAAGATAACAAACGTTGACAAGGATGTGGAGAAAAGGGAACCCTTACACACTGTTGATGGCAATGTAAGTTAGTACAGATATGAAAAACAGTATGCAGGGTCCTCAGAAAATTAAAAATAGAATTACCATTAAGATCCAGCTCCTGCTCATCAAAGCAAGTTTAAAAAAAAAAAATCCAGGCTTGGTGCAGTGGCTCATGCGTGTAATCCCCGCACTTTGGAAGGCTGAGGCGGGCAGATCACCTGAGGTCGGGAATTCGAGATCAGCCTGGCCAACATGGTGAAACTCTGTCTCTATTAAAAAAACAAAAAAATTAGCCACGCATGGTGGTGTACATCTGTAATCCCAGCTATTTGTGAGGAGGAAGCACGAGAATCACTTGAACCCGGGAGGCAGTGTTGCAGTGAGCCGAGATCACACCACTGCACTCCAGCCTGGGAGACAGAGCAAGGCTCAGTCTCAAAAAAATAAAAAATAAATAAATTAATTAAATAAAATAAAAAATTAAAAATCCAGCAATCCCATTACTGGTAATACATCCAGAGGAAATGAAATCAGTACATCAGACATCTACACTCTCATGTATATTGCAGCACTAGTCACAAAAGCCATCAATTGATTATAGAATAAATGTAAGTGTCCATCAACAGATGAATAAAGAAAATGTGGTATATATACACAGTAGAATCCTATTAAGCCTTATAAAAGCAGGAAATTCTGTCATTTGTGACAATATGGATGAACCTGGAGGACAGTACTTATATTAAGCAAAGTAAGTCAGGCACAGAAAGACAGTAACAATGTGATCTCACTTGTGTAGAATCTAAAAAAGTTGATCTCATAGAAGTTGAGAATAGTGCTTACCAGAGGCGAGGGGAGGGGAGACAGGGAGAGGTTGGCCAACTGGTACAATATTATAGTCAGATGGAAGGAATAAATTCACCTTATACCTCATAAATAGGACAATTATTATTATTATTATTTTTTGAGACTGAGTTTTGCTCTATCATCCAGGCTGGAGTGCAATGGTGCAATCTCGGCTCACCGCAACCTCCGCCTCTCAGGTTTAAGCGGTTCTCATGCATTAGTCTCCTGAGTAGCTAGGATTCAGGCTCCCACTACCATGCCCAGCTAATAATTTTTGTATTTTTAGTACAGATAGGGTTGCACCATGTTGGTCAGCTGGTCTCGAACTCCTGACCTCAAGTGATCCAACCGCCTCGGCCTCCCAAATTGCTGGGATAACAGGCGTGAGCCACCGCACCCGACCAATATGTACAATTATTACATGTCAATTATAAACATTATGAATAATGCTCCATTGCCTCAGCACTTACATCAAATACACAGGTTATAAAATTATAAAATTCTGGCCGGGCACAGTGGCTCACGCCTGGAATCCCAGCACTTTGGGAGGCAAAGACGGGCAGATCATCTGAGGTCAGGAGTTCAAGACCAGCCTGATCAACATGGTGAAACCCTGTCTCTACTAAAAATACAAAATTAGCCAGGCGTGGTGGCACATGTCTGTAATCTCAGCTACTCAGGAGGCTGAGGCAGGAGAATCGCTTGAACCCGGGAGATGGAGGCTGCAGTGAGTTGAGATCGTACCATTGCACTCCAGCCTCGGCAACAGAGTGAAACTCCATCTCAAAAAAAAAAAGAGATTATTTAATGCCTGTTACATTCTATAGCACTATAAAACAAGAAAAACCCATGCTACATGCTACAGTGATACAACAACTTAGTAGGCTGCCCAAGGTCTTGAAATATGTCATCTCTAGGCCGGACATGGTGGCTCACGCCTGTAATCCCAGCACTTTGGGAGGCTGAGGCGGGTGGATCATGAGGTCAGGAATTCAAGACCAGCCTGGCAAACACGGTGAAACCCCATCTCTACTAAAAATACAAAAATTAGCTGGGCATGGTGGCAGACACCTATAGTCCCAACTACTCAGGAGGCTGAGGCAAGAGAATCGCTTAAACACGGGAGGAGGAGGTTGCAGTGAGCCGAAATCGGGCCACTGTACTCCAGCCTGGGCAGCAGAGTGAGACTCCATCTCAAAAAAAAAAAAAAAAAAAAAAAAAAGAAAAGAAAAAGAAAGAAATATGCCATCTCTAATGTCAAACATCTACCTATTTTTAATTATTTGGGTTTTTTCCCCTGTCATTTTTAGCAACGGGGATATTTTGGGATTCATGTATGTGAATCCGCTGAATGAATGCTTAGGCAGATGACAAACCTGAGGAACTGTCTGCTCCAACCTGTAACACAAAGATTTCCACCTGATAAATTAAGATAAGAAGTTACCTAACCAACTATATTTTGCTGAAAAGCAAAAAAGCCACTGAAAGCTCCGCAAACTGTCTACAAGTCACAGGGTACCCAGTCTAGCACATACAGGGCTTAGTCCCCAAGGCTGAGGGCCTGGACCTAGGAGAAAATAGAGCAGGCAGTTCCATGACTATCATCTAAAAGTCAAAATGACTAGAAAGAAAAAAAAATCACGACATAACCAGTGTCTCAACAGAGAAATGATCTTTAAGCCATAGGGCTGGCTACATGGAAAAGAGAATACAGCGTAATATCAAAACAGCTACTGAATTTAGAGCACAAGGAAAATAAGAAAAAAAAGCAGATTTTTGAAAAATTTCTTCTAACCATCTAAAATTCAAATTGCAGCTATGGCTCAGGTGAAAAAAACAGTGCTGCAGTAAAACATCAGCACCTCTACGGAGTAATCAGGACGGTATTAACCCCCACCTCTCTGAAAACAAGAAAAGCCAGGAGGTACCATTAAAAGAACAGGCTAGGCCAAGCACAGTGGCTAACACCTATAATCAATCTCAACACTTCAGGAGGTCAAGGTGAAAGGATTGCTTCAGCCCAAGAGCTGGAGACCAGCCTAGGCAACATAACAAGACTCGATCTCTACAATTTTTTTTTTTAATTGGCCAGGCATGGTGGCATTGAGCCTGTGGTCCCAGGTACTTGGGAAGTTGAGGTGGGATGACTGCTTGAGCCTGGAAGGTTGGGGCTGCAGTGAGCCGTGATCACGTCACTGCACTCCAGCCTGGGCAACACAAAAACCCTGCCTCCAAAAAAAAAAAAAGACCAGTCCAGCCCAGGTGGAGTGCTGGCTCTGCACAAAATAGCTGTGCAGACCTTGGGCAGGCCTCCAAGTCTGTTTTCACACCATAAAACAATGTAGCAGTATCTAACAGAAGTTTCTGCGAAAATTACATGAGATCATATGAGCTGTTCACTTATCAGCACCAATTGCAAAGCAAAGGTTAATGTTTAAGAGGATGCCAGAAGGAAGAAAGGATAAAGCTCAGTCTTAAGAATTCTACTCCAGCACGGCTCAGCCTTGACGCTTTGTATCTGGGGCCAGGTCATTCTTTGCTGAGGGGCAAAGCTGCCCTGTGTACTGCAGGAATGTTTAGCAGCAACACTGCCCTCTATTCACTAGATGCCAGCTGTACTACCACCAACATGGTAACAATAAAAAACATGTTCGGCCGGGCATGGTGGATCATACCTGTAATCCCAGCACTTTGGGAGGCCGAGGTGGGTGGATCACGAGATCAGGAGTTCAAGACCAGCCTGGCCAATATGGTGAAACCCCGTCTCTACTAAAAATACAAAAATTAGCCGGGCGCAGTGGCAGGCACCTGTAATCCCAGCTACTTGGGAGGCTTAGGCAGGAGAATCGCTTGAACCTGAGCAGCAGTGATTTCAATGAGTCAAGATTGAGCCACTGCACTCCAACCTGGGTGACAGAGTGAGACTCTGTCTCAAAAAAAAAAATGTTCAAACATTACCAAATGGCGAGATGCGGGTACAAAATCACCCCACTATTCCTCTACTTTTTTTATCATTCTTTCTGCAGTTTTTACCTATTTTTCCTTCCCCAAAATTTGAAAACCAATTTGTTCTCTAACTTGATTCCCAACTTATAATCTTTTCCTTCCTCTATTCAAAATAATTTCTTCCTCCTGATTTGCCTATTTCAGTTAACAGTAGTGCCTTTTTCCCACTCACCCAGGCTCAAAATCTTCCTCGTTTCCAATGGCCTGGTCCTCTCCCTATCTCCCAAATTCTCTCCTCCTTTCCATTCTCAATGCTCCTGCCCAAATGTATATCCTCCCCCAACCCCCACTACAGCAGCCTCCTCTCTGGTCTCCCAGCTTCTTGATCCCTCTCTCCTCTATGCTATCCCCTAGGCCACCTTAGAAAGTGTTTCTAAAATACAAATTTCAAGCCGCCACTGTCCTTAGCACAGTCCTTGGAACACAGCATGCCTCTGCCTACCCTTCCCACCTAGGAGGTCCTTCCACCAGGCATGGTCAGAAGTACTCCCTCCCACTTTCTCATAAAGTGCTTGCATCCCTTCTAGCCCACGCTGACTCCCAGTCAATACTCGACAAAAAGAGTACTAGGCACATTAAGATGTGTAAATACATTACGAAAGACACGGAAATTACGATCTCATTGTGGAAAACTAAAGATAAGGGTTGTGCCCCACCACGCAGCAGAACGAGGAGATTCCCTGCCACTGACAGAGAATGGAGAGATCCTGGAAGGACGCTAGACAGGCTGACGGGGCTCCACTGGAGGGGAAAACAGGAAGGAGAACGTGGGCATCACTGAAAGCAATATATGACAGATAACAGAAGAAGTGCTTTTATTATTATTATTATCTAAATTCTACTCCTAGCTGGGTGCAGTGGCACACACCTGTAGTCCCAGCTAATGAGGAGGGTGAGGTGGGATGATCGCTTGAGCCCAGGAATTCCAGGCTGCAGTTGAGCTATGATCCCACAAATGCACTCCAGACTGGGCAACAAGAGCAAGACCCTGTCTCAAAAAGAAAGAAAGAAAAGAAATACCACTCAACCTTCTGGTTTCCAGTCCAGTATGTGTAAGAAGCTTAGAAGTCGCCACCTGATCCTAACAACATGTAAAAAGCTAAATCAACTGAAAAATCAACTCTTAAAGAAATAAGGTGGCTGGGCGCAGAGGCTCACGCCTGTAATCCCAGCACTTTGGGAGGCCAAGGCGGGAGGATCACGAGGTCAGGAGATCGAGACCATCCTGGCTAACACGGTGAAACTCCGTCTCTACTAAAAATACAAAAAATTAGCCTGGCGTGGTGGCGGGCGCCTGTAGTCCCAGCCACTTGGGAGGCTGAGGCAAGAGAATGGCGTGAACCTGGGAGGCGGAGCTTGCAGTGAGCCAAGATCATGCCACTGCACTCCAGCCTGGGTGACCGCAAGGCTCTGTCTCAAAAAAAAAGAAATGAGGTTAAGGGGGAAACTGCTGCCTCCCAAATTGGACAGACAGACCGGCAGATACAGAGAATCACAGTTTACTGGAGCAAAATCCTCCACCAAATCAGCACTAGGGTAGGAAAACCTTAACTATAACTAACAAATTGCCGGAGGCTCAGTGTGGACAACTGTGAGAGTTTAAAACTCCAGGAGACCCAATTACTGGGGAGCCCCATTCTTTGACGAGTTTTACCTCCAGGAGCTCTACGAGTTCCTTACAGTGAAAACTGAGGGGGGGAAAAAATCCCTTCATGCTTCCAGCAGAGGGAGGGGCAAAGAAACCTTTCCTTTTTTCTTTTCCTTTTTTTTTTTTTTTTTTTTTGAGACAGAGTCTCGCTCTGTCCCCCAGGCAGGAGTGCAGTGGCGCGATCTCGGCTCACAGCAAGCTCCACCTCCCGGGTTCACACCATTCTCCTGCCTCAGCCTCCCGAGTAGCTGGGACTACAGGCGCCCGCCACCACACTGGGCTAATTTTTTGTATTTTTAGTAGAGACGGAGTTTCACCGTGTTAGCCAGGATGGTCTCGATCTCCTGACCTCGTGATCCTCCCGCCTCAGGCTCCCAAAGTGCTGGGATTACAGGCGTGAGCCACCGAGCCCGGCCTCTTATATTTTTAAATACGACAGAACATTCTGTTCTTAACAAGGTCTGCCCTCAGGAGAAATTATTTTGCCAGTGTCTAACCTGTTGGGATTTTCTCAGAGCCTAAACTTCCTGAGAGAGGGCAAATACACAATTCCAGCCCCCTCTGGCCATTCTGTCCCACCTAAGCGGGGAGGAGAACTAAGAAAAATGGGTAAAGTTCACAGTCTAGGTGCACAGGCTCACCAAAAGACTGAGACCTCACCATAGGACTATAGGTTAAACATTCAAAAATCAACAATAGGCTGGATGTGGTGGCTCGTGCCTGTAGTCCAGCACCTGGGGAGGCCAAGGCAGGTGGACCACTTGAGGTCAGGAGTTCAAGACCAGCCTGGCCAACATGGTGAAACCCTGTCTGTACTGAAAATACAAAAATTAGCTGAATGTGATGGTGCACACCTGTAATCCCAGCTACTCGGGTGACTGAGGCATGAGAATTGCTTGAATCCAGGGAGTAGAGGTTGCAGTGAGCCGAGGTCACGCCACTGCACTCCAGTGTGGGTGACAGAGCGAGACTCTGTCTCAAAATAAAAAATAAAAAATAAAATCAATTAATATAATCTATCACATCAACAGGCTAAAGAAGAAAAATCACATGATCATATCAATAGATGGAGAAAAACTATCTGACAAAATCCAACACCCACTCATGGTAAATAATAAACTCTCAGAAAATGAGGAATAGAGAGGAACTTCCTCAACTTGATAAAGAACATCTATAAAAAACCTACAGCTAACATTATACTTGATGAGAAAGTCACAGCTTTTCTACGAAGAACAGGAACAAGGTAACAATGTTCCCCCTCACCACTTTTTTCCAACATCATAGGAAGTCCTAACTAATAAGAAAAGGAAATTAAAAGTATACAGATTAGGAAGAGAGAAATAAAACTTTGTAGATGATATGATTATCTATGTAGAAAATCAGAAAGAAGTGAAAAAAAATTTCTGGAATAAGAGATTATATAGCAGGACTGCAAGATACAAGGTTAATACATAAAAGTCAACCAGTTTCCTACATACCAGTGACAAATAAGTGGAATTTGAAATTAAAAGCACATTACCATTTATATGAGCACCCCCAAAAATGAAATACTTATATATAAATCTAACAAAATGTGTATTTTGTTATGTCACTCAATGTGTATTGAGTCATGGGTAGGAAGACTCAATATTATCAAGATGTCGGTTCTTCCCAACTTGATCTGTAGATTTAATGCAATCCCAATGAAAACCCCAGCAAGTTATTTTGTGAATACCAACGAACTGATTCTAAAATTTACAGGGAAGCCAGGCACAGTGGCTCATGCTTGTAATCCCAGCAATTTGGGAGGCCAAGGTGGGCAGATCACTTATGGTCAGGAGTTCCGAGACCAGCCTGGCAAACATGGTGAAACCCTGTCTCTACTAAAAATACAAAATTAGCTGGGCGTGGTGGCATGCACCTATAATCCCAGCTACTCGGGAGGCTGAGGCAGGAGAATCGCTTGAATCCAGGAGGCGGAGGTTGCAGTGAGCTGGGATCACGCCACTGCACTCCAGCCTGGGCAACAGAATGAGACTCCATCTCAAAAAAAAAAAAAATGATAATAATAATAAAGTTTATCAGGAGAGGCAAAAAACCTAGAATAGCCAATGAAGAATAAAGTCAGAGGACCGACAATACTCAACCTCAAGAATCATTATGAAGCTACATTAATTAGGCCAGGCGCGGTGGCTCATGCCTCTAATCCCAGCACTTTGGGAGGCCGAGCTGGGCAGATTACCTGAGGTCAGGAGTTCGAGACCAGCCTGGCCAACATGGTGAAACCCTGTCTCTACTAAAAATACAAAAATTAGCTGGGCGTGGTGGTGGGCGCCTGTAACCCCAGCTACTGGGGAAGTTGAGGCAGGAAAATTGCTTGAACCTGGGAGGCAGAGGTTGCAGTGAGCCGAGATCGTGCCATTGCACTCCAGCCTGGGCAACAAAAGCCAAACTCCATCTCAAGAAAAAAAAAAAAAATGAGCCAGGTATGGTGGTACACACCTGTAATCCCAGCTACTCAGGAGGCTGAGGCATGAGAATCACTTGAACCCGGGAGACAGAGGTTGCAGTGAGCCAAGATCATGCCATTGTACTCCAGCCAAGACACTATCTCAAAAAATAAAAATAAAAAAGCTACATTAATTAAAACAGTGTGGTATTGGCAAAAGAAAGGACAAATGGATCAATGGAACAGACTAGAGAGTACAGAAATACACTCACATAGTCAACAGATCTTTCACAAAGGAGCAAAGGCAATACAATGTAACAAATGTCTTTTACAACAAACCATTTGTTGTTTCAACAAATGGTCCTGGAACATGCCCGGAGCGGTAGCTCACACCTGTAATCCCAGCACTTTGGGAGGCTGAGGCGGGTGGATCACTTGAGGTCAGGAGTTTGAGACCAGCCTGACCAACATGAAGAAACCCCGTCTCTACTAAAAATACAAAATTAGCCAGGCGTGGTGACGCATGCCTGTAATCCCAGCTACTCAGGAGGCTGAGGCAGGAGAATCGCTTGAACCTGGGAGGTGGAGGTTGCGGTGAGCCGAGATCACGCCATTGCATTCCAGCCTGGGCAACAACAGCAAAACTCCGTCTCAAAAAAAAAAAAAAAAAAAAAAAAAGTCCTGGAACAACGGGACGTCCACATGCAAAAAAAAATCTAGACAGACGTTACACTTCCCAAAAATTAAATCAAAATGGATCATAAAGCTAAATATAAAATGCAAAACTAGATAATTTCTTGATGGTAACATAGAAGAAAATCTAGATGACCTTAGGTATGGTGATTGCTTTTATTTATTTATTTACTTTTTTTGAGACGGAGTCTCACTCTTGTCGCAACAGTCTGGAGTGCAGTGCCGCAATCCAGGCTCACTGCAACCTCCGCCTCCCGGGTTCAAGCGATTCTTCCTGCCTTAGCCTCCTGAGTAGCTGGCATTACAGGTGCCCACGACTACACCAGACTAATTTTTTTGTATTTCTAGAAGAGACAGAGTTTCACCATGTTGGCCAGGCTGGTCTCAAACTCCTGACCTCAGGTGATCCACCCATCTTGTCCTCCCCAAGTGCTGGAATTACAGGCATAAGCCACTGCGCCCAGCCAGATTACTTTTAGATACAGCATCAAAAGCATGATCCATGAAAGAAATAATTGATAGGCCAGACTTCATTAAAATTAAAAACTGCTTTGCAAAAGATACTGTCAAGAGAATGAAAAGTCACAAACAAGGAAAAAATATTTGCAAAAGACACATTTGATAAAGGACTGTTAACAAAAATATATAAAGAACTCTTAAAACTCAAGAATAGGAAAACACTTTCCCACTCAAGAAGGTGTGGCAGGTGCCTGGCACGGTGGTTCATGCCTGTAATCCCAGCACTTCGGGAGGCCGAGGCAGGAGGATCACGAGGTCAGGAGATCAAGACCATCCTGGCTAACACAGTGAAACCCCATCTCTACTAAAAATACAAAAAATTAGCCGGGCGTGGTGGCAGCCGCCTGTAGTCCCAGCTACTCGGGAGGCTGAGGCAGGAAAATGGCGTGAAACCGGGAGACGGAGCTTGCAGTGAGCCAAGATCGCACCACTGCACTCTAGCCTGGGCAACAGAGCAAGACTCCGTCTCAAAAAAAAAAAAAAAAAAAAAAAAAAAAAGAAGCTGTGGCAGGAAAAAAAAAAACAATTAAATTAAAATTTTAAAATGGGCAAGAAGCTCTGTGGCATGCCCCTATAGTCCCAGATACTTGGGAGACTGAGGCAGGAGGACCACATCTGTGAATACCCACTACACTCAAGCCTGAGCAATGTAGCAAGACCCAGTTTCTTAAAAAAATAAAAAGGAAAAAGAAAAAGACACAAACTGACATCTCATCAAAGAAGATATACAGATAGCAAATAAGCATCTGAAAAGATTTTCATCATATGTCATTAGAAAGTTGCAAATTAAAATAAGATACCTGACTGGGCGCGGTGGTTCACGCCTGTAATCCCAGCACTTTGGGAGGCCGAGGTGGGCAGATCACGTGGGTCAGGAGTTCCAGACCAGCCTGTCCAACACAGTGAAACCCACCTCTACTAAAAATACAAAAAATTAGCCGGGCATGGTGGCAGGCGCCTGTAATCCCAGCTACTCAGGAGGCTGAGGCAGAGAACTGCTTGAACCCGGGAGGCGGAGGTTGCAGTGAGCCAAGATCACACCACTGCGCTCCAGCCTGGGCAAAAGAGCAAGACTCTGTCTCAAAACAAAAACAAAAAACAGCCAGGCGCGATGGCTCATGCCTGTAATCCCAGCACTTTGGGAGGCCGAGGCAGGTGGATCACCTGAGGTTAGGAGTTCAAGACCAGCCTGGCCAACATGGTGAAACCCCATCTCTAAATACCAAAAATTAGCTAGGCGTAGTGGCAGGTGCCTGTAATCTCAAGAACTCAGGAGGCAGAGACAGGAGAATCGCTTGAACCCAGGAAGCGGAGGTTGCAGCAAGCCGAGATCGCGCCATTGCACTCCAGCCTGGGCAACAAGAGTGAAACTCTGTCTCAAAAAAAAAAGGAAAGAAAAAGAAAATGAGAGACCATTATACGCCTACCAGAATGACCAAACACCAGAATGCTGACACCACCAAATGCTAGTAAGGACATAGAATAACAGGAAATCTCATTCACTGCTGGTAGGAATGCAAAATGTTACAGCTACTCTGGAAGACAGTTTGGCAGTTCCTTACAAAACTAAACGTAACTCTCACCATATGACCAGCAATCATGCTCCTAAGTATTTACCCAAATGAATTGAAAACCTACACACAAATGTTTAGAGCAACTTTATTCATAATTGCCAAAACCGTGAAGTAACCCAGATGTCCTTCAGTAGATGAATGGATAAATAAACTGTGGTATATCCAGATGACAGAATACTACTGAGTATTAAAAAGAAGTGAGTTATCAAGCCATGAAAAGACACAGGGAGGCTGGGCACAGGGGCTCACCCCTGTAATTCCAACACCTTGGGAGGCCAAGGCAGGCAGATGACAAGGTCAGGAGTTCGAGACCAGCCTGGTCAATATGGTGAAACCCTGTCTCTACTAAAAATACAAAAAATTAGCCAGGCGGGGTGGCACATGCCTGTAATTCCAGCTACTTGGGAGGCTGAGGAAGGAGAATTGCCTGAACCCGGAAGGCGGAGGTTGCAGTGAGCCAAGATCGCACCATTGCACTCCAGCCTCGGCGACAGAGCGAGACTCTGTCTCGGGAAAAAAAAAAAAAAGAAGAAGAAAAGACAAGACAAGACCCAGGGAAACTCAGTGCATATTATCAAGTGAAAAAAGCCAAACTGAAAAGACTTACATACTGTGTGATTCCAATTCTATGACATTCTGGAAAAGGAAAACCTATGGAGACTGTAAAAAGACCAGTGATTGGCTGGGCTTAGGAGGGAAAGAGGGATAAACAGACATTAAGTAGAGGATTTCTAGGGCAGTGAAACTATTCTGTATGACACTACAGATGGTCTCCAACTTATGATGGTTCAACTTATGATTTTTCGACTATACAATGGTACAAAGGTGATATGTATTCGGAAGAAACCATACTTCAAGTAAACATACAACCATTTTATTTTTCATTTTCAGTAATCAATAAATTACATGAAATATTTAACACTTTATTATAAAAACAGACTTTCTGTTAGATTACTTTGCCCAACTGTAAGCTAATGTGTAAGTGTTCTGGCAAATTAAAGGTAGGCTAGGCTAAGATATGCTGTTCAGTAGATTCAATGTATTAAATGCATTTCAATTTATGATGGTTTATCAGGGCATAACCCTGTTGAAGTAAGCTCATCATGTAAAGCAGCATCAATACAATGGTGGATACATGTCATTATACGGTGGCCAAAAACCACAGAATGTACAACAGCAAGAATAGGATGTAGTGTGTTATGGACTCTGAGTGATAATATGTCAATGTAGGTTCCTCAGTTGTAACAAATGTCCCATTCTGGTGGGGGAAGTTGAGAAAGGGGAAGGCAGTGCCTGTGTGCAGGCAGGGGGTTATATGGGAACTCTCTGTACTATCTGCTCAATTTTGCTGTGAACCTAAAACTGCTCTAAAACTGGGCACAGTGGCACACACTTGTAATCCCAGCTACTAAGGTGGCTGAGGCAGGAGGGACCACTTGAGCCCAGGAGTTCAAGACCAGCCTGGGTAACACAGTGAAATCCCCCATTTCTAAACAAACAAATACAAGTTGCTCTAAAAAATATAGTGTATTAGTTTAAAAAGGAAGAAAGAAAAAGAAAGCCAGCAAGCCAGCCACCCAAGGAACAAAACTTTCCAGTAAAAACAAAGTGTAAATAAAATTGTATCTTGAAAAATGAAATTGAAAATTGTTTCTGTTCTTATATGTAACATAATTTAGGTTATAATACAACTACATATTTATGTTTAATTTGAAAAGCAAACGTTTAAAATGAAAAGTAGGGAGTTTGGGCACAATTTTTCCAAAAAAATTATGATGGCACCATAAGACACAATTAACTTCCTATGTGAGTTTTACTGCATTAATTTTACAGTATCTGAGGACTTGGCCAGTCTTTTCATGGGACTCTCTCCATCTTTTGATATGATTCTATTTTGCAGGGCCCAAGGTAGCATCCTCCTCAATGGTTTTCTTTTCACTGTTAGTGGGTCTGTGGAACGTAATGTCAAAAGATGTGTGTGAAACTTAGTCTCCAACATTTCATTCATTGAACTTCATGAAATCTTGTATCCTTCACAAGATTTTAAACTTCATTTCACAACTGCTGTGACCTTATCAATCAGCAATGAAAATAACAAACTCTAAGCTGGGTGTGGTGGTTTACGCCTGTAATCCCTGCTCTTTGGGCGGAGGCAGGCGGATCACCTGAGCCCAGGAGTTCTATACCAGCCTGGGCACCATGGTAAAACCCCGTGGCTACCAAAAAATACAAAAATTAGCCAGGTAGCCAGGCGTGGTGGCTCATGCCTGTAATCCCAGCACTATGGGAGGCCAAAGCAGGCGGATCATGAGGTCAGGAGTTCAAGACCAGCCTGGCCAACATGTGAAACCTTGTATCTACTAAAGATACCAAAAAAAAAAAATTTAGCTGGACATGGCATGTGACTGTAATCCCAGCTACTCGGGAGGCCGAGGCAGGAGAATCGCTTGAACCTGGGAGGCAGAGGTTGCAGTGAGCCGAGATCGCGCCATTGTGCTCCCGCCTGGGCAACAGAGCAAGACTGTCTTAAAAAAAAAAAAAGAAAGAAAGAAAGAAAATGCTAATAACATACTATTGATTTGATAGGCAGGGACAGAAGTTAGTATTAAGTTGTGATGTCTGGAAATGAACAAATTTTCTAAGTGGTCAGCTCATTAACAACAACTCTCATGTTAGGACAATTTTTATTTTTCCCTATACCACTCATAGTTGAAGAGACTCAGACAAGGATCTCCGTTCATCACACAGCAAAGAGGCCAACTTAAGCTAAAAATGACAATTTCTACACTTATCCAGTTCCGGTGTGCCAGGCACTATCCTAGTGCTGGAGATACAAAGATGAACGTGAAATGCCCTCTAGGAATTCAATCTAACAAGAGAATGGAATGAATAAACACACACACAAACGTGTTAAGGGTTGTGATAACAAGGCCTGCATGTACAAAGTGCTAAGGATGAGACACAGAGGGGAAAGAAATTCAGTATGTCTGGTTCTCTCTGAGTTAAGCCTTGAAAGAGGAATTTTAAAGGAAACACACCAAGGGAAAGGCTGCCAAGCAGAGGGTAGGGGCAAAGAAAGGCCTGGAAACTGAAAACACAAAGCTCATTCAGAAAATGCAGGCTCCAGTGTAACTAGCTCAATGTTAGTTGCTGTGGTTCTGGAGAAGGAGTGATTTTAAAACAGTAATAACAAAAAGAACCAGTCTAAAAAGTTAGGCCGGGCAGGGTGCAGTGGCTAACGCCTGTAATCCCAGCACTTTGGGAGGCCAAGGAGGGTGGAACACCTGAGGTCAGGAGTTCGAGACCAGCCTGGTCAATATGGTGAAACCCTATCTCTACCAAAAATACAAAAATTAGCCGGATGTGGTGGTGCATCTGTAGTCCCAGCTACTCGGGAGGCTGAGGCACAAGAATCGCTCGAACCCAGGAGGCAGAAGTTGCAGCTAGCCGAGATCACACCAGCCTGGGTGACAGAGCAAGACTCCATCTCAAAAAATAAATTTAAAAATAAAAAATAAAAAGGTAGGCCAAGGCTCAAGTTTAGACCATGCAAACAAGTTTGGATTTTATTTTCCAATATTTGAGAAATCCATAGCAACAAGATACAGAATGGATTAGAAGGAACACACAAAATGCAAGAAGATCCTAAGGCACCTCCTGTTCTAGTGTCTAAGCAAGGACAGCAAAGGGACCAGACAGAAGGTGGGGATACAAAAGTAGCTCATCAGGTTTGAGTTACAACTGTGTGCAGAGGAGGGATTTCTGGGGGAATGCAGAGTTAGAAATGATCCTGGGGCTCTGGCCAGGCTGCTGCTACAAACGCAGAGCGAAAGCAGAAGCACATTCCTGGGTGGGGAGGAGCCAAAGGGTTAAATTTGGAATAGGAATGCACTGAGTTGAGGTGGTGAAGTCTCATCAACTACTGCAGATGCACTGGCACTCAGTGAAACACGGAGCTCCAGAAACGGATCGGGGCCAGGTATGGTGGCTCAGGTCTAAAATCCTGGCACTTTGGGAGGCTGAAGCGGAAGGACTGCTTGAGCTCAGGAGTTCAAGACCAGCCTGGGCAACATGGCGAAACCCCATCTCTACAAAAATACAAAAATTAGCCAGTAATGGTGGTGCGTGCCTGTAGTCCCAGCTACTTGAGAGGCTGAGGTGGGAGGATCACCAGAGCCTGGGAAGTCGAGGCTACAGTGAGCTGTGATCACACCACTGCACTCCAGCCTGCGCGACAGAGTGAAACCCTGTCTCCAAAAAAAAACCAAAAACCAGAATCAGATTGGGAAATGTCAGTAAAATTTGATAGCTGGAGCCATAATAACTGCAACTGCCTATGGAGAATCACTGAATTTCAACCAGACGAATTCCTCTCCTTCTCCGCACCTCCAAATGCCCTTGTGTCTTTTTTAAAAGCTAGACATCACCCACTTTCCCATGTCCTAAATCACCTTTTTTTCTCCTTATTAAACTTATTCCATAACTACGTTCTCTTTCAGAACACAGGACTGAGAGAGTGTACTCTTGCAACATTATGTAAAAAGGTCATCCAATCCAAAAGGAAAGCTGTGTTTTCCAAGACTGCTAACTCCTGGAGAAAAGAAACAAGACATCCTCAATGCTTTCCTAATAACTGGTTTGAGCAAAATGCAAAAGTTTAACTGCTGAGTGACTCTCCCTGGAGAAAGCCATGAAAATATCTTAAGGCTGGATCTAGGGTGTCCAAACATTTTCACAGGCCGCAGGCTAGAGCACTGGTGCAGGAGAAGGGGACACCAGAGACCTGGCAGTTCAGGCTTTGAAGGCAGTAAACAGCCACTGACCTCAGGCAAGTCACTTCTCCTTTAGGTTTTCCATTTCACAGACTGATGAGTACATGGCCTAAAATGATCGCCCTTCTAGTTGAGAATTTTCAGGCCTAACTAAAAGTAGATTAAAGTAAACCTTGGAGAGAGCTGAATTTTTTTTAAGTGCCATTAAGCAATTCAGGGATTATCTAAACAGCCTCGGTTTTCTTTTCTCTGCTTCCTTACCAACTGCCTATTAACTCTCACTCTTAGCTCATAAGCAGTCAGAGGGGCTGAAGCACAAAGAGGAAGTGAAGCTCAAAGAGTTAATTTTGCTGCATTAGCGGCTCTGGTGAAAGACAGTGGGCACAGAAAAGGAATCAAATGACCAAAACTGGACTTGGGGATTACTGGTGGCAGCCAGCCAGCAAATTTCTAGATACTGCACACAACCTGTCAGCCAATTAAAAGAAAATTGGCAGAAAATGACGGAACACGTTCTTTGTTTTTGTTTTTTTGAGACAGTCTCTCTCTGTCAAAGGCTGGAGTGCAGTGGCGTGATCTCGGCTCACTGCAACCGCCGCCTCCCAGGTTCAAGCGATTCTCCTGCCTCAGCCTCCCAAGTAGCTGGGACTACAGGTGTGCGCCACCATGCCCAGCTAATTTTTGTATTTTTAGTA
The DNA here is from genome assembly GCF_000001405.40 of Homo sapiens. Classification (NCBI taxonomy): domain Eukaryota; kingdom Metazoa; phylum Chordata; class Mammalia; order Primates; family Hominidae; genus Homo; species Homo sapiens. The sequence continues at coordinate 68,119,654 of NC_000011.10, forward strand.
GATATGGGGTTTCACCATGTTGGCCAGGCTGGTCTCGATCTCCCGACCTCGTGACCCGCCCACCTTGGCCTCCCAAAGTGCTGGGATTACAGGCGTGAGCCACTGCGCCCGGCCCGGGAACACATCTTTAAAGGTCTCAATAGAAGGATGCACACACTACGTTGAATGGTTATGTCTTCGGAGCAGAGTGGTGAAAGAAGGTCAGACTTCTGTTAAGTCTGAATACCTACACGCGTACTTCTGTAATTCAAATTTAAGATTAAATATTTTCAAGTTTAAAAAAAGGAAAAAATGGCCGAGCGCGGTGGCTCATGCCTGTAATCCCAACATTTTGGGAGGTCGAAGCGGGTGGATCACCTGAGGTCGGGAGTTCAAGATCAGCCTAACGAACATGGAGAAACCTTGTCTCTACTAAAAATACAAAATTAGCCGGGCGTGGTGGCGTGTGTCTGTAATCCCAGCTACTCGGGAGGCTGAGGCAAGGAGAATCGCTTGAACACGGGAGGCCGTGGTTGCAGTGAGCCGAGGTCGCGCCACTGCACTCCAGCCTGGGGACCAAGAGCGAAACTCCGTCTCAAAAAAAAAAAAAAAAGGAAAAAACATTTCTACCTTACTCTTATTTTAGGAGCCACGCCTCCCACCTTTGTCTAGTAACACAGCTATAGTGATGTCTCTTAGGGGATGAGAAAATGCTACTCCTCCACTAACAATGACTCTTGGAGAGGGAACAAGACATCAAATCGCGAACTCGAAAAACTAACAGAAAAAAGTTAAAAAGTGGTTTGTGTTTTTAAAGCCAGCCACAACACCTTCATTCAAGGCCCTAAACCGCAGAGACTTTCTAGACCTATCTTAAGCGTCAGTACCACACGCACTTCGTGATGGAACGGTATTGTTCTCCTAGAACAGACCCGTTTTCTCATGAAACCGACGTTTTTACAAAAGCCTGTTTGTGGACGGCCTGCGGCGGCCGCGAACCCGCTTCCCTTGGATTACCCAGGGCTGGGAGAAGGAGGGCTTTCGCCGGCTGCGGTCCCCGGTCCCCGGCCTCCGCCCCGGCCCCGGCTCCCCCGGCCCCCGACCCCCCCGGCCCACGCCCCCTGCCCGGACCCCGCCCCGGCCCCGCCCCGCGTCACCTGACTGTCCCGCGGCCCCCAGACCCGGCGCCACCGACCTGATGACACTGATGTGGAACTCGTCCTCGCGGAGGCCCCGCCAGGCGCCGGGCAGGAACTCCTTGCACCACAGATAGGCCCTGCGCCGCGTCCGGGGCTCCGGCTGCTCGTCTGCGGGCGGCTGCGGCGGCGGGGGCTGGGGCAGCGGCAGCGGCAGCGGCAGCGGCGGCGGAGGGGGCAGCGCGAGCGGCGGCTGTTGGCCGCCCAGCTGCTTGGACTCGAGGTCGCTGGCGGCGTCGCGCTGCTGCCCCACGCCGGGCGCCGGGGCCGCGCTGCCGCTACCGCAGCTCAGCAGCAGCCCGAGCGGCGAGGGCTCCGCCTCGCCCCCGGTGCAGAATTTGGTTTTCATGCCCGACAGGCGGCCGAGGAGGCGCGGGCGGCCGCAGCGCGAGAGGACTAGGCTCAGAGTCCGGCCGGGCGCCCCCTCGCCGCTCTCTCACTGGCAGGCCGGCGGGGCAGGGGGCCGCGGCGGTTGGGCGCGCGGGGCGGCGGCGGCGGCTGCGGCGACTGCGGCGACTGTGGAGCGGGGATGTGCTGCTGGCCGCTGCACTCGCTCCTCTGCCGCCGCCGCACGAGGAGCGCCGGCCGCGTCACAGCCCGCCCTCGCGCTCGCCACTGATTGGCCGCCGTCCGCCGGCCCGGCGCATCATAACCGCCGCCGCCCTCGCCACACCGCCTCCCCATTGGCTGCGGCGCCGCCCCCAACCCAGAGCGCTGCGGCCTCCGTGAGCGGGGCCTGGGCGAAGGGGGCGGGGCGTCGAGGGGGCGCCCCGGCGGTCGCAGGGAAGGGGGAGAGGGGAGCGAGGCGCGGGGGGCGCCGGGAGAGCGCCTCCGCGGTGGGACGGAGCCGGACTGGGCCGAGCGAGGGAGGCTCCTGAGCCTCGGAGGACCCCGGGGTTGGCTTTGGGAGCTGAAAGTTTCCTTGGACCCCTCGGAAGCCCCGTGACATCAGAGGCCGGGCCTGGCAGGGGCAGGCAGGAAACGTGTCTGGAGGCTACTGCCCTCTCCGCGTGACCTTGGGCGAGCAGCCTCCTCCTGGGGCTCAGTGGGTGTGATTTTGTAACATTTCCCAGCGCTGCCACAGGCGCGTCTCGCCCTGTCCAACGCGGAGCCCGAAGAATTACTAAGAAACCGAGGTCTGAAGGAGGGAAGAGGTGACGGGCTCGAGGCCACACGGTGGGCCAGGCTGGGCCCGGCTGCACGCCGGCTACCGGGGCCCAGCCCTCTGCACGCCTCCCGCAGCCTCAGTTTCCCTGTCCGTGGTACTGAGGATGCTCGGGCCTAGAAGTTCAGGGCTGGAGGCCCAGGGACCGTCGAGGGAGGGGCATCATCCCCGCCATGGGGCCGCCGCAACTGCCCAGAGCACAGGCCAAAGGTGCGTGCCACGGGGCTACTGGCGTTGTGGACGCTGCCCCTGCCTCCCCATCCCCCGCAGGAAACAGCCTTGTGACCGTGACTAACGCACCTTTGCCGGGGTAGAGGGGCAAGGGCCCCTGCTACCGTTTGCCACACACTGCCCCATGTCCCTCACTGCTCCCGTCCTTCCTAGAAGTGAGGTGCTGATACATATAAAAATTATGGATCCCATTTTATGGGACATGAGCTGAAACAGGAGGTTTCCTGGGCTGCCAGGGGCTTAGGAAATCCAGTGCCTGATACACAGGAAATGCTTCTATGTGGGGAGTTCACAGTCTTCCAGAAGCAAAAATGTTTTTTGGTTTTTTTTTTGAGACGGAGTCTTGCTCAGTCGCCCAGGCTGGAGTGCAGTGGCACGATCTCGGCTCACTGCAACCTCCGCCTCCCGGGTTCACGCCATTCTGCTGCCTCAGCCTCCCGAGTAGCTAGGACTACAGACGCCCGCCACGACGCCTGGCTAATTTTTTTTTTTTTTTTTTTTTTTTTTTTGTATTTTTAGTAGAGACGGGGTTTCATCGTGTTAGCCAGGATGGTCTCGATCTCCTGACCTCGTGATCCGCCCGCCTCGGCCTCCCAAAGTGCTGGGATTACAGGAGTGAGCCACCGCGCCCGGCCGCAAAAATCTTTTAGAGTGTGTACTTGGCTGAACTTGCTCCACGCAAAATGGTCTTATTTAAGGATAAAAATGAAAGGGGACTTTTGTAAGGCTGCTGTGGCGACAGGCCTGGAAGTTGACCTGCAGGGAGGTAGGAGAGACCAAGGCCCCTGGGACGGAGGCCGGCCACTGGATGTTTGAAAGGCTGAGAAGCCAAGGGCTTCAATCTGGGGAGGCCGTTTGGATAAAGGAGCCAAGGACTTTCTCTAAAAATACCGGCTCACAGGGAGGTGGGGCCATGCCAATGGCCTGCCCAGGTGACAAGCCCTTTGTCCCACTGTCCCCTGGCACCAGTCTGGTAATCTCAAAGGAATGCCAGAAATCTGGCCAGGAGGAAGGGACACTAAAGTAAGGAGTGGCCCTCTATAATTTGAAATAACTCTTTCTGGCATCTGCTGGCTTTTGTTAGGAAAAGCCTCAGACATTTTTATGGGATCACAGTTCCCTGTGGGAGGAAGAGGTTGCCTCAAGGCCAGGCATGGTGGCTTATGGCTGTAATCCCAGCACTTTGGGAGGCCAAGGCAGGAGGATCACTTGAGCCAGGAGTTTGAGACCAGCCTGGCCAACATAACAAGACTCTGTCTCGCCGGGCGAGGTGGCTCATGCCTGTAACCCCAGCACTTTGGGAGGCCGAGGTGGGCGGATCACAAGGTCAGGAGTTCGAGACCATTCCGGCTAACACGGTGAAACCCCATCTCTACTAAAAATACAAAAAAAATTAGCCGGGCGTAGGTGGTGCATGCCTGTAGTCCCAGCTACTCGGGAGGCTGAGGCAGGAGAATGGCATAAAACCCAGGAAGCGGAGGTTGCAGTGAGCCGAGATCGCGCCACTGCACTACAGACTGGGAGACAGAGCGAGACTCCGTCTCAAAAAAAAAAAAAGACTGTCTCAAAAATTAAAAATGAAAAAAAAAATTAACAGAGCATTGTGTCTTACACTTGTCCGACTACTTGGGAGGCTCAGCCAGGAGCATCACTTGAGCCTGGGAGGTCAAGGCACCCACTGCACTCCAGCCTGAGTGACAGAGTGAGACCGTATTTGCTGAATGAATGAATCAGTGAGCTCCTGGCTCAGCAATTATTAACTTATGACTTTGGGCTGAGCCTCGGTTTCCTCAACTATAAAATGGGGATTATAATACCCCGAGCATCCAGGATTGAGAGAATGTATGCAAAATGCATAGCATGCAAGAAGTAACCGTTTGGTTGCGTGCAGTGCATTGCATGGCGTTGCCTCTGCCAGTGGTTGGTTTTCGGAGATGAATAATGCATGCACTTGTAGCATTTCACAGCTTGGGAAGACAGTGTCGTATAAGAAAAGAATTTGGGCCGGGTGTAGTAGCTTATGCCTGTAATCCCAGCACTGTGGGAGGCCAAGGTGGGAGGTTTGCTTGAGGCCAGGAGTTCAAGATGAGCCTGGGCAACAAGTGAGACCCTGTCTCTACAAAAAATAAAATAATTGGCCAGGCACAGTGACATGTGCCTGTAATCTCAGTTACTTAGAAGCCGGAGGTGGGAGGATCCCTTGAACCCAGGAGTTCAAGGCTGCAGTGAGCCATGATCACGCCACTGCTCTCCAGCCTGGGCAACAGAGGCTAGGAAAATAAAAATACATTTTAAACAAAAATAATTCAAACACTCTGATAACCAAAATGTCAATGTCTGTGCACAAGTAGACGAGTTTGAGAGAAACTTGCTATGGCAGGTAATTGGAGGTTGTTCCAATTACCAAACCTTTTCCTCTAGGATAAGATAAAAAAATTATCCAAAAGCTCTGTGATTGATGCTGAATTCTGAGAGCAGACTCAGAGGGTGGGTGATGGGCCTTAGGAGGGATAGAGGAAAGATTGGGAAGTTCCCGTCCACTCTGAATTTCCTGCTGATGGGTTCCTCGGGGTCCACCCACGGGCCTCAGCCCTGCCACCAACTCCAAGGCCTGTTCTGAGAAAGGGCTTTGTGAGTCTGACTCCCCCCAAGATGGGGGAACCCACTGTCAAGCACCTGGTAGGAGCAGGCTTTGAGCCCTTTCAAAGATGCTGCATACAGCAAGTTCCCTAAGCAGCAGTGAGGTGAGTGTCATTAGCACTTCATCTCCCAGGTGGCAAGGGAGCTTCCCAGGGGATAAAACCATTCGTTAAAGGCCAGCAGGACCTGGGACTCCACCCAGGACCCCATCCAGGGGAGCCTTGTCCTTCTGTCCTTCTGCACCATAAGCACCTTTGGCCCAGGAAGCACTAGACATTTGGCACAGTGGGGGTTCCCTCACGGGCTGGAGAAGCAGAGCCCTGGCAAGGCTGTGCTCACACCTCCTCCCAGGTCACACCCAGGACCAAGCACCCCTGCTCCAGTTCTGAGCCTTAAAATATTGATGAGAGCACAGAGGCCACCTGGCTGCAATCCTCCATGTTGAAGATTGGGTTGCAGTGCCAGCTAGCAGAGTGACATGGAGCTGGGCTTTCCCTGAGTGCTGAGCGTGGCCCCAGCCCAGCTCTGTCAGCGAAAGGCTGTGTAGGTCCAGCAGCTTTCTGGAGGTCTCTGAGCACAAGTGTGGTCTGACTTGGACTGACCCTTCTACCATACATTTGGCTCAGCACCCGCAGCCAGAGTCTAGGGCCCACAGGGCTCAGAGGAAGCAGGTGACTAGAATATCCATCTGTCTGGTGGGTGGGGCAGGCATTCCTCCTGTCCTCATTTGCAGGGATTTTGAGTATAATATTATGGGTAAAAATTCTGGCCAGGTGCAGTGGCTCACGCCTGTAATCCCAACACTTTGAGAGGCCAAGGTGGATCACCTGGGTCAGGAGTTCGAGACCAGCCTGGCCAACACGGTGAAACCCCGTCTCTACTAAAAATACAAAAATTAGCCAGGCATGGTGGCACATGTCTATAGTTCCAGCTACTCGGGAGGCTGAGGAAGGAGAATCACTTGAACCTAGGAGGTGGAGGTTGCAGTGAGCCGAGATCATGCCACTGCACTCCAGTCTGGGCAATAAAAGCAAGACTCCATAACGCGCGCGCGCACACACACACACACACACACACACACACACACACACACAATCTTTAGAGGTCATGCTGCCACCCACTGTGTGACCTTGGACAGAACATCTACCTTTCTAAGCCACTTTCCTCATCCCCAAATGGAGTCCTACTCTACAGGGCTGTTGGGGAGATTCACCGAAACCAGCAAGGAAAGAGCTGGGTGTAGAGCCAAAGCCCCACAAAGGGTATCTATGCTTTTCAGCTTATTGTTAGCTGGATTCCCAGAGCCTGGCAGAGAGCAGCAAATACCCATTCATCCTAAGTGCCAGTGGAAGCGCAAAGCCTGCAGGAGCTCTGGCAGGTCTAACAGGGCCTGGAGAGTTTTCCATTCTTTGAAGCTCCTGGCACATTCAAAAATTAAGAAAAATCTAGGCGGGACACGGTGGCTCACGCCTGTAATCCCAGCACTTTGGGAGGCTGAGGTGGGCAGATCACCTGAGGTCAGGAGCAAGACTCCATCTCTAAAAAAAAAAAAAGAAACATCTCGACAGGGTTACCAAAACTGGGGCATGTTTGAAATACTTAAATTGAACAAATCAGTGCTTTTAACACACATGCAAAAGTCCCATTCAAGATAATTTTGCAATTCTCAAGGTAATAGAGGGATTACTTTAAAATAATAATGGAGCCAACCAAGCATAGTGACACCTGCCTGTGGTCCAAGCTACTGGGGAAGCTGAGGCAGGAGGATCACTTGAGCCCAGGGGATTGAGGCTGTAGAGACATGATTGAGCCACTGACTCCAGCCTGGGTGACAGAGTGAGATACTGTCAATAATAATAATAATAATGGTTTGTAGAGCACCTTAAGTGGTATGGTGTGACAAACATCTTTCAGGCCTGACAACAGATCTCTGTACTAATCTGATTATCCTTATTCAGATGTATCTAAATCTGAGGCCCTTGGGGCACATGATTGCCTCCTGGGGCTGCCATAGTAGACCCTGGCAATGACCTAGTGACCGTTCCTCTACTGGAGATGATCCCCTGGGCCCCTCAGAATGCATTTCCTGTGTCCACATAGCCGGTGTTTTAAGTCAGGTGATCTTTTTTTTTTTTTTTTTTTTTTTGAGACGAGGCCTCTCTCGTTGCCCAGGCTGGAATGCAGTGGTGCAATCTCGGCTCACTGAAACTTCTTCCTCATGGGTTCAAGTGACTGGCCTGCCTCAGTCTCCCAAGTAGCTGGGATTACAGGTGTGCACCACAACGCCCGGCTAATTTTGGTATTTTTAGTAGAGATGGGGTTTTGCCATGTTGGCCAGGCTAGTCTCGATATCTGCCCACCTCAGCTTCCCAAAGTGCTGGAATTACAGGCATGAGCCACCGTCGCCAGTCTTAAGTCAGGCAATCTAAGCTCCCTTTCCAAGTTTGTTGAAAACCTGATTTGAGGTTTTGTGCTTTAAGCTTGCATTACATTTGTAACACAATAAATGCAATTTTTGGCACAATAAATGCAAAATTGTGGCGCAGTGACTCATACGTGTAATCCTAGCACTTTGGGAGGCCGAGGCAGGTGGATCACCTGAGGTCAGGAGTTCAAGACAAGCCTGGCCAACAGGGCGAAACCCTGTCTCTACTAAAAATACAAAAATTAGCTGGGCATCGTGGCAGGTGTCTATAATCCCAGCTATTTAACAGGCTGAGGCAGGAGAATCACTTGAACCTGGAGGGCAGAGGTTGCAGTGAGCCAAGATTGCGCCACTTTACTCCAGCCTGGGCAAAAGAGCCAAACTCTGTCTCCAAAAAACAAACAAACAAAATAGAAAATAAATACAATTTTTAAAAAGACCCCAGTCATCATGCAGGTTACACTGTGGGGATAACACTTCTGGGCTAGGAGTTGGGCAACCTGGGTTCAGGCACCGCACCCCCTCTGCCGGCTGCACAGGGCCCCTCTCCCCTCAGTCAGCCCTGGGCCCTGCAGGCTGGACTTTTGCCTGGTAGCTTTGGGCTGGCCCTCCCTTCTGCAGGGGACCCCTTGTACAGATGGGTAAGCAGAGGCACAGGGGCACAGGCAGGACAGCGGCTCTGCTCACGCAGGATGCCATGGCCAGTCGTGGGCCTACTCCATCCTTGATCCTCCCCTCCCAAGGGCACTTGCCATCCAGGCCTGAATGGCAAGAGGCCCCTAAGGGGCCCCCAGTCCTGTCGGCACCCCCTTTGAGTGACTGACAGGGAGGCAGGGGAGCTGGCAGCCCCCATCCCCACACCAGCTTGTGGAAGCTACCAGCGATCGGTGGGGCCCCACTGGCAGCCCGTCCGTGTAGCCTTGGCCGGGCCCCCAAGCTTCTTAGAATGCCATCTAAGAAGGCAGAGGGGGATGAGCGGCGGCGGGGAGGAGGGGCAGGCCTTGGGAAGATCCACTGGGTCACAGGGAAGCGAAGGCGGACCCTCCTCCCCCAGCGCTACTGCCCGGGCCGAATTCCAAGGCCAGCGGCTGCCCGCTGAGAAGGAATCCGGACCAACGGGATTCTGGCTTCCCTCTGGCCCCTCCTGGCGAGAGCGGCGCCGGGAGGAGGGGGCCTCAGAAGGGGCGGGCAGGGGCGGGGCCCGCGGGGTAGGCGGAGCTCCCAGGAAAACAGCGGGCGGGGCCTCGCGCGAGGGGCGGGGTTGGCGGCGAGGCGTCCCAGGACCCCCATTCCTCCCTCCGCCCCGGGGCTTCTGGGGAGCGGCGCAGCTTGACTGCCACCGACTGCGGGCCTCCCTGCCCTACAAGCCCCCACCCCCGCCCCCCCTTGGGACCTGGCGAGGAGTTGCCCCGCAAAGTTGGGGCTGGTGCGGGGTTAAGGGGATTACAATTTTCCTAGGACTTAGTGTGCTGAAGCTGCTTTTGCGATTAGAATTTATATTTACAATGCTGATAACAATAAACTACCCAGGCTACCGCGCCACGTGGACGGGGGTGGTGGATGGAAAGGGAAACCCTTGGCCACCAGCAGCCTGTGATAAGGCCAAGGTTCCCTGGCTGGATTGCTGCCTAGGATGCCTGTGGTCCCTACCCCCGCCCGGGAGGCAGGATTGACTAATCCGACCAAGCAAGGCCTCCAGGCTGGGCCAAGAACCCCTTCCCAGTCCTCTCCCAAAGTCTATGTCCTTGGGCTCACGCTGTCCTCTCCTGTCCTTGCCTCCTGCATCTACAGACCCCTGAGGCCCCCTCCTCCTTCAGAGCATGCACGTCGCAAATTCTCAATGACTGTTTGGAGGAATGAATAAATGAATTGTGAACAAATGGTCTGAAGATTCCAGAGGTAGCCTAATGGGGCCCTGCTGCTTGAGTTCTAATCCCAGCCCCACCAGTTGTTGGCTATTTGGCCCTGGGCAGGTGATTATTCTCTCTTTGCCTCTGTACCTTGCCCGTAAAATGAGGAGAATACCAGTACCTACTGCATAAGGTTGTTAAAGGATTAAATGAGTGAATAGTTACAAAGAGCCTGGAACAGAGTGTTCAAAGAAACACACAGCCACAGTATTAAAAAAATTAAAAACCCATTTCTCTCCAGGCTTCTGCCATCACTCTGTGTGACTTCAACATTCTACCTGCATGACCTATGCAGCACCTGGCCGCTGTTACCTTGCCACCCTCACTGACATCTTCTCTGCATAGGCCTTCCACCATGCCCTGTACTTTCTCCCCACTAGAAATAGCCCTGGCTCTGAAATGTGTTTTAATCATCCCACTTTGGGTCCACCAGTTCCTAGCCTTTGAGCTTAGGCCTCTCCTCCAGGACCCTCCCTGGCTACGATTTCCCAACCCCTCTCGACCTTCCATTCACTGACCTTGCCACTTTCTTGCCTCTTGTCTGCACCTCTCCCCATCCCTAGTGTGGATTCCATCCCCTTGTGAACGCTGCCACCCGTCCTGGCAGAGACTCAGTACTTCCACTCTCTGAATGCATTTCTTCTTCCTAGGCACACCAGAAGACTACATTTCCTAGCCCCCCACCCCCTTGCAGTGTCTGGGACCATGTGACTCCTTAATTAGGTCACTTCTCTCTCCTGGGAGGCCCTCTCTGCCCTCTCTAAGTCTAACTAGTGGCAAAGGATCTAAGGGAAGAAACCTGGCAGAGTTACTAGTCCCAAGAAGCCTGGGTCCCTGAATCACCACATGGAAGTCTACGCGCCCACCACCTGAATGGACTAAGGTATGAACAGAAGTAATACACACCCCTTTAGGGCCAAGGAGGTGAAACAGCTGGTATGCCTTCCTCACACTCTCCTCTGCTTTCCTGGTGACCTAGGAAGCTGCAGGATGAAGACAACAGCATCACAAGGAGGAAGCCAGGATCCCTGTGTTACCACAAGGAGGAGAGATGCCTAACCAAGACCGTCTGCAAGGATTTTGTGTGAGCCAGAAGCAGAGCTGTATGGTGTTCAGCCACTGAGATTTGAGGGCTGTTTGTTACAGCAGTTGACCTATCCTGACTGACACATCACATCATTCCTTTCCCCACCATGTGTCTAACATGCTACCAAATTGAATTTTAAGTAAATTAGTACTTATAAATTAAGTACAAATGCTTTTCAAATTCACATGAATCTTTGGTAAATAAAACTGGTTGTAAAATTATTGATAAATATAGAAATGTCTGAAATTATTGATAAAATAGCCTTGTGCAAGTAAGACTAATTTAAGATCATTGGTTCAATGAAAATAACTGAATCTTCTGAGTTGTCGGCAAAATGCTCATGTGTTTAAGATTCTTAGATAGGTGTTCACTTAATATTCAGACTTTAAAAATGATTAACCAGGATATAACTTTGACCAGCCTAGTATCATAGTTTTTATAAGTAATCCTGGGCCGGGCACGATGGCTCATGCCTGTAATCCCAGAACTTTGGAAGGCCAAGGTGGGTGGCTCATGAGGTCAGGAGATGGAGACCATCCTGGCCAACATGGTGAAACTCCATCTCTACTAAAAAAACAAAAAATTAGCCAGGCGTGGTGGCACGTGCCTGTAGTCCCAGCTACTCGGGAGGCTGAGGCAGGGGAATCACTTGAACCTCGGAGGTGGAGGTTACATTGAGCCGAGATCTTGCCACTGCACTCCAGCCTGGGTGACAGAGTGAGACTCCATCTCAAAAAAAAAAAAAAAAAAAAAGAATTGTGGAATCCTGCTGGGCATGGTGACTCATGCCTGTAATCCCACACTTTGGGAGGCCAACGCAGGTGGATCACTTGAGATCAGGAATTTGAGACCAGCCTGGCCAACATGGTAAAACCTCATCTCTACCCAAAGCACACAAAAAATTAGCCAGGCATGGTGGCAGACACCTGTAATCCCAGCTACTCGGGAGGCTGAGGCATGAGAATTGCTTGAACCTGGGAGGTGGAAGTTGCAGTGAGCCAAGTTTGCACCACTGCACTCCAGCCTGGGCAACACAGCGAGACTCCATGTCAAAAACAACAAACAAACGAACAAAAAGAATTGTGGAATGCTGCTCATCCATAAAATGCTAATATCTAATGGGCATTTCAGGATTTCTTGCTTTCTAGATTTATATAAAATGTGCCAAAGATGTGTTCTTATTGAGAAAAAGAAGAATTTTGTCTAATTCAGAAGTTATCTGCCCAGACGCAGTGGCTCATGCCTGTAAACCCAGCACTTTGGGAGGCCAAGTTGGGTGGATTACTTCAGGTCAGGAGTTCAAGACCAGCCTGGCCAACATGGTGAAACACATCTCTACTAAAAATACCAAAAAAAAAAAGTTATCTAAAAGTCAATTCAAATTATGGAGTTAAAAGTGGTTCTTGGCCAGACGCAGTGGCTCACACCTGTAATCCCAGCACTTTGGGAGGCCAAGGCAGGTGGATCACCTGAGGTCAGGAGTTTGAGACCAGCCTGAGCAACATGGTGAAACCCCATCTCTACTAAAAATACAAAAATTAGCTGGGTGTGGTGGTGGGCGCCTGTAATTCCAGCTACTCAGGAGGCTGAGGCAGGAGAATCTCTTGAACTGGGGAGGCAGAGGTTGCAGTGAGCTGAGATCATGCCATTGCACTCCAGCCTGGGCGACAAGAGTGAAACTCCATCTCAAAAAAAAAAAAAAAAAAAGGTCCTTAAACAAGGTTGAAAGAAACCATTAAGTAGGGGAGAGAGAGATGTGAAAAAAATTATGGATACAAAGATGTATTTTTGGCAAAGAAGCTTATAAAGAAAAGACAATACCTTTATATGAGAAAGGATCTTGTATGGAAAATTATTGTCCTAGAGTAGAATGACTGGTTATTTAAGAAAGAGGAAGGCCAGATGTGGTGGCTCACACCTGTAATCCCAAAACTTTGGGAGGCTGAGGCAGGGGGATCATTTGAGCTCAGGAGTTTGAGACCAGCCTGGGGAACATGGTGAAACACTGTCTCCCCAAAAATATAAAACTTAGCTGGGCATGGCAGCATGTGCCTGTAGTCCCAGGTACTCGGGAGGCTAAGGTGGGAAGATTGCTTAAGCCGAGGAGATTCAGGCTGCAGTGAGCCAAGATTGTGCCACTGCATTTCATCCTGAGCAACAGAACAAGACCCTGTCTTTAAAAAAGGAAAGAAAGAAGGAAGGAAAGAAGGAAGGAAGGAAGGAGAGAGAGGGAGAGAGAGAGGAAGGAAGGAAGGAAGGAGGGAGGGAGGGAGGGATGGAGGGAGGGAGGGAGAGAGAGAGAAGGAAGGAAGGAAAGGAAGGAAGGAAGACAGAGAGAAGCTGGGTGTGGTGGCTCATGCCTGTAATCCCAGCACTTTGGGAGGCTGAGGCGGGTGGATCACCTGAGGTCGGGAGTTCGAGACCAGCCTGACCAACATGGAGAAACCCCGTCTCTACTAAAAATTCAAAATTAGCTGGGCATGGTGGCACAGACCTGTAATCCCAGCTACTAGAGAGGCTGAGGCAGGAGAATTGCTTGAACCTGGGAGGCGGAGGTTGTGGTGAGCTGAGATCACACCATTGCACTCCATCCTGGGCAACAAGAGCAAAACTCCATCTCAAAAAAAAAAAAAGAAAGAGAAAATGAAGAAAGAGAGAAATAGTCTAGGACAAGTCAGAAAGTCCAAGCAGGACATAGATGGTTTGTGTAAGTTGTGATAAGATTTGTAAAGGGGAGGCCGGGCGCGGTGGCTCAGGCCTGTAATCCCAGCACTTTGGGAGGCCGAGGCGGGCGGATCACGAGGTCAGGAGATGGAGACCATCCCGGCTAAAACGGTGAAACCCTGTCTCTACTAAAAATACAAAAAATTAGCCGGGCGTAGTGGCGGGCGCCTGTAGTCCCAGCTACTTGGGAGGCTGAGGCAGGAGAATGGCGTGAACCCGGGAGGCGGAGCTTGCAGTGAGCCGAGATCCCGCCACTGCACTCCAGCCTGGGCGACAGAGCGAGACTCCGTCTCAAAAAAAAAAAAAAAAAAAAAAAGATTTGTAAAGGGGAATTTACAAAAACAGGAATTTTGTTTGTGATTAAGTTAGCTGCGATTAAAAGGAGATTATTTCTCCTTTCTAAGGAATGGTCCCCTATGTTAAAAGAAGGTCTGCTTAAGGTATTGATTTGCTCTTAATGAAATTATAAGAAATTTTGCTTTTCAATTTTTTGTTTGTTAGTTTTGAGATGGAGTCTCGCTCTGTCGCCCAGACTGGAGTGCGGTGGCGTGATCTCAGCTCACCGCAAGCTCCACCTCCCAGGGTCACTCCAGCCTGGGCAACAGAGCGAGACTCTGTCTAAAAAAAAAAAAAAAAAGGGATGAATGAGTGCCTGTCCACCTCCATTTCATCTGGCCTAGCATATTTAACTGTCTACACGTCTTTTGATTCTAAGTCTCTTGGCCACAGCGGTCCCACTTAGGGACATAATATAGCCAGGGCAGGTAGCACACCACCCTGGCATCGATATGGGGCACAATAAAAGCTTGGCCATGATACTGCCTCTGGCATACCATGACCAGAAAAAAAAAAAAAAAAAAAAAAAAAAACACATGCACCTGAAAATCTAGTTGAGGCCATGACAGGAAGTGGGTAGGGGGAGGGAGAGTCAGCCAGGCCTCACTATATTTCCTCGCCTTGGAATTCCACACATATTTTCCCTGATGGTACCACCAATTATAATTCTTCTTGTCCCCCTTGGAGGGCCTTAGTCCCTCTACAAACAACAGTGTCTTTCTCAATTCCCATAACTGCTCCCCATAATACTGGTATCACATTAAATTACTACTTTCCCCCCATCCCATTCATGCTTAAACCAAAGCACCCCTTGAATAACACAGGTACTTAACCTTTTTTTTTTTTTTTGAGACACAGTCTTGCTCTGTCTCCCAGGCTGGAGTACAGTGGCGTGATCCTCAGCCTCCCAAGTAGCTGGGATTACAGGCATGTGCCACCACACCTGGCTAATTTTGTATTTTTAGTAGAGACAGGGTTTTGCCATGTTGGCCAGGCTGGTCTCAAAACTCCTGACCTCCAGTGATCCGCCTGCCTTGGCCTCCCAAAGTGCTGGGATTACAGGCGTGAGCCACTGCGCCCAGCGGTACTTAACCTTAACAGCTCCCATCCCATTCCAGTCTGTGACCCACAGTGGATATCTGTGGCTATATGGATGCCCACTAAATCAATCAGCCTATAAACAACTCATTCCTCATTTGAGACCACGGGTACCAATGTGTTGATAACATTTGGCTCAAAGGTCAACATATAGTAAGACAGGTGAAGCCGGCCGGGCGCGGTGGCTCACGCCTGTAATCCCAGCACTTTGAGAGGCCTAGGCGGGCGGATCACGAGGTCAGGAGATCAAGACCATCCTGGCTAACATGGTGAAACCCTGTCTCTACTAAAAATACAAAAATAGAGTCGGGCGTGGTGGCAGGCGCCTGTAGTCCCAGCTACTCGGGAGGTTGAGACAGGAGAATGGCGTGAACCCAGGAGGCGGAGCTTGCAGTGAGCCGAGATCGTGCCACTGCACTCCAGCCTGGGCGACACAGCAAGACTCTGTCTCAAAACAAAAACAAAAACAAAAACAAAACAAAACAAAAAAAAGACAGGCGAAGCCTTCTAATATACAATTATACAACATCACTTGCCCAAGCACTAAGTGAGCAATTGGCCTTCTGTTGTCTGGGGTCAGGGCTGCTGTGGGCTTGTTGGCCCCATGGGGAGGATTTGCCTAACATGAGGCAACTCTTCAAAACTTTACTTTTCACTCTACATACCTTCTTATAAAATGGGAGATACTTTAGATAAATTGAGACTCTCTCGATTCTATAGCAGATATAGTTATGGATAATAGATTGGCATTAGACTATTTGTTGGCTGAACAATGACAGGTATATGCTGTGATTAATAAAACCTGCTGTACCTATGTAAACAACTCAGGTCAAGTAGAGGAAGATACCGACAAAATATATGAACAAGGCTGGGCACAGTGGCTCACGTCCAGTGCTTTTGGAGGCCAAGGAGGGTGAATCACTTGAGGTCAGGAGTTGGAGACCAGCCTGGCCAACATGGTGAAACCCCATCTCTAGGAAAAATACAAAAATTAGCCAGGCATGGAGGCACATGTCTGTAATCCCAGCTACTCCGGAGGCTGAGGGAGGAGAATTGTGTGAACCTGGGAGGCAGAGGCTGCAGTAGGCCAAGATTATGCCACTGCATTCCAGCCTGGGAGACAGAGTGGGACCCTGTCTCCAAAAAAAAAAAGAAAAAGAAAAAAAAAAAAGGGCCAGGCATGTTGGCTCACGCCTGTAATCCCAGCACTTTGGGAGGCTGAGGCGGGTGGATCACAAGGTCAAGAGATCGAAATCATCCTGGCCAACATGGTGAAACCCTGCCTCTACTAAAAATACAAAAATTAGCTGGGTGTGGTGGTGCACACCTGTAGTCTCAGCTACTCAGGAGGCTGAGGCAGGAGAATCGCTTGAAGCCAGGAGGTAGAGGTTGCAGTGAGCCAAGATTGCGCCATTGTACTCCAGCCTGGCAACAGAGCAAGACTGCGTCTCAAAAAAAAAAAAAAAAAAAAAAAAAAAAAAGAACAAGCCAAGTGGCTACATGGTGTTCACAACCCCAATACCCAGACTACTATGCGGAATTCCATAAGGGGTTTCTACCGGCAGTGACTTGGTTTTTACCTAGGACCTTTAATAGCTCTCTTGTTACTATTGATCTTTGTTTGGCCTTTACTTATTTAACCTCTTAGTAAAGTTCGTGTCTTCTAGATTATAACAATTCCATGTGGAAATGATGCTTGCACTAGGTTTCTGACCCATCCTGTCTTCTAGCCTGGAAAATAAAGATCTCCTGCCTTTGGGGTCCTTAGATCAGGCAACCAGAGATTTTCACTCCTCCAACACCAGGCAGAGCCTATGCCCATAAGATCAGCAGGAAGCAGTTGTAGAGGGTGGACCTCTGCCCTTCTACCACTTTTTAAGATTAAGGAGGAGTCTGACGCCTGTCATCCCAGCACTTTGGGAGGCCGAAGCAGGCGGATCACCTGAGGTCAGGAGTTGGAGAGTAGCCTGGCCAACATGGTGAAGCCCCGTCTCTACTCAAAGTACAAAAAATTATCCATGCAGTAGTGGCGTGCGCCTTTAATCCCAGCTACTCAGGAGGCTGAGGCAGAGGTTGCAGTGAGCCAACATGGTGCCACTGCACTCCAGCCTGGGTGAGAGAGCAAGACTCTGTCCAAAAAAAAAAAAAAAAGGTCTGGTGCGATGGCTCACGCCTGTAATCCCAGCACTTTGGGAGGCCGAGACGGGTGGATCACGAGGTCAGGAGATACAGACCATCCTGGCTAACACGGTAAAACCCCATCTCTACTAAAAATACAAAAAAAATTAGCCAGGCATGGTGGTGGGCGCCTGTAGTCCCAGCTACTTGGGAGGCTGAGGCAGGACAAAGGCATGAACCTGGGAGGCGGAGCTTGCAGTGAGCTGAGATCACGCCACTGCACTCCAGCCTGGGCGACAGAGCGAGACTCGGGCTCAAAACAAAACAAAACAAAACAAAGATTGAAGAGGACTCTACAGTCTCTCCGGGAAGGAATAAGGTTAGAGATCAGCAGGACTTGTTTTCTGAGCACCAGTCACAAGACCTTGCTGAACAAAACATGATCTGATCAAAAGAGGATGCAGGAAAGACATTGGCCAAAACTAGCTAAAACCAACACGGTGACCAAAGCAACCTCTAGATGCCCTCATTGTTCATTGTGCACTAATTATAATGCCTTCGCATGCTGAAAGACACTCCCGCCAGCACCGTGACAGTTTACAAATACTGTGGCCACTCCCAGAAGCTACCTTATACAGTTTAAAAAGGGTAGAGGCCCAGTGTGGTGTTTCACGCCTGTAATCCCAGCACTTTGGGAGGCGGGTGGATCACGAGGTCAGGAGATCGAGACCATCCTGGCTAACGTGGTGAAACCCCGTCTCTACGAAAAATACAAAAATTAGCCGGGCGTGGTGGCAGGCACCTGTAGTCCCAGTTACTTAGGAGGCTGAGGCAGGAGAATCGCTTGAACCCGGGAGGCGGAGGTTTCCGTGAGCCGAGATGGCGCCACTGCACTCCAGCCTGGGAGACAGAGCAAGACTCTGTCTCAAATTAAAAAAAAAAAAAAAAAAGCCAGGCTGGCTCACGCCTGTAATCCCAGCACTTTGGGAGGCCGAGGTGGGACAGATCACCTGAGGTCACCCTGACCAACATGGTGAAACTCCGTCTCTACTAAAATACAAAATTAGCCAGGCTTGGTGGCTCATCGCCTGTGATCCCAGCTACTCGGGAGGCTGAGGCAGGAGAATCACTTGAACCCGGGAGGCGGAGGTTTCCATGAGCCAAGATCATGCCACTGTACTCCAGCCTGGGCAACAAGAGCGAAACTCCATCTCAAAAGAAAGAAAGAAAGAATGAATGAATGAATAAATAAATAAAATAAAAATTAAAAAAAGGTAGAAACCCTTGCTTCCAGAAACTCCCCACTCCTTTTGCAGAAAACTCGTGAATAGCCTGTCCTTTATTTAGCATATAATGAAGGAATAGACATAAATATAGCTGGCCAGCAATCCACGAGGGCTGCCGCTACTGCTCTACGGAGCAGCCATTTTCCTGCACTGTTGCTCTAATAAACTTGTGTTTGCTTTGCTCTGTCTTGTTTGCTCACCCTTGAATTCTTTTCTCTGCAAAGCCAAGAGCTCTCCCAGTCTGAGCCCCAATCATCAAAGATGATTTTGAGGGCTTCAGTATTTAAAGGGGAAAAGCAGGCTGGAGGGGAAGGAGGGAGGGGATGGTCACATTATTAAATCCGTATGTTGGAAGAGAAAAGGAGCAGGGAGGGGAATAGTGACATATTCATCTAGTGCTTCTACATCGGCATTTTACACAAGATAAGGTGAATGCAGAGTGTAGATATTTAACCTTTTATCCGTGGCTCTCTGCTTAGGAACAAAAGGAGAAGCAGCTTCTTGCCTGACTCAGCTTTCAGCTTAATTTTTTTCTTTTGGCAGAGTGAATTGGGATTCCAAGATTTTATTTGCCTTTCCCATCATGCGATTGGATACCACAAAGCAGTGAAGAACAGTGAGTGCCCATGTACTTGACAATGAAGGGGAATCTTCCAGACATACATGAAGCGAAGGAAGGCAGGCAAAAGAGTGTGCTTGTGTGATACTGCCTATTTGGGGCTCTAGAAGAGGCAAAACTAATCTATGGGAGTTTGAGGATAATGTTCAGGATAATGGTTTACTTTTGGCAAGTGTTGTCTGAGAAGAGGCACTTGGGAGCCTTCTGGGGGCTGGAAATGTTCTGTATCTTGAGCTAGGTGGTGGGTACACAGGCATATGGCTTGTCAAAAATAATTGAGTTAGCCGGGCACAGTAGCTCATGCCTGTAATCCTAGCATTTTGGGAGGCCAAGGTGGGTGGATCACCTGAGGTCAGGAGTTTAAGACCAGCCTGGCCAACATGGTGAAACCCCTGTCTCTACTAAAAAAAATACATAAGATTAGCTGAGCATGGTGGTGGGCACCCGTAATCCCAGCTACTCGGGAGTCTGAGGCAGGAGAATCGCTTGAACACGGGAGGCAGAGTTTGCAGAGAGCCAAGATCACGCAACTGCACTCTAGCCTGGAGGACAGAGCAAGATTCCATCTTAAAAAAAAAAAAAAAGAAGGCCAGGAGTGGTGGCTCACACCTGTAATCCCAGCACTTTGGGAGGCCAAGGTAGGTGGATCACCAGAGGTTGGGAGTTAGAGACCAGCCTGACCAACATGGAGAAACCCTGTCTCTACTAAAAATACAAAATTAGCCGGGCATGGTGGCACATGCCTGTAATCCCAGCTACTCGGGAGGCTGAGGTAGGAGAATCGCTTGAACCCGGGAGGCAGAGTTTGCGGTGAGCCAAGATCGCGCAATTGCACTCCAGCCTGGGTGACGAGCGAAACTCCATCTCAAAAGAAAAAAAAAAAGAAATAAAGACATAAAAGATACTTGGGGCTGGGCACGGTGGCTCATGGCTTTAATTCCAGCACTTTGGGAAGCTGAGGTGGCTAGATCACTTGAGGTCAGGAGTTCAAGACCAGCCTGGCCAGCATGGTGAAACCCTACTAAAAGTATAAAAATTAGCCAGGAATGATGGCAGGCGCTAATCCCAGCTACTCAGGAGGCTGAGGCAGGAGAATCGCTTGAACCTGGGAAGTGAAGGTTGCAGTGAACTATGATTGCGCCACTGCACTCCAGCCTAAGCGACAAGAGCGAAACTCTGTCTCAAAAAAAAAAAAAAAAAAAGTTGAGTCATGTTGTGAATGTATTTAACACCACTGAGCCGTACACTTAAAAATGGTGAAGATGTTAGATTTTATGTTATATCTATTTTACCACCATACAAAAAAATTGAGTTATACCTTAAGGTTTGTGGACTTTATTACATGTCAGTTGCACTTCAACTGAAACATTTAGCACGATCGTTGCCCCTGGCTCCTGAGTAATTTTTTTCATTTTTCAGACATGAGGTCTCGCTCTGTCGCCCAGGCTGGAGTGCAGTGGCACAATCATAGCTCACTGCAGCCTCGAACTCCTGGGCTCAAGTGATATTCCCACATCAGCCTCCCAAGTAGCTGGGATGTCAGGCATAATAAGCTACTGCGCCCGTCCCCCCAAGTCATTGCAAATGTTCTTTGAAAATACCACCTTCAGGCCAGGCGCAGTTGCTCACGCCTTTAATCCCAGCACTTTGGGAGGCCAAGGCAGGCAGATAACTTGAGGTCAGGAGTTCAAGACCAGCCTGGCCAACACGGTGAAATCCTGTCTCTACTAAAAATACAAAAATGGGCTGGGCATGGTGGTGCATGCCTGTAGTCCCAGCTATTCAGGAGGCTGAAGCAGGAGAATTGCTTGAACCCGGGAGGTGGAGGTTGCAGTGAGCCGAGATTGCACCCGCAGCCTGGATGACAAAGCAAGACTCCATCTGAAAAAAAAAAAAAAAAAAGAAAATACCACCTTCAGTGGCCACATATTTTCCCATCCACGGATGTGTCCTGGTACCTTCATTCACTCTCAAATCTTTCCCCAGAATTGTGAGAACCACAGCCCCATGTCACAGCCCCAAGGTTGCAGACAAGGTCCCGACCCACGTTAAGACGCAAAATAATTTATTGGAAGGTTTTTCTTAGACCCCTGGGAAGGCTAGGAAACCTGGCTTGGAAAGAAGGAGGAGCTCAAGGAGGCAGGAAGCTGCCCCACAGCCTGGGTTACCCCAGGAATAGGCTGGTCTAGGGGCCGCTGTAACCACTGCTGACACTGTGGATGTCACCATCAGGGACAGTGCCACTCTGGGACGCTGCAGCCATAGCCACTGGGAAGAGGTCCCAGTGGGCCCGGATTCTTTGTGGAGGAATCTATAGGCCTGAGCTCTAGAGGCTGGGAAATGGAGGGGCAAGTCTCTGGTCCCCATGCTCAACAAGACCCCCTCAGTGGGGAATTCCTCATTGCAGAAGGGGCACCAGATGCAGGGCAGCTAAACAAGCAGCCAGGGATTCCTACCCCGAGAAATGTCCTCTAAGACAATAACAGCCAGTATTTGTTGAGCTCTCACTGGGTGCCAGGCCCCTGTGCCAAACTTCCTACATGGATTATCACAAAGAATACTCACATTAGCCCTGTGGGGTGGGGGTTATTATTATCTTGATTTTGCAGACAAGGAGGCAGGCACAGAGCAATTTGGCAACCTGCCCAGGACCACACGCATGAGGAGCAGGAGGCGGCATTGCATTGGGGGCACCTGTGTGCCAGGTCAGTGCAGGGCACTTTGCAGTCCTCTTAGGGCTGAGGGCCTTGGACACTCAGCACCATTTTCCCTGCTCTGTGGCTGCAGGGGGCTGCAGGGGCTGGAAGCCTGACAGCCACGTTTCCTTGAAGCCCCTGCAGCAGGGTTCTGGGTTACAGCCTGTCAGTCACGGGCATTTGCCTGACACCTGGAAGGCTGTGGGGAGGTGCAGTGGCAGGCAGGGGTGGGCTTTGCCAGATGTGACACTTTGCCAGTGACTTCTGGGGGTCTCCTGGGGCTGACCAGCCCCCCTCCGAGTGGTGCATGCTCCTGCAATTCCTCCAGTCCTAGTTTCTTTTCTTTCTTTTTCTTAAGACAGGGTCTCTTTCTGTCACCCAGGCTGGAGTGCAGTGGTGCAATCATGGCTCATTGCAGCCTTGACCTCCCAGGCTCAAGCAGTCCTCCTGCCCCAGCCTCTTGAGTAGCTGGGACCACAGGCGTGCACCACCATGCCAGGCTACAAATCCTAACTTCTGGACCAGGTGTGGCTGCCCCTCAGCTCTTTGGAAGGTTTTGCAAGCCTCAAATTCCCCGTGTTCAGTCCTTTCCTGCTTGAAATGCCATTTTCCCAACTGAACCTTGATGAGGCAGAGGTGTTAAGGCAAAGCAGCTGGGCCTATAGGCCTGAGCTCTAGAGGCTGGGGAATGGAGGAACAAGGCTCTGGTCCCCGCGCTCAACAAGACCCCCTCAATGGGGAATTCCACATTGCAGAAGGGACACCAGGTGTGGGGCAGCTCAACAAGCAGCCAGGGCCTCCTACCCCAAGAAATGTCCTTCTAGGATAATAGCCAGCATTTGCCAAGCACTCACCGGTGCCAAGCCCCTGTGCCAAGCACTCACCGGGTGCCAGGCCCCAGGAGGCTGAGGCAGGACTGGCTTTAGAACAGGAAAGCTGGGGGTGCGAGCCCGGCTCTGCCAGTTCTGTGGGTTTGTGGTTTTTTGGTCGCTTCATGTGCCTGAGTCTCATTTTCCTGTTTCCTCATTTGGAACAGGCAGTGGTGGCGTCTCTCATGGGGACGTGGAGATAAACCAGGGCGACATCGGGGACACACAAGCCCAGTGCCTGCGGCGATGGCCGATGAGGCGCTCTTTCCATTTCCTGGTAGCAGATGAGGAAAGTGAGGCTCAAAGAGGTGATGTCATTTGCCCCAAATCACACAGTTGGGAGGTGGTGGGGTGCGAATTCAAACCCAGGAGTGTGAAGCTTCCAGCTCGTCTGTTTCTCCCTGGCTGTGGGTCAGTGCCCTGTGGGAGGCCAGGATGCCGGTCAGGGACTGGCATGGCAGGGTGAGGGGAGCAGGGTGGGCCAGCCTGCCTCCCCTCCCTCTCCTGGGGCTGCTGCCCTGTGGAGTAGGGGACTGCCATGGCCCTCACCTGTCCACCTTGTCTCCTTGCCTGGGCCTTGTCAGCCCTGTGCACTCCACAGGGCAGGGACAGGGCCTGCTGTTGACAGAAGTTCAGAACAAGGCAGTGCTTGGCCCTGGGTCCTGCGCAGATCAGTGCTGGGGCTGGCCTGGGGCCCGAGCTCAAGCCTCCGAATCCCCTTGCCCAGGCTGGACTCTTGCTGCACCGGGGCAGGTTGGCAGAGGCCTGGAGGTTTTCTCTGGGCTGCAGGTTGAGGCACCTGGGCTTGCAGACGCACGTCTGGCGGTCCAGCTTCCTCCCTGGCAGCCTCTCTCCTGCGACAGCAATATGGTGGTCTGCAGCTTCAGGCCAGCTCCATTGCTGCCCATGAGGCTACCCCAGTGGAGAGAGGTCACCTTGCCTCAGGGTCCCAGCTGAAGTCCCCAGGCTGCATCTCATTGGCCAGGCTTGGTGATATGTTCATCCCTGACCAGTCGCAGTGCCCGGGGGGTGCGCCCTCTCATAGGCCAGCCATGGAGTAGGCTGGGGTCAGAAAAGGCCTCTCCTCCCTGAGCCACATGAACTGAGAATGGGGAGGTGACCTTTCCAAAGAGGGGGTAATGGACTCTAGGAGTCAGAAGTAGTGAATGACCCGGACGGGGAAACGCAGGCCCCACTGTCGCCAGCCCTGCTGATGGTGGCCATCCTTTCTTCCTCACCTTGGCAGCAGGAGCTGGATGGAGTCTGGGGAGGTGGCAGGTACAGGCTGGAGCTCAGAGTGTGAGAGACAGTTGAGGATGGAATGTTCTCTTGGAGAAGCGAGAATAATGTCTCCTCCCCTTCTCCAAACAGCAAGTGCCCGGCCCAGCCTCTGTCTCAGGAAACTCTCTAACAGCCAAGATCAGGGCCTTATGGAGAGCTGACCCAAGGCCAGGCACTATGTTGGACACATCTGATGAGTCACTTCACTTCAGCCTTGCCAAAGCTTCATGAGCACCCATTTCACAGATGAAGAAACGGAGGCTCAGAAAGACAAACGTTTCAGCCAATAAGTGGCTGAATCTATGCTCAAACCTAGGTCTGTGTGATCCCAGACCCTGAATTCTACAAGTCCACCAAAAACTCCTCTTTATCTTCTTTTATTTTTTATGTATTTATTTATTTTTAGACAGAGTCTCACTCTGTCGCTCAGGCTGGAGTGCAGTGGCGCGATCTCGGCTCCTCTCCGCCCCATGGGTTCAAGTGATTCTCTTGCCTCAGCCTCCCTAGTAGCTGGGACTAAAGACGCACGCCACCACACCCCGCTAATTTTTGTATTTTTAGTAGAGACGGGGTTTCACCATGTTGGCCAGGAGGTCTCACTCTCCTGACCTCGTGATCCACCCACCTCGGCCTCTCAAAGTGTTGGGAATACAGGCGTGAGCCACCGCACCAGCCTATCTTCTTTTAAAAACATCATCAGTCCACCCTGGGTAATATGGCAAAATCCCATCTCTACAGAAAATACAAAAATTACCCAGGCATGGTGGCACATGCCTGTGGTCCCAGCTTCTTGGGAAGCTGAGGTGGGACGATCACCTGAGCCCTGGAGGTTGAGGCTCCAATGAGCCATGGTCATGCCACTGCACCCCAGCCTAGGCAACAGAATGAGACCCTGACTCACGATACATAAATAACTAAAAATAGCCAGGCGGGCTGGGCGCGGTGGCTCATGCCTGTAATCCCAGCACTCTGGGAGGCCGAGGCAGGCAGATCACGAGGTCAGGAGATCGAGACCACCCTGGCTAACACGGTGAAACCCCGTCTCTACTAAAAATACAAAAAAATTAGCCAGGCGTGGTGACGGGCGCCTGTAGTCCCAGCCATTTGGGAGGCTGAGGCAGGAGAATGGCGTGAACCCGGGAGGCAGAGCTTGCAGTGAGCCAAGATTGTACCACTGCACTCCAGCCTGGGCGACAGAGAAAGACTCCGTCTCAAAAAAAAAAAAAATAAAATAAAATAAAATAAAATAAAAACACATAAAACATCATCAGTGTCTTGTTAAAGTAGTGCTGTTCTAGTTGTAAACGAGTTAGTGTGAGGTTGTGGGCCATGTCTGAGGCCTCAGCTCTCAGCCCAGGAAATAAGGCTGTTGTGAGTGAGTAAGGTGGGGGTGAAGGATGTGGGAGGGGGGCTCTACTTCCAAAGTTGCTGAGGCAGTGTTGAAGGCCGCAGGACACTTCCTCACCACTGTGGCCCAACTCTTCTTTCTCCCTCAAAACCCAGCTCGAAGGACACTTCCTCCCAGAAGTCTTCTCTGCTGTGCCTATAACCCTCCCCTGACCCCAGGAAGACACACACACACACACACACACACACACAACTTCTCTGTGTACTCCATCCCCTACGTTGTACTCATCAAAGCCCCAACCATAGTGTGTGTGTGTGGTGTGTATGGTGTGTATGGTGTGTATGGTGTGTGTGTGTGTGTGTGTGTGTGTGTGTGTGTCTGTCTGTCTGTCTCCTCGGTCAGACTGGGACAACCTGAGGGCAAGGAGAGGGAATTCCCTGATGCCCAAGGTGTGCCCCGTGTAGATCATGGTACAGAGTGGAGGCTCAGCAAACAGAGCATAAATGAATGAGTGAGTGAATGAATGCATGGAATCTTGGGGTGAGTTTCCCTGAAGACAGCCCCAGGGTGCTGTGGCTGTAGGAGCTGGACCGTCTAGTGCCTTGGTCTGGGGGTGGCTGAAGCTGGAGGAGGGAAAGAGGCCAGTCCTTTGCAGCTTCTGGAGGCCAGAGTCCAAGGTCAGCTTCTCTCAACAGGACCCCTCTGAACCCGGCTGACACCACGGCCTTTGGAAGCCATGTGGTCAGTAACACGCTGTCACCCTTACTGCAGTCTGTTCACCTGACCTAATGACTGGGAACCTCAGGTCTGTGACTCAATGCCCAGAATGCTGTCTGGTATGGGGGTATGGGTCACACCTGGCTCATCTCCAGGACAGCCCTGTTCTGCGTGTCTGCCAGCCAAGGGGTCACGTGCTAACCTGGCTGCCCCACTGGGGGTGGGAGGGGCAGCTTCAGGATGGGGCCGCATCAGGCCCCATCTCCCTACCAGGCCCGTCAGTGGGCACCCTGAGCCTCTCTCTCTCATTCCTTCTTTTGAGCCTGCAGCACTACTCCCCGACCAAAGCACACTTTCCCTTCTCGTCTGGAGGAGAGATGGGGCCTCGTGCCAGCTCTGCCCCTGCCTGACACACACGCTTGGCCCGTCACTGAGCCTCAGTTTCCCTCTCTGTATTTCTTGGCTGTGCAAAGGCAGTCGGGGGAGGCTGGCCCTTTAAGCTGGATGAGGCTGGTATTTTGTGTTTTTTTTTGAGACGAAGTCTCACTCTGTCACCCAGGCTGGAGTGCAATGGCGCGATCTTGGCTCACTGCAACCTCCGCCTCCTGGGTTCAAGTGATTCTCCTGCCTCAGCCTCCCAAGTAGCTGGGATTACAGGTGCCCACCACCACACTCAGCAAATTTTTTGTATTTTTAGTAGAGACGGGGTTTTGCCATGTTGGGCAGGCTGGTCTTGAACTCCTGACCTCAGGTGATCCGCCCGCCTTGGGAGGCTGGGTTTTTGAGCTTTGTGCTGTTGGGGCCCAGCCCTCAGGGCCGCGTGGGAACCCCCGGGGCGGGGTGTTCTATACCAGGAAGTAGGCAGAGGGCCAGCCCGAGGACAGTTCGTTTCTTGCCAGTCCCCTGACCTCTCTTGGCACACAGCCTGTGGCAGCAGCAGGTTGAAGCCAGACGCTGCTCAGACCTCACACCACGTCGTTTGCCCAACCCAGAGAAAGCTCTGTCCCCGGCTTCTGGCTCCTTCTCTGCCAGGACTCACTGGGTGTGATGAGTTGGTCTTGGGGCACTGTCTGGGCACAGCCTGTTTGCCCAACATGGCCTCCTGGGCTCCATGCTTCCGCAGGTGGGAGGGGTCTGGACTGGCCCAGGGGCTCTGACAGCGGCTGGCAACCTGAGGTTTTGACTTCAGGGTGACCTGAATCCTGCCGCATTATGGAGGCTGGAGTCTCTGGGGGCTGCTTTCCCAGAGAAGAAGCTCCTTCCCCATCAGCCTGACATTGGCTCCAAGGACTCCATGTGGCTGGAGGGCTCAGGGCTAAGGGGAGGGAAGCCCCGGGATGGCAGTGAGGGGTGAGGGAAGATTTGGGAGGTGACATCTACAAAGAGACCTGAGCGGGTGGGGCAAAGAGGGGGTCCCAGGCAGAGGGAGAAGCAAGTGCAAAGACCTTCATAACCCAGGGGAGCGCTGAGACCACCGACCAGCAGCACCCCCACTTCTTCAAGCCACCACTCCTCAGGGCCTCCCAGGGGTCCCCAGCCTGGAGCACCCCATGTGGTAGAGCTGGTAGGCTGGGGGACACTGGGGACTGCTGTCCCACTTGGAGCCTCGGGCTACTCCGCCCAGGAGCAGCGATGTGGAACCTTGTTGGATTTTCATGTTCCCAAACATCCAGGAGACACACAGTTGTGAGTTTCCAGCCAGGCGATCTCTAAGGCCAGAGCAGCCCTTGTGGGTGTCAGTGAGGAAGGGCAGAAAGACTCTGGCCTCAAGCTCAGCTCCCTGCTGCAGGGAGTTGAACGCCCCTTTGGTGAGTGGCTCTAGCTAAACAAACACGTGTTATCATCTGTCAATAGCGGCCACCTCCTTGCTGGCTGGGCTGCTGCTGGCTCAAAGCCCAGAGCAGCCCTTCCGGGGCACTGCCTGCCACAGCCAACAGTCAGGGAAGGGCAGCTACTGCCCTGGGTTCAAGCCCGGGCTACCCCTGCTCCTGCTCACTGTGTGTCCCCAAGCAAGTCACTGTCCCTGCCTCTCTGTACAGTGGGAGGCCTGGATCTCTCTGCTCTGGGAAGACACCCAGCCCTGGAATGGTTGGGCCACACTTGGGGCTGGGGGCCAGGAGGAAGTTGGAGGGCTGGGCTGGGGCTGGGGCTGATTAGTTGAAGCCAGTAGAAAAGTACAGGCTTTGCTATTAGATTCCAGGAAATAACAAAAGCTGCTAACAGTTACCGAATGCTTACCACGCACCCGACGTGGTGCTCACGCATCTTTTGCTGTTTTATTTCATCCTTAGTGAGTTGGGTACTATTATCATCTCCATTTTACAGAGCAGAAACTAAGGCTCAGATAGGAGACGCTGCAAAATCAGGAGGTGGTGAAGACAGAATGTGCCCCTAGGGTGCTGATCAGGGCCCTCACCTAGAGGCAGATGCCCCCATCTCCTAAGGTCAATGGTCCTCAGCTATCATCCCTTTTTTTTGTTTTTTGAGGTGGAGTCTCGCTTTGTCGCCCAGGCTGGAGTACACGATCTGGGCTCACTGTAAGCTCCGCCTGCCGGGTTCACACCATTCTCTTGCCTCAGCCTCCTGAGGAGCTGGGACTACAGGCGGCCGCCACCACGCCTGGCAAATTTTTTGTATTTTTAGTAGAGACAGGGTTTCACCATGTTAGCCAGGATGGTCTCGATCTCCTACCCGCCTCAGCCTCCCAAAGTGCTGGGATTATAGGCATGAGCCACCACGTCCGGCCAGCTATCATCCCCTTTTAAACTTTCTGGACTGGCCACGCTGAACTTCTCACCCTCCTTTCCATAAGACACCCTGTCCTTCCATGTCTCCAGGACTTTGCAGGTGTCCACCGCCTCTGCCCTTTGGGCTTATGAACTCCTATTCATCTCTCAGGACCCTTCTTAATTTTACCTCCTCCATGAAGCCTGCTTTGCTTGGTTCCCCAGCAGAAACAGGGGGCACTCTCCTTGGTCCTCCTGCCACGCTTCTTCCACACATGCATCCTGGCAATTACCACATTTTACTGATGTTCGTGTGTGTTTCCCTGGAGGGAAAGGAGTGGGTTTCAATCACCCCCATATCCCCTGTGCCTTTTGAGTGACCAGCCGTTATTCGGCACTCAAATAGGGAAGGCTGTCAGGGGAGCAGCTGACTGCAGAGAGACTGCCTTGGAAGGAGGAGAGGCCCGGGGGTGGAGCGGAGGTTTCGGGTAAACAGAGGCGGCCTGACTGACAGAGGGGCATCAGCCAGGGGAAAATAGAACCGGGATCCAGGATCGTCTGAGTACGCAGCTGAGCTGGAGAAGGTTGTAATGAAGGCAGTTTGAGCAGGTGTCAGCTGAGGAGGGCAGAGGTTAGGGGCAGAGCAGGGCGCATGAGGTGTCTGGGGTGCACCCACAGACTGTTGAGGCAGGACACGGGTACCAACTGACTTGGGTGCCAGACCCATGTGAAGGGCACGATGGGCACTCTCCTGCTGAATCCTCAACAAACCCAGAGCGCTTTCACTCCCTCTGCTTTACAAGTTACAAATCTGAGGTTTGGGAACAAGTGAGGCAGGGCAGGTGCCCCCCAACCTTGCCCCAGGCCAAGTGGGTGCCTGAGTCAACTCTGGTCCACTTGGATGACAGTCATGTGCCACCACACCTAGCTCAGCCTCCCCAGCTTGCCGCTTACCGCAGAAGAAAAACATGGTTTGACTAGCAAGAGGAGGAAATTAGAGTTTTGTGTATAGAAGAGTCACTCTGGGCCGGGCGCAGTGGCTCACACCTGTAATCCCAGCACTTTGAGAGGCCAAGGTGGGTGGATCACTTGAGGTCAGGAGTTTGAGACCAGCCTGGCCAACACGGTGAAACCCTTTCTCTACTAAAAGCATAAAAATTAGCCGGGTGTAGTGGCAGGCGCCTGTAATTCCAGCTACTCGGGAGGTTGAGGCATGAGAATCGCTTGAACCCAGGAGGTGGAGGTTGCAATGAGCCAAGATCGTGCCACTGCACTCCAGCCTGGGCGACAGAGTGAGACTCTGTCTCAAAAAAAAAAAAAAAAAAAAAAAGGAAAAAGAAGAGTCACTCTGGAGAACAGCTAAGTCCAAGACTCCTGGCCTGTAGCTTCCAGTCACGTTCTATCAGTGCTCAACTTGCCATCCCCACTGAGGCTGGTGTGATGAAATCAAAATTACCTGACCCCGGCCTGCTGCTCAGGGAGTAACCACACTCATGAAGAGTGGCAAAAGTGTAACGTGCTTTGCAGACGTGCTTATGAGATGTAAATTGCCTTTCGGTAAATAGAACCCTGCTTCCCATTCATGTAATTATAGCTTCCAGCCTCTGCCCCATGAGAGAAAACACTTGTCCTGAGGGGAATCACAGTAATAATTTAGAGAATAACACAAGAAACCTTCTCCTCATCAAATGCAGTTATTCCTTTGCCCCGGATGACATTTCTGTCAAGTCGCTATTAAAATCACCAAGTCCAGGCTGGGCATGCTGGCTCACACCTGTAATCCCAGAAGTTTGAGAGGCCGAGGTGGGTGGATCACTTGAGGTCACGAGTTCAAGACCAGCCTAGGGAACATGGTGAGACCCCGGCCCCCACCCCCATCTCTACTAAAAATACAGAAAATTAGCTGGGTGTGGTGGTCTGTGCCTGTGGTCCCAGCTACTTGGGAGACTGAGGTGGGAGGATCGCCTGAACCCAGGAGGTCGAGGCTGCAGTGAGCCAAGATTTCACCACTGCACTCCAATCTTGGGCAACAAAGCAAGACCTTGTCTCAAAAAAAAAAAAAAAAGAAAGAAAGACAGGAAAAACAAAACAAAACGAAAAAAACACTAATCGTCAAGTCCAGCAGCCTGCCTGGCTGGAGGAAACCTCGGACTTCCTTTGCTGTCTCTAGGCATGCTCCGCTCCCCTCCAGTTTGACTCACCCTTTCAGATAACAAGAGGCCTGCCCCCATGGAGTGCCTGAGGGCCAGCAAACACCTGTGGCTTCCTAGGAGCCCGTGCTTTGGGCAGTGGCACCTCTCCCACTTTTCAAGCTCCCTAAGCATATTTGACAGTGGGCGTGGATCACCCCACTTATCTGGGGCATAATCTTTAGACAGACTTCTCCTGGCCCCACATAACTGCATGGAAAGTGGGTAGAAAGCAATGATTCCTATTTTTCGCCCATAGGGATTCTTTTTTTTTTTTTTTTTTTTTTGAGACAGAGTCTCGCTCTGTCACCAGGCTGGAGTGCAGTGGCGTGATCTCGGCTCACTGGAACCTCCGCCTCCCAAGTTCAAGCGATTCTCCTGCCTCAGCCTCCCAAGTAGCTGGGACTGCAGGCGTGTGCCACCACACCTGGCTAATTTTTTGTATTTTTAGTAGAGACAGGGTTTCACCGTGTTAGCCAGTTTGGTCTCGATCTCCTGACCTCATGATCTGCCTGCCTCGGCCTCCCAAAGTGCTGGGATTACAGGCGTGAGCCACCGTGCCCGGCCTTTTTTTTCTTTTAAAGAGATGGATCGGTCTTGCTATGTTGCCCAGGCTGGACTCCTGGGCTCAAGTGATCCTCCAGCCTCAGCCTCCCAAGTAGACCCACAGGAATGCCGAGGAGACAGAGACTTTCAGAATCACCCTGGCAAAGGTGGGGCTGCGCAGCTGGGGCTGGGGGTCTCTGGAACACTGGCAGCTCTGTGGTCCTTACCTGTGCTCTCTAGATATTTGAGATGAGCCTGGGCAATATAGGGAGAAGCCCGTTTCTACAAAAAGTAAAAAAATTAGTGGGGCATGGTGGTGCGCACCTGTTGTTCCAGCTACTCAGCAGGAGGCTGAGGCAGGAGGATTGCTCAGGTCTGGGAGGTCAAGGCTACAGTGAGGCATGGTCACACCACCGTACTCCAGCCCGGGTGACAGAGTGAAACCCTGTCTCAAAAAAACAAAACAAAAACAAAAAACAAGCTGGTGCCTTGGAGCCTGGGGTTAATGTCTGCCTCTGTCACTTGCCACCAGCTGCACAATCTCAGGCAGGCCGATTTCCTTGTTTATTAAGGCCCCAGAGCACCACCACCCTGAGTGGGGTATTCCCCGTTCGTTTCCCCACAGGCCCAGTTTCTGTATGGCTCCCTGTATGGAGTGTGGTAGCCCCCCAA
Source organism: Homo sapiens (assembly GCF_000001405.40). NCBI lineage: Eukaryota > Metazoa > Chordata > Mammalia > Primates > Hominidae > Homo > Homo sapiens. The sequence continues at coordinate 68,151,512 of NC_000011.10, forward strand.
GGCATGTTGCTTTGTTCCCTGAGCCCCAGAAGCCTGCACTCACTGGAAGTCCACTGGAGGCCCACCATGAAGGTTGTCTGCCATCCTCTTGGGTGACCCATGCCATGATTTCTCACAACTGTGACCACTCCACTACCAGGGTCCCGACTAGGACCTTGTTCTCACAGGAAAGTGTGGCCCCTCCAGAGCTCTGAGCGCCTGTTCTCCGCCTGCCCTCCACACTTGCTTACTGCTCCAATGCTTGGCAGTCCTCTGCCCACAGGGAGCCTCCAGGATTCAAACACCTCCACCTTCACCTGTCTAGTGACCCACTCAGCTCACAGACTTGCCTTTTCTTCCCTAACCTGCAGGTATGCACGGCTTCTCATGCAACCCCTTCTCCTGCCAACCTGAACCCTAGGGCCCCCAGCCCTGCTGTCTTCTGTGGTCTCCACCTGGGTAAAGGCCCACGTGTGCCTGAGAGGCTCACACCTGTGCAGGGAAGTGCTGGCCACCAGCCTGGGCTCAGGACACTGACCTGGTACCTTGAAAGTGATGAGTAGATATTTCTTTAATGAATGATAACTAGGTTTCTACAGTCAGCATGCTTTCCCATTCTCAATTTCAAACCTCCTTCTTACTCCTCAAACCTCCTGGCCCTCCTGTCTTCACTCTCATCTGCCTCCTACTTACCAGACAAGAGAAAACCTCACTCTGGACTGGCTCCCTCACCACATCCCAAATCCTCTTTTCCTCCTGGAAGGAAGACGGATCTACTCTCTGAAGACCCCCCTGAGGCCCTACTCCAAGTAACTCCTTCACTTTCTTTCTCAGAACACACTTACTATGCAAGCTCCCCGCCTCCAAGATTCAACTTGGGTCTCCTATTAATGAAATGAACCTCCTCCCTTCCCAGTGGTCATCCTCTCTCGTTCCTCCTTCACAAACTTTGCCTCCACCCTCTCAACCCATCCGGCTCTTCCTTGAAGCACTGACCTAAGCTCAGCTCTCCGAAGTCGAGGACCAACAGCGGGGGAGCAGCCTTTCCTGCCGCCCCCAGGCCTCAGTGAGGGTGGGTGCAGGGGCTGCCCTCAGCCAGCTCCCTAGGCTAGCTCACTGCTGTGGTCTGAGCATGGCCCCAGGTTCATGCTGGAAACTCAGCCCCCAGTGCAACAGTGTGTTGAGAAGTGGGGTCTAAGAGGCAATTCGGTCATGAAGGCCCTGCCTCATGAATGAATGGATTAATGCCATTATCGTGGGAGTGGGCTCCCAATAGAAGTCAAGCCCCTTCCCCTCTCTGCAGCACGGGACGATGCAGCAGAAAGGTCTTCCTCGCCAGAATCGGCCCCTCCATCTTGAACTTCCCAGCCTCCAGAACCATGAACCAAACAAACGTCTATTGGTTCTAAATTGCCCAGTCTGTGATATTGTGATAGCAGTACAAAGAGACCAAGACACCCACTCTCATGGCTTTGATTTTACCCCACATTGAAGATTCAAATCTTGTTCCCTGCTCCAAACCCCAAGAACGTACTAGGTGCTCAAACAACACGGAAGTGCACCTTCACTCCTGCCACACTGGGCCCCAGCTGCTCAGGGCCTCACACTGGTTCCAGCGGTCTGGTGTGCCTGAGCAGGCCCAGCAGCGCTCTGCCTCCCTTCAGCCAGAGTAGACTCAACAAGGTGGGCTGCCCCAAAAAGACCTAAGTCACTGTTTACTGCAAGTCAGCTGAAAACCCCACAAACCTGGCAAGGAGGACGCGGGATCTGGCAACAGATCTGGCTTTTTCAGAACATTACCAAAGCAATCTCTACGGGCCTGCGTCTGTCTTCTGTCCTCCAGATTAGCAGCTTTACAACAGTTTCCATGAATATGTGTTAAGCTTAACGGCCTGGGAGAAAATAAGTGGCAGATGGTGGAGGCAGTGTTAGTGAGCGACCCCCTTTCCCAGTCTTGGCCATTCACACACACTGCCCCTAGCAATCCCTGGTACCCTTTTGGAAGAATCCAAATTTACTTTTCAGCCGGGCATGGTGGCTCATGCCTGTAATCCCAGCACTTTGGGAGGCTGAGATGGGCAGATCACTTGAGGTCAGGAGTTCAAGACCAGCCTGGCCAACATGGTTAAACTCCATCTCTACCAAAAATACAAAAATTAACCCAGCATGGTGGCGGGCGCCTGTAGTCCCAGCTACTTGGGAGGCTGATGCAGGAGAACCGCTTGAACCTGGGAGGTGGAGGTTGCAGTGAGTCAAGATTGTGCCACTGCACTTCAGCCTGGGCAACAGAGTGAGACTCCGTCTCTAAATCAATAAATTTCCTTTTCCCCTGGGCTCTATCATTAGCAAACACAAGTAATGCCCATGTGCTCTAGGACATCAGGGAGGGAGTAAACCTCACCTTCCTTTGCATGCGAGGGTCACACGTGCCATAGTCACAGGGAGTGCCCTGGAGCTGGCAACTTGCTTGTACTCTGCTCTGGGTGCGACTGGGTTCTGCAGCAGAGTACGCAACGGTGCAGCAGGTCAGTGACAGAAAGTTGACATTTGAGAAACGAGTCACACAAGGGCTCCCGGCAAGTTAGCTACCATTGGCTATTGGAAGAGTAGAGAGAAAACCTGAGATGCTGAACAAGACTCCTAAGTACTTAACAGACATGCCACGCTTAGCCTTTTTCTATACTGGGAACCCAAGTTTGGGTGGATACTTCAATCAATTAGGAAAAATCAATAATCAATACTTGACTAGTCCCGTGTGTGCAGCACTCACCCAGATTATCCTCATGAGTGAATGCAGCTCAACCAGAAACTTAACTGATGACGGGACCAGGCGTCCACACTGATCTCCGGCACAGAATGATGCTGGGTGCCAGGAAAGAGATGTGGAGATTAAGCAGCTTGCTCAGGGATACTCAGATGTTGCAGGTTTCCTCTCTCCTGTACAGTCATATTTCAACAGTAAATGGGTGAAAAAAGGACCCAGGCCAGTCATGAGTATGCTAACTTTGACCAATACGGAGAGGGGGGAAAAAAACAACTCCAAGTAATCAGGAACTATTAATGCATTTGGGTTGCAAAAGCCTTCGATGTTATTGTGCTCCATGTTGAGGGCAAACATTTCTTGGGTTCAAGGACTAGGAAGGTATGTAGTTTAGTCTCCCTACTAAAAGAAGAATGTATGTTTACCCTCTCTTCTCTTAAAAATGAGTGGCACCAGACACAAGAGACCAGGGCCCAGAGAACTCAACACTCACAGGTATTGAAAAGCTTTAGAAATTGATTTTACAAATTGTTTTACATGAAAATTTTGTGGAGAAAGTCACCACTTTGATCTTTTTTTTTTCTTTTCAGATACAGTGAACACCGGCCAAATTGTTTTAATTTCCGAATTTATTAAAATGATTAACCTCAATACTGCAAGTGCATGTACAAAATATTTGTAAAAAATGTTTTTAATGAAACGTTAAAGAACTTACCTCAAATGCTGAAAAAGTCCTTTTTCATTCTTTCAGTACAAGGAATACATTGTATCTCAAAAGTATTACAACTCAGCAAAAACAATTTATAACAGTAATTTGAAAATGATTGAAAATTGAATACTTTACATATATTTCTATGATCATCTCCTAATTCTTACAATGCCAAAATCTTAACCAATCATTGCATAAGCTCAAGCTAAGAGTTTTATTGAATGCAACCTCTTCTAAACTGGTCAACGGTGTGTGGCTGTCACCATTCCACACGGTGAAGTTCTACAGCAGATCCGGAACAGTTCCGAGGCCCCTACCTTTACCAACGGAAATTAGGTTTCCCTAGAAGGCATCAACAGTGGCTGCTGAGTGCTTGTGCATACCGACTCCTGAGAGGCAGTGATTTACTACCAAATGTCACTGCTTTGAGACCCATGGGAAGGTTGGCCTCCAAAGAGGAGGCCATGATAAAATTAAAACATCAAAAATAAGTTACTAAAATTCAGCTGAAAAATGAAAATGGGAAATGTGTTTTGTCACTTTTTAAGATCGAAATTCCCAAAATAGCTATCGTTGGTATTCAAATAAGGTTTAAGATTTAGTCTCTGAACCTCTTCAAAACACCCCAAACTAAGGTGGGAATACAAGAGGTGACCCGCTGCCCTCCAGCACCTCCAGACACAGGGTCTACCTTCATCTTCCTCAGTGGCAGGGGTTCACATTTCTATGCAGGGACCCCATGAGGGCTGGACGTGCTCTGCAAAGTGCTCCGGGTGCCTCGGACAGGTGCTCCTGAGAGGCTGTGTGGGCTGCCCTACTTCACTGTTGAAGACCTCCAGACGCAGTGAACGGGGGTATGGGTGGGTGTGGAAGAAGGTCTACCACATGCTTTCCAAACGCCTGAGGAGTTCGACTGCACCACAACAAACAAGGATGAGACTATGTAAGACTGCAGAAGTAGTTCCTTAGAGAACCAGGAGAAAACAATCTACTTTCTAAAAATGTTCATGAGTCTTAATTTCTATTTGGAACCTATGGGCAATCAACAGTCTTAAGGAGCGTCATTGAAACAATATCCCCCCAAACCTGGAAACTAGTAGGAATCAATTAGTAGTAACAGTAAGCATTGAGATTTTCTCCACTGGACTTTTCATGACCTTCAGATTCCTTTTCATATTTCAAGACATGGGCTACTTTCCTATAGACACTATACAAATCCCCTGAATTGATTTTTACTTAGGAACACTGTATATCAGAAAGTACAGGTACACATTTCCCAGAAATAAAGAGACCTACTGGTGTCAAACACCTGTTACAGATTTATATTCCCAAATTCTCTGTCCAATGATTTGCAAAATAATCCAGAGAAATGAAAAGAACCTGGTATTGAACATAAAGTAGTAATAAAAATTTGCTCATTAAGTTAATTAAAATTAATTTCTCAAAGTGCTTCAAAAAACAAATTAAATCTGACTCCTTTTTGTTTAACTGATAATATAGTCAAAAAAATCTTTGATGTTTTCATAATAAACTAACATAAACTAACATAAGCCAAGAACTCCCACTGATGCAGTGCTTAAAACTATATATTTATAATTTCCTATTTTATTGGCATGAATATTTCTAAACTTAAAAACCTTCCTGGTAAGTTCTTTTAATTTCTTATGACAAAAATTTCTCACAACACACAAATATTTACAACATATACATTGTTTTCAGTTCTTTACATTGAATCTCAAAGACAAACTTTTTTTATAGGTTACCACAGAACAAAAGCTGTGACTCATGTTTTTATTTCATAAACTATTATAAGTTAAAGTGAATAGATTTTTTTAATATTCCTTGTAGCATTTTACAAGTGCAACAGAAAACTTGAAGAACCAAATTAAGATAGCTGTAGTTCATTAGATAAATGTTGCTTGTTGTCATCACGTTGTTCACAGCAAATTTTTGAAAAAATAAGCACCAATCATTCTTGCAAAGAACAATTTTATCTAAAAGGATTGAAAAGAGTTAAATACAAGGTTTTTAATTTACATGACAAGCAATAAATACGCTGTATCGAACCTCATCCCACACACTGCTACCCTCGTACATATAATGAACTGAAAAGTGAGCTGTCACGTATGTCATTTTTTTTTTTTTTTTAAGAAACCAATCTGACTCCCAACCAATGGTTTGCGATATTAACAAAGGCCACAAACAGTACACCTGGGCCAGCAAACAGTGTGAAACTGACAAAACTCCAAGGGGGAAACATCTAGCAAATAAATCAAAAAGCCAAAGATCATTGCTGGTGATATTAGCATACTAGAAACCCTTAATATGCTGCTACTATGATTTGTTTTAAATTATTGTTTAGTCATATATTAAAGAGCCAGCTGATGCTCTTACAGTTAAAAAAACTGTGTAGCCACATTACTGTTTTCAACGTCCTGTGTGGAAAGTTGCTATCACTGTACAATTTTGCTTGAGCCTTTATTTTACAACAGGGCTTTACCTCTAACTCAGAATTGCACGTAAGAAGGCTATTTAAAAAGTACGATAAAAATTTGCACAAATCAGACTTAAGAATTGAGTCAGTATGCTGTACACTTTCTACAATAGTATGCTGATAAGTGAAGGGACAATAGAAGTGCTGCCACTAAACTTTCAGTTGAGGAATAATTGACTGGAATTTTTTATTTCTTTAAAGTAGTTATCCCAGGTCAAGTTAAGACCAAGAGCTTAGGCATTAAGCCTTAAAGACTGATCTTCTCTTCTCCTTGAAGAAATGTCAATATCTATAGAGTCTTTTCCAACTATTAACCTCAAGCGCTTAGCTGGAGGAAGAGGAATAAAATCGTCTTCAAAGTCATCATCATAGTCATCCTCCTCTTCATCGCCCTCAGAAGAGGAGGAATCATCTGTACTTTCTTCCTCATACTGACTATAGTCATCCACCTCCATTCGAGACTCCAAGAGAGAAAGAGGATCACTGCAGCACACCCCATTTTCATGAAGCCCCTCTGTATAAGACCCCCTATTTTCCTCATCTCGTTTTAGCTGGATTTTTAATTTTGTAGAACTACTGCCTGATCCTGAGTTAAATCCATTATTAAGCTTTGCTACATAGAGATTGTTATCGTTGTCATGGTCTTTGCTTAACTTGATGCTTATTTTGGAAGAGTTCATTCCATCATTCTCTTGGTCATTTGTTTTGCTGCTGCTATCATGACGCCTACGAAGAGTCAATTTGGGAATCCCAGAGTTATTTTCTAGGATTAACTGTGCATCATACCTTGTGATTCGCCTCTTCTTTTTACTTTTTGCAGTTCTAAAGCTGTCTTTTGTTTTGAAGCTATCTGATGTCACAACTGAACAACCGACGGGTGAAGGAGCACAGTCTGTGTAGCTCACAGGCACGCCCACAGTGCCACTGTGCTCACCCTGGTCAGAATGGGGACCCATCAAATCTGGTACCGCGTCGTCTTTTCCAGGAGAATCGTGCACTGGAGTAGATTCCTCTATTTTTGCAAACTGTTTCACAAGTTTTCCTTGTCGTGACTTCTTTTTGGACATGCCTGTGTCACTCTTATGACACTTTGCCTCCCCTTTTTGTGCAGTCTCATGAGCCAGTTCTTCCTCCTGCAGCACAGGAGCTGGCTGCAGCTGTTCACCACTGTCGGGGCAAGGTTCCGTCACACTGCTTTTATAGCCATTCAACGTATTTGGTTCAAGCTTGATGTCAGAGGCCTCCTTCAGATTTGTTCTTGTCCTCACTGACCGCCGAGTTATGTAGGTGCAGGGCGAGCTCTCCCCCTGCGAATGAGCACCTCTCACAGGATTCTGTCTGTGTTCTCTCGCCGCGTGTCTAGTCAAGCACCCGCTGGCAACTGCGGCTTGGGCTGGTCCCTCTGGCTCCTTATCTTTTTTAATGGGCAAATTTTTATACAGAACTACTTTAGGCTCTTTCAGTACTAAGTTTCCCATTTCGAGTTTTCTTGAAGCATTCTTTTGCTCCAGCCGCTTGCAATGATTTCTCAATTTTATCTTTGAAAGTAAAGGCTTTGCAGGCTTCTTCAGTTTCTTTGGTACCCTGGAATTATTTATATGAGTTAGCTTAGATGAGGTAGAGTTGGAAGAAGCTGGAATTCTTGACATAGATTGCCTCGTTAACGTTCTGCTCTTGCTATTCTTTTTTACGCCAACTGAAGATTTTCGGTTAGAAGCTGTAAGGTTAAAGAGAAAAAGGTGAAAAGCCTTGGTAACAGCAGAGTTCAAGAAAAGAATGCCCAAACCCAGGCTATTAGCTACAGCACGTTTAGATTACACAAACGCCAACACCACGGCTCCTGCTGCAGATTCTGCCAGCGCACCTGCATTCCCTACACTGCTTCTCTTTGAAGTTCTTTTCTAATTTATGGGGCATCTATTCATTTTTGAGGTAAGTAGTTGCACGGTTAAGGAGCTTTTCACAGCAGGGACCTAGATTCCACTCTAAGCTTCTTAATCTGTCGTGACACTGGCCCAAACGAACGCTTTCTTCTCCTGATTTAGTAGTTTCCCACATAAAAGATTTCAAAGAAAGTTAACATGGTTTTTTCCTTTCACAGATTCTCCTTAGTCATTTAAAATGTTTCTAAAATCCATTGCTCATTAACCTAAAGGAAGTACAGCACTTGGCCATTAACATAGAGTAGAAATAGAATACTCATGGGCTCTAAGGAACAAATTCTATCGCAATGGTTTCAAACAAGAAAAACAGATGCTAAGAACCATATATTATCACTCTGAAAAGTACAGTCACTACCGAAAAAGAAATGCACTATTCTAAGTTGTCCCCTTCAACTCCGTGAGGAACAGAAGAGGCAACCAGTGGGCTGTCAACTTAGAAGAGCTGCAAAGCTTACTCAGCCCCATCCCTTCAGTGACGGCCAGATGCCAACAATCACAGTGAAGGAAGATGCACGCTGCTAGAATTGTACACTCTCAGGACAAAGGGAGATCCAACTTCTTTCCTCCAAGGCCAGGATAGAAAAGGGTTACAATGACCCTAATGGTAATGACAACCTGAGTAGTGATGAATATGATTCCATTTGAGAATGAGCGTATTCTTATCCACTGGAATTATACAGAACTACTAGGTAGAAAATATTTTTTAAAATATAAGGATATTTAGATAATTCTTTTGCTACAGAATTTCTTTATGCTTACGAGGCTTGCCTACAAGGTGGATCGAATAGACGTGCTGTCAATATAAAGAATAAAGTTGAATGGCTTCTCAAAAGGCTTCATTTGTGACTCAAGCTTAAGCTGCTCCTGTAGTGTCTCTGACCTTGCCACTGACTTTCTGCTATGTTAATTTTTCCTCTGTATTGACATTCCAGACTATTATTTATAGAAGTTGTTACACAAGTCAGTTTCTCAATTACTTAGTTCTTGCAGGTCCAGTTGAAAAACTTCTTCCTAATCAAAACACTCCATTTACAGATTCACTAGAGAAGCCACGATAACAAAACGAATCATCACCACCTCTCATCAGAACAGGGAGGATAAAAACAATAAAACATGGGTAAGCTCAGCACACTGCCCAACCAAGTGAGGACCAGGATCCTGCAGAGAAATCTGTCGCTTTCTACATGCCTCAGGTTGCCAGGGCAACTGCCATTCCTTCCGCCCAGCTAAGCAAGTAAGTTACCATAAGTTCAGTTTTTATTGAGAGAGGAGCAAGAATGCATCACAACATTCCAAAAATATCAAACCACCAAGAATAGAAGGCTCTGCACCTGAGGTCAGGAGTTCGAGACCAACCTGGCCAATATGGTGAAACCCTGTCTCTACTAAAAATACAAAAATTAGTCGGGCACGGTGGTACGTGCCTGTAATCCCAGCTACTGGGGAGGCTGAGGCAGGAGAATCACTTGAACCTGGGAGGCAGAGTTTGCAGTGAGCCAAAATCGCACGATTGTACTCCAGCCTGGGTGACAAGAGTGAAACTTCCTCTCAGAAAAACAAAAACAAAGAAGGTCCTGCACGCACAGACTGGCTCATAAATGGCTTCAGGGTACATAAACCAGCAGAATTCACAGCAAAGGGATTCACAGTTTGAAACAAGAACATACTTACACATGTGGGCTGCTACCAAGGTGGCGCCTCTTTTTAGAATAGTAGGAGTAGTGAACTTTGAATGTGATTCAATTTGAGAACGAGTGATTTATTATCCACTGGAACTATACAGAACTATGTGATAGCAAATTTTTTTTTAATAAGAAATTTAGAAAATAAGAAAAAATAGGGAACTCTTCGGCTAAAGGGTTTCTTTATGCTTGCCTACAAGGTGGACTGAATGGACGTGCTGCCAATATAAAGACACTAGTGAAGAAAGGACTGCACTGCTTGGCTTCCCTTTGCTTGGCTCTCTCAGATGTGGCTACGATGATCCTTTGCTCATTCTATGCCTCCTCAAGGACTAATTTATGACCAAACTTAGTGGTTTCCAACCTTTGATTTCTCCTCTTTCCATTCCACTCTCATGACGTACCTGCAAGCACCCTTACACAACACTCACATCTATGTCATATTCTCAACAGCAATCCCCGCCATCTGGATCCAGCCTGCTCCTCCAATGAGACAGCCTTTGGTGATCTGACAACTTCTTGTCGTCAAACCCAGCACACACTCCTCAGCCCTTCCCTTTCTTCATTTCTCTGAATGTGACACTGATAACCACTTTTTCTTGAGAAAACCTTTCTTCTCTTGGCTGTCAAAGAGAGCGCACTCTCCTGGTTCCCTTCTCCATCCCTGGCACCCTCCTTCATCGGCCCCTTAGACTGTTCTTCTTCAGGTCTGTGTAGTCCTAGGCCCCAGGTGACAAGCACCCATTCTCGCACGGCTATTACCACTTACAGGCTGACAGTTCCCGAACTCTGGCCAGACCCGCTCCTAACTTACAGAACCAGGTCACCAAATACTGACTGTCTCTAAGCCCCTAAATGGAACTCACCATCAAGTCTCCTGACGACGTCCCCTTTCGAGGTCTCCATCTTGGTCAATATCACCACCACATGCCCAGCTGCCAAAGCAGAAAGCTGGAGGTCCTCCTTGACTCCTGCTCTCCTGAACTGCCTCACCAAGCCAATCACCATGTGCCGTGGAGTCCACCCCTGCAATGTCACTGCAACCTGTCTACTCTTCCCTGTCTCGAAAGCCACAGCCTCCTGCATGAACTATGGCAGTTTTGTTTTTCCTATTGTTTTCCCAACAATCCGTTTACCACCACATAGCCAGGATGACTTTCCTAGTGTATCATGCAGCTTCTGGGCTTTAAACCTTTCAGCAACCTAATGCCCTAAGAATGAAGTCTAGAATTTTAACCTGTGCTCACATCTCTTCTTCTTAGCCTGTACTCGCCATGAAGAAAAGCTTTGACTCAAACTCCCCTCTGTCTATAGAGCTGTCTGAAAGGCCCTCTGCTTTGAATAGGCTTCACTTGGCCAACTTCTCATCCCCCTGTAAGACTCAGCTTAGGCAACACCTCCCTGAGGGAGCCTCTCGGGACTTTCTCTGCAATGCCTTTCCTATGTCTTCTCACAGCACCCAAGAAGCTCCTTCCTTGGTACTTCTTATTTTCACCCGTTGGATGACTCCCATTTTATGGTGATTCTGAATTCGGCTCTCCCCATCCCATCCCTCCTTCCAAAACATTCACTGTTGACAACAGAAAACCAAAGCACTTTTATGTGTTTGTCTCTAAACTAACATAAACGCTCCATTTTTGAGCACAAAATGGGTATGTATTTGATGCTATGTATTACATCAACACAGAGATTTCACTTACATGTTACCAATGTATTCTAATTTTGTTTGAAAAGCATTATCTCATCAAAAGCCCTGTCAAAAGGTATGCTCATCAAATCAAAGGAAAAAAAAGACAGGCAAAGAATTTGAGAAATGTGACAAAGATGAGGACCCAGTAGAGTGACAAGAGTCCTTCACTGTCCAAAGAAGCTGCACTGTCCTGGCAGGGGTTGAGAATTTCAGACAGTGAAGGCTAAAGGAGGAAGACAGTGGCCACAATGACAAACTAAAAGTCAATGATTTTAAAGTCCATCAAGAAACCAAGGACTATGACCTAAGTGGGGTCAGATGCACCTGTGTTTGAGCTTGCTGTGGCACTTATATGCCTCGTATGACTCTTCCCCTAGGGGCTGGGACAAATCTCAAATACATGGACCTGGACTGTAATTTTAGGTGGGGGTACACATTCTTCTCAGCAATTACTACATGCTAGGTGCTGTGCAAAATGGCCACATTCATCCTAATGAACGCCGTTGGAAGGGAAAGCGATTAAAGCTATGTGAAAACCAAGCTTACACGAACTAGCATGCCTAAGGTCATCCAGCTGGTGAATGGCAGAGATGGGACTTGTTAGGCCTTCCTGAGCATTAAAATCACGCTTATGCTGCCTATAAGGCATATACAGAAGAATTATGGTGTTGGCCTCAACTTACGGGTAAAGGCCCCACTGCATGGCTATTATGGTCATTTCAGGGTGTCCTCAAAATCATAAGGCAGGGTGGCACAAGACTTCCAGTCAGACAAAAGAGCTGTGACCGACACCAAAGCCTTCCTGAGCACTCAGGCCGCACTGGAAATGCACAATCAGCGTGAACTAAGATAATACAAGGGCCACAGCTGAGCATCTCCAGAGCTGGAGGATCCAGAAGGCCTCTGACAGGACTTTAAAGACCTCGGTCTCAAGGAGTTTACTTGGCACAAGCAGCTTTCATCTGACATGACTAGCACAGACTGCCAATGGCTACCTGGAACGGGGTGTTAGAATTTGGAAGCAGCCCGAAGGCTCAGCAGAAAAGTGTTCAGATCAACTCTTGACATGAGTGACAGGGCAGGAGTGAGGAGCAGCGCCCCAGCCTCTGCATCTAGGACAGGTGCTCCATAGTTAAGATCAACTTCTCCCTCTGGCCGATTCTTCTGGGGCTTGTCCTGACTTGTGGCACCTGCAGAGACCCGTGTCCGCATCTTCACAGACCGCTCGCGAGCCTCTCTCTGGTCTCACCTTCCCTATCACAGCACTAACTTCAGAGGGGGCAGCCCAGTCAGCGAGGCATAAGAGGCCTGAAAAACCAGAATCCTCCAGTCCTGGCATTCTAATTCAGACCTGTGGACTGGATTTGTGAAAACGGATTCCTTGTTGTCTCTACTTCTGGATGCTAAAGCAAAGTCACACCATAGCTCTCAAGGTACTTTCCGAAAAAGCACCTGTATGGAAATTTTTCTTCCAACTACTCAGAACATTTTTTTATACATGTGTTCAAAGAAAGCAGTTCCTCTGTCAGCTGCTAAATTCTAAACGAACCACATGATAAAGATGAGCAGCCACACAGAAAAAGCACTCCGCAAACACATACACAGCACATGCACCCACCACCCTGGGAGGAGGGACTGGCAGTGCTGGCTTTCCTGCAGGATGTGGCTTCCAGAACCTTTCTTTCAGACAGGTGGAGGGGATGGCTGAGACAAACACCAAAAGAAATACAGCCTAAGAGAACGCATGTAAGAACTCAAGAAATCCTTATGTGAACATGACTTAACATACAATGGTCTCAGAGACAACTAAAGCCTTGAGCTCCTTCAGAGAGAGCACTGAGCCATGCCTATCCACTCTGCCCATGACCTCAGAGTTAGTCATACTGATCCTTGGATTGCTCCAATCATGCTGCAGAAAGGGAATTTGAATAAGCCAAGCACCCCAATATCAGCAGTCCCTGCAAAATGTACACCTTTCTTCTGTAATGCTGAGACTTCAGCTTAAAGCGATTATTCAGTCCCTCTGAACTTGAAAGCCTGTGCCTCCAGTTTGTTCTGCTTACTTGTGCACCTGTCTTATCCTGGAGCTAAGTAAGGCATAAGCTCCCTGAGGAAAGGGCCCAAGTCTCAAACATCTTTGTATGTCTTCAAGAACTAGCAGGATTTCAGTAAGTATTTAGTTTGTTAATATATATTCCCAAATATTTGGTTTAATAAATATTAATAGTTAAATATTAGTACACCCAACATCTTCCAAAAATTATTTGTATTCTTATCTTTTAAACTAAGTAGTATATTGAGTTCAGTAGCTATACACCAGTAATAAAGTTACTACTTAAGCATAAAACACCTACATCACATAGCCATTCAACATAGGCAACTCTGTGGCTGTCTCCATATACAGATGGCAGCACGAACCTAAGTGTTTTTGTTTAAAAATCACAGGTCTCTGGCCGGGTGCAGTGGCTCACACCTATAATCCCAGCACTTTGGGAGGCCAAGGCAAGGCGGATCACCTGAGGTCAGGAGATTGAGACCATCCTGGACAACATGGTGAAACCCCGTCTCTACTAAAAATACAAAAATTAGCTGGATGCGGTGGCACGTGCCTGTAATCCCAGCTACTTGGGAGGCTGAGGCAGGAGAATCGCTTGAACTTGGGAGGCAGAGGCTGCAGTGAGCTGAGAGTGTGCCACTGCACTCCAGCCTGGGGACAGAGCGAGACTCCGTCTCAAAAGAAAAAAAAAAAAAGACACAGGTCTTACTATGTTGCCCAGGCAGGTCTCAAAACTCCTAGGCTCAAGTGACCCTCCCACCTCAGCCTCCCATGTAGCTGGGGCTACAGGTGTGCCACCATGCCTGGCTTTTAAGTGTTTTTATGTCTGCATTTATAAAATGGGCTTCACAAGTCTCCAGTTTCACCAAGGAACCAGACTCAGAAAACAAATGGTCGTTATGCTGCATTTATTATGAGAATCAACAGTCAACAGTTAATGATTGACTAACTCTTGTTGTTCACTCTGGACATTAACGAAAAAGACTGGAATAGGGCTACAGCGCTGCTTTTATGCTACACGGGTTATGCTTGGACTCTGACTCCCAGCAGCAGGTAGATTCAGGAATTCATGGCAGTGACATTCACCATCATGGGAAACACCTTCCCTTTTCTTCAGGATTCTCTGTAGTGGAAGAGAGCACCCAGTGTTGGGCTGAAAACATCTGAAAGTAGGGAGAAGAACCTAAAATAATCAGTATCTCAGAGGGCTCTAAGGTGCCAAGAAGTCTCACTGGACATTTAAGTGCCAACAAAGGCATACTTTCGGAATCGCCAAGTCAAAACTTTCTAACTTCTGTCTCTCTCAGAGACAAGTGAGACTCAAGAGTCTACTGCTTTAGTGGCAACTACAGAAAACTGGTGTTACCCAGAAAAACAGGAGCAATTAGAAATGGTTCCAATATTTCAAAGCTCCGCAAACAGGATGTGCTTTCCTTTGCCCATTTAGGGTTTCTTCTCTTTCCTTTCTCTTTGTTTAGTCTTCGTTCTCTTTTTCAGTTTCCATCAGATCTTGCCCCCACACACCACTGGAATCTCAGAGGTTGCTTCTTTCTCCTTTCCATCTTTACTCCTACTTTCTGGAGTAGCCAATACAGCATGTCACAATACGGCACTGTTCAAAATGCTCCTCTATCACAATTCTGAGTCTGGTACTGGTGGTCTGCTGAACTGAGTCAGTTCGTTTTGAAAAAGGTCAGCAAGCAATGAAAAGGTGGAAGCCTTAAGGCCAGAAGCTATGAATTCCCCAAGTCCATCATCTTTTCTAACAAACTGGCTAGGCACTGGAATGTATAGAGTCTAATTTAATTCTACTCAGTCCTTTTGTCTTCTTGCAGGACTTAGCGACATCATCACAGTCTCTAACACCTTGAAAATGTTTAAAACATATGATGACCTTGGAACATATGATGAAGAACTCATATCCAGTTACCAAGGTATTCAAGAAAAATAGTCTAGAGGACGGTACTGAAGTTAGAGATGGGATACAGACTGTGCCTCTACTCAAATCACGTCTAGAGCCTTGAAGTGCAGCCAAAGCTCACAAGTCCCAGTCTCTCTGAGTATTTAAAAGTTTAAAACTACTGAAGCACACTTTATAAAGCAAATTGTGTGAAAATACTTTTAAAAGATATGCTTATCAAATCTCCCTTACTTACTTGCATTGTTTTTTTCCTGAGTGGTATCTGCATCAGTGTTAGAGCTGACAGATTGACTGTCTGAATTTTTGCTGCTGTCACCTAACTTTTTAAGCCTATTTAAACGTTTATCTGTTTCTCTGAGTCCATATTTGCTATTGATAACAGGAGCAGGCGCAGGCAGTCCCACTCTGGATTTAAAAGCACCAGTGCCCCGTCTGAAAGAGAAAATAGCACAGGTTAAACAAATAGAACACACTTTCTTATAATAAGCTTAACTGCTGAGGGTACTTGGCTACAGGTTAACAGATGTGATGAGCTGCTGAGGCCTTAATCACCACTGGAAACCGAAGACTAGAACTCACAAAGGAAATTAAGTATCTATATTATAAAATTAACTTTAAATCTATATTTAAAATAATAAAACAACTTGTTATGACTATTATCAATCATTAATTGCCTATGAGAAACTACTGGACCTTGTAAAATTTTTTCCTTTTTTTTTTTTTTTTGAGACAGGGTCTCACTCTACCGCCCAGGCTGGAATGCAGTGGCACGATCATGGCTCACTGCAGCCTCAACCTCTTAGGCTCAAGAAGTCGTCCCACCTCAGCATCCTGAGTATCTGGGACCATAAGCGTGTAGCACCACCACCAGCTAATTTTTAAATTTTTTTTTGTAGAGATGGGGTCTCACTATGTTGCCCAGGCTGGTCTCCAA
Source organism: Homo sapiens (assembly GCF_000001405.40). Lineage (NCBI taxonomy): Eukaryota > Metazoa > Chordata > Mammalia > Primates > Hominidae > Homo > Homo sapiens. Next base: position 68,167,681 of record NC_000011.10, read on the forward strand.
CTGCTGGGCTCAAGGGATCTTCCCAGCTGGGTCTCCCAAAGTGCTGGATTTACAGGCGTGAGCCACAAAGTCCAGCCCTTTAATAAACATTGCCAGATTACTTTGCCAAAGGGATAGAGCAAATCATGGTCCCACTAGCATGGTGTGAGTTCCTGCTTCTCCACATCCTCATCAACGGTACATTGTACTCCTTAAATTTTACCAAAGTGGGCCAGGCATGGTGGCTCACACCTGTAATCCCAGCACGTTGGGAGGCTGAGGTGGGCAGATCACGAGGTCAAGAGATAAAGAGACCATCCTGGTGAACATGGTGAAACCCTGTCTCTACTAAAAATACAAAAAAAAATTAGCCCGGCGTGATGGCAGGCGCCTGTAGTCCCAGCTACTCGGGAGGCTGAGGCAGAAGAATTGCGTGAACCTGGAAGGTGAAGGTTGCAGTGAGTTGAGATCGAAACTTACACAGAGCAAGACTCCGTCTAAAAAAATTTTACTTTTTGCCAAAGTGATGAGTGAAAATGAATACCTAATCTTGTTTTAATCTCATTTATGGCCATTTTTTTCCTGTGAAGCATCTCTGCATCTCTTTTTCCTTTACCTTTTTTCCTATTTGACTATGTCTTTTCCCTATAAGCTTATAGGAGCTTTTTGTTATTAGAATTTTTTTTTTTTTTTTGAGACACAGTCTTGCTGTGTCACCCAAGCTGGAGTGCAGTGGTGCGATCTTGGCTCACTGCAACCCCTGCCTCCTGGGTGCAAGCGATTCTCCTGCTTCAGCCTCCTGAGTAGCTGGAATTATAGGCGCGCACCACCACATCTGGCTAATTTTTGTATTTTTAGTAGAGACGGGGTTTTGCCATGTTGGCCAGGCTGGTCTCGAACTCCTGACCTCAGGTGATCCACCTGCCTCAGCCTCCCAAAGTGCTGGGATTATAGGCGTGAGTCACACGTGCGTGGCCTTTGCTTTAAATTTTCTAGAGTAAAATGTGCAGTACTTATGAACATATTACAATTACTACTGTCAGTACAGTGTAGCAGAGAAACATGCTTCAAATGTATCCTGGAGTGTCTAGCGCGACTCAGTGTCTCTGCACACGTGATTCCGTCCATTCTCACTTCTTCACGGAGCCTCTTCCTTTTACCCTCTGGCTCTCAGCACAGTGTGTGTGTCCCCTTCACTGAACTGCCCTGACAGCTGGCACTGTGCTGGTCTTGTTTATCCTGCATGCACTTGGCCTAACATTAAGTAACTGTTCAGTTAATATGTAATGAATAATGGAATGAGCTCCTAGATGCATCTTCCCAGCTAATTTCTGTAAAGGCAGAAACAATTTGGTGTTTATGAGAACTTCAAGAATATATGCAGCCAATCTTGAAATCAAACTGCTCAAACAGTCTGACAATAGCCATGGCCACTATTCTCCATCATGCTGTTCCATTTAAAAAGGACTTACACACGTTTCTATCTACTTCTCACACTAACCTTGTGGAGTAGGTGGGATTATCCTCATTTTCACCAGTGAGAAAACAGAGGCTCATGAAAGAGAACTAATCTGCTCAAGGAAAATGACTATACCTGCAGTTCTAAACCAGGGAAAGAGCTGTTTCGGTGTTGGTTTGGAATCCTCAGTATGTGGTTAGGTGTTTTCAGGACCGCCTCCAAAAACTTCATTATATATATTTACTCTATTCATTCATTTACCAAATATTTATCAAGGACTTACTATGCACCAGGGTACTGTTCTGTATTCTGGGGATATAGCGGAAAATGAAACAGATACAAGCCCCTGCCTTCATGGAGCTCATATTCTAATGGGAAAATAACCAGAAACCAATTATTGTAGTTAACATTTGTGTATTAACTGTGTGCTATTCTACATGCTTTACAGGAAATAACAAATTTAGCCTTCACATCAACCCTACAAAATAGGTTCTGATGTTATCCCCATTTTACAGATGGGGAAATTAAGGCACAAAGCAGCTAAGTGACTTACCCTACACATCACATAGCTAATGAAATGCAGAGTTGCAGGATTCCAACCCAGGCAGTCTGATTTCAGATGATAGGCACTTAACTGTTATACTGTTTCCTCTACAAAATGATTTTGAAGAATTATTGAACTATAATTAAACTACTTTAAAGGGTATTCTCTGGACTGGTCCAAGATCTAACCAACATGTGAATAATTTTTATGTAGAAAAAGATAAATTTTATGTCCCTCTGCCCTGGTAAAAATTCAGCAGCACTAGGAACTGGTTTTCTGCCACATCTTTATGGCAAGGAGCCCACTCAGTGCTGGGAGAGGGATGGCTACGGTAGCACTGTGACTTGATGACTCCGTCCTCTCTCACCACACAGTTGGAAATCCCTGGCTATCCAGAAAGGAGGGAAATGGCAACTGGGGTATCTGCCCACTGCAACCTCTAGGCTGGCTATTTGTAGGTGTTTTAAAGTGGGAGAAGTGACACTAATAACTCTGATCATAACTCCAAAAGCAATATGAAGTGGAAAGAATGAGGACTCTGAAGTTAGGCTGACTGGGGTCTGATACTTATGTTCTGGTACTCGCAATGTGGGCACCTCCTAGCTCTCTCATGAATATCTGTGAGAACTGAACAAGGTGGTGTGAGTAAAGTGCCTGGCACAGTGCAAGATGTGCAAAATGGACTCCAGGTTTCCTTCTCTGTGGCCTGTGTGGTCTGTACTGCCTTTGAGGGGACTCTTCCTGCAGCCCTTGCCTGCCTGAGCCTGTGACGCTCCCTTCATGGTGCTCTCACACACAGAAGTCACTATAATGAGCAATATGAACTGGTGGTCCTGCCAATGAAGATCTGGGGGATTTCTGTAAAGACTCCAGGACTCTTGATGAGACATAAGAAGAGGTTCCTTATTGAATGACTGATATCAGGGAACAACTCTTAAGAACTGTGAAACCAAAATTCCAGAAGACACAGCTTGATAATATGCAAGACGACTATCAGTGGTGAACTCCACTTGACATTTTGAGTAGCGGCAACCCCATTCTGGCATTGCGTGTGTGCATGTGTGTGAGCTATTAACCATTCTCTCCTTAAGCACATCTGTATTCTGGCCCACTCTTAGCTGGTAATATTAAGATTTTAAAGGGAAATTTTAAATTTATTGAGGGACATTCCAATGTCCCTAAATAGCTGTGCAGCATTTGACTTTGTTCATACACACTGCACCAGCCGCTATGCTAAAGAACATAAAGACTATCTCTGCATTTAAACAACAAAGAGATAATGTGAGTTTAATCCCCATAATCAGGTTGTTAACAAAAAATGTTTAGGCTGAACATTTTACTTAATACCTTACCTTTCGCAAGTGTAACACTCGCAGAACTCATTATTTTCTCCAAAGAACCCATCTCCATAATAACAAGAAATTTCTTCTCCAGGTTCAATGTCTCTTAGAGCCTTCACACATGCTGTATCTCGACCAGTTGACACAAACTAAAATAAAAGTAACTCAGTAAGAAACTCACACCTGAAGCAAAAACAAAATACTTGAAGAAAATTTTTTTAATGCTTACCTTACAATTAGGTCTGCAATCTGAAAAATGTCCAAAAGATAAAGTCAATTAACTGTTGATAAGATCTGAAACACGAACAATTATAGAAATCTGAAATAAGCTTTCCATATAACTTTACAACTTTTGATAGGAGTTTAGGTCTCAAGTTCAACTAAAGGAATATACATTTATTTTAATAAGTTTGTGGAAACATTTCTATTTCAAATTCTCCTTTAAAGGAAGATAAAGGTTTGACTGAGGTTGACAAGGCCATTCTAGCAGTTAGCAGGAATGGCCAACACTAGCGCCAACACCTTGGAAACACAGCTTACCATGGTTTATAAACGCAGCAGGACCCAGCCAGAGTTGAGCACAGTTTTTCCTTGTGGAGTACATGACACTGAAGTCGTTTTCTCCATGTCTAAGTAGCATGTTCTCCTCAATTTCTGAAAGTTCGGCAATACAACCCACCAGTAATTCTATTTTGTCATTTCGTTTCCTATTTAAAATATGTGATGTGTTAAAAATTACTAGTAATTAAATATAGTAAGGCTTCTTTTAATAAAATAATCCTGACAATAAATATCAGAAACTGAAAAGGCCTAGCTGTCTATACTTTAGTTAGCTCACTGGGATCCCCACCTGGCTATCTTCTCTCCTACCCTGGAGCTCCACAGCCTTGTGCCATGGTTACTTGTGTACCTATCTTATTCCTGCAAGAGAATGGAAACTCAACCAGGACAGGGACTATGCCACCTATGTCTCTGAATGCCCTGGTGTGGTGTTTTGCAAGCAGAAAGTACTCAAATACTTGCGGCAATGAATTAAACTTTCTGACTGCTGGATGAAGCAGGCAGGGACCAGTGGCAGTAAGGGTTATGAGGATCCGGAATCATGGTGCCACTCTTTAGAGCACACCATCTGCTAGGAATATAATGCAAGCCAAATTTTCAATCTTAAATTTTTTAGCAGCCACATTGAGAAAGTTAAGTGAATATAGGTGAAATTACTTTAACAATTTATTTTATTTTATTTTATTTGAGACGGAATCTCGCTCTGTTGCCCAGGCTGGAGTGCAGTGGCGTGATCTCAGCTCACTGCAACCTCTGCCTCCTGAGTTCAAGTGATTCTCCTGCCTCAGCCTAAGTAGCTGGGACTACAGGTGTGTGCCACCACACCTAGCTCATTTTTTTTTTTTGTATTTTTACTAGAGATGGAGTTTCACCGTGTTGGCCAGGATGGTCTCGATTTCTTGACGTCATGATCCGCCCACCTCAGCCTCCCAAAGTGCTGGGATTACAGATGAGCCACCATGCCCAGCCAACAATATATTTTAACCCAATATCCAAAATACGATTTCAGTAGGTAATATAAGAACTATGAATGGGAATAAAATTTAATATGAAATCTGGTGTGTATAGCACACTTACAGCGCTTCTCAATTCAGACTAGCTACATTTCAAGGACTCAAGGGCTGGTGGCTACTGTACCGGACGGTACAGCTCTAGGACTCTAGATCTCAAACCTACACACCCATCTGCAACACAGGGAGCCACATAATCCAACTAGCAGGCTCAATACATCCTGAGGTAAATGAAGCACATTTCATGTACACACACTCACCCCAGAGGCCTGGCAATAAAGTTCTTTTACCTATCCATTTTCAGATATCTGACCCCCCAAATTTTTGTGGTAGAAATATCAGAGGGTGGGTACATGAGGAGCTACATGTTTTTCCTGGGAGATAACATAGGGAACAGGCATGATAGGAAAGAAGATACAGTAGTATATTCTCTTTCATCTGTAACTTTTATCCCTTTTAGCTGGGCTCAACTCTGACTTAATTTTGAGATAGAGTCTCACTCTATTGCCCAGGCTGGAGTGCAGTGGCGCGATCTCAGCTCACTATAGCCTCTGTCTCCTGGGTTCAAGTGATTCTCCTGCCTCAGCCACCCGAGTAGCTAGGACTACAGGTGTGTGCTACCACGCCCAGCTAATTTTTGTATTTTTAGTAGAGATGGGGTTTCACCATGTTGGCCAGGCTGGTCTTGAACTCCTGACCTCAAGTGATCTGCCTGCCTCGGCCTCCCAAAGTGCTGGGATTATAGGCGTGAGCCAATGCCCCCCACCAACTCTACTATTTTTATTGAAGCTGGCATATATACATATATATATATCTGTATGTATGTATTTTTAAGCAACTAATGCTTTAGGGAGGTTTCCACCCATAAAACTAGGATCATTAAAACTTTAGCCCCAACCTTTCTTCTAGGCCAGTAGAAGACTGACTGTGGAAGCCAGGTTATCTAATCACGGTATCCACAACTCTTCAGCAATCATATCACTGAACAGGCATCCAGAGTCAATAAAGGAAAATGAAAAGCAATTTGGCCTAGAGATGGGATCTGGTTCAACTGAGACTTCCGATTTCCCCACTCTGACTCCAGCTGATGGGCCAAGGCAACGGCGATGCATTGGCTACTTCAGGGTAAACTCTGGCTTCATTCCTTACCATGAATTTCTCAGCACTTCAACAATAATTTAGAAGAGAACTTTAAATTAAATTAAAGGCTTATACTAGTAGAATAGTTACCACTCTTTTGTTGCAACTATTTTGGCTCCATTTTGTTCTGATGAGTATCTATTACATGGCAATATTTCAAATCCACTGTCAGTTGCAAACATTCGCAAATAAATAAATACCTAAAACAGGAAAAAAAAATTGATAATGACTTTAAATGGTATACCCTGCTAGACTTTCTTACAATTATAAAAGCAAACCACCCGCAATGATGAAAAAAATGTAAGATCTAGCCTGAGCAACATAGCGAGACCCTGTCTCTACGAAAAACATTAGCCAAGCATGATGGCATGTACCTTTAGTGCCAGCTACGTGGGAGGCTGAGAGGAAGAATCACTTGAGCCCAAGAGATGGAAGCTGCAGTGAGCCATAATCAGGCCACTGCACTCCAGCCTGGGTGACAGAGCAAGATTCTGCCTCTAAAAAAACAATAAAATAAACAAAAAAAGTAAGATCATTAGGTAACAAACTTTATTGTTACTCAAGAGTTTTGAATGTCACAATTTTTCTCATTTTGCAATATTTGCATTACAGTAACTAGCTGAACACCTCTAAACAAAAAATTCAAAATCCTCCCATGAGCATTTCCTTTGAGTGTCAGGTCGGTGTTCAAAAAGTTTCAGATTTTGGAGCATTTCAAATTTTGGGGTTAAGGGTACTCACTCTGTATGAGTACCTAATGGCTTGTTTCCCTTAAGGCTCATAATGAATTTCACCTCTATATGACAAAGTTTTCTCTCCTTTTTTGGTTTTAGAGACAGGGTCTTGCTCTGTCTCCCAGGGCTGGAGCGCAGTGGCATGATCATAGCTCAGAGCAGCCTCTAACTCTTGGGCACAAGCAATGCTTCTGGCTCTGCTTCCTGAGTAGCCGGAACTACAAACTACAAAGGTACACACTACTATGCCTAGCTAATTTTTTTATTCTTATTTTTTTAGAGATGGAGTCTTGCTATGTTGCCCAGGCTGGTCTCGAAGTCCTGGCCTCAAGCAATACTCCCATCTTAGCCCCCACAAAGTGCTGGGATTACAAGCATGAGCCACTGAGCCTGGCCCAGTTTTTTCTCTGGACTGTCATCCAAATGACTGTATGTGTTACAAGATCTTCAGACTGATTAGTTTTATGAAAAATAAATTTAAAATTTCAGTATTAACTAACATTTAGGGTTTTAATTTACTTCACTATTCTTATCCAAATAGGTTAACAGCATCAGTCTTAATAAACTTACATGTTCTTTGAATAATTTCTCCTGCATTTTATTCTTGTTGAGAAAATAGTGCCGTGCCCATTCGCCTGAAGTCAAACATTTGAAGGCTTTCTCCAAGTGTTCATCTTTCTTAAAACGTTCAATTACTTCCTTTAGTTCTTCCTGCCTTCCTTTAATAGGCCTAAATCTGAAAGAAATCAAAAGAATGAATGGGTTATCTGCCACAATCCTTGCGCCACTGATCCATCTTAACAGATCTTGAGAAAGAGCTAATACCCTAAAAACAGCCATGGTTATCAGAGCAAAGATCTAAGAGAAGAGAACAACAATCAATAGTCTTGATTACTACTATTCAAGTAATACTGATCACCTGGATACGCAAGTTCTCTTTTTTCAATCTGTTATTTTAATATTTTTATTTCACTGTTATCTCAGTAACTTCTCTTTTTTCAATCTGTTATTTTAATTATTTTTATTTCACTGTTATCTCATTAACTGTGAGGTGAGCAGACGATTCAAACAAAAGCTGTCTGATTCAGACTTACACTAGTCGTCAACTTTGGGAGACACAAAATCAAAGCTCTAGAATACAGCACACCTAATTTAGAGTTAGAATGACAAGAATCTTTTTAAAACATGCAAAATCAAGCTGGAAGAGTGCCAGGCAATGAATTTCAGAAGTATGATGATGTAAACAAAACCATGCCATACACAAAAACATTCTTTATGTACACAGTCAGAAAAAACCCCAAACTAAGTATTCCAACAGGCTTCGAAACACACCTTGATGTTCTAACCACCCATGTCAAAGTCATCTTTGATGACTGCATTCAGAGAACAAAACGAGTACAAGCAGTGTTAACTCTAGTGGTGAAATTGCTATACTGGTAATGTAGGAAAACTGATGGGGTAGAGTTGTTTTTTTTTTTTTTTTTTGAGATGGAGTCTCACTCTGTGGCCCAGGCTGGAGTGCAGTGGTGTGATCTTGGCTCACTGCAACCTCTGCCTCCCGGGTTCAAGTGATTCTCTTGCCTCAGCCTCCCATGTAGCTGGGATGACAGGCGTGCGCCACCATGCCCAGCTAATTTTTGTATTTTTAGTAGAGACCATGTTGGCCAGGCTGGTCTTGAACTCCTAACCTCAAGTGGTCTGCCCACCTTGGCCTCCCAAAGTGCTGGGATTATAGGTGTGAGCCACTGCGCCTGGCCTGCAGGGGTAGAATTGAAAAGGCTTCCATTGTAGAATCAGCCACACTGATGTCTTCAGAATATTATCCCATTAGGTCTGTATTTATGCATGATGCAGTCATGGCCCAAGCAAGACAAATTTGTGAACCCCTCATTCTAAAGCTGTGTTTTCAGTAAAACGTGTACTATAAAGTTACTAGCATCTTAATTTCAAATTTTCTTTTCATGTCAATTTCATAAAGCTAATTCTCCCAAATAAAGTTTTTATTTTAAAAAAAAGTTTTATTTTATTTTCATAAAGCTAATTCTAACCGGATTATGGCCCGGTATGGTGGCTCTCACCTATAATCCCAGCACTTTGGGAGGTCGAGGCGGATGGATCACGAGGTCAGGAGATCGAGACCATCCTGGCCAACCTGGTGAAACCCCGTCTCTAAAATGCAAAAAATTAGCCAGGCCCACGTAGTGGTACACGCCTGTAGTCCTAGGTACTCAGGAGGCTGAGGCAGGGGAATTGCTTGAACTCGAGAGTTGAAGTTGGAGTGAGCCAAGATCGCGTCACTGCACTTCAGCCTGGTGACAGAGCAAGACTCTGTATCAAAAAAACAAAACAAAACGTCCAACAGAAAAAAGGAATCACCGATTGCCATTCAAATAAAATACATTAAGAAAAAATATTAGTGGTTCAGGAGAAAAAAATCTTTATGTGTCTTACTCTGACATTTAAAATTGTACATTTCATAAACCTGAATATGCTAAAATTGAGGTAAGATCTAGCACAAACTCCAGCAAAGGAAGCATTCAGCAGAATTTTTTTTCCTAGAGAAGCTATCATATATGTATTCATAGTATTTCAGTAAGATTTCAAGCCACAGTATTTCATCAAGGATTATTAGGTGCTGTGTTGTGTATACAGTGGCATATGAAGTGCTATGGTGAAAAATACAAGAGAAGACATGGCCACTGTTCTTGAATGGAAAATTTAATTGGGACTAAAAGACATATATATGCATCAAACAGTTAAGCAAGTGATCAATATGCAAATGCATGTTAATATGCTAAAAACTGCATTGCTATAGCACCTAAAAGTATAGAAATTATAACTAGGGTGCAAAATGTACATGGGAAAGGTTTAAGAAAAGCACATTATAAGCAGGTAAGAATCAAAAGGAAGGAAGAATGAGGGGAAGTCTAAGCAGAAGATCTTAATCAAGCTGGATTCAAAGAGTTGACCAGGGTCAGCTAGGTAGCAATAATAAAGTAAAGTACCAGAATCAGGAAGAGGAAAGACATGAGGTCCTGAACAGGTATAATACTGTTTACTGGACAGGATCACTGGAAGACTTCAGGTGTATTAATGCATACTGATACTACCAGGAACTTACTAGCTACACACTCTAGTCATTTTTTTTTTAATTCAGTAATCCTGAATTCTCACAACTATTAGCTGAACCATCTGAAAGTTCAAACATATCCTAGAGATAATACTGAAGAAATGAACAGGGCCCTATTTTCCATTTTCAATCAATTGGTATACAAGCCTTTACAGACAGATAAATGCAAGTCCTTTAAACAATTCAGAACGTCTTACTAGTCTGTCGACATATGGTGTCAGAGAACCACCATGAAAATAAAGAGCTGTAGAATTGGGAAAGCATCCAAATATCCATACTCAACTACTTGTAGCCATCACAATTGATTGTGTCAAGATACCATCTCCAAGAAATCCAATGGAAACCATTCTTGCTGCAATCCTACACTACATGGTTATTTGCACATGAAGGACAGATAAGACAACAAAGCAGCTCTCAGCTAAGGCATGACCTGTCGAGCAATATGAAATATGAAATATGAAATGGTGGGAAACAGATAACCCGTGCTTTGTGTGGCAATCAGAAAAGCAATAGTTCACTTTAAGCAAATGCAATAAATTATCCATGCCGTTAAATGACAGGGCTACAAACGACAGAAAGGGCCAAGCTATCTTTACACGTTCAATGTGAAAGTGACCAATGGGAACATTATACAAAAGTAAGTTATAGACCTGGAATGAAACTTGGCTATTTTTAATAGGCTTTATGTGTGTTCTATGCTTTCTGAAACAAGTTCATTCCTATCTAAAAATGCCTTCAGGTAACCTTGGTTTTGTTTACTTTTTATTCATAATGCCAAACAATTTACATGCTAAAACCAACACAAAATAGTCAACTCTTGATTTAGTAGTATTCTGCCTACCTTCCCTGTGTTGACTTCTGTTTCTGCTTTCCTGACTTTATTGCCTCAAACATAAATAAAACCCCTGAAACTATCCCTTGCTACCAATAGCAAGAACCTCTATTTCACTAAAAATATAAGTTGCTGTCCCAAACCTGTTAAAACTTACTGTCACAGTTGGCTGCTATGGGCATGAAATGACAGTAAGGAAAAGGGGGAAGAAAATGGTTAAGGGTGCAGACAGGCAGGAGATGAGACAGTTGTTTTCAATAATCCTACAGAAGTATGTAAAAGTCAGCTGGCTGATAGTCCAAATCAAATCCCATTGTAACAAATACTGTGGAAAATAAAAGTTAAGACTGTTATACCTATTAGGGCTGGTGCAAATGCACTGAAAACCTTAGGGAAATTTTTTTTTTTCCTATTATTGAACAGAAAAATACCCTCTCTCCTTAACTATAATCACTCTAAATCTCCCATACAAACTGCATAAAACTATCCTTTTACTCTGACACTTAAAGGCCAGATAATTTAGAACAGCCCTTTTGTTCCACAAATGAGGAAAATAAGGCCCAACAAGGCTGAGTAGATTGCCAATGACTTAGGGTTAATGAATGGAAGACCTGGGATTTACCCTGGCCTTTCTGGTTCCTGTTATATCACCTGGCTCAGGAGAGCCTTCCTCACATTGTTTCATGGTTAGAAGAGGATTTGACTTGCGTTTGCCATTGAACATCAGCACTGGGCCCAGCCAGAGACAGCTCTAGCTTGTATACTGACAATACAGTGGAAGGGATGGACGCAAATGTGAATTTTAAAATTTCGTATTTGGGTGGGGGGGTGGGTGACAAGGGAGGCAAGAAAAACAGTTATTTGGCATTTCCAAACCAATATGCCCCGTCCTCCCTCCCTTAATAGAAAATTTGCTACTTTAAATCAACCAAACATATCTATTTTTTCTCTTTTTACACTTCCAATCAATGGCTGGTATAAGAAAAATAAAAATGTCATTTACAATTGATTATTATTAAAGGGGCAGGAAAAAAACATATGAATTCACACTCCCACACACCTGTTCCCCACTCTTTCCAGAGACTCACTTCCCAGGTTTTCTTGCTATTTGGTTTTTCTGTCTCCCCACTGTGGCAGTGAAGAAAAGTTGTAGACTGTATTAGCTGTGCTACTGTGCCCTTCATTAGCATGCACAATCAAGAGCTGACTGGAGGGGTGGGGAACAGGAAGGGGAACAGAAAAAAGGGAGACAGGGAAGGAGAGAGGAAGAGAGAAAAATGCTCAAATATTTAAGATATAAAATAAAACCATGAGGCAACATAGTGAACACATTTCCCCCTCTGAAGAAAGTTTAGCTGCAAATCCACAGTTTGTAGACGCTGAGTGAGGAGTCGCAGATCAGCTCTTCAGTCCTTCTTGACCTGAAAATAAACGAGAACCAAAAACATACCTGGCTGAGTCCTGCAATCAGTGCTCAGCTAATCACATGGAGTGACTCCTGATCTTTTGAAGAATGATTTGTTTCTCTTAAAATCACCCTGTTATGAAGTACAAGTGGTTTTTTAAAAAATACAACTATTATCAAACTACTTTAAAAGGTTTGTAAAATGTTCTAAAACTCTAATTTATGCTGACACTTCAAATTACTTAACATAAAAGAACATTTTAAAAGGCTAGAATGGGTTAGTCAGTATCTCATTGTTTTTAACACACACTACCTACCTCACAGGGTTGTTGTGAGAAAAACTGTCAGATTTTGAAAAATGCCTTGAGCTCCTCGAAGGAAAGGCGCTATATAAATGCAAAAACAAACAACAAAAATAAAAAGCTATTTGTATAATCTGTACTTGTAATTTCTAAACAGACTTACAATATTCGTTGTTGCAAAAATCTTTAAAACTCTGTGATAATCAAGAACTTTAAGATACCACAGGTGGGCGCGGCAGGATAGAAGCCATGCTGCTGAAATTCTCTGCTTCCCATAGAACACACCTTACCATGAAGTTAGAAGCTTTGAAAACATTCTTTACGGATTCTAGTCAAGCACTTAATTTTAAAATGATATTTAAAGTGATTCATATTCATATCCAATAGTGGATATGAATAATCAAATACATATAAAAGTGAAATAAAAATTAGATGGTTATAACAGTAGAAAAATGAGTAAGGACTGTACAGGCTGACATTCTGATTAGAAAACCAAGAAAAGTTGAAAAGAGAAACTCAGTGCCCTGAAGTGACTCCCCTGATGTTTAAATGCTGTCTCCTGCTCAGCTCACTGCTGGCCTGAGTCGCCTTCGCGCCTCAGGATACTGTGACATCTCAGGGTCATGCAGCCTCAAAAAGGGGGCATTACTGAAAGCATCGATCCCTTTCTTAAAATATCCCGCTCCCACTCCATTTAAAAACCAGAGGTATAAACAACAACTCTTTTTTTCTTGTTAAAAAGAAAACTTTAGGTTTCATAATTGACAAAAGTCAATTAAGTTCAAATTTCTCCCAATAAATTGAAATTAGCATTTTGTTCGTACTATTTCTAAGTATTCATGCTACAACTCTTGCTTGTTAGTAAATGTAAGGATATATTAAGATTAAAACCTGTGCACTCAAAACATAGCCAGTTTTGAAAATTCTCCAATCATTAAACATCTACTCTTTCTTTTTTCTTTTTTTTTTTTTTTTGGAGATAGAGTCTCACTCTGTTGCCCAGGCTGGAGTGCAGTGGTGTGATCTAGGCTCACTGCAACCTCTGCCTCCCAGGTTCAAGTTATTCGCCTGCCTCAAACTCTTGAGTAGCTGGGATTACGGGCACGCACCACCATGCCTGGCTAATTTTTGTATTTTTAGTAGAGACGGGGTTTCACCATGTTGGTCAGGCTGGTGTCGAACACCTGACCTCGTGATCCACCCGCCTCGGCCTCCCAAAGTGCTGGAATTACAGGCGTGAGCCATCACGCCCGGGCTAAACATCTACTGTTTCTAAACATTCTTCCTGTTGGTAGACTGAAAGAAGTAAAAGGAAGGGAAAAGAGTATAAAAAAGAGAAACTAAAAAGTGACAAATTACAGGTGCATAAACATATGAACAAAGAGCGCACTATACAAGGAACAGGCAGAGAGCTTAGAAAATTAAAATCCAAGAGCAGTACATCTTCTGGTCACTTCTTTTGCACCCCAAAGAGAGAGAAGTCCATAAACTAACAATTTAAGAAGTATTTATTGGCTATTTACTACCTTAATTAAGCATTATCAGTTTTCCTTATTTTCTAAAGTCACATTCTGGTAAATTCTTGCTCAAAAGATGAAGAGCTAGAAGGGATAGTTTTATTTTCAAGTAAATTCACTAAGGTTAATTGAAAACATATACCTTTCACCAAGATTATTGTAAAGGTCATTAATAAAGTTTCTGTTCCCAAATATCAGTGTACACAAGAGTGTAAAAGCACACGTAAACGGAACACTCTGGTGGGAAGTAGGCAGGCCGTCCCCTGCACTCCCACACCGGCCTGAAGTGCTGGCATTGCTAGGAACCCAGGCTGCTCTAACCAGGGCAACAGAATCGTCTGTACTTCCACAGGTTATTTTAGGAACTGTATAATTAAATGTTGGACTAAAAAATACTTAAAAAATGATTTCTTCTGCAAGTTTAACCAGCTTTAATTTTAGATGCTTCAATTCTATGGGGAAAAATCTTAGGCACTGGGTGCATTTTAACTTAGGAGTCCTCAGTTAATGTCTTGAGTTCCAAAAATATTTGTGTGGTAATCCTGAAGTTTACATTTATGACTACATAGTTTTACGTGAGCCCTAGGAAACTCCTAGTAAGGTATTTTTATCCACTTAGCACGTCACAATGAAACTGAGAGGCCAGATGTTTTAGGACCTAGCTATTCCAAGTGTAGTCTGGGAGCTTGTTAGAAAGGCACAATCTCAGGCCCCACCCCAAAGCTACTGAATCAGAGCCTGCATTTCAACAAACTCCCAGGTGACTCTCATGTAAACTAATTATAAGAAGCAATGGTATAGGAGGACTTTTACAGAAAACTGGAGTGCTTCCTTTTGTTTTTTAATATAGGGTTTCACTCTGTGGCCCAGGCTGGAGTGCAGTGGTATGAATACAGCTCATTGCAGCCTCGAGCTCCTGGGCTCCAGTGATCCTCCCACCTTGCCCTCCCAAAGTGCTGGGATTACAGGCATGAGCCACTGCAGCAGAAAACTGGAGTATTTACTATTGAAGATGCCAGTAACAGGCAGCCTTCTGGAATACGGCACGGGGATTTTAGAGTACATGAAGTTCTGTCATAAGCCACTAAAACTTTCATTGTAATTTTTTTTTTTTTTTTTTGAGACTGAGTTTCGCTCTTGTTGCCCAGGCTGGAGTGCAGTGGCGCAATCTCGGCTCACCACAACCTCTGCCTCCCAGGTTCAAGCGATTCTCCTGCCTCGGCCTCCTGAGTAGCTGGGAGTACAGGCATGTGCCACCACGCCTGGCTAAATTTTGTATTTTTAGTAGAGACGGGGTTTTCCATGTTGGTCAGGCTGGTCTTGAACTCCCGACCTCAGGTGATCCGCCCACCTCAGCCTCCCAAAGTGCTGGGATTACAGGCGTGAGCCACCGCACCTGGCCCATTGTAATTCTGATGTAACGCTGTTTTATATGCTTCCATATCTTGGTAATAAGGCATAATCAATATAACTTTCTTGATGACCCCAGGTCAAGATTCTGGGCCTTTGTGGTGACATTCTGAATGCCACTAGACTACTGTGTCAAAGAGTGATTCATTCACACATTCACATTTCTTAACTCAAAAAAAAAAAAAACAAAGAAAAACACTGGGGGTGCTACAGGGTGACAAATATTATCAGCATCTTCTAGGAGAATGAGCACTGGTCTCATGTTCAATGGGCAAAAAAAAAGAAAAGAAAAGAAAATGGACTTAAAATAATGCAAATTAGTTTTTTGTTTTTAGCCGGAGTCACGCTCTGTTGCCCAGGCTGGAGTGCAGTGGCGCGATCCCAGCTCACTGCAACTTCCACCTCCCAGGTTCGAGGGATTCTCCTGCCTCAGCCTTCCGAGTAGCTGGGACTACAGGCGCATGTGGCCAGGCCCAGCTAATTTTTTGTATTTTTAGTAGAGACGGGGTTTCAGCATGTTGGCCAGGCTGGTCTCGAACTCCTGAGCTCAGGTGATCCACCCACCTCGGCCTCCCAAAGTGCTGGGATTACAGGCATGAGCTACCATGCCCAGTCCTGTATCTTTTTTTTTTTTTTGAGGCAGTCTCACTTTGTTACCCAGGCTGGAGTGCAGTGATGTGATCTTGGTTCACTGCAACCTCTGTCTCCCGGGTTCACGTGATTCTCCTGCCTCAGCCTCCTGAGTAGCCAGGACTACAGGTGTGCACCACCACACCCAGCTAATTTTTGTATTTTTAGTAGAGATGGGATTTCATCATGTTGGCCAGGCTGGTCTCGAACTCCTGACCTCTGGTGATCCACCCAGCTTGGCCTCCCAAAGTGCTGAGATTACAGGCATGAGCCACTGCGCCCAGCCTGGATCTTAATCAATCAGGGCATCCAATGGCAGTCATTTGGCAGGGAACTGTTTAAATAATCCCCCAACTCCATTCCAATATTTCACACTTCATTTTAGTAGGTAAAGATATATGACAGAAAATTTTATGGTCAGACATGGTGGCTCACGTCTATAATCCCAGCACTTTGGGAGGCTGAGGCAGGTGGATCACCTGAGGTCAGGAGTTTCAAGACCAGCCTGGTCAACATGGTGAAACCTCATCTACACTAAAAATACAAAAATTAGCTGGGTGCAGTGGTGCACGCCTGTAATCCCAGCTACTTGGGAAACTGAGGCAGAAGAATCACTTGAACCCAGAAGGTGGAGGTTGCAGTGAGCTGAGATCATGCCACTGCACTCCAGTCTGGGCGACAGAGTGAGACTCCATCTAAAAAAGAAAAGAAAAAAAAATTTATGAAAAAAACAAAAGCATATTTTTACCTGAATTACTTCTTTTGGATTTAGACTGTAATTGATAAGTGAGGCATATAGTATCTTAATTCTAGCAAGGGATAAAATTAAAAGGGGGGAAACAGGACACAAGACTTTCCTCTAATTACCTGTACTCACCAATTCCTACCTCTCCCAACTACTGATCAGTGACCACCTACCTGGGTATCAAGTTCCCCCAGGGTTGCCACTAAAATCAGAACTATATAACCCCAGTCCGGGTGTGATGGAGATGAAAGTGATGGGCCAGAACTAGCTCTATCTTCTAAATCCCTGCTGTTATGCTTTTCCACCAGGCTAAAAAACCCTTTGCCATAGAGGTTAAGAGACAAAGCAAAGTTGCAAAGCTCTGACCTGTTTGGTGGCAGATACATTTGTGAAATGATCTAATGGTCTTTTTTGAGGGAGAAATGGTATTTAAGAGAATTAAAGAGAGACCTCAGCTGTTAAAAGATGACAGATTTCAAGATTAATGTAATAATGTTTTTTATATACAGCATTTGGTACTCAAAACACTTACACATCCACTTTCTTACCTGCATACTGAATATAAACATGTCTTTAAAACTATTCGCTCTTAAATAATTAGCTGAATCCCAAAGATTAAACATGATGACAAAATTCCCCATCTATACAGAGACAACGTGTAAGAGAAAAGTCTATAATAAAATCATGAAAAAAAGGGATGTACCCTACTTTAGGTTGGAAATAATCATACACTTTCAAGGTGTTACAGGATGCTTGTCAGATTTTTCTTTTCGCTAAGATAATTGTCATCACCTTTTTTTTTTTGAGATGGAGTTTCGCTCTTGTTGCCCAGACTGGAGTGCAATGGCACGATCTCGGCTCACTGCAACCTCCGCCTCCCGGGTTCAAGTGATTCTCCTGCCTCAGCCTCCCAAGTAGCTGGGATTACAGGCATGTGCCACCTGCCTGGCTAATTTTTTTTGTACTTTTAGTAGAGACAGGGTTTCACCATGTTGGTCAGGCTGGTCTCAAACTCCTGACCTCAGGTGATCCACCCACCTTGGCCTCCCAAAGTGTGGGGATTACAGGCGTGAGCCACCATGCCTGGCATCATCAACTTTTAAAATAGAACATGAGGATGCTCCTCCAGCTTTATACGTTAATAGAAATGTTCTGAGGTAAAATAAGAACACAGAGTTAGAACTGACAAGATTCCTGGAGTCTTTTCTCTGCTTCTCTTGGCTCACAGACAGAAAACCCTTCCACTGCAAAGAACTTTCCTTTAATGTCATTTTAAATTTTGAGCAAAAGTAAAATTAGCCATCTATGTTCTTGAATTCAACATAATCATCTGTTCCATTCAGGATAAAGACTGAAAATTACCTAGTATTCATTTTGTGTGTTTGAAAACCTAAATAGGGATCAAGAACCAAACTGGTTGCTAGGTCATCATTTTCACAGAGTTCCTTGGCGGACATTCCAGAGGATGGTACATAGCGACTCTGTCCTTCAAATCCCGAGTTACCATTACCTGTGAAAAGCAAAAGCAAGAAAAATTACTCAAATTGAAAACTACTTAAATCTGCCTTAAAATCTTTAGCGGCATTGCCCATTCAAGCTGGTAATAAAGAACTGAAAAATCAATCATTTTAGTAATTAAGAATTTAATAACCTTTGCATAAGACAGAAAACCAAATGCAGTAAACTATCTCCATTACTGAGAGTATTATCGTTAGCAGGTAGTAATAGCAGGTTCCCAAGAATGGGGTCTGGGTAGTCGTGAGAATTTGGTTCAAATGCTTGACTCTCCCCCACCCCCTTCTCTCCAAGGAACACTGAGAAACGGGACGGGAGCATGTTCACTATTTTAACAAGACAATACACAGGGCCATTACAGATAGGACTCGACTGAAAAGGAAAGAGGAACACAAGATAGTTTCTGCAAGAAGCGCCAGAACTCCAGATCTCAAGTATCAAAAGGAATCTCATGAAGTTCAGCTTCCTGCTTTAGGGCAGGTGAATGATTATTATCCCCACTTTGCAGGCAACTGAGGCCCAGACAAAAAGAAACTTGCCCACAATTCCAGAGCTGGGCAGTAGAAGTGGGGAAAGAAGTGGAGAGAGAATGACAGACCTATTTCTACTGACCTCTGTTTGAAGCAATTATGAACGAATGGATAAAAATACAGACTGAAATATATAACTGAAATAACTGGGTTTAACTGTGGAAGAAAAGCAATGTAAAGAAGGAAATGAAGGCCAAGTTTGTAAGAAGTTTCATCAGAGCTGATTAAGTTTGATGTATATGCCACTGACAGTCCTTCCATGGAATCAGCACATCATTTATGGAGGACAACAGCAATGTAACTTTCAGGCTCTCAAAACCAAAATGGGGAAGAATGAAACACAGAGTAAAGTTTAACCTTTTCATCCACTCTTTCACAGAACAAATACTTAAATGTAAGTTCCTGCCAAGGGTAGACATATGATTTTGCAATCAAATTAGTTGCATGTAGGTATGTGAAAAGCTATCAACATTGTTAAATTTTTGGTAACAGCATAATAGCTTTATTGAAATACAATTCACATACGACACAACTCACTTTTTTTTTTTTTGAAGACAGGGTCTTGCTTTGCCACCCAGCCTGGAGTGCAGTGGCATGATCACAGCTCACCGCAGCCTCGAATTCCTGGGCTCAAGGAATCATCCTGCCTCAGCCTCCCTAGTAGCTGGGACCACAGGCATGCATCATCAAACCTGGTTAATTTTTGTATTTTTTTGTAAAAGTGGGGTCTCGCCATATTGTCCAGGCTGGTCTTGAACTCCTGAGCTCAAGCCATCCTCCTGCCTCAGCCTCCCAAACTGCTGGGATTACAGGCGTGAGCCACCACGCCCAGTCTTCTTTTTTTCACGCAGGCATTTACAAGTATAAATTTCCCTCTAAACCACCGCTTTGGCTGCATCCTGTAAGTTTTAGTATGTTTTATCTTTCTTTTAATTCACTTCAAAATGTTTTCTGATTTCCTTTTTGATTTCTTCTTTGACCCACTGATTATTTAGAAGTGTGTTATTTCATTTCTATGTATTTGTGAAATTCCCAAATTTCCTTGTTAATTTCTAATTTTCCTCCATTGGGGTCACAGAACATACCTTTTATGATTTCAATCCTTTGAAGTTTATGGAAGCTTGTTATACGGTCTAGCATATGTTCTATCCTGGAATGCTGCACTTGCACTTGAGATGAATGCGTATTCTGATGAGGTTCTATAGATGTCTGTTAGGCCTCATTGGTTTATAGTCTTAAGCTGTTCTATCCATTATTAAAAGTGGCGTATCAAAGTCTCCAAATTATTGCTGAATTGTTGATTTTTCCCTTCAATTTTGTCAGTTTTTCTTTCCTGTATCTTAAGGCTCTGCTGCTGGGAAAGTCACTGATTGTATCTGAGATGGGGCACTGCTCTGTGCTCTCCCATTTCTCATTGCTGGCTCTCTTTCTGCACCATTCTGGCCCAATAACATTCAATGTAAGGCTATGTCATCTTCACACACTGGGTTTTCCCAACCTAGCCCTCTATATTTATCTATGCTTGGTAAAGTGTAACCAAAGTAATGGCCATTTTCCTTTTTCTTTTTTTTTTTTTTTTGAGATGGAGTCTCGCTCTGTCGCCCAGGCTGGAGTGCAGTGACGCAATCTCGGCTCACTGCAAGCTCTGCCTCCCGGGTTCACACCATTCTCCCGCCTCAGCCTCACGAGTAGTTGGGACTACAGGCACCTGCCACCACGCCCAGCTGATTTTTTGTATTTTTAGTAGAGGCGGGGTTTGACCGTATTAGCCAGGATGGTCTCGATCTCCTGACCTCATGATCCACCCACCTCAGCCTCCCAAAGTGCTGGGATTACAGGCGTGAGCCACCACGCCCGGCCCGTAATGGCCATTTCTAAACTCTTTTTTTTTTTCTTTAAACAAGAGTCTCATTTTTTTTTGCCCATGCTGGAGTGCAGTGGTGTGATCTCGGCTCACTGCAACCTCTAACTCCTGGGCTCAAGTGATCTTTCCAACCACAGCCTCTCAAAGTAGTTGGAACCATAGACATGCAACACCATGATTGGCTAATTTTTTTGTAGACACGGTAGTTTTTGTAGACACAGGGTTTCACCATGTTGCCCAGGCTGGTCTCAAACTCCTGGACTTAAGCAGATCCATTCGCCTTGGACTCCCAAAGTGCCGGGACTACAGGTGTGAGCTACCACGCCCAGACGCATTTTCTAAATTCTTGTGTATCTATAATAATTCAACTAATTAAAACTGTTTTGCACTATGATACACAAAAGGAGGCCAACAGTGATTTCCTAAAAAACTTAAGATATGCCTAGTTTGCTGACCAGAATGAATACACACTGATGTGATCACTATATTTCTCAATTCTTCACGTTCACACTAGCTGCTAAGGAGTGAGGCAGGATGAGGGTACATGCTGCCAGCAGCCTCAGGAGTGAGTGGTGTCCATGCAGAGGACCACTCATTCAGTCTTGCCTCTTCCTACTCTTGTCCCAAGCAGGAATTCTGTCTGGTTTTCTATAGCAACAGTGACCTGATCTGAAATGGAAAGGTTAAGGGTAGCCTGGGCCCAATGAATCGCATAAACCCTAAAAGGTAAGAAGGAAATCTATCAGAACTTGTACAATCTGAAACTACAGAAAATCCCAGGCTAATCCAAATCCCTGGAAACAGGCCAATGCCAATCTGAATTAAGGATATTCAAAGGTGGCTAGATTCACGTTAGAAAAAGAAGAAAAGCTGTCCTCTTTAACATGACATACGTTTGGACATATAGCTGCCTAGTTAGGTATACACTTGTCCTCAGTCATTTTACTACTTTTAGAGGAACTATGAAATACGCACCAAATCTACAACTTCCTGAACTCTCAAAAAGCAGCCTCTTTCCTATCAAGAGGTATAGAGGAAATAAAGTAACTTATCAGCAGTGTTTCACTGTCAGGATGAACAACTGTCTACCCTGTATAAATAGAATAAATTGCTATGATTTGTGAGGCTGCCCTAAAGCAGTCAGTTCTATCTATCCTCATTCTACTTATGTAAATTACAGTTGGCGTCATTATTCATATTATTCCATGAAACATTTGTGGAAATTAGCAAAGAAGTACATACCTATACTTACATCTATTAAAAAAATACAGGTTAACCTGTAAGAAGTTCAATTAAAATTTTAAAAATTTAGTAAGACATATCAACCATTCAGGTAAATTCTACAAAATATAAAGTAACAGACAGAAAAGCATGATTAAAATAATTATATGAAGCATTAAACTTGAGTTTTATATAGTTTGATGAGAATAAAAATTGACACAACTTTGAGAGTAAAAAGACTATATTGTTAATTATGAAAATGCAAAAAATTATTTAAGACAAAAGAAAACAGAATACACATTACAAACTGGAAAGAATTACTACCCCATATCACAATCAGAACATTGAAGGTTTAAGTGTGTACATACATCTGTTCGACCTCCTCTCGACTGCATTTTTGCCAGCCTTCAGGGTGTCCTTCCCCGTGTGCTGTAATTTTGATTGATTCTGCTGATGGTCATTAGACAACTTGCCTCCATTTCTCCTGCCATTCACCACCATGTTCTTGGATTCTCCCAACCACTTCATACCCACAGACAGCCTGACCCAGGTGCATTTAGTCACTCTCTTCAAATAGCTTAGAGAATACTTTCAATGTTCTCTCCTAACAGAAACAAAATATGAAAAACAAAACAAAATGGGGAGATAAATACATGAAAGATCATGCTAAACAGACCCTTGAGAAAGATATATAATATTAAAAGGACAGTCATTCACAGTATAATGATGTTTTGGTCAATGACAGACCACATAAACAACGGTGGTTCCATAAGATTATAACAGAGCTGGACATACACTTCATAAAATTCGTATTGCCTAGTATTTACTATATTATACTTTTTACTGTTATTTTAGAGTATATTCCTTCTACTTTTTTTTAAGTTAACTATAAAACAGCCCCAGGCAGGTTATTCAAGAGATATTCCAGAGGAAGGCACTGTTATCACAGGAGATGACAGCTCCATGCATGCTACTGCCCCTGAAGACGCTCCAGTGGGACAAGATGCAGAGGGAGAAGACAGTGATATGGATAATCCCGACCCTGTGTGGGCTGAAGCTAATGTTTGTGACCTGTGTCTCAGTTTTTAATAAAAAAGTTAAAAAAATAAAAGTAGGAAAAGGTTATAGAATAAAGATATTTTAAAAAGAATATAGCTGAGCACAGTGGCTCATGCCTGTAATCCCAGCACTTTGGGGGGCCATGGCAGGCGGACTGCTTGAGCCCAGAAGTTGAGACCAGCCTGGGCAACATGGCAAGACCCTGCCTCTACAGAAAATAAAAAAGTGAGCCAGGCATAGTGGCATGAGCCTGTGGTTCCAGCTACTTGAGAGGCTGAGATGGGAGGTCAAGCCTGCAGTGAAGCTATGATTGCAACACTGTACTCCAGCCTGGGTGACAGAGCAACCCTGTCTTCCAAAAAAGAAAAGAAAATAATAATATATTTTTGTGTCTTTTTGTCTGTGTTTTGAGACAGTCTCACTCTATGGCCCAGGCTGGAGTGCAGTGGTGTGATTATGGCTCACTGCAACCTCAAATTCCAGGGCTCAACCAATCCTCCCACTCAGCCTCCCAAGTAGCTGGGACTAGAGGCAGGAGCCACCACATCCAGTTAATTTTAAAACTTTGTGTGTGTGTGTGTGTGTGTGTGTGTGTGTGTGTAGAGACGAGGTCTCACTATGTTGCCCAGACTGGTCTCAAACTCCTGGCCTCAAGCAATCCCTCCACCTTGGCCTCCAAAAGTGCTGGGATTACAGGCATGAGCCACTGTGCCTGGCTAAGAAAGAATATACATTCATTTATTTGAGACAGGGCCTTGCTCTGTCGCCCCGGCTAGAGTGCAGTGGTGCCATCTCTTCTCATTGCAACCTCCACCTCCCAGGTTCAAATGATTCTCCTGCCTCAGTCTCCTGAGTAGGTGGGATTACAGGCGTGCACCACCACACCCAGCTAATTTTTGTATTTTTAGTAGAGACAGGGTTTTACCATGTTGGCTAGGCTGGTCTCGAACTCCCAACCTCAAGTGATCCACCTGCCTTGGCCTCCGAAAGTGCTGGGATTATAGGCGTGAGCCACTGTATGTGGCCAGAATGTATTTTTGTATAGCTATATGTGTTTGTATTTTAAGCCAAGTATTACCATAAAAGAGTCAAAAAGTTTTTAGAAAAAAAAACTTTATAAAGTAAAACAGTTACAAGCTAAGGTTAATTATTGAAGAAACATTTCAAAATAAATTTAGCGTAGCCTAAGTGTACGGTGTTAATAAAGTCTACAATAGTATACATGTACTAGGTCTACGCAATTACTCACCACTCACTCACTGACTCATCCAGAGCAACTTCAAATCCTGCAAGTTCCATTCATGGGAAGTGCCCTTCACAGGTGTACCATTTTAAAATCTTTTATTCTGTATTTTTACTGTATCTTTATGTTTATATATGTTTAGATAACAAATAATATTGTGTTACCAGTGACTACAGTAGTCAGTACAGTAACAAGCTGTACAGGTTAGTGGCCTAGGAGCAATGGCCCAGGTGTGTAGTAGGCTAGACTACCTAGGTTTGTGTAAGTACACTCTATGACAACTGCATGACAACAAAACCACCTAACCTCACATTTCTAGAATGTGTCCGAGACACACTCTATGAGTGCACTCTATGATATCTGCACGATAACAAAATCACCTAAACTCACATTTCTCAGAATGTGTGGTATCCCTGTCATTAAGCAATGCATGACTATACTTTAATAACTGATGTCTCCACTCTTTAAAGACAATCTTGGCTCTCCCCAATCATATGATGCCTGCTCAGGAATACAGTGCCCCCAGACTGGCCAGAATGTAAACTACAGAAGGCAGGGACTCATTCTGACTTGTTCCTTGCTTGTGTTTAGAACAGTACTGACAAACAGCAGGTGCTCAACAAATATTTCTCTCAGTAAACAGTAAGAACCATCTTTGCTCCTTGTTATACTGATATCTAGTAGAGCTTTCTCATCTATCTGCTCAAACTACATGTTTTGGTAATGCTCTGAACTGGGTGAGTAAACTACAAGGAAGTTATTTATCTCTTTGTTCCAAGGCAAGCTTAGGAAAAGGCATCTATACTAAGCTTTGTCCATCACAGTAAGAGACTCCTAACTGTTGTGCTGGCTACTCATCACCACAAACAAAATTTAGCAGAGGGACAAGAGTAAGGAAAGTAAAGGACTTCATATCTCTTTGTTGTTGTTAGTTTCAATTCACTGTTCTAGATATTTAAGAAACCAATATTCAGATATCAAAGTAGTGCCCATCTGGAAATGTCTACCTTATCATTCCTTCACAATGGCAACAAAACTGAGAAGCTACTGTATTCGGTAATGTAAATGTATCTCTTACTATCTGAATTTGGGAACCGATTGATCTGAATAGTGGGGGATGCTTGTAATTTATAATGACCTTTGGAAATGAGGATATTATACATCACACTCACTACTAATGGAATGAGAAAAAGGATGTCCATGATACCACCTCATTATCGAATTATGCATTAGTACAAGTCAGACTAAAAAGGCCCTACGATAAAGGGCAAAAATACAGAACTTCAGAGCCAAAGATGCCTTAAGATCATCAGTGCAACTCCTTCAATTTGCAAATGAAACTGAGGCCACATGCCTAAAACCACATGATCCACCTGCAGCAGTCTCACGAGTAGAACCCAGCACTGCTGCCCAACAAATTCTCAACTACACCAGACGCAGGTCAATTTCCTTTCCACAAACACATAGAAAAGTACAAATGATAAATTACTTCGAAGTATTCACAAAAATACATGCCTGGACATACCTTTAATGATACTCAACACAAACACAAAACATGAATTTTTACTTGATCTCAGGTCTCTTTCATGTTACAGGAGTATCTGTGTGAGTTCACTGGAGGGTAAGATGTGCATGTGAGCAGTATGCTTAGGGGAATGGCAAAAAAAAAAAATCTGATCAATGCTAAAGACAACTTTACAATTGTTTTCTAACATGAATTTTTTTTCTGGTTCCCTTACTATTTAAATTCGATTATAGTATTTAACTTTTAACGTGCCTTTTGATTTTTCTCATAGGTTTCACTAAACAGTCTTCTATCTATTCTACATCAGTTATAAGCTAAGGATTTTTCAATTATTAAATTTTACCAAATTTAACATTAAAACCTCTCATTAATGATCATATATCTTACACTTAGGAGAAAAGGCATAGAATTGAACAGCAGTATACTTTTTTTTTTTTTTTTAAGAGACAGGGTCTTGCTCTGTCACCCAGGTTGGAGTGCAGTGGTGTGATGATGGCTCACTGTGGCCTCAAAGTCCTAGGCTCAAGCAATCCTCCACCTCAGCCTCCCAAAGTGTTAGGATTACCAGCATGAGCCACCACACTCAGTAAGAGCAGTGTACTTTTGAGGTATAAAGTACAAAGAAAGCTTGAGAAAAAGAGCAATGGGTGGTCCATTGGGAGCCTTGGATCTTGGATCCCCAGCAGTTTTGCCTATGGACTCTAAAATGGACTTCATTTAAAGAAACCCATGGAACAGTAATAGATAAAAACATAAAACAATATGAATTGTGGCATTCAAATCCTAGCACTTCGGGAGAGCATCAAGTACCAAGTTTTTTTTTTTTTTTTTTTGAGACAGAGTATCGCTCCCTCACCCAGGCTGGAGTGCAGTGTCCACGATCTTGGCTCACTGCAACCTCCACCTCCCAGGTTCAAGCTATTCTCATGCCTCAGCCTCCTAAGTAGCTGGAATTACAGGTGTGCACCACCATGCCCGCCTAATTTTTGTATTTTTTAGTAGAGACAGAGTTTCACCATGTTGGCCAGGCTAGTCTTGAACTCCTGGCCACAAGCGATCCTCCCACCTCGGCCTCCCAAAGTGCTACGATTACAGGCATGAGCCATTGTGCCCGGCCAAGTGTTCAAAAATTATAGCCTACTATCACAATGCATTGAAGATTTGAATTTCAATAACCTCGTCAAGACTTAGATCTTTAAAAGCTTCAAGGTTCATCTGCATTAAAGCTCTCCATCATTGAGCCATCTCACAAAAGTAAAAGCTTAAAGGGACTAAAATCCGTGACTACATTCCATTTTATATCCCTTCCTCAGTTTTCTTCAATTTCCTTGACCCCTAGGGTCTTTCATATTACTTATGTTCCTTTAAGACAAGAGCCAAAGAAACAGCACTTTCTGAAAAACAGATGTTCTGTGGCTATAAGCTTTCATTGGTACAGATGCATAAACTTGGCATGATAAATTTAGAATTAGGTTTTTTGTTGTATCCTATAAAAAGCTGCATTAACAACAAGCAAATGGGCCAGGTGGTGGCTTATGCCTATAATCCTAGCCCTCTGGGAGACCAAGGCAAGAGGACTGCTTGAGGCCAGGAGTTCGAGACCAGCCTGGGCAACACGGCAAGACCTCATTGCTACTAAAAATAAAAATTAAAAAATTAGCCAAGGATGGTGGTATGCACCTGTAGTTACACTCAGGAGGCTGAAGTGGGAGGATGGCTGCAGCCCAGGAAATTGCGGACACAGTGAGCCATGACCATGCCATTACACTGCAGCCTGGGTGACAGAGTGAAAAAAAAGAAAATGATGAAGTGGTAAATTTATATAAATGTATTTTATATTTCAAGTTAGATTATACTCTCAGAAGCTATGTGGTTTACAGAAAATAGCCCTCTCCTATCCCACCTCTGTCTCTTACTAGGCAGTTGGTAACCAACAAAGTCACTTAACCTCTCTGAACCTTAACTTCCATTATCCAGAAAGTGAAGCTGATCATATTTTCCCCATCCACCTCACAGGGCTGTTGTGAGGATCACATGAAATAATGTACCTAAAAAAGTTGTTTCTATAAAAGGTACAACACAGATAGATCCAGGGTCCTGTTACATAGTTGCAAGTCACACTCTTATCTCCAGGGCCTGGGAAGGTAGGTGATTTAAGCACACAGAAAGCACCTACCATGTCCAGGGCACATACATGGTAACAAGATTATGTTATTTTCCTCTGAATACACAGAATACTACCATGGGCTAATTCTAAGGAGCAAGACTGTAACTTTCCCTAAAATTATAGCTCAGCATTCATAGTGCTCTAGGGCAATTATGGGTTGTAACATATTAATGGTTTGCAACATTTTTTTTACTATGTTGTGACCAGTAATTTTTTTTAAATGAAAGAACACAGAGCAGAATATTTCACAATGCATCCCACATAGTAAGTTTTGTTTTAGTTATATATGTGTAAATGTGTGTATACTTGGTCATTAAATAAAATGAATTTTTGGCCAGGTGTGGTGGCTCATGCCTGTAATCCCAACACTTTGGGAGGCCCAGGTGGGCAGATCACTTGAATCCAGGAGTTTGAGACCAGCCTCGCCAACATGGTGAAACCCCGTCTCTACCAAAAATACAAAAATTAGCTAGGTGTGGTGGTATGCGCCTGTAATCCCAGCTACTCAGGAGGCTGAAGCAGGAGGATCACTTGAGCCCAGGAGATGGAGGGTGAAGTGAGCCAAGACTGCACCACTGGACTCCAGCCTGAGTGACAGAGCAAGACCCTGTCTAAAATAAAATAAAATAAAATGCATTTTTTTCCTGGGGGTGTGGGGAAGGGCAATGCACCATGCCTTTCTCCTCTGTCTGCCTGGAATGTTATAACACCATCTCTTTGCCTAATTCCTTAAGTCCCAGTTCAGTGTTCACATCCTCTAGGAAGTGTTCCTTGACATTCACTGCCAAATCTAGTTATATACTTATGCTATAAAACTTAAGTGAAAGCCCTTATGTGACTATATTGTTTAAGTGTCTGCTTCCTTAATTGAGAGTTCCTAAGGTTGAGAATCTATTTTTCTTATCTCTGGCCCTTGTGTATCTAGTATAGCACACAGTACATCCTAGAGGCACTCAACTGATGAAATAAATAGGTTGTATTCTAAACTGCATCATAGAAACTATATTTCTGCATTAAAAAAAACTGTAAATTAAAGATACTTCCTGACCTCTTCAAATCCTCTCCTTTCTCAAAATGTCCATGGTGTGTAAGGGGGTGAGAGAAGCTCCTGCACAGACAGAAACAAGGCAGGAATCACAGCTGCTACCACCACTAACTTCCCTACTGCTTGCCATTATACTTTCTGGTTTACTCCCTAGTCCTTGACCCTCCAGAGAAAAAGAACCAGGACCAGGAAAAGTGCTTTTGGTCCTTTAGGAAATCATCTGTAGAATGCCTGTGTTTAACACACAACTTATGGATAATCATGGAACAATGTACTTTTAGGCTTCTCAGGAGTCCTAATATACCTCAAAAATAAGACATAAAGCATAATTATATGAAATAGAAATAAAATATATGGAATAGAAAGGTTATCCATGGAGAGTCTTTTTTTTTTTCTTTTTTTGAGACGGAGTCTCGCACTGTCCCCAAGTTAGAGTGCAGTGGCCCAAACTCGGCTCACTACAACCTCTGCTTCCTGGGTTCAAGCGATTCTCCTGACTCAGCCTCCCGAGTAGCTAGGACTACAGGTGCGCACCACCACACCTGGCTAATTTTTTTTTGCTATTTTAGTAGACACGGGGTTTCACCATGTTGGCCAGGATAGTCTCGATCTCCTGACCTCATGATCTGCCTGTCTCGGCCTCCCAAAGTGCTGGAATTACAGGCGTGAGCCACCACGCCCGGCCATGGAAAGTCTTTAAGTCCCAACCAAGATGTCTACTTGAGAGAAAGCAGAAAATTTGGGGATGAGGCCCAGCAATCTGTGTTGTAGTAAGACCTCCAGGTGATGCAAGCTCCAGTGTAAGAGCAATCGCTCTAATTTACTTATTCATTTTATCATGTTAGGGCAAAGAATAGATACAAAATTTTAAGAAAAATTATGGAATAAAAAATTAAGGAAATTATAATATCAACCAAACATTTTTCTGAGAATTAGGAAAATTCACCAACAAATCACTTTAGTAATAGCAAACTTTGGTTCAATTCATGGAACACAGACTGAGATCCACTCTAATGTGCACATAATTTAAATTAAATGTGGGTTAATGATCCAAACTGGAAAAAATCTGTGCCCTCAGATCTCATTTATATTGTGATCAACTGATATTATTTGAACTCAAGGTAATTTAATCTAACAGGTACTTCTGTCAATCACAGAACATGGCTAAATTTCACTAGTATGAATGCACTGCACATGTCTGGATGTAGCCTAGCAGAGAGAGATTCTCCACAGGTCCATATGATAAAAGCTATCAAAAGATCTTTCTTAAACTGATAAATGAAACATTTGTAAAAACAATTCTAATGAAGCTATCAATAATTTGGGGGCTATTTAAAAAAATTTTCAGCTCAAAATGAATATATATTGTACTAATGATCAGGTCATCATTTGTTCTGCCCTCCTAAGTGTGGAATCTGTTCTTGCTGGCATGATCTTTCCTCTAAGACCACACGTTTACACATTAAAGGTAGCGATGGGATTTTAAAAAGCTAACACAAGTCGATACTGTAGTAGAGTATAGACAAATAGGGGTTGAAAACATCCCAGCACTTTGGGAGGCCAAGGCGGGCAGATCACCTGAGGTCAGGAGTTCGAGACCAGCCTGGACAACAAGGTGAAACCCCATCCCTGCTAAAAATACAAAAATTAGCCAGGCGTGGTGTCACATGCCTGTAATCCCAGCTACTTGGGAGGCTGAGGCAGGAGAATAGCTTCAACCCAGGAGGCAGAGGTTGCACTGAGCCAAGATTGTGCCACTGCACTCCATCCAGCCTGGGCGACACAGCAAGACTGTGAAAAGAAAAGAAGAGAAAAGAAGAGGAAAGAAGATGAAGGAAAGGAAAGGAAAAAAGACAAGACAAGACAAGACAAGACAAGACAAGACAAGACAAGACAAGACAAGACAAGACAGGGCGGCTAGCAAAGCCTAAATGCTTCATAGCTACCACAGAGGTGCCCCCTCCCAACAAACACACAAGGGTGCAGACTCCCATGGGACATAGCTGGCTCACGTGGAAATGTCCCCATGGTCACGGTTTGGCTGACACACTCTGAGCTAATTAGCCACTGACTACATTTAGAAGTAAAAATTGCCTCAATTTTGTCCCAAATTGTTAGGAAAAACATTTCAAGAAAGTACTGACTGCTTCTTTTTTTTTTGAGACGGAGTCTCGCTCTGTTGCCCAGGCTGGAGTGCAGTGGCACGATCTTGGCTCACTGCAACCTCCGCTTCCCGGGTTCAAGCCATTCTCCTGCCTCAACCTCCTGAGTAGCTGGAACTGCAGATGCACGCCATCACACCCGGCTGATTTTTTGTATTTCTAGTAAAGATGGGGTTTCACCGTGTTAGCCAGGCTGGTCTCAATCTCCTGACCTTGTGATCTGCCCGCCTTGGCCTCCCATAGTGCTGGGATTACAGGCGTGAGCCACCACGCCCGGCCATTACTGACCACTTCTTAAATGGTGTATTAGCTTGGTGCAAAAGTAATAAAGTAATTGCGTTGTTTTTTTTTTAGTTACAAATCCTGTTCTGATTTCCCAATATAAAAATGTCAGGAAAATTAGACATCCACTATATTCCAGACACTGTTGCAGGCACTGAGAATACAGCATGGAACAAAATAAGGCTTCTGCCCTCATCTGTGCTTATATTCTAATGGAAAAAAGCACTAGGAAATAATAAATTAACGAATGAATGTCGGCACCTTTTGGGGGGAATAAGCCATTTATGGTGGCAGGGAGTGTTTCAGGTGGAGAAGGAGGGTGATAGTGGCTGTTTTCTAAGACAGCAAGGGATGTGAAGGGACAGCCAGGCATCAGGCAAGAAGCATGCAGTAGACAAAGGGAAGGGCAAACACAAGGCCCAGAGGCTGGCGTGGCTGGGGCAAATATGGAGGAAGAGTGGGAGGATGAGGTCAGAGAGGCTGCCACAGGGAAGAAGGGCTTCAAAGCCACTGCTGAGACTTGGGCCTTTACTCCCAGTGAGAGGGAAAGCAGAGGAGTGACACGATCCAACCCACAGTTTTAAAGGACCATGCTGGCAGCTTGCTACATGGTACTTTAAAAAAGCAGTTCTAATGAAGCTACTAATAATTTCTAGGACAAGAGAATGCAGGGAGACGTTATTAGTAGTAGTAGTCTATTTACTAACTGACTACTGCTAGCCAGAGGAGAACTAGTGGCTGCAGCAGCAGAGGTGGCAAGAAGTGGTTGGCTTCGAGATCTTTTCTGAAGGTTCCGCTGATAGTCGGGAACTGCTGACAGATTGAATGCAGGTGTAGGAGAAAGAGGACTCAAAAATACCTGCAAATGAAGAATGGAATTAATATTTAGGGATGTGACAAAGACTATAGGAAGATTGGCTTCCGCAAGGACTGCGGTGTGGGAATTTGGTTTTGGTCATTTTTTCTTCCTTTTTGGGGGTCTTTTTTGGTTTTAGTCACTTTTGAGATGCCCACTACAGATCCAACTGGAGTTGGCAGCTGGATACCAGGGTCTGGAGTCCAGCTCCAAGCTGAAGATAAAAATCTGGTATTTTTATCTTCAAATAAAATCAAAGTATTAATGGCATTTCAAGCCATGGAATCAGATGAAATCTAGGACTCAGTGCAGATCAATGAAGTCCAAGGACTGGGTGTCGGGGGCACTTTAACATGTATAGGTCAAGAGGAGGAGAAGCAGCACAGGATCACAAAAGGAGCAACAAGTGAGAAGCAGAGCCAGGCATGACAGGGACCACTCTGTGGAGGGAGTTACCAACTCAGGCAAGGACTATAGGTGCCCAGTAAGCAAATACTTTTATTTTATGAGTCTAAACTCGTGGAAAGGATGGGCTATTGCTGATCTGTGAGCCTTGCTCAGAAACAACAGAGAACTTCTAAATGGACACAATGTCTTAAAACACGCACTTGTGAGGAAGACGGGGCTTTGCTTTAAGAAACAGATGGCAGAGGGCAATATCAGGAACGAGAGAGAGAGAGACTGACTCGCAGGCCAGAAAAGACAAATGTAAGTTAAAATTATGGAGTGGGAGGTGATGGGAATAGGTTAGTTAATTTGAGAAGGCAAGCCTTCAGAGCGCTTATAGGATCTGTGTTAAAAAAATTTTTTTAAACTAATAGATTGGTTAAATCTCTGGATGGGAGTAATACAGATGATCTGAGTAGGAAAACGAAGTGGAATTCCTGAGGACTACTGTGCAAGGCTTTGTGCCTTCTACTTTCGTGAGTATTCACAGAAATGATGCAATCAGGCTCTGAGAAAATGGAATTGGGATTCTGCTCCAAGATGGGCAGCATCACTTCCCCAAGGGATTTACCCAGCACTGAAATCAACAGGAAGAGTCACCTTATGTGGTTTCACTGGATCAACACATGGGAAAAGAAGCACTTACTACAGATTCTGGTACCAAACATAAATAAGGAGGTGGGGGGTGAGGGGACAATTTATGATCAAGATAAAACATACTGGAAAACTGCTAAAATAAGAAATGTATTTAAAGGGGAAAAGATTTCAAGAATGATTTCCAGTTGTATTTAAAGCGGAAACTCCTAATCATAACACGATGCCACTAAGGTGAGAAGCGCGACACCCACCACCACCAGCACCACCACAATGCATTCCAAATCACCAGTGCTACCGTTGCTGGGGGGAAGGATAACTTTCAAAAGTATTTTTTCCCCAAACGTTTACAGTGAACCTATTTACTTATAATCAGAAAAAAACTGAAAACCTTAATACTTTAACACATTTCAAAAGAAAGCAGCATTGATTCATAGAAAATGGGCTACGTTCACATAACCATGCCTGTTCTATGCCAGTGATGGCCCCTCAACAAATGTCAATGCCCTTCTCTTTCCAGGCTCTTTATGAGATTATAAATTGTTGAGTGACTTTTGAGAAATTGTGTCCAATTTGAGAACTCTGATTCCAATCCATTTTTACTTAAACACAGGCATTTTTTGCTTAATATCCTAAAAACAAACTAAGATTAAAAAAAAAATCTGTCAAAAAAGTTAAAACACTGATTCTGAATGACTAGAAAGAATGTTAACGTAATTCCTGTGACATTACCGAGAACCCTCTAGCCAGTTGACATGCTGAACTTGTCTGCAAACAGTTTATCTTAGAGAAATTATCCAGTGGCAGGGAAACAATCCCCAAGTGGTTGAAAAAGAAAAGTCAATACACATTTTTAAAAAGTAGGTTCTGGCTGGGTGTGGTGGCTCACGCCTGTAATCCCAACACTTAGGGAGGCCGAAGCAGGTGGATTCCTTGAGCCCAGGAGTTCAAGACCAGCCTGGGCAACATGGTCAGACCCCAGTCTCTACCAAAAAAAAAAAAAAAAAAAAATTAGTCGGGTGTGGTGGTGCGTGCTTGTAGTCCCAGGTACTCAGGAGGCTGAGGTGGGAGGATGGCTTGAGTCCAGGAGATTGCACCACTGCACTCTAGCCTAGGTGATAGAGCAAGACTCTGTCTCAAAGAAATAATAAAAAGCAGGTTCTAGCCTGTTAGAGGACTTTCATAAATCTTTATTTAGAAAGGCAAAGAAAACATTTTTCAAGTGATTTAGTTATAATTTGGTAAGAAAACAATCCAGTACACCACTGGTTAACAGTGAGTGAGATTACAATGGAGAATGACATCACAAGCAATATTTACCTGCTACATGTTCAACTTTTCAAAATAAACATCTGTGACTTTTGTAACAAAATATTAAAGATACTTACACAAAGGAAAGGGAAACAGCTTGGCAGCTTCCCACCACAGGGCCTTTGCACTTGGGGTGCCGCCACACTGCTCCTCAGTCCCTGCCCAACCCCACTTCTCCAGCTATATAGATTTCCTTGTTATACATTTTAACCCTTAACGTTTCTCAGCATGGTGCTTATTACAACCATACTCACTACTCTGTGTAATTATCTGGTAACACCTGCCTTCCCTACTAGCTAAGACACACTTTTTTTTTTTTTTTTTTTTGAGACAAACTCTCACTCTGTTGCCCAGGCTGGAGTGCAGTGGCTCAATCTCAGCTCACTGCAACCCCTGCCTCCCGGGTTCAAGCGATTCTCCTGCCTCAGCCTCCTGAGTAGCTGGGATTACAGGCGCGCACCACTATGCCCGGCTAATTTTTGTATTTTTAGTAGACACGGGGTTTCACCATGTTGGTTGGGCTGGTCTTGAACTCTTGACCTCGTGATTTGCCCACCTCGGCCTCCCAAAGTACTGGGATTACAGGCGTAAGCCACTGCACCTGGCTTTATTTCCATGTTTTGGCCGAATAATCCTGCTGTGAACGTGGGTGTACAAAATACCTGTTTGAGTACCCGCTTTAATTCTTTTGACGATATACCCAGAAGTAGAATTGCCGGGTCATATGGTAATTCTATGCTAAACTTTTTCTTTTTAGATGGAGTCTTGCTCTGTCACCCAGGCTGTAGTGCAGTGGCACGATCTCAGCTCACTGCAACCTCCGCCTCCTGGGTTCCAGGGATTCTCCTGCCTCAGCCTCCTGAGTAGCTGGGATTACAGGTGTGTGCCATCACACCCAGCTAATTTTTGTATTTTTAGGAGAGACGAGGTTTCACCATGTTGGTCAGGCTGGTCTCGAACTCCTGACCTCGTGATCTGCCTGCCTCGGCCTCCCAAAGTGCTGGGATTACAGGCGTGAGGCACCGCACCCGGCCCCATACACTTTCATATCATTAGAATCCAGCACAAGACCAGACATAGGTCCATTCATATCACCTTCCCTTTCTATTCTCAAACCAACTGCTACACATAAGCAGAATCGGTTTTTAGTTTTCTCCTAAATGTGAAATCACAAAAGGACTTGACATCAAAGAATTCCAAATCGGTCTTTATCAATGGCTATTCCAAAGCCGTCTGCAATCAATATTGCAATAACTAAGGCTCCACGGAATCCTATGGTATCAATCCCAGCGATGAGGCCAATAAAAGAAGCCCTGCAAAGCTATCAGAAGCATTTGTGACCAATATTCCATCATAACACCATTAACACTGCTTGACAGGGCAATTTCTCAGTTGCTAATTTGTTAGAAAACTACCACGAATTCACGTTCATACCTGTAACCTTAAAACTTGCTCCTATAAACATTGTTGTCTCACCTGAGAAGCTAGGTGACTTGTCAGAGTAGTTCAACGGGGTGTTAGTATTATGAAAAGAGAAAGGCCTCAGGGTTTTCATTTCCCTGAATTCACAATTATGCTTCTACCTAAGGCAGAGCCTTTACTTTAAAATTAGAGCTGTCACGCTAATTCAAATGGTAATCAGGTATCTAGAACCATCAACTCCATAGCAAAGAATACGTCTCTATACTCCTAAAATAATTACAAATGTCCATGATATTATCATTCCTACTTTCCTTCTCTAGCTTTCATAGGGTCAAGCTTGGATGCATTTTGCTTCACCCAATTCAACAGCTTTCCCAAGTACCCTCAGGTGGTAATGCCCTCACTCAGGCCACCAAGAGAATAGCGTCTGAAGCTGAGCAGTTTACCTACCACCAAGGTAGAATGCTTCACCCACTGCCCTTTCAGAATAAAACGATGGCCACAGACACCATCACTAAGTTTTGAAAAAGACTAAACTTGTTGAGCTAACAGCTCTAAAGCAGACTGTAGTATGGTGGAAAACGGCCCCCAAAGACATCGGCTCCTAATCTCTGGAGCCTGTGAATGCTACCTTATAAGGAAAATGGTCTTTGAAGATGTTATAAAAAATTTTGAGATAAAAGAGATTATCCTAGATTATCTGGGT
Organism: Homo sapiens; assembly: GCF_000001405.40. Taxonomy (NCBI): domain Eukaryota; kingdom Metazoa; phylum Chordata; class Mammalia; order Primates; family Hominidae; genus Homo; species Homo sapiens. The sequence continues at coordinate 68,204,368 of NC_000011.10, forward strand.
AAGCCTTAAATGCCACTCAAATGACTTTATAAGAGGCAGAGGGAGATTTGACACCTCACAAAGTACAGAAGGTGAAGCAGACTGGAGTGATGTGGCCACAGGTGAGGGAATGCTGCAGCCCACCAGAGGCTGGAAGAAGCAAAGAGCAGCTTCCCTCCACAGCCCTGCCAACGCCTTGACTTTGGCCCAGTGAAACTGATGTTGAACTTCTGGCCTCGAAAACCGTGAGAGAATAAATTTCCGGTTTTTTTTTTTTTTTTTTTTTTTTGACACAGAGTCTCACATGTTGCCTAGGCTGGAGGCAGTGGTGCGATCTCAGCTCACTGTAACCTCCACCTCCCAGATTCCAGCAATTTCTCCTGCCTCAGCCTCCTGAGTAGCTGGGATTATAGGCACCTGCTGCCACGCCAGGCTAATTTTTGTATTTTTAGTAGAGATGGGGTTTCGCCATGTTGGCCAGGATGGTCTCGAACTCTTGACCTCAAGTGATCCGCCCACCTTGGCCTCCCAAAGTGCTGGGATTACAGGTGTGAGCCACCGTGCCCAGCCCATTTCTGTTGTTTTAAGCCGCTAAGTTTATGGAATTTGTTACAGTGACCACATAACAGAGATTATGAAAAACTAAACCAAAGTAGAAACGCTTTACAGTTACCACACTCCAAAAATACATAAAATTCCAACATGTCACAGGAAAAAAGATTTTAAACAACTTTTAAAACAGTGTATTTAAAACAAGTTTTAAAAGACTGGGCAACAAAGTGAGACCCTCATCTCTACCAAAAAAAAAAACAAAAAAAACAAGTAGCCAGTTGTGCTGCTGCGCAACTTCAGTCCCTGCTACTCAGGAGGCTGAGGCTGAAGGATCATGGGAGTCCAGGAGGTAGAGGCTGCAGTGAGCTATGATCATGCCACTGCACTCCAGCCTGGGTGACAGAGTGAGACCTCACCTTTAAAAACATAAATAAATAAAAAGTTTAAATCATACACTATCCTTCAACTGAAGGTATAAAATGCAGCTACTGAGTTATATAGATTTTGAAAATAGAGCCAGCCTCTTAATTACACCTCTGATTACTCACACACTTGCTAGGCCAGATAACCATGATCTTCCTGAATAGCATTGTAATTGAACATTTTTCTATTTATATTAAAACTTACAATAAAAACTGAAACTATTAGAATTTCTCATTGAGCAAAACATTTTAAGGAGCAAACTATCCACTACTGGTAAGTTTATGATCAGACATTCGCAATTCTTTTTTTTTTTTTTTCAGACGGAGTCTCACTCTGTCCACCAGGCTGGAGTGCAGTGGCATGATCTCAGCTCACTGCAAGCTCCACCTCCCGGGTTCAAGCCATTCTCCTGCCTCAGCCTCCTGAGTACCTGGGACTACAGACACCCGCCACCACAATTAGCTAACTTTTTGTATTTTTAGTACAGACAGGGTTTCACCGTGTTAGGCAGGATGGTCTCAATCTCCTGACCTCGAGATCCACCCACCTCGGCCTCCCAAAGTGCTGGGATTACAGGCGTGAGCCACCGCGCCCGGCCAGACGTTCGCAATTCTTAGACTTACTTATTTGGCTACTGATCTACAGCCAGACATGTAAGAAACTCCTAATTGCCTTATCACAGAAAATACTGCTTCATTCTTAAATATCACATTCAATACGTATTTACGACGAGGGATGTCATGTAAGAAAGACTTCATGTCTTCATCTCAGTAGTTATTTTAAAACAAAGGTTTTCACTGATGGGGTTGTTGAGGGAAAGTCCTCAAAAAAACTTCCAGAAGAAAACAAAAAATGCCTGCTTCCCCCATCTCTCCACATTTGATCCATCTGCTTACCTAGCAGTGCCTAGAAATAAAATCAAGGATGCTTTCTTTGTTACTGTTTTCTCTAGGACTCAAACAGCCATTCACGGTTCTAGAAACAGATGCCACCTAGTGTCAAATGACTGTAAGTACAGCCTTTACAGCCCACAGTTTCTGTCAGAAGTTACAAGAAGTACATCAAAGATTTTTACTGGGCAAGGACAAGTGTGAGGAAAAGCTTCCAAAAGGTGGTTCTTGGGCTGGACGTTAGAGGCCACTTTGAGTTTGCCAGCTGGTGGGCTTTGCAGAGGCAGCCCGCACAGGGATTAAGGATGTGGCTCTGCAGTCAAAGCACCTGTCCCACCCTAGCTTCATCCTTACCCCAGCAGTGTGAGCAGACGAGTTATTTAACTTCACCGATGCCCCACCAGTACAATGAAAAGAAGGCCTCCCTAGGTTTGGCACAAGATATTTTAAATGAGCACAAACTGCTAACAAATTAAGGTCTCCCCTTCCAAGTAACTAAGGCAAAAGTAAAGCAGGCCAGAAACATTCTTCACAAAACTTTAATCAAGTAGAAATTTCCCTTCTATTCCCCACCATAACTCACACATGAAAAAAAAAATCTCATCACCTCACCCATTTAAAAAAGAACAAATGTGCAAAAGAATAATTATGACACAAGGCTGAGCACCAGTTCTGCTTTCCCTACAGTTCCCAAAGAGAAGGAATGTAACTTCTGGCTGCAACACGCATGATTAAAAATCATGCCAAGCAGCAGGGCACAGTGGCTCACGTCTGTAATCCCAGCACTTTGGGAGGCTGAGGCGGGCGGATCACGAGGTCAGGAGATCGAGACCATCCTGGCTAACACGGTGAAACCCCGTCTCCACTAAAAATACAAAAAATTAGCCGGGCATGGTGGCGGCTGAGGCAGGAGAATGGTGTGAACCTGGGAGGCGGAGCTTGCAGTGAGCCAAGATTGCGCCACTGCACTCCAGCCTCGGCGACAGAGCGAGACTCCGTTTCAAAAAAAAAAAAAAAATCATGCCAAGCTACATCTCCCATCCTAAACATTCAGAGGGACCACAGACTGGACTACAGAGCTTCTTACAACACAGTTTAGTTTGTGGTGTACCTGGTCAAACAGATTATTTTCACACCCTATAAAAGAAGATACAAACATCACTGCCCTTTAACACACACTCAATACTATCATCCCCATTTTACAAATGAGAACAAAACTCAGAGAATTAGAAAAAAAACTGAAGTGAAGTCCAGGCTGAGAGACTGTGTACTGTTAATATCACACAAAAAAGCAACACAGGCCAGGCACGGTGGCTCACGCCTGTAATCCCAGCACTTTGGGAGGCCGAGGTGGGCGGATCACGAGGTCAAGAATTCGAGACCAGCCTGGCGAACATAGTGAAAATCCATTTCTACTAAAAATACAAAAATTAGCCAGGCATGGTGGCACCTGCCCGTAGTCCCAGCTACTCGGGAGGCTGAGGCAGGAGAATCGCTTGAACCCAGGAGGCAGAGGTTGTGGTGAACCAAGATCGTGCCACTGCACTCCAGCTTGGGCAACAGAGTGAGACTCCATCTCAAAAAAAAAAAAAAAACAAACCAAAAAACAACACAGAATAATGACCCAAACAAATTTTTTATTTTTTTAGACGCTGTCTCGCTCTATTGCCCAGGCTGGAGTGCAGTGGCACGATCTCTGCTCACTGCAACCTCTGCCTCCCAGGTTCAAGGAATTCTCTGTCTCAGCCTCCCGAGTAGCAGGAATTACAGGTGCCCACCACCACGCCCAGCTAATTTTTGTATTTTCAGTAGAGACAGCGTTTCACCATGTTGGCCAGGATGGTCTTGAACTCCTGACCACGTGATTCACCTGTCTCGGCCTCCCAAAGTGCTGAGGTTACAGGCGTGAGCCATCACGCCTGGCCCCAAACAAATTTTTAAACACACTTCGCCCAAGCCAGGCACGGTGGCTCACGCCTGTAATCCCAGCACTTTAGGAGGCCGAGGCGGGAGGGTCACGAGGTCAGGAGTTCAAGACCAGCCTGGCCAACATGGTGAAACCCCGTCTCTACTAAAAATACAAAAGTTAGCTAGGCGTGGTGGCATGTGGCTGTAATCCCAGCTACTCGGGAGGCTGAGGCAGGAGAATTGCATGAACCGGGACCTGGGAGGTGGAGGTTGCAATGAGCCAAGATCGCGCCACTGCACTCCAGCCTGGGCAACAGAGTGAGACTCTGTCTCCAAACAAACAAACAAAAAAACCACTGTGCCCCATATTTGAAGAGTAAAACTCTAGAGCAAAATAGACATCGTTCCTGACTGCATAGAGGTCAGAGCATACTATGGGAAGAGATGTAAGTAAGTATGTGGTTATCAATCTGATGCGAGCTGTAAGAAAAACAAACAGGATGTTAGGAGAGAGACTAATGTAAGAATGGACTTGAGATGGGATGATCAGGGAAATATAAATCAAAATTGTAAATATAAAAACAAGACCAGACATGGCAGCTCATCCTATAATCCCAGCACTTTGGGAGGCCAAGGCGAGATGATTGCTTGGGCCCAGGAGACTAAGGCTGCAGTGAACTGGGATTATGCCACTGCTCTCCAGCCTGGGAGGCTACAAGACCCTGTCTCAAAAACAAACAAACAAAAAATACCTTTTTTGGGTCAAAAGCCCTCCTGGTACTTATTTATATGCACCAAACAAATATTTGCTTTAAACCCTCCAGGACCCTGAATGACGTCTGGTTTTGTTTCCTTTCCAAGGGGGAAAGTGAAGGGGGGTTTCCTATGGTGCCACTGGCTCACTGGCTGAAGGATCAAGCCCCCTTTTACTTCTCAGTGAGGAAAGCTGCAGCTTCCTAAAATCAGATTGGTTTTCTTACTAAAAATATCTATTTCTCCATATGATGCAACATAAACATTGCCTCGAAAATAAAAATACTCCTCAGAGACCATTAAAATGTATCATACATTTCAACCGTGTTATACAAATCAGACAGGCAAAACAATTCATCGGGCCGACCTAGAATCCACTCAGTTCAACAAACTTATGAAGAACCTCCCAGAGCTGCCAGGCACTGTTCGTGGTGCTGGAATACTGGTCATGTCCAGGGAACACTAGAGGGCGTATGAGAGCTTCTACTTTCAGGAAAATCAGTCGTTGAGTCAGGGAAGAAAACCAAACAGATGCATAAGGGGAAAAAAAGTTAACAGGGTAGAAAAGTACAGACTAGGAAGCAGAATGACCCTTCACTGAATGGGCCTTTTGCGTAAGGCCTGAGAAGCAAGCCGAGTGCCATTAGAGATGTGCTGACCAGGCATTCCTATAAAGGTGGCACAAGGTAGAAACACAGGTGTCACAACACACACATTCGGTTTCTACTGGTTCCCCTAACATGCAGGACTCGGGATTCGCTAGCTCAGCAACCCTATCAGGTGAAACAGGTATTAGCACTACAACAAGGAGGCTAAAGCTCAGAAACAAATTGCTTTCCTAAACTCAAAGTGCTACTAAGTGGTAAGGGTGGGTCTAAAACCTTCATCTTTAAACTGCAGTCTGGGGTTTACTCCAGTGCTTGAGCCACGTGTACCACCTAGAGGTTTATCACCAGCAAATGATCCCCGGATCTAGGTACTGTTTTCTTTCCCCCTTTTTTTTTTTTTTTAAGAGACGGAGTCTTGCTCTGTCGCCCAGGCTGGAGTGCAGTGGAGCCATCTCTGCTCACTGCAACCTCCAACTCCCGGGTTCACACCATTCTCCTGCCTCAACCTCCGGAGTAGCTGGGACTACAGGCTAATTTTTGTATTTTTAGTAGAGACGGGGTTTCACCGTGTTAGCCAAGATGATCTCAATTCCTGACCTCGTGATCCACCCGCCTCGGCCTCCCAAAGTGCTGGGATTACAGGCGTGAGCCACCGTACCCGGCCGGTACTGTTTTCTTTAGTGTGCTATTACAACAGACAAACTAAGACAGCTTATAGAAATGCAACTGGCATTGTAGGAGTCATACAGGCCCCCAATCAAGCTTTGGGGGGGGGGACACTGATACCCTAGTCTCTCAATTCTAAAACCCAACTGATTAACTATCTCATAATGACATTTCAAAAAAAGGAGGTAAAACTACATGAAACATGCAGATGAACTAAGGTGATTAGAGAGATGTCAAAATATGATTAAAATAATTATTAGGAGAAAATAGGATGGCAGTGAAGTGTAAAAGATGAAGCATTAATACAATTTTGGATTGGAAGTGACCTCAGAGTCGTTTTGTAGACGGAGTCTAGGCCCTATCAATGACTTATACAAACAGTGATAGAGCAGAGAATGGAATAAGAATTGATTCTTATTCCATGGTCCTTCAACTATTCCTAAAATTACACTTCTATACAGCAGTCATCATTTGACATACGGCCCTAGAAGATGGCCTGGTGTTCAAGTCTGTCTCATTCGGAGACCGGCTAGCCCCAAATCAACCCCATCCAGACACATAATGGATCACCCCCTGCATTTACTTAACATGCAGTATTGTAGCTAACAGGGTGATGGAGCGGAGGGAGGACACATGGTCCCTATCGTCAAAAGTGTGAGGAAGATTCTTAACCATCAGAGCGTTCTAAGGCTGACATAGTCGGGGAACTCCTGACCACGGAGAAGGATTTTGCCAATGGAGAGATTTGCCAATGTAAAGCTCATACATGGTACACAGAAACACGAAATAATGGGACCACGGCGATTTATCTGAAAGGATTTGCTCTGTAAGCCATGGGAAGGGCATTCCTGTGGACAGGGAGCTGCTTAGATGCCACACACACAAATCTCTTTATCACACAACCTGGCCACGAACCCAGGCCCTATAAACCCACAAACTGATAATCAGGTAAAGGAAAATCAGATTCAACCTCCTTTTTAAATAACCCAAGAGAAAAATCACCAACATCCCCCACCCACTAAATTCTCTGCTGAAAGACACGCAGACACCGGGACACTTCCTTCACACGCGTCTCTCCCTGTCAGAGTCCGCTACCCTCCATCCACCTCCACCTTCCCCACTACTGTCCCCTGGCATTTGCTGCGAGAATAAAAAGTTCACTGCATGAGCAGTTCAGGGTGTTTGGGAAAGCAGATGAAAATAAAGGCGCGAGAGCACTTGGAAATGATCATGGATAAAGAATCAAGCCCTACCCTACTCTCTTATTGAAGAAATATCTACCATATTCCCTTCACTCTCCAGCTCAGTTTTTAAAATATAATTATGTTTGTAAACAACATTAAAGTGGATTTATTTTGAAAAACTAATACAAACTATTAAGCTTGACAACTTGGAGATTAATAAATTAACCCATTCATTAAGGGTCTATGAGCACCTACTCTGTACCTGCCCGTGGGCGGACGAGATAACAAGAGACTCAAAAACTCACGAGTAACCACCCCAACGGCTGTGTGTGTGAAGGTTTCACCAGGAAGCAACATTCTCACGGGGCCTTTCTGAAGGACAAGAGTGTACGGGGTGGAGAAAAGGGGTGGAGGAATGCCGGGCAGGGCACGGCCGACAGGGACCAGGTATGGGAAGCTATTGGAGCCAGAGCTTGGGAGAGGGACCAGAATGTCGAATGTTTAGAGATTACAAAGTGAAAAATGGGCTGGAGTTCCCACACAAGCCGGGATTAGAGCGTTTGTGGACTCTAACCTGGGAATATAAGGCGCTCCAAGAGGGACAGGGCCACACCTCTGGTTCAAATTGCTAAACCTTCAGATACACAATAAATCTGTATTTACAGCAAGCGGCAATTTATGTATTTCAACATGCACACATTATCTGTAATTATTTCAGGTAAAAATGGTTTCCTCCTCTTTTGAAAATACTTCTTTTTACTACTAATTATCAATATTATAGGCGTGTTCTCAATATTAAAGACTAAAGGAAAAAAGTTATAGCTGGCAACTGCTTCCTCTAAAGATCCTACACAGCAAAGTTCAGACCTGTATGGCCATCCTCAACTACACTTTATATCAAACTGGTTTAAATCGAAAAAGGTCCACATCACAAAGAACCACAATCAATCAAATTAATTCACCTGCCCTCTATTCTAAGGAAAACTCCCCCCACTCCAGGTAAATTTCATTTGGCAAATTCTTAAAAATTAACTTCAAAGAACACATGTTCACCTCCCCAGTATTCCGAAAGTTCCACCACTTAATAAATCGTTAAGTTACTGTTCCAGACCCGGGTCCAATAAACCCAAATAGACTGAATTTCTCAGCACCCAACTTGTTTCTATCTTAATCCAGCAAGTTGCATCGAGTTGTCATTGTTCCTCCTTCCAAGGCGGAGGTGACAACGGTGCACATCATCCGCGAATACGTGGAAGGACAGACACACACCAGGGGACGCAGGGAGAGCGGATAAAGCACAAAGGGGACGCAGCGGCCGCGGGGTCGCCGGGCCACGGCCAGGGGCGCCGTCGGGGAGGAGGGTGGGCTGCAGGACGAGCTCGGGAGGGCTCCGAAATGCGCTCGGGCCAAAACAAAAACAAAAAGTTCAGCGCGGCAGTGGGAGCAGATTGGGCGAGACGGTTCACGGCTGCCCATTGGAGAAAAGGGAAAACAGAGTCCCCCAATCGCGAGCGGCGGGGCTGCTCCCCTCGTGCGGCCGCGGGCCCGGCCCCGACGCTGCCCGGCGGCCGCTACCGCTCCCTTCCGGCCGCGGCCACCACTGCAGGCCCCGCGCCGGCCCCGCACCGGCCCGGCCGCAGCCCCGCCCCCCGCGCCCGGCCGCTTGCGCCCGGCCCCGGCCCCACCCGCCCTGGCCCCGGAGCCCTGCGACCGGCCTGGGCCCGCGGTCCCCCACGTCCCTGCCCGCCCCGTCACCGAGGCCGCCCCCCGCACACCCTCGCCGGCGCCCGCCCCTCCCCCGACTCACCGCCTGCGCCGCCCCGCTCCTCCTCGGGGCGCGTCCCAGGCCCCGCTGCCCGGCCGCTGCGATGCGGGGCCGCGCCGCCGGGCCCCGCGTCCCAGTCCCCCCCAGAAAATTAATCACCAAAAATAATTCCAGAGAAAAATGGAGAGTAAAATCCAAGATGGCGGCGCGGGCCGCAGCACCGCTCGCTCCCTCCGCTGACGGGAAAAATGAGTCCCCGCAGCGTCCGAGCCCCCCGCCCCCAACCGGCCGCCGCCGCCGCCGTCGCGCCCCCCGCGCCCCCGGCCTCGGCTCGCTGCGCCCCCGGCGCCCGCCCCCGCGCCCCGCCACCCGGGGCCTCACCTCGCCTCGCGCACGGCCGCCCGTACGAAAACCGTCCGCCGGCTTCAGGACTCCGCGTCCCAGGTCCGTGCGCCGCGCGGTGCCGCCTCCGGTTCCCGGGCGTCCTCACCTCATCGCCCCGCTGCCCTGCCGCCCGCACCGCCGCCGCGTCGCCGCCCCCGGTGAGCCGCCTGGACCCCGCCCGGGCACGGTGGAAGGATACGAAAAGAAGGCCGCGGCCTCGACGGCGGAGGGACACCGTGCGGCGCAGCTGCCACAGTGTGCGCGCGCCTCCCGCCAGGCCCAGCCGCCGCGGCGCTTCCACGGGGCTCTGTGCGGGACGCGGGCACGCGCGGGGAGCGAGTTCTGTGCCGGGCGCTCCCGACGGCGGAGGGACAAAGGGCGATTCAGAGCGAGCCGTCGCCTCCCCTCGTGGCGGAGGGATTCGCGGCCGGCCGGTAGGCGGCTGGGATCCCTCCGCCCTCGCTGCCCTTTAAATCGCGGCTGAGGCGGCGTCGCCCGCGCCCCGCGGGCGCCACGTTAGGGTCCCCTGCGGCCCTTACGCGACCGCATTCCGGTCCCGGTCCCCGCGGGACCGCGGCAGCTGTCCCGGGCCCTGGGTCTTTGCACACCTGCCCCTACCAGGGACGGCTCTAGAGCCAGCCTCTCGGACTGCAGCCCTGGGGAAGGGGACCCCCCCCCCTCCCGCCGCGCGTCCCAGTTGCTCCGAGGGAGGTGGCCCCGGGCAGACGAGCGTTTTTGTTGTGGGAATGGGGGTCACTGGCAGCAGATGCACCCTAAGACCGTGTGGGCAGGCTGAGCGTTCCTGCGCGGAGCATGCGAGGGAGGAGGAGAGCGGGCGCGCCTTGGCCTGGCCCCCCGCGGGCCCCGCCGCCCCCAGCACCCACTATGTGCCCCGCGCCGTGCTCCGCTCCACTCCGGGTGTGCCCTGCGCGCTGGCCGTGCGATCCCTCCTCGGGGATCCCGGGCTGGCGGGGAGATCCTGAGGGACCGGGCCGCCTGCGAGCCGGGGAGCTGCGAAGCTTGCCTGGGCATCGATCTTGTAGTCCAGACAACAGAACGATGAGCGCGCTCCCGGCCCCTGCGGGGCTGCCCAGGGTCTCCGCGCATCCTCCCTCTCACGCGTCAGGACGACCCCCGGAGGTGGGGGCCATGTGGGTGCCACTTTACACCTAGGGAAACTGAGGCACAGGGAGTTCCGTGACCTCTATGACAACTAGTCAGGGCTTGAGCCAGAGCCCTCTTTCAGCATTCGGGTGAAAAATGCAGAATAAATCAGGAAGCGGGTGCGGAGGACCTCCAAGAAGTTGAGGTTGGCATAGGCGTGCACATGCCTGGAACTTGGTGCCGGCAGGTGCCCAAGGAAGCGCAGACCTGGAGTGTGAATTGGAGCGTGTTGGGGAAAGGGGGTGCCTAGGATATGGGCGGGTAGTGGGACCAGCCAGTGTCAAAGCCCTGGGAGGGGAGAGAGGCTGCCCTTGCCACAGAGAGGAGGCGGGCAGGGCAGGCAGCTCAGTCAGATGCCAGGAAGAGCCGCAGCCTGCCTTAGTTTTCCCCTGCGGCTCCAGGGCCATCATCCTCCACAAAGGATGATGAATCGAGGCTGTGGACGACCACCCAACACAAGAACTGGACTAAGTCCAAGTAACACTGACGCACAGCGCCTCCCTCGTTTGCCCTCATTCTCGACCTTGACTTTGGCTGGTAGACATGATGCTCATTACCGCCTTCCACAGAGGGAAACTGAGGCACGGTGACTCGCTGAGGGCACATGGCTGACGGAGGCAGAAGCGGGTCTCATCTTCAAAACAGAGCTCCTCCCACTGCCTTCACCTGCCCTATCAGCAGCTTCCTCCTTTTGGAGGCCGATTCGGGTGTGGGCGGTGGGCACAGCCCAAGCACTTCTCCTGTCTGCCCTTTCACTAAAAGCAGCGTCATCTGTGGCAGCAGAATCCACTCTGCCACGTTCGTCTTTGCAGACGCAACTAACAAATGATTGCTTTGGTGTTCTTGGTTTCTGGTTTATCAGAAACTTTCCAAGATTTTCGTAGTGCCTGGCTCCAAATACTCAACTTGCACCCCAGAAACACTGAGCCTGCCTTTGCCACCCACCACCACCGAATGCCTATGGGAGGCGAGCTCACTAGGGGAATACCATCTGCCTCTAAGTCGACCTTGGTCTCAGGTCCCAAGTCCAGCTATGCCTGAGCAGCCCTCCAGAGCCCCCAAAGCCGATGTCCTGCCCACTCCCAGCTTTCCAGAGCCCACCCCAGCATAGAGGTGCTCTCCATGTGCCCTTCAGGGTGAACGCCAAATCCTGAGTCCTGTGAAGCCCCCATACTTCCAAGATGCAGACACTTCCATGTGTTCACTGCCTGATGCCAAGTCAAGTGTTCTGGACATTTCCTTGCAAGGCTGGGCCCACAGCCTGGCAGGGATACAGATGAGCAAACCCAAGCCCAGCCTGCTCCCAGGCCCCCAGTTCTGTGTGCATTCCTCCCTCAATCCCCCTACGTTGCCAGCTGCTCTTCCAGCCTCAGCTGAGAGGCCCAGGGTGGGCCAGGGCTCCTGGCAGAGCTGAATTGGGGTTCAGGACCTTGGTGGAGCCATGCAGGGGGCTTGAGGCCTTTGGGGGTCCCCACTCAGGGAAGCCAGGGCTAGGCTGGGCTGAGAGCACAGCCCAGGAGAGCCCTTCCTAGGGAGACTCCCACAGGAGAGGCCAGTTGGAGGCTCCTCCTGCCAGCTGGCAGGGGAGGGAGAGCAGGAAGTAGGCAGCCAGGCACCTGCCCAGTCCTGTGTGTCAGGAGCCTTTGGCATTTACACTGGGAGAGCTCTAGGCACCCCAAAGTGGAAGAGCTGAGCCACAGAGGCTGGGGGGCCTCCCCAGCCTGGCCGGACCAAAAGGGATTAACAGCTCTAAAGAAAGACCGAGTCAGCGGAAGGGGCCCGGCTGGCCCCGGAAGCACCGTGAGGCTGGCCAGGAGTGCCAGCCTAGCCCGGAGCTGGCCTAGGAGTGGCACGCTTGCCAGGGCACTGACTGAGGCCATGGAGTCTATTTTGGTCTCTCTAGCAGGTCTGGCTCTGGTGTGTCCAGGGGCACTCCAGCCTAGTGCCACCCACCCTGCTATGCTCTCTCGCTCCCTTTCCTCGAGTGCCAGGTTCACTCAGTGACAGGATGGCAGGGATTCACTTGCTTTGATCCTGTGCTTACTGGGATGGCCCACAGGTCACGTTGACCCCAGAATTCCAGGCTGGAGGCAGGTTGCTTTTCATTGTAAAGCGATATGTTGGCTTTCGTGCTCCGCACATGCGTCTGCCCCAGTCCCCACCCCGCCCGGAAGCTAGGACTCCTCTGATGGGAGCAGGTGTCTGAAACCGGAGGGAGAGTGGGGCGTACCCGGCTTTCCCAGTGGCCCCTCTGGGCGGCTGGCGGGTTTCCTGGTCACATTCCTGAGCACCACTACCCCCGGCACCATTCTTGCTTTCCACCTGCCCCTCCACTGCCACTGTCCTTGAATAGAAGAAGAAACAGCCACTGAAGCCGGGCGTGGTGGCTCACGCCTGTAATCCCAGCGCTTTGGGAGGCCAAGGTGGGCATATCACCTGAGCTCAGGAGTTTGAGAACAATCTGGCCAACATGGTGAAACCCCGTCTCTACTAAAAATACAAAAATAACTGGACGTGGTGGCGCATGCCTGTAATCCCAGCTACTCAGGAGGCTGAGGCAGGAGAATGGCTTGAACCCGGAAGGTAGAAGTTGCAGTGAGCCGAGATCATGCCAGTACACTCCAGCCTGTTTTTTGAGACTCTGTCTCAAAAAAAAGAAAAAAGAAAAAGAAACAGCCACTGAAAGGTCAAGTGACACACACGAGACCCCTGGTCAACAGCAGCAAGACTGTACAGCAGCTGCCAACAGAGGTTGGCACGAGTCTGACCTGGGTTTGAATCCTAGCTCTGCAGTTTACCAGCCATGGGATTTGGGACAAATGATGTAGCCTGTCAGCCCACCATTCCTTTACCTGTGAAAATGTCCATTCCTTGGACCTGTCTTAGTAAGTTCCTCTATAGCTTTACAATTGTTTATGTGCTTCAGATGCTCAAATTCTCTCTCCAGCCTGGACTTCTCTGAACTTCAGACAACACTACTTCGATGCTTAATAGGCATTTCAAATATAACACGGCTAACCTGGGGGACACACGAAAGCAAAACCCTCTCCTCACACACCCTTCCACCTCTTCAAACAGGTACCGTTCCACCACTCAGGTCCAGGTCCAGGACATAGTTTTCTTTTTTTTTTTCTTTCTTTCTTTTTTTTTCTTTTTTTTTTTTTTTTTTTTTTTGAGACGGAGTTTCACTCTTGTCGCCCAGGCTGGAGTACAGTGGTGCACTGTCGGCTCACTGCCACCTCCACCTCCCAGGTTCAAGCAGTTCTCCTGCCTCAGCCTCCTGAGTAGCTGGGATTACAGGCGTGTGCCACCGCGCCCGGCTAACGTTTGTATTTTTAGTAGAGATGGAGTTTTGCCATGTTAGCTAGGCCAGTCTCGAACTCCTGATCTCAGGTGATCCGCCTGCCTTGGCCTCCCAAAGTGCTGGGATTACAGGCGTGAGCCTCCATGCCCGGCCAAGACCTAGTTTTCATTCTTCCTTTGTGGCTTCAGGGTTCTTTCTCCTTAGCACATACGACAGCTCTAGCATTCTGTATCTTTCAGTATTCATCCTAGGGCTGACTCTCCTTTTAGACTATCAGCTTCTCAAGGGCAGGGAGCTTTGTCTGTCTCATTCATTGCTGTGTCTTCAGCATCTGGAACCACCCCTGGGGACAGAGTGTTGAGGCTTCTATGCTTTTGCTGAAGGGAGGGAGGGAGGAAGAGGGAAAGATAATACTAACTTTCCAGGGTTGCTACAAGGATAAAGGGAGGTGCAAGGGGCTCTGTAATCACTCCCCAAATTCTGGGGGCTCAATCTTGCTTTGTTGACAAGGCTTCTCCACCACCCACCCCACAAGATGTGTAGCGTTCCAGCTCACGGGTGCCCTGGGGGTTGTGTGCTCAGCACCCACCTGGGGCAGTGGGACAGGCACCAAGAAAATTTCCCTGTCACTGAGGATGTTGTTCCTTTGGGATCCCATCACACACCTTTTCATCTCCCCTCCCCCAAATAAAACTCAGCCCTAACCAGCCCTCTCTAGAAGCAAACACAGAGAGGACTGACAGCAGCTGGCAAAGGTTTCCTCATGGGCACGGGGAGCTTTGTTTTTTTATTATTACTATTATTTTTTAATAATTTCTGGCCAGGTGTGGTGGTTCACACTTGTAATCCCAGCACTTTGAGAGGCCGAGGTGGGCGGATCACTTGAGGTCAGGAGTTTGAGACCAGCTTGGCCAACATGGAGAAACCCCCTCTCTACCAAAAATACAAAAACTAGCTAGGTGTGGTGGCATGTGCCTGTAGTTCCAGCTACTTGGGAGGCTGAGGCACAAGAATCGCTTGAACTCAGGAGGCAGAGGTTGCGGTGAACCGAGATCATGCCACTGCACTCCAGCCTGGGTGACAGAGCGAGACTCCATCTCAAAAAAAAAAAAAAGAAACAAAATCAAAAAAATGAGATGTTACAACTGAAGCAGTTTTGATTTAACCCATTATGGGTGATGTCCACTTGGGTTACCCGTCATGTGGTTTAGGGGTGTCCAGGCTTCCCCATCGTCAGGTCACTTGCTTGCCCATTGTCATAAATAAGTTTTCTGTGGAGAGGTTCACTGAGGGGATGTGAACATCATTCCTCACCACATTTTATATATATATACACACACACACACACACACACACACACACACACACATATATATATATATATTCTGGTATATATATATATATTCTGGTTTATATATATATATTCTGGTATATATATATATTCTGGTATATATATATTCTGGTATATATATATGTGTATATATATGTATATATATGTATATATATATGTGTATATATGTATATATGTATATATATATGTGTGTGTATATATGTATATATGTGTATATGTGTATATATATGTGTATATATATGTATATATGTATATATATATGTGTATATATATATATCAGAATGGATTTTTGGGTTCCTAGTTTTGTTCATTTGGTGTCTGTTCCTTCCTCTCTCCTCTTCTTCTTCCACCCTTTCTTTCTTCCTCTTCTCTTTCTCTATTTATTTCTCTCTTTCCCTCCCACTCTCTTTATTTCCTCCTTTACAGTTATTTGTGGTAGCTTTATTTATAGTAGCTGTAAACTGGAAACAACCCAAATGCCAACCACCAAAAGAATGGGTAGACAAATTGTGGTCTCTCCATGTGATAGAATCCTGTTCAGAAATAAAAAGGAACGGACCACTGTTACAAACACCATAGATGAATTTCAGAAACATTACATTGAGACAAAGACGTCAGAAACCATAGAGTAAAAATTGCTGGGTTCCAACAATGAGGTCGTGGAAGAGAAAAATCCCCTAATCTATGGTGATAGAAGTCCAAGGGGTCATTAGCTTCTGGCAGCTGGGATTGCCCATGAGGGGACATGAGAAACTGTGGTGAGATGGAAATCTCTGTTTCTGAGGGCTGATTGCCAGGGTGTGTATGTTGTGAAAATTCTCAAACTGTAAATCTAAGTTCTTTTTTTTTCTTTTCTTTGAGATAGAGTCTCACTCTTCCACCCAGGCTGGAATACAGTGGTGTGATCTCACTCCCTGCAGCCTCGACCTCTCTGGGCTTAGGTGATCCTCCCATTTCAGCCACCTCAGTAGCTGGGACTGCAGGCACTCACCACCACACCCAGCTAATTTTTTTTTTTTTTGGAGATGGTGTCTTGCTCTGTTGCCCAAGCTGGAGTGCAGTGGCACAATCTCAGCTCACTGCGACCTCTGCCTCCCAGGTTCAAGTGATCCTTCTGCCTCAGCCCCCCTAGTAGCTGGGATTACAGGTACGTGCCACCATGCCCGGCTAATTTTTATATTTTTAGTAGAGACGGGGTTTCGCCATGTTGTCCAGCCTGGTCTCAAACTCCTGACCTCAGATGATCCACCTGCCTCAGCCTTCCAAAGTGCTGGGATTACAGGCGTGAGCCACTGTGCCCAGCAACACCCAGCTAATTTTTTTGAAATTTTTTTGTAGAGATGGGGTTTCACCATGTTGTCCAGGCTGGTCTTGAACTCCTGAGCTCAAGCAATCCCCCCGCCTCGGCCTCCCAAAGCTCTGTGATTACAGGCGTGAGCCAAATCTAAAATCTGTGCAAATCACTGCTGCAAATTATGCACTCAAAAAAGAGGGAAATAATCTGGAGAAATGCTACTGCTCAATGAAAACTTCAGTTTTTCTATGACTTATCTTGACAAGCAAATTCTATAAAATAGTTTTTTCTCGGGTGTTTCCCAGACATTGCTTCTGAGAAGACCCAGGTTCATGGTACAGGTTCCAGGTTTAAGGTGCAGATGAGGAACCTGAAGAATCTTGTTCCTTCAGCCGAAGCACTGTTGGTGCCAATTATTGCTGCAGATATTTAAAGGGAGGAGGCGAGCTAGTCGTGGTGGCTCACGCCTGTAATCCCAGCACTTTGGGAGGCCGAGGCAGGTGGATCGCATGAGGCGAGGAGTTTGAGACCAGCCTGGCCAACATGGCGAAACCCCGACTCTACTAAAAAATACACACACACACACACACACACACACACACACACACACACACACACACAAACTAGCTAGGCATGGTGGTGTACACCTGTAATCCCAGCTACTCAGGAGGCTGATGCAGGAGAATTGCTTGAATCTGGGAGGCGGTGGTTGCAGCGAGCCGAGATCGCACCATTGGACTCCAGTCTGGGTGACAGAGTGAGACTCAGTCTCAATAAATAAATAAATAAATAAAAAAGGGAGGAAGAGAAACTGTCCCTGCTTCTAATAGACGTGCTGGAACCTTCTACCAGCATGCGAGCCTCCCTGCTGCAGGCCCCTCCAGTCACCTCCCAGCTGCTGCCTGGTCTGTGCTGATCTGGAAGCCTCCAGCCAATGCTGAGTTGACCTGGGTCTTCTCTGGCCGGGGTATGTGTGGTTTATGTGGAATCAGCCAATTTTGCTCTGTCTCATAATCATTCCCTTACATTACGCCTCATAGACACACTTTGGGGTATTGGCTTGTCCCTTGATAAATTCCAAGGGGTGGCATTTCCTGAGCCAAAAGTCCAGATGGTTTTCCTCTAGGGCATTCTGGGTGGCCATGCAGAGAGGGTGACTGGGGGCCTCAGCCCTGCATGCTCAGTGCACAGGGCTTCCCAGGCGGGGGCCATTAGAGACCTAGAAGCTCCCTCACCATGGGGACTGAGGGACTTAGGCTGTCTCTCCATATGGTGGTCAATGGGTGTCAACTTGACTGGGCCATGGGACACCCAGATAGCTGCGTAAACAAGATTTCTGGGCATGTCTGTGAGGGTGTCTCCGGAAGAGATTAGCCTTTGAATCGGGTGGACTGAGTCAAGCAGATGCCCGTCCCCCCCAGTGTGGGGGGCCTCATCCAACCCACTGGGGGCTCAAATAGAACACTAGGACTTCAACATATGAATTTGGGGAGGGGAGGGCACAAACATTCAGTCTATAGCAGAAAGGGAAAGGGGAGAGAAAGAGTAGAGTTTAATTTTTAAACCCTCCCTGGAAGTGAGAAAAATTAATTACAGCAAAGAAGAGAAAGCCAAGAGTTAAAATTCCAAATCTAAACAGGCTGCCAGGGGTTAGGCAGGGGAAGTGCTGGACACAGGGCCCGTGCTAGAAAAGCACAGTTATTGGCCGGGCACGGTGGCTCACGCCTGTAATCCCAGCACTTTGGGAAGCCGAGGAGGGTGGATCACGAGGTCAGGAGATCGAGACCATCCTGGCTAAAACGGTGAAATCCCATCTCTACTAAAAATACAAAAAATTAGCTGGGTGTGGTGGCGGGCACCTGTAGTCCCAGCTACTCGGGAGGCTGAGTCAGGAGAATGGCATGAACCTGGGAGGCGGAGGCGGAGGCGGAGGTTGCAGTGAGCCAAGATCACGCCCCTGCACTCTAGCCTGGCCAACAGTGCAAGAAAAAAACAAAACAAAACAGAAAAGCACAGTTATTGTGGCCACCCCATCAGGGGTTCTCTGACTCTCAAAACCAGGCCCTTTCCATGGGGACCAGTTGCTGCTGGGGGCAGGAGAGGCAGAAGTCCCTGGCCCCTGGCCTCTGGCCCCTGTTACACCTTCTGCCTCCTGTGTTTCCTTCTTATTCCTTCTGGGAACAGAGTTTCTAATAATAAAATATATCTTAAAGGCAAAGGTACTCCGGTAGGAGAGGGACCAGGGCTTGGTTCAGGCCTGCATTCTGCAAACAATTGCTTTCTTAATAAAAATAACAGGCCAGGCGAGGTGGCTCACACCTGTAATCCCAGCACTTTGGGAGGCCAAGGCGGGTGGATCACCTGAGGTCAGGAGTTGGTGACCAGCCTGACTAATATGGTGAAACCTCATCTCTACTAAAAATACAAAAATTAGCCAGGCGTGGTGATGCATGCCTGTAATCCCAGATACTCGGGAGGCTGAGGCAGGAGAATCACTTGAACCCGGGAGGCGGAGGTTGTGGTGAGCCGAGATCACGCCATTGCACTCCAGCCTGGGCAACAGGAGCAAAACTCTGTCTCAAAAAAAAAGAAAAAAGAAAAATAATAACGCCACACACACACATGTTCGTATTGTTTTTCACAACAGCCAAAAGGTGTACACAACCCAAGTGCCCATCAGTGGATGAGGCGTAAACAAAATACAATACACCCAAAGCATGGAAGAGTATTCAGCCTTAAAAAGGAAGGGAATTCCAACATGTGCTACAACGTGGAAGCATCTTGAGGACATTAGGCTGAGTGAAATGAGCCAGACATAGAGCACGAAACCGTGTGATTGCTCTTATGTGAGGTATGTAGGGTAGTCGTATTCACAGAAACAGAAAGTAGAATGGTGGGTGCCAGGGGCTGGGGAGGAGGAAATGGAGAGTTGTTTAATGGGGACAGTTTCAATTTTGTAAGATGAAAAGAGTTGTGTGGATAAAGTAATGATGACTGTAGCTCAACTATGTGAATGTGCTTAATACCACTGAACTATACACTTAAAAATGATTGAGGCCAGGCACGGTGGCTCATGCCTGTAATGCCAGCACTTTGGGAGGCAGAGACAGGCAGATCACTTGAGGTTAGGAGTTCCAGACCAGCCTGGCCAACATGATGAAACCCCATCTCTACTAAAAATACAAAAATTAGCTGGGCGTGGTGGCGGGCACCTGTAGTCTCAGCTACTCGAGAGACTGAAGTGGGAGAATCACTTGAACCTGGGGCGGGTGGAGGTTGCAGTGAGCCGAGATCACACCACTGCATGCCAGCCTGGGTGATAAAGTGAGACTCCATCTCAAAAAAAAAAAAAAAAAAAGACTGAGATGACAAATTTTACATTATGTGCATTTTCGCATAGTTTTTTTTTTTTAAAAAAACAAAACAGCAGCCAGTTCACTGAATTTCCACCATGTGCCATGACTGGGTAAGGCTCTGATAGAGAACATTGTGATCTGCATTTATAGATGGGGAAACTGAGGCTCGGAGTGGCTTACCCAGGGCCACACAGCCTTAGTGGCAGAGCTAGTGCGCTGACCCCTCTGTTGTGCGGCTGAGGTGTGAGAGTGCCCCCCGGCGCTGCATGAGCCGCCAGGGCTATGACTCCAACCTCCTTTGAAGGAGGACACTCTTAGAATCTCATCTGGGACCTCAATTTTTAGCATATTCTGTCCTCTTGTTGCAGAAGATGGGGTCCTTTTATTTTATTTTACTTTTTTGAGGGACGGAGTCTCACTCTGTTGGCCAGGCTGGAGTGCAGTGGTACCACCTCAGCTCACTGCAACCTCCACCCCCGCAGATTCAAGCAATTTTTGTATTTTTAGTGGAGATGGGGTTCCGCCACGTTGGCCAGGCTGGTCTCGAACTCCTAACCTCAGGCAATCCGCCCATCTCGGCCTCCCAAAGTGCTGAGATTATAGGCGTGAGCCGCCGAGCCCTGCCAGATGGGGTCCTTTTAAATGCTGTCCTGGGGGCTTTCTGGCCATTGCATTCTTTTGTGAGTTAAGAGTCGGCTGCTGAGTCTGCCGTCCAGTCTTTGGCGTCAGCTCACTACTGCCATGCTCTCCACCATCCTGGTGGCTACTGTTGCCTCCATGCCACTCAGGTGCAGGAGCAGCTCAGGCCCGTGCACCTTTCCCACCTATGTGCCACCTCAACACGTGAGCATCTTAGCATTGTGACGCTACAGCGGGCTGCAGCGATCGCCACTTTGCTCCTCAGCAGCAGGCACCCGGTGACCCTCTGGCTGGCAAATGAGCCCTTCTTAAGGGACTGCTTCCTAGGCCCACCTCTGATACCAGCTGTCTCAGGCTGGGTCCTCTAGAAGCAGACCCCGAGAATATGATTTGACAATGAGTCCTTTATTTGAGAAGTGATCCCAGGAAGCACCAGTTGGGGAGCAGGTGAGACGGGGATGGGGAAGAAGCCAGAAGAGATGGTGCATTCATAATCCGGTTACTGCTGCAGGCTCAATTCTGCTGGGATCCTCCAGGCAACTGTGAGGATGTGCTTCAGTGTTCTCCAACTGAGGCAAGAGAGCTGGGGTATTGATCCACCACTTCTGCCAGTCATGGGATTAGGGAAGCTCCCTGGGATTGCAGGCTTGTGCAGCCAGGGAGTGCCCTCGAGTTAAGGCACAGATGCTTACAGCTGGAAGGGTTGGGGGCATGGAATAGTGGGGGCTGAAGGGAAGTGGATGGGCATTGTCAATGTCTGCAATAAAGCAGAAAAACTACTGTTAAACTTCTTTACATTTAGAGCCCTACTCTTCTGAACCCTTCTCAACTCAGTCATCGACATCCATAATTTTTCAATCCACACTCTTTCTGCCATCATGAATGTTGATGGTACAGCATTTCTCAAGAGTGATTGTTCCAGGCTGGGTTCCCAGGAGGCTGACTCTGAGGCAGAGGACATGCAGGAAGTTGGTTAGAGGCTGCTCTTGGGATCAACGCCTTTGGAAGAGAATGGAATGGAGGCAAGCAGGACTGGGCTGAGGGAGAAGCTGGCCTGGGATGCCAGCCCCCGTGGGGAGCTCTGAAGATGAGGTAGCCCTTGCACTTCCATGCCAGGCTGTCCTGGGAAGGGAGCATGTCATGGGGTGGGCAGCCTGCATCAGCTGAGGCCGTCCCTGAAGGGGGCCACCTGCCAAAAGCATTGCAGCAGCTGGCCAATGGGCCTCCCACTCCTAAGGGTGAATGTGAGCAGTGCAGGAGAGCATCCGCCACAGTCCTCCCCTTTACTGCTTGGATCTGCTTCTCCACGTCCAGGATGGCCGCTCCCTTTTCTGCCCGGGGACCTTCTCTGGCCACAAGGGAGCAGGCACAACCCAGCCTTGCCCAGGAGGTGATGCTGTGGGCAGCCGACAGATAACCCATCAGCTTCACCTCTGTGGGATGACTCCTGGGTGAGTTCCATGTGGTTCCTCAGGCAGTCACTGGCAGGAGAGAGCCCTACTCACCCCCAGTGGCGAGACCTACTTGTTAAAGCACTTTCTGGAACTTTCTCCTCCCCTGCCTAGTTCCTCACTTCCTGGAATACCTGCTTGCCCTCGAACCCTTGTTGCAGGGTCTGCTTTTGAGGGAACTCCAACCAAGATGGGCCCAATGCAGACGAAGAGGCTGAAAATAAAGGAGAGTGTGCAGGGAGGAGCAGGGTCCCCAGGAGGCCTAGGAGGCTGACGGCGTTGGGCGTTCAGAGGGAGAGCTGCGTTAGGCAGGAGGGGCAAGGGTGTCACTTGCGGGGTAAACATGGACACTTCTGGGGGTGGGCCGCAGGTGGATGAGGAAGTTGCTTTCTGATTGCATCTGGTTTCTCTGTGAGGAAGGAGGCGAGGTGAGAGTGAGGGTGGCTGAGGAGGAGATAAACAACTTGAGGAGAGTGGAGAAGGCCCCGACGGAGAAGGAGAGAGCAGCCTAGGAAAATGGAGACGCCCTTCCCAAAGGGTTGGGAGTCAGGGGCCTGGGGGACCGTGAGCTTCTGGAACCAGCTGCACCACCGTGAGACCGTCTCCGTCAACACTCAGCATCCCTGTGGAGGGGCTGCATGCAGAGAGGGTTGGACTAGACACCTTTCATGGGGTCTGCCCGATTCACTACCTTTTCATCTCTACCAACCATGCCCTCAGCCTCCACAGGGGTTATTTCTGGTACAACTCTGCTCCCAAGCCCAGGGGTGGTCATTGGATCCAAGTTTAGCTAATCCCTGTCCCAGGGAGAGTCTTGTTCTCAATTTCAACCAACATTACTATGCCCCTGTGGTGAGCTGGGCCCTGGGAAAACAGCGGTGGATAACAGACAAGACCCCTGTCCTCATGGAGCATACAGCCCAAGAGGGGTGATGCACAATAACCAAATAAACAAAGAGTCCAAAGAATTAGGGGTCGAGCATGGTGGGTCACACCTGTAATCCCAGCACTTTGGGAGGCTGAAGTGGGCAGATCACCTGAGGTCAGGAGTTCAAGACCAGTCTGGCCAACATGATGAAATCCCATCTCTACTAAAAACACAAAAATTAGCCGGGCATGGTGGTGTGCACCTGTAATCCCAGCTACTCGGGAGGCTGAGGCAGGAGAATCACTTGAATCCGGGAGGCAGAGCTTGCAGTGAGCTGAGATCACACCACTGCACTCCAGCCTGGGTGACAGAGCGAGACTCTGTCTCAAAAACAAACAAAAACAAAAACAAAATAACAAAAGAATTAGGGACTGTGACAAGGAGGATGAGAGAAGTAAGCTGGCTGCCGAGACGGTGAATGGCACCTCCATTAGATGGAGTGGCTGATGTCAAACTCTCCAAGCAGATGACACGCAAGCTGAGACCTAACAGGTGAGAAAGACCGAGGCATGCCAAGGACTTGAGTCAAAGTATCCCAAGCAGAAGGACGAGTAAATGCAGAGGTGAGAAAGAGATTGGTGTGTTCTCCTGGGGAGTGCCAGGAGACCGCGGGTGCTGGAGCATGGTGAGCAAGAAATGAAGTTGGAGAAAAGGCAGAAGCTGGAACACGTGGGAGCCTCTCAGTTTTTGCTAAAGACTTTGGATTTTATTCCAAGTATAACAAGAAGCCAGGAGTGACACAGTCCTGTTTTTGGGGTAATGTTTTATTTTTGTATAATTCCAAACTTACAGAAAAAAAGACTAGTATAAGAAACTCCCATATATACATTATTCAAATTCGCCAACTATTTACACTCTCCCTCTTCACAGTAGTTACACAGTTGCTGCAAATACTGGATCATTGCTTTTAGGGGAAGACAGGGTCAGGTTCCTGTGAGCCTCCGGCTACAACATTTTCATCGACTGATCAATACATGACCTTTTCAAAAAAAAAGTGTGCTTTTGTTTAAAGACACCTTATTTATAGGCCGGGCGCGGTGGCTCACGCCTGTAATCCCAGCACTTTGGGAGGCCGAGGCGGGCGGATCACGAGGTCAGGAGATCGAGACCATCCTGGCTAACACGGTGAAACCCTGTCTCTACTAAAAATACAAAAAAATTGGCCGGGCGTGGTGGGGCGTGCCTGTAGTCCCAGCTATTCGGGAGGCTGAGGCAGGAGAATGGCGTGAACCCAGGCGGCGGAGCTTGCAGTGAGCCGAGATAGAGCCATTGCACTCCAGCCTGGGCGACAGAGCGAGACTCCGTCTCAAAAAAAAAAAAAAAAAGACACCTTATTTATTTATTATTATTATTATTTGAGACAGAGTCTCACTCTGTCGCCCAGGCTGGAGTGCAGTGTCACCATCTTGACTCACTGCAACCCCCATCTCCTGGATTCAAGTGATTCTCTTGCCTCAGCCTCCTGAGTAGGTGGGATTACAGGTGTGTGCCACAACACCAGCTAATTTTTGTATTTTTAGTAGAGACAGGGTTTCGCTATGTTGGCCAGGCTGGTCTCGAACTCCCGACCTCAGGTGATCCACATGCCTCGGCCTCCCAAAGTGCTGAGATTACAGGTGTGAGCCCCTGTGCCCGGCCTAAATACACCTTATTTAATACATATTGTTGATCCATTGACATTGACCCCACGTGGCCGTGGGGGTCAATGAGCGCTAAAACTCTGCCTGAATGAAGCTTATCTAACTCGGGCATTTTCTCCCAAAGGCACGCATAGCCTTCTCGATCATGGGAACACTAGACAGCCTCAGCACTGCACGGGGGCCATTTTGAATGGTGAAATCACCAACAAGAAGCACAAAACTGTGAAAAACATGACACTAAATAGACTGTGAAAAGGACACTTGTTTACGGGTCGGAGAGCTGAAACAGGGAGATGAGTGCTGACTGCTTCACCTCAGCGGGTGACTTTAGTCTCTGGAGACATCAATTTTTCACCACTCTGTGTATGCACCGGCTTTCAAATACCCACAGAAAGGCCCAAGTATTGATTTTGGGGTTACAAATAAATTTAGCTAGAGGTGAACCCACAAATACAGAATCCAAGAATAATGAAGATGATTTGAATCGTGAGGTTATGTTAGAAACACCCCACCTCTGCACCCCTGAGTACTTCAGTGTATATTTCCAAAATGGTTGTTCTCTTACATAATCACTTTTGTAGTTGTCAGAATCTGGAAACTCACCAGCAATACAATACTATAATTTGATACATGCTTTTCCCCCAGTCCAGCAGCCAGTCCAAGATCACAGGATGTGTTTAGTTGTCCTGTCTTTTGGTGCCTCAGTCTTGCTTTGCTTTTTGTGGTCTTGACTTGCAGAATGTCCTTCTGTGTGTGTTATCTGATGTTTCCTTGTGAGTAGATTCAAGTTGTGCGTTTGTGGCAAGAATATCCAGGGGTGATGTCTTCTCAGTGCATAAGGAGAGATGTACTGCTGTTATTTTGCTATTTGTCCTCTGTTTGCTTCCTAGCTTTTCTGGACCTCATTTCCTGCATTACAAGCTTTTTGGTGTGTTTGGTTTTTTTTTTTAATAGAAAAATGTTTGAATTTCTTCTCATTTTCTTCTGTGTATATTCTACAGCTATTTTCTTTGTTATTACAATGGGTATTACATTTAACATCTGTATTAGTCCATTCTCATGCTGCTAACAAAGACATACCCGAGACTGGGTAATTTATAAAGGAAAGAGGCTTAATTGACTCACACTTCACCATGGCTGGGGAGGCCTCAGGAAACTTACAGTCATGGGTGGAAGGGGAAGCAAACATGTCCTTCTTCACATGCCAACAGTAAGGAGAAGTGCTGAGCAAAAGGGGGAAAGTCCCCTTATAAAACCATCAGATCTCATGAGAACTCACTCACTATCATGAGAACAGCAACTTTGAGGTAATGACCCCCATGATTCAATTACTTTCCACCAGGCCCCTCCCATGACAAATGGGGATTGTAGGAACTACAATTCAAGATGATATTTGGGTGGGGACACAGCCAAACCATATCAACATCCTAAAGTTATAACACTCTGGTTTGAATTTATACCAGGTCAACTTCAGTATCGTATAAAAACTCTGCTCTTTTTACAGCTCCATCTCTTTTTCTTATGGTTGTTGATGTCATAAAATTATATCTTTAAACATTCTATGCCCCAAAACATAAACTGACAATGATTTTTAAAAAGTTAGTGTCTTAAATTATACAGCAAACAAAATGTGTAGTTACAAACCAGTTACAGTAATACTAGCGTTGGATTAGTTCTTGGTTTAACTAATCAATTAATTAATTTATTATTATACTGACTTTTAATTTATTTTATTTACTTATTTATTTATTTTGAGATGGAGTCTGTCTCACTCTTGTCACCCAGGCTGGAGTGCAGTGGCCCGATCTTGGCTCACAGAAACCTCCGCCTCCCAGGTTCAAGCGATTTTCCTGCCTTAGCCTCCCAAGTAGCTGGGATTACAGGCACCCACCACCATGCCTGGCTAATTTTTGTATTTTTAGTAGAGACAGGATTTTACCATGTTGGCCAGGCTGGTCTTGAACTCCTGACCTCAGATGATCTGCCTGCCTCGGCCTCCAAAAGTGCTGAGATTACAGATGTGAGCCACTGCACCCGGCCGATACTGATTGTTTTTTAAAGTGTAATAGTCTCTTAAATTCTGCAGAAAACCAAAAGTAGTTTTACAACCTACTGTTACAATAGTACTAGCTTTTATAATTGCACATATATTTGCCTCTATTGAGATCTTTACTTCTTCATACAGTTTCATGTTACTATCTAGTGTCCTTTCGTTTCACCTTCAGGACTCCCTTAAGCATATCTTGCAGAGCAGGTTTACTGGTTATGAACTTCTTGAGTTTTCTTCTTCGCTTTTTTTTTCTTTTTCTTTCTTCTTTTTGTTCAGAGACAGGGCCTCACTCTGTCACCCAGGATGGAGTACAGTAGCATGATCACAGTTCACTGCAACCTCAACCTCCTGGGCTCAAGCAATCCTCCTCCCTCAGCCTCCTGAGTAGCTAGGATTACAAACATGCATCACAACGCCTGACCTTTGATTTTGTAGAGATAGGGTCTCACTATGTTGCCCAGGCTGGTCTCAAAATCCTGGACTCAAGTGATCTTCCTGCCTTGTCCTCCAAAGTATTGGGATTATAGGTATGAGCTATTGTACCTGGCCCCTTTGGCTTTTCTTATATTTTTCTTTTATCTTCTTAAAAATATTATTTATGGGTTGGGTATGGTGGCTCATGCCTGTAATCCTAACACTCTGAGAGGCCAAAGTGGGCAGATTGCTTGAGCCCAGGAGTTGGAGACCACCCTGGACAACATGGAGAAACCCCACTCTACAAAAAAGAAAAAAAAAATTAGCTGGGCTTGGTGCATGTCTGTAGTCCCAGCTGTAGTCCTCAGGAGGCTGAGATGGGAGGATCACTTGAGCCCAGGAGGCTGAGGCTGTAGTGAGCTGTGATCATGCCGCTCCACTACAACCTGGGCGACACAGCAAGACCTTGTCTCAAAAAATTTTATATTATTGATTCCTTTCTTTTACAAACCCTTATCTTGAGGGCTGACTTTAAATAGATCACAGTGAGGGAGATACTCTGCTATGTACAAAATCCTGACCCAGAAGCAGGTTGTCTATGAATGGTTTAGTACCAGGTTCTCCGTGAATGTGCACTCCATGATGGGCCAGCGGGGACAGCCCATTTCTGGCCATACCCCATTTCACGGGTTGAGGAGTTCTCTGTACTGGACTCCGGTCCTGGCACCAGATGAGGCACTGGCAGCACGGTAAAGGACCAGCTATCTGAGGCCAACCAAGGCTCTGCAGTGCTATCATATCATTCTGCCTTCTGCCTGGGCGGAGTTTTGATTTAGAGGCATTCAGTCATAATCTCACGGATGGAAGCTTTGCTGCATTGGCTTTTCAGCCAAGCACATATTCTTCACTTTTGAAAGACAGTTTTATCCAATATAGGATTCTTGGTTGACAGGTTTTTTGTTTTTGTTTTTGTTTGTTTATTTTTTATTTTTTTGAGACCGAGTCTCACTCTGTCTCCAGGCTGGAGTGCAATGACATGATCTCAGCTCACTGCAACCTCTGCCTCCTGGGTTCAAGCGATTCTCCTGCCTCAGCCTCCTGGGTAGCTGGGATTACAGGTGCACACCACCAAGCCCTGCTAATTTTTGTATTTTTAGTAGATGGCATTTTGCCATGTTGGCCGGGATGGTCTCAATCTCTTGACCTCGTGATCTGCCCTCCTCAGCCTCCCAAAGTGCTGGGATTACAGGCGTGAGTCACCATGCCCGGCTGTTTTTTTTTTTCTTTTAATAGTTTGAAAATGTCTTGGGAGGCCGAGGCAGGCAGATCACAAGGTCAGGAGATTGAGACCATCCTGGCTAACATGGTGAAACCCCATCTCTACTAAAGATACAAAAATTTAGCCAGGCGTGGTAATGGGCGCCTGTATTCCCAGCTACTCAGAAGGCTGAGGCAGGAGAATGGCATGAACCTGGGAGGTGGAGCTTGCAGTGAGCCGAGATCAAGCCATTGCACTCCAGCCTGGGCGACAGAGCGAGACTCTGTCTCAAAAAAAAAGAAAGAACAAAAAAGAAAATGTCAGCCCACTGTCTTCTGGCCTGAAAAATTTCTAATGAGAAATCTGTTGAAAATCTTATTTAAGATCTTGGTATGTCACATGTCTCTTCTCTCTTGCTACTTTCAGCATTCTCTCTTTGTCTTTCAAAAGTTTAATTATTATTAATTATTATTATTATTATTATTTTGAGAAGGAGTTTTGCTCTTGTTGCCCAGGCTGGAGTGCAATGGTGGAATCTCGACTCACTGCAACCTCCACCTCCCAGGTTCAAGCAATTCTCCTGCCTCTGCCTCCTGAGTAGCTGGAATTACAGGCATGCTCCACCATGCCCGGCTAATTTTTTATTTTTAGTAGAGACAGAGTTTCTCCATGTTGGTCAGGCTAGTCTCAAACTCCTGACCTCAGGTGATCCACCTGCCTTGGCCTCCCAAAATGCTGGGATTACAGGCATGAGCCGCCGCACCTGGCCTCAAAAGTTTAATTGTAACGTGTCTTGGTGTGACTCCTTCTCTCTCTTAATTTTAATATTTAATTTAATTTTATTTATTTATTTATTTATTTTTGAGACAGAGTCTTTTTGTGTCACCCAGGCTGGAGTGCAGTGGCGTGATCTTGGCTCACTGCAACCTCCACCTACTGGGTTCAAGCGATTCTCCTACCTCAGTCTCCTGAGTAGCTGGGACTGTGGGCGCGTGCCACCACACCTGGCTAATTTTTGTACTTTTAGTAAAGATGGGGTTTCGCCATGTTGTCCAAGCTGGTCGCGAACTCCTGACCTCAGGTGATCCACCCGCCTCGGCGTCCCAGAGTGCTGGGATTACAGGTGTGAGCCACTGTGCCCAGCCAATTGAATTTAATTTTTGAGACAGGGTCTTACTCTGTCACCTAGGCTGGAGTGCAGTGGCACAATCATAGCTCACTGTAGCTTTGACCTCCTGGGCTCAAGCAATCCTCTCACCTCAGCTTCCCAAGTAGCTGGGACTATAGGTGTGTGCCATCTACATCTGACTAATTATTTTATTTTTTGTAGAAACAAGGTCTCACTATGTTGCCCAAGCTGGTCTCAAACTCTTCAGCTCAAGTGATTCTTCTTCTGCCTCACCCTCCCAAAGGCATGAGCCACTGATTCTCTCTCTCTCTCTCTCTCTTTGGAAACAGAGTCTCACTTTATCACCCAGGCTGGGGTGCAGTGGTGTGATCATAGCTCACTGTAGCCTTGAACTCCTGGGCTCAAGTGATCCTCCCACCTCAGCCTCCCAAGTAGCTAGCTAGGACTACAGGTATGCACCACAATGCACAGTTAATTTGTTTGTTTGTTTGTTTGTTTGTTTGTTTATATGTTTGTTTGTTAGAGACAGGGTTTTGCCATATTGCCCAGGCTTGTCTCAAACTCCTGGGCTCAAGCCAACCTCCTGCTTCGTCCTCCCAGAGCACTGGGATTATAGGCATGAGCCACTGCATTTGGTTGGATCTCTTTGAATTCATCTTACATGAAGTTCATTAAGCTTCTTGCATGTTTCTTTTCATCTCTTTCATCAAATTTCGGATATTTATGGACATTAATTTTTCAAATATTCTCCCTGCTTCTTTCTCTTCTCTTTCTGTGACTCCCACAGTGCCTATGTTGGTCTACTTGATGGTATCCCAAGGTCCCTTAAGCTCTGTTCATTTTTCTTCAGTCTTTTTTTTTTCTTTCTTTCTGTTCTTTAGACTTGATCATTTCCATTACCCTATCTTCAAGTTCACTGATTCTTTCTTCTGCCTGCTTAAACCTGCCTTTGAATCTGCCCTCTACTTATTTTTCATTTCAGTTGTACTTTTCAGCTCTGGAAATTTTTTTGGTTTCTTTTAGATTTTATTTTTACTGATATTTCCATTTCGTTCACACATCATTCTCTTGACTTACTCCATACCCTCCTGTAGTTTTCTGAGCATCTTTAAGACAGTTGCTTTAAAGCCTTTTTCTAGTACACCTGCCATAAGCTCTTTTTCAGGGACAGTTTCTGTTTATTTGTGGTTTTCTTTAACCTTCGAATAGGCTATATTTTTCTGTTTCTTTGTATGCCTTTTGATGTTTTGTTGAGCATTGGACAATTGAATTTCATAATTGTAACTGGAAATCATATTCTCCCCCTTATCCAGGGTTTACTGGTTTTTGTTACTATTTTTGTTTTTTGTTTATTTGATTGATTGTTGTAGCCTATCTCTGTGTCAAGAATCAGCCTGGAATGTAAACTTAAGGTCTTCTCAGGTATTTTCTGAGCCTTGGGTACGTGTGGTCACTTACTCATTTTCCTCATATATGCAGTTTTAAAAAAATGTTCCAGGCCAGGCGCAGTGGCTCACGCCTGTAAACCCAGCACTTTGGGAGGCCGAGGCGGGCGGATCATGAGGTCAGGAGATCGAGACCATCCTGGCCAACATGGTGAAACCCTGTCTCTACTAAAAATACAAAAATAAAATTTGCTGGGCATGGTGGCGCGCGCCTGTAGTCCCAGCTACTCCAGAGCCTGAGGCAGGAGAATTGCTTGAACCTGGGAGGTGGAGGTTGCAGTGAGCCGAGATCGCACCAATGCACTCCAGCCTGGCGATAGAGTGAGACTCCATCTAAAAAGTAAAAAATAAATAAATAAAGTTTTAAAAGTTCTAGTGTTTAATGTCTGGCTCCCAAAGGGAAATAAAAAGAAAAATGAAGGTGGAAGGAAAGTGCATCAGCCCTTTAAATGCCCCAGAAGTGACTTCAGCCAGAGGGGGAGGAGCTTGCAACAACTGGAGGAGATGCAGCAACAGTGGCCACCTGCGCCTCTGTGATTAGGAGCACCGCTGTGGGCCAGGCACGGTGGCTCACGCCTGTAATCCCAGCACTACGGAAGGCTGAGGTGGGTGGATCACTTGAGGTCCGGAGTTTGAGACTAGCCTGGCCAACATGGCGAAATCCCATCTCTACTAAAAATACAAAAACTAGCTGGGCGTGGTGGTGCACGCCGGTAGTCCCAGCTACTCAGGAGGCTGAGGCAGGAGAATCGCTTGAACCCGGGAGGTGGAGGTTGCAGTGAGCCGAGATCACACCACTGCACTCCAGCCTGGGCGACAGAGTAAGACTCCCTCTCAAAAAGAAAAAAAAGGAAGCACCTCTGAGATCAGAAGCAGCACTCAGCAGTGAGAGCACAGATCCCTGGTATTTGGAGGACAGGACTCTTTTTGCCCACGCCGGCTCCTGCAAGCTGTGTGCAGGTTGCTCCAGGAACACATGCACAGCTGCGTGCCATAGGGCTGGGGGTCAGGGATGGGTAGTAGCCATTGTGGGAAGAGCTAAAATGGACTGAAATTTACTGTAATTTACCAGTCCAAGCCTTCCCCCTGGAAGCCACAAGTCTTCAATACACTGCAGAGTTCTAAAATAGTTACACCAGACAGATTCTGCCATGCAATTGTTGTCTAGGTGGGGAGACAGATTCCTGGTGCTTCCTACCATGCTATCTTCCCAGATTCCTCTCTGAATAGGTGACTTATAAATTTTTTTTTCCAGTCAGTGTCTTATCATTTCATTTTCTTAACAGTGTCTTTTACAGAGCAAAAATTTTGGTGAAAACATTTTGATGAGGTCTATTTCATCAATTTTTTCCTTTAGAGACCATGATTCTGGTGTCATAGTTGTATTCTTTTCCTAAAAGCCTCCACCTCCCGAGTTCAAGCTATTCTCCTGCCTCAGCCTCTGAGTACCTGGGATTACAGGCGTGCATCACCATGCATGGCTAATTTTTGTATTCTTAGTAGAGATGGGGTTTCACCTTATTGACCAGGCTGGTCTCGAACTCCTGACCTCAAGTGATCTGCCCACCTTGGCCTCCCAAAGTGCTAAGATTACAGGCATGAGCCACCGTGCCTGGCCTCTTACTTTTTCTTCTAAGAGTTTCATTGTTTTGTTTTGTATTTAAGTCTGTGCTCCATATTTCGTTAATATTTATATAAAGCTTAAGGTATAGATTGAGGATCTTTGTCTTCTTCTTCCTTTTTTTGCATACTGATGTCTAGTTGCACCATCTGTTGAAAGGTTATCTTTTTTTTTTTTTTTTTTTGGAGACGGAGTCTCGCTCTGTCGCCCAGGCTGTAGTGCAGTGGCGCGATCTCGGCTCACTGCAAGCACGGCCTCCTGGGTTCACGCCATTCTCCTGCCTCAGCCTCCTGAGTAGCTGGGACTACAGGTGCCTGCCACCACGCCCGGCTAATTTTTTGTGTGTGTTTTTTTGTTTGTTTGTTTGTTTTTCTTTTTTTTTTTAGCAGAGACAGGGTTTCACTGTGTTAGCCAGGATGGTCTCGATCTCCTGATCTCATGATCCGCCCGCCTCGGCCTCCCAAAGTGCTGAGATTACAGGCATGAGCCACCATGCCCGGACTATTCTTTCTTAATTGACTTACCTTTTCATGTTTTTTTTAAAAGCCCAAGTAGTGTCTGTGAGTTCTCCAATCTTCTTTTTCTTTTTCAAATTTAACTATTCCATATCCTCTGTCTTTCCATATAAGATTTAAAATTAGCTTGTTAATATCTACAAAAATATTCTGCTGAGATTTTGATTGGAATTGAATGAAATCTGTAGATCAATTTGCAGAGAATTTTTTTTTTTTTTTTGAGACAGAGTCTCTGCTGCCCAGGCTGGAGTGCAGTGGTGCAATCTCGGCTCACTGCGAGCTCCGCCTCCCAGGTTCACACCATTCTCTTGACTCAGCCTCCCGAGTAGCTGAGACTACAGGTGCCCGCCACCACGCCCGGCTAATTTTTTGTATTTTTAGTAGAGACAGGGTTTCACCGTGTTAGCCAGGATGGTCTCGATCTCCTGACCTCGTGATCCGCCCACCTCGGCCTCCCAAAGTGCTGAGATTACAGGCGGGAGCCACCACGCCCGGCCGAGAATTGTCATCTTAACTATGTGTGTGTGTGTGTGTGTGTGTGTGTGTGTGTGTGTGTGTGTGTGTGTATCTCAAGTATTCCAAACCATGAACACAGTATGTCTATCTGTTACTTGGGTCTTGTTTGATTTATTTCATCAGCATTTTGTAGTTTGCAGCTTTCAATCCTATATATACGTTGTTAGATTCAAACCTAAGTAGTAAGACTTTTGGGAGCTCTGGGACTGGTTTTGTCATTGTTTTCCATTACTAGTGATCCCTGAGGGAGAGGAAGCAAATGAGATGAGCCCTAATGATGGCCCCATCTTACTGTCTGAAGAGTTTGCAGCCTGCAGCGCAAAGAAGGAAGAGCTGAGGAGCAGCCCGGAAGCTTTCCTGAAGTGAGGAGATGGAGCTGGAGGTCTGGGAGGCCCAGACTGGAGTTCACAGGGCAAAGTTCTAGAAAGAAAAGAGTGCAGGGGAAGGAGAGAAATTGAGATTGTACCCTGAAGATTTAGAGTCGTAATTAATCTGAGTGCCAATCAGTGCATACATGTGAGGAAAATGCTGAGGCTGGGGAAGGAACCTCCCAAAAGGATCAGTGGAAACAATCATGGCAGCTCACGTAGGGCCAGGAATATTTTTCCTTTCCCAACTTCAGAGTGGAAACCTTGTGGGGCATTGAGTAAAGTACTCAGAAGGGTTCTACCTCAGTAGTGGGGAAAATGAGCCCTAGACTAAATGTCGCTCTGGTTCTACCTAACACAACACGACCAGAAAGACTCAAACTCTTTTCAAAGAATTTAACTGTGTCCCAGAACAAAATTCAAGATAATTTATATGAATACAAAAATATCATACAACAAAATAATTTTCAAAACTAGCACAAATGATGTATTGCAGCCAGTAAAAAGTTGCCAGGCATGCAAAGAAGCAAGAAACTGGGAGCCATCATGAAAAGAAAATGTTAAATCAATTGAAACTAGAAATGAGCCAGAAATGACACAGATGACAGTGTTAGTAGACAAGGACATTAAAATAGTTATTATAGGCTGGGCGCGGTGGCTCACGCCTGTAATCCCAGCACTTTGGGAGACCAAGGTAGGTGGATCACAAGGTCAAGAGATTGAGACCATCCTGGCCAACATGGTGAAACCCCGTTTCTACTAAAAATACAAAAATTAGCTGGGTGTGGTGGTGCCTGCTTATAGTCCCAGCTACTCGGGAGGCTGAGGCAGGAGAATTGCTTGAACCTGGGAGGCAGAGGTTGCAGTGAGCCGAGATCATGCCACTGCACTCCAGCCTGGCAACAGAGCGAGACTGTCTCAAAAAAAAAAAAAAGTTATTATAACTGTATTCCATATGCTAAGGAAAGTAAAGGAAAAATTAAGAATGTTAAGTAAAGACACAGAAATATATTTTAAATACCCAACGTGAACTTCAAGATATTAAAATTACAATGTTTGAGATGAAACATATATTGAATAGGATTAACAGCAGATAAGACATGGCAGAAGAAGGCT
Source organism: Homo sapiens (assembly GCF_000001405.40). NCBI lineage: Eukaryota > Metazoa > Chordata > Mammalia > Primates > Hominidae > Homo > Homo sapiens. Next base: position 68,239,039 of record NC_000011.10, read on the forward strand.
GGGCGTGGTGGCTCACGCCTGTAATCCCAGCACTTTGGGAGGCCAAGGCGAGCGGATCATGAGGTCAGGAGATCAAGACCATCCTGGCTAACACAGTGAAACCCCGTCTCTACTAAAAAAAAATACAAAAAATTAGCCAGGCATGGTGGCAGATGCCTGTAGCCCCAGCTACTCAGGAGGCTGAGGCAGGAGAATGGCGTGAACCCAGGAGGTGGAGCTTGCAGTGAGCCTAGATCGTGCCACTGCACTCCAACCTGGGCAACAGAGCAAGACTCTGTCTCAAAAAAAAAAAAAAAAAAAAGACATGGCAGAAGAAAAAGTTAGGGAACTAAGATGTCAAAGAAAGTGCTTCAGGCAGAAGGAAAATGAGGCCAGAGAAAAGCTGGAAATACACAAAGGAATGCAGAGCACTGGAAATGGAAACTACATGGATAAATATACATGTATTTTTTTCTTATTCATTACACTTATTTATCAAGTAATTTTTTGACTTTGTAAATTGGCAATTTATAATTGTATACATTTGTGAAGTACAAAGTGATGTTATGATTTATGAATGCAATGTGGAAAAATTAAATCAAGCTAGTTAGCGTATGCATCACCTCAAATACTTAACATTTTTTTTGTGGTAAGAACATTTACGTTTTATTCTCTTAGCAATTTTGAAATATAAAATATTCTATTATTAAATATATTCACCATGCTGTGTAATAGAACTAAGAAAACCCCATATTTTTCCTCTAACTGAGATTTTGTACACTTCATCTCCCCATTCTCCACAGTCCCAGTCTCTGTAACCAGCCTCTCCGCTTCTATGAGTTCAATTGTTTTAGATTCCATACATAAGTGAGAACATGTGGCATTTGTCTTTCCATGTCTGGCTTATTTCACTTAGCATAATGTTGTCCAGTTCCATTCATATTGTTACAAATAACAGAATTTCCTTCTTTTGAATGACTGAATAGTATTCCACAGTATATATACACCACATTTTCTTTGTTCATTTGTTGATGGACAGTTAGGGTAATTTCTTTCTTTCTTTCTTTCTTTTTTTTTTTTGGAGACAGAGTTTTGCTCTGTCACCCAGGCTGGAGTGCAGTGGTGCAGTCTCGGCTCACTGCAACCTTTGCCTCCTGGGTTCAAGCAATTCTCATGCTTTAGCTTCCCAGTAGCTGGGATTACAGGTGTGCACCACCATACCCAGCTAATTTTTTTGTATTTTAGTAGAGACGGGGTTTCAGCATGTTGCTCAGGCTGGTCTCGAACTCCTGAACTCAGGCAATCCACCCACCCTGGCCTCTCAGAGTGCTGGGATTACAGGTGTGAGCCACCACACCAGGCCAGGGTGATTTCATAAACTACTGTGAATAGTGCTGCAATGAACATGTAGGTGCAGACATCCCTTCAATAAACTGATTTCAAATCTTCTGGGTAAATACCCAGAAGCCATTGCTAGATCAGGTAAGTGATTGTTTAAGCAAAAATAATAAGAATTTGCTGTGGAGTTCATATAAAAGTAAATGCATGACAATAGCCTAAAGACTGGAAAGGAAAAAATGGAAATATACTATTGTAAGTTTTGTTTTGTTTTGAGACAGGGTCTCACTTGTTGCCCAGGCTGGAGTGCAGTGGCACAATCACAGCTCACTGCAGCTTTGACTCCTGGGCTCAAGCAATCTTCCTTCCTCAGCCTCTGAAGTAGCTGGGACTACTGGTGTGCACCACCATGCCCAGCTATTTTTGTATTTTTTGTAGAGATGGGGTTTTGCCACATTGCCCAGGCCAGTCTTGAACTTCTGGGATCAAGCAATCCCTTTGCTTTGGCCTCCCAAAGCACTGGGATTACAGGCACATATTAGTCTGTTCTCACACTGCTATCAAGATCTACCTGAGACTGTGTAATTTATAAAGAAAAGAGGTTTAATTGACTCACTCTTCCACAGGTTGTACCAGAAGCATGGCTGGGGAGGCCTCAGGAAATTTACAATAATGGCAGAAGGGCAAATGGGAAGCAAGCATGTCTTCACCTGGCAGGATAGTAATCAAAGGGAAATGCTACATGCTTTCAAACAACCAGATCTTGTGAGAGCTCACTATCATGAGTACAGCAAGGGAGAAATCTGCCCCCATGATCCAATCACCTCCCACCAGGTCCCTCCCTCAACAATGGGGATTACTATTCAACATGAGATTTGGGTGGGGACACAGAGCCAAAGTATATCAAGGCATGAACCACCACGCCCAGCCTATTGTAAGTTTTTTATACTATACATGAAGTGGTATCATAGCACTTAAAGGTAGACTTTGATAAGTTAAAGATGTATGCTATAAAGCAACCACTGAAACACAAATCCAAAGAGTTTTAGCTAAAAAGCCAACAAAGGAGATTAAATGGAATTCTAAGAAATAATTAATGCCAGAAAAGCTGGCTGGGCACAGTGGCTGATGCCTGTAATCCCAGCACTTTGGGAGGTTGAGGCAGGCAGATCACTTGAGCTCAGGAGTTTGAGACCAGCCTGGGCAACATGGCGAAACCCTGTCTGTACTAAAAATAGCATGGCATGTTGGTGTGTGCCTGCGGTCCCACCTACTCAGGAGGCTGAGGTGGGAGGATCTCTTGACCCTGAAAGGTTGAGGCTGCAGTGAGCCATGATTGTGTCACTGCACTCCAGCCTAGGTGACAGAGCAAAATCCTGACTCATGAAAAAAAAAAAAAAAGAAAGAATTAATGCCAAAAAAGGCAGAAAAAAGTAAAAATGGAACAAAGAAGAGATGGGACAAATACGGCACAAATAGTAATATGTTAAGACTTAAACATAACCGTATAATAATCACATTAAATTTAAATGGTCTGAACACTCCCAATTAAAAGGTAAAAATTTTTAAATTGTATTTTAAAAGTGGCCAAGCTGTATACTATATAAAAAATTAACTTTACCTTTTTTTTTTTTTTTTTTTAAGACGGAGTCTCCCTCTGTTGCCCAGGCTGGAGTACAGTGGCTCCATCTTGGCTCACTGCAAACTTCACCACCTGGGCTCAAGCAATTCTCCTGCCTCAGCCTCCTGAGTAGCTAAGATTACAGGTATGCACTACCATGCCTGGCTAATTTTTGTATTTTTAGTGGAGACAGGGTTCCACCATGTTGATCAGGTTGATCTCGAACTCCTGACCTCAAGTGATCTGCCTGCCTCGGCCTCCCAAACTGCTGGGATTACAGGCGTCAGCCACTGAACCTAGCCTCAACTTTACTTTTTTTGTCTTTCACGAAGGTGGTGTCTTGTTATATTGTCCAGACTCATCTCGAAATCCTGGGCTCAAGCAACTCTCCTGCCTCAACCTCCCAAAGTGCTGGGATTATAGGCATGAGCCAGCATTGCACCTGGCCTGAAATCCACTTCAAATATAAAGACACGCATAGATTAAAAGCAAAAAGATGAAAAAGATACACTATGTTAACACTAGCCAAAAAAAATCTGAAGTGGCTATATTAATATCAGACATAATAAGTTTCAGGGTAAAAAAAATTACCAGATACAAAAAGATTATTTTATAATGAAAAACAGGTCAATTCATTGAGGAGACATAGCAATCCTAAATGTTTATGCATCCAAAAACAGAGCTTCAAAATACATAAAGCAAGAAGAGAAAGAATTAGCAGAAGAAATTAACAATCCACAATTTTAGCTAGAGATTTAAAAACCCTTAGTCAATAACTGATAGAACAAGTAGCAGAAAATCAAGCTAATCAATTAATTAATCAAAAATAATTATTTAAGATCAAGAAAATTAATCAAAAATAATTGATTAATCAAAAAATAATTATTAAAAATCAGGCCAGGCATGGTGGCTCATGCTTATAATTCCAGCACTTTTGGAGGCAGGTGGACCACTTGAGGTCAGGAGTTCGAGACCAGCCTGACCAACATGGCGAAACCCCATCTCCACTAAAAATATAAAAAGTAGCCAGCTGTGGTGGCAGGCACCTGTAATCCCAGCTACTTGAGAGGCTGAGGCAGGAGAATTGTTTGAACCCGAAAGGCAGAGAGAGGCTGCAGTGAGCCAAGATTGGGCCACTGCACTCCAGCCTGGGCGACAGAGTGAGACTCCGTCTCAAAAGAAAAAATAATTATTATTATTTAAGATCAATAAAATTTCTAAATCTCTAGCCACACTGATCAGGAGAAAAAGAAGACACAAATTACCAACTTCAGGCATAAAAGAGGTGACTCACTATAGCATCCACAGACAATAAAAGAGTGGTAAGGGGAAACCGTAAATAATTTACCAATAAATTTGACAACTTAGATGAAGTGGACAAATTCCTTGAAAAACACAAAAACTCACACAAGAAGAAATAGATAGCTTAAGTAGCCATATGTCAATTAGATAAATTGAACTTGTAGTTAAATTTCCCACAAATAAAAACTAGGCCCAGATGGCTTCACTAGTGAATTCTATCAAATATTGAGAAATAAAAACACCATTTCTATACAAAATCTTTCCAACTTATTTTCTGAGGTCTTAATTACCCTGATACTGAAACCAGATGACAACATAACAGGGAGAAAAAACCCACAACTTCCAACTAACATCCCTCATGAACATTGATGCAAACATCCTTAATTTATTTAGCAAATCAAACCCAATAATATATTTGAAGGATAACATATCATCACTAGGTTTTATTATTCTAGGAATGCAGGATTGGTTTAACATTACAAAATTAATGTAATTTACCATAATAACAAACCTAAAAAAGAAAAATTATATCATCTCAATAGATGCACAAGAAACAGTTGACAGTTGGCAGTATTCATTACAAAAACACTCAGTGGCTGGGTGTGGTGGCTTACACCTGTAATCCCAGCACTTTGGGAAGCTGAGGTGGGAGGATCACTTTGAGGCCAGGAGTTCAAGACCAGCCTGGGCAACATAGGGAGATACCCCCACCCCCATCTCCAAATAATTTAAAAAAGTATTAAAAAATTAAATAATTATTTAATTATTAAAAATAATTATATAATTATTAAAAATAATTAAATAATTAAATATATATATATTTTTGAGACAGAGTCTTGCTCTGTCACCCAGGCAGGCTGCTGGAGTATAGTGGCACAATCTCTGCTCACTGCAACCTCTGCCTCCCAGGTTCAAGCAATTCTCCTGTCTCAGCCTCCTGAGTAGCTGGGACTACAGGCGTATGCCACCATGCCCGGCTAATTTTTGTATTTTTAGTAGAGACGGAGTTCCACCACATTGGTCAGGCTGGTCTCGAACTCCTGACCTCAGGTGATCCACCCGTCTCGGCCTCCCAAAGTGCTGGGATTACAGACGTGAGCCACCCTGCCTGGCCTAATTTTATTTATTTTTTAAAATTTGAGACAGGGTCTTTCTCTGTCCCAGACTGGAATGCAGCAGTGCAATCATAGCTCACTGTAACCACAAACTGCTGGGTTCAGGCAGTCCTCTCACCCCAAACTCCCAAGTAGCTGAGACTACAGGAGTGCACCAACTTGCTCAGCTAGTTTTTTTTTTTTTTTTTTTTTTTTTTTAAGAAATGGGATCTCACTGTGTTGCCCAGGCTGTTCTCAAACTCCTGGCCTGAGTGATCCTTCTGCCTTAGCCTTCCAAAGTACTAGAACTACAGTAATAAGCCACTGTGACTGGTCTTTAACATTTTTATTTACTTTGTAAAATTTTTTTTTCAAACATTTAGACACAAACACACATTAGCCTAGGCCTACACAGGGTCAGGATCATCAAAATCACTATTGTCCACCTCCATGTCTTGTCCTGCTGGGAGGTCTTCAGAGACAATAACATGCATGGAGTTGTCATCTCCTGTAAACAATGCCTTCTTCTTCTGGAATACCTCTTGAAGGATCTGCCTGAAGCTGTTTTACAAGTAACTTATGATATGGTTTGGCTCTGTGTCCCCACCCAAATCTCATCTCAAATTGTAATCTCCACTCTCCACATGTTGAGGGAGGGACCTGGTGGAAGGTGATTGGATCATAGGGGCAGTTTCCCCCATGCTGTTCGCACGATAGTGAGTGAGTTCTCACGAGGTCTGATGGTTTAAAAGTGGCAGTTTCCCCTGTGCTCTCTCTCTCTCTCTCCTGCTGATATGTAAAACATGCCTTGCTTCCCCTTTGCCTTCCGCCATGATTGTAGATTTGCTGAGGCCTCCCCCGCCATGCAGAACTGTGAATCAATTAAACCTCTTTTCTTTATAAATTACCCAGTCTCTGGTAGTATCTTTATAGCAGTGTGAAAATGGACTAATACAACATTATACATATATATATATATATATATATATATATATATATATGATTAATCATACATTAGACCACAAAACAGGTCTTCTATGTACACACACACACACACACACACATATATGTATGTGAAGAAGAACATTCTAACATAATGATTAATGCTATAGTACAGTAAATACATAAACCAGTACCATAGTCATTTATTATCATTAAGTATTATATACTGTATATAATTGTATGTGCTACACTTTTTGTTATTTTTACATAGGATCTTACTCTGTTGTGCAGGCTGGAGTGCAGTGACCCATTCACAGCTCACTGCAGCCTCAAACTCCTGGGCTCAAGCAATCCTGCTTCCTTAGTCTCTTGTGGGACTACAGGCACATGTCACGACTCCCAGCTAATTTTTCCTTTTTTCTTTTCTTTTTTTTTTTTTCATAGAGATAGAATCTTGCTTTGTTGTCCAGGCTGGTCTTGAACTCCTGGGCTGGTCTTGAACTCCTGTTGACCAAAAATTTTATATCTGGCAAAATTATCCTTGAAGAGTGAAGGAGAACTTAAGATATTTCCAGTTAAACAAAAGCTGAGGGAGGTCATGACTAGCAGACCTGCCATATCAAAAATGCTAAAGGGAGTTACAGGCATTCAGTCTGAGACGAAGGCATTAGGCAGTAAGTCAAAGCCATAAGAATAAACAAAGAACGCTGGTAAAGGTAACTACTTAGGTAGGTATAACAGCTAGGATTAGTGCATTTTTTATTTGTGACTCCTTTTTTTTTTCTCTCTTTTTTTTTTTTTTTTGAGATGGAGTCTCACTCTGTCACCCAGGCTGGAGTGCAGTGGAGCGATCTTGGCTCACTGCAACCTCCACCTCCCAGGTTCAAGGGATTCTCCTGCCTCAGCCTCCCAAGTAGCTGGGATTACAGGCATGCACCACCACGCCCAACTAACTTTTGTATTTTTAGTAGAGAAAAGGTTTCACTATGTTGGCCAGGATGGTCTCGATCTCCTGACCTTGTGATCGGCCGGCATCGGCCTCCCAACGTGCTGGGATTACAGGTGTGAGCCACCATACCTGGCCTTTTTTTTCTTATATGATTTAAGAAAAGCATGTACAGTCAGTCGTGGTGGCTCACACCTGTAATCCCAGCACTTTGGGAGGCTGAGGTGGGCGGATCACAAGGTCAGGAGCTCGAGACCATCCTGGCTAACACGGTGAAACCCCATCTCTACGAAAAACACAAAAAATTAGCTGGGCGTGGTGGCACGTGCCTGTAGTCCCAGCTACTTGGGAGGCTGAGGCAAGAGAATGGTGTGAACCCAGGAGGTGGAGTTTGCAGTGAGCTGAGATCGTGCCACTGCACTCCAACCTGGGTGACAGAACGAGATTCCATCTCAAAAAAAAAAAAAAGGAAAAGAAAAGAAAAGCAAGTACATAAAACATAATTACAAATCTATGGATAAAGATGTAATTTGTGATAATAACAATTTAAAGGGAAGGAAGAATAGGAATGTGTGGGAGCAGAGTGTGTGTATACTTTTGAAACTAAGTTGGTATTTTTTAAACTAAGTTGTTATAAGTTTAAGATATTAATTGTAATTCTCAAGGTAACCACCAACAAAATAACTTTTAAAAAATTCAGAAAAGGAAAGAAGGGAATCAAAATTGTTTTCTACAAAAAAATTAATAAATGCAAAAAAGGCACTAATGGAGGAACTGAAGAACAAAAAATATATGACACAGAAAACAAATAGCTTCATGGAGAAGTAAATCCTTCCTTATCAATATTTACTTTAAATATAAATGTAATAAACTCTCCAATTAAAAGGTAGAAATTGGCAGGTTGGATTTTAAAAATCATGATCCATCTATATCAGGGGTGTTCAATGTTTTGGCTTCCCTGAGCCACATTGGAAGAAGAAGAATTGACTTGGGCCACACAGAAAATACACTAACACTAAGCCGATGAGCTAAAACAAAAAAATCACAAAAAAACCTCATAATGTTTTAAGAAAGTTTACAAATTTGTATTGGGCCACATTCAAGGATGTCCTGGGCCACATGTGGCCCACAGGCCGTGGGTTGGACAAGCTTGATCTAATGCTGTCTTTATTTATTTATGTATTTATTTTGAGACAGAGTCTCACTCTGTGTCCAGGCTGGAGTGCAGTGGTGTCATCTCAGCTCACTGCTATCTCAGCCTCCCAGGTTCAAGCAATTCTGCCTTAGCCTCCCAAGTAGCTGGGATTACAGGCTCCCACCACCACTACTATATTTTTAGTAGAGACAAGGTTTCACCATGATAGCCAGGCTGGTCTCGAACTCCTGACCTCAAGTGATCCACCTGCCTTGGTCTCCCAAAGTGCTGGGATTACAGGTATAAGCCACTGTGCTTGGCCTAATGCCATCTTTAAAAGATTCACTTTATCTTTTTTTTTTCTTTTTTACTACTGCCTTCTCAGTTTCTAAGGAGATTCACTTTAGAAACAAAGACACAAAGAGATTGAAAGTAAAAGGGTGAAAAAAGATATACCGTGAAATAGTAAGCAAAGGAGAGCAAGGGTGGTTATTAAACTATAAGTAAAAAAAGAAAAAGGCTATCAGAGAAAAGAATAACATTATATAGTCATAAAAATTTCAACCCAGCAAGAAGATACAACAATTATAAACATATATGAACCTAACAAAAAAAGTCCCAAAATATGAAGCAAAAATGGACAGAATTGAAGGGGAAAATAGATATGTCTGCAATAATAGAAATTTTAGTATCTCACTTTTAATAATGGATAGAATGGCCAGACAGAAGATCAATAAAGAAATGGAGGACTGGCTGGGTGTGGTGGCTCATGCCTGTAATCCCAGCACTTTGGGAGGCCGAGGCAGGTGGATCACCTGAAGTCAGGAGTTCAAGACCAGTCTGGCCAACATGGCGAAATCACATCTCTACTAAAAATACAAAAATTAGCTGGATGTGGTGGCATGCACCTGTAATCCCAGCTACTCAGGAGGGTAAGGTAGGAGAATCACTTGAACCCAGGAGGTGGAGGTTGCAGTGAGCTGAGATCGTGCCACTGCACTCCAGCCTAGGAAATAGAGCAAAACTCCATCTAAAAAAAAAAGCCGGGTGGGGTGGCTCATGCCTGTAATCCCAGAACTTTGGGAGGCTGAAGCAGGTGGATCATGAGGTCAGGAGTTTGAGACCAGCCTGACCAACATGTTGAAAGCCCGTCTCTACTAAAAATACAAAAATTAGCTGGGCATGGTGGCGCATGCCTGTAATTCCAGCTACTCAGGAGTCTGAGGCAGGATAATTGTTTGAACCCGGGAGGCAGAGGTTGCAGTGAGCCGAGATGGCACCACTGCACTCCAGCCTGAGTGTCTGTCTCAAAAAAAAAAAAAAAAAAAAAAGAAGAGAGGACTTAAATTATATTCTCAAGCAATTAGACCTAACAGATATATACTCAATCAACAAAAGTGGAATATACATTCTTCTCAAGTAGACATGCAACATTCTACAAGACAAATCATACATTAAGCCAAAAAACAGGTCTTACTAAATTTTAAAAGACTGAAATAATATAAAATATCTTTTACAACCACAGTGGAATGAAACTAGAATGCAATAACAGAAGGAAAACTAGAAAATTCACAAATATATGGAAATTAAACAATATACTCTTTTATTTTATTTTATTTTATTTTTGAGACAGAGTTTCACTGTGTTGCCCAGGCTGTAGTGTGGTGGTGGGATCTCGGCTCACTACAACCTTCACCTCCCAGATCGATTTTCCTGCCTCAGCTTCCCAAGTAGCTGAAATTACAGGTGACTGCCACCACATCTAGCTAATTTTTGTATTTTTTCAGTAGAGATGGAGTTTCACCATGTTGGCCAGGCTGGTCTCAAACTCCTGACCTCAGGTGATTTGCCTGCCTCAGCCTCCCAAAGTGCTGGGATTACAGGTGTGAGCCAACACACCCTACCAAAACAGTACACTCTTAATCAATGGATTGAAGAATAAATCACAACTCAAACGTTGTGATTGGCTCCGTGTCCCCACCCAAATCTCACCTTGAATTATAAGAATCCCCACGTGTCAAGGGTGGGGGATCAGGTGGAGGTAATGAGATCATGGGGGCAGTTTCCCCCATGCTGTTCTTATGACAGTGAGTGAGTCTCATGAGATCTGATAGTTTTATAAGCATCTAGCATTTCCCCTGCTTGCACTTCTCTCTCCTGCTGCCATGTGAAGAAGGATGTGTTTGCTTCCCCTTCCCCCATGATCATAAGTTTCCTGAGATATCCCCAGCCATGCAGAACTGTGAGTCAATTAAATTTTGTTCCTTTATAAATTATCCAGTCTCAGGCAGTTCTTTACAGCAGCATGAGAACAGACTATAAGATGAAAACAAAAACAAAAACAAAAACAAACCCAAAAAACCACAGCATATCAAAACTTAAAAGATACAAAAAAGGCACTGCTAGAAAAGAAATTTATAGTTGTAAATGTCTATATTAAAAAAGAAGAAAGATCTCAAATCAATAACCTAACTGTACGTCTTAAAGAACTAGAAAAAGAAGAGCAAACAAAACCCAAAGCTAGCAGAAGGAAGAATAATAAAAATTAGAGCTGAGATACACAAGATAGAGAATAGAAAAATGACAGATAAAATCAGTGCGTATTAGGTTCGTTTGAGTGCAGGGGTGTTTACGACTAACTGATAACATGCAGTTATGGATTTCTTTGTTCCTTCTTTTTTTTTTTTTTTTTTGAGATGGAATTTCGCTCTTGTTGCCCAGGCTGGAGTGCAGTGGCGTGATCTCAGTTCATTGCAACCTCTGCCTCCCAGGTTCAAGTGATTCTCCTGCCTCAGCCTCCCAAGTAGCTGGGATTACAGGCATGCGCCACCATGCCAGGCTAATTTTGTATTTTTAGTAGAGACGGGGTTTCTCCATGTTGGTCAGGCCAGTCTCGAACTCCCGACCTCAGGTGATCCACCCGCCTTGGCCTCCCAAAGTGCTGGGATTACAGGTGTGAGCCACCACGCTCGGCCTCTTTGTTCCTTCTTTACTCCCACTGCTTCACTTGGACTAGAAAAAGAAGAAAAAGAAAAAAATCAATGTGTATTAGGGTTCTCCAAAAAACAGAAGCAAAGATAGATAGAAACATACATACATACAGATAGATACAAAGATAGATAGATGGCTACATACATACATATATACAGATAGATACATACGCAGACACATGATAGGTAGATAGATAGATAGATAGATAGATAGATAGATAGATAGATAATAGATTGACTATGGGAATTCACTGACATGATTATGGAAGACGAGAAGTTCCACAATGTGCTGTCTGCAAACTGGGGAATGAGGGAAGTTGTGATCTAATTCATTCTGAGTTCAAAGGCCTGAATCAGGGAAGCCAATAGCGTAACTCACTAAGGCCAAAGGCCTGAGAAATTGGGAAACTGGTATAAGTCCCAGAGTCTGAAGGCCTGAGAACCTGGAATTCTGATGTCCAAAGCAAGAGAAGACAGATGTCCCAGCTCCAGAAGAGTGAATTCACCATTCCTCTGCCTTTTTGTTCTATATGGGCCTAAACAAGTTGCATGGTGTCTGATATGGTTTGGCTGTGTCCCCACCCAAATCTCATCTTGAACTGTAGTTCCCATAATACCCACATGTCATGGGAGGGACCATATGGAGATAATTGGATCATGGGGGTGGTACCCCCATCCTGTTCTCATCATAGTGAGTTAGTTCTTATGAGATCTGATGGTTTTATAAGGGGCTTCTCCCTTCGCTGGACTCTCATTCTTCTCCTGCTGCTGCCAAGTGAAGAAGGATGTATTTGCTTCCCCTGACCCATAATGGTAAGTTTCCTGAGGCTTCCCCAGCAATGCTGAACTGTGAGTCAATTAAGCCTCTTTCCTTTATAAATTACCCAGTCTCAGGTATGTCTTTATTAGCAGTGTGAGAACGGACTAATACAGTGCCTGCCCACATTGGATGTGGACAGATCTTCCTCATTCAGTCCGGTGATTCAGATGCCAACCTCCAGAAGCACCCTCACAGACACACCGAGAAATAACACTTTCCCAGCTATCTGGATATCCCTTAACTCAGTCAAGTTGACAGCTAAAATTAACCATTAAATAATGAAATCAAAGTTGAAAAAAAAATCAACAGAATGGACAAATCTTTAGCTAAACTAACCAAAAAAAAAGCTCAGATTACTAAAATCAGAAGTGAAAGGACAAACATTGGATGATTCCACTTCTATCACTCCACTCTATCTAGAATAGGCAAATTTATGAAGACAGAAAGTAGAATAAAGATTACCAGGAGCTGGGGGTGGAGGAAGCAGAGAGTTATTGCTTAATGGGTAGAGAGCTTCTGTTTGGGATGGTGGAAAAAGTACTGGTTATACAATTAAATACTGTGAATGTATTTAATGCCACTGAATTGTACACTTAAAATGGTAAAAATGGTAAATTTTATCTGATGTATATTTTATCACACTAATAATTTTAAAAGATTATAAAGTCTGTCTTGCTTAGTGACTCTCTGCCTTGCTGGCTTTGAAGAAGCAAGCTGCCCTGTCACGAGCGGCCTATGGAGTGAGCCACATGACAAGGAAGTGGGTGCAGCCTCCAGCCTCCAAAAGCCAGTGAGAAGCTGAAGCCCTCAGTCTGCAGTCCTGCAAGGAACTGAATGCTACCAACAACCATGTGAGCGTAGAAGCAGATCCTTCCCCAGGTGAGCCTCAGATGAGACTGCAGCCCTTGCTGACACCTTGATTAAAGCTCTGTGAGACCCTGAATTGGAAGACCCAGCTAAGCCTCGCTCAGATTCCTGGCTCACAGAAACTGAGGTGATAAATGTGGGCTGGTTTTTTTGTTTTGTTTTTGATATGGAGTCTCGCTCTGTTGCCCAGGCTGGAGTGCAGGGGCACAATCTTGGTTCACCGCAACCTCCACCTCCTGGGATCAAGCAATTCTCCTGCCTCAGCCTCCCTAGCAGCTGGGGCTACAGGCCCGTGCCACCATGCCTGGCTAATGTTTTTTGTATTTTTAGTAGAGACAGGGTTTCACTGTGTTAGCCAGGATGGTCTCAATCTCCTGACCTTGTGATCCGCCTGCCTCGGCCTCCCAAAGTGCTGGGACTACAGGTGTGAGCCACCACGCCCAGCTGTGGGCTGTTTTTTGAATGGCTAAATTTGTGGTAATATTGTACTGCAATAGGTAACTAATGCAAGCAGTATTGTACGGTACTATCAGCAACTTTTCTTTTTCTTTGCTCAATAGTATGTCTTGGAAAACTACTAATTTTTTTTTTTTGGAGATGGAGTCTTGCTCTGTCACCCAGGCTGGAGTGCAGTGGCGTGATCCCAGCTCACTGCAAGCTCTGCCTCCCGGGTTCATGCCATTCTCCTGCCTCAGCCTCCCAAGTAGCTGGGACTACAGGTGCCCACAACCATGCCCGGCTAATTTTTGTATTTTTAGTAGAGACGAAGTTTTGCCATGTTAGCTAGGCTGGTCTTCAACTCCCGACCTCAGGTGATCCACCCACCTCGGCCTCCCAAAGTGCTGGGATTATAGGCGTGAGCCACCGTGCCTGGCTGAAAACTACTAATTCTGTTACATGGAGCTCTAGCTCATTCCTCTGAACTGTTGTTCAGTACTTTGTATAAGCACCATTGAAGATGATTTGGAGCTTTAAAATGTTTTGCCATCACAAATAATGTGGCCCATGATGTTCTCCTTAGTGCCTCCATGTGTGCTTTCATAAGGAAGAAACCAAGATGTGTGATTGCATCTTTAGTCTTTTTGTTTTGTTTTGTTTTTAATTGAGACGGAGTCTTGTTCTGTCACCCAGGCTGGAGTGCAGTGGTGTGATCTCGGCTCACTACAAGCTCCACCTCCCGGATTCAAGTGATGCTTGTGCCTCACCCTCCAGAGTAGCTGGGACTATAGATGCCTGCTACCATGCACGGCTAAATTTTTTTGTGTTTTTAGTAGAGATGGGGTTTCACCATGTTGGCCAGGCTGGTCTCAAACTACTGACCTCAGGTGATCCGCCCACCTCGGCCTCCCAAAGTGCTGGGATTACAGGTGTGAGCCACCGCACCCGGCTGCATCTTTAGCTTTAATGCCACTGCCAATTGCCCTGCAGAGTGAAGCTCCCGAGTGGGGCCTTAGAGCGCCATTTTTCCTGTCCCTGTTGACTGCCTGTCACTGTCACCATCTGATTTCCCCACTGTAACTCCTGGAAGGCAGGAAGCATTTCCTTTGCATCTTTGTGTCCCAGAGCTCAGCCCAGGGCCTGGCACAGATCCCAAGCTATGCACATCCTTCCTTCTCTGTCCACATCCTCCCCTTTTTTTTGAGACAGGGTCTTCTCTGTCACCCAGGCTAGAGTGCAGTGGTGGGATCATAGCTCACTGCAGCCTCAACCTGCTGGGCTCAAGCCATCCTCCTGCCTTATCCTCCCGAGGAACTGGGAGTACAGGCATGTGCCACCATGCCTGGCTAGTTTTTATTTTTTGTAGGGATGGGGTCTTGCTATGTTGCCCAGGCTGGTCTTGAATTCCTGGGCTTGAACTAACCTCTGCCTCGCCTCCAAAGTGCTAGGATTACAGGCTGAGCCACTGCGCCTGGCCCACAACCCTTTCTGAACAGCTGGGCTGTGACAGCCCACTAGGGACAGCCTTGTGGCTACAGTGGACTGGATCACAGAGGACCTGGGCGTTGGACAGGCAGCTTAAATGGGCTGCTGTTGGAGCCAAGGTTACAATCAGAGCCCCTTGGGGAAAGCAGAGCCTAACAGCTTCGGGAGGTAGGTCCTCTGCAGAGAGGAGCAGAGATGGGCAGAGAGCAGAGGGAAGGAGAGGAGCAGACGCACGGCCCCCAGGAGGCCCGGCTCTCATTCTGTCTTTGCAGCAAATCCCCGTCTTGGGACGGCCTGAGGTTTCTGTTCCTTGTAGCCACAGGCTCCCCAAGACAAAGAGCTGCTCCGTGTTCGTGGACCTGTTCTCTGGATCTTTCAGATGCTGAGTTGGGGGGTCTCCCAGAGATTCAGGAGAAAGGCCAGAGGCTGGGGTGGAGTCTTCCTTCTTCATGCATTTCCACGTATAGGGCCCCCGGAATCTCATGTGCTGGGCCTACCCGCCTGGCGCCACTCCGTGGTTCTCTCTGCTCACCTGACGTCTTCGTGCCTGCTGCCCTCCTGCTGTGTCCTGTCCAAGCGGGCATCTCTACAGTCAGCAAAGCGGGACCAGGCCCCTGCCGTGGGCCCTGGCTCATAAAAGACAGTGAGTTTTTCACTCTGAAGTCCAGATTGCCCAGCGGGGCTCATCTTGTGCTTCAAGTACATTCAGCGTGTGCCCGGAGCACGCAGCACTGGTGAAGTTGGGGTTCAGGAGTCAGGTGGACTGGGCCCACCCCTTACCTTGTGTGTGACCTTGGGCAAGTCACCTACCTCCCCTGTTGTCTATTTCCTCATCTGAAAGTGGGCTTAGAAATGGTTCCCGCCACGTGGGGAGGCGGTGAAGCACTCTACCAGTCCTGTGGGGACCTTCCCTGTGCTTCAGACTCACGGCCAGTGTCTGCCTGGCATCCAATAGGCATCTCTGCCTTCACAACCCACAGCAGGACTCTTGATTTCTGGGCCACCTTCTCTCCAAATCCTTCTGTACCCCCTTATCAAGAGACAGTATAGGCCGGGCACAGTGGCTCACACCTGTAATCCCAGCACTTTGGGAGGCTGAGGCGGGCAGATCACTTGTGGTCGGGAGTTTGAGGCCAGCCTGGCCAACATGGTGAAACCCTGTCTCTACTAAAAATACAAAAATTAAGGGGGCATGGTGGCAGGCGCCTGTGGTCTCAGCTACTCTGGAGGCTGAGGCAGGAGAATTGCTTGATCCCAGGAGGCAGAGGTTGCAGTGAGCCAAGATTATGACACTGCATTCTAGCCTGGGTGACAAAGTGAGACTCTGTCTCAAACAAACAAAAAAAAGAGGCAGTATGGTCTAGTGGTAAAAGCATAGAAGCTGGGGTCACCTACCAGCAATGTGACATGTGTAACGGTGGGCAGGTTCATGAATTCCCCAGGCCTTAGTTTCCCCTCTAAACGGGGGGCTGATGATGATGACATACTATCTCGCAGGGCTGTGGTGAGGATGAAATGAATTCACGTGTGAAGCACTGGGAATAAAGGTTCACCCTTTCCCTCCCCCCGAGAAACGATCCCTCCACCATTCCACCTTCTCAAACCAAAAATGCAGGGGTCACCCCGGCTCCTGCCGTGGGCACGTGGATCGTACATAAGGAAGCAGTGCACGTTCTGCTGACTCAGCCTCCAAAGTGGCCCCTAGGGTCCTCGGTTTCTGTCCATCTGTGTGAACACACCCTGGTCCAAGCCAGCCTCCTCACTCCGCGGATGACCGAGCCAGCCAGGCCTCTCTATCTGCAGCCAAAGTGATCGTGTACTTATGAGATAGAAGTTGAAACTCTTCCTCCCCTCCTCCCTCCCTTCCATTCACTTTTTCTTTTAACTTTTGGGTTTTTTGAGACGGAGTCTCACTCTATCACCCAGGCTGGAGTGCGGTGGCGCAATCTCGGCTCACTGCAACCTCCACCTCCTGGGTTCAAGAAATTCTCCTGCCTCAGCCTCCTGAGTAGCTGGGATTACAGGCACCTACCTGCCACCACACCCAGCTAATTTTTGGATTTTTAGTAGAGATGGGGTTTTGCCATGTTGGCCAGGCTGGTCTCAAACTCCTGACCTCAAATGATCCACTCAACTCGGCCTCCCAAAGTGCTGGGATGACAGGCATGAGCCACCAAGCCTGGCCTCTTTTAACTTTTGATGATGGAAATTTCTAAACACACACAAACATGGAGAGAGTGGGAAACAGACCCCCCACTTCCATGAAGCCATCAGCCATGCTGGATGGATGGCAGCCACATGTGTCTTGTGGCACGATTCTCTTGCCCCCTTCTCCTGATGTGGAAGCATTTTAAAGCACACCTCAGACAGCCTATGACTTCAGCCTCAAGCAACAGAGTCATCTTTTAAACTCTGAACTGGATAACGTGACTCCCTGTGCATTCCTGGGCTCTCCCGCTCCTCCCCCGCCGCTGTCCCCTGGGACCGGCCTGTCTCTTTCACTCTCCCCAGGGCCCTTCTCTCCTCACACTTGTGGCCTTGGATCTGTCCTGGGGGCTCCGCATTGCTGGCCTCTCTGCCTGGATCCCGCATCTCCCTGATTTTTCATCTGTGTTTTTACTGCAAATGTTTGGATTTTGTTTCCTGCTCACAGCAGGAGGCCATCGGGGATTGCTGTGCAGGGGAGTATTAGGAGCTGAGTTGT
Organism: Homo sapiens; assembly: GCF_000001405.40. Taxonomy (NCBI): domain Eukaryota; kingdom Metazoa; phylum Chordata; class Mammalia; order Primates; family Hominidae; genus Homo; species Homo sapiens. The sequence goes on from NC_000011.10 coordinate 68,256,700, forward strand.
GTTTTTAAAATATCCTCCGGCTGCTGTGTGGAGGATGAGTAGGGCTGGGGCGGGGAGCAGGAAGACCATCACAGAGAATTCAACGTAGTCGAACGTAGTCCATATTCTAAAAAGTATCGGCTTGTGTCAGCCACTGCGCTGGATCTTGAAGCAAAGCTGTAGATACGGAAATTGTGGCTGAGTATGGTCGTGGTTTGTCCCAACTGACCCAGCTGGTGGGTTTTGGGACCGAGGCCCGGGGGGCTGCCTGTGAGTTCATTGCATTCTCCCTGAACTCGTGGATTCCTTCTGGTGGGAGACAGTTACAGGCGCAAATGACCTAATACCACCTAGAACAATCCATCCCATAGTGGAAGCCGAGCCCCCCTGGCCTGGAACAATCGAAGAGGGCCAGAGTTCTCTGGTGTGGGGTAACGGCAAGACTCCCTGCTGTCAGGGGAGCGGGCTAAGGGGTTTCCACCTGCAAACATGGAATGGTAGGCGCAGGGGGCCGGAGGGTGGGATGGTGTCTCTAGCCAAGGCCAGCACCAGGGCTGGTGAAATAGGCTGGGAGGGGCAGGACGTGGTGGCTCACACCTGTAATCCCAGCACTTTGGGAGGCCGAGGCAGGAGGATCACCTTGAGGTCAGGAGTTCCAGACCGGTCCGGCCAACATGGTGAAACCCCGTCTCTAGTAAAATACAAAAACTTAGCTGGGCGTAGTGGCAGGCGCCTATAATGCCAGCTACTCAGGAGGCTGAGAATCGCTTAAACCCGGGAGGCAGAGGCTGCAGTGAGCCAAGATGCACTCCAGCCTGGGCAACAAGAATGAAACTCTGTCTCAAAAAAACAAAAAACAAGAAGGCTAGGAGGGAGCCTTGCCCGCCAGGGGGAGCCCTTGGACTTCCTCTACCAAGAGATGCGGCCCTGCTCCTAGAGAAACTGGCTGGCTCGAGGCCATGCCCTGTCGAGCTCGAGGCCATGCCCTGCCGGGGCTCTCAAGGCTTTGGAGGAGCCTCTGCTCCCTACGGCCGTGGTGTGCTCAGCCACGCCCAACATTTGCAGACAGATCCGGTGTGAATGCTCAGCTCTCACGGCTTTGGAGGAGCCTCTGCTCCCTGTGGCCATCGTGTGCTCCTGAGCCACGCCCAACATTTGCAGACAGATCCAGTGTGAATGCTGTGCTGCCATTTGCTTGGTGGATGACCTCGGCCAAGCAACCTGGCCTTTCTGTGCCTTGGTTTCCTCACTGTGAAGGGACGAGAGCTCCTTTTGGGGCCAAGCCCCGAATTGGACTCTCACTTCTGTTTGGCCTTCTGGCACCTTCTGTGTGGACTCTCACCCATCAGTTAGGGACTTTGTACCTCCTGTGTGTCAGTGCTGTGCTAGGCCCCGGATGAGCCACTGCCCCTGCCGCAGGAACAGAAAGCCTGAGGGGGGCTCTGAGCTCTCTGAGCTCCCCAGGGTGGAGGAGGCACCTTCTCTGAGCCCACCCCTCACCTTCATTGTGTTCCTCACAAGGCAGGTCTCACCCACCGCACCGGGGGCTCCTGGGCCACGTCATCTCTGAATCCCCATTGGGCTGGCAAACAGTAGGTGCTCACTAGGCACCTGATAAAGTGAGTTGAATGGGACTTTGTGTAGGCCAGGATGGCACCTGGCTTATCTTGCAGTCTCGTGTCCTCCAAGGCAGGGAGAAGAAAGCCCGGAGCCCCTGGATTTGGACAGGTCTGCGACGGGGGCGCCTTGAGCTCTGTTTGGCTGGGACTCACCACAGGGGGCTGCATTGGGCCTGTAGTGCTGGGCAGAGGAGCTTGGGGCTTTCGGCAGGGACGGGTGTGGTTAGATTTGTGTTTTGACGGGTCCCTTGCCGCAGGGTGGAGAACGGATGAGCCAGGCTGTCTGGGAGCAGAGTGGGCAGGCAGTTGGTGGTGGGCCCAAGGCCGGGCAGCAGCTGGGGTCAGGACAGGGGAAGCGGCCGGAGTACTGAAACCTTTAGGATGGCCAGTTGGACTCAGGGGGAAGCACAGGTTTCTAAATCTGTTAGCCCACGTGGGGATGCCATTAGGTACAGGGAGGACCCCTGGGGCCAAACACACTCCTGGGGGCCGATGCTGAGGTTGGCCTTGGATGCTGAGTTTGAGGCACCTGTGGTCCAGGAGGAACGCCATCCAAGAGAGAACAATGGCAGGGGGTTTGGAATAGGACCCCCAAGGATGGAGGGGGAGAGTGTGACCAATGCTCTCAGAGGATAAAAGAATTCGGAGACTGGGTGCGATGGCTCATGCCTGGAATCCCAGTGGAGGCCGAGGAGGGTGGTTCACTTGAGATCAGGAGTTTGAGAGCAGCCTGGCCAACATGGCAAAATCCCATCTCTACTAAAAATACAAAAATTAGCCAGGCATGGTGGCATGCACCTGTAATCCCAGCTACTCGGGAGGCTGAAGCAGGAGAATCGTTTGAACCCAGGAGGTAGAGGCTGCACTCAGCCGAGATCGTGTCACTGCACTCCAGCCTGGGTGACAGAGTGAGATTCTGTCAAAAAAAAATTGGGGGCCCTGGCTGGGGCAGGGGGACTGACTGGCTGACTCTGCAGATCCCTGTGGCCCACTCCCTGGATGTAGGGGTGCCAGGCAGAGGCCGTTAGTCACAAGCTGAAGGCCAGCACTGCAGGTTACTCTTCATCCTACCTCCCCAGAAAGGAACGAGGTGCCCACAGTCTATGAGAACACCCCCCAAGCCACAGCTCACACAGGCCCAGGGTTCTGGCTCTCCCAGGGGAGGCTCAATGAGCCAGGGTGGAGAGCTGACCCTTAGCAGGCTGGTCCTCGCCTGGGCCACTGGGGTGAAGTCAGGCAGAGGAAAGGGCATCCTCCACAGCTCCGATTGTCTACCCATGGTGGGCAGAGCTGCCCATTCCGGGCAGACGGTGTCTTGTCAGATTCAAGGACAATGCTGCGAGCTGGCCTAGAGCTCAAGATGGCAAGGGAGACAAGCCAGGGGCTGGAACCAACCACCTTCCCAGCCAGCGCCAGTGCCTGTAGTTAAGCATGCAGATGCGACTCCGATGTGTGATGGCCAGGAAAGGAGACAGTCAGGCACAAGCTCTGTGGAGTGTGGCTGTCAGTCCAGAAGGCCTGACTCAGGCAGTGAAGGCTGGGAGAGGGGAAGGGGCCAGCAGGACGTGACAATGAGAAAGAAAAGGCTGGGGAAGCCGGGGTGCAGTGAGGGAGAAGACAGGAGGAGAGGACTGGGGGGCAGCTTCTGACCCATTCTCCCCACTCCATATTTTCCCAGCCTCGGCTTTGAAGTTACTTCAAATGGTTTGGGAGTTACCGTCTTAGCCTTTTATCCCAGGCCCTTTGACATCCTTTTTGGAGATGAACTTAAATAAGAAGCTGGCCACCCAAACCTAGCCCAGGGAGATCTTGGTGAGTGGGAGACAGGAGATTCCGGACAAAGATCAGCTCTGCCTCAGCGCCAGGTGGTTGAGAAGCCACAGCCAACTCCACAACCACTTTTGGGTGGGGCCCCATGCTGCCATGTTTACAGCAGATGCTGCTCTGTCTCTCCCCATTTCCCAGAGGAAGAAGCCGAGCTCCAGAACACTCTATAGCTTGCTCCAGGTCTCAGCAGCCGCAGACCTGGCCTGAGAACATGGCCTTACAAGATGCCCTGGCCACGTGTGGCCCATCAGCTCTTGCTGCCTTGGGCAGGTGGGCAGATGAAGGACCAAAGGCCAAGCTCAGGCTGGGCAGGTGGCAAAGGAACCTAGTTAAACAAACAGCTGGGACTCTAGGACCAGGGCTCAATCCTGACTCTGGGCCTCCAGGAGTGACTTTGCTCTGTGCCTCAGTGGTCCCGTCTTCAAAATGGAGATTGTGATGCTGATCTCCTGGGGCTGAGGCAATGCAGCAGGTCACACATGTGCAGCAGGTTACACACACACAGTGGGTTGCACTCACGCAGCAAGTTACACACGCACAGCACATTACACACGCACAGATCACACACACGCAGCGGGTCACACACAGGTTACACACAGTAGGTTACACTCACACAGCAGGTCATACACAGCAGGTTACACTCACACAGCAAGTCACATTCACACAGCACAGGGACAGGGCAGGCATGTAACAAGCACAGAGCAAGTGCTGGCTGGATGTTCAGGATGGGAGCCTGGAATCCAGGGGAACTGGCCTAAGGAGCAGGCTCCGGGGTCGAATCCCAGGACTGGCCCTGGGGTCCTGGGTTACCTGGAGCAAGGGACTTGCACTATTCAGGACTAGCAATAGTGACCCCACCTCATGAGCAGGGCAGGATCAGATTCTGTTCTGCGCAGGTTCAGGCCGAGCTGGCCACACCACGGGGGTGATGTGTTGAATTTAGCTCCTTCACCCCTAAGGCTGGCTCCAGGAGGTTCATCGAACAGGTCAGAAAAAGGATTAAAGATGCTGGCTGTGGCCTCCTCTGGGGCCCAGGAGCCTCCCAGCAAGCACCAGGGCGGGCGTGGGTACCAGGGAGAAACCCAAGTCAGTGGCAACGACACAGTCAACCTCCAGGGTGCGGAGTGATGGTGCACATTCACAGAACAAAACCCTGCCACGTGCACGGCAGAAAGCAAGGCTCCCCAAGGAGCAGGATGCACCCACACGATTGTGGCGAGCAGTCAGTACTTTAATTCAGGTCAGGCTCCGACACCTGGGGAGACGGGGTCCTGCCCGCCCCACCCTGAGGTGGAACCCCCAGCTGCTCCTGGGCACAGAATCATTTACAAAAATAAATATGAAAAAAGCAGCAACTCTTTAGTGATCATGGAATTAATCTGACAGCAATTAAATGTGTTTAAGCATCTGGCATATCTCCTCAATTGCACCAAAAGAATTTGGAAGCACTTGGTTTGGTCTCAAAGGCAAAAGGAAAGGACGAGGAAGGGGCCAGGCCTCCCGCCAGGCCCCCGCCCCCCTCACATTTCTGAGTCCGCATACATCCCGTTGATTAAGTAGTCCACCTGGGTGTAGTCCTTCTTCTTGTAGCTCTCATAGGCCTGCAGGGCAAACAAAACCAAGACTGTGATGAAAAGGGTCACCCCGAGTAACAGCACCACCAGAAGGAGAGTTTTGTCTACCACGGCCTGGGTGAGGGGCTCAGTGGTGACCACCATGTACTGGCCTTGGGTGCTGGGCTGGCACGAGTCCGTGGCTGGCATCTTAGTGCCCCCTGAGCTCCTGGGTGTTGGCCCAGTGGAATCAGTACCTGGTGTGGCTTCAGTCTCTACCTGCTCCGGTGCCTGGGATGTGCCTGGCCCAGCGGCCCTCTGGGTATATGGCATGGGGCTTGGCTGTGTCGTGGGGGACATGGCCTCCATCTCAGGGATTGGGCTGGTGTGAGGTACTGGCACTGGGCTGGCAGTTGGCTCCCTGGCTTGTGCCTTGGTGGTGGTCACCACTGTGGGGGTGGGGGCGGGCTCTGGGGTTGTGTTTGAGGGCATGGGTGTGGATTTATTTGTTGTGTTAACCACAGGCTGGTCCACTGACACCTGGCTAATGGGACCTTGTGCTTGGGGACGCATAGGGGGTACAGGGCTTGCCGCGGTGTCACTGGGCATGTGCTTGGAAGGACTTGGACGAGTGCTCATGGGGCTGCTTGTGTTTGCTGTGGTCGCTACAGTCTGAGCACGTGTGGCCAATGTGGCCAGGGTTGCTGTTCTTGGCAACGCGCTGCTCTTTGGCACTTGTGCGAGGGCTGTGCTGAGAGATGGATGCCCAGTGGCGGTAGTGGACGGGGTCCGCCCTGTGGAAGTGGACGTGGGCGCGGGGAGTGCAAGTGTCATGGGAGTGCTGGAGGCCGCAGTCATACTGGAGGCTGCAGTCGTGGGAGCAATGGAGGCCACAGTTGTACTGGAGGCTGCAGTCGTGGGAGCACTGGAGGCCACAGTCATACTGGAGGCCGCAGTCGTAATGGAGGCCGCAGTCGTACTGGAGGCCACAGCCGTGGGAGCAATGGAGGTCACACCATCAGCTGCACCTCCTGAAGTTGCTGGTTCACTCACATCTGTCCTGCTTGTGTCCTCTGTTGTGACTTCCATAGAGTTGAGGTGGGCTGCCGAAGTCCCTTTGGTCAATGTGACAGGAGAAGCTGCTGCCATGGTTACATCCTCAGACGTTTTATTATCAACTGTTTCCACAGATGCATTCCTCTTGACTAATCCCTTCCACATTTTGTTAGGGACAAAGTTGCCTTAAAGTCAGAAAAAGGAGAAAAAGAGAGACAATCATGTTCAATCCTGCACAGGGGGATTGCTCAGGGATCGGCTTCCACCCAGGCCTGTGGGGCCCCCTCCTCAGCCCAGCCAGAGTCGGGGGAGGTGATGTGCGAACATGCTTCCTCCCCATCTCTCTTCCCACTGTTGGCATGCAGCTCATTGAAAAAGCCCTTGTCAATTTGATTTTAAAACTCCTTTGCCCTCTATGAACCCCCTGCCCATTGAAGGCTTCAGACCTTCACTATTTGATCCAATTCCCAAAACATCAGAGTAAAAGTCTCACACAACAGGTGTGATTCACCATTAAAAGCCCACTGAACGCACACCCAGGTTTACAAAGCAGATAAACTGCACAGGTATTCACATCATAAAAGAACGCTTGGCTTTGTGAAAGGATTCACTGCAGGAATTCTTGGAAATGAATGGCACAGAGTGGGAACGCAGTTAAAGATCTGATGTATGAAGGAATCAATTCCCCAGTGAAGATTCAATTTAGAGATGACATCAAATCTTGCAGGCCAAGCGAGCAAACCTTTCAGGGCTCAGCTGCCTGGTCCTGCTAGGGGCTCTTTGCCCACCATGGCCCTGGAGAAGGAAGGTTGGCCTGACAACCCTTCCCTGTGCGGCACCTGGGAGGGCTGCGGTTCCTGACGCGTTGGCCTGGGTTTGCAGATGCTGCTTTCAAGGGCTCAGCATGCTTTGTGGCCACCGTGGGCCCATCCAGCAGTCACACAGCTTTCTCACTTACGTGGATCGTTGGATGCCGCATGGCTTTCAGATAAGGACAAGGAGAAAATCCAAATGAGCACAAGAGCTGTCCACATCTTGTGGGTGAGCTGGGAGCAAGGCTGGGCGGTCCCCGAGGCTCCCAGCCAGCCAGCTCCTCAGGCTGCTAATGGTTCCCTCCTGCTTGGCCAAGGGATCTGTGGTCAAGAAAGCACGCTGGTCAGAAGGCGTCTGGCCAGCAACACACAGCCTTGCCTGAGAGCACCTGCTGTGGAGGGCTCTGGCAGGGTCCAAGGTGCAGACTGAGCCAAGTGCTGAGACCAGGGCCTGGTGCCCAGGAAGACCTCAGCCATGGTATAGTAATGAACTGCCCTGTGCTTTGCATCTGATCACTTCTTGACCCGATTTCACTATGAATCTCAACCTGCAAAAGTTCCCATTCTCCCATCCTAGAGTTCAGAGTTTAAAGGAGCAGGAGAGAGGGCTAAGACTTGGTTGTGTTCATAGGGTGAAGGCCTTCTCATCACCAAGACTGGTCAAGTCTTCCTCCTCAGCTTCCCCCATAGTCTGCAGAGTACAAATCAAGCCTAATGCACCCCATGTGCACCCTGTGACAGGTGACTGTGCCTTTCACATGGGAGATACTACTTAACCATTCATCCATCAATCCACCCATTCATCCATCCACCTGCCCGCCCACCCATCCATCCACCCACTATTCTATCCATCTACTCATCTGTCCATCCATCCATCCACTCACCCATCCATCCATCCACTTACCCACTTACCCATCTATCCATCCATCCATCCATCCACCCACCCATCCATCCACCCACTCATCCATCCACCCACTCATCCATCCATCCATCCATCCATCCATCCATCCACCCACTATTCTATCCATCTACTCACCTGTCCATCCATAAGTCCATCCATCCATCCATCCATCCATCCACCCATCCATCCACCCACTCATCCATCCATCCACCCACCATATCCTATCCATCTGTTCATCTATCCATCCATCCACCCACCCACCCATCCATGCACCCAGCCATCCTTTCATCCAATATTTACTTAGTGCTTTCTCATGTGCCAGGCAGTACACTTAGGACAAAAAGGTGAAAAACACACAAGCTCTTCAGGGACCTGCAGTCCATGGGAGACACAGAAAAGAGGTCATTGCAGGCTGGCACAAGCATTGTGCAGGGTGTGACTCAGTGCTGGGAAGCAAGGAGGAGACAGTATGCGGGCAGGCCTTGAAGAGTGAGGTAGGCTGATACTCTGGGCAGAAGCCCCAAGGGTGGCTGGGCCCCAGAGGACAGGGTGCCACAGGGGCCCAGAGGACACAGTTCAGCCAGTGGTGGTGTGGTCGGCATGCCAAGGAAGGCTTCCTGGGAAAGCGATGCCTGGGCCGCATTCTGAAAGCTGGGTGGGGGTGGGCAGGCAGGTGGAGAGGGAGCAGCAGATGACAACAGCAGGGTCAGAGGCAAGGAAGAGCGTGGTGAGGCGGGAATTAGTCTGGAGAGCGTGAGGAGGCCCCATGAGCCATGTGGCAGTTTAGATTTCACAGTAGGGGGATGCGAGTCCCTCCGGGGCCTTAGACAAGAACAGAAAGGTGCTTTTAGCAAGAGGGGAGGCAGGGGCAGCCAGTGAGGGGCAGCGATCCAGGCACCTGATACAGAGGCTCTCTCAATGAATGAAGGCATGAGTGAATGAGTGACTGACCCACTTCAGAGACTGCAGTGGTCCCCACAGCCGGCCCAAGTTGCTGTAAAGCAAAGCCCTCTCCTTCATTCTAATGCTCCACAGAAGTGATGTGGACGCCTTAACACATTTTTATTTTTTTGAGATGGGTCTCGCTCTGCTGCCCAGGCTGGACTGCAGTGGCATGATCGTACCTCACTACAGTTTTGACCTCCCAGGCTCAAATGATCCTCCCACCTCAGCTGGGATCACAGGCGCATGCCACCACACCTGGCTATTTTTTTTGTGTGTGTGGAGAGAGGATTCTTGCTATGTTGCCCAGGGTGGTCTCCAGCTCCTCGGCTGAAGCAATCTTCCCACCTTGGCCTCCAAAGTATTGGGATTACAGGCATGAGCTATTGTGCCCGGCCCTTAATGTATTATAAAAAAATTATTTGGTTTGGTTTATTTGTTTTGTTAGATAAAATAATGAAAACAGTCACAAGGTAACCAGCACTTAGCAGCCCACAGCAAAGTGTGGCCCCAGCTGCATAGCTGTAGGCAGACTGGGGCTTTGGGGTGCTGGGTGAGCTGCCCATTGGTCACTCAGGGACGAAGGGGCCATTGAATGCATGAGTGGCAGAAGCAGCCTTTTAGCTCTTTCAGCATTCACTGTCATTCCCTTGAGGAAGCTACTGTAATAGGGTCAAGAGACCATGCAAGGGGAGTGGGAGACCAGCAGGACACACAGAGGCCAACAGCACTGCCTGCGTTCCAACTCCAGCTCCCATGCTCACTAACCAAGTGACATGTGCAGCCACAGGACCTCTGAGCCCCGCTGAGCTGCATGGGAGTGACATGGGACATGGGATCACACGGGCAAGGACCCAGCATGGCGCCTGGCTTAGCCAGCAGCCCACCCGAGAAGCACTTCCAGCTACGCAAAAGCAGCCACTGCGCAACAAGAAGCCCCTGGGTGGCTTCCTGCCTCCTGTAATCCATGTGGACTGTTGTCAAGCTGCCCCGGGGCTGGAGAAAGCCCTTAGAGCACACACTCCTCTGGAAGGCTGGTGTGTTCCACGAGACTTCCGGTCTCTTTCCAAGAGTCACTAACTTTTCTCTAGCTTCAAATGGTGCTTTCTCTTCAAAATGGTCTGTAAGGGCTCCTAATGTGTTAGGGGCTTAGAAAAATTACTTGGCCTTACAAACCACAGATCTAGAGTGCAAAAAGCATTCTTTGTTCTGACAGAAAAAAGTGTGGCGGGGGGGATGGGGAGAGAAGAAACTAACCAATATCATGCAAGGCAGAACTGAAACTGGAAGGTTTCGGGCACAAAGAACTCACAATCCTCCACGGGTCAAGGCAGTGCAGCTGGGCTTTTGATAAATATGAGTATTTAAATGGCTCTCTCTTGGGCCAGTAACATCTACCGAATGTTTTTAAAATGCTACCACCCCTGGTATGTTCCCCAGGCCCGAGCCCGGGATTTGAGGTCCTCTGGGTGAGTTAAAGGTGAGATGATGTGGCAGGGGCTTCTTATGGGTGAAGAGGGTCTCGGCTCCTGAATGTACCCCAGCCCCAGGCCTTCTGCTGCCCCCTCACTACAAATCTCTAGGGCAGGGGTCAGCACACTTTCTCTATAGAGGACAGGATGGCAAATATTTGGGATTCTGTGGGCCATTTGGTCTGTGTCTTAGCTACTCCATTCTGCCGCTACGGTACAGAGGCAGCCCTGGAATAGAAGTGAATGGTGGGCATGGTTGTGTCCCAATAAAACTTTATTTATACAAACAGGCAGCAGGTGGGATTCGGCCACAGTTTGCTAGCCCCTGCTTTAGCACTTCAGCCAGCTTCAGGGACCGTGCTCCAGCTACAGCAGGGAGGATCAGACTCAATGTACTGAATGAACCTCCTCCTTCTTGTCCAGTTCTTTGCCTTGGAACAGACAAGGACCTTCTCCTTCCTGAGAGGGGACAGCCTTTCATCATCTTCTGCTAAGAGGCGCCCCTCCACCACCCTGCATGAGTAAGACACAGCCTCCCTGCAGCACAGAGGAGGCTTCTGTGAGTGCCCACGGCATCACCAAGGTCAGGGAGAACCTCTTGAGGTAACTTGCATTTGTGTCACGAAGCCGAAGAGGGTTGCAGGGGATTGCGTGATCCCCATCCTGTTCATGGGCCACCACCCCAGTCCACTCAGAAGATAAGGCCTCCTGATCAGATGCAATGACTCATGCATGTAATCCCCGCACTTTGAGAGGCTGAGGTAGGCGGATGGACTGAGCTCATGAGTTAGAGACCAGCCTGGGCAACATGGCGGAACCCCATCTCTACAAAAAATACAGAAATTGGCCAGGACTACAGGTATGCATCTGTAGTCCCAGCTACTTGAGAGGCTGAGGTGGGAGGATGGCTTGAACCTGGGAGGCAGAGGTTGCAGTAAGCCAAGATTGCACCTCTGCACTCCAGCCTGGACCACAGAACCAGACATTGTCTCAAACAAACAAACAAAAAAAAATGGAGGCAGGGCCTCTGACAGTTAAGGGCCACAGACTGGGCCTGGGCCTTCCTTGGTTACTATAAGGCCTGGCTGTCTTTCCTTTTCCCTTGACCCTCTGATGATCTTGCAAAGCTCCCTCTGGGCTCACCGTCCCATCACCCAACAAGCAGGCCCAGCCTGCAGGGCCAGGACACTTACCAGAGGCTGCTGCTAAGGGGATGCTCCCAGCCTGGACCATCTTCCTCCTTGGAGAGCTGTGGGCTTGACACTGTGTCGCTGGGCGAAGTCTGGCTTTGCAGGGGGTGAAAGCCACGTGGTGGGGCACTCCCGGGCCATGCCATCCTTTGTGGCACATGTGAGACGAAGGTAGACTCTCCACTCTAGTAACAGACGCATCTAGAGTTTGAAAAAAAGTCCACATTCCTTATGAAAGGCATGAAGGAAAATTCCAGTGAGGAGGGAGGCACAAAAAGAGCAGAATTCAATAGATCATTCATTCCACTGGGAAAACGACAACATGGATCAAAGCTTTCAATGTCAAAACTTCCAATGCAGGCTGGGTGCGGTGGCTCACGCCTGTAATCCCAACACTTTGGGAGGCCGAGGCTAGTGGATCACGAGGTCAGCAGTTCGAGACCAGCCTGACCAACATGGTGAAACCCCATCTCCACTAAAAATACAAAAAAATTAGCTGGGCGTGGTGGTGGGCACCTGTAATCCCAGCGACTTGGGAGGCTGAGGCAGGAGAATCGCTTGAAACCAGAAGGTGGAGGTTGCAGTGAGCCGAGATTGAGCCACTGCACTCTAGCCTGGGCAATAAGAGCAAAACTGCGTCTCAAAAAAACAAAACAAAAAACAACAACGACTTCCAATGCAGCAACTTCTACTGCAGTTTCTTTTAAGGAAGCACTCAGACAGAGGTCCAAAGATGATCTACAAAGATATTTCTCACAGCATTATTTAGAAAGAGTAAAAAACTGGAATAGTTCTGTCAAGTATGGCCCCATTCATATATAAAATACTATGGCAACTGTTAAAAATACACAACTCTCTACTTATTGACATGGGAAGATATATAGCATGCATCAGTAAATGAACACGGCAGGTTACACAGCAACGTGTGGACCATGATCCTATTTTTGTTAAAAGGGACATTTATTCAAGGGTCTGGAAAGATTTGCACTAGAATGTTAATGAATATCCCTGGGGAATGGATTCACCTGTGATTTTCATTCTCTACTTCATATCTTTCCTTCTTTTTTTTTTTTTAACAAGCATGTATCACTTTTGGAAAACATTTCTGAAAGGCTCCAAGGAAAGAAAACAGCATATTTTCTTCAAGTACTTCAAGCCACTAAGCAGAAAGGCACAGAGTTATCCCACCTGATACAGTTTCACATGCTGATTTCCATAATTTAGAGAGACTACACGATCTATATATCAGGAGAGACATTTTCCTAGGAGCCAACCAAAACTTCGGAGGAATCCAGGAGCAAAGCCATAATGCAAAGATGTCAACCGGCACAAATGCTTCTCTCATTGATGAATATTTAACGCGTACTCAGGAGATTACAGAAACAGCTCGTCACCTCTTATCATGGGAAGGTTATCAGTAGGTGGTGATATCAAGGACCACCATGGGCCTGCTCCCAACACAGATGCCCACGTGTGCACACACAGCCACACATACATGCACTTAGTCACACACGCTTGTGTGCGCACAGCTGCACATATGTCCATCTGCACATGCACACATGCCACCACACATGTGCACTCACACAGGCACACACATACACATGCAAAATCACACACACAAAGGTGAGGGCACACACACGGAGCAGGTCCACAAGGCTATATCAGGACACTCCACGGGTTTCTCAGGAAACTTCTGCTGGATACCATCACCACTTACTCCCTCCCAGCCGGTGGGGCTGGTGGTCACTCCCACAGAAACAGGAATTGGCCACTGTGTAGTCGAGAACAGGCCTTCATTGTCCTATGACTTCATCCCTCTGCTATGGTCCTGCCTCCACTTTCCAACAGAATATTCTAAATGTCAAGATCCCATGCGGGAACCTGTGGTCATCTATGTAAGTTGACTCATGATGGACAAACCATTAACAACATTTAAAATAACAGTTTCCCCTGCAAAGGCTTCAAGCCAAAATTAGGATGTGGGTCTCGGGACCCCACCAGTTATTCTCATTATTATGTGGTACAGGGAGACTGGGTAGATCAGGGTCTCAGACCATAATAGATGGGAAAAAAGAGACCCCAGGGGCAGGAGGGGAATGAGCGAGAGAGAATTAAGTTTGTATTAAGTTGGAGACCAGGGCAGATGGAAAGACGGAAGGTTAGGCTGGCACTGGGAGCTCCCTTCTTCAGGGGTCAGCTCCCCATAGGATCTGCAAGGAAGGTGCAACAGGATACTCCCTTGAGCCATGTGACACTCCATGACAAAGGCACCCCCAACTATGCCCCTGGGTGTCAACCTCCCTATCCTTTTCTGGTTCATGACCTCGAGATGCCTCCCAAGGCATCTTGTCTGAATTCTTGTGTTCCGAACCTTGGCTTGTTATATGTGGCGCACTTTATGCAAGTTACACAAAACTGGACTCCAGGCGTGGTGCTGCATGCCTGTAATCCCAGACACTCAGGAGGCTGAGGTGGGAGGATTACAAGCCCAGAAGTTTGAGTTCAGCCTGGGCAACATAGTGAGACCCCATCTCTTAAAAAAAAAAAAAAAGGGAAAGAAATAACTTAATTCTTTTTTTCTGGCATAGAGAGGTTCCAAAGACCAATCCTGAAGCTTGGTAAAGGACTACAGCTGTTACCCCCACATTCTATCAGGCTATTAAGACTCACTCAGCCGCAACATGGCCAGGCCCCCACACCAAGTTAGGCAAGCTACAGATACCAAGGAGTAGGAACTGCAAACACAAATACAGGGCAAACTGCAGGTACCTAATCCTGACACGTCACCTGGCTGAACTTTGGTAGCAGAAGCCCAAGGAACACAGACTTATGGCTTTGTGTATATAGACATTGTCCTGTAGTCCAAAGGATGTGACTCTGTGGCAGACGGGAACCTAGAACATTGGACATTTATTATATTACATTAACTACCTTGCTTGCTTCCAGGTTTCTGGAAGTTTTGGTAACACAGCTAAATACTAGGGCCTAGTTTTTGCTAAGAACGTGGGTAGCTCTGACATTCCTTTGTCCATTAGGCAGATCCACTGTATAAATGGAAACATCTGTATTTTAAAGATTTTCCTAGCTGATTTTATCGAAATGTTAGAGATTTTCCTGGGGCGAGGGATAGCTGCAAGTTATTACAGTCAGATTTCTAAGCACGATGATTATTTCTGGTGGCAAACCATGCGTGTGGAGGCCGATTCCTCCTATCAGCCTAACGATTAAGTCAACATGCTAAGCAGCCACACGGGGGCTACTAAGTGACTCGCACGGGGGAAGCAGGCAGGGAGACAGATGGGCAGGGGAGGGAATCTGGGGCAATGCACAACCTCCACCCAGGTAGAGAGAGGGTCTGGGGGATAGGTCTGTGTCACTCAAGTAAGAGCGACACTTCTTGGGGTCCAGTCCCGTCCTGGGCTTGCCCGGGAAAGACCCCAGGACAAATTCGGCCCCCTTCCAGAGTGTCCCCATTCTGCTCCCACAATGGGACAAGCCGGCCTCTTCTCCAGTCTGGGCCCCCTTCGGCCCTCCTCCCTCCTCCTGTCTCTTGGGCCCCCAGCCATGCTCGGCCCCCAGTTGACTTCTTCAGTACCTGCATTGCTCAGCGTCTTGCACTCTGTGCGTGCCCCATCCGCCGCTCCTCCTGTCCCGTTCCTCCTGCCTCTCTCAGCCCCACTCACTCTCCCACTGCCCCTCGTGCCCCCATCCAACCCTCCTCCTGCCCCCCAACCTCTGTCTCTCAGTCCCAAGCCAGTCAGGGAGCCCTGACAGCAGCTACCCGGACGGCAGTGCGAGCCCCTTACCCGGGCGCAGCAGGCCCCCGGCGGCCTGGTGGCCCTCGGACAGTAGGAAGGAGCCTGAGGCCCGGCGCGGGGACGTGGCCGGCAGCGCAACCCAGGCAGCTCCGGGCAGCGCGCCCTGCCCGGGCCCCGCCCAAACGCCGGAAATGACGTCACGGAGGGCGGGGCGGGCCTGCTGGCCGGGGCGAAGAGCGGCTGCGGCGGGGCCTGTGGCGAACGGAGGCGAGCCGGAAGTGGGGGGGTTGTCTGCTCTCAGGCCCCGCCTCCCCGGGGCCGGCTCGGGCCACTTCTTGCGCGCTGCCAGAAGGAGCTATTTTGAGCAGGTCTGTGGCGGAAGTGGGTGTTCCCGGGTCTCTGCTGCCCAGCTGTGCCCGCTGCCGTCTTGGGGTCCCGGGGTGCGCGGGTTGGGCTGGGTGAGCTCAGAGGCACCTTGTCGGCAGCCGAGCCTGAAGAGGCGACCTCGAAACGCCTCGTGAGACCTTTCGCGGGCACACGCCCTTCGCGTTCCTCCGCTTCCTCCCACGTTTCTTCAGCCCCTGGCGGGGCGCTGGGGTGCCCGGTAGTTAAGGGTGGGGTGGCAGCGAGCGTTTCTGTGCACCCGCAGCGTGCCACGCCCGTGCTAAGCACTTTGCCTATAGAGCCAGTGGCTTAATTCTGCAATAGCACAGTGAAGAACTTCGCCTCATTTTACAGACGTGGAAACAGGCTCATCAAGTGCTCTGTAATTGTAAAACCTGGGATAACAAAGGAGCAAAACGCAATTTAGAGGCAAGTGTGTGGGACTTGACTTTGGTTAGAAATAGGCTTTGCAGGCCAGGCGCGGTGGCTCTTGCCTGTAATCCTAGCACTTTGGGAGGCCGAGACGGGCGGATTATCTGAGCTCAGGAGTTCGAGACCAGCCTGGGCAACATGGTGAAACCCTGTGTCTACTAAAATACAAAAAATTAGCCGGGCGTGGTGGCGTGCGCCTGTAGTCCCAGCTACTCGGGAGGCTGAGGCAGGAGAATTGCTTGAACCTGGGAGGTGGAGGTTGAAGTGAGCAGAGATCGTGCCACTGCACTCCAGCCTGGGCGACAGAGCGAGACTCTGTCTCCAAAAAAAAAAAAGAAAGAAAGAAATAGGCTTTGCAAGTTAGTAGTTCTGTGACTGAATCCCAGTCTGTATAAGACCCTCAGGCATCCCCCGGTCCAAACCAAAACCTGTCTGCGAAGGATGATTTCACAGGAGCAAACCAAGACTTTATTTCCAGTTTTATAACCTGCCTTGGGGTCTTCGGCTAGGAAGCTAAGAGACACAGAAAGCTGAGATTGGGCAAAGACAGGATCTACCATCCACTCCGAGCTCTGGGAGCACCTGAAATGCGATTTGATGTCACCACCACCATCCCCAGTTCAACCACAGTTCATGTGTGGAATTTAACCTGCAAAGTTGGGTTTGCTGAGACCCAACGCCGGTTGGATCATGTGAAGATCAGATCCTTTCACTATGTATTTGCTTTAATTTTTCCAACTAGTTCGGATCTAACATGAAGTACAGTATTGAGGCTCACTCCAGAAGTGAAAATATACAATCGGCAGGCAGATTTTAGTTCTTTGCCTGCCCTTTTCAAAAATCAATGACTGGGCTGGGCGCGGTGGCTCACGCCTGTAATCCCAACATTTTGGGAGGCCAAGGCGGGCGGATCACCTGAGGTCAGGAGTTTGAGACCAGCCTGACCGATATGGTGAAACCCGTCTCTACTAAAAATATAAAAATTAGCCAGGCGTGGTGGCGTGTGCCTGTATTCCCAGCTACTCGGGAGTCTGAGACAGGAAAATTGCTTGAACTTGGGAGGGGGAGGCTTCAGTGAGCCGAGATCTCACCACTGCACTCCAGCCTGGGCGACAGAGCGAGACTCCTTCTAAAAAAAAAAAAAAAAAAAAAAAAAAAAATCAATGACTGTGACTCTGTTTTCATTTCCTCTTTGGCAACATAGGGACAATTTTTACTGCTGGGGCTGAAATTACAAACATAAGACACAGCCTCTCCTCTAGAGCAGCTGGGCAGCTAGACCTCCATCTGCTTGCTTTTTTTTTTTTTTTTTAGACACGGAGTCTTGCTCTGTCGCCCAGGCTGGAGTGCAGTGGCGCCATCTCGGCTCACTGTAAGCCCCGCCTCACGGGTTCACGCCGTTCTTCTGCCTCAGCCTCCCGAGTAGCTGGGACTACAGGCGCCCGCCACCACGCCCAGCTAATTTTTTGTATTTTTAGTAGAGACGGGGTTTCACCATGTTAGCCAGGATGGTCTTGATCTCCTGACCTAGTGATCCGCCCGCCTTGGACTCCCAAAGTGTTGGGATTACAGGCGTGAGCCACCGCGCCCAGCCCATCTGCTTTCTTAAATTTCTATTGGAACAGAGTCATGCCTCTTCATTAGGTATTATCTGATGATAAAAGGGCACAGTCGACTAGTTGTAGAGACTATATGGCTCACAAGTCCTAAAATATTTACTCTCTGGCCCTTTACAGAATCTATTTGCTGATCTCCAGTCTAGAGTGTTACTGATGGGTTTCTGACACAGAAATATCTGGCTGAGATGGTCCAACATACCGGGAAACTCATTCTCTCCTATGAGAAAGTCATATTCTCTGATAGCATCTTTGGTCACCTGAAACCTAGTGTCCATTGAAGGCACAGCTCTGGGAACTGCAAAACTGTTCTGTGGAGTGTTATGGAGAGTAAAGCCAGGCAGACCAGCTGCTTCTGAGGGCTGTGGATAAAATAGAGAATGATACACTTACATCCTCTACCTTTTGTTTCCAGGCACAGATCATTTCAGGTGCCTTCTGTGCAGAAATAGCTGAATAAACTTGGAGCTTGGTCTCTTTGTTGTTGAATTTACAATGTTATTTGAATGTAAGACCTTGTAGATATGACATTTGAAAGTTAGGGCTCTGGAATGGCACTGCCTGGCTTCAGATCCTTCATTTTTTTGCTAAATGACAACAAACAAGAGGCTTAGGCTCTGTGCCTCCGTTTCATCATAGTCAATTCTGGTATTTGCAGTAGTTATGTTGAATAAAGTCACCCAGTACACGGACTTAGCAAATACTGCTCCTTGGAAACCACAGCTCCTAGGGAAGATACAGGGTTAGGTTCCTGTGAACCTCTGATCACAACATTTTTATCAACAGATCAATATACATAACTTTGTTTTTGTGTGTGTGTTTCTATTAAAGATGCTTTATTTAGGCCAGACACAGTGGCTCATGCCTATAATCCCAGCACTTCGGGAGGCCGAGGCAGATGGATCACCTGAGGTCAGGAGTTCAAGACCAGCCTGGCCAACATGGTGGAACCCTATCTCCACTAAAATCACAAAAATTAGCCAAGTGTGGTGGCCCATGCCTATAGTCCCAGCTACTGGGGAGGCTGAGGCAGGAGAATCACTTGAACCCGGGAGGTGGAGGCTACGGTGAGCCAAGATCACGCCATTGTACTCCAGCCTGGGCAACAGAGCGAGACTTCATCTCAAACAAAACAAAACAGAAACAAACAAAAAGAAGCCTTATTTAATGTCTATTATTGACTCATTAATTAACATTGAAAATGAGATGGGAATAATATAGGGTGGTCACAGGAGAATTAAATTCCAGGCAGCAGTTTTACATAACTAGAGACTATCGTCTTCTAAGACCCTGAAAAGCCAAGGTATGAACCAAGCTGGCTAAGACCAACTGGACCCAACATGGTGCTGGGCTTGACCCAGGCTTCCCCTAGGACCTCATTATGTGCTCATTAACATACTAAACACACAACCACCAGTACCATGACAATTTCAGGAACACTCAGATTTGGCGCATAAATGGGTGACACCACCGCTCCAAGAAATCTCTACCTTTTCCCAGGAATTTTCATGAATATTCCACCTCTTGGTTGAAGAAACCCATAAAGGTAGAAACCCCGAACCATTGCTCGACTTTCTCTTGAGTAGGCCTGCATTCCTCTTTCTTGAGTATGTAATTTTCACCTGGTAATAAGTCTTTGTACTTTCACTATTTTCTGACTCATCCTTGAATTCCTTTTCGTAATGACGTCAAGAGCCCGGGGTCAAGGTCCCACCTGCGTTTGGGCACCTCCCCAGCCCACTGGTATCAAACCCACAGACAATGGCATGTAACTCATGCCTGAATGAAGTACATCTAACATGTATTTTCTCCCTAAGACACACCTTTTGCACTGAGGAACACTAGATAACACTTCAACCCTACGTGTGGGGGCCATTTAAAAATGCAAAACCGCCACCCAAAAAAAAGCAAAAAATGACAAAAATGTGGCGCTAAACAGACCAAGAAAAGGACAGTTGTTGGCAGTAGGTGAGCAGAAATGAGGGCAGAGAGAGAGTGCTTGCTGGGTCTCAGCCAGGGACTCCAACACGCGGCGACTCGGATTTTCCCCACTCCAGGCACATGGCATGTACAGGCTCATGGCCTCAGAAACGCTGCAAGTATTGATTTGTGGGGGGAGGGGGGGAGGTTACACATAAATTTTTTACCTACTAAGTGAATTTGCAAATGTGGAATCTATGAATCATGAGAATCAACTGTATGCTAAAACAGAGGAGTAATAGGACCTGCCTCATCAGATGGCTATGGGAATTCAATGATATATGAGTGCATGTAAATTGCTTATAATGGGGCATTACACAGAGAGGACTGAGTATTAGCCACTTTTTTTGTGTGTTTTTTTGTTTGTTTTTGTTTTGCTTTTGAGATGGAGTCTTGTCCTGTTGCCCAGGCTGGTGTGCAGTGGCGCGATCTTGGCTCACTGCAACCTCCACCCCCTGAGTTCAAGCGATTCTCTTGCCTCAGCCTCCCTAGTAGCTGGGATTACAGGCGTGTGCTACCACACCCAGCTAATTTTTGTATTTTTAGTAGAGACGGGGTTTCGCCATGTTGGCCAAGCTGGTCTCAAACTCCTGACCTCAGGTGATCTGCCTGCCTTGGCCTCCCAAAGTGCTGGGATTACAGGCGTGAGCCACCACCCCTGGGCCCGTTGTTACTATTATTGATTACAAAAGAGCAGGACTCTGGTATTTGGAAGAGGATTCTCTAGAGTTTGGAACAACTTGAAGTCCCTGAGTCCCAAACCATTCCGAACCCCTCCACGGTGCCACCTTCGTCACACCAGGCAGAAGCCCTTCCCTTGTCACCGGAAACTCCCTCTGGAAGGAGCTGTTCTCTGTCATTAAAGGGAGTTCCCTTTCAGGAGGAAGCCAATACTCCCCTTCATGCTCCACCCTTTATTGTCATTATTTGAAAATAGAAGGTTTATTTTTATGTTCTGAACACAAAACTAAGAATATTACAATTATGAGAATTTTGAGAATAAAAGTGAATAATTGATGGGGATAGGAGTAAAATTAAATATGCATTATTGGTCTGAGCCTCCTGACATGTCTCTTATAATGTTCAGAAGTATTAATTTGGTTTTCGGGTATTCACCATGGATGGCCAGGGGAAAATTCTTAAGGCTACTACGGACTTACTCTGAGTTTTTTTATTTCAATTTTTTTAAAGCATATTAATTTCAATAAATTGTTACTTAATTTAGTTCACATGTATTTGATATGGTTTAAATAATTTTTATTGAGGATTAGTATACGTCCAGAAAAGTGCACATAAACGTTTACAGCTTGATGAATTTTCACAAACTGAACCACCCTGTGGAATGAACACTCAGTAACAGTGGCACCAGCGTCCTGGGGGCTCCCTTCAACCCCCCTTCCAGGCCCAAAATGAAAATGCCAAGTATCTGTGAAGACTCAGAGCAACCTGAACTCCCATAGAGTTGCTGGTGGGAATGGAAAATGGTACAACCACTTTGGAAAACAGTTTGGCAGTTAAACATACACATACGTGACCCAGCAGTCCCACTCGTAGGTATTTACTCTAGGGAAATGAAAACATACATCCACACAAATATCTGTAGGAAGTGTTTATAGCAGCTGTATTTGTAATTGCCAAAACTGGTAAAGGAAAAGCTTGTTCTACTCACAACACGTCTGACATCCATGTGTAGGTTTTCTTTTCTTTTCTTTTTTTTTCAAGACAGGATCTTTCTCTTATCACCCAGGCTGGACTGTGGTGGCACAATTATGGCTCATTGCAGCCTTGATCTCCAAGGCTCACACCGTCCTCCAACCTCAGCCTCCCAAGTAGCTGGGACTATGGGTGTGCACTATCCTCAGATAATTTTTTTTTTTTAATTTTTGTTAGAGACAGGGGTGTCACTACATTGCCCATGCTGGTCTCGAACTCCTGGCCTTAAGCAATCTTCCCTCCTCGGCCTCCCAAAGTGCTAGGATTACAGGTGTGGGCCACTGTGCCCAGCCCAACATGTGGGTTTTCCACACCAAGCAATTCTCTGCAGACGCCAACTGGGTATCCTACAATTTAATTCAATTTTGACACTAACTCTGTGGAGTTAGCACAGACCCCATAGGTTAAGAGCTCAGTCCCAGAAGACTGCCCCTGCTTCAGGCATCAACCCCAGGTAGTGGGTCCCCAGGTTACCACACTGGCTACAAATCAGAGGGGCCCACGAGCTCCTCCTTAGTTTTGTCATTTGCTAGAGCTCACAGAGCTCAGGGAAACACCTTACTTCCAGTTGCCGATTTATTATAAAGGATACAAATGAACAGCAGATGAAGAGAAGCATAGGGCAAGGTCTGGAAGGGTCCCAAACCCAAGAGCTTTTGTTCCCGTGGAGCTGGGGGTGCACCACGCTCCTGGCACATGTATGTGTTCATGAACCACAAAGTTCTCTGTACCCTGGCCTTTATAATTTTTTTTTTTTTTTTCGAGATGGAGTTCTGCTGTTCTTGCCCAGGCTGGAGTGCAACAGCGTGATCTCAGCTCACTGCAACCTCCACCTCCCGGGTTCAAGTGATCCTGCTGCCTCAGCCTCCCGAGTAGCTGGGATTATAGGCATATGCCACCACACTTGGCTAATTTTTGTATTTTTAGTAGAGACGGGGTTTCTCCATGTTGGTCAGGCTGGTCTCAAACTCCCCACCTCAGGTGATTCACCCGCCTTGGCCTCCCAAAGTGCTGGGATTACGGGCATGAGCCACTTCGCCTGGCCCAGGCCTTTAGACTTTTATGGAGGTTTTATTATATCGGTGTGATCGATTAAGTAATTGGCCATTGGTCATTAGCTCAATCTCAGCCTCTCTTCCCTCCAAAGAAGTGGGAAGGTGGAGTGGGGCTGAAAGTTCCAATCTTGTAATCATGCCTTGGTCTTTGTGGTGACCAGACCCCTCCTAAGCTATATAGGGGTCCCCAGCCATGCCAGTTGTCTCATTAGCATAGAAAAAGACACCATGATCACTCCTGAGACTCCAAGAGCTTTAGAAGCTGTGTGCCAGGAACAGGGGCAGAGACCACTTATATATTTCTTTTTATGTCACAACTGGAAACACCCAAATGCCAATCAATGGGTGAATGAATGGATATACAAATTGTGGTACGCCTTTAAAATGGACACTACCCAGCCATAAAAAGTCACGAATTACCGGCCAGGCACGGTGGCTCACGCCTGTAATCCCAGCACTTTGGGAGGCCGAGGCAGATGGATCACATGAGGTCAGGAGTTCGAGACAAGCCTGGCAAATATAGTGAAAAACTGTCTCTACTAAAAGTACAAAAATTAGCCAGCATGGTGGTATGCACCTGTAGTCCCAGCTACTCGGGAGGATGACTTAGGAGAATCGCTTGAATCTGGGGGGCGGGGGTTGCAGGGAGCCGAGATGGTGCCACTGCACTCCAGCCTGGGCAACAGAACGAGACTGTTTCAAAAAAAAAAAAAAAAAGTTACCAATTACCGATATATGCAACACCACCGATGAATCTCAAAAGCCATTATGCTAAGAGAAAGAGACCAGCTGTAAGAGATGACATACAGTAGGATTCCATTTATATGACATTCATGAAAACAAAAAAGTATAGAGACAGAAAACAGTAGCTGCCAGGGATGGGAGTGGGAAGACAGGAAATGACTTAGCGTTGCCAGAGAAAATACAGGTCGCCCAGGTAAACTTACTAAATCTGGCAACCCTAGATTGTCTACAGAGGGGGATAAAGGAAGTTTTGGGGATGATGGAAATATTCTATATTTTGATTGTGGTGATGGTTACTTGCCTGTGTGCATTTGTCATGGAGTCATGGAGATGTAAATTTTACTACATCTAAATTATACCTCAATAAATGTAGCTAAAAACAAAACAGCTGTAAAGAAAGGTAAAAGTCAAAAATGGAAAAATGGATTATGGATTATGATGGTAGTTAATGTGTGTGTGTGTGTGTGCGTGCGCGCACGTAGAATTGAACACTTAAAATAGGTGCATTTTATTCTATGTTAATTATACCCCCAATAAAGTTGATTCTTTTTTTTTTTTTTTTGAGGCGGAATTTTGCTCTGGTGGCCCAGGCTGGAGTGCAGTGGTGCGATCTTGGCTCACTGCAACCTCTGCCTCCCAGATTCAAGCAATTCTCCTGCCTCAGCCTCCCAAGTCGCTGGGATTACAGGTGCCTGCCACCATGCCCAGGTAAATTTTTTTTTTTTTTTTGAGACGGAGTCTCTCTCTGTCACCCAGGCTGGAATGCAGTGGCATGATCTCGGCTCACTGCAAGCTCCGCCTCCCGGGTTCACGCCATTCTCCTGCCTCAGCCTCCCGTGTAGCTGGGGCTACAGGCGCCTGCCACCACGCCCGGCTAATTTTTTGTATTTTTAGTAGAGACGGGGTTTCACTGTGTTAGCCAGGATGGTCTCGATCTGGGGACCTCGTGATCCACCCACCTTGGCCTCCCAAAGTGCTGGGATTACAGGCGTGAGGCGTGAGCCACCACACCCGGCCATGCCCAGGTAATTTTTTGTATTTTTAGTAGAGACAGGGTTTTGCCATGTTGGCCAGGCTGGTCTCGAACTCCTGACCTCAGCTGATCCACTCGCTTCGGCCTCCCAAAGTGCTGGGATTACAGGTGTGAGCCTCCAGGCCTGGCCAAAGTTCATTCTTTAGAAAGCAATATTAAAAATAAAGAAGGTTGGCCAGGCGCGGTGGCTCACACCTGTAATCCCAGCACTTTGGGAGGTCAAGGTGGGGGCATCACGAGGTCAGGCGATCGAGACCATCCTGGCCAACATGGTGAGACCCCATCTCTACTAAAAATACAAAAATTAGCTGGGCCTGGTGGCATGCACCTGTAGTCCCTGCTACTTCAGAGGCTGAGGTGGGAGAATCGCTTGAACCCAGGAGGCAGAGGTTGCAGTGAGCCAAGATCGCGCCACTGCATTCCATCCTGGTGACAGAGCGAGACTCTGTCTCAAAAAAGAAAGAAAAGAAAAGAAATAAAGAGGGTCACTTTATGATAAATGATAAAAAATTCAACTCACCAGGAAGACGTAACAATTCTAAATATTCTAAATCAGAATGTACCGATAACAAGACCTCAAAACTCGTTTTGTATTCTTTTGGAACTTGAGAAAATAATTCTAGCATTCATCTGTAACACTAAATGGTCAAAAATAGCAAAGAAGTTAGCATGCCTTTATTTCTCAAAATGGCTACAAAATATTTATTACTTTTATAATAGAAAAAGAGTGTTTTTGTTTTGTTTTTTGTTTTTTAAGACAGAGTCTTGCTCTGTTGCCCAGGCTGGAGTCCAGTGGCACAATCTCGGCTCACCACAACCTCCACCTCCCTGATTGAAGCAATTCTCCTGCCTCAGCCTCCCGAGTAGCTGGGACTACAGGCGTGTGCCACCATGCCTGGCTAATTTTTTGCAATTTTAGTAGAGACAGGGTTTCATCATGTTAGCCAGGCTGGTCTCGAACTCCTGACCTCATGATCTGCCCGCCTTGGCCTCCCAAAGTGCTAGGATTACAGGCGTGAGCCCCCGCGCCCTGCTGAAAAAGAGTGTTTTAAAATAGAAAACTGTTTTTTAGGAGAAATGCTCTTTAGCAACAACAACAACAAAAAAAAAACCCAACTTAATCCCAATACACATTTTAAAGTAGTATATAGCATGCAATAGCTGAGGTATAAACCTTCCTATCCATTCCTTATTAAATTATTGCCGGAAGTTCAAGTCACTCCACTCAAAAGGACTTCACATAAGTGGGAAAATCGTTCTTTGAGAAGAAGGTATATGATTTGATATTGTTTTGCCTAGAGAAGAAAAAGAAACAAACCCATTAGAGTGTTGCAGAACCTGAATGGTTTTTCAAGAATTATGTTGATCAACTTTCTGTGTAGAGTAGCAAATAACAAGTGTCACCGATTTGAACAATAGTGTATTTGGGAAATAGAGAAAGGGCTGCTTCCTGTCCTTTGAGATCTTCACAGCAACCACAAACCCTATCTTGTCATCTGTGTTCCGGCATGCCCAGGCACATTTGACCAATTCTAAACGCTAAACGTTACTCCAGCACCCAAGTGTAACCCGTCACGAGGTGAGTCACAATGAATCCTAACCAGGACCCCAGTGGGAAATGTGCCTCCCCTTTAGATTTCTGATTTCACTTCAGTTTCCCGGTAGCACTTATGGTGTCATTGATCACCCCTCCCCACCCCCCATCTCTTTCACAATTTTGTCTTCCGTGGGTCACGTATGTTTTGGAGATGTCTGACTTTCCCAAGAGCTGGTGTTGAATTTCCACCCAGTGTTTCCAGGACGGCAGCCTGTGTGAAGTGCTAGGGAAAGCCTTTTCATGCCTTGAAAAATACACACAAGTATTTCTCTTCCTGAGCTTCAAGGAGACTCTGCATTCAAAAGACCACTCCCGGGCACTGCCTTCTACCAACTTCCCCATCCAGCTCTGATTGCATCGGACCACTGTCTTCCCTCCATGCCTCCAGCCCTGAGGTTGTCAACGGGGTGCTCCAGCCTCCATGTGCACCCTGTGACTTCTTTCATCCTAGTCCTTCTGACCCTCGTGGCTTCTCCTGCTCCAAGGCCAAGCTCGGGACCCTGTCATCATCCCCGGGGACAGGCCCCATCTTAGAGAGGATCCACCCAGCTCCCCGCTCCTGAGCCATCTTCCAGCTATCCCGCCTCGAGACTCCCACCGCACCTGCTCCTGGGCTGCAGCTGCACCCAACAAGTAAGTCATTCTCTTGCCAATAGAGTGTCTTCCACGTCCTTGTCCTTCCCACACTCCCCTTGGCAACCCCACCCCGCCGGATGAATCCAGATGCCCACCTTCATGCCTGCCCCTGGGTGGGTGCTGAGGGAGACCCGTGGCTTTTTCCCGCAACCAGGCCTTCTGCGCTGCCAGAAACCCCATGCTCACCTGGCATGGCGCTCGCACCCAGCCCCCTCCACCATTTTCGAACCCACCTCATTCTCTTTCAGCAGGTCTTGCCTCTTTCTTCAACGAGAAAATAGCAGCCCTGTCATGGGAACTCCCTTAACTCCCTTCCTCCCTGCCTGCACGAGGCCTGAAGAAACACACGTCCATCCTTTTCTCCTCCCTTCCAGTAGCATTGGAAGAGGTGTTCTCACCAGTGAAGTATCTTCTCACCTGAGATGTGGGTTCTATCCCCCACAATCTCCTGGGGAACTTTATCCCACTGATTAACTACTGCCTCTCCGGGACGTCCCACCTGTCTCTACTGGAATCTTACCTTTTTTTTTTTTTTTTTTTTTTTTGAGATGGAGTCTTGCTCTGTTGCCCAGGCTGGAGTGTAGTGGCGCGATCTCGGCTCGCTGCAAGCTCTGCCTCCCAAGTTCACGTTATTCTGCCTCAGCCTCCTGAGTAGCTGGGACCACAGGCGCCTGCCACCACACCTGGCTAATTTTTTTTGTATTTTTAGTAGAGATGGGGTTTCACCATGTTAGCCAGGATGGTCTCGATCTCCTGACCTCATGATCCACCCGCCTTGGCCTCCCAAAGTGCTGGGATTACAGGTGTGAGCCACCGCGCCCGGCCTGGCATCTTCCCTTTAACAGTGACACATGGCAGGGCACAGTGGCTCAGCCTGTAATCCCAGCACTTTGGGAGGCCTAGGCAGGAGGACTGCTTGGACCCAGGAGTTCAAGACCAGCCTAGGCAACAAAGGGGGACCATTTTTCTCTATAAAAATCTAAAAAATTAGCCAGGTGAGGTGGCATGCCTCTGTAGTCCCAGCTACTTGGGAGGCTGAGGTGAGTGGAGTGCTTGAGCCCAGGAGTTCAAGATTGCAGTGAGCTATGATCATGCCACTGCACTCCAGCCTGGGCAACAGAGCAAAACCTCGACTCAGAAAAGAAAGGAAAAAAGAAGAAAAGAGAAATAGAGCTTTTCCAGCTCTCTGAAAGCTGTGTGTTGCTTGTTCCTTGCACACATCCCTTTTCTCCTTCCCTGTGGGTAACAAACTCTTGGTTTTTGTGAGCACCATCTCCTTGCTTTTTGTTATAGTTTGACACCTTTGCATGCATTCCTAGTCAAACTTGTTTCATTTTGAGCAGCGTATGAATGAATCGTGCTGCATGCATCCTTCTGTGCCTGGCTTCCCATGCTCTTCATCATGCTTTGGTTGTTATATGTAGCTGTAACTTGTTTATATTTATTGCTGTTTGGCATGTTATTATGTGAATGATCACGATTTGTTTATCTGTTTCCCTGTAGGTCAACATGTGGATTGCTTCTAGAATTTGGATATTATGAACACTGCTGTGCTGAACATTCTTGTACACTTATATGGTTTGGCTGTGTCCCCACCCAAATCTCATCTTGAATTGTAGCTCCCATAATTCCTATGTGTCGTGGGAGGGACCCAATGGGAGGTAATTGAATCATAGGGGCAGGTCTTTCCCCTGCTGTCCTTATGATAGTGAATAAGTCTCATGAGATCTGATGGTTTTATACATGGGAGTTCCCCTGCACAAGCCCTCTTGTCTGCCGCCATGTAAGATGTGCCTTTGCTTCTCCTCTGCCTTCCACCATGATTGTGAGGACTCCCCAACCATGTGGAACTGTGAGTCCATTAAACCTCTTTCCTTTGTAAATTACCCAGTCTTGGGTCTGTCTTTATTAGCCGCATGAGAACATACCAATTTATACACATCTTCTGGAACCCATTTCTTTCTGGTAGGTACTAGGAGTGACACTGTCAGGCTGTAGGATATAAGATGCTTCAACCTTATAAGATAATGCCAACGGAGTGTATGAAAGCCCCATTATGCTACATCTACCCTATTCTTGGTATTGTCAGACTTTTAAATGTTTGCTTCTCTGGTTGATACGTAATAGAATTTTGTTGTGGTTTTAATTTGCATTTTTAAAATTCCTAATGAGGATGGGCACCATTTCTTGTATCTGTTAACCATTTGGATTTCTCTCTTACAAAATACCCGTTCAAGAGTTTTAATTTTTCTACTGAGTCTTCTGGATTTTTCTCACAGACTTGCAGGGGTCCTTTGTGGATTATATATTCTGGACATGAGGGTTGTCAGTTACATTTGTTGTAAATATCTTTTCCTACTCTATGGCCAGTCTTTTTGCTCTCTTTATATATCTTTTTTTTTTGGTAGAGATTTTTAAAAGATAAATAATAAATTGATAAACGAGAATGGAACACAAACTCTTAAGTAATGGTTGTAATGGACTGTAGCCCATTGACTAAAATCAGAATCTTTTGAGTCTATCTACACTGATAAAAAAAGATTGGCCTGGTGTTGTGGTTCACACCTGTAATTCCAGCACTTTGGGAAGCCGAGGTCAGCAGATCACTTGAAGCTAAGAGTTCGAGACCAGCCTGGCCAACATGATGAAACCCCATCTCTACTAAAAATATAAAAATTAGTTGGGCCTGGTGGTACATGCCTGTAATCCCAGCTATCTGGGAGGCTGAGGCAGGAGAACAGCTTGAACCCGGGAGGTAGAGGTTGCCATGAGCCGAGATTGAGCCACTGCACTCCAGCCTGAGCAACAGAGTGAGACTCTGTCTCAAAAAAAAAAAAAAAAAAAAAAAAAAAAAGGTTTATTTATTTATTTATTTATTTATTTGAGACAGAGTCTCATTCTGTCACCCAGGCTGGAATGCAGTGGCGAGATCTTGGCTCACCGCAACCTCTGCCTTCTGGGTTCAAGCGATTCTCCTGCCTCAGCCTCCTAAGTCGCTGGGATTACAGGCACATGCCACCACACCCAACTAATTTTTTGTATTTTTAGTAGAGATGAGGTTTCATCTTGTTGGCCAAGCTGTTCTCAAACTGCTGACCTCAGCCTTGGCCTCCCAAAGTGGTGGGATTACAGATTTGAGCCACCGCGCCCAGCCTTATTTTAGTTTTTTAGAGACAGGGTCCCACTCTGTCACCCAGGCTGAAGTGCAGTGGCACAATCATGGCTTACTGCAGCCTCAACCTCCTAGGCTCAAGTGATCCTCCCACCTCAGTACCACCATGCCTGGCTAATTTTTTATTTTTATTTTCAGCAAAGATGAGGTCTCTCTAAGTTACTCAGGCTGGTCTTGAACTCCTGGGCTCAAGTGATCTGCCCACCTCTGCTTCCCAAAATGCTGAGATTACAGGCCTGAGCCACTGCACCCAGCCACTCTCTTTATAGTCTTGACCTTATGATTTTCTTCTTTTGATTTTTTTTTTTTTGGTTTATTTGTCATTCCTTTCTAACTTCTTGAGATGGATGTTTATCCCATTAACTTTTTTTTTTTTTTGAGACAGAGTCTCTCTCTGTTGCCCAGGCTGGAGTACAGTGGCGCGATCTCGGCTCACTGCAAGCTCTGCCTCCTGGGTTCATGACATTCTCCTGCCTCAGCCTCCTGAGTAGCTGGGACTACAGGCACCCGCCACCACGCCTGGCTAATTTTTTTGTATTTTTAGTAGAGGCGGGGTTTCACCGTGCTAGCCAGGATAGTCTCGATCTCCTGACCTCGTGATCCGCCCACCTCGGCCTCCCAAAATGCTGGGATTACAGGCATGAGCCACCGCGCCTGGCCTTTTCTTTTTTTTTTTTCTTTCTTGAGATGGAGTCTCGCTCTGTCTCCCAGGCTGGGGTGCAGTGGCGCAATCGCGGCTCACTGCAACCTCTGCCTCCTGGGTTCCAACGATTCTCTTGCCTCAGCCTCACTACGCCTGGATAATTTTTTGTATTTTTAGTAGAGATGGGGTTTCACCCTGTTAGCCAGGCTGATCTTGAACTCCTAACCTCAAGTGATCCACCTGCTTTGGCCTCCCATTAACTTTCAATCCTCCCCGCTCCTTAAGGTATGCACATATGAGTATACTTTTCGTCTATATACTGTTCAGCTGCACCCCACAGTTTTGGGGTATAGTATTCTCATTATTTTTCAGTTCAAGGTATTTCTAAATTCCTATTTGAATTAATCTCTGATCCATTTGTTATTTCAAAGTGTATATTAAAATTTCCAGATACATGGGGTTTTTCTAGCTTTTTGTTTTCAATTTCTAGGTTAACTGTACTTACGGTCAGAAAACACGGTCTGTTATTTTACTCCTGTGAGATTTGTTGAAACTGCTTTATGGTCCACCATATGGTCACTTTATATAAATGTTCTGAGTATGCTTGAAAAAGTGTGTGTTCTGCAGGGTTCTAGACGTGTAAATCAAGTCAAGTTTGTTAATTACGTTGTTCAAATCTTCTACATCCTTACTGATTTTTTTTGTCTACTTGTTTTATCAGTTACTGAAAGTGAAGTGTTCAAATCTTCTGCTTGATTACGGATTTTCTATTTATCCTTGATGCTCTATCAATTTTTGCTTTACTTACTGCCTTATCTACAGTACACAGCCCATGTAGCCAGTCTGCTGAAAGTTAGACTTGCAGGAAGCCAGATTACTACGTCCAGTAACAATCGAGGAAGCTAAACAATAACTTTTTTTTTTTTTTTGAGATGAAATTGGGCACGATCTTGGCTCACTGCAACCTCCGCCTCCCCAGGTTCAACTGATTCTCCTGCCTCAGCGTCCCGAGTAGCTGGGATTATAGGCATGCACCACCACGCCCAGCTAATTTTTGTATTTTTAGTAGAGATGGGATTTCGCCAGGTTAGCCAGGCTAACTCCTGACCTCCCAAATCCTCCCTCCTTCCTGATCCACCCACGTTGAACTCTGAAAGTGCTAGGATTACAGGCATGAGCCACCGCACCTGGTCAAAACAATAACTTCTATCACAACCAGTCCACTACTGCCAGAACGTGATGAATAACTAACAGCTTCCCTAATTTTTGTCCCTGCTTCCAACTTAGGATCACCCAGGGAAAGCCAAAGATGCACCCATAGTCAACCACATAGTACCCCCTATCTCTAGTTAGCCCACCTTCAGCACCATGCCAATAGGGCAGACTTAGAGCGTTCCTTTTTGTCCACTATAAAGCTTTCCCACTTTTTTGCCTATCTTTGAGTCTCTCTCTCTCTCTCTTTTTTTTTTTTTTTGAGACAAGGTCTCACTCTGTTGCCCAGATTGGAGTGCAGGGGTGCGATCATGGTTCACAGTGTGATCAAACTCCTGGGCTCAAGTGATCCTCCTGCCT
Source organism: Homo sapiens (assembly GCF_000001405.40). NCBI lineage: Eukaryota > Metazoa > Chordata > Mammalia > Primates > Hominidae > Homo > Homo sapiens. Next base: position 68,288,386 of record NC_000011.10, read on the forward strand.
CTGCAAGCAATCCATTTCTAACACTGTACATCCTGTCCATACAAAAAAAAATTAAAAATTAGTTGGCATGGTGGTGTGCACCCGAATCCCAGCTACTCAGGAGCTGAGGTAGGAGGATCTCTTGAACCCAGGAGGTTGAGATCAGCCCTGGCAACATAGTGAGAGCCCTATCTCTACTGAAAAAAAAAATAGCCAAGCATGGTGGCATGTGCCTGTACTCCCAGCTACTCAGGAGGCTGAGGCAGGAGGATCACTTGAGCCTGGGAGGGCTGCAGTGAGCCATGATCATGTCACTGCACTCCAGCCTGGGCAACAGAGCGAGACCTTATCTCAAAATAAAAATGATGATAATAATAATAATAACGATGATAGGACTTCCAGAGGAAGAAGGGGAAATAGAGGCAGCTGAGGTCATTGGAGAAATGAAGCCCTAGCCTCATCCTCTGGGAGGTCCTCCATGTCCAGTGTCCTCCAGGGCCACATCTGAAGTGTATACTGGGGACTAGGAACTAGGTCCACCTTAGAGGATGAACAGCTTTGACAGCCCACTTCCTGCCCATGCAAGTTTAGGGGCCTAAAGATTGTTTTTGTTTTAATGCCTAATCAGTATAGAGTCTGCTTTCATGACTTCTTTGGCAATGCAATTCCCTCGAAGAAGTGGTAGACATCTGATCTGTTTGTTTCCAGTTCGTTTGCATGTGCAAGTAATCAGAGCCCAAACTCTCCTAAACGAAATGCTCAAACTTGATTTTACTTCTCTGCCTCCTCATCACCACAGGCTTCTCATTTCATTTCGGGTTAGCCCACCTGGTCTTTGTTACCGCGCTGAGTGTTAATCGGCCTTTACCACTCAAAGGCTTGTTTTCAGCGTTGTTTTCATATACGGTGTCTAGAAGCAACTGGATTTTTCTTAACCCGCATGGGCACAAATGTCTGGACTCTGTTTATTACCTTTCACTTTTACTTGAAGATGGTCCAGTTGCTGCCCAAGAATATCTCTTTTGTTTAATATTTGGCTAAATGCAACTGGCAAGAACCAAGGTCCACTGTTAGTATTCTGTTTTATACTATTTTCCCCTATGTCTACAGGCTCTGTAAGTATGTGGTTGACTTTCCAAGTCATCATGACAGACAGCTGGATCAAATGGTTGCCAATGTATTACATGGCGTGATGTCAGGTTCCACACAGCCTACTGCCTGACTTCTGAGCCAGTATCACATGATTTATTTATTTCTTTTTATTTATTAACAGTAGCACCCCACTTCTGATACTAATTCCAGTATTAGGACAATGCTATATGCTATCACAGTAGCTTAACGCAACTGGACTTTAATGTTACAAAACTCAGAAAGTTCATTCACATGCTTTCAGATTCCACACTACACCTAACCTGTATTTACTACAACTTTTTGCATTCTGGTTTTGTAACAGCAGGTTGTCCATAGTTGTTTGAAGAGAGAATCAAAATACTCTTGCCTTTCCAACTATACAACTGTATGAGGCCACATTTTCTTTACAAACTTCAACCAACACAACATTTTGCAATAACTTGAATGCAGAAACAAATATGAGAAGGCAGGCATTAAAGACATTCACAAAAATTTAGGCCAGACGCAGTGGCTCAAGCCTGTAATCCCAGCACTTTGGGAGGCTGAGGCGGGTGGATCACAAGGTCAGGAGATCAAGACCATTCTGGCTAACACGGTGAAACTCCATCTCTACTAAAAATACAAAAAATTAGCCGGGCGTGGTGGCAGGCACCTGCAGTCCCAGCTACTCAGGAGGCTGAGGCAGGAGAATGGTGTGAACCTGGGAGGCAGAGCTTGCAGTGAGCCGAGATCACACCACTGCACTCCAGCCTGGGCGACAGAATAAGATTCCATCTAAAAACAAAAAATAAACAAAAAAAATTATACATGCCACTCTTCTCACTAATTTTTGTTTTGATAAATATAGCTATTTTTCATAAAATACATGATTTATGTTAGCATGTAATGGGTTTATCCTTGTTATTTTAAATGAATAAATAATTTAAAATTTTTTCAGTTTAATTTTTGATATGGTAAATATTAAAAGATGGAACCTGTAGAAGCCTTTTTTTGGGATCCTCAAAACGTTTTAAGAGTATAAAGGGCTCCTGAGACCAAAAAGGTTGAGAACCAGTGCTTTAAAGCTTGATGTTTCTCAGGGTTTCATCCTTTGTGGATTAATGCCCATTATAAAATGGCTTGGCAAAGGGAGTTCATTCCTTTTAGCGCTTCCATCTTCTGCAGTGAGAGGACACCGCATTCTTCTTCTCCAGAGGATGCAGCAGCAAGGCGCCATCTTGAAACCAGAGACCAAACCAACCAGCAACTTCGTCTTGAACTTCCCAGCCTCCACAACTGTAAGAATACATTTTTTTTCATGTATCATGTATCGGTCTCAGCTAGTCTGTGATAGCAGCACAAAACAGACTAAGATACCAGTCCTCCTCAAAACTGTCAAGGTCAACAAAAACAAGGAAAGTCTGAGGAACTCTTCCCGTCAAGGGGAGCCTGTGAAGACCTGATGGCGAGGGGTAATGTTGCTTTCTGGATGGGATCCTGAACCAGAAGAAGGACGTTAGGTAAAAAGGAAGGATATCTAAAGAAAGTATGGACGCTGGGCGCGGTGGCTCACGCCTGTAATCCCAGCACTTTGGGAGGCTGAGGCAGGCAGATCACGAGGTCAGGAGTTCAAGACCATCCTGGCTAACATGGTGAAACCCCATCTCTACTAAAAATACAAAAAATTAGCCGGGCGTGGTGGCGGGCACCTGTATTCCCAGCTACTTGGGATGCTGAGCCACAGAATTGCCTGAACCCAGGAGGTGGAGGTTGCAGTGAGCCGAGATTGCGCCACTGCACTCCAGCGTGGGTGACAGAAGTAGACTCCGTCTCAGAAAAAAAAAAAAAGAAAGTGTGGACTTCAGTGAATAATAATGTTACTGGTTTATTAATTGTGTATCACGTTAAGATAATAATAAGGAAACCGGGTGTGGAGTACACAGGAACTCTCTGTACTATCTTTGCACATTTTCTGTAAATATGAAACCATTCTAAAATTAAAAGTTTATTTTAAAATGCAGTTAGATAAAATGAAAAAATATGTAGAAACATTGGAAAGGAGGTAGTAAAATCATCCTTTTTTGTAACCAATATGATTAAATCGCTAGAAAACTCGAGATAAAAACTATACAACAGGCCGGGCGCGGTGGCTCACGCCTGTAATCCCAGCACTTTGGGAGGCCGAGGCGGGCGGATCACGAGGTCAGGAGATCGAGACCATCCTGGCTAACACGGTGAAACCCCGTCTCTACTAAAAATACAAAAAATTAGCCGGGCGTGGTAGCGGGCGCCTGTAGTCCCAGCTACTCGGGAGGCTGAGGCAGGAGAATGGCGTGAACCTGGGAGGCGGAGCTTGCAGTGAGCCGAGATCGCGCCACTGCACTCCAGCCTGGGCGACAGAGCGAGACTCCGTCTCAAAAAAAAAAAAAAAAAAAAAACAACTATACAACAACTTCTTTTAAAAAAAGACAGACCTTGGCCAGGCCAGGTACAGTGGCTCATGCCTGTAATCTCAGCACTTTGGGAGGCCGAGGCAGGAGGATCACTTGAGGCCAGGAGTTCCAGACCAGGCAACATAGGGAGACTCCATCTCTACAAACAGTTTTTAAAAATTGCCACGTACGGTGGTGCATGCCTGTAGACCCAGCTACTTAGGAGACTGAGGCAGGAGGATTGCTTGAGCCCAGAAGGTTGAGGCTACAGTGAGCTGTGATCGTGCTGCTACACTCCAGCTGGGGCAAGAGAGACCCTGTCTTAAAAAAAAAACTAGCATACAGAGCTAGTTTTCTTTTTTCTTTTTCCTTTTTTTTTTTTTGAGACGGAGTCTCGCTCTGTGGCCCAGGCTGGAGTGCAGTGGCTGCCGATCTCCGCTCACTGCAAGCTCCGCCTCCCGGGTTCATGCCGTTCTCCTGCCTCAGCCTCCTGAGTAGCTGGGACTACAGGCGCCCGCCACCACGCCTGGCTAATTTTTTGTATTTTTAGTAGAGACAGAGTTTCACCATGTTAGCCAGGATGGTCTTGATCTCCTGACTTCGTGATCTGTGATCTGCCCACCTCGGCCTCCCAAAGTACTGGGATTACAGGCGTGAGCCACCGCGCCAGGCCATACAGAGCTAGTTTTCTAAGTATCCCATAAAAAGAACCAGAGCTTTTCTGAGAACTGATTGAGGCTAAGTCTAGGGCAGCAAAAATGTATCCTGGAGCTTCTTACAGTCACAGAAAGTAGGAAAGAAAAAGAAAAGACGGGCATGTTAAAATGGCATAGGAGGCCAGGTGTGGTGGCTCACGCCTGTAGTCCCAGCACTTTGGGAGGCCGAGGCGGGCAGATCACCTGAGGTCAGGAGTTTGAGACCAGCCTGGCCAACATAATAAAACCCCATCTCTACTAAAAATACAAAAAATTAGCCGGGCAAGGTGGTGGAGCGCCTATAATACCAGCTACTCAGGAGGCTGAGGCAGGAGAATTGCTTGAACCTGGGAGGCGGAGGTTGCAGGAAGCCAAGATCATGCCACTGCACTCAAACCTGGGTGACAGAGTGAGACTCGGTCTCAAAAAAAAAAAAAAAGGCATGGGAGCCAAATTTCAAGGGCTCCTAATGACCAAGGTCGGATGGAACAACTGACTAACAAAATAATGATAGGATTCAATTGCAACCCAAAGAATAAAACCAATATCCACAAATCCATGTTGGTATAAACAACTGAAACAAAATGAATAAGTGAGGAAGAAGCATATTAATAAAGGTTGAAGGAATGAGAGAAACAGAAAATTACCATTAGAACTCCACAGTAATACTTGCTATAAGCGAGATCCATAGATGAATGCTAAACTTAGTGAGCCGAAGTTAAAGCAGAAACAGGATATTTGCATAGTCTCAAAGTATTTCCCCTCAGACATTCAGTAATTAAAAAGGGAAAAATAGTAACTTTCTAGTGGAGAATCCTGGCAGACAGCACCTTCACGAAATGCTCCAGGTTAGGGTCTCCGGCGGTATAAACTGACATTACAAACCCTCTGATATGATGCATTGAGCTTGCACATCGAGGCGGTGGCACCCTCTCCAATAATGCATGACCTCGATCTAATCACAAAAAACTTCAGGCAAACCCAAACTGAGGGCGTTCTACAAAACAACCGGCCAGTATTTTTCAAAAGTATAAAAAAATGAAAGTCATGAAAGACAAAGAAAGACTGAGGAACTGTCACAGATTGGAAGACACCAAAGAGAAATGACAACTAAATATAATGTAGGATTCCGGATTGAACACTGGAAGAGAAAAGGGGAGCAGTAGAAGAACTGGTGAGATCTGAACAGCTTCTGCAGTTTAGTTAATAGCATTGTGCCCAGGTTGATTCTTAGATTTGACAATTGTTCTGTAGTTATGTAAGATGTTAACATAAGGAGAAACTGGGTTAACATAAGGGGGAAACAGGAACTCTCTGTACTATTTTTGCAAATCTTCTGTAAGTCAAAATTATCTCAAAATAGAAAGTTAAAAAAAAACACAAAAGAATGGCCATTTTCAAAGTAATCAAAAAATTCAACAGATGTCATATATACAAATAACAGCCAATTAGGAAATAATGACAAATGAAAAATATTTATTAACAAACAACCGGAAAACATGCAGAATATCTAGGAATACATTTTATAAGAAATAGCAGGATATCATGAAAAAAACTGTAAAATTCTGTTGATGCATTGAAAAAGGCTTGAATACATGAAAAGCTATATTGTGCTCTTGGATAGGAAGACCTAAGAGTCTAAGAGTCTCAATCCTTCAGAATTTTTTTTTTTTTTTCACAGAGTGTCACTCTGTCACCCAGGCTGGAGTACAGTGGCACGATCTCTGCTCATTGCAACCTCCACCTCCTGGATTCAAGCGATTCTCCTGCCTCAGCCTCCCAAGTAACTGGGATTATAGGTGCACGCCACGACCCCCGGCTAATTTTTGTATTATTATTATTATTTTTTTTTGAGATGGAGTCTCACTCTGTCGCCCAGGCTGGAGTGCAGTGGCGCGATCTTGGCTCACTGCAAGCTCCGCCTCCTGGGTTCACACCATTCTCCTGCCTCAGCCTCCTAAGTAGCTGAGACCACAGGCGCCCACCACCACGCCTGGCTAATTTTTTGTATTTTTAGGAGAGACGGGGTTGCACCGTGTTAGCCAGGATGGTCTCTATCTCCTGACCTCGTGATCCACCCACCTCGGCCTCCCAAAGTGCTGGGATTACAGGTGAGCCACTGCGCCTGGCAATTCTTGTATTTTTAGTAAAGACCGAGTTTCACCATGTTGGCCAGGCTGGTCTCAAACTCCCAACCTCAAGTGATCCACCTGCCTTGGCCTCGAAAAGTGTAGGGATTACAGGCGTGAGCCACCGTGCCCAGCCCTTTCCTAAGTTAATGTAAAAATTCAGTATTTTTCAACCAAAATCCAATAGGGCTTTTTCTGCAAGGGGAATTTGATAAAATGATTCTAAAATTTATCTGGAAGAATACAAATAGGAGACAGGCCAGAAAAATTCTAAGCAGCAGCACAATTTTAATGTTAAAATGGATTATGATAGATGATAGATGGCCATAATGATGTAGATGCCAACAGTCAGATCAATAGCATAGAATACAGACATGTCAAAGTGTCCATGGGATTTTAGTAAATGACAAAAAGTGGCATTTTAGGCCAGGCATGGTGGCTCATGCCTGTAATCCCAGCACTTTGGGAGTCCAAGGTGGGAGGATCGCTTGAACCCAGGAGTTTGAGATCAGCCTGGGCAACATAGTGAGACCTCTGTCAATACAAAAAGTAAAAAAAATTAGCCAGACTCACACTTTAGTCCCAACTACTCAGAAGGCTGAGTGGGGGGATTGCTTGAGCCCAGGTGTTTGAGGCTGCAGTGAGCTATGATCACTCCATTGTACTCCAGCCTGGGTGACAGAGTGAGGCCCTGTCTCTAAAAATAATAAAATAAAATAAAATAAAATAATGAAATAAAAAATATAAAATAAAATATAAAATAAAATAAATAAAATAAAATAATCTCTGCATATGTACCTAGAAAGAAAAAAGCCTGAAAGTAAATAAAAATGTTAATAGCAGTGAGATCTGAGCTGTGAAATTATATACGCTTTTTGTTCTTTGTCCTTTCTTTTATTTTCAAACTTTTCTGCAATAAGAATGTATTAATTTTATAAGCAGAATACAAATAAATTCCAGGCCAGGTGTGGTGGCTCACACCTGTAATCCCTCCACTTTGGGAGGCTGAGGCAGGAGGATTGCTTGAAGCTAGGGGTTCAAGACCAGCCTGGGCAACAAAGTGAGAACCCAGTCTCCACAAAAAATAGAAATAAAAATTAGCTAGGTATAGTTGGCGTGTGTCTGTAGTCCCAGCTACTCAGGAGGCTGAGGTAGGAGGATCATTTGGGCATAGGAAGTCGAGGCTGCAAGGAGCTATGATTGTGTCACCGCATTCCAGCCTGGGCAACAGAGTGAGACTCTATCTCTAAAGATAAATACATAAATACATACATACATACATACATACATTCCATTATCTTAATTAAAACCATAAGCACTGGCTTCTGTTTCTCCAACTTTCAGCCTCACCTTCAGCAACCTTACTGAAAGGAACACAGGGCTGTCCCAGGCCATTTGCACATTTCCTGGACACTTCCTCAGACCGAGCCCAGCTTATTGAGCTTATTGGGGCTGGCAAGGGGTGAGTGGGTGAGAATCCTGATTGCATCTCTTCTGCCCACAACTTATCCACCGCTGAGGGTCCTAAGCCACTAAGGAGAGTGTAGGCCAGGCCAACGGTGGAATTCTGCCCAGAACTTTTCTTCCAAGGAGATCCGGCAAACCTGACGGGGGTTGTTGGGGAGGGTAGGCCATCCCTGAGTGTCTATCGTCAGCCCCCACCCTGGCTGAGGGATGTGAGAGGGAGTTAACATGAACTCTCTTGACTCTACATAGGTGGCTCCAGCAGCAGTCTGTGCAGGACCCTGTGAGCAGAGCCGCAGGTGCATATCTCAGCTCCTGGCTCTGCAGCTGACGCAGGCTGTGGCCCCAGGCCAGGCGCTTCACCTCTCTGAGCCTCAGCTTTACAGAATGGGTTGGTTACAGAGCTACCTGCTGGGGTGCCTGGGTGCTCAGTGGCTAGCACAGATCTGCAGATGTCCAGTCTCTGATGTTGGCCAAGGGAAAATGTGCCCGCCTGTAAAATTGCAAGCAGACCAGGAAGCCTCGGTCCTGAGAAGCTGTCCCAGTCCTGAGAAGCTCACAGGCTGGGGGGACTCTCAGAAGCAATCATGCAGGGAAGTGCTCAGCAGAGGCAGAAACCCGGAGGACGGGCTGGGCAGAGCCTCACAGGGGCCCTGACTCTCAGCTGGGTGGAGAGGCAGGGCAAAGTATTCAGGGTACAGGGAGTGGCACTGCGAGGCACAGCGGCACGAGGGTGACAGCAGGCCCAGGGAGGGCTCAGCAGGAGGAAAGCTGGGCTGTGTTAAACCAGGAACAGGAGGAGGTGCGAATGCAGTCACCGGAAGCAGGTCCGATGAAGAGGCCTCGAAGTCCACCCCACAGAGTCAGGACTTAACTTTGCACACAATCTGCCAACTTGGGTGGCAGAAGTTATTCCCACGCAGCAGTGCCAGGCTTGGACGAGGACTCACCCAGGTGGTAATGAGGGCCCTCCTTCGAGCTCAGGCCAGGAAGCAGCAGCCCTGACCACCGCTGCTAACCCAGCCTGGGGCCCTCTGTGTCCAGTAATACTTCATATTTGCTACCCGGTCATCTTACTTAATTCCCAGCACAGCCAAGCTAGGCAGCTATCATTATTCCTGCTGGCACAGGTTAGAAAACTGAGGTCTCTGCTGGGTGCGGTGGCTCATGCCAGTAATCCCAGCACTTTGGGAGGCTGAGGCAGGAAGATCCGGTGAACTCAGGAGTTTGAGACCAGCCTGGGCAATACGGCGAAATCCCGTCTCTACAAAAAAATACAAAAATTAGCCGGCTGTGGTGACACATACCTGGGGTCCCAGCTACGCAGGAGGCTGAGCTGGGAGGATCACTTGAACCTGGGAGGCAGCAGTGAGCCAAGATCGTGCCACGGCACTCCAGTCTGGGCCACAGAGCAAGACCCTGTCTCAAAAAAAAAGGAAAAAAGGAAAAACAGGTTTCCAAGGGTTCAACAACCCGCCCAGGGCCATGCAGTGAGCGGGAAGAAGGGTGGAACCGTGTCCAGTGATCTCGGAGCCCACGTTCTTTCCCTTCATCTTAACAGCATCCAGTGTGTGCAGCTGCCACTCCCCTGGCCACGTCCATCTTCCACGTCCTCCCACGCAGCCCCCTCCGCCCTCCTCCCCGAGTTTCTTCTTCTTGGCCTGGGACGGATACTGAGCGCCGGAGAGAGCCCGGCCGGGCGGGACGCTGCTGCCCCCTCGTGGCCGCACGTGTTACCGCAGGCGGCCCATGGTGTCTGGGTCACTCTGGCCCTCCCGGGCTCAGCCTCTTCCAAGAACGGCCAGAGGGTTGTGTGGGGAGCAGTAATAACGAGGTTCTCAGCTCCACGCCCTGCTCGCCGAGGAACCTCGGTCAAGTCACTTGCCCTCGCCTCAGTTTTCCCCTCTGTCTAATGGACATACATTAAGACCTTGAAGGGCTATTAGGAGAACTTAATAGGCGAGTAGGGGCTCAGGGGTGCGCCTGGGGAACCTAGAAATGGGGCTTGAGAGAGCTCACGCTGCAGCTTCCGGCTCAGCGAGGGCAGCGAGAGGGCCTGTGATCTGTCCCTTTCCTTGTATGGTGAAAACAAAGTCCGGGTGCAAAGTCCGCTGCAGAGTTTGTTGACTTTGGGGCGAGGGCTCTGGCATCAAAGGCACTGCGTGCCCTGTCCACTGCTCCCGAGGCCGCCGCCCACTGTGATCTTTGCTCCAGTGGCCATGGGATTGTTTGAGAATTACCAACATGTAGGGAAAACCTGCGATCCTGGCCTGCAGAGGGAGGGGAGGACCCCTTTTGCCAGGCTCCCCCAAACATTGAGCTCTCAGCTTCACCAGCTGCACCCCATGGGGTCTTCTTTGCCAGCTTTGGCGAGGGTCTGTTCCTCACTGCGCCAATGCCCCGGCATGTGATCTTTGGGCTCAGTGCCAGGCCCAGCTATCCTGCTGGCACAGTAGGAAGCCAGAAAAGCCCCTACCCACTCCTGCTAGAGCCTAGGGGCTGCTGTTCCCTCTAGGACTCCACCAGGGAGCAGGAGGGGCCTTCACGGGGCTGGTGCAGACCTAAGACCTCCCACGCTTGCCCTCAGCCAGAGCCCTGAGACCCACACCCTCCTCTGCCACCTCCAGAAAAAGCCTCCGGTCCTGGGCACCTTTGATGACTTCCTTTCCCATCCGTGCTGCTGGAGATGTCTACACTAGGAACTCACTGGGATGGAGCTGTGTCCTGCAGGAAGGGCGGGGTGAGAGCCGGCCAGTGTCTGAGCTCCAGGAATGGCAAAGAGGAAGCTGCACAATATTTCCCAGGTCAGAGCCCTCCTTAGGGACATCCGCCGTCCCGATCTTGCCCCTACAGCCTCTCTACCTGAAAGTCCCTATCCCCCTCCACACTCCACCAACCAGCTGCCCCTGGTCCCAGACTTGGACGTCCCAAGTCCATGCACACCCCTGCCTCCCCTCGGAGCTCCCACCACAACTTGTGGATGGGCACAGTGGGCAGGGCCTGGAGGCCCCACCCTGCTGTGAAGCTGGAGGGAAGGGGCACGTGGAAGGGCAGTGCTGGATGCAAGGGACAGCTTGGGGACTGGAGGGGCTTGGGTGGAGGCTGCTGGGAGAGGAGTAGCAGCTCAGGGGGAGGCTGGAGGTGGCTCAAGGGGACAAAGGAGGGGCCCAGCGTGCTGAAGGCTGCAGAATCTAGAAGACAGATGCAGCGGGGAATGGCCTTAGCAGGAGGTGAGGGCGGGAGGCAGCCAGTGTAGACAGTGGGGTGGAGTCCTCAGTGTAGATGGCAGGGTGGAGTGCTCAGTGTAGACAGCAGGGTGGAGTGCTCAGTGTAGACGGGGGTGTAGAGTGCTCAGGGACCCTGAGGAAGAGCTGAAGGGGAAGGGCCAGTCTTTTTTTTTTTTTTTTTTTTGAGACAGAGTCTTGTTGCCCAGGCTGGAGTACAGTGGCGCAATCTCAGCTCACTGTAGCCTCCAGGTCATGGGTTCAAGCGATTCTCCTGCCTCAGCCTCCTGAGTAGCTGGGATTACAGGCACCCACCACCACACCTGGCTGATTTTTGTACTTTTAGTGGAGATGGGGTTTCACCATGTTGGCCAAGCTGGTCTCAAACTCCTAACCTCAAGTGATCCGCCCGCCTCAGCCTCCCAAAGTGCTGGGATTGCAGGCGCGAGCCATCGCGCTCCGCCTTTTTTTGTTTATTTGTTTGTTTGTTTGTTTTTTGAGACGGAGTCTTGTTCTGTTGCCAGGTTAGAGTGGAGTGGCGCGATCTTGGCTCACTGCAACCTCTTTCTCCCAGGTTCAAGCGATTCTCCTGCCTCAGCCTCCTAAGTAGCTAGCCACCATGCCCAGTTAATTTTTTTTTTTTCAGTAGATACAGGGTTTCACCATGCTGGCCAGGATGGTCTCAATCTCTTGACCTCATGATCCGCCCACCTTGGCCTCCCAAAGTGCTGGGAGCCACCCCAAAGTACAGGCATGAGCCACCGTGCCTGGCCAGGCCTTTGTTTTTAAGAAGGGAGAATCCCGTGGCGTTTACAAGCTGAGGAGATGGAGCTGGCCGAGGATGAGTGAGCTGGAGGGCTCTATGCAGGGGTGAGGGCCTGGAGGAGGACAAGGGAGGGGATTAGCCTGGGTTCAGATCCCAGCCTGGCCACTTCCTCGCTGCATGACCCTGGGCAGGGCCATCCCTGTTCTGGCCCTTGCTGTCTCTGGAATTGGTTTGGAGGAATCAGGGGCATTAAGGTGGGACATTCTGCCTCCATTTTGCTTCAAGTACTGAAGGCCTCAGACAGCAAAATAGATGCCCCTGCCCAGGACTCCAAGCTTCAGGGGGCCCCACTTCTGCCCCCATGTGGCCCAGGGGATATGCCCTCAGCACCCAAACCCTCTTTCCAGGCTTTGCACCAAGTACTTGGACCCCAAATTCCCTGCCCAAGCCGCAGAGGCCATACGGATGCCTCCCTCAGACCCACCACAGGGGGACCTCGCCCTTGGTGGGGGCCGGGGGAGGTCCATGGTCCAGCTCCTCTGTCACCGTGCTCCAGCACAGCACCTCAAGCAGTCCAGAAAGTTCTACATGGAGCCGCCTTCCAGGTGTTGTGGGATGTATCTGTCCAGCCAGGGAGATGGGGTGCTCTATTCCATCACTTGTTGGCTGATATATACATTTATTTTTTCTTTACAGTGACTATCCATTATTTTATTTTATTTTAATTAATTCATTAATTTATTTTTTTTTTATTTTTTTGAGAGAGAGTTTCGCTCTTGCTTTTGCCCAGGCTGGAGTGCAATGACGCGATCTCGGCTCATCACAACCTCTGCCTCTCGGGTTCAAGCAATTCTCCTGCCTCAGCCTCCCTAGTAGCTGGGATGACAGACGTGCACCACCACGTCTGGCTAATTTTTTTGTATTTTTGTTAGAGACAGGGTTACACCATGTTGGCCAGGCTGGTCTCAAACTCCTGGCCTCAGGTGATCCGCCTACCTTGGCCTCCCAAAATGTTGAGATTACAGATGTGAGCCATCCCTGTCAGGGCCACTGCACCCAGCCTCATAATTTTATTATCTAGATTCAAAATTTGTTAAGGTTTTGCTACCTTTGCCAGAAATGTAAATATTGAAGGTACATTGGGCTGAGTGCAGTGGCTCACGCCTGTGGTCCCAGCTACTTTGGGAGGCTGAGGCAGGAGGATTGCTTGAGCCCAGGAGGTTGAGGCTGCAGTGAGCTGTGATTGTGCCACTGCACTCCAGCCTGGGCAACAGAGCAAGACCCTGTCTCTAAAAAATAATAAATAAATAAAAATAAATGTGATGTTGCCAACAGCATGATGCTTTCCATGAGAGTTCAAAAGAGATCTCCTGAGAACATTCTGCCACAGAAACAGAATCATTTGTCACACCTGCAAAATACTAACAATTCTTATTTATTTATTTATTTTTTTTTTGAGATGGAGTTTCACTCTGTCGCCCAGGCTGGAGTGCAGTGGTGTGATCTCGGCTCACTGCAAGCTCCACCTCCCAGGTTCACACCATTCTTCTCCTGCCTCAGCCTCCCGAGTAGCTGGGACTACAGGCGCCCGCCACCATGCCTGGCTAATTTTTTTTGTATTTTTTAGTAGAGACGGGGCTTCACTGTGTTAGCCAGGATGGTCTCGATCTCCTGACCTCGTGATCCGCCTGCCTCGGCCTCCCAAAGTGCTGGGATTACAGGCGTGAGCCACCGCTCCCAGCCCACAATTCTTAATAGCATCAGATCTATTTTTAAGCAGGACATGATCAATCAGCCTATGTCTTTCATCTATTTTTGCCTGGAAAAATCCCTCTACCTTTTTGTAAATGGCATTGATGTGCTGAGGCATGGTTTAAGACTTGTGAGTGGGGCCAGGCACAGTGGCTCACGCCTGTAATCCCAGCACTTTGGGAGGCCAAGGCGGGCAGATCACTTGAGGTCAGGAGTTCAAGACCAGCCTGGCCATCTCATCTCTACTAGAAATACAAAAAATTAGCTGGGCGTGGTGGTGCCACCTGTAGTCCCAGCTACTCAGGAGGCTGAGGCAGGGGGATCACTTGAACCCAGAAGGCAGAGGTTGCAGTGAGCTAAGATGGCACCACTGTACTCCAGCCCTGATGACAGAGCAAGACTCCATCTCAAAAAAAAAAAAAAAAAAAAAAGACTTGTAAGTGACAAGCCCGGTCCTGGGGCCTGCTCTGTGTTCCTGTCCTGGGTTCCACCCATGCTTGCGGGGAGGGGGCCTGCAGAAGGAAACCTGACTCCACCAGCCCCAGAGTGACCAACTTGCTCCTGTTTGCTCCAGACTTTTGCAGTTTTATTCCTGAAAATGCCCCCTCAGTTCTAGGTAAACCAGGATGGTCGGTTGCCCTAGTTAGCCCACCATCCACCTTGAGAATCTAACAGCGGAGTGGGTGAGGCGGGAAGGAGAGAGAGGCTTGGGGACTTGTCCCTCTCTTGTTCATCTCAGGCCTGGCAAGAAAGGACATGTGTCCCCTGGAGATGGGTTGGGGGCATGACACACATGTCTGGTGTTTGCTCTGATCAAAGGCAAGGCTGTGGCTGCAGCTGTCTGGCGGGCCGTGGCGCTGAACAGGTGGCCTCGCTGGCACAAGCTGCCCTTCCCAGATGATCAGGAAAAGGTGTGTTCCCGGGGACCAGATGCTTCTGAGCAATGTCCAAGGTGCCCACAAGAGCCTGTGAGGGATGACTCAGCACTGGGAATCCATAAACCCACAAGGCCCCAGAGCCAGGTCATGGGGTGCTGGGCCTCCTGGGATGGCCTTTCCTACTCCCTCTGTTCCTCCTTGAGGAGCGGAGGCAGCTGAGGTGGGAGGAACACGTGCAGAAAGAGAGAAGGAGCTGGCCTGGCCTTTCTCCATGGTGGCAAAGATGCAGCTTTAAATAAACTTAAGTTATTTATGTATTTATTTATTTATTTATTGAGACAGGATCTTGCTCTGTTGCCCAAGCTGGACTGCAGTGATGTGATCACAGCTCACTGCAGCCTCAACCTCCTGGGTTCAAGTGATCCTCTTGCCTCAGCCTCCCGATTAGCTGGTTAAATGATTGTGACCAAAATGCTGACAGTGATATGGACAAGCCAAGGCCAGGGTGATGAGTCTCAGATGGAAATGAGGAACTTATTGGGAACTGGAGCAAAGGTCACTTTCGTTATGCCTTAGCAAATAATTTGGCTGTATTATTTTCATGCCCTAGGGATCTGTTGAAGTTTGAACATAAGAGGGATGACCCAGGACATCTGGGGGAAGACATTTCTTCCCTTCCTCCTTCCTTCCTTCCTTTCGAGATCAAATCTTATTCTGTCACCAGGCTGGAGTGCAGTGGCATGATCTGGGCTCACTGCAACCTCTGCCTCCCAGGTTCAAGTAATTCTCCTGCCTCAGCCTCTCCAGTAGCTGGGACTACAGGTCTGCGCCACCACACCAAGCTAATTTTTTTGTATTTTTAGTAGAGATGGGTTTCACCATGTTGACCAGGATGGTCTCGATCTCCTGATCTCGTGATCTGCCCACCTAGGCCTCCCAAAGTGCTGGGATTACAGGTGTGAGCCACCAAGCGTGGCCATAAATTTTGAAGCAGCAAAGCATTCAAGATGTGGCCCAGCTTCTTTGAATTCCCTATGCTCAAATGCAGGAGCAAATAAATGAATTAAAGTTAGAAGTTATATTTAAAGGTAAAACAGAGCATAAAAGTTTGGAAAATTTGCAGCCTGGCCATGTGACAAAGAAAGAAAAAGCTTTTTCAGGAGAGGAGTTCAAGCCGGCAGTGGAGTAACCTCTTGCTAGAGGATTTGCATAACTAAAAAGGAGCCGACTGCCAATAACTGAGACAATAGGAAATAGGCCTCAGAGGCAAAAAGGCCTCAAAGGCATTTCAGAGATCTTCCACAACCCTCCCATCACAGGCCCAGAGGATGAGGAGGAAAGAATGGTTTCATTGTCCAGGCACAGGGCCCTGCTGCTCTGCACAGCCTCAGGACACTGCTCCCTGCCTGCATCTAGACTGTTCCAGCTCCAGCCTTGGCTCAAAGGGCCATAGTCACAGCTCAGGCTGCTGCTTCAGAGGGTTCCAGCCATACACCTTGGCAGCTTCCATGTGGTGTTAAGCCTGTAGGTGTGCAGAGTGCAAGAGTGAAGGAAGCTTGACACCATCCACCTAGATGTCAGAGGATGTATGAGAAAGCCTGGGAGCCCAGGAAGAAGGCTGCTGCAGGGGCAGAGCCTTCCCATTGGAGGGGAAATGTGGGGTTGGAGGCCCCACATAGAGTCCCCACTGGGACAATGCCTAGTGGAGCTGCGGGACGGGGCCGCCACCATCCACACCCCAGAATGGTAGATCACCAGCAGCTTGCACCCTGCACCTGGAAAAGCCGCAGGCCCTCATCTCCAATCTGTAAGAGCAGCCATGGGGACTGAATTCTGCAAAGCCGCAGGAATAGAGCTGCCCAAGGCCTTGGGAGCCTGCCCCTTGCACCAGTGTGCCCTGGCTATGGGACATGGAGTTTAAGGAGGTTATTTTGGAGCTTTAAGATTGAATGATTGCTCTGCTGGGTTTTGGACTTGCTTGGGGCCTATAGCCCCTTTCTTTTGACAGATTTCTCCCTTTTGGAACAGGAATGTTTACCTAATGCCTATGCCCCCATTGTATCTCAGCAGTAAATAACTGTTTTCATTTTTACAGTCTTGTAGGTGAAAGGAACTCATCTTCAGATGAGACGTTGGACTTGGGAATGGGATTTTTGAGTTAATGCTGGGATGAGTTAAGACTTTGGGGGGCTACTGGGAAGGCATGACTATATTTTGCAATGTGAGAAGAACATGAGATCTGGGGGGCCAGGGGTGGAATGATATAGTTTGGATATTTGTCCCCCCAAACCTCATGTTGAACTGTAATTCCCAATGTTGGGGGTGGGGCCTAGTGGGAGGTTTGGGTCATGGGGGCAGACCCCTCGTGGCTTGGTGCTGTCCTTGCAATGGTGAGTTCTCGTGAGATCTGCTCATTTAAAAGTGTGCACACCTCCCTGCTCTCTCTCTCTCTCGCTCCTGCTTTTGCTGTGTGATGCACCTGCTCTGGCTCTGCCTTCCACGATGAGTAAAACTCCCTGAAGCCTTCCCAGCAACCAAGCAGATGCCGGCACCATGCTTGTACAGCCTGCAGAACCGGGAGCCAGTTAACCCCTTTCTTTATAAACTACCCAGTCTCAGGTGTTTATTTGTTTTTTATTTATTTTGAGACAGGGTTTCTCTCTTGTCTCCCAGGCTGGAGTGCAGTGGCACAATCTTGGCTCACTACAACCTCCTCCTCCCGGGCGCAAGTGATTCTCCTGCCTCAGCCTCCTGAGTAGCTGGGACTACAGATGCACGCCACCATGCCTGGCTAATTTTCATATTTTCAGTAGAAATGGGGTTTCACCATGTTGTCCAGGCTGGTCTTGAACTCCTGACCTCAAGTGATCCACTCACCTTGGCCTCCCAAAGTGCTGGGATTACAGGCGTGAGCCACCATGCCCGGCCTCAGGTATTTCTTTATAGTAATACAAGAATGGCCTAACACACTGCACAAGCCACTACCTCTCTGACTTCAGTTTCCTTTTCTGTAAGATGGGTTTGTGAAGATTAGGTACTGTATTAGTTTCCTGTGGCTGCCATAACAAATTACCACAAATCTGGTGGCTTAAAACAACAGCAGTTGATTATCTCACAGTGCTGGAGGCCAGAAGTCTGAGGTGGAGGTGTTGGCAGGGCTGTGCTCCGTCTGGAGGCTCTAGGGGAGGCTTCTTCCTACCTCTTGCAACTTCTGGGGCTCCAGGTATTCCTTGGCTTGTGGCTGCATGGCTCCAACCTCTGCCTCATCTTCACATGGCCTTTTTTCCTTCACTCTCCTCTTCTGTCTCAGATCTCTGTCTGCTTTTCTTTTCTTTTATGAGACAGAGTTTCACTTTTCTCCCTCAGGCTGGAGTGCAGTGGCGCGATCTTGGCTCACTGCAACCTCCGCCTCCCAGGTGCAAGCCATTCTCCTGCCTCAGCTTCCTGAGTAGCTGGGATTATAGGCACCCGCCACCATGCCTTGCTAATTTTTGTATTTTTAGTAGAGATGGGATTTCATCATGTTGGCCAGGCTGCTCTCGAACTCATGACCTTAGGTGATCCACCCACCTCGGCCTCTCAAAGTGCTGGGATTACAGGCTTGAGCCACTGTGCCCAGCCTCTGCTTTTCTTTTCTAAGGACCATTTGTCCTTGGATGCAGGGTCCACCTGGATAATCCACGATGAGCTCCTCATCTCAAGATCTCTAACTTAATGACACCCGGGAAGACCCTTTTCCTAACTTGGTTAACATTCACAGGTCCCAGGGATTAGGATGTAGATACATCTTTTTGAAGGCCACTGTTCAATCCACTGTATGTGTCTTTAAAACACTTATAAATGAGAATGAAGCCTGAATGTCAACTCCTTCATCTGCAGTGAAAAAATAAGACTGCTCTGTGGACCAGACTACTTAGTTTTATTTTTCACTGCAGATTATTTTTCACTACTCATGTGGGCCTGCCCAGGGCATTCTTTCCCAGGAGGCAAGTTATGTGGCAAGCAAAATGATCAGGAGAGTCAAACAAACAGCTGCAGAAACGGATGGACGATGACTGTCAGAAGGAGGAGAGAAGTGGAGGGTGACAGCCGAGGTGAGTGCCTGGCTCATTCATCCTCACTCCCTCTCTTGAATCCATGTTAATCACAATTTACATGAATGCAGTGCTTTAAAATTAAGGTATATAGAGAAACCCCATCTCTACTAAAAATACAAAATTAGCCGGGTGTGGTGGCGCATGCCTGTAATCCCAGCTACTCGGGAGGCTGAGGCAGGAGAATTGCTTGAACCCGGGAGGTGGAGGTTGCAGTGAGCCAAGATCTTGCCATTGCACTCCAGCCTGAGCAACAAGAACAAAACTGCAACTCAAAAAAAAAAGGTAAGGTAAGGCTTATGCTTATAATCCCAACACTTTGGGAGGCCAGGCCAGGAGGATGGCTTGATCCTAGGAGTTCAAGACCAGCCTGGGCAACACAGTGAGACCACAGCTGTCCCCCATCTCTATAAAAAATTTAGAAAAATTTTTTAAAGTGCTAAAATTACAGGCTTTTTTAAAGTGGTAGGATTATAGGCCGGGGGGTGGCTCATACCTATAATCCTAGCACTTTGGCAGGCTGAGGAAGGTAGATTGCTTAAGCCCTGGAGTTCAAGACCAGCCTGGGCAATATAGTGAAACCCCATCCTTCAAAAATATTAGCTGGGTGTACTGGCACATACCTGTAGTCCCAGCTACTTGGGAGACTGAAGTGTGAGGATCACCTAAGCCCAGGGAGGTTGAGGCTGCAGTGAGCCAAGAGTGCACCACTGCACTCCAGCCTGGGCAACAGAGTGAAACCTTGTCTCAAAAGAAAAAATTATCCAGGTGCGGTGGTGCATGCCTGTAGTTCCAGCTACTTGGGAGGCTGTGGTAGGAGGATCACTTGAGCCTGGGAGGTTAAGGCTGTAGTGAGCCGTAATCACACCACTGCACTCCAGCCTGGGTGAGACAGCTAGACATTATCTTAAAATAAATGAAAAATAAAAGTAAGGTAGAAAGAGTATTTTTAAAAGTCTTATTGGAGGTTCACATCAGCACTGAGAGATAAGAAATAGAGCAGATATCATGATTCCCACTTTTTGAATGCAGAAACTGAGGCCCAGAGAGGTGAATCCAGCCTGTGTCCTTCACACCCCAGCTGGCTCATAGAAACCATGGCCTGTTACCAACCAAGCCCTCCAGAGCCCAGCACTGTAGGCCGATGGCGGCCTTCCCTGGCCTGCTCCTGGGGCAGGTTGCTGAGAAGCATTGCCTGTTTTGGGGAGAGGCCTGCGGCAGCCTGAGGAATGAGCCTGGCAGTGGGCACTCTCACTGGGGCCTCCTCCGGCGCTGCCCTCAGGAAGATTCTGTGGCTCCCAAAGCCCCAGGGGCGCCTCTGACCACAGCAGTCAGTCCTGCCGGGTTGGGGGGGGCTCTTGTGCCCAGCGTAACTTCACAGAGCCAGCACGTTCCAGCCTGGGAGGGAAACCAAAAGGCACTTTGCCCAAGTGTCACCGGGCTGAAACGACATCCTCATGGGCCCCTGTCCCCGGAAGCAATGAGATTGGACAGGTGCTGAGCCCCTGTTACTTCATTGGGATGGACTTGCATCTAAGGAACGAACTGAGAGTGAACATTTCCAAATTTGAGGCCTAAGAAAAGTTTGTTGGCCTGATGAGCTGTGACAGGCAACCGTCTGGGGAAGTGGAAGCTCAGCACATCCTCCGGTTACTTATTACGTTACTGAAGGGTCTAAAAATGACTGTCCTTGGGGTGCTGGAATCCTGCAGAATAAAATAGTGCTGAATTTTAATTCATTCTTTGCAAATGAATGTTCTCAAGGCTCCGGTTGGAGTCAGGCACCCTGGGACCTTGCAGTAGTGTGCTTTGGGTCCCAGGCCACAGCACAGCCCCTTTCTTTTTTTTTTTCTTTTTTGAGATGGAGTCTTGCTCTGTCGCCCAGGCTGGAGTGTAGTGGCGTGATATCGGCTCATTGCAACCTCTGCCTCCCGGGTTCAAGTGATTCTCCCGCCTCAGCCTCCCGAGTAGTTGGGATTACAGGCGCCCGCCACCAAGCCCAACTAATCAGCTAATTTTTTTTTTTTTTTTTTTTTTTTGAGACGGAGTCTAACTCTGTCGCCCAGGCTGGATGGAGTGCAGTGGCGCAATCTCGGCTCACTGCAAGCTCCGCCTCCCAGGTTCACGCCATTCTCCTGCCTCAGCCTCCCAAGTAGCTGGGACTACAGGTGCCCGCCACCACGCCCGGCTAATTTTTTGTATTTTAAGTAGAGATGGAGTTTCACCATGTTAGCCAGGATGGTCTCGATCTCCTGACCTCGTGATCCACCCACCTCGGCCTCCCAAAGTGCTGGGATTACAGGCATGAGCCACCTCATCTGGCCTTTTTTTTCTTTTTTTTAGAGACGGAGTCTTGCTCTGTCGCCCAAGCTGGAGCATAGTGGCTCAATCTCGGCTCACTGCAACCTCTGCCTCCTGGGTTCTAGCAACTCTCCTGCCTCAGCCTCCCGAGTAGCTGGGATTACAGGCACATGCTGCCATGCCCAGCTAATTTTTTGTATTTTTAGTAGAAACGGGGGTTTTACCATGTTGCCTAGGCTGGTCTTGAACTCCTGACCTCGTGATCCACCCTCCTCGGCCTCCCAAAGTGCTGGGATTATAGGTGTGAGTCACCGCATCCAGCCCATAGTCCCTTTCCTCTCTGGGAGTCTCTGGTGGCCCCTTCATAATGCTTTTTTTTTTTTTTTTTTAATTCTTGGTACATTTTCTATGTAATCATTTCAATAACTGACTGTCCAGTAGAGTCTTTAGTTTTTCTGTATCCCTTCCCAAATTTAGAAACCTGACTTGAACTTTGGGCCAGTTGTAATGTGTCCTCTATGACAGGCCATCCTGGGCCCCCTTCCCTTTGTTCCTGTGGCTGGAGCCCTGAGCAGGCCCCATCCACTTGAGTCCAAGAGGCCCTCTCTCCTGGCTGCTACCATTGTACCCACCTGCTGGCCAGGCCCCCACAGGGGCCTCTTTCCTCCTGACAGTCTCATCCCCACTCAGCAGCCAGAGTGCCTTCTTTATAAATGTAGATCAGATCCTTTCACTGTATTTGTTCATCCAACACACATTTACTGAGCACCTACTGTGTGCTAGGCCCTGGTACGGGCACAGGAAACACATCAGGGAATAAAACTACACTCTCTGCTCTCCTGGAGCTTCCATGCTAGTGGAGAGAAGAAAGATACGTAAACATGTAATGAGTCAGGTGGTGATGAGTACAAAGGAGAAAAGTAAAGCAGAGAAATGGAGTAGAAAGTGCTGGCAATAGTGGGTGGTGGTGGTGGGGGGTGTGGTTTGCAATTTTCAACAGGGGTCCTCAGGCCTGACTGAGGAGCTGAAGAGGTAAGAGAGTGAGCCACGAGGCTAAGTGGGGTGAAAGAGTTGGAGCAGAAAAGGTGGGAGGATCACCAGGCATGATGGCCCCTCTCTGTAGTCCTAACTACTAGAGACAGGCTCATGCCTGTCATCCCAGCACTTTGGGAGGCCGAGGCAGGTGGATCATCTGAGGCCAGGAGTTCAAGACCAGCCAGACCAACATGGTGAAACCCTGTCTCTACTAAAAATACAAAAATAAGCTGGGCGTGGTGGCACATGCCTGTAATCCCAGCTACTTGGGAGGCTGAGGCAGGAGAATTGCTTGAGCCTGGGAGGCAGAGGTTGTGGTGAGCCAAGATTGCCCCACTGCACTCCAGCCTGGGCAACAGAGTGAGATCCCATCTCAAAACAAAACAACAAAAGCTAACTACTTGAGAGGCTGAGGTGGGAGGATTGCTTGAGCCCAGGAGTTTGAGGTTGCAATGAGCTACGATCACACCACTACACTCCAGCCTGGGCCACAGAGTGAGACCCTGTCTCAAAAAAAAAAAAAAAAAAAAGAGTCCCAGCAGAGAACAGCAAGCACAAAGGCCCTGAGGCAGGAGTGCACCTGGTGTGTTTGAGAACCCACAGAGACACCACTGTGGCTGGAGCAGGGTGAGATGTGGGAAGGGAGTGGCTAAGGAAGCTGAGAGGTCAAGGAAGAAGTGTGGTTGGAGCAGGCCCTGCAGGTGCCGAAGGCTTTTGCTTCTTTCCTGAGATGGCAGCCCTCACGAGCCCTGGAGCTTCCCTGGCTGCCATGAGATCAGGTGGAAGGGGGTCGAGGCTGCAAGTGGGGACGCATGAGTGGGTGACAGGTGGCAGTAGTAGAAGTGTAAGAAGAGCTGGGAGTCTGGGTCTCTTCTATCTTGAAAATAGAACCCCAGGCTGTGCTGGTAGAGCTGGATGCAGGGTGGAAGAAGGGAAAATATTTTTGCTGCTTAAATCCTAGCCTGGCTTCCCATTGCTCGTGGGGTGCATTCTCGATTCCTCTTCCCCGCCTGAGGTCTGACATGTGCTGGCCCTGGCTGGCCTCTCCTGTACCTTCTACCACCAGCTCCAGCTCATGGCCTGATGTGGTTCCTCCCCCGAATCCAGCGACCAGGCTGCCCTCTGCCCCAGCGCCTCCTCCGTGGATGTCTGCTCTTCCTGAACTGCCCTCCCACCGGACGGCTGCTCCTTGGTAGCAGCTCAAGTGTCCTTCCTTCCCTAAGCCAGTTTCCCCAAACACTGCAGCACAACGCCCTTCATTTCTCATGGCATTCTTCATGGCCTGTCAATGGGGCTTTTGTTGTTTTAATTTTCCGTCTTCTTGTTTTTGTTGGTCTTCCTAGAATATAAACCCCATGAGGGCAGAGGCGTTCAGCCTGACTCCAGCCTGGCAAAGCTGTCACAAATCTGGAGGAACACACACGTTCACGGGCACTCAGTTCTGTGAGGTACTGCAAGCCCTCTCTGAACCTGCAAGGTGGCCATTGCTGTCCCCACTTTACAAAGGAGGAAAGAGTGCGCGGAGAGGTTCTACTTAGACCCGCCAAGGGCACAGTCGTTCTAGAAAGTAGCAGACTGGGAGTTCCAACTTGGGCTTGCTGGTTCCAGAGCCCCTTCTGTGCCCCTTCCAGGCTGTGCCTGGGTGAGATTCTTCTCCTACCAGCACGTCTTCTTCCTGGAGGGTTCAGTGGCTGAGCTGACACCGGTGGGCAAGAGGCCCTGGCGGGCTTGTTGAAGGACTCAAAGGTGGCGTCTGGGAGCCTGGCGGGACTTTCTCCCTGTCAGCCTAGAGGCACTTTTAGAGGAGTGTGTCTGTTTCGCAGTCTTCGTGTCTCATAATTCATAACTAAGGTAGAGGGTACACATTTAGTTTACAGTAAAACCTCAAACCCACCTCCACTCCCAGCCGGCCACTTCTCTCCCTGTTCCCTTCTCTGCCCTCCACAGGTGAGAACAAGTGTCCGGGGCCGCCCCGTGGGGCCCCAGGCTGCCCGCCCTGAAACTGCCTCGCTGTGTGCCCTTGGGCAACCCCGCCCTGCTCCGTGCCTCAGTTTCCCCACTCATAGAGGCTCCACAGGTGACACACCTGGCTCCGGGCCCCGATCGGCCGCCGGGCCCCGCGGGGCGGAAACCCCGCGCCAAGCCTCCCGGAGGCACCTCCAGGGCAGGGCGGGGAGCGCGGGGAGGGGCCGCGGGGACCTGCGCCGCTGGGGCCGCCTGGCCGCCGGCCGGCTCCGGGGGGCGCCCGCGGGAGGGCGCGGCCGGTGCGGGGGGCGCGGGTGGCGGCGGCGGGGGGCGGAGACGCGGCGCGGCTTCCGCTCCCGCGCGCCCAGCTCCCTCCTCCCCGTCGTCCTGGTCCGCGGCGCCCGAGGGGGGAGGCGGAGGCGCCGGGAGCCGCGCGAGGAGCCGCCGCCGCCGCGCCATGGAGCCCGAGTGAGCGCGGCGCGGGCCCGTCCGGCCGCCGGACAACATGGAGGCAGCGCCGCCCGGGCCGCCGTGGCCGCTGCTGCTGCTGCTGCTGCTGCTGCTGGCGCTGTGCGGCTGCCCGGCCCCCGCCGCGGGTAGGTGGGCGCAGGCCGGCCGGGGGCCGCGGGTTGCTCGGACAATGGCCCGGGCGGCCCCGCGGCCAAGTGCGCGGGCGCCGCCGCCGTCTCGGAAGCGACTTGGCGAGTTGGGAGCGAGTTGGGGCGCGCGCCCGGGATCCCCCTGCCGTCCCCGGCGTCCCCGCCACGCGCGGGCCCTTTGTCTCCCCACCCGGGCCCTCCCCGGGGACGCTGCGTCCCGGGCTGGCGAGGAGGGCGCCCGCTCCGCCAGGTGCGGCGCGGGCGGGTCCTCACCTGCCCGAGCCCGCGGGAAGCCGGGAGCCGAGCCGAGCCCGCGCTGGGCCCGTGTGGCCCGGGCCGGGCACCGAGCGGGGACTTGGGGCGCGGAGGCGGGCCTGGCCCGGGGAGCCGGTTCGCAAGCCTGTTTCCAGCGGCCGCGCGGCCGCCCCGCGTGCTCCGAGGACGGGCTGAAGTTGCAGCGAGAAAGTTCTGAGCCCGGGCGCGGGGCGGCCTGGCCGGTGGCGCTGCTCCTGTGAGCCGCGTGGCTGTGGGTTTCCAAGCGGACTGACACCTGCCAGGTGCCCGGGCGACCCGAATGCCCCGTGTGGCCGCCGGGTCCCCAGATAGTGTCCATCCCCGGGTCGGCTACGCGGAGGTGACGTGGTCCCAGATCGCGGGGCAGTGGGGGAGGCAGGCTT
The DNA here is from genome assembly GCF_000001405.40 of Homo sapiens. Lineage (NCBI taxonomy): Eukaryota > Metazoa > Chordata > Mammalia > Primates > Hominidae > Homo > Homo sapiens. The sequence continues at coordinate 68,313,486 of NC_000011.10, forward strand.
GTGCCTCAGTTGTACACTCCCGTGGGGAGAGGTAGGGCGGGGGAACTTTCTCTCCAACTTTTGGTGTTTCCCAGGGGGTGGAGTTGAGGTCAGGAGGACTCAGGAAACTTAAGCAGTCGTGAAACGCTACACATGTTCTTTTAATTTGGAGATTGCCATGTGGTTTTTCAAGCAAGCCTCTTGCTACCTAAATCATTCTCTTCGGATGTGCGTGTTTTGTTTTTCTGGAGTATGGCTGGCCAAGTGGCACGGCCGCAAGTGCCTGTGCACGCCGCGGCTCCTGTTCTGTTTGTGGCAGTTTAGCGGGGAGGACCTCGGGCCCCTTTGTCTGGGCCTCCTTAAGGCAAACAGCTGTCTCCCTGAATATTTCCAGTGTGAATGGTGCAGCGGGGTGGCCCTGTAGTCAGATCCCCCAGGCTGCAGCCTCTGCTTGGAGGTGTGGGGGACAGCGGGGAACAGGAGGAGCTTGGAGTTTGTTTCACGTCCTCCTGCCTCTGACCCAAGCCTAGAGATTCTATGGACAGTTTCACCCCAAATCTGCCTCTTTCAGGAGCGTGTTTACATTGTGGGGCCTTGTCTGGAGCTAGCAAAACAAGGTGAAGACAAAACAGCGACAGTATCTGGGGAGTACAGGCCAGCGCCGCTCCTTTTTCCGGAAATGCCTGGGTCAAGGAGGCAAAAGGGGTTTTGGGGAAACTGTTTGTTTTAAAGGGGGGGTTTCTAGGCCGACCGCGTTGCCTTTCACCTCATTGCAGTTTTGGGTTTTGTGCACGTTTTGGGGTGATGTTGCTGGAGTCAAATGCCTGTCGTCCATGTGGTTCGAGCCCCTGAGGAGAAAGAATTATAGCTGTAGAGTTCAGTTGTGTGTGAGGCAAAAATAGAGTTGATTATTTTAACATTAGGCAGCAAGGCCTGGGAGCCCCAGTGAATGTGGTGATCCAGGCCTAAAATGGAAGGAAAGGGAGGAATCTTTCTGCAGAACGGTTTTGATGTTATATCCCTGGTTTTACTGTGTGAAATACATGCCTCGGACCTCAGCGAAGCCAGTAAGTGGGCCGCTAATTATTTTTCCTGATTGCTTCCTGTTGCAATTGGAAGCTGTGAACGCACGGAAATGGCTTTGTTCTAGTGGTCCCAGTGCTGAGAACTTCCCCAGCTCCCAAGCCCTAGTCCTCTCTCCTCGGGGCCCAAGTGCTTGTTCCAGGGCCGGCCTGTCCAGGCACCCCCTCTCCCCCTGGAGGTTCCTCCTGTAGATGCCCAAGGCCAAGGCCGGGCCCTCTGGGAGAGCCCAGAAGGGCTGAGTGGGGTTAACCAAGTGCTGTGTGGAGCACCCTGAGAGAGTCCCCTCCAAAGCAGGGCCCCGTGTGTTTAGCTCCCCTCTTCAGTTCCAAGAAATTCGCCGGTGAACCCGATCCAGCATTTGTTCAGCACTTTCCTGGGGAGATTCACCTCGTGCTTCCTGTCGTTTTTGGAACCCGTTTAATTTCAGCCGTGCTGTGTCACTGCTCAGGCATTTAGTAGAACTCACACACACGGGTGGGGGATGTAGGCAGGTGAGGCCTCTGAGTTGCTTTCTCCCTTGCAGCGACGGGTTGCAGGGCTGATGGGGGTGGAGGGGTTTGGGGTCAGACCCACCTGGGTTTACATGCTCAGTGGCTGTTTGACTTCGGGCACCATACCTAGTTTCTGTTATCTCACCCCGTTCCTCTCCCAGGCTATGGGGAGCCCTAACTGCCCTGTGTGAGACCTTTAGCCCCATCCCTGGCAGAGCTGCAGTGAGCGCAGTTGTGTGTCAGCGTCCTCGATCTTTCTGGCCCCAGCCGGTCTAGAGGCTGTTATTACAATAGTCTGGATTTTTCCTGTATGACCTTGGACATCCAGTCCACTGACAAACTCACTCACTCACCGCTGCAGCCCTCGGGGGCAGGAGTAGTTAGTTAGCACTGTGGACAGAGCCCCTGCGCCCAGGGTCTGATTCCAGCCTGGCCGCTTCCTGTGCTGGGAGGCTTAGGAAGCTGATGCTACCTTTGTGTGCCTCAGTTTTCTCACCTGTAAAATGGGAATAGAATCCTTCCTACCATGAATTCAGTGAGTTAACGTGCACCTGGCCCGGTATAATGCTGTTGCTGTTTTGCTTTGGTGTCTGCTACCGAGTGAAGTGCTAGGGTTGAGTGCGATAGAATGGCAGATAAGGCCCCGCCCCTGCGGGCAGAGCTTCCCATGTAGAGGGGAGGACAGGGAAAGAAGCTTTGCAGCTATGCAGAGGTGGGCCCACGGGTGCTCCTTCACCCTCGGGGTGTCCTGCGAGAGGCCCTTAGAGGCCAGATCATGCTGTGGAGTCTGGTTGTGATCCACAAGGCAGCGGAAGCTTCTGGAAGGCTTTAGGCAGGAGTTACAGGAAATGCAAGCTAAAGCCAGATCTTTCCTAGGTGAAAGGTGTCGAGTTGTTTTTTTTTTAAATTGAGGTGAAACTTATATAATATAAAATATTAAAGTATAGAAGGCAGGCATTTGGTACATTCACAGTGTTTACAACCCTCTCTTCTATCAAGTTATAAGAGATTTCCATCACCCCAAAATAAAACCCATACCCATTACACGGTGACTTCCCGTTCCCTCTCCCCGGATCCCCTGGTGAACACCAGTCGACTTTCTGCCTCTGTGGTTCTGCCTGTTCTGGGCATTTTGCATGAAGGGAATCTTACAATGCGTCTTCGTGGCTGACTTCCTTGGTTACTGTAACGTTTTCAGGAGTCATCCAAGTAGTACCACGTATGGGTGTTTCAGCCTTTTATTTTTTTTTTGAAATGGAGTCTTGCTCTGTTGCCCAGGTTGGAGTGCGGTGGTGCGATCTTGGCTCACTGCAACTTCTGCCTCCTGGGTTTAAGTGATTCTCCTGCCTCAGGCTCCCAAGTAGCTTGCATTACAGGTGCCCGCCACCACGCCCAGCTAATTTTTGTATTTTTAGTAGAGACGGGATTTCACCATGTTGGCCAGGCTGGTCTTGAACTCCTGACCTCAAGTGAGCTGCCGGCCTCGGCCTCCCAAAGTGCTGGGATTACAGGTGTGAGCCATCACGCCCGGCCTATTTCAGCCCTTTTTGTGGCTGAATAATATTCCATTGTGTGGAGGGACCACATTATATTTGTCAGTTCATCCGCTGATTGGATTGATCTTGGTTGGTTGCATCTCCCAGCCGGCACGAGCAGGTCTCATGCCTCCTGCATCCTGGTGGAGGTGGCTGGTGGGAGGATCTGGCCTGAGACTCTCCTGCCGAGGTTCAGGAACGAGCCAGGTGATGGGGACAAGTTGGGGAGTCAGTGCTGGCATCTCAGAGGAGGGGCCTGGGCCCTGAGAGGAGTGCTGGGAGGGCAGAGTGAGGGCCAAGTTCAGGTTACAGAAGCCGTGAGACAGCCGGACATCTGTGGTTTGTGAGGCTTTGGAAACACTTAATGCGCTCTCCAAATGGGGAGTCTGTTGGGGAGGCCCTGGCGGGAGCCGGGGCTACATCCAGGTCCTCGGCTTGGTGGCCTTGTTCACTTATTTGTTCAGGAAGCAGCAGGGTGTGGGCTCTGTGCCAGGCCGCCCTGGAGGGCTGTCCTGGGGCCAGTGAGGTCCAAGTGTGATGGGCGGAGGCAGCTGTGGCTTGCTACGAGCCGGCCTCAGGGACCCACCGGCTGGCTCCGGCTGCTCTCTGCATTCTCTTCAGCTCTGGAGAGCCGTGTGCCAGCCCTCAGCCTCAGTTTCCTCATCTGCAAAATCGGGACGATGGTGTCCACCTTGCCCATGCTGGTGGGGTCCCAAGAGCTGGTGTCTGGGGTGAGGGAGCTGGGGGCCAAAAGCTCCTGCCCTGGGGCATCCAGCTGTCCTTTGAAGAGTACCCCGAGGGTGTGACTGAGAGCCAGTCCCCAGCACCCTTGTCCAGATGGGGACCAGGAGGTGGGTGAAGATATTTGGGGTCTGAGCTCTGTGCTGGTTGCCCCCGAGGGGGCCTGGAGCCCTGAGTTAGGAGCAGAACGGGGTGCTGGTCCTATCCGTTCCCTACCTGGGTAGTGGGGGCTGCCTTCCTGGGTTGGGGGTGGGGGGAGCTCCCTGTGTCCCTAAGCCATGCAGAGGCATGCGCATACGCGCTGCTCTTAGGCATGTGGGTGGCGCTCTGAGGTCCCTGCCCATTCCCCAGCCCCATGTGGTGGTCCCTGTGCTCCAGGTCCAGCCTCTGGTTTCCAGTTTGTCCTAGTTTGTCACCTTGTAGGGGGCAGTTGACACTTTGCTGGCCTGACTCGTGGTGTGCCAGAGCCCGTGGCTGCTGGGCGACTGTGCCTCTTTCTCTCAGTGGCAAGAGCCTTATTTTCTAATAGAGCCTGATGGGCCAGAGGTTCCGCCACAGGGACACTGTTCTCTGTCTCTCGTGCTTGGGGTCTCTTGCTGTGGACCCCCTGGGAGGTTGTCCTGGGGGTGCGGGGATTGTGTTTTCTGGGTATTTTCTTATTTGCTCTATTGGAGTGTATTTAATTTAATATATATATTTTAAACATCTTTTAGTTTGCCTTAATGTAATTTTTTTTGAGATTTAATTTTTTTTTTTTTGAGATGGAGTCTTGCTCTGTCGCCCAGGCTGGAGTGCAGCGGTGTGATCTCAGCTCACTGCAAGCTCCACCTCCCAGGGTCACGCCTTTCTCCTGCCTCAGCCTCCTGAGTAGCTGGAACTACAGGCACCCGCCACCACGCCCGGCTAATTTTTTGCATTTTTAGTAGAGACGGGGTTTCACCGTGTTAGCCAGGATGGTCTCCATCTCCTGATCCTCCCGCTCGGCTTCCCAAGGTGCTGGGATTACAGGCGTGAGCCACCACACCCGGCCTGCTTTTTTTTTTTTTTTTGAGTCTTGCTCTGTTGCTGAGGCTGGAGTGCAGTGATTCAGTCACCGCTTACTGCAGCCTCTACCTCCTGGGCTGAAGCAATCCTCTCACCTCAGCCCGCAAGTAGTTGGGACCTCAGGTGTGCACCACCACGCCCAGCTGATTTTGTTGTTTTTTGTAGAGACAGGGTTTCACTATGTTGCCCAGGCTGGTCTTGAACTCCTGGGCTCAAGCGATCCACCCACCTCAGCCTCCCAAAGTGCTGGGATTACAGACATGAGCCACTGCGCTGGGCCTTAATGTAGTTTTTCTTGTGGTTAAACTGAGGTGAAGGTTCACTCAAGGAGGAAAGTGGTTTTTAGCCTTTTGAGGGGCTCAAGGACCCCTTCAAGGATATGACAACGGCTCCTCTCCTGAGAAGGTGCCTGGTGGGGGCGGCACAGGCTCCACTCCACCCCATTGCAAGAATCCAGGGCCCTGCAGGGCTCAGAGCCCTCTCCCTGCCTCCCTGTGGGGCATTGAGAGGCACTCACCTTCTGAGGGCCTCAGTTTCCTTTTTTTGTAAAATAGAACCAGCTGATTCCAATCTCTATGGTCTCTTCTAGCACGGAGCTTCACGTTTTTTCTCCCTTCAGGATCCTGAGGCCTCTGGATCGCTAGAGATTGGGGGTGCCCCCAGAAGAGGCGCTGCTTCTGTGCCCTCCCTCACCCCACCGTGCCTGGCTCCTTGTTTTTTTTTTTTTTTTTTTTTTTGAGACAGGAGTCTCACTCACGCCCAGGATGGAGTGCGGTGGCACGATCTCGGCTCACTGTAACTTCTGCCACCCTGGTTCAAGCGATTCTTGTGCCTCAGTAGCTGGGACTACAGGCATCTGCCACCATGCCCAGCTAATTTTTGTATTTTTAGTAGAGACAGGGTTTTGCCACGTTGGCCAGGCTGGTCTCGAACTCCTGACCTCAAGTGATCTGCCTGCCTCGGCCTCCCAAAGTGCTGGGATTACAGGCGTGAGCCACCATGCCCAGCCTGCCTGGCTGATTTTTTAAAATTTGTCGTTGAGATGGGTGTCTTGCTTTGCTGCCCAGGCTGGCCTTGAACTCCTGGGATCAAGCGATCCTCCCACCTCAGCCTCCCAAAGTGTTGGGATTACAGGCATGAGCCGCTGTGCCCAGCCTATTTTATTATTATTATTATTTAATTTTATTTTTTCTCACTATTGCCCAGCTCCTGGCCTCCAACTCCTGGGCTCAAAGGATCTTCCTGCCTCAGCCTCCTGAGTAGCTGGGACTGCAGGCATGTGCCATCACACCCTACTTTGTACTTTTGCTTTTCTGTCTTTGCTCTTGTTAAAAGCCAAGTGCCATTTCATAGTACACAGGTGCACTTGACAGCATTTACCTGATTGAGGAGTTTTTCCAGCCTTCATTGCTATTACAAAGCATGCTTGCTCGTGTGTCTCTGCATGTGTATAAGTGTTTTTATAGGATACATTCCTAGTCAAAGAGTGTGTCCATTTCTGTTTTTAAAGATATTGAGGCCGGGCACAGTGGCTCATCCAGGTAATCCCAGCACTTTGGGAGGTTGAGGCAGGAGGATCACTTGAGTCCAGGAGTTCGAGACCAGCCTGGGCAAAATTGGGAGACCCCCCATGTCTACAAAAAATTTAAAAAATTAGCTGAGTATGATTGCACACTCCTGTAGTCTCAGCTACTTGAAAGGCTGAGGTGGGAAAATCTATTGAGCTCAGGAGGTCAAGGCTGCAGTAAGCCATGATCACAGCACTGCAACAGATCTAGCCTGGGCAACAGAGCGAGACCCTGTCTCAAATACATACATACAAGCATACATACATACATAACTCCTAAAAGGCTGTAGCAGTTCATACCTGCAAGCATCTACGAGAACACACACTTTCCTATATCCTCTCTGATGCTGGCAATTACAAGATTTTGGTTTTTGGTGTTTTCTTTGGTCCAGTTTGGTTAAAAATTATAACACCTTTTGATTTGCACAACCCTCATTTCTGGTTTATTGGTATTTACTTTTCTGCAAATTGCCTACACTTATCCTTGGCCCATTTTTCTGTTGTCTTTTTCTTTTCTTTTTTCTTCTTCTTCTTTTTTTTTTTTTTTTGAGACAGAGTCTCGCTGTGTCCTCCAGGCTGGAGTGCAGTGGCGCGATTGCCATCTTGGTTCACTGCAACCTCTGCCTCCCGGGTTCCAGCTGTTCTCCTGGCTCAGCCTCCCAAGTAGCTGGGACTACAGGCATGCGCCACCACGCCTGGCTAATTTTTGTATTTTTGGTAGAGACAGGGTTTCACCATGTTGGCCAGGCTGGTCTCGAACTCCTGACCTCAAGTGACCTACCCATCTCCGCCTCCCAAAGTGCTGGGATTACAGACATAAGCCACGGTGCCAGCCTGTTTATCTTTTTCTTATAGATTTGTGGGAGGTCTTTATTTGGTATGGACTTTAATTCTTTGTTCTGTTTGTTTCAGGTTTCACTGCTGGTCTGTAGCTAGTCCTTCATCCTTGTTTCTGGTGGTACATTATCATAAAGATATTAAGAAGCTTCATATAATCATAACTCTACTTTTTCCCTATGGCTTTTTTCCTATCCCTTGTTACTCCATCTCCAGATTATAAATATATCCTCCATTATTTTCTTCCAGGACTGTTACTGTTTTATGTTTTACATTCAGACATTATTCTGTCTGGGTTTTTTTTTTTTTTTTTTTTTTGTATATGGTATGAGGTAGGGGTCTGGCCAGTGAATAGGGAGTTGTCCAACACCTTGGTGGGATGGTCCATCCTATCCATTCATTGTAAATGCTGCTCTTTTATGTGTAGTGTCCACAGACACCTGGGTCCTGATTCCAGACCCTTCACTGTGCTCCACTGCCTGTGAGTGTCTTTGTGTACCGGAATGCTGCTGTCTCCATCTCTGAAGCATCAGAACATATTTTAAGATCAGTTATGTAAATTCCCACCTCATTGTCCTTTTCAAAAGACGTATTGGCTCTGCTTGCACGTTTATGCTTTTGTGGTGAACTTCAGAGCCGTCCTATCAGGTTCCACCCTTTGATCTCTTGATCTGGGGACGGTAAATGGTGATATCCAGCAGGTGTCAGAGGGCTGGATTTTAAATGGCCTCCGATGAGCTGGCGGTCTCAGGCTGTGGAAGTGAATTCATCTGCTGGGTGCAGTGGAGCCGGCCTTGACATTTGTGGGTTTTGCTGACATTTGTGGAAGGCTCTGGAGGTGCCCTTTGTGCCGACTTGCCCGAGCCACTCCTGCTGCCCAACTCACTCCGGTGTCTGCTCAGGAAAGAAATTCTAATGCACACTAATTTTAGCATTAGCCCGATGGCAAATATAATTACTGAGTTAATTATCACTCCCCTCCCTAGTTAATCCCAGAGCAAAATGTGGGCACCTTTCATTTCTTCCTTGGGATGTACCCCTGTATTAGTTCAGATGGGGAGGCGGTACCTGCCTGGCAAAGCTCTCAGGAAATTGCTCAACGGGGCATTAATAGCTATCTGAGCGTGTGGCCTGGGCTGGAACACACCAGCCTGGGTGCTGGGTGTCTTCCAGGCTCTGGCCACCTTGGGTTCTGCCCCAGGAAGGAGCAGACTGTCTCCTCTAGGGGACCTGAAGCTTAACGTCCTCACTGTACGAGATAGTTTTGGAGCAAGATATGTTCTGGGGCTTGCTTCTGCGGGTAAAGGCCATTTCTCCAAACTTTCCCCCAGAGCGAACTTGCTTCCCAAAAGGAGTCTGGATCCGGGCGTGGCCGTGCTGCCCTGGCCGCCTCCTCACTTCAGCTGGAGCCTCCGAGCTGACGTCCATGCCTATTCCTCCTGAGCACTGTAGACACAGGCCCCAGCTCTGTCCCCTGCCCTCTCCTCCACTCAGACTCCCTGGGCTCTGAGGCTTTACCTACAGGCCCTGCGGTGCATATTCAGTGAAAGCCTAGATTCAGAGCCAATGACATCAGCTTTTACTTGGTCTCCTTGCTTTCTGGAACCTCCCCTTTGCCCATTTATCTTATGCTCTGGCCAGATTAATTTTTCTCCAAGTAGTTTTCATCACATCCTTCCCTTTCTCAGACAGTCGTGCCCATTCTCCAGCATCTGAAGTTGGAACTTTTTGGCCTGGCAGGCCGTGCCGCCCTGAGCAGACCTGCCCATCTTCTGCCCCTGGTGTGGGCACTTCTCTTGCCAGATCTGTCTGGAACCTTCCATGGTCCACCCAACCTGGGAGGGCCTTGAGGACAGGGGCTGTCTTCGTCTGCGCCCCTCTGCCTCTAGTGTGATGTCTGGTAGATGATCAGTAACTGTTCTGAGGCCAAGGCCTCATCTGTCCAGGGAGCAGATCTTACCCATCTTTTACCTCCTCTGGCTCGAATTCTGCTGGAGCATGAGCTCCCTCTAGCCTAGGTTGTAGAACACCTGTCTGGCTATGTGACAGCTTCTGGGCCAAGTGTGAGGACCCCCATGGTCCTGCAGTAAGAGCCCATATTTCTGGGGTGTGGGAAACCCAGTGTACCCCAAAGGGACTTGACTGTGAAGTCCCGGGTCCACGTGGTACCCACCAGCCTCCTAGGGCCCAGACTCCGTGAGATGCCACGGTGGGGGCTTGGGCATTTGCAGCCTTCACTTGGCATTCTTACCATTTTCAGGAAACTTTATATAAACATTTTTAATCATGCAAAAAAGGAATTATGGAATAATAAATGTTTATATTAAAAAGTCTTGGTGGTTTTGATTGATTTATTTATTTTTTGAGATGGAGTCTCGTTCTGTCTCCCAGGCTTGAGTGCAGTAGCACAGTCTTGGCTCACTGCAACCTCTGCCTCCTGGGTTCAAGCAGTTCTCCTGCCTCAGCTTCCTGAGTAGCTGGGATTACAGGCACCCGCCACCATGCCTGGGTAATTTTTGTATTTTTAGTGGAGATGGAGTTTCACCATGTTGGCTGGGCTGGTCTCGAACTTCTGACTCAGGTGATCCACTTGCCTCAGCCTCCCAGAGTGCTGGGATTACAGGCGTGAGCCACCAAGCCTGGCTTGGTGCTTTTTAAATTTATTTTGAGATAGAGTCTGACTCTGTTACCCAGGCTGGAGTGCAGTGGTGCCATCACAGCCTACTGCAGCCTCTACCTCCCCTGGGTTCATGTGGTTCTCCCGCCTCAGCCTCCTGAGTAGCTGGGACTACAGGCACACACCACCAGGCCCAGGTAATTTTTTAAAACACTTTTTTTGTAGAAATGGGGTCCCTCCATGTTGCCCAGGTTCATTTGGAACTCCTGGGCTTAAGTGATCCTCTTGCCTCAGCTTCCCAAAGTACTGGGATTATAGGCGTGAGCCACCGCGCCTGGCTACTTTGGTACTTTTGAGTTAAAACTATAGAGTAGGTGACTGAGTGATATTTTTAATGCGTTCTCAAGAATTTGAACACGAAGAGAGTGTCACCCTCCCAGGTTATGCCCCCGGGAGTTCATGCACTTGCCACCTGGTCGCTGCTCAGGGGGCCCAGGGAGTTTGCTGCAGTGCCGGAGGACTCCTGGGTCCCGGCTGTGCCTCCCCGCAGCCGCCTGCTCCCTTGGGACACTCATTCATTTGCTGTGGCCACTGCCACCCACAGTCCTTGCCTCGTAGACTCCACTGCAGCTCTGGTTACAAAGAGCGAGTGGTCAGGGACTCCTGACCTGCCATGCAGGGCCCCGTGGGCTTGTGGTGGCTTTGGTGCCGTCCGCTGCGTCTGCCTCTTAGAGCATGGAGTTCTCCTTCTCAGGAGGGCTGAGCTGCTGGAGCTCTAGTCCTGCCGCAGAGCAGCCCCCAAGTGCGGCGTTGCCTGTCCCTGTGGAGCAGGTGACTACCTGGCTGCGGGCGGAACAGCAGGCCATGGCTCTGGTAGTGGTCTGTGACAGCATATCACCCTGTGGGACAGATCCCCGGGACCTAGTGGGGTGGGATAGTGAGAGCTGCGTCCACAGGGGAGGCTCAGAGACTTGTGTGCCCAGTGTGGCCCTGTGTGCTGACCCAGCTGGGCTCTGCCCTGTGTGGCCCCCAGGGTGCCCGGCGTGTGCCCTGATGGCCTGGGGCAGAGCTCCAGAGAGCCATGGCTGGCCGAGGGCTCACGGATTCTCACCCGCCCCCAGTGCCTCAGGAGACACCTGGGCAGCGAACAGCTTGAGGTGTGCAGAGGATGGGTCACGATGGGAGGGAGGCACAAGGGGTGCTTTCCATCTCTTTGGCCACCAGTTTTAATTAAAAAAAAATTTCCATCTGTTTTGAAAGGTTTTATCCTCTTAAGGAAATGACGTTTATTAAGCAACAGCCCCTTCTGCTCATCGTCCAGCTGTGCCCACTGGCAGAGCAGAGGCTGGTGGGATTCCGCCTGCTCCACACCAGGAGGTGCCACTTGGCTTCCCAGTGTCGAAGGCCTTCTTGGACTCAGCACACCTTCACGGCCCCGTGGGCTGTGGGTCCCTGGGTTGGGCATGACTGACTTGGAGGGTGATGAGAGATCTCCAGGATCCAGGCAGGTCTGGCACGCCACTGGGTGCTAGGCGCTGGGCTCTGGGCGGCCTCCTTGCTGTGCTTTTCTCTGAGGGTTGAGGGAGCCCTGCTCAGAGACCACCAGGTGAGCTCTGGGGGTCCCTCTGGGCTCCTGTGCCCTGCACAGCCCGGTTCTGACCACAGACCTCCTCCATCAGGGTGGACTATAGCCCAGAGCGGGATACCACCACGCCCATCACCCCCCACCCCTGGAGCCCCTGACCAAGGCCCTTCTGGGTACTTAACCAGTGATCTGATCTCACCACAGTCAGGGATTAGGGCCTCTCCCGGAGGGCTGGGGTCCAATGGTATGATGTGTTTCAGGTGAGAAACAGGTTCAGGGATGTCCCCAGCCTCACTGGCTGTTGTTGGCAGAGCAGGATGAAAGGCAGACGGGAATGCAGAATTGGGATCTTGCCCTGACCCCTGTGATCCGTGAGGCCCTTGAGCTAGAGGGATGCACTCAGTCGAAGTGCCCGCCTCTTGCTTTGTGTTAGTGTGAAGAGGAGGGGTGGGCCCTGTTCTATTCTTGGCTGCCCACAGCACCTAAGGCCAGCTTGGTCACCAAGGCATGCTGGAAGGTCACCACAGGTGGCACAGGTGGCTTGGGGTGTGCTGGGCAGCAACCATTATGCAGCAGTGGCCTCCAAGCAGAAGCTGCTGTTTCGGACACCCGAGGTATTCCCAGCCTCCTTCCCCTACCCCGAGGTTTGCTGGAGTCACTGAGGGGGCAGTAGCGAGCTGCAGGTGCAGGGTCGGGGTCCTGGGGGTTGCGTGTATGCGCAGCCTCCAGAGAAGCCCATGCAGGCCCCCCTCACCCGTTCCTGCCTGACCTGCTGTTGTGTCCTGCTCCTAGCTCTGCGGTCTGGGACAAGCACGTTAACTGCTTCAGAGCTCAGTTTCCCCATCCGTGATAGGGAATGATCTTTATGCTCCCACAGGCTCGTCCTGAGGCTGCAGAGAGGCAGCGTTGAAAAGTACCTAGCTCAGGGCCTGGCTCAGTGACGGTTAGCTGTTAGGGTTACCATCGCATCGCAATTGTTACTCCATAGTGACGACCCCCCGGGGACTCTGGACTTGTTCAGCTCAGCTGAGAGGCTGCTTGGCCGAAACCATCTCAGCTCTGCATAGTGTGGCCTGGTGGCCTGTGGGTTGCGCTCATGACAACGTGGAGCCTATTCAGTCGGTACCGAGTGTGCGTCCTTGCCTAGCTGGCCTCGGCATTTATTTTGTAGCTGGAGCCCTGGTGGGATGGGGTCAGGTGGGCTCTAGGAGTCTGGGGGACAGGTGCAGGTACCTTCGGGTGCGCCTCCCCTGGGGGCCTCTGCTTTGTCAGAAGTATGGCAGGGGGCTGAGGGCTGACTATCTATTTGTAGGTGTCACCAGAGCAGTCCCCGCCTCTCCTTTTCAGAGGACATTGTTGAGGGGACCCTGCCATCTGCGTCTGGGCTGGCTGCTTCCTCTGTGGGGGGCTCCTCCCGGCTGACCAGCAGCCCTTTCTGGCCCCCTGCATCAGCGCCTCCCCACTCAGCTTCACTGCTGAAGGCAGGGCCAGCCTGGGCACCAGGTTCTTCCCCCTCTGCCCAAGGTCCCTGCCCACCCGTCTTCCCTCGCCCTGGCCGTGACGGTCAGTGCCTTTGCCCCGCTCTGACGACCAGGCCCTGTGCGCAGTTGGCGCTCCGTGGTTGCTGAGAGATGTGCTCTCCAGTCTGTGGGCCAGATGGGGCCTCTGAAGTGGAGGGGGCCCACCCTCTCTCCTGCAGCCTGCTGTGGCTCCCCATCGCCTCTGGGATGAGAGCAGACCCTGCGAAGCCTTGAGCTCCTGGCCCTCCAGCTGTGAGCCCAGGTGGGACCACCCAGTTACAAGAGCGTTAGGCCTGGCTGTGTAGGAGACGTGTGTCTCCACACCAGAGTCCTTGCGGCATATGGGAAGCCTTCATGGTCCTCATGGTGGGGAGGGGTCCCCGGGGAGGCATGGAGTCTCGCTCCTAGGTTGCTGTGTGGCTTCAGCGCTCTGTACCTCCATGCCCCTGTCCTGCAGATGTCAACACCCAGTTGAGGAGAACGTGGACTTTGCCCAGTGTTGTGCAGGGATGGTGGGGCCAGGCTGGAGCCCACGTGTCCTGCCTTCGCCCTGGCCAAGGTGGGGGTTATCTGCCCTGGCCAAGCTGTGCCGCCCGTCCCTGCCCGCCCCAGCAGGTGGGGGCCTGCGGTGGGATCCCACCCATGAGCAGTAGAGGCTTGTTGACTTACTGGCCTCCCAGGCTCCCCCTCCAAAGCCAAGTCCTCCAGGACGGTTCTTGCCCCTGAGAAGGGGCAGTGTGGGTGCTGGGCTGCAGCGAGCCCCTCTTCGTTCCATTTCCTCACAGTCTCGGGGACGGAGGGCTTGTCCTGGAGCACAGGACCGGGATTGTGCTGAGGTCCTGGGAGGCCACGGTCATGAGGGGACCCAGTGAAGGCCAGGAGGGGACAAGCATCCCTCCAGGTATGGGGAGGGTCACCCCAGCGCCTCTGCGGATCTGACCCACTGGCTGCGGCTCCTGTGCTTGACCCTTTTGGCAAAGATATGCAGTGGTCTTTCAGTTGCCCCCCCTTAGGCAGCATGAAAACAATTTAACTCTTGCAGAAAGAACCTGGGAATTGATCTCCCCTGTCACTGATCCCACAAGTGTGACTTTGCATTGGTTTCTTGGTCCCCTTGTGCCCAGTCTCCCCATCTGTAAAATGGGGTGACAGTAGTTCCACCTCCTATGAGGACTGAGTGAAGTCAGGAACCAGAAGCAGCTCCCACATGAGACTCAGAAAGTGTGACAGGCGTGGAGGGTAGGGACCCATGAAGCTAGGCCCGGCACCTTAGGAAGAAGAGGGAGCTTTCCTGCAGGTTTCCCCCGGACGGAATGTGTTTCGTCCTGTGCACCTGCCTGCAGAGCCCCTCGCACGCTGTCAGTCCACAATGAATGCTTGGTGGAAGAGTTCACCCAGGGCCTGCAACACCATAGTGCTCAGCTTCTCCAAATTCTTCTTAACTTCCAGACTCGACACGTAAACTTGATTCCAAGGAAATCAAAGCTGATCGTCAACACTGGACTTTGCAGGCAGCTCCCAAACCCACATGCATATTTACAACTAAGAAATGCCAGTTCCTCAAAGAATGTTAGCCTCTGAGATGCATCAGGAGACCAGGAGGCAAGGGGTTAAAGGCAAACCGTGGCATTCCCCAAATCTGTCCAGTTCCCTGGCATGGTACAGTGTCGCGGAGCCCGAGGTGGCATCTTTTGTTTGGCTGCTGATGGCGGCCTTCGGGCCTTGGCATCCACGTTGCTGCAATTTTCCAGGAACAGTAGATCATTTGAAAGTAGAGCTGCCACGTTTTGCTCAATAAAGGGATTTTGTAGAGCGATGATAAATTTGGCATGTCTTTATTATTATTATTTTTTCAACACTTAAAGAAAATAAAAGCTGGTACAAAGGTATGTTTGTTTCTGAAATGTGTTTCCTTCCCCAGATGTTCTTTTCTGCCAGTTCTAAAATGCGTTCTGAGCTCGGTCCTCCAGTTTCCTCCCTGTGAGGAAGAACAATGAGACCTTTGTAACCACACAGGGGAAACGGCCGCTTCCCTCTGCAGTGGGCATGGGGGAGGGGCTGGGACGTCCCACCTCCTCCCACCTCGATGGAAACCACGAGTCTGTGCCAGCCCAGCCGACTGTCGGGGGGTTTGGCAGCCTCCTTTCCCATGGTGGTAATTTGCAGGGTCATGGCTCAGGGGCACCGCAGTCTGCACCTCCGTCCCTGGATCCGTGCGTTTGCTGTGTGGCCTCGCAGTAAATGCTTCCATCTGCGTGGCATTTATGGACCCTGGGGCTTGGTACTGTCTGTGTTATCTGGAGTCGAACTTGCCCTTTTCCTTTTCTGTCTGCCTTTCTTGCATCAAATGCTGGTCCCCACCCAAAGGGTAGCCCAGTCTGCAGGACACGGCGCAGAGGTAGAGTTGGTGGCTTCACGAGGGTCCAGTGGGGCACAGACCTTCCTCGGCTGCTCTGTCGCTTTGTGACTTGAGACTGCGTGGGTGGGGTACCTGAGGGATCCGTGAGCCCGCCCTTCCCACACGTGTGCATGCACACACACATGTGCACAGTGCTTCAGAAGTACCACCTTAGTTGGATTTGAAGGACAGCCAAGAGACCTGTATAAAGCTTGTAGTTAGAGTCGTTTCGATACTGGCCTGAATTAAGAGCAGTCTCCATGGGGTTGCTGTCTGTGGGGTACGTGTTTAATGAAAATCCTTGTTTTTAAATAAATGTATCCTGCTTTAGAACACCCAAGATATAAAATCTAGACTTCATAGACAAAAATAGCTAACATTTGTTGTGTATCACAGTGTGCCAGGTGGGCTCTAAGAGATGTTTGATTTCTTTAATCCTTCCAGCTGCCCTGTGGGCTGGGGGCCATCCCTACCCTCATTTTACAGACGAAGAAACTGAGGCTGGGAGAGGTCAATTAACTTGCTCAAATTTGGTATAGGCAAAACTAGGAATTGGCAGACGGTGGTTCCAGTGCCTGCCTTTTAATTGGTACTTGAATTATACGAGTGTTTTCTTCCATCAATAAAAGAAATCGGCGAACAGCCTCCCATGGGTTTCAGTAAGTGCAAGCCCTCCTTGTCATCCCAGACCTCAGCCTGCCCATTTAATGGATGAAGACACTGAGGCCTGGAGGGAACAGTGACTTCGGAGCCACTCTCCTGGACTCTGCCACTCCTCTCGCCTCCCATATGAACCTGAGTGGCCACATGACCCTGGGGGAGAGCTACTCAACTGTCCCAAGGAGAGGGTGATGACTGCTGGCCTCCCACCGGCCATCAGCGCCCCACTGACTGACACCCCTGAGTCAGTCTCCACCCTGGAACTGTTTCTCTCACTATTTGCCATGGCCTTGGGCCGCTTCCGGGGGCTTGGCAAGGCAGGAGGCGTGGAACCAAGATGGTATGTAATCAGAATGCTATATTTTGTTGAAAATAAGAATGTTAGTAATGGGCTGGTTTCTGGCAGGTCAAACTGGGACTCTGAAATACATATTTTTCTCTGCTCTGCCCTAAACCTTCTAATTAGTGAAAACGCACATTTGCAGACATCAATCAAATGTCATATTCCCTAGCAGCTTGTCCTGGGATCACTGAGCTGGTCACATTCCACAGTTGCTAACTCAGGGCTTGCAGAGTATGTGTGCACGTGTGTGTGCATGCGTGTGTTTGTGAGAGAGATACATGCCTTCTGGGGAGCCCTGGTGGCCTGTTTCCTTCCCTCCCAGGCCCCTGAGCTTCTGCTCCCCACCCCGCCCCCAGCCCCTTGTCAGCACATGCGCGGCCACTGCAATGAGATACAGACGTTCGCCCAATTAAAACACAGTTAGTGGAGGACACATGGCTTTCAGGGAAAACTGCTTTCTCTCAGGAAGATCTCTGCTGTGCAGTATTCCATAGCTAGACCCCAGCTCCACTCAACAGTGGACTCCATTAATAGCCTGGGTTTTGGAAGAGGCGATTTGCTTCTGGTAACTGGCTCCGGTGCATGGATGTTCCCTCCTCTTGCTGGAATCTCTGCCCGACCCAGACAGTGCTTGTGAACCAGCCCTGGTGGGCTCCATGGGGTTCTGGGTCTGGGAGGCAAGGACTTGCCTGGGGTCATTCTCATTCTGCACGGCACTAGCCATGCTGGCTGCATGAAGCCGTATCACAGAGACCTGTGGGTCCTTTACATCTGATCATCCTGTCATTTGTATCTGTATCTGGGGTGGTTAGTTGCAAACAATTCCACAGTAGCCAAATCAAGAAAGTCACTGGCTCTCGCAGGAGCGCGATTGGTGTGGGGCGAGCCTGGGGGTGTAGCCCAGGCAAGCCCTTCACCCTGATGCGCATTAGCCTTCTTATCCAGGAAATGGGGGGAGGCGGTCTGGGCCCAGGGAGGGGAGCATGCCAAGCTGGGGATCTCCACCGGTCCAGGATTCAGGGCGCCTCTGACCGTTCTCTGCCCAGTGCCTCCTGTTCAGTTTTACTTTTGTGTTTTCCATTTCACTTCTGCCTCTAGGCCAGTGTTTTTCAAAATATGTTTCCTGAGTGGAAATGAAAAAATGTTCTGTGATCAGGCGCAGTTGGGAAATCCTAGGGGAGAGAAAGTGAACTAGGCTTCCTCACCGCAGGACTTCTCAGAGCCTTTAAAATGGTAATTATGCTCCAGGCCTTGTGCCCCTCTACCTAGGCATCCTTTACTGGTTGGGAAGAGACGGCAGGTTACGGGTGAGTCCGGGTAAGTGGAGTTGTGCCTAAGCTGATAACCTGACGTCACCAACACTGTTCTGTCACCTTGCTTTGGTGTGGCTTCTTCACAGTTGTCACATCTGGGCCGTTTGGAGTGACCTAGCAAGTCCTTTGCTTGTCTCCCAGGACTTTCCGGAGTAGCCAAGCAGAGCCTTCGGCCAGTTCCCTTGTGGGGCCAGGCCCTGCCCGGGAGCACAGGCAGGAGAACAGCTGCCTCCCCGCCTGCCCCAGGGCCTTGGTGTCAGGGCCATAGCCCCCAGCTCTGCGGTGGAGCAGCAGGGACCTGCCTGGCCCATCTCCCTGTTGAGGGAAGACCCGGAGGCGCCTGTCCTGTTCTGTGTGCTCCGAGGTGTCTGAAACCAGCTACCTCATTTTCTTTTTATCTTTTGCAAGTGATTTCTTATTTCCTGCTCCACCCCCAAACGTGCCCCCTGTATGTTTCCTGTTCGCCTGCTTCCCTGACCTTTGAAATGTGGTCCCTGCTCGGGAAACTTGCCTGGACCTCAGTCAATTATGGTTTTCCTCTGGGCTGTGTGTGTGTGTGTGTGTGTGTGTGTGTGTTTGAGTGTGCAAGTGTGTGCATTAGGATTAGAGAGAATTCGATGGGGGGCCAGGGGCCAACAGGAATGGGGGTGGCTGAGCTGAGAGGCCAAGGGCAGGTTCCAGGTTGCATTGAGAGCCGAAGCTGGTGAGTGTGAGGCGGGCAGATGTGAGGTGTGTGTGGGGAGTGGGGTGCTGTCTGGGTGACTGGGCTGGGAGAGGGCAGGTGGGGGCCAAGCTGGAAGAGGTGGTGTTATTCTGTAGCACCTGATGTACACAGACCTTGGGGGTGCAGCTCCAGGCTTTCTCTCTCCCCACCCGCCCCTGAAGGCCCCACTCTCCCGCCTTCTGCAGCCAGCCTTCCTTTTGTCTGCCCCTGAGCTCCTCCGCTCTTGTGGTCGTTAAGAAAAGCTTTTTATAATCCAAGTTGGTTTGGGAAGAGGCAAACTGTCCTTTCCCAACAGTCATATGCCAACCCTGGCCACATCTATTCTGGATTTGAAGCAAAATATGGTATTTATTCATTATTGTCATGCAAATGTCAGCAGCTCGCTCATTCTTGATGGAGACAGCACCTGGAATGGGAGGGATGGGTCCACGGCCAGCATTGGAGGTGCTCGGCCCCAGCACCCGGGCCTTGCTCTGCAGGCAGCCCTGCTCTGCACCGGGCCCTGCTCTGCACCAGGTTCCACTGGGTGGCATCAGCCATGCCTGCCCTGAGGAGGTGAAGTGCGGGCTCTCTCCAGTGAAGGTGCAGAGGCAGGGTGAGCTGGCGGGCTTACGGAGGACGTGGGCTTCACCTGGGTCCAGGAGGCCAGGTCACATTCAGCCAAGTATTCATCAGCTGGGTGTAGAGACCAGGGAGGGTTTTTAGGGGTGGGAATGGCTGGAGGCATGGAGGTGGTCAGGGTGGAGTCTACGGGAGACTTGGTCTACTCTGGTGCGGTGGGATTCATGTAGAGAGAGCCCTTGTGGGCTGAGGCCAGGCTGTGGGGTAGATGGGAGAGACCTCCTGGCTTAGCAGGTCCTTGGGTGGATGGATGGACGGATGGAGGGATGTTGGGGGAATTGGTGGGATATAGATGGTTCAGCCAAGGTGGAAATGGGGGAGTAGAGCTATTCCTGGGGTGCTTGAAGATGTCAGCAAGTATCCCACTCCAGCTTGAGTTTGCAGAGCTTTCTCTAAAAGGCAGAACATGTGCTTGGTTAAAGGAAACCCAAGATTTTATTATTGTTGTAAATGTCAAGTCCCTCATTTTGAATCTTTAGACAACTGCAGAATTGTGTCACTGACTTGGGTAAAAGCCCAAGGAAAAACATGAAATTATGTTGCCAAAATTGCGGTCATCGTAGCTGCATGAGGGTTTGAGTGGCCACCGCCACCCCAGTAGGAGAGACGCGTAGATGTTGAATACACTGTGAGCTGCGTGCAGGTAATTGAAACGTGGATGTGGGGAAGGTCCCTGGCTTCATGGAACTGTCTACATAAAAGCGAGCCTGGGTGTTTCCTGTTTCTTCTACCTTAAGAAATTTCCACGAGAAGCTAAGGTATGGTTTTGCCAAGAATGTTGTTAATGGCCCAGCAATGAATATTTTCAGCCACTTGTAGACACCTGAACTTCATTCTTGGCAAACAGGTGTATGATTCTTGGACTTGGAGAGACTGAACTTTGCTGTGCTCAGAATGGAGGAGACCAGCTCACTTGTACTTTGATTTCTCCCTGGTCCCTGTCATTTTAGCCTGATCAGTGCTTTTTCAAGCATTTCCCCTTGAAGGGGAGATAGGACTTTCTGGCTCAGGGATGGGGAGGCTTCCAGGCAGCCTTAAACATTGTCCCTGCCCCACCCTAAGTATCTTTGAAGTTTCATGTTTTATCATAAAGTCTGTGAGAATGTTGCAGACTCCGTTATAGTCATGCTAGTTTTATTTTTTTAAATGTGGTTTGAATTTTATATAAAGTATATGGATTATATCTGAGAACTAATATGCAAGGCCTGTATGCAAAACATAATACAACTTTACAGAAGGACATTGGAGAGGACTGCAGTAGATGTTCACGGATAGGAAGACAGGAGATGGAGATGGCAGTTGCCCCCAGATTGATCAGTGGATTCAGTGCAGGGGCCGGCAGTGCGCTCTCCTCCCTGTTCTTTCCTCCCACCCCATTGCACAAATGTTGGTGCCTGGCATTTAAAGAAGCAGACCAGGCGCGGTGGCTCACACCTGTAATCCCAGCACTTTGAGAGGCCAAGGTGGATCACTTGAGGTCAGGAGTTCGAGACCAGCCTGGCCAACATGGTGAAACCCCATCTCTACTAAAAATACAAAAATTAGCTGGGCGTGGTGGTGGGCACCTGTAATCCCAGCTATTTGAGAAGCTGAGGCAGGAGAATCACTTGAACCCAGGAGGCGGACGTTGCAGTGAGCCTGGATCGTGCCACTGCACTCCAGCCTGGGCAACAGAGTAAGACTCCATCTCAAACAAATAAATAAGAAATAAAGAAGCAGCATGTCGAGGGTGGTGCTATGTAGAGGTGTCGGGGGTGATTGGCATCCAGCATCCGGAAGCAAGGTGGGGTAGGGTGCAGAGGTGACTGACAGCAGAGGCTACTGGAGCAGATGGGAAGCTGGTTATGGAGCTAATAAGTAAATTGATTGAGCAAATAAGTAAACATATGGATAGTAACACAAGCCAGGCTTTGCACTTTGGAGAAGGTGCTTACAAACTTGGACGAGACAGTACCCAGACACATAGCTGAAACTGTAGGTACTGCCACACACACATGCACAGAAATAGAGAAATAGTCATAGATGCATGTGTGTATAAAAGTGTATGTAGGCTAGGCACGGCAGCTCATGCCTGTAATTCCAGCACTTTGGGAGGCTGAGGTGGGTGGATCACTTGAGGTTAGGAGTTTGAGACCAGCGTGGCCAATGTGGCGAAACTCCGTCTCTACTAAAAATACAGAAATTAGCCGGTTGTGGGGGCACACCTGTAATCCCAGCTACTTGGGAGGCTGAGAATCACTTGAACCTGGGAGGCGGAGGTTGCAGTGAGTCGAGATCACGCCATTTTACTCCAGCCTGGGTGACAGAGTGAGACTCTGTCTCAAAAAATAAAATAAAATAAAATAAAAGTGTGAGTATACATACACACGTACAGTTGGTTCTTGTTATTCTTGAAAGTTATGCTCCATAAAGTCACTGGGAACCCTGAATTATTGAATACTGAACCATTGCTCCTAGGGGAAACATCGGGCTAGGTTCCTGTGAGCCTCAGGTCACAACGTTTTTGCCAACTGTTCGATACCTGACCTGGCTTTTTTTTTTTTTTTTTTTAAGACAGCGTCTTGCTGTGTCACCCCAGGCTGGAATGCAGTGGTACAATCATGGGTCACTGCAGCCTTGACCTCCTGGGCTCAGGCCATTTTCCTGCCTCAGCCTCTCCAGTAGCTGGGACTATAGGCATGCACCACCACACCTGTCTGATTTAAAAAAATATACAGATGAGGTCTTGCCATGTTGCCCAGGCTAGTCTCAAACTTCTGGCCTCAAGTGAACCTCCCACCTTGGCCTCCCAAAGTGTTGGGATTACAGGCATGAGCCACCGCACTCAGCCCATAACCTTGTCTTATGTGTGTTTCTAAGACACCTTATTTAGGCTGAGTGCAGTAGCTCACGCCTGTAATCCCAACAGTTTGGGAGGCTGAGGTGGGAGGATCACTTGAGCCCAGGAGGTTGAGGCGGCAGTGAGCCAAGGTCACACCACTGGACTCTAAAGCCTGGGTGACAGAGTGAGACCCTGTCTCTAAAAAGCACCTTATTTACTGTATATTGTTGATTCATTAACATTGAATTCATGGCCAACTACGCTATAACTCATACCTGAATAAAGCCTCTCATGCATATTCTCTCTGTAAGGCGTGGGGCAGCCTCATGCACCTAGGAGCACTACACAGCAGCATATGTGCAGGGGACATTTTATACAGCAAAATTGCCCACAAAAAGCACAGTGATGTGGAAAGCATGGCACTAGCTAGACCGAGAGAAGGACACTTGCTTACATCTCGACAGCCGGAGCAAGAAGATGGGGCGTTGTGGCCTCAGTTGACCTCAGTTTGGAACGTGTGATGGTGACTCAGTTTTTTCACACTCTGCAAGTCAGTGAGTGATTGCAGAAGTGCTGTGAGGTTTAATTTGGGGGATATAAATAAATGTTAGCAAGTAGGCGAGCTCAAGTACGGAATCTGGGAAGAGGGAAGACTGTACGTGTATATCCTACCTCCATCAGCAGAGAGGCCTAGAAGCAATGACCCCAAGTAGCAGTGAGCACACCAGAGCCCAGGTCTGGGTTTCTGAATACCATTCTCCACCCAAAGGAGTCAGAGCTTGTCCACGAAGAAGCTGGTTCTAGGGCTGGGGCAAGGAAAGGTACAAGCCGAGCATGGGGCATCTTATTGTGTAAGAAAGCAAAGAAGTTCTGGAGGACTGGTGGGGACCTCTGGGACAGAAGAGCCAGCTTAGAGGGGTGCTCACTGTCCAAATCTAGGAATATTTGAACGTCAAAATGTTGTGTACATGCCTTAGCGACCAACCCACATTTAAAACAAATTCCTGAATGAGGGCTGTAACTGTAGTCCCAAGTCATTCTTTTTTGTAGCTCATAATAGCCCATAATATTACTATACCATATGTTTGCATTTACCTATTTTTATTTTATTTTATTTTTTTGAGACAGAGTTTTGCTTTTGTCACCCAGGCTGGAGTGCAATGGTACAATCTCAGCTCATGGCAACCTCTGCCTCCCGGTTTCAAGCTATTTTCCTGCCTCAGCCTCCTGAGAAGCTGGGATTACAGGCATGCACCACCACATCTGGCTAATTTTTGTATTTTTAATAGAGACAGAGTTTCACCGTGTTGGCGAGACTGGTCTCGAACCCCTGACCTCAGGTGATCTGCCTGCCTTGGCCTCCCAAAGTGCTGAGATTACAGTCGTGAGCCACCGTGCCCGGCCTGCATTTACCTGTTTTTAATTGTGGTAAAATACATATAACACTTATCGTCGTAACCATTTGTAAGCGTGAAGTTCAGTGGCATTAAGAACATTCATGTTGCTGGTAACCACTGCCACCATCCATCTCCCACCACAATTTAATAAATCATTGAAAACAGACTTTCTTGACCACAAACAATGGTGCAGCAGAAGCATCATAGATCTCTGTCTGTCCTGCTGGCTGAGCTGTGGCATCCTTCCTTTTTTATATTGTAAAAACTGTAAATAAAATGCCATAAAAACGCCAGCGTTGATCTTTGTGGAACTTGCGGAGCTGACTGTAGAATGTGTTGGGGGTATAACAGGACCAGGGCAGCCCAGGTGTTTCTGAAGGAGACGAATCGGGAGGGACTCGCTCCGCCAGGCATCAGGGCAGATTGCAAAGCCTTGTTTTTGCACATCATGCCGATGCGGGGTGGACAGTTAGACCAAGAGGAGCCCGGAAGCAGACCCAGGCTTTGGCATCAGGAGCTTTGGCATCTGGCAGAACTCCTGTCCCTGGGGTTGGGGTGTGAGGAGGTGTGCAGGGTAGTAGCGTGAATAACTGCTTTGAGGAGCTGAAGCTAGAAGGTGCCCAGAGCTGTGTTAGGTGTCAGAGAAGTTGTTTGTGAGGCATTGTGAGTAGAATTAAGTAACTTGAGTGCGTAATTGCCTCTGGGGATCAGGCCTGGGCATGCTCAACATTCACCAAGTCATGTTTGTTTTTCAATGCTCCAGCTCTTCCTCCTCCAGGAAGCCTGCCCAGTCTACCCACAGCCAGGTCTACCCACAGTCAGCCCTTCCTCTTCTTAGAAGCCTGCCCACTCTAACCGCAGCCAGATCTTCCTCTGTCTAGGAAGCCTGCCTGGTTCACCCACAGCCGTGTCTTCTTCCTCTAGGAAGCCTGCCTGGTCCACCCATAGTCAGGTCTACCTCCTCCAAGAAGCCTGCCTGATCCACCCACAGCCAGATCTTCCTCCTCCAAGAAGCCTGCCTGGTCCACCAACAGCCAGGTGTACCCATAGTCAGCTCTTCCTCCTCTCGGAAACCTGCCAACTCCACCCACAGCCAGATCTTCCCCATCTAGAAAGCCTGCCTACCCCACCTACAGCCAGGTCTTCTTCCTCCAGGAAGCCTGCCTGGGCCACCTGCAGTCAGCTTATCCATCCCCAGGCTCCAGGCATTACCTGTCCATGCATTCATCCCACCTTTTCTTCTTGGGTGGTTTTGTGTGTGCGTGTGTGTGTGTATGTGTGTATATCCTGCCCAACTAACCTGCAGGCTCCTTGACTCTGGAGCCCTGATGTCTTCTGTTTCTCTGTCTCTTCCATCATGCTGGCACTGGACGCAGGATCATTCCTGACTGATTAATCTCTAGCTTGTGTCCAGGCTGCAGCTTGCTCCGATGAGCAGTTGGAGGCCTAGTGTAATGCTTGGTGAATATATATAAGGCATGGACTGAAAATGTTGCTTATTTTGGTATAGTAGCAAAGGATTGGGTTACCTTGAATTGAGTCTTGTTTGGTGTAACCATGTAAATAAACAGTGTAAAATATAGGCTATTGGAATGGAAGCCCAGACATCTGTTATGAATTCTATATATAAATATTGGATATGCTTACATGGGTTAAAATGAGATTGTTGGCACTTGGGTTTTCAAACTCCTGATTCTGCTCCGGGTAGGACTGATCACGGGTCCTGGGACTCAAGGCAGGAGGGGCCACGAGCTGGCCTTTCTCTGACACTGACTTGCCAGAAGTGGGCGTTCCTGGGAGTGGCAGACATGCACCCACTAGAGATAGATCTGAATCACCCCCTCACATTCTCCTAATAGTGCCAAGAACCCACAGCAGAGTGCGGGGTGTACTGAGTTTGTGCTGAGCAGGGGTGCCTGAATCCCGGATTGAAGAAAGTGTTCTACGCCCGATTAAACCAACTGGGAATCCAGGCAAAAGAAGACGTTCCCAGGGGAAGCCAGCCTGCCCAGTGTGCATGGTGCCTTTTAAACAAATTATCTGCATTCCCATTGGGATGAAGTTCACTTGACAACATTACTCATTGGTTTTTTTGCTTTTGTTTAGTTTTTTTTTTTTTTTTTTTTTTTTGAGACAGAATCTCACTCTGTCACCCAGGCTGGAGTATAATGGTGCAATGTCGGCTCACTGCAACCTCCGCTTCCTGGGTTCAAGCGATTCTCCTGCCTCAGCCTCCCGAGTAGCTGGGATTACAGGCATGTGCCACCACACCTGGCTAATTTCTGTATTTTTAGTAGAGATGGGGTTTCACCGTGTTGCCCAGGCTGCTCTCAAACTCCTGACCTCAGATGATCTGCCTGCCTTGGCTTCCCAAAGTGTTGGCATTACAGGTGTAAGACACCGCGTCGGGCCTTTTTTGTTTTTGTTTTTTTGAGACAGAGTCTCCTTCTGTCACACAGGCTGGAGCGCAGTGGCACAATCTCAGCTCACCGCAACCTCCACCTCCCGGGTTCAAGTGGTTCTCCTGCCTCAGTATCCCAAGTAGAGCTGGGATTACAGGGACCCACCCGCCACCACACCTGGCTAATTTTTTCTTTTTTTTCCGAAACGGAATTTTGGTCTGTCGCCCAGGCTGGAGTGCAGTGGTGCAATCTCAGCTCACTGCAACCTCTGTTTCCCAGGTTCAAGGGATTCTCTTGCCTCAGCCTCCGGAGTAGCTGGTATTACAGGCGCCCTCCACCATGCCCAGCTAATTTGTGTATTTTTAGTAGAGATGGGGTTTCACCGTGTTGGCCAGGCTGGTCTCGAACTCCTTACCTCGTGATCCGCCCGCCTCAGCCTCCCAAAGTCCTGGGATTACAGGCGTGAGCCACCATACCTGGCCATAATATTCGTTTTTATGCATCATTCCTTTTTATGGCCCCTCTCACCTCCGTCAGGTGGTGAATAGACTACGTTTCATTTATCCGTTCATCGGTTATGGACATTTGAGCTGTTTCCATGTTTTGGCTTTGTGAACACTGCTGTTAACATGCGTGTACCTGTATGTGTACATACATGAGTAGAGGGGTTCAGTTCTTTTGGGTATATATGTAGGAGTGGAATTACTGGTCATAGGATCATTCTATGTGTAACTTTTTGAGGCACTACCAGGCTGTTTTCCACAGCAGCCAGAGGTGTCTTTAAAAGCAGTTGTCAACTGGGCTTGGTGGCTCACACCTGTAATCCCAGCACTTTGGGATGCCAAGGCGGGCGGATCACCTGAGGTCAGGAGTTCGAGACCAGCCTGACCAACATGGCAAAACCCCGTCTCTACTAAAAATACAAAATTAGCTGGGCGTGGTGGCGTGTGCCTGTAATCCCAGCTACTCAGGAGACTGAGGTGGGAGAATCGCTTGAAACTGGGAGGCCGAGGTTGCAGTGAGCTGAGATTGCGCCATCATACTCCAGCCTGGGCAACTAGAGTGAAACTCCGTCTCAAAATAAAAATAAAAATAAAAATAAAAGGAATGATCACTTCCTGTTTCATGAATGAGGAAACTGAGGCTCTGGGAGATGGGAAATCCTGCCCGGAATCTCACAGCTGGAGGCCAGGCCAGGCTTTGAATCCAGGCAACTGAGTCTGAGTGGATGGTGTGTGCTTTGTGTTGGAGCTGGCCCAGGGCTGGATGAAGGCAACATTTAATTAATGAAAACCACTACCCCCTCCCGGCTGTTACCTCTTGAGCGCTTTTCTATGAAGCATCCTGTTTAAGCCTCGCACTCTGTGATGTGGAGGTGCAGTAATTATCCCCATTTCACAGACAGGATGTTGAGGTCAGAGGGGTTGAGTGATTGTCATGGGCCAGGTCTCAGCCAGGCTTGCTAACCCTGGAGTCTGCCGTCTGCTCTGAAGTGGTCACTCTCAGCTGGAGAGCTGACCTGGCCCTTTTGCCTTTGTGATGTACGGTCCTGAAAAAAATATTTGCAGAAATAGCTTCATAGGAACATATATGGAATTTGGAATTAAAAAATATATTAAAAACTATATATTTACCAGTATTACAATATATTACCCAGAGACTTGTCTCCCTAATGAGGCCACCTTTACTTTTTCAATCTTTGTCTCCGCTGGTGCTTTCTCATAACTGCCATTCATTCTAGTAGAAATCATGGTTCACGGTTATGCTGGGTGTGTGGTTTTTGGTGTTGACATGTCGAACGTTTTGTTGTTACCGCAGTCATTTTGTTACTAGTTAATTGGTGCTACCTTTCCACGGAGACAATAGTCTAGTTACCCCTGCCGCTGGAGATTGTTCTTTTTTTTTTTTTTTTTTTGCTATTACAAATAAGGCCTCAGCAAATATTGTGACTCAGACGTTTTCCTTCTTTCTGGTGTTTCTTGGGACAGACTCCTGCAGGGGTGATCCCTGGGGAGAGGGCGTAATTATTTTATGTTCATGATGCGGCAGTCACCACCGTGTTTCTGAAAGGTTTGTTCTGCACTCTGGGCTGCCAGTTGACATTCGGTTTTTCATGGTGATCTGGTGGGTCCTGGGGTGTGATGGTGGCCGGGCCCAGCTGCTTCAGCCCTCAGCCTGTCCATCCCCCACCCACACCCAGAACTGAGGCTCCAAGGTGCAGCCTCAGGTGTCTGCCACCCTGTGCATCCCTCATCGCCCCAGGTCTGTTGCCCTCCCTTCTCCTCCTTCTCAAATTACGCTGCCCAGAGGTCAGGCTAGAGGTCAGCAGGTCCATCACTGGATGGAATGACCTGGGGCAGGCCAAGGTATCTGGGGGCTGTGTAGCTGTGACCCCTGAGCTTCAGGGGGCTGTGAAACGAGAGACCTTGGGCACATGGGCACATGACGTGGTGGGAAGGCGCCCAGAGGACCAGCACCCGCCATGCTACCCCCACACTCTGCTCCAGTGTGCTCCCACCCCAGGACCTTTGCCCAGGCCTGCCGGCTCCTTCTTTCCCAGCAAGGCCTGCTCTGTCTCAGGTAGCATGCAGCCCCCCGACCCACTTCTCATGTAGCATGCAGCCCCCCGACCCACTTCACCCTGCACCATTTCCCTGATCTGCAGCGTTTATGATGTAACATTACTAAGGTGTCCTTATTGGCTATGTGTATTGCTTGTTTATTACCACCCACGTGAATACGGAGCCATTCAGGCCGTGTCCTGGGTGTCTGGGTGGGCCAGCTGGTGCTGGGCACTCGCCTGCTGGAGGAGTGAGTGCCCATGGCCAGCCCCTCCTGGTGCCTGGGCTGCGTCTCCTCCTTAGTGTGCTGCCTCTACAGGCTTTTCTCCTGAACTGTCCTCTTTGCTTTTTTTTTTTTTTTTAAGCTTTAAAAGAAGTTTTTGTAGAGATGCGGTCTTGCTGTGTTGCCCAGGCTGGTCTTGAACTCCTGGCCTGAGATGATCCTCTCTCCTCGGAAAGTGCTGGGATTATAGGTGTGAGCTACGGAGCCGGCCCTTCCCTTCTACTCTGCTACTCTGCTGTTCTCTCTCCCTCCCGTCGGGTTCTGCTCCTGCCACGTTCTCCCCTCTCCCCACCAAAGGCTGGGTTTTCTTTGTCAGGGCTCCTTTCCCCTTTGGAGAAGAGGGGGCTGTAGGGCCTTGGTGCGAGGCCCTCCAGTGACAGGATCCCCCATCACCCAGAGTTCCACAGGCCCTGGTAGGGAGGAGGGGGAGCAGAAGAGGAGGTGCCATCTTTGCCTGCTGGGGAAGGGCAGGGGCCACCCACACAGAGCTCTCCCATTTGCTGTGGACCCTGGGGCCACTGCCAGTTCCTTCCAAAGGAAAGCCAGCTCCCCAGGTGGTGGGAGAGTGATGTGGCTTCCTCTTAAACTTAGGAATTGAGTGTGTGGTTGCTTCTAAGTGCCTTAGAAGCCGGAGCGGCTCCTGGAAAGAGCCTGCCTGCCACAGCGGGCCTTACCCTGGCTGTGCCCACAGATGTCCCTGGGGCCTGCCGCTCCTGCCCGGCTCTCCTGGCCTCCCCCGGTGTGGGTTGGGAAAAGCACAGCAAATTAAAAAACACCTCCATCTCTGGCCTTTGAAGAATGCATCTGAACAGCCGAGAGTGTAAACCGTGGTGAAATGTGGTCTTTCCAGTTTGGGGAGAAGCAGGGCAGAGCTGGGGCTTTTGTACCCAGGGTTTCCAAGAGCTCCTGCCTCCCTCGGCTGGGCTGGCCAGGGCCCCCCGCTGGGACCTCCAGCTGTAATAGGGAAGGTTTTACTGGGTTGCTGGCCACTGTGGACTGCCCCTAAGGGCAGGTATGCCTGCCTTTACCCGGGTTCCCCTCCTGCCTGGAAGATACAGCCCATGGGAGGCCTGTTGTCTGTGGGATCCTCCAGCATCAGAGACACTGGGGCCAGCGTCTGCCTGGTGAGGTGCAGGCCTGGCAGGCCCGGTCCCCCACCTGCTTGAGCACCCACGGTGGTGGGGGCTCGCTGCCTCCCGAGACAATCTATGTCATTGTTGTCCAAGGAAGCTAATTTAGAGTAGAAAGTTCCGTGTCCAGTCCCACTCTGTGCGTGTGTTAGCAGGGGACTCTCGGGCCGGAGCTGGGTCCACCCTGGTAGGGGGACTTCATGGGGCCTGGGCGACAGCACTGTGTATTTGTGTGTGTGTGTGTTTGTGTGTGTGTGTGTCTGAGGAGGTGGACCAGTTTCTCAAAAGGCCTGTGACCCCAAGAACCAAGGAATTTCAGCCTGGGTGGATCACACCTTCACTGGTGAGTGGGACAAGCTGGGGGCCCTCGCCACAGGAGCAGCCAGGGCATGGGGCACAGTTGGCCTCATTCACAAAATGGGAGTATAAGTGATCCCTGCTCTGGCGGCCAGGACGATGAGTGGGAACACACCGTGTGGGGGCTGCCTGGCCTGGGTGTGCCGCGGGTGTCCTTGTTGGTGATGGTTCCACCTGCTTGTGCCACCAGTGCCCTCTGGGTCTCACACACAACTCTCTTCCCAGCGAAGGCCCCTCCTGCCCTCAGGCCTCAGTGCTGCTTCCGTCTCGGAAGGCCCCAGGAGCTCCTGCATCCTGGGCGTGATTCCTGTGTGCCTGCAGACCCCCTCGCGGCTGCCATCTCATCCTTTGGTGCACCTGTTGGCCAGACCTCCTGGTAGCGGGTGCTGCACTCCCCTGAATGTGCCGGGGCCTGGGGGCAGGGACCTGGGCTCCTCCCTCACTGAGTGGAGGGAACTCAGTGTCTTGGAGTTGGGGTGCCTGCAGGCTGGGTGGTGCAGGTGAAATGCAGACCTCTCAGCTGGTGTTCCAGAGCAGCTGCCTTCCCCCGCCCGAGGGACTTCACCCGCAGCCCAGTCAGGGGTGGCGCCTGGGTGCATCGCCCGCAGGCTGGGTAGGGGTGGAGCCTGGGTGGCCCTGCCTGTGAGCTGCATAGTTGTCGCCTTTGACCCTGAGTTTTCTTCGTTATCTGTTTGGACCTGTTTGGGGCAGGCAGGGGATGAGATCTGAAGATAAATGCCTTAGCTGTGACCATCTCCTTTTGTGAGAGGTCAATGTCCAGTTCCGCTGCAGTTATAACATCCCATTTTTTGATTTCTTTTTATTTTTTCCTTTTTCTTTTTGAGATGGAGTCTCGCTCTGTCACCCAGGCTGGAGTGCAATGGGGTGACCTCAGCTCACTGCAACCTCCACTTCTCGGGTTCAAGTGATTCTCCTGCCTCAGCCTCCTGACTAGCAGGGGTTACAGGCGTGAGCCACCACGCCCCAGCTAATTTTTGTATTTTTAGTAGAGGCAAGGTTTCGTCATGTTGGCCAGGCTGGTCTCAAACTCCTGGCCTTAAGTGATCTGCCCGCCTCGGCCTCCCAAAGTGCTGAGATGACAGGTGTGAGCCACCGTGCCCGGCCCAGAACTCTTTAATTCCCACCTGAAACTTGCCGCCTTAAGCAGGTCCCCAGTCTCCCTCCCCTAGTCCCTGGTCCCACCATTCTGCTTTCTGTCTCAATGAATTTGCCTACCGTAAGTACCTCATATAAATTGAATCATAAAGTATTTGTCTTTTTATATCTGGCTTATTTCACTTAGCATAACATTCTTAAGTTTCATCCATGTTGTAGCATGTGTCAGAATCTCTCTCTTTTTTTTTTTTTTTTTTTTTTTTTTTTTTGCAGACAGAGTCTCGCTCTGTCATCTAGACTGGAGTTCAGTGGCACGATCTCGGTTCACTGCAACATCTGCCTCCTGGGTCCAAGCAATTCTCCTGCCTCAGCCTCCTTAGCAGCTGGAACTACAGGCGCGTGCCACCATGCCTTGCTAATTTTTGTATTTTTTGTGGAGGCAGGGTTTCACCATCTTGGCCAGGCTGGTCTTGAATTCCTGACTTCAGGTGATCCACCCGCCTCAGCCTCCCCAAGTGCTGGGATTACAGGCATGAGCCACCGTGCCTGACCAGAATCTTTTTCCTTTTTGAGACTGAATAGTACTCCATTGTGTGGATGGAGCAGATTTTGCCCCGCTATTCATCCCTCAGTAGAGGGACGCTTGGGTTGCTTCCATGTTTGTTTGTTTTTTTGTTTTTGTTTTGCTGTTTTTTGAGACAGAGTCTCGCTGTGTCACCCAGGCTGGAATGCAGTGGCGCAATCTTGGCTCACTGCAACCTCCACCTCCAGGGTTCAAGTGATTCTCCTGCCTCAGACTTGTGAGTAGCTGGGATTACAGGTGCCCGTCACTACGCCCAGCTAATTTTTGTATTTTAGTAGAGACGGGGTTTCACCATGTTGGCCAGGCTGGTCTCGAACTCCTGACCTCAGGTGATCCACCCGCCTCAGCCTCCCAAAGTGCTGGGATTACAGGCGTGAGCCACCATGCCTGGCTGCCTCCATGTTTTAGCTGTTGGGAAGGATGCTGCTGTGATCCAAGGTGTATGCATATCTGATTGTGTCCCTGTTTTCAGTTCTTTTGGGTATATAACCCAAAGCGAAATTGCTGGGTCATATGGTAATTCTGTGTTTAAGTTTTTGGGGAACTGCCATGCTGTTTTCCATAGTAGCTGCACCATTTCACATTTTTGCCAGTGGTGCACAAGGGTTCCAGTTGCTCCAGATCCTCACCAACACTTGCTATTTTGTTTTTTTGATAGTAGCCGTCCTAATTGGTGCAAGATGGTATCTTATTGTAGTTTTGATTTGCATTTCCCTGATGATTAGGGATATATTAAGCCTGTTTTGATGTGTTTATTGGCCATTTATATGTCATCTTTGGAGAAATGTCTGTTCAAGTTGTTTGCCCATTTTTGAGTTGGCTTAGTTGTTTTCTCATTGTTGAGTTTTAGGAGTTCTCTGTATTTCATGGATATTAATCTCTTAGTAGATCTATGATTTGGAAATATTTTCTCTCATTCTGTGGGTTGCCTTTTTACTCTCTCGATAGTGTCTTTTGATGCACAAAATCTTTAGCTTCCCATGAAGTCCCGTTTGTCTTTATTTGTGGCCTATGCCTTCCTGTTGTTTGACTTTCACAGTGTCCCTCGTTGCCACAAAGAACTGTAGACCTAAGATGATGACAGCACGGGTGGGGCGGCGGAGGCGCCGCTGTCATTTTCCTGGCCTCAGGTCCTCTGTGTGTCCTCCCATCCTGTGGAGCATGTCTCCTGGGAATGGGAGGGGCCAGGATTTGAGCCAGTGCTTGTCTTGGCAGGGAGGCCTGTGCTCGGAACCATCTACCCCACTGCGCTGGGGTCTCCTGGGCCATGCTCTGGCCCTTTGTGTTCCCAGCTACCCTCATAGAGGCTGCAAATCTTTCCCCTGCTGAAATGAAACCAACTGAACTAACTACAGGATTCAGTTCTGTGATTGTCATTGGCTGAGTTGAGTTTGTTTTGGCTTTCTCTTTCTTGGTGAAGGTGGGAGTGTGGGGTTGGCTGGGCTCCCCCATCTGCGCAGGAGGACCCAGGGGTCTGCAGTTTTCATGAGGAATGTCAGCTGTTTCAAGCCAAGGCTTCAGATGTTTTTTGGGGGTGTTTGTGGCCAGCCCAGCCTAGCCCTGCTGACAGCAGACACGGACTGATGGAGCTCCCTGGAGGCCCTTAACCTCCTCCTGTCCACATCTTGTGTTCACTCCTCATGTGGCTTCTTAGTCCCTCTGAGTCTGTGTTGGGGGTTGCTGGACCCTCCTGGTCCGACGTCTGAGGTGTCTGGTGGGGTGATGGTCTGAAGGCCTCTCCTGATTTCTCATTGAGCCCGTTGTGGGAATGAGACCGTTGTCTGTGAGATGAGGCTTCTTGCACAGGCAGAAGGGGCTGAGGGCTGCGGTGCAGAGGGAGGTGAGGGAGCCAGCCTGGCCGCAGGCAGATCAGGAATGCTTGGGGTGGGGTGGTGGAGAGAAGTGTAGGTGAGGCCAGAGGCCAAGGCCTTGGAGGCCAGGCTAGGGGGTCTGACCTTGTTCTGCATGGCACTGGCACAGGGAGCTGTGGAAGGTGTCTGAGCCAAGGGGTGGCATTCCAGAGTGACCCTTTAAATGTAGGAATGTCCAGAAGCAGGGTGGGAGAAACATGGAATACAGGGGTGGATGGGAAGCTGATGCCACGGCCAAGGAAACGGGCCTGAGCTTGGACAGTGGTCAAAGACTTGTAAGGGAATCTTGAGGCTCTGTCTGGCCTGGGCTCTGAACCCCTCAAAAAATGTGGCCCTGTGGCTGGGTCTGTAGCGAGCAGCATGGCCAGTGCTGTGCCTGCATGTCCCCATCCCCTGTGTCAGGCCAACAAAGGGGATGTGGCTTCTCTGCAGAACAGGACAGGGCCCCTGTAGCCTCTGGAGGACGATGTGGGAGGTTTTGGGCATGGCAGGAAGGGTCACCCATATCTGGGGGAACAGACGTAACAGTTGGTAAACAAACAGGTGCTGTCACCGAATGTGGGAAGAAGGCTGTTTGCTGCGCTGCAGGAGCCTCTGAATGATGCGGGCCGGGGCTGCCCAGGCAACTTCCTGACAACGCCTTAGGGGTGGGAGGAAGGAACTGGAGGTCTTGGGCATGGGCAGGGCAGTACCAGGAGTGCTCTGGGCATAGTGCTCCATCCCAGGGCTGTGTATCTTGCTGGCTTAGCCAGTGGCCCTCACGGTTTGCTTCTGCCCCACAGCCTCGCCGCTCCTGCTATTTGCCAACCGCCGGGACGTACGGCTGGTGGACGCCGGCGGAGTCAAGCTGGAGTCCACCATCGTGGTCAGCGGCCTGGAGGATGCGGCCGCAGTGGACTTCCAGTTTTCCAAGGGAGCCGTGTACTGGACAGACGTGAGCGAGGAGGCCATCAAGCAGACCTACCTGAACCAGACGGGGGCCGCCGTGCAGAACGTGGTCATCTCCGGCCTGGTCTCTCCCGACGGCCTCGCCTGCGACTGGGTGGGCAAGAAGCTGTACTGGACGGACTCAGAGACCAACCGCATCGAGGTGGCCAACCTCAATGGCACATCCCGGAAGGTGCTCTTCTGGCAGGACCTTGACCAGCCGAGGGCCATCGCCTTGGACCCCGCTCACGGGTAAACCCTGCTGCGACTCCACCTGGGTCCAGGGGGCGGGGAGTGTCACCATCTCTCTCTCGAATTTGCATGAGCCCAAGTTGTTTTTCAGAAAAAGGGTGTGACTCTGAAAATGAACCCGTGGGGGGGTTGGCTCAGGCCTGTAACCCCAGCACTCGGTGTGACTCTGAAAATGAACCCGTGGGGGTGTTGGCTCAGGCCTGTAACCCCAGCACTCGGTGTCACTCTTAAAATGAACCCGTGGGGGGGTTGGCTCAGGCCTGTAACCCCAGCACTCGGTGCGACTCTGAAAATGAACTCGTGGGGGGGTTGGTTCAGGCCTGTAACCCCAGCACTCGGTGTCACTCTTAAAATGAACCCGTGGGGGGGTTGGCTCAGGCCTGTAACCCCAGCACTCGGTGCGACTCTGAAAATGAACCCGTGGGGGTGTTGGCTCAGGCCTGTAATCCCAGCACTCTGGGAGGCCAAGGCGGGCAGATCACCTGAGTCCAGGAATTCAAGACCACACTGGGCAACATGGTGAGACCCCATTTCTACAAAGTATACAAAAATGAATCGGGTGTGATGGTATGCACCTGTAATCCCAGCTTCTTGGGAGGCTGAGGTAGGAGGATCATTTGAGCCTGGGAGATCGAGGCTGCAGTGAGCTGTGATCCCACCACTGCACTCCAGCCTGGGCGACAAAGTGAGGAGATCCTGTCTCAAAAAAAAAAAAGAGCTCAGCTTTCAAGATTTGTTATTGTTGAAGGAATTACTTCCCCTTGAGATTCCATAGTTATGTTCCTTTTTTTTTTTTTTTTTTTTAATTGAGATGGAGTCTCCCTTGTTGCCCAGGCTGGAGTGCAGTGGCACAATCTCGGCTCACTGCAACCTTCGCCTCCCGGGTTCAAGTGATTCTCCTGCCTCAGCTTCCCAAGTAGCTGGGATTACAGGCGCCCACCACCACGCCCAGCTAATTTTTGTAGTTTTGGTACAGATGGGGTTTCACCATGGTGTCTAGGCTGGTCTCGAACTCCTGACCTCAGGTGATCCACCCACCTCGGCCTCCCAAAGTGCTGGGATTACAGACGTGAACCACCGTGCCTGGCCCATAGTTATGTTCCTTTTTAAAACTTGCATGTCTGAGGCAACCGATGTGGTTGGCCATGGGTTTGAATGGTTAAACACATCTTTGCTGTGTGTATGGTGGGCGGCCTGGGAAGTGCGGACGCTCAGGCAGGTGGAATTTGCACCTTCTCCTGGCTTTCTAATTGCATTGGCTGAAAAAGTGCAGCTCCTTGTCTGGAAGCAGAACCTGCTGGGAGTGGTTCTCGGGTCCGTTCTGGAAGCTGCCCTGTGTCCTCCTCAGCTCCTAGTCTGGCTGAGTTCACCTGGGCCCTTGAAGGCTCAGGGCCTGGCCGTGATCCCAGGTGGGGAGAGCGTGGGTGGCAGGAAAGCTTTGGAGTCGAAGTCCGGGGTGGAGAGTTTAAGGGGAGGTGGCCCAGCTCCACTGGCCAGCTAGGCCAGGTCACCCCAGACTCCCGAGCAGAGGGAACAGTTTGCTTGGCCACCCCTTGTCCCTCCTTTGTCCCTTTTCTTGCAGCCTGGGAGTGACTCTGGGGGCCGTACACACACCCTTACCTGGGCTGTGCTAAGCCCTGGCCCTTGCTGACCTGTCAGGTTCTGTGCTGGGTCAGTGTCAGAACTGGTTGGCAGAGGTCTTGACTAGAACACAAGAGCCATTTCCCACCACCCCCAGGCTCAGTTGGAAGCCCTTTGCCTGTTAGTTCATTCAGTGTCACCACAGTCTCTCAGCACTCCCAGCCTGGACCTCACCGGTTGAGGGGCCGGCCTAGATCTTCTTTGCGCAATGGCACGATCTCAGCTCACTGCAACCTCCACCTCCCGAGTTCAAGTGATTCTCCTGCCTCAGCCTCCTGAGTAGCTGTGATTACAGGCGTGCACTACCACACCTGGCTAGGTTTTGTATTTTTAGTAGACACAGGGTTTCGCCATGTTGGCCAGGCTGGTCTCAAACTCCTAACCTCAAGTGATCCACCCTCCTCGGCCTCCCAAAGTGTTGGGATTGCAGGCGTGAGCCACTGCACCCAGCCTGACCTAGATCTTCTAGGTTAGAAAGTCCCAGGAGTGGGCGGCCATGCATCCAGGCCTGCCACAGGAGCCCGCCTGCCCTCCTCCCTGAAGTCAGGGCTCTGGAAGCCCTTCCCTTGGCCATGCCCTGTGGGACAGTGTCCAAGCTCTGGAGTAGGACTGAAGACCCCTGGGCTCTAGTCCTGGGGCCACCAACTTGCTGTTGCCCTTTGCAGTGACCTCCCCCTGACTCCCATGGTGCCGGCTGCAGGAGCCGGGCGGGAGGGGCTGGTTGCCAGATCCTGCAGATGCCCCTCCTCTGGGCCTGCCCAGGGTAGTGGGAATGAGGGTGTGGGGTGAGGGTCTGTCCTCACCAAGGCTGGTGTTTGGGAGCTCAGGAAGCAGAGTGCCATGTGGCCAAGTTCACCTCTTTGATCTGTGTGGTGACTTAGGAAGCCATTGACTGGCTTCTGACGAGCATGGGAAGGGCTGGAGCCTTTCAGAGCCCAACAGGTTTGTGTGAGAGCCAGGCGTGTGTGTGTCTGAGCAACTGAGTGTGGGAGTGGGAGGATGTGAGCGTGTGTGTGTGTGTGTGCGTGTGCACGCATATGCGTGCATACGTGTGAGCCTGTGTGTGTCCGTGTGTGTGCATGCATGCGTGTGAGTGGATATTTGTGTGTGTATGAGTGTGCGCATGTGACTGTGTGTGCACGTGTATGTGCCCGTGTGAGCGAGTATGTGCGCGAGAGTGTCTGCATCTGAACCAGTCTGTGTGTAAGTATGGGGTACCAGCAGGGGTGGGACACGGTGGAATTTATCGCCAAAGTATTTTGAGTCCCTGAGGTCAGGCCAGAGCAGCCTCGTGCCCCCACTACCTGAGAAGTGCCCCCGGCCTCCCAGGGGTGCTGTGCTGGGCAACCACTCATCCCTGGAGCCCCTCGTATGCCCTCGCTGCCCTCCGAGTGGGCTAGCCACCCCTGCAGCTGCCGGGGAGCCAGCTGACCTCCGGGGCAGCCTCTGTTCCGCTTGGTGAACTGTTGCCCTCTCAGCCCTCTCCCCCTGCACTGTGGCTCCAGGAGTCGCGGGGTTACTGACCTTCTTTTTGGAAGGGTCGGCTGGTGTAGCAGTGTCTCTGGCTAGGAGGGGGCATCTGCAGTAGTCGGAGAGGCTGAAGATAGCAGCTTGCTAGAAGCCCTCTCCCAGGGCCGGCCTGCGGTTGCTCACCAGCGGCTGCCATGGCCATCGTGTCGCCAGGACCTGCGCTCCTCCTGTCATTGCGTTCCCTCCCAGCGTGGGTCGCTGCAGCTCCCTCACCTCCCAACCAGGCATCCACTGCATTTGTGAGCCCTTGCGCCTGGTCCTGCTCCCCACGCAGCGGGTATAGCCCAGTCTCTGGCCCTTTCAGTGAGTGGGAGGAGATGGTAAATGAATAGTATTTGAAAGGGACGTGTGCGTAGGGGGATAAAGCAGTGCTTGGGTGCTGTGGCGAGGGGCTTCCGTCGGAGCTCAGGTGCTGGGAAGGCCTCTTGGTGACTTTTGAGTCGAGACTGGAAGCAGATGAGGCTGAGAACCGTGTGGCTGTCTGGGGGCAGCGCGGTCCAGGCAGAGGGATCAGCCAGTGCAAAGGCCCTGGGCTGGTTTGGGGCGGGGCCTGTTTGAGGGGCTGTAGCAGAATGTAGGGAAACAGGGCCCAAGGTGTGAGGAGAGGACACATGAGGTCTCGAGCAGAGGAGGTGCCAGCTCTGACTCGTGCTGGAAGGCATCCCCTGGTGGCTGGAGCGAGAGTGAGCTGTGGGGTGGGTGGCGTGGGGGCAGGAGCCCTCTCCACGGTTATTACCGGGATCCTGGCGACAGAAAGCAGCAGCGGGGACACCTCACTTGTGGGGGTAAGGAGTGGCGAGATTTGGGATCTGTTCTGAAGAGAAAAGACAGCTGGATTTGCTGGCACTCTGCATGTAGGTTCGATAAAAAGATGAGACAAGGTTGGCACGGTGCCACTCTGTGCCTCAGTATCCTTGTCTGTACAGAGGCGTGACCATGCTGCATGTCATGAGGAAAACACCAAGAACAGTTTGTGAGTTCAACAAATGTTAGCTGTCGTTATAATAAAAATGCCCTTTCCTCGCCACCAGAAGTCCAGTCTCCATGCCTACGTGGTTTTGTCTTTTTACTTCTTTATGGCTTTTGCTATGTTGGTTGGGAAGTGCTCAGTGCTAGGTTGGGAGGTGATCAGTCGGGAGGTGCTAGGTGATTTGTTGGGAGGTGCATGATGCTCAGTTGGGAGGTGCTAGGTGCTCGGTTGGAAGGTGATTGGTACTTTGTTAGGAGGTGCTTGGCGCTTGGTTGGGAGTTGTTGGTGTCCAGTTGAGAGGTGCTAGGTGCTTGGTTGGGAGGTATTTGATTGGGAGGTGCTTGGCACTTGGTTGGGAGGTGCTCTGCACTTGGTTGGGAGGTGCTCGGTGCTAGGTTGGGAGGTGATCAGTTGGGAGGTGCTAGATGCTCTGTTGGGAGGTGCATGATGCTCAGTTGGGAGGTGCTAGGCGCTTGGTTGGGAGGTAATTGGTACTTGGTTGGGAGGTGCTTGGCACTTGGTTGGGAGGTACTTGGTGCCTGGTTGGGAGTAGTTGGTGTCCAGTTGAGAGGTGCTAGGTGCTTGGTTGGGAGGTATTTGATTGGGAGGTGCTTGGCATTTGGTTGGGAGGTACTTGGTGCTTGGTTGGGAGATGCTGGGCCCTTGGTTGGGAGTAGTCTTTCCCATGCTCAGATCTGAGCTGGCTTTGCCTGCATCATCTCTGCGAGCCAACTGTCCCTGTTTGGCTCTGGCTTTTCTTAACTATTTGAAATGGTTCCTTTACATGCTTGCCTCTGAATTCTCTCCCAGAAGCCCTCCCCAGGATCACACCTGTGGCTGTTCACTCCCACCCCTGCCCCTGGGGCAAAGTTGACCTTAGTGTTGATTCCTGGGCCTCTCCCCACACCTTCCCTTTGCTCCAGTCATTTGAATGAGAGAGTGAAAACAGTGAGATGCCGGCTCCCACTCATCAGATCCAGTGATGCTGATGACGCCAGCCATGGTCCTACCCTGAGGTGCTGACTCTGTCCCTGTAGGCTCCATGTCTCCGGAGAGGGAGAGGGAGAGGGAGAGGATTCCAGCCTGTCACAGCGCCCGCGGCAGCAACCCCTGCTCGCCAAATACTGACTTGAATAGTGGTCCTCAGGCATAAGTGTGGGCGCTGAGTCCTGGGGCAGGACTGCTGTCCTGAGAGTGGGGACAGTGGAGGGTGGGTTTGTCCTCTGTCCTGGCCACAGGCACACGGTTGCGAGGAGCATCTTGGCCTTCCTCCCGGCCCTGCTAGAGCCCCCGTCATCTCCTGTGCCCTCCTGCAGTGCTGTCCCCCACCAGGGTCCTTCCTCAGAGGAGGGGGTTCCTGCCCCGGCCATCATCAGGAAGGGGGTCTCTGGGTCCGAGCGTCCACCTCAGTGTGCACGTGGCCAAAAGGATCAAGAGCCCTGCAGCCAGGGGGGCCCCTCCTGAGACTCGACTTCGTTGCAGTTTCAGCAATGCAGGTGGCCCCGTGCGGACATCCAGGCAGGGTTGAGGGAAGGCACATCCCTCCCAGGCCCAGGGTACCCATGTGGGTGGCAGAGCGGGCTCTGGGGATGACCCTCTGGCCCCTGAGGATCTGGGGCCAGAAAGACACTGGCTTAGCATGGGAGGAGTCCCCGGCCTGTACCAGCCTGACAAGGGGCTGCAGTGGCCCCCGGGTCTCAAATTAAAGCCAGGGTGAAACCCAACCCCCTCTTTAAAATGCAAAATGGCCCTTCCCTAAAATAACACACAACCACAACCGCAGCTGGCTCTGCACGAAGGCCATGCTGCAGCTCTTTTCTTCGGAAGTCGATTTTCCTCCGTGGAATTTGGCTGGGCTTGTGGTAGCGTTTGAGACTCTGCAAGAGCACGTCCACGCCAACCAGTCTCTGGTCACCGACTGGCTCGCAAATTCCCCATTTAAGGAAACCAGCAGGCCTCTGTTATGAAACTCGGGGAAGGAATGTGAATTATGCTCCATGCGGAGGCTCCTGCTCCTGCACGTTTTCCAGCCTTTTCCATGGGCCACGGTGGAGCATTTGGGGAAGGCCTGTGTGGATTCCCCCCCAAGTCCAGACTGATGCCCCTGATACCTTCTCAGGAGGTGGCGGAGGGTCTGGGCTCTGTCCAGGCTCCTAGGGGTGGGGACGTGCAGGTAAAGCAAGGCGTCTGCCGCAGGCACGCGGGAGCCTTCCCTGGGCTGGCTGCCAGCACCTTGGAGTCCCAGGCTGCCAGGAAAAGTTCACCCACACCCGGGCTTTGCTGGCGAAGGGTGAGTCATATGATGGCCGGGCTCGGGCCCTCAGCAGACACCAAGTGTGTTCCCAGAGCAGCCGCTCAGCGCCTGTAACCTGGAACAGGCCAGCCTTTCGGGGCCTCAGTTTTCTCATCTGCCTAATGGGAATAGCAATTCCCACCTTCCCTTTGTTGGTTGGGTTCTCACTAGATGCACAGGAGACAGCAGCTTGAGAGGGACTGTTTGGAGAGCTGTTCCATGTGACACCCCTCTTACCCTGTCCCCACGGGGCCGGAGGAGCAGGGGCTTGGTGATAGCAGCTGGGCGCAGTCAGCCTCTGCAGGGAAGAGGGCATGTTTGGTTCGAGGCTCCTATGCCCTCATTCTTGTTGATCTTGTCACAGCCCCTCTGGAAGGTGGAGATGGTACTCGCTCAGGAACGATACCACTCAAGGAAGCATGGCCCCCTGGATGGGGTGGCCCTTGGTGCACCTGAGGCTCCTGAGGCTGCAGAGCACCATGGTGGGGGAGGAGGCGGCTGTGTGTCTGTCATTTGCCTCTTCTGCTGAATGGAGACCCCCAGAGGGCAAAGCGGGGCTTGTTCTCCCTGTGTCCCGGGATCACTCTCATGCCTGGCTTGGGCGAGCTGCCTGTTTCTAAATCACTTGCTAAGGCTGAGGGGAATGGGGTTTGCCGCCCACCCCAGGAAGAAGGGAGCAAGGGAGTCAGCACCATTTTACAAGGACCAAGAGTGGGAGGAGGCTCCTCAGAGGACATTCTGGGCACTGTCCCCTTTCTCTGCTGTGAAGGGTGGACAAAACACAATAGGTCTGCCAGCCCTTGTGTCCTGTGGCTCATCCCAGCTGGCTGGGATGGGAACTGAGTCCTCCAAGCTGGTGTGGTTCCCCTCTGGTCTCCGCTGAGAGTCACGCCCAGCCTCTGGGCACACACCCTGTGGTCACCTCCAAACAGGGCACACTGGGCACTGGTGGGGGTGGGACCTGCCATCCCAGACCTGGTGTCTGCTCACTTTGTCTTGGTTCATTGGCCAGAGATCACGTAAGGGCGCCCTGAGGATGTGCTTGTTTCTCATGGATGGGTGATGCTTGTCTCTTGGGAACATGGAGAAGCAAAGCCACGTCGCCCACAGACCTACCCAGGAACAGCTGCAGCTGCAGGTTCAGGGTCCATCCCAGCCATGGGTTTTATTCTTTTTTTTTTGAGACGGAGTGTTGCTGTCTCCCAGGCTGAGAGTGCAGTGGTGTGATCTTGGCTCACTGCAAGCTCCGCCTCCCGGGTTCACGCCATTCTCCTGCCTCAGCCTCCCGAGTAGCTGTGACTACAGGTGTCCGCCACCATGCCCGGCTAATTTTTTTTTTTGTACTTTTAGTAGAGACGGGGTTTCACCGTGTTAGCCAGGATGGTCTCGATCTCCTGACCTCGTGATCCGCCCATCTCGGCCTCCCAAAGCGCTGGAATTACAGGCATGAGCCACCGCACCCAGCCTTTTTTTTTTTTTTTTTAGGCAGGGTCTCACTCTGTCATCCAGGCTGGAGTGCAGTGGTACAGTCACAGCTCACTGCAGCCTCGACCTCCCAGGGCTGAAGGGATCCTCCCACGTCAGCCTCCCAAGTAGCTGGGACTACAAGAGTGTGCCACCATGCCCAGCTAACTTTTTTTTAATTTTTATTTTTTGTAGAGGTGGGATTTTGCCATGTTGCCCAGGGTGGCTCAAGTGACCCACCCACCTCAGCCTCCCGAAGTACTGGAATTACAGGTGCAAGCCATCGTGCCTGGCCATGTTTTGTTGTTTTTAAATAGACTTAATTTTTTCAAACAGTTGTAGGTTCACAGCAAAATTGATGAGCAGCAGGTACTGAGTTCCTATACATCCCTGTCCTCACACCCACACAGCCTTCCCAACTGTCAGCATCCTGTGCAGGGTGGTACATTTGTTACAACTGATGAAAGCTGGCTGACGCACCATCACCCAAAATCCACGTTTACACGAGGGTTCGCCCTTGATTTGTACATTCTTGGTTTAGACAGATGAGTAAGGACATGCACCCACCATTCCATGTCATACAGGATAGTTCCACTGCCCTGATTTTCTGTGCTCCACTCATTCATCCCTCTCCTCTCCAACTCCTGGCAACCACTGATGCTTTACTGTCTCTGTGTATTTGCTTTTTCCAGAGTGTTTAGAACTGGACTCATACAGATTGGCTCTTTCACCTACTAACATGCATTTAAGTTTCCTCCATGTCTTTTCATGGCTTGATAGATCATTTCTTTTCTTTTCTTTTTTTTTTTTTTGAGATGGA
The DNA here is from genome assembly GCF_000001405.40 of Homo sapiens. Classification (NCBI taxonomy): domain Eukaryota; kingdom Metazoa; phylum Chordata; class Mammalia; order Primates; family Hominidae; genus Homo; species Homo sapiens. The sequence continues at coordinate 68,356,962 of NC_000011.10, forward strand.
GTCTCGCTCTGTCGCCCAGGATGGAGTGCAATGGTGCGATTTCTGCTCACTGCAACCTCCCCCTCCCGGGTTCAAATGATTCTCCTGCCTCAGCCTCCTAAGTAGCTGGGACTACAGGTGCTCACTACCACGCCTGGCTAATGTTTTGTATTTTTAGTAGGGACGGGGTTTCACTGTGTTAGCCAGGATGGTCTTGATCTCCCGACCTCGTGATCCACCCGCCTTGGCCTCCCAAAGTGCTGGGATTAGAGGTGTGAGCCACTGGGCCCAGCCGATAGCTCATTTCTTTATACCACTAAATAATATTCCATCCTGAGTGTTTTGAATTGCCTTTTAGAGGTTCATTTACAGCATTTTCATGGTAGCAAAAAAATCAGAAATAACCTGAAGTTCTTTAAAAAACTTACAGCAGAGTACACTAGGCAATCATCAAAAGAACAAGGAATCTTTCTATCCACAAGAAGGGAAGGTGCCCAGAATTTACTGTTAACTGAGAACAAGTTGGAAATAGTATATTTTGATTGCCCAGCTTAAGGCAGGAATACCTGAAACCATACCTGTTGGTTATTTCCGATGGGTGAGATTTTAGGGCAAGTTCACTGTCTGTTGTTTCATGTCTGCATCTATGCAGACAAAAACAAAAAACAGATCTGTGTTAGCTGCTTCTCTTGCCCTGCCCCCGTCACAGGTACATGTACTGGACAGACTGGGGTGAGACGCCCCGGATTGAGCGGGCAGGGATGGATGGCAGCACCCGGAAGATCATTGTGGACTCGGACATTTACTGGCCCAATGGACTGACCATCGACCTGGAGGAGCAGAAGCTCTACTGGGCTGACGCCAAGCTCAGCTTCATCCACCGTGCCAACCTGGACGGCTCGTTCCGGTAGGTACCCACGCAGTCCTGGGGCACCCCTTTCCCCTTTGTCCCCAGGGCTTTTGAAGGCGTTCCTTCTTAACTCAGGCCTACAGACTCTTCTCTGAAACTCTGGGGCCCTGAGGAATGCAGGACTTCTCAGAACTTGGAACAGCGTCAGGGTCTGTGTGGCATTTGCCACCAGCCCTTGAATATTTCTATAGCAAATGTGGCACGTTCATTCTAAGTAGGGCAGAAAAGACTATCTGTAGCCCACACCCATGCACAGTTTTTTTTTTTTTAACTTTGTTTTTTTGAGACAGAGTCTCACTCTTTCACCCAGGCTGGAGTGCAATGTCATAATCTCAGCTCACTGCAGCCCCCACCTCCCAGGCTCAAGCGATCCTCCCGCCTCAGCCTCCCGAGTAGCTGGGACTACAGGAGTGCGCCACCACACCTGGCTAATTTTTGTATTTTTGGTAGAGACGGGGTCTCACATGTTGCTCAGGCTGGTCTCAAACTCCTAAGCTCAAGGGATCCTTCCCCTCGGCTCCCAGAGTGCTGGGATTACAGGCGTGAGCCACCGCACCCGGCCCATGCACCAAATGAGGTTTTGTCACCAGATGAGCAACAAAAGCTTTCCATCTTCAGAGCGTTTTGGATTTTGGAATTGTTGGGGAGGGCTTATGGCCCGGCAGGGTTGTGAACAGTAACCCTGTCACACGCACCACCCCCACCCTGGCCCTATCCCAGCTCAGGCATCCTGAGGGCAACAGCCGGAAGCTGTCTCAGTTATTGGTGCATTCCCCAGTCTCACCAGGGGGCCTTCCACATGGTCAGTGCTCAATAAAATGGGCCGAGAATGAGTAGGAAGGGTTTTCCCCTCGTTGGTTAATTGCTTTTAGAGCCTTCTGGTCAGCATAGCTTCCCAGCTCTGTACTTAATTACCCCTTATAGAAACATCCCTTCTGTGTACAGGTGAAGGGCAGTTTATTCACTAACCAAGTGCTGCCTGCTGCTAGCCCTGTGCTAGGTGTCAGGGATCCTCCTGGGACGGCAGACCCCATTCCTGCACTAGTGGAGCTCCTGGCCCAGGCAGGGATGTGGCAGGTGTCTGTGCAGAGGGCAGTAGTGACTGCATGGGAGGACTCAGTGGCTGGATTTCTGCAAACACAGGCCAACACCCACATGAACAGACTTGAGGGCTTGGGCAGCTTTGCTCCACACTTGCCAGGCCTCGTGTGTTAGTTATCCATTGCTGTGTAACAAAACAGCCCACAACTTAACAGCCTGAAACAGCAAACAGGTTTTTTATGGGGAGGGAGTCAGTGATGAGGAGTGGATTAGCTGGGTGCTTCTGGCTCAGGGTATGACCTGAGGGTACACTCAAGCTCCTGGCTGGGCCTCAGTCATCTGAAGGTTTGAGTGAGGCCGGGACATCCACTTCCAAGCTCATTCTCAGGGCAAGAGGCCTCAGTTTCTCCTGTTCCTCTTATGCTGAGCCACACATCTCTTTTGGGCTGGTTTGAAAATATCCTGTTGTCCCTGGAAGTGCAGACCAGCGGGTCTGGTTTGAGATTTGGAAATGTGGTTACCCTGTAGACTGTGGTTCTTGGGAGCTGAGTGATCTTACAGTTATGAAGGGTGGACAAGAGGATAGAAAGGCTGCAGCTGGGAGTGCCCTGGTCAAAGGATGGTGACAGGGGACAGTGAGGGTGATGGAGGTTGAAACATGCTAATGGTGGTGGCGGTGGCGGCAGCGAATCCTTCCATAGCACTTACTGTTTTCCAGGGACGTTTATCAGTTCATTTAATGCTCATACCACCTCTATGAAACGTTTGCTATTATGTTTTATTTTTATTTATATTTTTATTGTTTTGAGGCAGGGTCTCACTTTGTCACCCAGGCTGGAGTGCATTGGCACAATCATGGTTCACTGCAGCCTTGACCTCTTTTTTTGTTTGTTTGTTTGTTTTTTTTTTTTTTGGGATGGAGTCTTGCTCTGTCCCCCTGGCTGGAGTGCAGCGGCACCATCTTGGCTAACTACAACCTCCACCTCCCAGGTTCTAGCGATTCTCCTGCCTCAGCCTCCCAAGTAGCTGGGATTACAGGTGCCCGCCACCACGCCTGGCAAATTGTTGTATTTTTTTAGTAGGGACGGGGTTTCACCATGTTGGCCAGGCTGGTCTTGAACTCCTGATCACAAGTGATCCACCCACCTGAGCCTCTCAAAGTGCTGGGATTACAGGCGTGAGCCACCACACGCGGCCACAGCCTTGACTTCTTGGGCTCAAGTGTTCCTCCCGCCTCAGCCTTCCAAGTAGCTGAGACCACAGGCACGTACCACCACGCCTGGCTAATTTATTTGGTATTTTTTTTGTAGAGACGAGGTTTCACCATGTTGCCCAGGCTGGTCTCAAACTCCTGAGCTTAAGCCATGTGTCCACCTCGGCCTCTCAAAGCACTGGGATTATAGGTGTGAACCACTGTGCCTAGCCTGTGTTTGCTATTTTGATCCCCTGTGCACAGAGAAGCATGTGAATTTGCCCAGAGCCACACAGCTAGTCCCAGCCAGGGTTGGAACATAGGGTCTGTAGCTCCAGGTCTGGTCTGTTCTCAGCCTCTCTCCCACCTGCTTCCCCGCGGGATTCTTCTGCCTCTGCAGCGGCCATCGCTCTTCATGATGCACCTGGGGCTATTCACATGGAAGCGTCGTGTGTTGGGTGACGAGCTCTGGAGCCACACAGACCTGTGCAGGCCCCTTTATCTGTGACTGTGGCTGGGGCAAGGGCCGAGGCTGACCTTCCCTCAGTGCTTCTGGCTGAGGCAGAGCATGGCCCAGGGAGCAACCGAGAGTGATGGGCCTCTGGCTTCTCTCACTGAAAAATGGCCACATGGGCTGGGCGCCATGGCTTACGCGTGTAATCCCAGCACTTTGGGAGGCCGAGGCGGGCGGATTACGAGGTCAGGAGATCGAGACCATCCTGGCTAACACGGTGAAACCTCGTCTCTACTAAAAATACAAAACATTAGCCAGGTGTGGTGGTGGGTGCCTGTAGTCCCAGCTACTCGGGAGGCTGAGGCAGGAGAATGGCGTGAACCTGGGAGGCGGAGCTTGCAGTGAGCTGAGATCCCGCCACTGCACTCCAGCCTGGGCGACAGAGCAAGACTCTATCTCAAAAAAAAAAAAAAAAAAAAAAAAAAAGGCTGGGCGCGGTGGCTCACGCCTGTAATCCCAGCACTTTGGGAGGCTGAGACGGGCGGATCACGAGGTCAGGAGATTGAGATCATCCTGGCTAACACAGTGAAACCCTGTCTCTACTAAAAATACAAAAAATTAGCCGGGCATCGTGGTGGGCACCTGTAGTCCCAGCTACTCGGGAGGCTGAGGCAGGAGAATGGCGTGAACCTGGGAGGTGGAGCTTGCAGTGAGCTGAGATCCCGCCACTGCACTCCAGCCTGGGCTACAGAGCGAGACTCTGTCTCAAAAAAAAAAATAATAAAATAAAATAATAAAATTAAAAAATTAAAAGTAAGGCCGGGCGTGGTGGCTCACGCCTGTAATCCCAGAACTTTGGGAGGCCAAGGCAGGTGGATCATGAAGTTAGGAGATCGAGACCATCCTGGGTAACACGGTGAAACCCCATCTCTACTAAAAATACAAAAAAATTAGCCAGGCGTGGTGGCCGGTGACTATAGTCCCAGCCACTCGGGAGGCTGAGGCAGGAGAATGGTGTGAACCCGGGAGGCAGAGCTTGCAGTGAGCTGAGATGGCACCACTGCACTCCAGCCTGGGCGACAGAGCGAGACTCTGTCTCAAAAAAACAAAAACAAAAAAAAATAAAATTAGAAAATTAGCTGGCCATGGTGGTACATACCTGTGTTCCCAGCTACTCAGGAGGCTGAGGCAGGAGGATGGATTGAGCTTAGGAGATTGAGGCTGCAGTGAGCCATGATCACACCACCGCACTCCAGCCTGGGTGACAGAGCAAGACCCTGTCTCAGAAAACAAACAAAAAAGACAACATTGTGGAAAACAGTTTGTTGATTCCTTGAGACGTAAACATTGATTTACGTATGACCCAGCAATTCCGCTCCTAGCTGTATACTCTTAAGAATCGAAAACAGGTCTTCACACAAAATGTGAATGGACAGTAATGTCCGTAGCAGCACTGTGCACAACAGCCGAGGGTGGAAATGACACAAAGGTCCCCCAGTGGGTGAATGGATGCACAGATTGGGTTCTGTCTGCACACTGGAATATGGTTCACCCCTAAAACGGGATGAAGCACTGACATGCTACAGCCTGGATGAACCTCGAAAACATGGTGCCAAGTCAAAGAAGACAGACATCAGAGGCTGTATATTGTGATTCCGTTTATATGAGATGTTGAGAATGTGTGTAGTTAAGTCCATCAAAAGTGTTTGCCGGGGCTGGGGGCGGGGACTGGGGAGTGACTGCTGCCGGGTGTGGGGTTTGCCTGTGGGGCAATGGAAGTGCTTTGGAACTAGACAGAAGTGGAGGCTGCACCGCCTTGCGAATGCACTAGGTAACACTATTCACTTTAAAGTGGTAAATTTAGGCTGGGTGCAGTGGCTTATGCCTGTAATCCCAGCACTTTGAGAGGCCAAGGCGGGTGGATCGCCTGAGCTCAGGGCTTCAAGACCAGCCTTGGGCAACATGGCGAAACCCTGTCTCTACCAAAAAGATACCCCCCAAAAATTAGCTGGGTGTGGTGGTGCACGCCTGTGGTCCCAGCTACTCTGGAGGCGGAGGTGGGAGAATCGCTTGAACCTGGGAGGCAGAGGTTGCAGTGAGCTGAGATCACACCACTGCACTCCAACCTGGGTGACAGAGTGAGACCCCATCTCCAAAAAAAAAAAAAAAAGTAAACGTATGTCCTGTGAATTTTACTTCAATAATTTTCTTAAAAAACAGCATCAACAAAAATGAACAGAAGAGGTGGTGGATCTGCAGAGCCCACAGCTCCCATCTTCCCTGTGCCACTTCATGAGTGTCACCCTCTCCTGGCAACTGTGCTGAGGGCTGGGGACGTGGCGGGGACCCTCTGCCCCCAGGCCCACCCTCAGGGAGCCTGTCACGGGGCGAGGGTCATTAAGCAAATAAAACTGCACATTACCGACCACGTCACATTATGATCCTGTTTCCAGTGTCCATAATCTCATTACACCCGAGTCCTCATTTGCTGGGCACTGTAAGCATCTAGAAAAGAATAGCTGTTTCTCGGGTTGATGCCAAGTTTCATTTACTCTGAAAGTATAAATTATGAGCATTGTAAGAAGGAGCGAGTGCACATGGCCTGATTTGTATACAGAGGTTAAAGCGTTGGGCAGGAGAGGTGTGCTTTTTGCCAGGCATGGCTTCCTCCTTTCTTCCCTGGGGGAGACTTTGCCACTTGACCTGGGGGAGCCCGTGTGTCACCATCACAGGCTGTGTTTGGGAGGTGCCCTGTGCACGCCGGGAGAAATGTACGAGGGCGCCAGCTCCTGGGGCTCTTGACCTGGCCTCACTTGTCTGGTTGAAAGCAAATGGGAAGCCTGGCATGGTGGCGCACGCCTGTAATCCCAGCGCTTTGAGAGGCTGAGGTGGGTGGATCACCTGAGGTCAGGAGTTCGAGACCAGCCTTGCCAACATGATGAAACCCTGTCTCTACTAAAAATACAAAAATCATCTGGGCGTAGTGGTGGGCATCAGTGATCCCAGCTACTCGGGAGGCTGAGGCAGGATAATTGCTTGAACCCGGGAGGCGGAGGTTGCAGTGAGCTGAGATTACATCACTGCACTCCAGCCTGGGCGACAGACCGAGACTCCATCTCAAAAAAAAAAAAAGAAATTAATTGGGTCAGCAGCAATGACTGTCGGGGGACCCTCCTGATGGCTCCTCCACCCCGCTTCCCTGACTGCAGGCAGAAGGTGGTGGAGGGCAGCCTGACGCACCCCTTCGCCCTGACGCTCTCCGGGGACACTCTGTACTGGACAGACTGGCAGACCCGCTCCATCCATGCCTGCAACAAGCGCACTGGGGGGAAGAGGAAGGAGATCCTGAGTGCCCTCTACTCACCCATGGACATCCAGGTGCTGAGCCAGGAGCGGCAGCCTTTCTGTGAGTGCCGGCTGGGGCGCGGGGGCGAGGGTGCGGGGGCTGGGGGGAGCGGGGGCGCGGGGCAGGGGAGTGGGAGGATGCGGGGGCGTGGGGGTGCGCGGGCGTGGGTGGGGTGGGGGGGCAGGTGACCCCTCCCTGCAGAAGCCCATGCTCTGGGGGGCCCCCTCTCTAAAGGGGTACCTGCTGCAATGGAGGGAGGTGTGTGGCTGGCTGGGGGACACGGGCCTGCAGAGGACCCCTCTGCAGAGCTCATGGGGGCTATTTCAGGCTCAGCAGTGGCAAGGGGATTTCCAAGGAAGGTTGCCTCGTTTTCAAGGCCCAGAAGAAGTTGTCTGTGTGTGTGTGTATATGTATTTATATACACATACACGTATGTGTGTATATATATATATGGTTATTTATATATACATATATATGTGTGTGTGTGTGTGTGTGTGTGTGTGTGTATGTATTTTTAATAGAGATGAGAGATTTTGCCACGTTGCCCAGGCTTGTCTCAAACTCCTGGGCTCCAGTGATCCTCACACCTTGACTTCCCAAAGTGCTGGGGTCACAGGTATGAGCCACCATGCTTGGCCCTGCAAGTCGCGTATTTATCAATGAATAATCTGCCCAGAATCAGCAGTTCTCAGCCTGGGGGCCACGCTGGGTTGTGACAGAGGTCCCTGATGGGGAAATGCACCAGCTTCTGTGACAGTGGGGCTGCGGCTCTGGGGACAGTGGCCCACTCCCACAGGGACCAGGGATGGAGATTTCTGGCCAGGCCATTATGGAAGGTTTGGACTTTGAATTGAAATGTGGGGCCTAGGGGTGCCAGCTGTTCCCAGAGCAGGACACAGGAGGGTGGGGCTCTCTGGAGCTGTTTCCTGGTGAGAAAGTCGTGGTCACAAAACCCATCTACACTTGGGGCAGCATGAGGGAGGGAGAGGTTCATTTTGATGAGTTTGTTGTTCCAGTTATATCCGTATTTTGGGGCTGCTACACCCAGCTTTCCCCTGGTTTGAATGAGGTGCTGGAAGCATTTATCGAGTTCCGTTCAATTGCTGTTGGTCATAGAAGGGCTTGGGAGAGTGACAAGCTTGGCCATCCCAGCAAGAGGGACAGTGTTCCTATGGAAGCTGCTGGGTCCACACATAGCACAAAGACAAGACAAGCCTTTTGCCCAGGAGCCCATTGTCTCTGGGGTTCCCGTCACTACCACACAGGCAGGTCCTGACCCCGGCCATTGGAGCGTGGGGGGCAGCCTTTGCAGAGGGGTGTCCTTTGGGGGCTCCGAGGAGCTGGGGAGGGTGTTCTAGTCATAGGAGCTTGGTGGGAGGAAGCAGATGGGGAGATGTCACTCCATGGGCAGGTCACATCTGGGTGTGAGGGTGGCCAGGAAGGTCACGGCTGGTTTTGGGGAAATTGCAGGCCGTCTGGCCAGGCTGAGGGCCCCATGTGGACGGGCCAGCGATGAGGCAGGTGGAATGGTGCCAGCGGGGAGGTCCCTGATGCCACTTGAGGCCGATGTTTGGGCAGAGGGACACACTGGAGGCTGTCACGGGGGACGAGGCAGGATGTGACTCATTCAGAAACAAGTGACGGTCCTCTTCTGGAACCTTCTCTCACTCTGTCCTGGTTTTCTCAGTCCACACTCGCTGTGAGGAGGACAATGGCGGCTGCTCCCACCTGTGCCTGCTGTCCCCAAGCGAGCCTTTCTACACATGCGCCTGCCCCACGGGTGTGCAGCTGCAGGACAACGGCAGGACGTGTAAGGCAGGTGAGGCGGTGGGACGGGACGGGGCGGGCGGGCGGGGCGGGGCCTGGCGGGAATGGGTTGCGGCCGCCGGGGGTGCCCCAGAAGGAACCTCGGCAAACCCGTTCGAAATGATCCACTTGGCGGGTGTGGTGATTCAAGTCTGTGGTCCCAGCTACTCGGGAAGCTGAGTTGGGAGGATTGCTTGAGCCCAGGAGGTCAATCCTGTTTTGTTTTGTTTTATTTTTGCCCCAGATATTTTCCACTTTTTTACTCTCCGCCTTGGTCCTCAGGCACTTGGTGCTTCCTGGGACTGTGTTGCAGTGAGGCATGGCTCTTCTCCTCTGGGGCACCGGCTGAGGATCTTTCTTTCCAGGTGTCGGTTCGGGGCGGGCCCTTCGGGAAATCACACACGTTCAGGATGCAGCTCGCCTTCGGGGATGCTCCCGGGCCTGGGATAGCCAGTCTGGCCTCTGGGGCTGACCCTGGGGCCTGGCAAGCGAGGGGGTAACGAGAGGTGTCAGGAAAGCGCCATCCCTGGGACCAGTCCTCCCCGTTTCTGTAGCGTGATGGGGCCCAGCTTGCAGAAGGTGGTGGGGGACAGGGCCTGCTTCCTGTGCCGGTGTCCCACTCGGGAGGGCAGGGGGCTTCCAAGTGGGCTGGCTTCCACACTCAGGAACAGTCCTAAGGGCAGAGTCTCGGTGTGGGGCCCCCTAGAAGGACTCTCCTGGCATCCGGTGGATGGAGAAGTGTCCTTGCTCTCACTGCTGTCTGAGCACATGGGGGTCCTGACTTTAGGAACAGTTTCCTGGTCCCCCTGTTCTTGCTGGCTAGGGTCTGTGTTTGTGTGCAGCGGCTGGGGTGTGTGTGTGGTCGTGGCGCCCGTGGCGTGTGGGTCTTTTCTCTGCTCCCTGGCAGGGGTCCTGCGTTTGGTGAGGATTTTCCAGGTTTGTATTTGTCTTTCTCTTTCTGAGAGCAGGGCATCTTTAATGAAGACATGGCTGTTACATCAAAGGGTCTGTCCGCTGTGCCGGCTGCTGCAGGGGATGGTTGGAGAGCCTCCCCGACCAAGCATCTTGTTTCCCAAGTCGGGAGAAGGAGAATTTGAGAAATGGGGACTTGGGCGGCCTAGTCCTCACGGCTCTGGACAGCACCCCATTCATTCATCTGCTTGCTCATTCATTCGTTCATCCATCCATTTGCTCATTCAGCAGGCATTTGTCGAACACTTGCCGGGTGCTGGCATTGCTCCGAGGCACTGGGGACCCCGCGGTGCAGACAGAATCCCGGGCCTCTGGCGCTCGCACTCTGGGCTCTGGGGCTGGGTGGGTGGGGGAGACGGCACAAGTGAGTCCACGAGGGAGTCAGTGCATTAGAAAGGGTGAGTGTCTTGGACACCCGCTCCTCCATCACCTCTGGGGCCCTTCGCTGTTGACCGTTCACCTCGGCCTCAAAGGCAATGTTGAGAGAGAAACTGGACCCAGGGAAGGAGTCCAGATGAGCTGCCTCCTGAGTGACCTGGCGACACCAGGGGTTTGGACCAAGCAGGTTAAGGGAGGATTATAGACCCTTGAAGGGGAGGAGTGGTTTGACCAGGTTGGATGAGCCCTTTGTTTACAGAGGAGGCCAGGGCAAGTCACCAGCCTGGGGTTGCCCACAGCAGGTGGCATAGTAGGTTCTAGCAGGTGGGGTCTGGCTCCCAGAGCCATGAGTTTGCTGCTGCCCCATACCTGGGCCCTGGTGGAGCAAGGCCCTGGTCTCCCTCGCAGACTGCCCCAGGACGCTGCCTGCTCCCTGGAGGAGGGGGTGCCTCGGCTGCACAAGCCTCAGCGGAGAAGGATGCTTGGCTTGCTGGCTGCCCGGGAACCTTGGCCTTCTCAGAGTTTGTTTTCTTTCCTGCCTGTCTGTTGGTGAGAAGAGGCTGAACTCAGTGCTGGAGCTGGACCCTGCGCTCTGCAGTGTTGGTTGAAGTCCTGGCGGAAAGGGAAAGAGTGAGGACATACGGGCTCATGACGGCAGGGAGTGGCCACCACAGTCAGGGCCGGGGGACGGAGGGGAGAGAGAATCACCGGAATATGGCAAAGGTGTAAAACAGGCAGCTCGGGCCGGGCGCAGTGGCTCACGCCTGTAATCCCAACAATTTGGGAGTCCAAGGCAGGTGGATCATTTGAGGTCAGGAGTTCAAGACCAGCCTGGCCAACATGGTGAAACTCCATCTCTACTAAAAATATAAAAATTAGCTGGGCAGTAGTGGCACGGGCCTGTAATCCCAGCTACTTGGGAGACTGAGGCAGGAGAATTGCTTGAGCCTAGGAGGCGGAGGTTGCACTGAGCCAAGATCATGCCGCTATACTCCAGCCTGGGCAACAGAGTGAGACCCTGTCTCAAAAAAAAAAAAAAAAAAATGCAGCTCGTCCTGGCTAGTCTGAAAAAGGTGGAGCATATATGTTGCCCAATATCCACAAATATTCCAGAAAATATCTGAGAAGAAAGCAGTTAATGAGACGGGCCTGTTCCCCTGCCCCGAGGCACACGTGTGGTGGGGGCCATGTCAGGAAGCAAGCCGGCACACAGATGGACATAGGACAGACCTGGATCGGGTACGGAACACAGCAGGGGCTGAGCCGGAGACTCCTGTACTGGGGGTGTGGCCGCCTGAGCCGGCAGGTCAGAGGTCTCTCTCAGGAGGCCTGAGATCTGAAGGACTAAAAGAGGGAAAGGCGAGAAGGAACAGCACGTGCAGCGGCTTTGAGGCAGGAGCATGCTGGTGTTGGGACCGACTTCACGGGCTGTGTGACCTGTGTAGTCATATGAGGTGAGCTCTGTTGTTGACCTGAAATTCCTACCTTTTGAGTAAGGGGCTGTCTGCACTTCCATTTTGCAGCGGTCCCCGCAAATTCTGTAACGGGCCCGGCTCGTGTGTTTGAGAAGCTGAAGGGAGGTCTGGAGGTGGTCTCTTACTCTCTTGGTGTGTCTGTCTCCACATTTTATCTTCTGTTTTTTTGTTCCCCAGCCCTCCCTGCGTTTTTCCTGTATGTGACTGTGTGTCTGTGTGGGTGATCGAACCGTAAGGCTTCCTGCTATTTATTTCACTTTATGCACTGCAGAAGCATTTGCGATTGCAGGAGGTAAATATGTATCAAAGACATGAGTTTTAGTGAAGGATATCTTTTTTTTTTTTTTTTTTTGAGACAGAGTCTTGCTCTGTTGTCCAGGTTGGAGTACAGTGGCTCACAGCAGCTTCCACCTCCCAGGTTCAAGCAATTCTCCTGCCTCAGCCTCCCAAGCAGCTGGGATTACAGGCGCCCGCTACTATGTCTGGCTAATTTTTGTATGTTTAGTAGAGATGGGGTTTCACCATGTTGGCTAGGCTGGTCTTGAACTCCTAACCTCAGGTGATCCACCTACCTCAGCCTCCTAAAGTTCTAGGATCACAGGCATGAGCCACTGTGCCTGGCCTATGCCTGAACAATATCTTATCAAGACATGTCTTTTAGTCATCCTCCCGCTATGGGGCGTTTCTGTTCTCTTTGTGTTTTTGCCATTTCTGAGTCTTGCTGCTGTGGGTTGGGAGTGGGCAGGTGAGAGCTGGCTTGGGGCCTGGCCACTGGAGTTAGAGGGAGCAGGGCCTGGTGTCTGTTGCCACCATCGATTGGTGATGTCTGCCTAAACACTGTGTTGCATCTGCTGGGGATGTCTGCCTTGGGAGAGCAATGGGCATGTAGGAAGCAGGTGTCACCATCTCTGTTCTTGGGGTGTCAAAGCAAGGCTGGGTGTGGACATTTGTCGAAGGAGTGGGGAATGGACACAGCCCCCAACAAGCAGATCGTGCAGTCGTGCCTGTCAGGTGCCTTGCCCTAACAGTGGAAGGATCATTTGAGGTCAGGGGTTCAAGACCAGCCTGGCCAACATGGTGAAACCCTGTCTCTACTAAAAATACAAAAATTAGCCGGGCGGTAGTCGTGCGCCTGTAATCCCAGCTATTTGGGAGACTGAGGCAAGAGAACATGTTGCCCTGGGAGCTTTTGTTAAGGGTCCCTGTGTGGCTCCCTCACGTATCAGAGTTCCAGGAACGGGTGTGGGCCCTGATAAAATCCCAGACTCATGGCTCAGTGAAGTCGCACAGCTGGACAAGCTTGGAGACCCCCAAATAACTTGCCCAGGCTACCCTGGCTTGCAAAGGGCCACTGCTCATCCAGGGGTGACGGAGCCGTGCTGGGTGCCTGGCATCCAGTGGGTGCCCAGTGTCCAGCTGCCATGTCCACTGTCCATGCCCTTATCACCTTCATGTTGTCACCATGACCGGCGCCTTAGGTGCTGTGGCTGGTGCCAGGCCCGTGAGAGCTGGGGCAGGTTCACTCAGGGTCCAGGTTTGCCTGCATCGTCCCAGAATCCTCCCATACCTGGGGGAGTGGGCTGTCAGTGGGAGCCAGTAAAGGGGCGTTGATTTCTTTCCCAACCAGAAGAGGCAGGGGCTATAGACTTAGGTGGAGCCCCTGGCTCTTTGCTGGCTCCCAGGGTTCTAACAGCTGGGCCTTCTGAGCCCTGGGGACTGGCTGCTCGTGGCTGAGCCCTTCAAGGGCATTGCGCTCCTTCTGCAAATGTAATTCCCAGTCTCCATGTCCAGGCCCAGAGCAGCCCTGGGGAGTCCTCAGGGCTCATTTTCCTGCAAGCGGGGGAGAGGGGGGGACAGGCCCTGTGGTGATTAGAGGAGGCTGCCTGCGCTCACAGGGGGTGGTTAGGCTACCCAGAGGAGGAGGCCCCTGCAGGCTGGCAGGGGGCCTGGTGGCTCTGGCCCCAGCCCTGGGCTCTGTGGCATGGAGCTGACACCACAGACACCTGTGGGGTTGGACCGCTGGACTAGCAGCGAGCCCTGCCCTTCCAGTTGGATAGCTTTTCCATTCCAGAGCCGTCAGGGCCGCAGGGCTGAGCACGCAGCTCCACGCTCCCTAGAGACTCAGCCGTCAGGGGTCACCTTTCTCTAGTCTTGTGGGAACTGTTTTTGCCCTCAGCCGTGAGAGGCACTTTTACACATAACTCAGTTGGAGCATGACTGGCACGCAGGAGAAAAACATTTTGTGTCATTTATAGGCCCTGCTTGGGCGAGACTCTGGGCCGGGAACGTCCACATGCAGCCAGTGTGGGGACTGTTTTACTCTGAGCCTGAATCTTTCTGCTTTGGTTCCAGATGCCGTGTGTAGGGTGTTCTGTCAAAGGGAGGAAAAAGCTCCTCAATGAGACAGAAAGATGCAACTGGGAGTCTGGTTTTGCATGAGGACGTGAGCGTTTCAGTTCACTTTTTTTTGTAAGCATGGTTCCCCAGTCTGACCTCAGAGCTGCCTGGAGATGGGCCCCACCCGCTTCCCGTTAATTAACAGGCTGGTGCTCGGTGTGGATGCTGGCTCCTCCGTCTCCCTGCCCTGGGCCCTTTTGAAGCTGAAGTGTTCCAGGGGCAGCTGGTGTGGAAATAGAGTTTTCTAGAGGTTTTAGAGTTGAGAAGAAACCTAAACTCTTCTTAGAAGCATTTCAAGGGTTTGTCACCAGGATGGCTCTCTGCAAATTTGAGGTGGTTCTAGAAGATCTTCCCATATTTCTTAATCCAGAGGGAGATGGGGATGGGCGAGAAACGGCTTTGTCCTTAAGGAAGTCATGTTCTGGTTGGAGGACAGGCACGGCCTAGCATTGAAGCTGGTGAGTCAGAGCCGGACCTGTGAGCGGGGCCAGAATGGGGCGCGGGCTTCAGACTTCACAAAGCAGACCACGCGGCAGCCTGGGGCTTTAGTATCCAAATGTCCTGCCCTCCAGGTTTCATTCCTTGCCGTAAAATATCACGTTAAAGGAAAATGTTTTGTTAAAAGACCACAGTCCTGTCACCTGAGCACAGTCGCTGTTCTCGGTTCCTCTGTGGCTTTCCAGGCTGCAGGTGCCCATTGGTATTGCGGCCGTGCGCCCGGCGGGCATGAATTAGCTGTGCCGCCTGGCTGCTGACGGGACGCCTCGCCTCGACTGAAAACTACCTGGAGCTGCTCACCCAGGGGCAACGTGAAGAAAACGTGAAATTCTGTCGCTTGTTGCAGCTGACAGCACGGCTGTGAGGTCCCAGTGGGCAGAGGCCTCGTGCAGGGCACCTCACCAGCCGGGATGTCAGAGCTGGCCAGAAGGAGCGGTGCCCATGGAGGGCTGCCAGTGCCCAGAGAGCCTTCCGAGGTGTCACGTTGGGCAGTGAAATTCAGAGTCGGGCAGAGGAGGCCCTGGGGTCACACAGGGATCTCCTCCAGGCTATGGGTTGGTGAGGTCCAGTGTCCGGGGGTGAAGGATAGAGGCTCTGTGGTGAGGGCTCTGGAGCTGGCCCTGGGCTAGCGGAAACGCAGGTAACGAAGGAGGCTGTGCTGGTGGGACTTGTGCCTGTTCCCGAGGGAGGCATTGTGAGTGATGTTTAGGCCAAGAGGATTCAGGATGGAAGACATGGCTTGGTTTGTAGTTGGGAGCCGGCCAAGGAGTGGTGTTGAGAAAGTGCAGTGTCAGGCAGACCCGGGACCGTGGCGGTGAGGAGGTGCAGTGTCAGGCAGACCCGGGACCGTGGTGATGAGGAAATGCAGTGTCAGGCAGACCCGGG
Source organism: Homo sapiens (assembly GCF_000001405.40). NCBI lineage: Eukaryota > Metazoa > Chordata > Mammalia > Primates > Hominidae > Homo > Homo sapiens. The sequence goes on from NC_000011.10 coordinate 68,372,295, forward strand.
ACTGTGGTGATGAGGAAATGCAGTGTCAGGCAGACCCGGGACTGTGGTGGTGGTGAGGAGGTGCAGTGTCAGGCAGACCCGGGACCGTGGTGGTGTTGAGGAGGTGCAGTGTCAGGCAGACCCGGGACCGTGGCGGCGAGGAGGTGCAGCGTCAGGCGGACCCGGGACCGTGGCGGCGAGGAGGTGCAGTGTCAGGCAGACCGGGGACTTGGAGCACCTAGTTCCACTTGCGGGCTGACCTTCTATTTTTTGTCATCGTGTTGGGAGCTTAGGAAAGTGACTTAACCTCTCTGTGCTTCAGTTTGTCCGTTGGTAGAAAGGGGGTGATTATACTCCCCGCTCCATGGGGTTTGGAGGAAGGCTGTGTGGGTTGTGCTGAGCAGCGTGATGGTGCAGGCTGTCTGGGTCAGTGCCGAGGGAGCGAGTCTTCCTTCGGCGGTTGTAATCAGAAGTAGCTTCCAAGGCTGGGTGCTGCCAGGAGGAGCTGGGGTGGGTGAAGGGGCAGTGGGGAGCACGGCTCACACGGCCAGCGGGTGACCTGGGGAGGACGGAGGGGGGTGTGCTGGGCGCTTCAGGCGTGTGGCTCCCTTTCCTGTGGGGCGAAGGTCAGGAGGGGGGCAGGGCCTGGCTGTGTCAGAATCACTCAGACTCTTAAGACACATCCAGAGTCCCCAGCCCCACCCCAACCCAACGCACCCACTCCACCAGAAGAAACGGGGCAGGTGGGGGCCAAATCTGTGAGTTCCCAAGGGAGGACTGTGTGGGGCAGGTTGTGGGGGGCGGCGCTAGCATGGCTGGAAACATCTCGAGGTTTGAAGCCAGAGCCTCAGGTGAGACTCAAGGGTCCCTGGGACTCCCTCCTGGGTGTCTGACCGTTTATCTTTCATGGAGTTACAGGCGAAGACATTTCTGTGATGTCTTGAATTCTGCTTTTTCCTGATTTTGAGCAAATGAAAGCCAGCTGGGTGTAGGGAGTCAGGTGCCTTCCCCAAGGAAGGGGCTGAGAGGGTGGTCACACCGGGACCCCAAGGGACAGGGAGCAGCGTTCCCAGGGGCACACAGGCGGCCTCCTAGAGGTAGGGATGCGTTGGTGGCGGGGGGGGCCCCGCACTGCTGTGTGCCTTCAAGGTGGCACTATTTACGTGGCCCCTGAGCTGCAGGGTGACCGCTAGCCCTGGGCTGTGTCCTGGCTCCCCCGCCCCTCCTGAAGTGACCCCCATGAGACAGGGCAGGTATATCCCACGAGCCTCTGCCGCCCAGCGTGGCCGGGGCTCAGTGGGACCATGGCGGCTGCGATGCTGCTCTCTGCAGCTCAGAGTCACTCTCATCCCCAGCAGTCGAGTGCAGAGCCTGGGCCTCCGGCCTCCCCACCCCCTCCACACAGCCCCAGGACCAAGGCGGCAGCTGGCTTCGGTTTCTGCCATGTTTTTCCAATTATGTGGAATGAGCTAAAAACAGCAGGAGTGAGGCCTTATTTGGGAGTTGCCACCGCCATCCTCGGAAGCTGCTGTTCCTCACTGCCACCCCTCCAGCCCCATCCTCTGTGGAACGTGCCCCTGTTCTTTTGACTTTTGTCTCCTGCACATCCCTCCTGCTTGGGGGCCTTTGGGCAGTGGGCTTAGCGGCGTGCACCATGCCACTCGGGCCACACGTGCCCTGGCCGGTGGCTCTCAGAGCTATGTCCAGAGGGTGGCCAGGCAGTGCTCCCGGCAGCGCCCAGATGAGGCTGGGGTGCGGCTTGGGGATTTGTGGGCCGCTGGCCACAGCTCACCCAGACAGAGTTTTAACAGATGTTCGTCTGTCAGGGACAGGAAACAAAAAGAAGTCGGGGATGGAGTGGGGGCAGCGGGAGGAACAGAGGGGGCCACTGTCGAGTCTGACGGGCAGACTGACAGCTGGAGCCGACGGCAAAGCCCCTCACGTCCCTCCGTCTGTCCGGGCGGATTAGCTCAGGAAGCAGGGCCCGCTCAGCTCGGGGCCGAATAACGGGCGTTTGTTCCCAGAGTCTGGCTGTCTTGTCACTTATCAGGGAAGTAGGTCAAAGGGAAAAAAGAAAGGAGGTCCTGTGGGGCCGAGTCTGCCGCGGCCGGGCAGTGATTGGCGTTGACTTTGCAAACAGAAGGCAGCTGCTGTTCTCAGCCATGGACCGTGAATTTTTAATAGCAAGAAAATCAGCTCACACGGTTCAGGAAGTTGTGGAAGAAGCCTGAGTGCTAACTTTATTTTTTTAATTGAGGTATAACTTGCAGGCAATAAAACGCACACATTTTAACGTGTACATTTGGATTAACTTTGACAGCTGCATATGTCTGCATAACTACCACACGGTCCAGACAGAGAACATTTCTACCACTGGGAAAGTTCCCGGTGCCCCTTTGCCATCCTCAACCCCCGCCCCCTCCACCACTCTCCTGACTTCTATCACCTTGGATTAGCGTTGCCTGTTCCAGAACTACATGGAAATGGAACCACGCAGCTGTGCTCTTCTGCTTTTTGGCCTGAATACTCACTGTCAGGGCTGATGCAAGAGGAGAGGGGCGCATCATATTCCTGGAGAACGCTGTCACCGTGGAGCGGGGGCACAGGGGGAATGGCATCTCTGGGATGGGTGAATGCTGTGGGCGCCTTTCCACAGGCTCAGAGTTAGACTGTGGTCACTGGTTTTGTCCCCTGCAGCCTCTTCCATGTCCCCCTTGTGACTGCAGCATAAGCCCAGCTCCATGCGGACCCCAGACCAGCTCCGCAGCTCCAACAGCTTCCCTTTATCTTCAGTGGCGAGCTTTGCGCTTGCAGGGTGCGGGGCCTGGTGGGACGCCCACGTTGCCCAGACAGAACCCTTGTGCGGCTGCGGGCACTCCTTGCCCTTTCCGCATTTGGTGATGACTCCTTGTTTCGTTTCACTGACCGTGCCCTGTGCCTCTGCTCTCCCTCCCCAGTTCCGTGTGCCCTGGGGTCAGTGATAGAAGACACGGCCCCTGGGCCCCAAGTCTGCTGAGCTGACACCTCGGGCTGCCGCTCACCTGCAGAGAGACACTAGAAGGCTCCGACTCCCTTCCTGGCCCCCACTCTGTTTTTCTACCTTTTACCGCCTATTCCAATGGAAATGCACGATTTGTTTCTCCCTGTGCACATCTGAGTGTGGACCTCCCTGCCCCTGCTCGTGCTGTGCCCACCACCTGGAGCACCCTTCCCCTGCCCCCTGCCCCCGGCCACAGCGCCCCTCCATCCAGACCCCACTCCTGCACACGGCTCCTCCGCCCGTGCGCAGCCCTCTGAGAGTGTGGCAGGTGCACCAGGCTCTGCTCTAGGGAGCTTCTTCCTCTTCCTGTGTCCCACGGGACCAACATCGGGACCCAGGAAACAGGCTGGGAGAGTTCGGTAACACCTTCAAGAGGGTTTGAGAGCTGAGGTTCTTTGGTCTTCAGTGGAGCTGGCAGTGACTTTCTTGACTTTGTCAAGAGAAGCCCCCCGTCTCTGTGCCACCTCTGGGGATCTGATTGAACGGAAATCAGAGCATCCGAGTTCCAGCCTCAGCCCTCTGCTGTGTGGCTGTGAAATGTAGGCCCTGTGTGCCTTGCTGACCTGGGAGGGTCGAAAGGACGGTGTCTGGGGAAGGATGCATAAGTTGTAGAGTGCCCTGCACTTGTGATAGGTGGGGCCGCGTGAACTGCTGATAGCCATCTTCTGTCAGTTGGGGCAGTGGCATTGTCACATGGTTCCATTCTAATCCGTTATTTTGGCTACTGCCACTGAGGCGGGGTGGGTGACAAAAGTAACGTTTCTTGGGGGCCACTGCAGCGGTCATGGTCCTGAGCCCTATACCCAGGCACGCGTCCTGGGAGCTGTGTGAGGGGTCGTCCGTGGCTGGCCCTGCTTCTTTTTTTTTTTTTTTTTTTTTTTTAATTGAGACAGAGTCTCTCTCTGTCACCTAGGCTGGAGTGCAATGGCGCGATCTCCGCTAACTGCAACCTCTGCCTGCTGAGCTCAAGCGATTATCCTGCCTCAGCCTCCCGAGTAGCTTGGACTATAGGCACCCGCCACCACACTCGGCTTATTTTTTGTATTTTTAGTAGAGATGGGGTTTCACCGTGTTAGCCAGGATGGTCTCGATCTCCTGACCATCTCGTGATCCACCCACCTTGGCCTCCCAAAGTGCTGGGATTACAGGCATGAGCCACCATGCCTGGCCGGCCCTACTTCTTAAATGGGCCTGAGGCACACGGTGCCGAGAGCTCGCTGAGGTCTATGGAGGAAGGGCGCAGATGGGATCTGGGCCTGGCGTCCTGGCCGGCCCCCAAGGCCTTCTCCACAGAGTTTCCATGTATACCGGGGTGGCCTTGCGGAGGGGCGCAGCCATGCGTCAGGCTGGAGCCAGCTGCAGAGGCCACAGACAGGGTGTCATGAGCAGTACAAGTAACCGCTGCTGTCCATTGAACACCTACTGTGTGCCTGGGTTCAGAAAGGCACCCTGTGCTGGCTTTTAAAGAATTAGGCCGCCTGCCTAAAGGGGGGAGTGTGGCCTTCTTTTTCATTTAAGTCACCAACTGTTTTATACATCCACGCCCCTAAATTCTTCAGTTTTAGGCAAAGATGAGAGGGCTGCCCAGGCGTCATTTGCTCAACAAAACCACACTTCACTTGTGAGGCTGTGTTCCCTCACCAGGGTCCCCAGCAAGGGGGTGTGAGTGTTTAGTACCACAGGGAGGGCTGGCGCGGTGGCTCACGCCTGTAATCCCAGCACTTTAGGAACTCCTCACCTGAGGTCAGGAGTTCGAGACCAGCCTGGCCAACATGGTGAAATCCCATCCCCACTGCCTGCCTGGGGAGTGGCCATGCAGCCATGGGCCTGAGGTTGTGGTGGGGCATGGGGGCAGAGGCAGGCAGTGGGGGGCCACAGGAGGGGCTGGCTGGCACCGAGGGATGGGAGAGGAAGGGACCCGCCTGCAGGTCCCTTCCTGAGGCCGGCACTGACTTGGTCACTCTCTGGCTGCCCTGACCCCAGGCAGAGCAGCGACTTTCCTGTTTTAGAGCTGAGCAGACAGAGCCCCTGACTGCAGGCCAAGGTGCCTGCCAGCTGCTCCTGGAGGGCCATAGCCTCTCTGTGCTTGCTGGAAGGTCCCAGGCACCGTGCAGGTGACAGTGGCCGGCCTCAGGTTCCAGCAGAGCCAGCATCGGGCCCAGCCACTTCCCTTGTGCTTTGTGACCCTATGGTCACTTGGCACAGGATCCCGGGTCAAATGCTGCGGTTGCGGCATTTGCCCCACCACTTACCCCTGGGGGCAGCGGAGAAACTTAATCAATTGCTAAACAACAAAAATAATCTGGCCGCCTGCCAGCTGGGAAGCCACTGTGGCCAGGCTGTTTATGGCCTTGGGATCTGCGCAGTGGACAGTGGCCTGCACCGTGACCCCGTTCATCCTGCGTGCCCCAGGCCCAGGAGGTGGCTCAAGCCCTCTGCCTCCTGTAAGGGCACCTGAGAAGGAGGCCCTGGAGCTGGGAGCAGAGCTGGGGGTGGGCGTCCGGGCAGCAGAGGCCGATTCTCAGCTTTCCCTGGATCTCAGCTTTCCCCGGATCTCAGCTTTCCCCGGATCTCAGCTTTCTGCTACCCGTGTGAAAAGAAGCCAGGAGAACACAGCTATCCTGGGTTGGTGCCGGCTGTGGTGGGAGGCCTGCGGTGGGAGCCTCCGGGGGCCACTGGACCTTTCCTGGGTGGCCTGTGGCCTGGGAGCTGCACTTGGTTCGGTGCAGGGAGGTTGTGACATCCACTCTGTCTGCAGGGATGGCCGGGGCCCTGCGGCTGGGTGATGAGGTGGGATGGAGGTGTCCGGGGCTGCCCTGCCTCCTTTTGCCAAAATAACAAAAATTATCTTGTTTGTTTGTGAAAAAACCTGTTTTCCCACATTGGGGCATGGAGGGTATTAACTGTGATGACCTTCTGAGTTCCTGCACACTGGTGACCCATTGGCAGGGTCTCCTCCTGGCTCTGGCAGGGGTGGCTCAGGCCGCTGGGCGACGGTGTGCTGGCCAGATAGTTCCTGGGGCTGCAGGTGGCTTCTTTCGCCCCATCCCTCCCATCCCCTTTCATTCTTCCTGTCAACACATCTCAGACCCTGGACACCGAATGAGCCGTCGGTACCCACACCCCAGGGCAATTCAGTGGAGGGGTAGGTGGCTCGTTCCCCCACGTTGCCCCAGGAAGAGGACCCTGTCCCCGGCATCCTGACCCACCTCCCACCTCCCTTAGAGACCGAGAGCCTCTAAGGATAAACCCATTCACCCGTGTTTCAGAGGCTTTTTTTTCCTCTTATAAAATAACATTTATACGTTCGCTGTAGCAAGGAAAACATTATAAAAAATAGTGAAGAAAATAGAAATTACCCATAATTTTGCCACACAGACTTAGTTGTGTCCATGTATCTTGTGCACCTTTTTTCTGTTTACGGATCAAAATCGACTTTTAGGGTCAGGCGCGGTGGCTCACACCTGTAATCCCAACACTTTGGGAGGCTGGAGTTGGGGTTGGGGGGTGGATCACTGAAGATCAGGAGTTTGAGACCAGCCTGGCCAACATGGCGAAACTCCATCTCTACTAAAAATAAAAGATTAGCCAGGCGTGGTGGTGGGTGCCTCTAATCCCAGCTACTCCGGAGGCTGAGGCAGGAGAATCGCTTGAACCCAGGAGACAGAGGTTGCAGTGAGCCAGGATCACGCCACTGCACTCCAGCCTGGCAACAGAGCGAGACTCTGTCTCAAAAAAAAAAATAAAAATAAAATAAATAAATACATAAATTGACTTTTAGGAGATTGGTTCAAACAATGTGTGTAATGTTGTGTCTGAGTGTTTTTCATTTATCGTTCATGCAAATTCCGACATCATTCACTCTTCTCCAGAGTGTGCTGTTTTCCTGCCTGTGTCATCACCCGTCACCTTGAATGCCCTCGTTTAGGTAAAATAAGTACATTTTATTCAAAAATATTTGAGGACATTTGGGTTGTCTCCAGGTTCTTGGTCTTGAGTTTTGCTGTTCTTGTGGAGCCATGGTGGTGTCTGGTTGCAGGAACCTCCATGCGTTCCAGCTGCTGCTTCTGCCTGTGTTCTTAGAGAGGAAATGCTGGGGTCCGCGGTTCCCGGGCTGCTGACCAGGAAGCCTGCGGTGCTTTACGGCCCTTCCAGAAGCGGGAGATGCCCCCACTTAAGTGTCAGACAGGCCTTTCCACCTCACTGGCAGCTCTGAGCGGCTCCCTTCTATTTGCAGATGACTGAGAAGTTACCAATTTCCACGTTTACTGACTGCTGTTTCTCCTGTTAATTTGTATTTATAGTCTTCGCTAATTTATTGCTAGGGTTTTGGTGTTGTCCCTATTGACTTGTATGCCTTTTAATTTTTTAAACAACATTAATAGACTTCATTTTTTTAGAGCAGTTTTAAGTTTACAGGAAAATTAAGGGACAAGTACAGAGAGTTCCTTCCACCTGCTGTCCTCCTCTCCTCCTCCCCACCTTCCCTCCTTCCCCTATTGTAACTTTCTTTCTGATATTATAAAAGTCACTCATGGCTGGGCGTGGTGGCTCACGCCTGTAATCCCAGCACGTTGGGAGGCAGAGGCAGGCAGATCACCTGAGGTCAGGAGTTCCAGACCAGCCTGGCCAACATGGTGAAACCCCGTCTCTACTAAAAACACAAAAAGTTAGCCAGGCGTGGTGGCGGGCACCTGTAATCCCAGCTACTCAGGAGGCTGAGGCAGGAGAATGGCGTGAACCTGGGAGGCAGAGGTTACAGTGAGTCGAGATCGCGCCACTGCACTCCAGCCTGGGCAATAAGAGTGAAGCTTCGTCTCAAAAACAAAGTCACACACGCTTCTTGTACGAGGGTCATTTGGCCGAGGGGCCAGATGGCTCACCATCTAGTTGGGACAGGCCATGAGCTCGGAATGCTTTTTACATATTTACATGGTTGAGAAGAAAATCAGGAGAATAATGTTTTGGGACATGGGAAAATGACATGGAATTTGCATTTTAGTGTCCATAAATGAAGTTTTGTTTGCTCCCAGCTGTGTTGACTGAGGCAGGCTGGCTTCCTACAGCTGCGGCAGAGCTGAGGAGGCGGGAAGGAGACCGTGCAGGCCGCAGCACCGAAAATATTTGCTCTCTGGCCCTTCCCAGAGTGCTTGCCGACCTCTGTCCGACAGCTAGAAGGAAGGATAGGACCCGTCCGACGATAACCACTGTTGACATTTGAGCGCGTTTCCTTCCCGGCTTTTGTGTGAGAGTGGCAGTCTGTTTGCTTTTGTGGTCGGGATCTGCTGCACGCACGGCGGGCTGTTTGCATGAGGCTTCCTGGAGGATAGGGCTGGGCTCGGAGCTGCACGCAGTGGGGCGTGTCCTGCATGCAGTGGGGCCTCAGAAGAGAGCTGTGGTGGGCGGGGCAGTGCCAATGCTGGTGGGTGCCAGGCCTCCACGCTCAGATCAGCCCCGGCGACAGGTTTGGGCCACCCTCTCTCTGGCCTCTGTGCAGTGGCCCAGGCCGTCTGCTCTGCCTGGCACACTTGCCTCTGTCCTTCCACTGAAGCGCTCCTCTTACCCTCTGCTCCCGGCTGGGTACGTTGAATTGTGTCCCTCAAGGAGATATGCTAAAGGTCTAACCCCAGGAACCTGTGTATGTGATCTAATTTGGAAACAGGGTCTTGGCAGATGTAATCAAGCGAGGATGAGGTCACCCTAGAGTAGGGGGCCTATATCCACGGTGCTGGTGTCCTCATGAGAGCAGGTGAGCAGACACTGACACTCAGGGGTGAAGGCTGCATGGAGTCAGAACAGGGCTTAGTGCGATGGCGGCCACAAGCCAAGGAACTCCAAGTATTTCCTGCAACACCAGAAGCTGGAAGATGCCAGGAAGGATCCTGCCCTGGAGCCTTCGGAGGGAGTCTGTCCCTGCAGACGTCTTGACTTTTGATTGCAGGGATGCATGTCTTAGGGTGTGTGGGGGGGTGCATTTCTGATGTTAGAAGCCACCTGGTTGGTGGCGATGTGTCACGGGAGCCCTCTGCAGGTTCTGCGTGTCCATGTGGTCGGGGACAGAGGTGGGCAGGGACGGACGGTGTCGAGCTGGACATGTCCATGACGTCGGCCATCCCTTGGGATGGCTTTTTTGTTTTGAGGATAAGGCTGCCTGCCAGGAAGCTGTGCCCTGCCTGGCCCTTGCCCCAAGCCCCTGGCCTGTGCTTGGCCTCGCGGAAGGGATGTCGCCCTTCTCTCCTGCATGCGTGCAGGGAGGAAGGGGAGAGGTCAGCAGCCCGCCTGGAGGAGGCTCGGGCGAGGGGAAGGTTTCACTTTCAGGCAATGTTGTGGGGCTGTTTAAACAACCCCAAAGAAAACCATTTGGCCAAACTGTTAGTTTCCAAACATTTTACTTCCTTGGTGTTTAAATAAATTCCTACCAAGACTCTGTAGCTGGTCCCAGGGAAGGAGTTGGCCTCTCTTCTTTATAGCCCGGCACAGTCAGTCCCCTGCACCTGCCCCTCCCAACCCCAGGCCTGCTTCCCCGTGGCCATGGCTGCTGCCCGGACCTCTCTACACACAGAACCTCCTGGAGGCCAGCTGTGGGCACCAGCCTTGGCAGGGCTGTGGCGGAGCCCAGGCTGCTGGTACTCTCTCTGCAGCTGCTCCCTGCTGGCCTGGCTGGACAGAGTCCCCACCACCACTGGGGTCACCTCTGTGCTGGTCACAGCTCACTCAGACCTTCAGGCAAATGGGTTGGATCCTGCCTCTCTCCCAGGTGTCTCAGTCTCTGCAAAACTCAAAAACCTCAGAGGCCTTGCAGCCTGAGGGGTGTCAGAGACACCTCCTTCGAGTCAGTAAACACCTACAGATTCACCCCAGCAGTGAAAGGACTGCTTCGCCACAGAGGTTTGATTTACTCCTAAGTAATTGGAAGGGATGCCGAGAATAGGTTCCTCATGGTGGGACTAGAGGCCCTCTGCTGACCTAGTTACCAGAGGGCTAGGGCTGGGTGTGCTCAGCCCCTGAAGGTTCTAGGCCCATTTGGGACACCCCGCCAGAACCTGCCACAACCTGCCATGTGGTGACAGCTACCTAAATCCCAGAGGCTCTTGAGCTGGAGAGCAGACCTCTCAATCTCAGCAGGCCCCCCACACAGACCCCATAACCCTAGTCTGCCTTCACAGTACAGTTCGTGGCTATGTGTTCACGGATGGTGTCGTTCACCTAAGGTCTCTGCCCTGTGACCCCAAGGGCGTCCTGAGGGCAGATTCCAAGTCTGTTTCGTCCACCCCTCCTTCCCTAGCAGCGGGTCCAGGGCCTGGCCTGAACTAGCTTCCCACAGAGATACTGGTGGGATGATGAAGGCAGCCAGGCGGCAAGTGAAAAACGCACTTCCTGCATGTGCTGGCTCCTGGGATTGAAGTGTTTGAGGAAGCAAAGTGAAGTGAGCTTTCCTCTTGCGGCTGTGTGTCCTTGGGCCGGGAGCCTACCCTCTCTGAGCGTTGGGGTCCTTGTCAGTAGAATGGGGCATCCTCATAGCTCAAGGGGTGGTGTGTGAAAATTGTGCTATTGTGTTACTTTAATGATTTTTTTTTTTTTCGAGACAAAGTCTCACCCCAACGCGCAGGCTGGAGTGCAGTGGCGCGATCTCAGCTCATTGCAACCTCTGCCTCCTGGGTTCAAGTGATTCTCCTGCCTCAGCCTCCCAAGTAGCTGGAATTACAGGAGTGCGCCACCAGGCCTGGCATATTTTTCTATTTTTAGTAGAGAGGGGGTTTTACCATGTTGGCTAGGCTGGTCTTGAACTCCTGACCTCAGGTGATCCACCTGCCTCGGCCTCCCAAAGTGCTGGGATTACAAGCATGAGCCACCGCGCCCGGCCTACTTTAGTGATTTCTTAGGAGGACAGAGGGAACGGGCTGGCAAGACAGGCTTGGAATGTGTTTTGGGATCAAGTGCCGGTTTCTGTCTGGCACTGGCGTTCTCTGTGGGGCCATGATGGACACACTGCTGAGGTCAAGCGTGATTCGTCTTGCGCTGTGCCTGGCAGTCTCATTGGAAAGTTCTGTAGACATCGTGTGGATGGGGCTCTTCCCGGCCAAGCCCTTGGGGACCTTCCAGGACTGTGATCTCCCCACAGTGGCTGTTAAGC